>NC_000014.9:23361713-24611713 GCF_000001405.40 Homo sapiens | reverse complement strand
AACAATCCAGAAGATCATTAAGCTACTCAAGGAGATACCAGAGAAAGGTGAAAAAACAACTTTAAAAATTAAAAAATATATATATACATAAATATAGGATATGGGTGAAAAATTCCCCAGAGAAATAGATATCATAAAGAAAAAATAATCACAACTTCTGGAAATGAAAGCCATGCTTAGAGAAATACAAAATCCACTGGAAAGTTTCAACACTAGACTAGAACAAGCGGAAGAAAAAACTTCAGAGCGCAAAGACAATGCTTTCAAATTAACCCAATCAAACAAAGACTAAGAAAAAATAATTTTTAAAAAATGAACAAAGCCTCCAAGAAATGTGGGATTATGTTAAACAGTCAAACCTAAGAATAATTGGTGTTCCTGAGGAAGAAGAGAAATCTAAAAGCTTGAAAACCTTATTTGAGGAAATAATTGAAGAAAACTCCCCTGTCCTTGCTAGATACCTAGACATCCAAATACAAGAAGCTCAAAGAACACCTGGAAAATTCATCACAAAAAAGTCTATCACCTAAAGTCCTATCCCAGTTCTGTTAAAGTAATAGCAGGAATAGCACCTTATAAATACCTAGAAAAATAGTAGAAGGAAACATGCTTAAGCATTAATAATGATCTCCGGTGGTAGAATTTTTGGTAAGTTTAATTTTATCATTTACATGTTCCTACTTAACTATACATATATATTTATATATATTCATATACATAAATATACAAACATATGTATATATACACATTTTTGTTTATGGACAGCCTATGACTGTGAGCCAAGGGACATCAGAGACATGGCTCTCTGGAAACTGAGAGAATACTTAGTGGACAGTTTTTTGTTTGTTTGTTTGTTTGTTTTTGAGATGGAGTCTCGCTCTGTCACCCAGGCTGGAGTGCAGTGGCGCGATCTCAGCTCACTGCAAGCTCCACCTGGGTTGACGCCATTCTCCTGCCTCCGCCTCCCAAGTAGCTGGAACTACAGGAGCCCGCCACCACGCCCGGCTAATTTTTTGTATTTTTAGTAGAGATGGGGTTTCACCATGTTAACCAGGATGGTCTCGATCTCCTGACCTCGTGATCCACCCGTCTTGGCCTCCCAAAGTGCTAGGATTACAGGCATGAGCCACCGCGCCCGGCCTTAGTGAACAATTATTATCAGGATGATCAGCATCCATTTTTCCATCACCTGGCAACAACAACTAGCATTTCTCAAGGGAAATCCCCTCCTCATTCATAAGCACCATAGATGGAGTGGAACAGTCCCCACCTCAGCTTAAGGAGGGCTAAATAACCAAAGCATAAAGCAATCAGTCCACTACACTTCAGTGGACCCAATGATGACTCATTTTGGTTCAATAAATATCAAGTCCAGAACTTTTGTGCAGAACTGTGGAATAAAAAAAGTTATCTTTGTCACAGAATATTTATATTTAAAGAGGGGATTCTAAATATCCCAAAAATATGAATCTGAGATAGTGGTAAGATAGGAATGGGTTGCCATTTGCAGTATTTGTTGGGTGTGTGCAACTCTGCATACTGCTAAGGCAAGTCCAGCCTCCGTCTCACACCAACAGGCAGATTTCCCCACCACGGCCCTTACCATCTTGTGCTCTAACCCCAGATTTTCAGTCTACTCTTGCTAACCATCAATTCTTCAAGGGCAAGAGCCATGTCTCTCATATCCCTGGATCTGGCTTGCTAAATAATTATTCATGATTTTATCTGAGTAGAAAAAGAGCCAAGAACTGAGAAAAGGAGACATTCTTGGTTCTCAGTCACTGAGGAGCTTCTGCAGTACCAGCCTTTCTGCTAGCTGCAGCCACAGCTTCAACAGCTCCACCTCCTTGTTCTTTATTCTTGCTTTCACCTTGTTACTCAGCAGCAGGGGTGTAAATGTGACAGTGCCATGTCAACTTAAACCAAACCAGATAATTTTAATAAACCACCTTCTATAATGACACCCATCAAAACCAGAAGGGGACAAGTCTAGGAGGTCTCTGAGTTTACTGTACCCATCCCTCCTTCATCTCCCTCCAGCATTTGTTTCTGGAAGGAGTCAACACCAACAGCTCTGACCTGGGCAGCCTTCCTGAGAAAATGCAGCCATTCCTCCTCCTGTTGGCCTTTCTTCTGACCCCTGGGGCTGGGACAGGTAAGTGACTATCCCTATTCCAGAGGCCTGAACCCATCTTATAAGATACCCTGTACCCATGAGCACTGGTCAGGAATTTTCCTCAATCTGAGCCCACCTCCCATTCCACACCCAGACTTATAAATCTGAGGCTAGATAGACACTCAGCAAAGATCGAAAAATGAAGGGTGTTCCCTAAAAGGTTTAATGGGTGTTAGCCTCTCCCTAGACCTCTCCTTTATGACCTGGAGTGTGGATTGTTCTTAGAAAGGCATTTGGTAGGGAATGTGAAGCTAAAAAAGATAAGTAATTATTACTCTACACTCCAACCCAGGAAAGAGGAGCTCAGACACCAAGTTGCAGTCATAGGAGTTGTTACTGGACTCAGCTTAAGAACCACTTATTCAGTGCCCCCACCCAGTCACCCCTGCCAGGAGGGAAGCCCATGGTGCAACTGATCTCAGAGATGGCAAGATGACTGTGTCCATAGCTCTCCCATTACCTTGGCTCCACCTGGGCTTTGCGATTCATTTTTAGTTGATTTCTCCACTTCCTTCTGCCTTTGCAGGCCCTCAGCTACTCCACTGACCTGGTGATAACCCCCTCTAACATCCCTGAGGTCCTGAATCCCACCAGCACTACCCCCACTAAACCTCAGCCAAAGGCTAATTGGAGGCTATTCATTTATGCACCAAACAACACTTACTGAGAACCTAGAATGTGTTCAGCCCTGGCACATGAGAATTTTAGAAAATCCAACTCCAGAAGCTCATGGGTAGATCATTAGAAAATGGCACCAATCAGGAGGACAGCAGAGGCTCAGAGGAATCAGAGAGACTCACTAAAAAGGAGGAGCCTGGGAAGTCCTGTCCAGGATCCTCTGGGGCTCTACCACTGTGAAAATAGATCTTTCTTCCTCCATGTGTGTTTCTGCAGTAGGATGCAGAAGTCAAGCACTGTCCATTCTTTCTGAGAGAAGGTTCTGAGACTTAAAGTTCAGAAAAGCTTGCTCTGCCTGCAAGGAGTACTGCCTGCAGAGCTCAGGAGGACCCCTCCCTCACTGTCTGCAGCACACAAAACACTTCACCCTCAATCACTGTCGTCCTAAGCCTTCTCTCCTGACTGCAGCCATCCCCAGCTACTTTATCTTCCAGTCTTTCCTTTCAGAGGAGATCATCGGGGGCCATGAGGCCAAGCCCCACTCCCGCCCCTACATGGCCTTTGTTCAGTTTCTGCAAGAGAAGAGTCGGAAGAGGTGTGGCGGCATCCTAGTGAGAAAGGACTTTGTGCTGACAGCTGCTCACTGCCAGGGAAGGTAAGGAGCAGCACCAGCTCACCTCCTGAGTTCCCCCTACAGGGACCCTTGTTTTCTCCTGGGGACTGCAGCCCAGGGGAGCTTCCAGAGTTCCTGGTAACACAAGCCCATGAAAGCTCATCGGAGCAGCCACCTGGGAATAGGACTAAGATGATGAAAGGCTGAGAAATAGGACAGGGTCAGAGGGTCAGAGGGTCAGAGGTCAGAGCAAGTGGCATGGTTTCACACACTGGCCCAATAAGGCAGTAGTAAAGGTTGAATCCATGCATTAAGGATCAAAATGCAAACTCGAGCAATTTCATGATATTTCCTGAAGGCAAGAGAGAGCCCCCAGAAGCCCTACTCTTCATGTCTTTGTGAAGTAGAGGGCACAGTCACTCAGCCCTGGAGCCCTCCTGTCCCTTCAACTTCCCCTCAGCTGCAGCCCTACCCTGCCACAGCTGTCATCTGCTCTTCACTGCTCCTGGGCTCTATCCCCTGTGACTCCACCCCCATCCTCACTCTGCTCTCTGTGCAGCTCCATAAATGTCACCTTGGGGGCCCACAATATCAAGGAACAGGAGCGGACCCAGCAGTTTATCCCTGTGAAAAGACCCATCCCCCATCCAGCCTATAATCCTAAGAACTTCTCCAACGACATCATGCTACTGCAGGTGAGGCACACTCCTGCCACTCTTGCTCTTCTTGGTCCAGTTGGTTCCACTCCCACTGGGATGCCGGCCCTTTCCTCCTTTCCATCCTGACCTCTTGGTCAGTTCCTGTGCCTTAGAGGAGAGGGAAGATTGTGCAGCCCCATCACTGTGTCGGGGCCCAGAAGGCCATTGCCTGACCTGGACTTTCTTGCTTCTTCCCCACCAGCTGGAGAGAAAGGCCAAGTGGACCACAGCTGTGCGGCCTCTCAGGCTACCTAGCAGCAAGGCCCAGGTGAAGCCAGGGCAGCTGTGCAGTGTGGCTGGCTGGGGTTATGTCTCAATGAGCACTTTAGCAACCACACTGCAGGAAGTGTTGCTGACAGTGCAGAAGGACTGCCAGTGTGAACGTCTCTTCCATGGCAATTACAGCAGAGCCACTGAGATTTGTGTGGGGGATCCAAAGAAGACACAGACCGGTTTCAAGGTTGGGTTTCCAGCCTCTACCCAGAAAGACCACAGGGAGAGAGGAACTTGAGGGAGTTCTGGGGTATGACAGTGGCCAGATCTTTATGCTCTCAGCCCAGAGCTTGGGCAGCCTGTGTCCCCCTGGAATCTAGTCTTTAGTCCACTCCTTGGGTGGACTGGGGTGGCTGGAGGGGAAGGATCTGTCATCCGACAGTCACTTATCACCAAAGTGTCCGTGAGAATTGCAGAGAAAGGCTTGGTCTGGGGAGAGCCAGAAAGCACAGCCAGGGCCATGCTGGAGACCCAGGACTGAGGGAGGTGAGTGACAAGGCCTGCCTGGCACTGATGTCACACAAAATCCATAACAGAGACCACCCATCCCAGGGAACACTAGCTCAGTCTTTCCTCTCTCTGTTCACAGGGGGACTCCGGGGGGCCCCTCGTGTGTAAGGACGTAGCCCAAGGTATTCTCTCCTATGGAAACAAAAAAGGGACACCTCCAGGAGTCTACATCAAGGTCTCACACTTCCTGCCCTGGATAAAGAGAACAATGAAGCGCCTCTAACAGCAGGCATGAGACTAACCTTCCTCTGGGCCTGACCATCTCTGGGACAGAGGCAAGAATCCCCAAGGGGTGGGCAGTCGGGGTTGCAGGACTGTAATAAATGGATCTCTGGTGTAAATATGACTGAAGTCTTATTTATTCACTGAACCATCTTCAATATGCAACAACACTGCTCCAGGCAGCCGTCTGCTGTCAGTTCTGGCTTTTGCTTCTTCCTTTCTCCCCCAGCCCTCCCTCCTCCCTAAACCCCATGCTGTACAGTTTTTTCACTAATTTCTCAATCACATGTCTTTGATACTGAACCCTCTGTTAGAGCTGGTTTGAACTCCATTATAAACAAACAATCTTCACCCCTCTCCCTTCACAAAAAAAAATAAACCTCTCTGGACGTTAGGAATTTCTTATCGTCTCTAAACCAACTACCTACTCCCCTAACAACGTAGCAGAGAATGGAGCAGGGCAGTGGAAAGGAAATAACTCCAGGGACTCAGAAGGCCAGGGGCCATGCCATGAGTACTCAGTTTCCTATTTTCAGGGCCTGTCCCTCCAATGGGGGCAGGCTTCTCCCACAGCCAGGTCTGCCTGCAGCTTAGGAGGTTGAGATGCTCCTCTGCACCTAGGTCCCTCTTCCCTGCCCTGGGCCCAGCCCTGAGCTCAGTCAACCTTCTTCCTTCCTGGCCGGCCTTCCCAGCTCCCAAGAGTTTTTCACCCAAGTGCCCTGGCTACCAGTTTCTTTCCCTTCTAGATCACCCTGTTCTGAAGCCAGCCTCTCTCTCATGTCCCTAACAGAGTTCCCAGCTCTGTGTGAATTCTTCTCTACTGCTTGTCCCAGCCAGACCTCGGCTGCCAGCCCACCTGATGCTGATCAGAGGAGCCAGCTCTCACCTTCCACCTGGGCAGGGCTAGCTGAGGCCCTCAGTCCAGTGCAGCTTTCCCCAGGGTCTCAGGCATCACCTTCTGGGGAGCCACCCAGCAGCCTCAACATCTTTCAGCCTAGCCTGGCTTCAGACCCAGACTCCCCCTGTTGGCAATCTGGGGTTATGGCAGCTGTGCACCAGAGGGCTCCAGGGCCACTGGGCTGGAAGTAACACTATGCCAGTTATCAATAGACTAATACTTGCTGATCTCTCTCTTTGTGCCAGGCATATAATAGGCCCTGTCCCTGCTTTTGGAAATTTTACAATGATAAAAAGTTTCATCTCAATTCTCCTGGTTCCTCTGCTTCTACCAGGCAGGTCAGTTTGGCACAAACGGATCTGTATTTATAATCTACAAGAAATCTTGTTTTAAAAATAATTAAATTATCTATATTCTACCTGTAGTGTTCATTACAGCCTCACATGCATGATCTGGCTTGATTCCAGAAGGACAGTGTGTGAAATTAGAAGAGACTTGGAGATTCTCAGGTCCTAAAGTTTTTAATCTATGCTCAGTGGAGTCTGTGTCCAGAGGTGTGGAAGTGTATTAGTCTGTTCTCACATTGCTAATAAGAACTTACCTGAGATTGGGTAATTTATAAAGGAAAGAGGTTTAGTTGACTCACAATTCCACATGGCTGGAGAGGCCTCACAATCATGGCGGAAGGTGAATTAAAAGCAAAGTCATGTCTTACATGGCGGCAGGCAAGAGAACTTGTGCAGGGAACTCCCCTTTATAAAACCATCAGATCTCGTGAGACTTATTCACTATCACGAGAACAGCACAGGAAAAACTGGCCCCCCCGATTCAATAACTTCCCACTGGGTCCCTCCCACGACATGTGAGGATTATTACAATTCAAGGTGAAATTTGGGTGCGGACACGGAGCCAAATTATATCAGGAAGGAAGGAAGAAGACAACCAGAGCAGCCTTGGCTTTGTTTATTCTGCATATAGAAGACATTAACCTCAGTCCACAAACTTAAGAAATGCTACAGTTCAAGTGTGAGACAGTTAATATAATAGTGACCCCGTTGACTTTATTTAGGATCCTGATCTCTCAAATAGTACTGCTAATGAGTTAAATGTGACAGAACACTGTAAACTCACAATAGCTGGCAAACACTGAAACAAATGGGACCAACACTGAAAAAAGTAGAAACTTCACTGAAAAGAATAACAAATAAATCACACGCATACAGGGAAAAAATCCAGCACATTGAAAAATAAGAGGAAAAACAAATAGACTTATTTTTCACATAAGGCTGTCATGATGTCTATCTCCCAAGCCTTTCCCTGGGAAGCAGTACTGGCAGCAGCACAGGTGAGAGAGGAGTCAATATATGCAGAGATAAGCAAGTGACCAGCAGCACACGTAAGAGTCAGGGGGCCATCACATAGAAGAAGCACAAAGACCCCAAAAAACCAGCCAAGTAGAGCTCTATGGAGTCCCAGGGTGTAAGCCAAAGACAGCGGCAGAGTGACCAAAGATTTCTGCCACCAGGGCCAAAGGACCCTAGTAAGAGAGTGCCTGGTGGGTCAGTCTTCCCTCTTAGATCTAACAGAAACACTTGACATTGAGCATGGGACTTTATCCTATGTAAGATCTGAAGAGTGTGTGTGTGTGTTGTGTGTGTGAAGGTTATTCATAAATATGTTCATTGCAACATTATTTAATAATAGAGCCCATATTAGAATCAGTATTCATGTCCAAAATAGGGAAATGGTAAAATATCATGCATTCAACATATCCATTTTGCAGCCATTAACATCTACATTATCCACAGCTATAAAAAACTAGGCTAACAACATTAATAGGCAAGTTCATTTTTAAAAAAAAAACTCATAAACATTTGGAAAAAAGTAAACATTTGGAAAATAATTAATCAATACAAATTAAAATAATAACTTTTGCTTATCTGATTGGGAAGGATTTACAAAAATGATAATATTCAGATTCAGTATAAGCATTGAGAAAACGGTATTTTCACGGCTTGTACACAAAGATCCAAAAAAGAAAAGAGATTCTTTGACCTGCAGGAGCTGGATTTTATGTGGAAAAAAAAGTATTTGACCTAGCCATCAACCACACAAAGAAAACTGAACACAGTTTTTCCTTATAACAACCTTGGTATACAAGTAAAATCTTAGAAACAATGCAAATATCCAGCACTAATTGGGGGATTCATTTTTTAAAGCTGCATATTATTAAACACTATGAAATCCCTGAAGTTACGATATATAACTACATTTTGTCACATGGAAGAATATTCACCAGGTATGTTTATGCTAAAACTAGATTATAGATTGGTATATACTACAATTAAATTTGTGCTTATATACACTTTTTTTCTTTTTTTCTTTTTCCCTGAGACAGAGTCTCGCTCTGTCACCCAGGCTGAAGTATAGTGGTGTGATCTCGGGTCACTGTGGTTCAAGTGATTCTCCTGCCTCAGCCTCCCAAGTAGCCGGGATTACAGGCATGTGCTACCACCCCCAGCCAATTTTTTGTATTTTCAGTAAAGAGGGGGTTTCACCACATTGGCCAGGCTGGTCTCAAACTCCTGACCTTAGGTGATCCACCTGCCTCGGCCTCCCAAAGTGCTGGTATTACAGGTATGAACCATCACAGTTGGCCATGCTTATATACACCTTTTTCCTGTAGGCATTTTTGCTTCCTATGTATCTATTTTCTTAATTTTTCTATAACTTTTATGTATTATTTAGTAAATTAAAAGTCTGTTTATTAGATATGAATAACATTTTAAAATGATATTCACTAATAGATTTTTAATAAAATGAGGAAAATGTTTATGTTAATTTAAAATATATGATTCAAAAATAAATATATTTTAGTCACATCTATGTAAAAATATACAAAGAAACAATCTGGGTGAAAGTACATCTCTGTTAACTGTCAGCTGGGTGGTAGGATTAAGGCTGACATGATTCTTCTTTCTATTTTGTAATGTATTCAACTTTTTAAATTTTACGATTATTATATTAACTTTATTTTTTAACAATATTCCATATGAGAAAAAGGTTGGCTTAAGTTTGTACATGTGTGAATTAAGATAACCCTATTATAACAAATAAGCTTCAGAATTTCAGTGACTAGCACAACAGAAGTTGATTTCTGTTCTTTTTTTGTTTGTTTGTTTTTTTGAGACAGAGTCTCGCTCCGTCGCTCAGGCTGAAATGCAGTGGCACGATCTCGGCTCACTGCAAACTCCGCCTTACGGGTTCACGCCATTCTCCTGCCTCAGCCTCCTGAGTGGCTGAGCCTACAGACGCCCGCCACCACGCCCGGCTAATTTTTTGTATTTTTAGTAGAGATGCGGTTTCACCGTGTTAGACAGGATGGTCTCAATCTCCTGACCTCGTGATCCGCCCGTCTCGGCCTCCCAAAGCGCTGGGATTACAGGTGTGAGCCACCACGCCCGGCCGAAGTTGGTATCTTGCCCACACACAGTACAAAATGAATATTCCCAGTGAACAGTTGCATCCTTTTATTCTTACGTGTTCCAGTTTGGCCAACAAATTACATGGTCAGCCCAGGATTAAGAGATCCAGGCTCAGTTCTCTAAAGATCCTTCCCCAACTTCTTCTGCATCAAACCATGGAAGAGGAAAAGCCTAGATGATCAGGCATAGGAGTGTGTTCTGGGCCAGGTCTGGAAGGTGCCCACATCATTTCCACTCACGTTCATTTACTGCAACAATCACACAGCCACACCTAACCCCAAGTGAGGTGGACAACGTAGCTCATCAATGAAATGAACTACATTTCTTCCCTCAGAAGAAAAGGAAATTATTTTGCCAAACTGCTGGCTTGTCTCTATCAAAATGCTTAATGGTGTTTACTGTTTATAAGGATCATGTGCTCTACATTTCTTCTCCTGCTTATAAAACGAATATATTTCCATTATAGAAAAAAATCAATAATATAAAGTGAAAATAAGAATCACATAAAATTGTTGTTCTGATTATTGCCCTTTTCCCACAATTCTGTCAAATTCGTGTCAAATTGTATAGTTTTACACTCTACTTTTTCCATTTAATATTAGGTGATAAAGATAGCTGGCTAGAGGCAGCCAGCACTTGCTTCCTCCACAAAGAAAGACTACAACAGTAGGTAGATAATCACGTATCAAATAGTATTTCTAAGACAGAACATAAGAATTCAGCATAAGCCTGTCCCTGAGACAAAGTGAGCCAAAGCACATGTTCCTCAGAGCCTGAGAGCCATCTGCCTGGGACCACTGCCACTGACAGCAACCCTGTATCGCCACCCTCCCCAACCCATACAGCAGTGCCACTTCTAGGGTCCTGGGGACTGGCCCACATGGAGTCTGTCCCAGGGCTTGTGGACAGGCCCACCCTACCCATTGCTGCTACCATCACCTCTGCTGCCACTCAAGTGCACCATCTGGGGGCCTGGATATCAACCCACCCCACCCATTGCAGTCTGCACCAGCACATATCATCAGAGGACTTGAGGACAGGACTATTTTGGCTGGCACAGCCCCTATCAGTGACCACATGCATCATCCAGGTGTCTACAGATGGACCTGCCCCTCCTGCTACTACAGGCTCCCATGCACACCTTCTGGGAGACTGAGATCATCCCCACACAGCCTAACAGCACTCACACACATCATCTGGGTCCCAGAGATTGACCCATTCTTCCCACCACCACTGGCACCCCTATGCACACCTACCAGGAGCCAGAGGACAGGCCTGCCCATTCGGCTGCCACCACCACTGCCATCAACCACTTGCACATGCCACCTAAGGGCCTGAGGACTAGCCCACCCAGCCTACTACTGCCACCACTAACATATGCACATGCTTTGTGGGAGGCTAAGGGTTGGCCTGACACTGCTACTGCCATCACAAATGCCAAACAAACCACCCAGAGACCCAAGGACCCTCCTGCCTTGGGTCCATCACCAAGACCTGGCCCACTGCTGCCACTGCTGGCACCCAAGCAAGCCATCTGGAGGCTTAATAATTGACCTGAAAAAACCCACTACCATCAATGCTCAAGTAACTGCCCAGGGGCCCAAAGATCAGCATATCCAACCCACCACTGCCACCACTGGTGCCCAAAGACCAGCCCACCTGGTGTCCCCATTTGAGAAAAGTTTTACCGTAGCCTCCACTAATAACTGCAGCCTAAGATACTCAGGAACTCACAGGCACCACTGATACTGATTATACCCAAAGAAATCACACAGAGACTACACTACTGCCTCTTCCCAGAATCAAAGCCAAAGTGCTTTACCCAGCCACCACTGTAGATACACCTATAAGGAAAAGACATTGTTCTATGAAAGCCAATCCATAAAATTGGAAAAAGTGGCTGTTATACCAGATATGTAGATACCAATGTAAGAACACATGAAACATGAAAAAGCAAAGAAACATAACACCCCAAGATAACAGAATAATTATCCAGCAACAGATTCCAACAAAAAAGACATCTATGAAATGCCTGAAAAAGAATTAAACTTAATGATCTTTAAGAAGCTCAGTGATACATGAGAGAGCATAAATAAACAATACAAAGAAATCAGAATAATGACTCATTATCTAAATGAGAAATTTAACAAACAGATAATTATCATAAAGAAGAACCAAACAGAAATCCTGCAACTTAACAATTCAATGAGCAAAATTTAAAAAAAAAAAAAAGAACTGAAAGCCTTAACAATAGACTAGATCAAGCGTGAGAAAGAATTTCTGAACTCAAAGACAGGTCTTTTGCAATAACTCAGAACAAAAAAAAAAAAATGAAGAAAGCTATGTAAGACATGAGACACCATAAAACCACCAAATATTTGAATTTTGGGCATTCCAGAAGAAAAGATGAGAAAGGCATAGATAACTTATAAAATACAATAGTAGCTAAAAACTTCTCAAGTCTTACAAGAGATATAGGAAGCTCAAAGATCCACAAATATTGGGTTGGTGCAAAAGAAATTGGAGTTTTCATCTGATTTTTGACAAACCTGACAAAAACAAGCAATGAGGAAATGATTCTCTATTTAGTAAATGGTGCTGGGAAAATGGGCTAGCCATATGCAGAAAACAGAAATTGGACTCCTTCCTTACAACTTATACAAAAATTAACTCAAGATGGATTAAAGACTTAAATGTAACACCCAAAACCATAAAAACCCTAGAAGAAAACCTAGGCAATACCACTCAGGACATAGATATGGGCAAAGACTTCATGACTAAAACACTAAAAGCAATTGCAACAAAAGCCAAAATTGACAAATGGGATCTAATCAAACTAAAGAGCTTCTGCACAGCAAAAGAAACCATCATCAGAGTGAACAGACAACCTAGAGAATGGGAGAAAATTGTTGAAATCTATTCATCCAACAAAGTTCTAATATCCAGAATCTACAAGGAATTTAAACAAATTTACAAGAAAAAAACAAACAACCCCATGAACAATGAGCAAAGTATATGAACAGACACTTCTCAAAAGAAGACATTTATGAGGCCAACAAACATGAAAAAAAGCTCATCATCGCAGGTCATTAGAGAAATGCAAATCAAAACCACAATGTGACAGCGTCTCATGCCAGTTAGAATGGCAATCATTAAAAAATCAGGAAACAACAGATGCTGGAGAGGAGGTAGAGAAATGAGAACGCTTTTACAGTATTGGTGGGAGCATAAATTAGTTCAACCATTGTGGAAGACAGTGTGGTGATTCTTCAAGGATCTAGAACCAGAAATACCATTTGACCCAACAATCCCATTATGGGCCATATACCCAAAGGATTAGAAATCATTCTACTATAAAGACACATGCACACTTATGTTTATTGCAGCATTATTTGCAATAGCAAAGACTTGGAACCAACCCAAATGCCCATCAATGATAGACTGGATAAAGAAAATGTGGCACATATACACCATGGAATACTATGCAGCCATAACAAAGGATGAGTTCATGTGCTTTGCAGGGATATGGATGAAGCTGGAAACCATCATTCTCAGCAAACTAACACAGGAACAGAAAACAAAACACCACATGTTCTCACTTATAAGTGGGAGCTGACGATGAGAACACATGGACACAGGGAGGGTAACATCACACACTGGGGCCTGTCAGGGGATTGGGGGCAAGGGCAGTGAGAGCAGTAGGACAAATACCTAATGCATGAGGGGCTTAAAGCCTAGATGACGTGTTGATAGATGCAGCAAACCACCATGACACATGTATACCTATGTAACAAACCTGCACATTCCACACGTGTATCCCAGAACTTAAAGTAAAAAAAAAGACAGAGAAAGTACAAGAAATTGGGATTTTGCTATTACTTTTAATGACAAAACCACAATTGCTCTTGCACCAACCTAATAGATCTAACCAAAAAGGTTTTCATCAAGGTACATTATAGTCAAATGTCAAAAGTGAAAGACAAAGAGAGATTTTTTAAAAGCAGCAAGAGAAAAGCATGTAGTCACTTGAAAGGGAACCCCCATCAGACTAAAAGTGTGTTTCTCAGCAGACACCTTACAGACCAGGAGAATGGGATGATATATTCAAATTACTGAAAAAGAAAAAAAAATCTAGCAGTCAAGGATACTATACTCAGAAAAGCTATTCTTCCAAAATGAAGGCGATACAAGGCTTTTCCCAGACAAGAAAACACTGTGGGAATTGATCACCTCTAGACTAGTCCTAAAACAAATGCTTAAGGGAGCCCTACATCTGGAAGTGAAAGAATATTTAGCATCATGAAAACACATGAAAGTATAAAACTCACTGGTAGAAAAGATGTACAAATGAGAAAAGAAACGACTAAAATATTGCCACTACAGAAAACATTCAAATCACAATTATAAACAACAAGGGAGAAAGAAAGGAATAAAACATATACAAAAAAACAGAAAATAATAAACAAAATGACAGAAATAAATTCTCACCTATCAACAATAACCTTGAACATAAACAGATTAAATTCCCCACTGAAAACACAGATTGGCTGAATGGATTTTTAAAAACATGATCCAACTATATCCTTCCTACAAGAAACTTACTTCACCTGTAAAGACATGTAGACTGAAAGTGAAAGGATGAAAAAAAGATATTCCACATAAATGGAAACCAAAAGCAAGCAGGTGTAGCTATACTTATATCAAATAAGACAGACTGTAAGTCAAAAACAGTAAAAAGGGACAAAGAAGGTCATTATATAATCACAAAGGGATCAGCTCAGCAAAAGAATATAACAATTACAAATATATATGCACTCAACACTGGAGCACCAAGATATAAAGCAAATATTATTAGATTTAAAGGGAAAGATAGATGCCAAAACAATAGTTGGAGACTCTAACACCCTACTTTCAGCATTGGACTGGTCATCTAGACAGAAAGTCAAAAAAGAACCATTGGATTTCAACCACACTGTAGGCCATGGACCTAACAGACATCTACAGATCACTTTATCCAACCGATGCAGAATACACACTCTTCTCATCAATACATGCAACATTCTCCAGGAAAGACCACATGTTAGGCCATAAAGCAAGCCTCAATAAATTTTTAAAAATCAAAAGCATATCAAGTATCTTCTCAGACCACAATAGAATAAAAATAAAAATCAAAAACAAGAACAACTTTGGAAACTATGCAAATACATGGAAATTTAAAAACATCCTGAGCAACCATTGGATCAAGGGAGAAATCAAAAAAGTTTTTGAAATGAATGAAAATGGAAACAAAACATACCAAACCTATGTGATAAGCAAAAGCAATATTAAAAGGGAAGATTATAGTAACAAACACTACATCAAAAAAGTAGAAAGGTTTCACATAAACAACCTGGAAATGCACCTAAGGAATCAGAAAAGCAAGAACAAACCAAAATCAAAATTAGTAGAAGAAAATAAATAATAAAAAACGAGAGGAGCTAAATGAAATAGAGAAAAAGATAGAAAAGGACAGCAAAACAAAAACTTGGCTTTTTGAAAAGATAAACAAAAGCAACAAACCATTAGCTAGACTATGAAAAAAAGAAAGAAAACCCAAATAAATGAAAGCAAAAACAAAAAAGGAGACATTACAATCTGAAATAAAGAAAAAGCTAAGAACTTCATAAAAAAACTCTTAGAAATTATAAACAAATTTAGTAAATCAACATACAAAAATTAATAGCATTTCTATATACCAATAAAAATTAGCAGAAAAAGAAATCAAGATAGCAATCCTATTCACCATAGCCACCAAAAAATTCAATATTTAAGGAACAAATTTAATGAAAGAGGTGAAAGAAGAACTCTACACTGAAAACTAGAAAACACTGATAAAATAAAATGAAGATGACACAAAGAAAAGAAAAGACATCTAGAAATCATCATGGCAGACGGGAGGCAGGACTAGATTGCAGCTCCAACTCGGACAGACAGAGCAGCCTGTGGAGGGTCACACTGTGAATTTTTTCTCCATATCAATGGCAAGAACAAACCAGCAATCCCAAGAGGACCCACAGACCTCTGAAAGAAGCATACTGCTCCCGCAGGGCCCGGGAGACACCACAAATACTGTGAGTGCCCCAACTGTGGAAGTGGAAAGGGGAGATCCTCCTCTCCTTAACACACATCCCTACTGAAGAAACTGAAGCTCTGTTTGTGGGAGAAGTTTCCAACCTTACCTGGCACTGAGTCAATTTAGAGAGCTGAGTAAAATACAGGGGTAGAGGAAGCAGCAGAAAGGCTCTAAGAGCTCACTCGGTCCCCAAGCAAGACATTCCTGCCAGGGACCACACGGATCCATTGGGAGGGTGGCCAGAGGAGCAACAGGAAAATGCCACAGGAAGAAGGAAATCTCCAGCTGAACTTTGCAACAATTTGAATTGGGCAAGAAGCTTCCTGGCCAGAACTTGGGGGAGGTCATGAATCCAGTGTGCAGACTCCACAGCCTGGGGAAGAACTGAAGCCCTTTTCTTTCACAGCTGGAAGAGGTAGCCTGGGGCAAGTTCTCATGCCCAGCTCACCCACTGCCTGGAAACAGACTCAGGGTTGTTATTTGGGGCACAGTTGGAATGAGATCAGCCCTTCGATTTGCATAGGAGCTGCATGACGCCTTTGACTGCTGACTTTCCCCCACTTCCCTGGACAACCTGCATGACTCAGCAGAGGCAGCCCTAATCCTCCTAGGTACACAATTCCATTGACATGGGAAGTTCACCCCTATTCCCCACAGCAGCCACAGCAAAACCCACCCAAGGAGAGTCTGAGCTCAGACATGCCTAGCCCTGCTGCCACCTCATGGTTCTTCCCTACCCACCCAGGTAGCTAAAGACAAAGGGCATATAATCTTGGGAGTTCTAGGTCCCCACCCACCACTGGTTCCTCTCCATCCTACCACAGCTGATGCTCTCTGGAAAGCACCACCTCCTGGCAGGAGGCCAAACCAGCACAAGAATAGAGCATTAAACTACAAAAGCTAAGAACTTTCCTGGAGTCCACTTCACCTCCCTTCCCCCACCACCTTCACTGGAACGGTGCTGGTATCCATGGCTGAGAGGCCCATAGATGGTTCATATCACAGGACTCTATGCAGACAACTCCCAGTACCAGCCCAGAGCCAGGTAGACTTGCTGGGTGGCTAGACCCAGAAGAGAGACAACAATCACTGCAGTTTGGCTCACAGGAAGCCACATCCATAGGAAAAGGGGGAGAGTACTACATCAAGGGAACACCCCATGCGAGAAAAGAATCTGAACAACAGCCTTCAGCCCTAGACCTTCCTTCTGACAGAGCCTACCCAAATGAGAAGGAACCAGAAAAACAACTCTGCTAATATGACAAAACAAGGCTCTTTAAAAAAAAAAAAACAAAATCACACTAGTTTACCAGCAATGGATCCAAACCAAGAATAAGTCCCTGATTTACCTGAAAAAGTATTCAGGTTACTTATTAAGCTAATCAGGAAGGAGCCAGAGAAAGGTGAAGGCCAATGCAAGGAAATTCAAAAAGCAATACAAGAAGTGCAGGGAGAAATATTCAAGGAAATAGATAAAGAAAAAAAATCAAAAATTCAGGAAACATTTGACACACTTACAGAAATGCAAAGTGCTCTGCAAAGTCTCAGCAATAGAATTGAACAAGTAGAAGAAAGAAATTCAGACCGCAAAGACAAAGTCTTCGAATTAACCCAATCCAACAAAGACAAAGAGAAAAGAATAAGAAAATATGAACAAAGTCTCCAAGAAGTCTGGGATTATGTTTAACAATCAAACCTAAGAATAATCTGTATTCCTGAGGAAGAAAAGAAATCTAAAAGTTAGGAAAACATATTTGGGGGGATAATCGAAGAAAACTTCCCCAGCCTTGCTAAAGACCTAGGCATCCAACTACAAGAAGCACAAAAAACACCTGGGAAATACATCACAAAAAGATCATTGCCTAGGCACATTGTCATTGGGTTATCTAAAGTTAAGACGAAGGAAAGAATCTTAACAGCTGTGAGACAGAAGCACCAGGTAACCTATAAAGGAAAACCTATCCAATTAACAGCAGATTTCTCAGCAGAAACCTACAAGCTAGAAAGGTTTGGGGCCCTATCTTCGGTTTCCTCAAACAAAACAATTATCAGCCAAGATTTTTGTATCCAGCGAAACTAAGCATCATATATGAAGGAAAGATATATTCTTTTTCAGACAAACACATGCTGAGAGAATTTGTCACTACCAAGCCACCACAACAAGAACTCCTAAAAGGAGCTCTAAATCTTGAAACAAATCCTGGAAAGACATGACAACAGAACCTCTTTAAAGCATAAATCACACAGGACCTATAAAACAAAACAAAAGGCAAAAAAAAAAAAGTACAAAGACAACAAATAGCACAATGAATGCAACAGTACCTCACATCTCAATACTAACATGTAAATGGCCTAAATGCTCCACTTCAACTACTTTAAATTTCATATGGAACAAAAAGAGCCTGTATAGCCAAGACAATCCTAAGCAAAAAGAACAAAGCTGGAGGTATCACACTACCTGACTTCAAATTATACTATAAGGGTACAATAACCAAAACAGCATGGTACTGGTACCAAAACAGATACATAGACCAATGGAACTGAACAGAGGCCTTAGAAATGATGCCAAACATCTAAAACCACTGATCTTTGACAAACCTGATAAAAACAAGCAATGGAGAAAGGATTCCCTATTTAATAAAGGGTGTTGGGAAAACTGGCAAGCCATATGCATAAAACTGAAACTGGACACCTTCCTTACACTTTATACAAAAATTAACTCAAGATGGATTAATGACTTAAAACCTAAAACCATAAAAACCCTAGAAGAAAACCTAGGCAATACATTCAGGACATAGGCATGGGCAAAGACTTCATGACTAAAACACCAAAAGCAATGGCAACAAAAGCCAAAATTGACAAATGGAATCTAATCAAACTAAAGAGCTTCTGCACAGCAAAAGAAACTATCATCAGAGTGAACAGGCAACCTACAGAATGGGGGAAAATTTTTGCAATATAGCCACCTGACAGAGGGCTAATATCCAGAATCTACAAGGAACTTAAACAAACTTACAAGAAAAAAACAAACAACCCCATCAAAAAGTGGGTGAAGGATAGGAACAGACACTTCTCAAAAGAAGACATTTATGAGGCCAACAAACATGAAAAAAAGCTCATCATCACTGGTCATTAGAGAAATGCAAATCAAAACCACAACGAGATAGCATCTCATGCCAGTTAGAATGATGATCATTAAAAAGTCAGGAAACAACAGATGCTGGAGAGGATGTGGAGAAATAGGAATGCTTTTACAGTGTTGGTGGGAGTGTAAATTAGTTCAACCATTGTGGAAGACAGTGTGGTGATTCTTCAAGGATCTAGAACCAGAAATACCATTTGATCCAGCAATCCCATTACTGGGTATATACCCAAAGGATTAGAAATCACTCTACTATAAAGACACATGCACACATATGTTTATTGCAGCATTGTTCACAATAGCAAAGACTTGGAACCAACCCAAATGCCCATCAATGATAGACTGCATAAAGAAAACGTGGCACACACACACCACGGAACACTACGCAGCCATAAAAAAGGATGAGTTTATGTGCTTTGCAGGGACATGGATGAAGCTGGAAACCATCATTCTCAGCAAACTAACACAGGAACAGAAAACCAAATAGCACATGTTCTCACTCATAAGTGGGAGTTGAACAATGAGAACACATGGACACAGAAGGGGGAACATCACACACCGGGGACTGTTGTGGAGTGGGGGCTAGGAGAGGGATAGCATTAGGATAAATACCTAATGTAGATGATGGGTTGATGGGTGCAGAAAACAACCATTGCACGTGTATACCTATGTAACAAACCTGCACGTTCTGCACATGTATCCCAGAATGTAAAGCATTTTTAAAAAGATACAGAACTGCAGAAGGGATAAAAACAAACCAACCAACTATCTGCTGCCTTCAGGAGACTCACCTAACACATAAGGACTCACATAAACTTAAAGTAAAAGGGTGGAAAAAGGCATCTCCTGCAAAAGGACACCAAAAGCAAGCAGGGGTAGCTATTCTTATATCAGACAAAACAAATTTTACAGCAACAGCTGTTGAAAAGACAAAGAATGACATATAATTGTAAAAGGCCTTGTCCAACAGGAAAATATCACAATCCTAAAATATATGCACCTAACACTGGAGCTCCCAAACTTATAAAACAATTACTAGTAGACCTAAGGAATGAGATACGACCACAATAATAGTGGGGGACTTCAATACTACACTAACAGCTCTAGACAGGTCATCAAGACAGAAGGCCAACAAAGAAACAATGGATTTAAACTATACATTGGAACAAATGGACTTAACAGATCTATACAGAACATTTCATCCAACAACTGCAGAATACGCATTCTATTCAATAGTGCATGGAAATTTCTCCAAGATAGACCATATAATAGGCCATAAAATGAGCCTCAATAAATTTAAGAAAATTGAAATTATATCAAGCACTTTCTCAGAGCACAGTGGAATAAAACAGGAAATCAACTCCAAAAGGAGCCTTCAAAATCATGCAAATACATGGAAGTTAAATAACCTGATCCTGAATGAGCACTGGGTCAAAAACAAAATCAAGGTGGAAATTAAAAATTCTTTTATTACTATTATTATTATTATTATACTTTAAGTTATATACCTATGGAAATTAAAAATTCTTTGAACTAAATGGTGATAATGACACAACCTATCAAAACCTCTGGGATACAGCAAAGGCGGTGCTAAGAGGAAAGTCCATAGCCCTAAATGCCTACATCAAAAAGACTGAAAGAGCACAAACTGATATTCTAAGGTCACAACTCAAGGAACTTAAGAAACAAGAACCAACTAAACCCAAACCCAGCAGAAGAAAGGAAATAACCAAGATCAGAGCAGAACTAAATGAAATTGAAACAAAAAAAATACAAAAGATAAATGAAGCAAAAAGCTGGTTCTTTGAAAAGATAAATAAAATTCGTAGACCATTAGCAAGATTAACCAAGAAGAGAGAAAATCCAAATAACCTCATTAAGAAATGAAACAGGAGATATTACAATTGACACCACTGAAATACAAAAGATCATTCAAGGCTACTATGAACACCTTTATGCACATAAACTAGAAAATCTAGAAGAGATAGATAAATTCCCTGAAAAACACGACACCACTCACTTAAATCAGGAAGAATTAGATACCCTGAACAGACCAATAAAAAGCAATGAAATTGCAATGGAAAAATTACCAAATTTGGTTGGTAACTGAAAAATTACCAACAAAAAAAAACATTCAGGACCAGATGGATTCACAGCAGAATTCTACCAGACATTCAAATAATTGGTACCAATCCTTTTGATACTATTCCACAAGACAGAGAAAGAAGGATCCCTAATTCATTCTATGAAGCCAGCATCACCCTAATACCAAAACCAGGAAAGGACATAACCAAAAAACAAACTACAGACCAATACCCTTGATGAACTTAGATGCTAAAATCCTTAATAAAATACCAGCTCACTGAATCCAACAACATATGAAAAAGATAATCCACCATAATCAAGTGGGTTACATACCAGGGAGCAGGGATGATTAACATATGCAAGTCAATAAATGTGATACACCACATAAACAAAATTAAAAACAAAAATCACATGATCATCTCAATTGATGCAGAAAAAGCATTCAGCAAAATCCAGCCCCACTTTATGATTAAAACTCTCAGCAAAATCGGCATACAAGGGACATAACTCAGTGTAATAAAAGCCATCTATGACAAACCCACAGCCAACATGATACTGAATAGAGGAAAGTTGAAAGCAGTCCCTCTGAGAACTGGAACACAACAAGGATGCCCACTGTCACCACTCCTCTTCAACACAGTATTGGAAGTCCTAGCCAGAGTAATCAGGCAAGAGAAAGAAATAAAGGACATCCAAATGGGTAAAGAGGAAATCAATCTGTCACTGTTTGCTGGTGATAGAATTGTTTCCTTTGAAAACCCAAAAGACTCCTCCAGAAAGTTCCTAGAACTGATAAAAGAATTCAGCAAAGTTTCCAGATACAAGATTAATGTACACAAATCACTAGCTCTTCTATACACCAACAATGACCAAGTGGAGAATCAAATCAAGAACTCAACCCTTTTTACAATAGCTGCAAAATAAATAAATAAATAAAATACTTAGGAATATACCTAACCAAGGATTCAAAAGACCTCTACAAGGAAAAATACAAAGCACTGCTGAAAGAAACCATAGATGACACAAACAAATGGAAACACATCCCATCTTCATGGATGGGTAGAGTCAATATTGCGAAAATGACCACACTGCCAAAAGCAATCTACAAATTCAATGCAATCTCAATCAAAATACCATCACCATTCTTTTTTTTCTTTTCCTTTGAGAAGTTCACTGTTTTTTTTAATTATTATTATACTTTAAGTTTTAGGGTTCTTGTGCACAACGTGCAGGTTTGTTACATATGTACACATGTGCCATCATTCTTTACCAAATTAGAAAAAACAATTCTAAAATTCATATGAAATCAAAAAATAGCCAACACAGCCAAAGTAAGACTAAGCAGAGAGAACAAATCTGGAGTCATCACACCACCTGATTTCAAATTATACTATAAGGTCATAGTCACCAAAACAGCATGGTACTGGTTTAAAAATAGACACATGGTGTAAAAATAGACACATAGACCAATGGAACAGAATAGAGAACCCAGAAATAAACCCAAATACTTACAGCCAACTGATCTTCAACAAAGCAAACAAAAACATAAAGTGGGAAAATGACACCCTTTTCCACAAATAGTGCTGGGATAATTGGCTAGCCACATGTGGGAGAATGAAACTGAATTCTCATCTCTCACCTTATATAAAAATCAACCAAGATGGCTTAAGGACTTAAATCTAAGACCTGAAACTATAAAAATTCTAGAAGATACTATTGGAAAAACCCTTCTAGACATTAGCTTAGGCAAGGATTTCATGACAAAGTACCCAAAAGCAAATGCAATAAAAACAAAGATAAATAGTTGGGGCTTAATTAAACTAAAGAGCTTCTGCAGGGCAAAAGGAACCATCAGCAGAGTGAACAGACAACGCATAGAGTCAGAGAAAATCTTCACAATCTATATATCTGACAAAGGACTAATATCCAGAATCTACAATGAACTCAAACACATCAGTAAGAAAAAAAAAATCCCATCAAAAAGTGGGCTAAGCACATGAATAGACAATTCTCAAAAGAAAATTTACAAATGGCCAACAAACATGAAAAAATGTTCAACTTCACTAATGATCAAGGAAATACAAATCAAAACCACAAGGCAATACCACCTTACTCCTGCAAGAATGGCAATAATCAAAAAATCAAAAAACAGTAGATGTAGGCATAGATGTGATGAACAGGCAACACTTCTACAAAGCCGGTGGAAATGTAAACTTCTACAACCACTATGGAAAACAGTGTGGAGATTCCTTAAAGAACTAAAAGTAGAACTGTCATTTGATCCAGGAATCCCACTACTGGGTATCTACCCAGAGGAAAAGAAGTCATTATACGAGAAACAAGCTTGCACACGCATGTTTATAGCAGCACAACTCACAATTGCAAAATCGTGGAACCAACCCAAATGCCCATCAATCAACAAGAGGATAAAGAAACTGGTATATTTATACAATGGAATACTACTTAGCCATAAAAAGGAACTAATTAATGGCATTCACAGTGACCTGGATGAGATTGGAGACTATTATTCTAAGTGAAGTGATTCAGGAATGGAAAACCAAACATTGTATGTTCTCACTGATATGCAGGAGCTAAGCTATGAGGATGCAAAGGTATAAGAATGATACAATGGACTCTGGGGACTTTGGAGGAAAAGTGAGAGGAGGGCAAGGGATAAAACACTACAAATATGGTGCAGTGTATACTGCTCAGGTGATGAGTGCACCAGAATCTCACAAATCACCACTACAGAACTTACTCATGTAACCAAATACCACCAGTACCCCAATAACTTATGGAAAAATAAAAATAAAATAACATAAAATGAAAAGACATCTCATGCTCAGGAATCAGAAGAATTAATATTGTGAAAAATAACCATATTACCCGAAGCGATCCCTATATATGAATTCCATGCAATTCCTATCAAAATGTCAATGACATTCTTCACAGGTATAGAAAAAAATCCTAAAATTTATATGGAACCATTAAAGATCCTGAATAGCCAAAGCAATCCTGAGCAAAAAGAACAAAGCTGGATTGCTTGCGGAGGTGGAGCCAAGATGGCCGAATAGGAACAGCTCCAGTCTACAGCTCCCAGTGTGAGCAATGCAGAAGACAGGTGATTTCTGCATTCCCAACTGAGGTACCAGGTTCATCTCACTGGGGAGTGTCGGACAGTGGGTGCAGGACAGTGGGTGCAGTGCACCGAGCATGAGCTGAAGCAGGGCAAGGCATCGCCTCACCCAGGAAATGCAAGGGCTCAGGGAATTCCTTTTCCTAGCCAAGGAAAGGGGTGACAGACGGCACCTGGAAAATCGGGTCACTCCCACCCTAATACTGCACTTTTCCAATGGTCTTAGCAAATGGCACACCAGGAGATTATATCCTGTGCCTGGCTTGGAGGGTCCTATGCCCATGGAGCCTCACTCATTACTAGCACAGCAGTCTGAGATCAAACTGCAAGGCAGCAGCAAGGCTAGGGGAGGGGCGACCGCCATTGCTGAGGCTTGAGTAGGTAAACAAAGCAGCCAGGAAGCTCGATCTGGATGGACCCCACCGCAGCTCAAGGAGGCCTACCTGCCTCTGTAGACTCCACCTCTGGGGGCAGGGCATAGCCAAACAAAAGGCAGCAGAAAACTCTGCAGACTTAAATGTCCCTGTCTGACAGCTTTGAAGAGAGTAGTGGTTATCCCAGGACGCAGCTGGAGATCTGAGAACAGACAGACTACCTCCTCAAGTGGGTCCCTGACCCCTGAGTAGCCTAACTGGGAGGCACCCCCTAGTAGGGGCAGACTGACACCTCACACAGTCAGGTACTCCTCTGAGACAAAACTTCCGGAGGGGCGATCAGGCAGCAACATTTGCTGTTCACCAATATCCGCCGTTCTGCAGCCTCTGCTGCTGATACCAAGGCAAACAGGGTCTGGATTGGACCTCTAGCAAACTCCAACAGACCTGCAGCTGAGGGTCCTGACTGTTAGGAGGAAAACCAACAAAGAAAAAGGACATCCACACCAAAACCCCATCTGTACATCACCATCATCAAAGACAAAAGGTAGATAAAACCACAAAGATGGGGAAAAAACAGAGCAGAAAAACTGAAAATTCTAAAAATAAGAGTGCCTCTCCTCCTCCAAAGGAACACAGCTCCTCACCAGCAATGGAACAAAGCTGGATGGAAAATGAGTTTGATGAGTTGAGAGAAGAAGGCTTCAGATGATCAAACTACTCCAAGCTAAAGGAGGAAGTTCAAACCTATGGCAAAGAAGTTAAAAACCTTGAAAAAAGATTAGACGAATGGCTAACTAGAATAACCAATGCAGAGAAGTCCTTAAAGGACCTGATGGAGCTGAAAACCACAGCACGAGAACTACATGATGAATGCACAAGCCTCAGTAGCCGATTCGATCAACTGGAAGAAAGGGTATCATTGATGGAAGATCAAATAAATGAAATGAAGCGAGAAGAGAAGTTTAGAGAAAAAAGAATAAAAGGAAATAAAAAAAGCCTCCAAGAAATATGGGACTATGTGAAAAGACCAATCTACGACGGATTGGTGTACCTGAAAGTGACGGGGAGAATGGAACCAAGTTGGAAAACACTCTGCAGGATATTATCCAGGAGAACTTTCCCAATCTAGCAAGGCAGGCCAACATTCAAATTCAGGAAATACAGAGAACGTCACAAAGATACTAAATGAGAAGAGCAACTCCAAGACACATAATTGTCAGATCCACCAAAGTTGAAATGAAGGAAAAAATGTCAAGAACAGCCAGAGAGAAAGGTCGGGTTACCCACAAAGGGAAGCCCATGAGACAAACAGTTGATCTCGGCAGAAACTCTACAAGCCAGAAGACAGTGGGGGCCAATATTCAACATTCTTAAAGAAAAGAATTTTCAACCCAGAATTTCATATCCAGCCAAACTAAGCATCATAAGTGAAGGAGAAATAAAATACTTTACAGATAAACAAATGCTGAGAGATTTTGTCACCACCAGGCCTGCCTTAAAAGAGCTCCTGAAGGAAGCACTAAACATGGAAAGGAACAACCAGTACCAGTCACTGCAAAAACATGCCAAATTGTAAAGACCATCGAGGCTAGGAAGGAACTGCATCAACTAACGAGCAAAACGACCAGCTAATATCATGACAGGATCAAATTCACAAATAACAATATTAACCTTAACTGTAAATGGGCTAAATGCTCCAATTAAAGGACACAGACTGGCAAATTGGATAAAGAGTCAAGACCCATCAGTGTGCTGTATTCAGGAAACCCATCTCACGTGCAGAGACACATAAAGGCTCAAAATAAAGGGATGGAGGAAGATCTACCAAGCAAATGGAAAACAAAAAAAGGCAGAGGTTGCAATCCCAGTCTCTGATAAAACAGACTTTAAACCAACAAAGATCAAGAGACAAAGAAGGCCATTATATAATGGTAAAGGGATCAATTCAACAAGAAGAGCTAACTATCTTAAATATATATGCACCCAACACAGGAGCACCCAGATTCATAAAGCAAGACCTTAGAGACTTACAAAGAGACTTAGACTCCCACACAGTAATAATGGGAGACTTTAACACCCCACTGTCAACATTAGACAGATCAACGAGACAGCAAGTTAAAAAGGATACCCAGGAATTGAACTCAACTCTGCACCAAGCGGACCTAATAGACATCTACAGAACTCTCCACCCCAAATCAACAGAATATGCATTCTTCTAAGCACCACATCACGCTTATTCCAAAATTGACCACATAGTTGGAAGTAAAGCACTCCTCAGCAAATGTAAAAGAACAGAAATTATAACAAACTGTCTCTCAGACCACAGTGCAATCAAACTAGAACTCAGGATTAAGAAACTCACTCAAAACTGCTCAACTACATGGAAACTGAACAACCTGCTCCTGAATGACTACTGGGTACATAACGAAATGAAGGCAGAAATAAAGATGTTCTTTGAAACCAACGAGAACAAAGACACAACATACCAGAATCTCTGGGACACATTCAAAGCAGTGTGTAGAGGGAAATTTATAGCACTAAAAGCCCACAAGAGAAAGCAGGAAAGATCCAAAATTGACACCCTAACATCACAATTAAAAGAACTAGAACCTATAGAATGGGAGAAAATTTTTGCAATCTACTCATCTGACAAAGGGCTAATATCCAGAATCTACAATGAACTCAAACAAATTTACAAGAAAAAAACAAACAACCCCATCAACAAGTGGGCAAAGGATATGAACAGACGCTTCTCAAAAGAAGACATTTATGCAGCCAAAAGACACATGAAAAAATGCTTATCATCACTGGTCATCAGAGAAATGCAAATCAAAACAACAATGAGATACCATCTCACACCAGTTAGAATGGCGATCATTAAAAAGTCAGGAAACAACAGGTGCTGGAGAGGATGTGGAGAAATAGGAACACTTTTACACCGTTGGTGGGACTGTAAACTAGTTTAACCATTGTGGAAGTCACTGTGGTGATTCCTCAGGGATCCAGAACTAGAAATACCATTTGACCCAGCCATGCCATTACTGGGTATATCCCAAAGGATTATAAATCATGCTGCTATAAAGACACATGCACACGTATGTTTATTGCGGCACTATTCACAATAGCAAAGACTTGGAACCAATCCAAATGTCCAACAATGATAGACTGGATTAAGAAAATGTGGCACATATACACCATGGAATACTATGCAGCCATAAAAAATGATGAGTTCATGTCCATTGTAGGGACACGGATAAAGCTGGAAACCATCATTCTCAGCAAACCATCGCAAGGACAAAAAACCAAACACCACATGTTCTCACTCATAAGCGGGAATTGAACAATGAGAACACATGGACACAGGAAGGGGAACATCACACACCGGGGCCTGTAGTGGGGTGCTGGGAGTGGGGAGGGATAGCATTAGGAGATATACCTAATGTTAAATGACAAGTTAATGGGTGCAGCACACCAACATGGCACATGTATATACATGTAACAAACCTGCACATTGTGCACATGTACCCTAAAACTTAAAGTATAATTTAAAAAAATTAAAAAAAAGAGCAAAGCTGGAGGCATCACACTACTTGACTTCAAAATATACTACAAAGCTATAGTAACCAAATCAGCATGGCACTGGCATTTAAACAGACATTTAAACTAATGAAACATAATAGAGAACCCAGAAATAAATCCATGTATTCACAGCCAGCTGATTTTTGACAGAGTTGCCAAGAGCATACATTGGGAAAATGTCACCCTCCTCAATGAATGATTCTGGCAAAACCAGCTATCCATATGCAGAAGAATGAAACTAGATCCCAATCTCTTTCCATATACAAAAACCAACTCGAAATGTATTAAAGCGTTAAATGTAAGGCCCAAATACAAAACTGCTAGAAAAAAACATAGGAGTAATGCTTCAGGACTTCAATCTAGGCAAAGATTTTATGGTTAAGACCACAAAAGCACAGGCAACAAAAACAAACATAGACAAAATAGACTATATTAAAATAAAAGCTCTACACAGCAAAGGAAACAACAGAATAAAAGACAACCTGTAAAATTGGAGAAAATATTTGCAAACTATTCATCCAACAAGGGACTAATATCCAGAATATACAAGGAGCTCAAAAAAATCAACAGCAAAATAATAATAATAATAATAATCCTATGAAAAGGGCAAAGGATAGGAATAGACATTTCTTAACAGAAAATGGCCAACAGAGATATGAAAAACTGTTCAACATCATTAATTATCAGGAAAATGCAAATCAAAACCACAGTGAGATATAATCTGATGTCAGTTATAATGCTATTATCAAAAAGACAAAATATAAGGAATGCTGGTGAGGATGCAGAGAAAAGGAAACTGTTATTCACTGTTGGTGGGAATATAAATTAGTACAGCAATTATGGAAAACAGTATGGAGGTTTCACCAAAAAAAAAAAAATAGAGCTACCACATGATCCAGCATTTCCACTACTGGGTATTTATTCAAATGAAAGGAAATCAGTATATCAAAGGGATACCTGCACTTCCATGTTTATGCAGCACTACCCACAGTAGCAAAGATATGTAATCAACCTAAATGTTCACCAATGGATGAATTGATAAGGAAAAAAATTACATATATACATTCACACACACACACACACACAAATATCACCTTTACCTTTCTCACATCTACCCAGGATCTCAGAGGCACTGCTCAATCTTAGAAGTAAGCCTTTCTGCCAGGAAACATGAAAGACCTTGAATCTTTTTTCAAATCTTTCTCTGCCATAGCCAGGGCTTGTGCATTGCCTGTTTCCCTCTAACTACTCTGATGAGAAGATTTTAATCAACTCCCAGTGATTTTGCTACAGCAAAGTATGCATTTCAGGACCCTCTGAGGGGTTCACTCTTTCCTTTGTCACCTTTTCTTTCCTACAAAAATGACAACACAGGCCAGTTCTTGGCAAGAAAGCATCTGGCTCCCTGAAGACAACTGTGGTTGGAAGACAATGACTCTGGCACAGCCCTCTCTCAGCACCGACACTTAATAAAGCAATCACAAGTTCATCAGTGGGAACTTCCCAAGGAGCTTCCAAAATGTCCTTTTAAGAGTGATTTTAAGGTAGCTCTGAGGGTCTGGAGTGACTCAGTACTATGCTGGTCTCCTACAAAGCCAAGAGGAACTAGATTGGTTACTGACTAGAGTAGCATCAGAGGAAATGAGGGGGATTTGACCCAGCAACAACTGGCAACTGCCTTCTCAGAGGATTTGCATTGTCCGCGGCTTATGGGGCCCAGGGAGGAGGTGGAAAACGTCCTACATTAATGTCCCAACATCCCAGAGGAGAAAAAAATTATAACTGACGGAAATGTAATAAAACAGTCAAAAGCAGATGTAACCAGCTATAGATATTGTGAAACATATTGGTCTTTTTGTTCAAATATTACAATTTTTATTAAAATAAAAAATAAATTAAAAGTATGTGCCCCACTCTACTCATATATATTCCCCTCTCCATCTGAATGTTCTCTCTAATCCCCATCCTCTGGCAATCAGATTTTTTTTTAAATGTATTACAAAATATACACACAAGAGAAGTTGATAAAACATAAATGGAGAGTTTAAAGAATAATTATAAGTTAAACACTACATTTTATGTCGGGAAATTGGGTTTGTTCAACACTACTGAAATCTGCCATATGTTTCTTCCTACTCAAAATGCTCTCTCTGTCCTCCAATTCCAGAGTTAACTACTATTCTGACTTTGGTGATAACTATTTCCTTGCTTTTCATTATACATTTACCATATATATACATATATATATGGTACATGTATATATATACATATATACATATATACATATATATGTATATATATGTATATGTATGTATGTATTTCTATCCAGTATAGTTTCATTTTGCCTAGTTTTGAACTTTATATAAATAAAATTAAAGTTGTCTTCTTGGGTTCTTTTAACTTATGCTTGTAAGATTCATTTGCATAGCTGCATGAAGGAAGAGTTTTATTTTTATGGCTATGCAATATTCCATTATATGAATATACTACAATTTGATTATTCATGCTGCTGTTAGTGGACCTTCGAAGTGTTTCCAGTTTGAGGCTATCTTGAACATGCTGCTATGACCTTCTTGGACATGTATCTGGTAGAAATTTGCACCCGATGTTTCTCTAGGGTATATACCTAGGATTGGGAAAAGAGCCAACATGGTAGCTGCAACTGTTATTGCACTTTTTTCTTTTTTCTTTCCTTGAGACAGGGTCTTGTCTTGTCACCCAGGCTGGAATGCAATGGCACAATCATGGCTCACTGCAGCCTCAACTCCCACTTCAGCCTTCCAAGTAGCTGGGACTACAGGCACATGCCATCACACACAGTCTCGAACTCTTGGGCTCAAGTGATCCCCTCACCTTGGCCTCCCAAAGTGCTGGGATTACAGGCATGAGCCACCATACGTGGCCTTCATTGTGCTTCAAATGGGTGCTTCTCTAATATCTAGTCAGAGTAACACTTTTTCATGTTTATTGACCACTTCGATTTCCTGTTTTGAGATAAAACTGTTCAAGTCTTTTGGCTATTGTTTTATTAAGTTAATTGTCTTCTTCATTGCAAGTTTTTGTTTTGTTTTGTTTTGAGAGTCTCACTTTGTTGCCCAGTGAGGCAATCTCCACTTACAGCAACCTCAGCCTCCCCAGTTCCCCAAGCGATTCTCCTGCCTCAGCCTTCCGAGTAGCTGAAGTTACAAGTATGTGCCACCATCCTGGCTAATTTTTTTGTGTATGTTCCTAGTAGAGACAGGTTTTCACCATGTTGGTCAGGCTGGTCTCCAACTCCTGACCTCAAGTGATCGACCCGCCTCGGTCTCCCAAAGTGCTGGGACATGGGTGAGCCACTGCACCTGGCCAGATTTCTGAGTTCTTTATGTAATTTGAATATAAGCCCTTTGTTGTTTATGTGTATTTCAAGCATCTTTGCCTACTCCATGAATGGTCTTTTGTTTCTCTCAATTTAGATGTGTCAAATTCATCAGTCCTTTTCTTCATTATTAGTACTTTATATACAGTACTAAAATCTTTACCTATCATGAAGATATTCTTCCATTATATATTCAAATCATTATTCCTACTTGGATCCATAATCTACCTAGAATAGGTTTTTTGATATTTTGGGAGAAGAAGGTCAAGTTTTATTTTTCCACATAGAAAATATTTGTCTCTATAGGACACCATAAAGGCAATTTATTATCCCAGTACCATTTATTGGGGATAAAAAAAGAAAATAGTCTTTTCCCTATTATGATGAAAGATGCAACATCCATCATAAATCAATCCATCCATGTGTATGTCAGCGTCCACATGCGTGTGGAGTCCTTATTTCTGGTCCATTAGTCCATGTTTCTATGCCTCATCAATACCACGCTATCTTCATTCCCATGGCTTTGTTTGCAAAAGCAAGTCTTCCATCTTATTCTCATTCTCTAATGGTGACCTGGCTATCATTAGCCTTTTGTTTTCCAAATATACTTACAATCAGTTAAGTTCTATAAAATACCGCTCGGTGCAATGAATCTATATAGATCAATTTTGGGAGAGCTGACATTTTTACAATATTTAGTCTTCTTCCAATCTATGAACATGGAATCTCTTCATGTTTAGGTCTTCTTGAATGTCTCTTCATTCAGTTTTATAATTTTCACCAAAGAGGTCTTTCACATATTCTTTTAGATTTACATTTAGTTATTTGATCATTTCCATGCCATTTAAGTATTACTTTCTAAAAATTTCTTTCTAACAGTGTTGCAGTACATGTAGAAATATGATTAATTTTTAAATTGATTTTTTCTAGCAAATCTGTAAAACTCTTATTAATTATGGTAATTTACCTGTAGATGATTTTGGATTGTCTACGTATACTATCACTTCCTCAAATCATTACAATTTTGTTTTCTCTTTTCCTGTCTTTATACCTTTCATTTCCATTTCCTACCTAACTGCACTGGCTAAAACTGCTAATGTACTGTTTGTTGAACAGAACTGATAATAATTTGTATTCAGGCATTATTGTAATGTTTTGCTCTCAAAAAAAGGTTTTAACACTTTTCCATTAGGTATAATGATTGCTGTGGGAATTTTGTGATAACTTCTATCAGATTAAAGACACTCTTTTTATTCCTAGTCTGCTAAGAGTATTTTTTAAGTAAATAAGGGTAAATTTTAGGCCTTCATTGTTTCAATTAAATAATCACATGATGTTTCTTCTTTAGTCAGTTCATATGATGTGTTACAGCAATTTTGCTTTTCAAATGAAAAGTCAACTATGTGTTCCTAGAATAAACCCAAATTACTTATGATATATTAATATCTATTTGCTTATTGATTGATTTGGTTTGCATCAATATTCAAAAGTTTATTGACCTATAATGTTTCATTTCTATATTGTCTCTATTGGGTTTGGCATGGAGGTTATGCTAGTCCCATAAAGGGAAGGGTAGCATCCGTTCTTCAGAAGAAACTATATAGCATACTTTAAATATTTTCTACAGATTTCTCCTTAATGTGGTCATCAAAAACAAAAGTTGAAATTTTGTGGATTCAGCACATTCCCTTGGAACAATAGCAGCTTCCTAACTAGACTCTCATTATTCCTTCAACTTGATCTGATAGTCACTTCAATGCTGGTAGTTCTTCGAGGTTTGTAAGCTTTTTAGATATCTTAAATAGCTTTGATTACTTTTAATGAGAAGATTGCATGAAATTCTAGGTCACTATTAATGAAATTTCCTAATCAATCTTTATTACATGAGTGAATGCATATATTTTACTCCTTTTTTTTCATATGTGCAGGTTTTTCTTTATCCCTTTCTTCTATTTTTAAGTTAAACTAACATTTTTAAAACAAAACAAAATGTTGAAAATTTTTAATAAATTAAATTATGCCAAATGCTAAGGCACTAATAAAGGTGCTATACTATTCTCTCTTTGCTCCCTTCTTCTTCACGTTACTTTTCAGATGCATAAAGACGTTTTATAGAGCCTGTACAAGAGAAGAGGTTAAGCTCTGTGCAGCTCTAAAAATAAGTGAAAAAATTATATATTTATGTATAAGGAAAGGAACCCTAATTTTCATGAGATTTTCAAGAGGGCCTATTATACTCCATAAAGACTGGGAATTGTATCTCACACCAATCAGAATGGCTATTACTAAACAGCCAAAAAATAACAGATGCTGGCAAAGTTGCAGACAAAAGAGAACACTTATACACTGTTGGTGGGAGCAGTTCAACCATTGTGGAAAGCAGTATGGTGATTCTTCAAAGAGCTAAAAGCAGAACTACCATTCGATCCAGCAATCCCATCACTGGATATTTACCCAGAGGAATATAAATCATTCTACCATAAAGACACATGCACGCAAATGTTCACGGCAGCACTATTCACAAAAGCAAAGACACGGAATCAATCTAACTGCCCGTCAATAGACCAGATAAGGAAAATGTGGTACATATACATTGTGGTACATATACATATGCAGTCATAAAAAAGAATGGACTCATGACCTTTGCAGGGACATGGGTGGAGCAGGAGGCTATTAGCAAACTAATGCAGGAAACCAAATAATACATGTTAGTTAGCAAACTAATGCAGGAAACCAAATAATACATGTTCTCACTTATAAGTGGGAGCTAAATGATAAGAACTGTGAACACAAAGAAGAAAACAACAGACAGTGGGGTAAGAGGAGGGAGAGGAGCAGAAAAGATAACTATTGAGTGCTGGGCTTAATATCTGGGTGATAAATATGTACAACAAATCCCCGTAACATGTGTTTACCTATGTAACAAACCTTCACATGTACCCCCAAACCTAAAATAAAAGTTAAAAATAAATACCTAAGTAAAAGATTTTCAAAATAAAAGACAGAAAAAAAGAGATTGGGAATTGTATTAGTCTTCAATTCTGCTATTTCTGCAAAAATTATACTGGATTATAACGGTTTTCTGTGCATACACAGAATCTTCTAAATATTTTAAGTGTTTTTAATAATCCATTGTGTTACTCTGCAGTAATTTGCTGTTCTTTTCTCCCATTGTTGAGTATGCGGCTCTAATTCTTTTATAGGTAGCACAGCAATGAATGTACCTCCTTCTCAGAAGCTTTTGCTCCTGGGATTAGGTTGATGGGCCTCTAATGTCACCAGTGAAATGGGATATTAGATATTTTCCAGCTAGGATACGACAGCTCCCAATAAAACCAAATTACTAAGCCTTTTCTGCAAGCAAGGAGCCGTCTGGAACATAAGGACTTTAACCTTGGGTAGGAGACAGGCAAGCAGAAGTCTTCAATTGTGTCACAATTTTCACTGAGGACTCAAGTGACCTAAGAAAGTAATTGTGATTGTCAGAGCCTTGTTCTTCCTTTTCTTTCTCCAGCCGCACGCTTCACCTACTCAGGAGAGTGCCTACGCAATCTGACTTGACAGCTTCTAGAAAGAAATTAGAGCAACAGGGGTCTCAGCAGGGTGGTCTTGGGCCAAACACTGAAAGCAGGCAGGCTTACCCTTTCCTCTTCTGCCCCCTTCAACTTTTTCCTGATGTTCTTACCCACATCCCTCACCACACCACACCCTTTCATTCATCCTTGTCCCAGACTTATTAAGTATATACAGATAAGCAATCCAGGGAACTTGCATTCATTAGGAGAAACCCAGAAATTCAAAAGCAATAATGATCTAATCCCAGAGGAGTAGAAAACAGGAAGTGGGCAGCTGCCAGCTTTCTTGCTTTGCTGGAGTATTCTGGAATTTGATGGGTTGAGGGTTCTGGACACAATGCCCCAAGCCCCTTCCTTGTTGTGCTGGGTTCCTATTTCTGCTCTCGGCACTGACTTAGCAGCTGCTCAAGAGCTCACTATGTTGGCTTGGATTACACGGTCTCACCCACATCTCCGGCAGTTTGTGGGCAAACTTCCTGAGCAGCCTTGGGTGATGAAACCTTTCATGGTAGCAGGAGAATGGGACTGTGAATTCTCAATCCCCTGTCCCCACCCCTTCCTTCCTCTCTCAGGGCCTTAAAGTCTAGGAGGAGGAAGCACAGCAGCAACTGACTGGGCAGCCTTTCAGGAAAGATGCAGCCACTCCTGCTTCTGCTGGCCTTTCTCCTACCCACTGGGGCTGAGGCAGGTGAGTGACCATCCCCACCCTCAGAGGCCTGACCTCATCCCATAGATTCTTGAGCCAAATTGCCTTGGTATATCCTAATTCTGTACTGTTGAGCAAGTTATTTGAATTTGTGTTTCCTCATCTATAAAATGAGAATAATATTAATACCGATCTTGCAGAGTTGCCATGAGAGTTAAATAAGTTAGAGTATTTAAATGTCTTGGAATTGCCCGCACACTATAAGTGCTATAAAAACATGCTTTGTGTAAATAATTTGGCAGCATGTGTCAGACCCTACCTAGGAGGTAAGAATACAGCAATAACAGTACCATCAGCTCATGTCTAGATTTTTAAACACCAGTCCCACGTGGTCTTGAATTGGACTCAGAGGGCTCTGGGAAGCTCCATGAGGATAAAAGTATAAGGGAACTTCAGGAACAATCCTGTACTTACAGCAAAGCATTCTCCTCAATACCTGAGGCTGAAGCTGGCCTTGCCTGGAACAAGGGTTGTTCTCCCTCTTTTGGAGAGGAGGAGGGAGGTGAGGCCTAGGATGGGGAAAAGGGCTCCTTTCAAGACAGCAGTGTTTCCTGTAGAACCCTGGAGCCCCCTCCCAATCTGCTGCCCCATAGACTCCAAGCCTCAGCACCATCTCCTCCCTCTCCTGCACCCTCTCTCCTGCCGTCCCCATCTTCCAGCCTTTCTGGAGCCACCAATCTGGTACCCACATTGCAGGTTCAGCAAGCATAGAGCTAAGTGCCAAATGCTTCCTTCCAGGGGAGATCATCGGAGGCCGGGAGAGCAGGCCCCACTCCCGCCCCTACATGGCGTATCTTCAGATCCAGAGTCCAGCAGGTCAGAGCAGATGTGGAGGGTTCCTGGTGCGAGAAGACTTTGTGCTGACAGCAGCTCATTGCTGGGGAAGGTGAGGAGCTAAGGAACTTCCTGGCCAGCCAGGAACACAGCCCTGCGGAGCTCTTCGGTGGAAGAGCCATCTGAAAGAAGAGTTGTAGCAATGAAAGGGTGAAAGAAAGACCAAGTGAGTCTTTGCGGGAGGGAACAGGCCAGTGTAAATGAGGAGGAAAGGAGGATAAGATCAAAAAGAGCAAGAGGAAGAGATGGAAGACACATATTGGGGCTCAAAATATAAACTCAGGCTATTTATCAACTTAATCTGGGGAAGCAAACCTGAAGGCAAGTACCACCCTGTCATCCCTAGCTCAGAGCTGCTGAGAAAGAGGATACAGCTGAGCCCCAGGGCCCTCCCATCCCCTCGATTCTGGTTAGCTGCAGTCTTGCCCTCCCCGTGCTGTCTGCCTACCCTGCAGAGCTGGTGGACCATAGCTCCTGCAGCCCAGACCTACCTCTTGCTTTTGCAGCAATATAAATGTCACCCTGGGCGCCCACAATATCCAGAGACGGGAAAACACCCAGCAACACATCACTGCGCGCAGAGCCATCCGCCACCCTCAATATAATCAGCGGACCATCCAGAATGACATCATGTTATTGCAGGTACCACCTACCTGGCCCTCTGGCTCCTTCCTAGTGTGTCCGGGGACAATGGAGGAGGAAGTGAGGGCAAGGCTCCGGGGTGGCGGGGAGGGCATGGGATGTGTACTGCACCAGCGACCCCCGAGCCTTGGCTGGAGGCCCCAGCTGAGCGGGAACGCCTACATTCTTCCTCCAGCTGAGCAGAAGAGTCAGACGGAATCGAAACGTGAACCCAGTGGCTCTGCCTAGAGCCCAGGAGGGACTGAGACCCGGGACGCTGTGCACTGTGGCCGGCTGGGGCAGGGTCAGCATGAGGAGGGGAACAGATACACTCCGAGAGGTGCAGCTGAGAGTGCAGAGGGATAGGCAGTGCCTCCGCATCTTCGGTTCCTACGACCCCCGAAGGCAGATTTGTGTGGGGGACCGGCGGGAACGGAAGGCTGCCTTCAAGGTAAGGCATGGGCATTGGCCAACACACCCCGGGAGAGAGGGGCCCGTGCAGAGCCAGGCAGTGCGAACAGATTCCATCCCCACAGCCTCAGCCTGGCAGCCAGACCAGGGTGGGCTGGGGATTGTTTTCCCCATCAACCTGGTCTCTGGGGGAATAGGAGGAAGACCCACAACACATACATAGGCAACATTCTCCTGGAGAAGGGAGAGGTACCTTGACTCAGATTGGGCTGGAGACAGTAATTAAGGCAGAGCTGAAGTCCAGCGACCGAAAAGATCCAGAGGCTTGGCTCCTGTACCCCACCGATCTTCCATCTCACACACACCCAGCAATTGAAGGGGCCCACCCACCCCTGCCTTCCCTGAGAGCCCGGAGCTCAGGGAAGCAGGAGCAGGGAGGCCTGTCTCAGTCTCCCTTCTCCTCTCTACCTACAGGGGGATTCCGGAGGCCCCCTGCTGTGTAACAATGTGGCCCACGGCATCGTCTCCTATGGAAAGTCGTCAGGGGTTCCTCCAGAAGTCTTCACCAGGGTCTCAAGTTTCCTGCCCTGGATAAGGACAACAATGAGAAGCTTCAAACTGCTGGATCAGATGGAGACCCCCCTGTGACTGACTCTTCTTCTCGGGGACACAGGCCAGCTCCACAGTGTTGCCAGAGCCTTAATAAACGTCCACAGAGTATAAATAACCAATTCCTCATTTGTTCATTAAACGTCATTCAGTACTTAGTTTGTTTGGATTGCTACAACAAAATAGCACAAATTGGGTGGCTTATAAATAACAAATTTATTTCTCACAGGTCTAGAGGCTAAGAAGTCTAAGATCAAGTCACTAGCAGATTCAGTGTCTAATTAGGGCCCATTTTCTGGTTCACAGACAACCATCCTCTCCCTGTGTCCACATATGGCAAAAGGGGCAAGGGAATTCTCTGATGTCTCTTTTACAAGGGACCTAGTCTCATTCAAAGAGCTCAGCTTTTACGACCTAATCACATCCCAAAGGCCCCACCTAATGCCATCACATTGGGGATTAGGTCTGGGAAACATAGGGAAACACTGTCTCTACACAAAAATTTTAAAATTAGCCAGGCATGGTGGCATGTGTCTATAGTCCCAGCTACTTGGGAGGCTAAAGTGGAAGGATTAGTTGAACCCACGAGGTTGAGGCTTCAGTGAACCATGCACTCCAGCCTGAGCGACAGAGCAAGACACCATTCCAAGAAAGAAAAAAAAAAAGACTGGCAGGCCAAAAAGACAGAACTGAAATTCCAAAAAAAAAGACCTACTTTAGTGTATGAAAAAGGTGGCATCTCAAATCACTGGGAAACAATGGATTTTTAATAAATAGCATTAGAACAACTAGATAGATATTTGGAGGGGATGGAAGCTATAATTGGATCCATTCCTCACACCATACTTCAAAATAAACCTCAAATGGATCACAGATCTAAATGCAAAAACATTAAACCATACAAGCACTAGAATAAAGAAAAATTAAAGAGATTTTGCTTCTTTAAAAATAGCTAACAAACACCCATGTTAGTAACAGCATTAATCACAATAGCCAAGGATGGAAGAACCATAGCGTCCATCACCAGCCCGCATGCTTGTCCTAAACCTTGTGAAAGAAAATAGAATCTCAGGACCCAAACTTCACTATTCCAAAGGGAAAGTTAAGCTTGGGAACTGACCCATGGGGGGAAAAAAACTGCTTTCTATTTATTTCCAAACAGCTATAATCCACAATCCTGTGGCATCACCTCATTTCCTCTACTTGCTTTTCCACATGTTTACTTTATCTTGTGTAAGATGTAGATTTACTGAGGCTAATCAGAACCTCACAAGAACATAACCATCTGCCTGAAGTCCTACTCTCTCTCCCATTTTTACCTTCCTGCTTGCTCTTTCCCCTTTAAATACTGAAGTTCCTAAAACCCTTTAGGGAAAAGCACAGGTCATAGATGCTCCTGTGGCTTGTATTTTTTCCCCAGGTGCATCTTCAACCTTGGCTAAATAAACTTCTGTTAGATTGAGACCTATCTCAGTCACTTTGTGGTTTATAGCCCTTCCTTGCGCTATACCAACCCCACTGTACTTATAAGCCAGCATTTTCCTCACCAATGTGATGAAGATCTGTCTGAGAACTTTTGATACTCTGAAGGTATATAAAACACCTCACAAAATGTTGACCTAAATAACAATACATTTGCCCTGAAGATTAGCCCATGACTGTCTACATCAATATTATATTCAAACAAAAGATTACTGAAATCACATAATTTAAAATTAAGCTTTAAACACCTGCTGAAAGTAACTACACAGAATCAGTCAGGAGGTTTTCCTAGGTAAGTAGAAATGTTAATTACTCCTTTCAGTGTGACATTTACCATCTGAACTTTTGCAGTTTTCCTAATCTTAAATGAAATAATCCCTGAACAGACATTTTATCAAATCCAACAGGCTATATACAGAAATGCTTTGATGAATTTGACCATTATTTTATGTGTATCTCTTATCAGAAAGTTATTTGTCTAATATTCAGTGTAAGCCATTTATCAACAAAATTTTAATCAATAATACATCTTTAACAATCCTCAGTCATTCTCTCTGTATTTACTAACTGCCTACCCATAAGAATTATCTATTACTGGCATGCTCTGGGGGATAACAGTCTCATTATTAAATGTTTGCACTGACAAATGGAAAGAATACTTGCTAGTAGAAAAGTCCCCCATTCAGCCCTTCCTCCCTGTGGCATTTACTTAGGGCCTCAGAGCACTGCCCAGTCTCAGGACTCAGTCCCCAGGAAGCCCCGAGGGCATTCATCTCATCTTCAGGTCTTTCTCTGCCAGTCAGCACTTCCAAGGCAGCTCTTTGTCTCTGCTGCCCTACTGAAAAGGTCTCTACAGACCCCAGGGTACTCACCTCCAGAAGGTGACCATCCCAGAAGCCAGATCCACCACTTCTAACAAATCTGCACTCTTCCCTGTTGAGTAAACCTCATCAGCAGAACTTTGGCAAGAAAGCATTTTGCACAATGAAAACCAGTGCAAAAGAACACAATTCTTTCTTTTTCCACGTGCAGACTTTGTGCGTTAGAAGCCTTATCAACTTGAATGGAAAGTCATAAAATTATGGTAAGCTCAGGCACAGAAACCTCACTGGGAACTTCTCCCCCAACCCAACAGCTAAGGCAAAAAGGAGAAGGATTGGGTCAGGTGATGATATTTCAGAAAGAGAAAGTCTTTCTCCTCTTTCTCTCTCTCTCTCTCTCACACACACACACACACACACACACACACACACGCACCCATTCACCCACACTAAGCCATTTTCCTTTTCAAACAACCAAAGGCCAGAGAAGGGGGAGCAGAGAAGAAAGAGTCTGTGTAGATGGAAAATCTGAAGATTCTGAGTTGAGCTCTGCCTCTTCCCGTTCCATGTGGAGCCTTCAGAGGCCCTACCTGCAAGGCCAGGACTGTGTCTGACATGTACATGTAAATGAGAAACCTCTCTCTACTCCAGAATCTCAAGTGTTGCTCCACAAGATTCTGCAGTTGCCTGAAACTGCTACTCAACAGTACAAAGAAGGTCATGGATGACTAGATTCATCAGGGATATTGGTCTGTAGTTTTCTTTTTTGTTGTATCTTTGTCTAGTTTTGGTATCAGGGTGACACTGGCCTCATCGAATGAGTTAGGAAGAATTCCCTACTCCTTGATTTTTTGGTATAGTTTCAGGAAGATTTGTATTAGTTCTTTGTTTGGTAGAATTCAGCTGGTCTTGGGTTTTTTTTGCTGGAATATTTTTATTACTAATTTAATCTCACTACTCACTATTGATCTGTTCAGGAGTTTTATTTCTTCCTGGTTCAATCTCAGGAGATGTTTTCAGTAATTTATCCATTTCCTCTAGGTCTTCTAGTTTGTAAGTATATAATTGTTCATAATAGTCTCTGATGATCTTTGTATTTCTGTGGCATGTTTTAATGTCTCTTTTTCATTTCTGATTGTGTTTATTTGGATTTTCTCTTCTTGGTAAGTCTAGCTAGTGGTTTGTCAATATTGTTTATCTTTTTGAAGAACCAATTTTTTGTTTCATTGGTCCTCTGTAAACTTTTGTTGGTCTCTATTACATTTAGTTCTCCTCTGATCTTTGTTATTTCTGTTATTCTTTTTAATTCTGGGTTTGGTTTGTTCTTGCTTTTCTAGTTCCTTGTCAAACTAGCATTTCTAGTTTGCATTGTTAGGTTGCTTATTTTCAATATTTCTACTTTTTGATGTAGGTATTTAATGCTATAAAATTCCTTCTTAGCACTGCTTTTCCTGTATCCCACAGGTTTTAGTATATAGCATTTTTATTTTCATGTGTTTCAAAAAAAAATTAATTTCTGTGTTAACTTCTTTCTTGACCCAGTGATTGTTCAGAAGCATGTTGTTTAATTCCCATGTATTTTTATGGTTTCCAAAGTTCCTCTGGGTATTGATTTCTACCTTTATTTCACAGTGGTCTGAGAAGATACTTGAGGTAATTTCAATTGTTTAAAATTTGTTAAGACTTGTTTTATAACCTAACGTGGTTTATCTTGAAGAATATTCCATATGCTGATGAAAAGAATGTATATTTTGTAGTTGTTGCATAGAATGTTCTGTATAAGTCCATTTAGTCTAAAGTCCAATTTAAGTCCAATGTTTCTTTGTTAATTTTTTGTCTTGATGATCTATCTAGTCCTGTGAGTGGGATGTTGAAGCTCCCGCTATTATTGTATTGCCACCTCTTTAGGTCTAGTAATATTTGTTTTATTAATTTGGGTGCTCCAATGTTGAATGCATATACATTTAGGACTGCTATATCCTCTTGCTGAATTGATCCCTTTATCATTATATGATGACCTTCTTTGTCTTTTTTCCTGCTTTTTATTTAAAGTCTGTTTTATCTGATACAATATATCTACTTCTGCTAACTTTTGGTTTCCTTTTGTGTAGAATATCTATTTCCACCTCTTTGCTTTGAGTCTATGTGTGTCTTTATTGGTAAGATGAGTTTTGTATGTAGAATATAGTTCAGTCATGTTTTTAATGCATTCTGCCAATCTATATCTTTTTTTTTTTTTTTTTTTTGAGACGGAGTCTCGCTCTGTCGCCCAGGCTGGAGTGCAGTGGCGGGATCTCGGCTCACTGCAAGCTCCGCCTCCCGGGTTCATGCCATTCTCCTGCCTCAGCCTCCCAAGTAGCTGAGACTACAGGCGCCCGCCACTACGCCCGGCTAATTTTTTGTATTTTTAGTAGAGACGGGGTTTCACTGTTTTAGCCGGGATGGTCTCGATCTCCTGACCTCGTGATCCGCCCGCCTCGGCCTCCCAAAGTGCTGGGATTACAGGCGTGAGCCACCGCGCCCGGCCCAATCTATATCTTTTAAGTGGAGCATTTAGTCCATTTACATTCAAGGTTGATATTGATATGTAAAGCTTTATTCCTGTCACTGTTAATTGTTTTCAAGTTGTTTTATAAATTATTTCTTTCTTTTTTTTTTCTCTGTGTTTTTCTCTTTGTGGTTTGATGAAATTCTGTCATGTTGCCATTTGATCCTTTTCTCTTCCTCCTTTGTGTGATTGTTTTATAAGACCTATGAGTTTTATATTTTCATTTGTTTCTGTGATGGTGAATATCAACCTTCTGTTTCCATGTTTAAGACCCCTTTGAGCATTTCCTTTAGGGCTGGTATAGTGGTGACAATTTCCCTCAGTGTTTGCTTCTCTGGGAAAAACTTTATTTCTCCTTCATTTATGAAGCTTATTCTGGCAGAAAATAAAAATCTAGACTGACAATTTTTTCCTTTCAGTACTTTGAATATACCATATCATTCTCTTCTCCTGTGTAAGGTATCTGCTGAAAAGTCTGCTGTTAGTTCAATAAGGTTTCCTTTACAGGTGACTAGATGCTTTTCTCTTGCTAATTTTAAAATTCTTTCTTCTACCTTGACTTTAGACATTCTGAATATAATATGCCATGGTGAAATCCTTTTTGCAATGTATTTTCATGGAGATTGCTAGGCCTCCTATACCTGGGTGTCTAACTTTCTTGCTAGACTTGGGAAGTTTTCATAGATTACCTCCTTAAACAGGGTTTCTAAACTCTGATCTCTTTTCCTCCTTGGGAACACCAATAATTTTTAAGTTTGTTTGCTTTATATAGTCCCAAACATCTGCTTTGTTCATTATTTTTTATTCTTTTTTCCTTATTTTTGTCTGGCTGGATTATTTCAAAAGACCTGTATTCAAATTCTGAGATTGTTTCTTCTGTTAGATCTAGTCTATTATTGAAGCTTTCAAATATTTTTTTTATTTCTTTCAATGAGCTTTTCAATTCCAGAACTTATGCTTTTTTTTTTTAAGGTATCTATCTCCTTGGTAAATTTCTCATTCATTTCTTGAATGCCTTTCTGATTTATTTGTTTGATGCAGATTTCTCTTGCATCTCATTGCACTTCTTCAGAATCAATATTTTGAATTCTTTATCTGGAATATTGAGCAATTATTTTTGGTTGGAATATGTTGCCGGATAATTGTTGTGGTCCTTTGGTGTGTCATATTTCCTTACCTTTTGTGAATCCTGTGTCCTTCTATTAACATCTGAGCATCTGATATAGCTTGTTCCAATTTTTTGAAATGCTTTTTTAGGGGACAATTTTTTTCTGAAGATGTATATATATAGTAGGACACTTTGGCTTTAATTTGGAGTGCCTGTGGTAGTGTGACCTTTGTATGTCTTATTCAGCAGCACACAGCGTCAGTGGTATCTGTGATATCCTCAGTGGCTTAAGTATAGTTATTAGTTAAGGCTGTGGTTAAGTTTAGCTGAGGATTTGGACACCAGCTGAGCCAGTCTTCAAGCCCCAGTGGTGGCAGCAGCAGGCTGAGTGTGCCTGTTTTTAGGCCCCAGAGAAGTTTACTTTGGCATTGGTGTTAGTGTGTCCCAGAGGGCTGATTCTTGGGCCTCCAGATGGCTTGCTTAAAAGTGTTCTAGTAATGGGAGTTAAGGGCTTGTGCGTGTTCAGGTTCTCAGGCCCCTGGGCAGCTGGTGTAATGCGGGTGATAGCAGTAGCAGTGATGGAGCACTGAAACCCAAGTGGTCTATATTGGTGGTCTGGAAGCTGTGATGGGTTGGGAAGACTAGTCCTCAGTCCCACAAATATCTGTAGAAAGACAGTGGGTATTGTACTATGTGTGCTTAGGAGAGCTTGGTCTCCCTTGTCTCTGCCTCAGCTGGGTGGCAGCTGCAGTCATGTTGCCTTGAACTTGGCCTAAAGGCAGGGCAAAGCCCAATGTTAAGCTCTCAAAATGGTGTTGGCTGTGGGTCTGTGACAAGAGACAGCAGGGCCTCCCTCAGATGAACAGCATGGGCAAGAAGCTGTGAAGACTGCCATCCACTGAAGTCACAGTCTCACAGCAGCCCTTATCAGGGTGCTAGGTATTGTCCTAGGTATGCATAGGAGAGTGTGATTTCCGTGTCCCTCCTCAGCTGGGCAGAAGCTGTAGCCATGTCAGTGCTTACTTTGCCCAAGGGCAGAGCACAGGCCAGTGTTAAACTCTCAAAATGGCACCAAGGGTCTGCAACCTGGGAAGGTGGAACCTTTTACAGGCTGGCAGTGTGGGCAAGAATCTGTAAGAAGTGTGGTCTACTTACATCTCAGTCTTACAGCAGCATGGTTGTAGGGAAGTGGGTATCATTCTAGATAAGTGTAGCAGCAGCTGGTTTCCCTGCTGTTCTTTGGCTGGGGGGTGGTTGCAGCCACGTGAGCCCAAGCTCAGCCCAAGGGTGAGGTGAAGCCCAGCATTAAACTCTCAAGATGGCATCTTGAGCTTGGGACCAGAGCGGATGCCCCCTTCCCCAAGGAAGCAGTATGGGCAAGAAGCTGTTTAGAGTATGGTTCACTCATGTCTCATTCTCAACAGGAGCACACAGCAGGATGGTAGGGACTCTCCCAGGGGTGCATAAGAGTGCCTGGTCTCCCTTCTCCCTTTTTGGAGCAGCAGCCATGTCTGTAGATCCCCAATATCTAGGCTGTCGAGAATGGTGTCCAGCTGAAGCTGTTCTAGGCTCGGATGCCTTTGGGATTTTGTAGTGAGTTCCCTTTCTGGAGCAATATCTCTGTGCAATCTCTAAGCAGCTACATATGTCAGTCCTGAGGCCTTAGTGAATCAAGAGATTCTCCCATAGCCAAGATCATAAAAGACCATTTTGGAGTGTGGATCCCTGGGGGTTTCTCTTACACTGTTTCCTCACATTCAGAAGCCTTTCCTGGCTCTCAGCCAGTCCCCAACCAGATAAGCCACTACAGACTTCTTTTGATTAGAGTGTGCATGAGATATTTTCTCATTTTTTGAATATGAACCTATTTGTGTCTTTGTAGTTAAAGTGTGTTACTTAAAGACAGCATATAATTGGTCCTTGCCCCTTGATTAGAGTGCTTATTCCGTTTATATTTAATCCAATTATTATGATTAAACTTAAATCTGCTATTTTGCGATTAGTTTTCTATTTATCTCATAGACTTTGCTTCTCTCTTGCCAGCTTCTTGCTTTCTTTTTTGTCAAATAGGTTTCCCACTTTTTTTTTTTTTTTTTTTGAGACAGGTCTGGCTCTGTCACACAGGCTGAAGTGCAGTGGCACAGTCTTGGCTCACTGCAACCTCTACCCCCTGGCTCAGCCTCCCAAGTAGCTGAGACTACAGGTGTGCACCACCACACCTGGCTACTATTTGTATTTTTTGTAGAGATGGGGTTTCACCATGTTTCCCAGGCTAGTCTCAAACACCTGAGCTCAAGCAATTCACCTGCCTTGGCTTCCCAAAGTGCTAGGATTACAAGTGTGAGCCACCACACCTGGCCTAATATATTTTCCACTTTTCCTTGTTAATTTCTTTATTGTCTTTGAGCTATATCTCAGCATTCCTTTTAGTGGAAAATATAAAGATTATGGTATTCATTTTTATTTTAGAAAAAATATAGAAACATTGCAACTATATAGCTTCAAACTAGATGTCTATATTCACCATCACTAGTACTTTTCATTGCTTTCTGTAGATTTGAGAAACCATCTGACATCATTTCCCTTCATAGTCAAGGCTGTAGATTGCCATTTTCCTGAGTATGAATCATACTTTTTCTTTCCTTACATATCTAAGGATATTGTTTGGACCTTTGGCCCCTCTAAATCTCATGTTTAAATGTGATTTCCAATGTTGCAGATGGGGGCTGGTGGGAGGTGATTAGATCATGTCAGATCCCTCATGAATGGTTTAGCACCATCACCTTTCTGATAAGTATCAGTTAGTTCACAAATGATCTGGTTGTTTAAAACAGTCTGGGACCTCCCCCTTCTCTCTTTCTTGCTCCTCCTCTCACCATGTGACATTCTGGCTCCCCTTCACCTTCCACCATGATTGTAAGCTTCCTGAGGCTCTCACCAGCAACAAATGCCAGCACTATGCTTCATATGTGGCCTGCAGAACTGTAAGCCAATTAAACCTCTTTTCTTTATAAATTATCCAGTCTCAAGTATTTTCATAGCAATGCAAGAACACACTAATGCTTCTAGTAATTTGGGGCTAAAAATAAGACACACTTAAGTGACTCTTGATCCCGTTATGTTCTTCTGAAAATGGGTTTTCCTTCAGATTTATTAGTCTGTTCTTGCATTGCTATACAGAAATACCTGGGTAATTTATAAATAGAAGAGGTTTAATTGGCTCACAGTTCTGTGGACTGTACAGGAAGTATGATGCTGGCATCTGCTCAGCCTCTGGGCAGACCTCAGGAAGCTTACAATCATGGCAGAAGGCAAAGGGGAAGCAAGGCATCTCACATGGTGGGAGCAGGAGCAAGGTATTGGAGGGGGGCGGTGCCACACACTTTTAAAAGACCAGATTTCAAGAGAACTCACTCACAATCATGAGGACAGTACCAAGTGGAATGGTGATAAATCATTTATGAGAAATCCACCCCCATGATCCAATTACCTCCTACCAGACCCCAACATTGATATCCTCCAACATTGAGGGTTACAATTAAGCATGATATTTGGGTGAGAACACAGATCCAAACCATGTCATTCCACTCCTGGACCCTCCCAAATCTCATGTCCTTCTCTCATTTCATAATATAATCATTCCTTTTCAACAGTCCTCCAAAGTCTTAACTCATTCCAGCATTAATTCAAAGGTCCAAATTCCCATCTGAGACAAAGCTACTCCTTTCCACCTATGAGCCTGTAAAATAAAATACAAGTTAGTTACTTCCAAGATACAATAAGCATACAGGCACTGAGTTAATACTGACATTCCAACAGGGAGAAAATGGCCTAAAGAAAGGGGCTACAGGCCCCATCAAAGTCTGAAGCCCCGAGGGCAGTCAGTAAATCTTAAAGCCCCAAAATAATCTCCTTTGACTCCATGTCCTACATCCAGGGCACACTGGTGTGAGGGGTGGATTCTCAAGGCCCTGGGCAGCTCCCCCACTGTGGCTTTGCAGGGTTACGCCTCCAAGGCTGTTCTCACAGCTCCTTTCACAGGCTGGCATTGACTGCCTGTGGCTTTTTCAAGTGCAGGGTGCAAGCTGTCAGTGGATCTACCATTCTGGTGTCTGGAGGATGGTAGCTCCCTTCTCATAGCTCCACTAGGCAGTGCCCCAGTGGGGACTCGGTGTGGAGCTCCAACTCCACATTTCCCCTCCCCACTACTGTAATAGGGGTGCTCCATAAGGGCTCTGTCCCTGCAGCAAGCTTCTACCTGGACACCCAGGCTTTTCCATACATCCTCTGAAATCTAGGTGAAGGCTCCTAAGCCTCAGCTCTTGTATCCTGCACACTTGCAGGATTAACACCACGTGGAATCTGCCAAGGCTTGCAGCTTGCACCCTCTGAAGCAGCAGCCCAAGCTGTACGACAGCCCGTCTGAACCATGGCTAGAACTAGAGCAGCTGGGATGCATGCAGCAGTGTCCTGAGGCTGCACAGGGTAGCAGGGCCTTGGGCCTGGCCCACAAAACCTGCTAGTCCTCAGGAAACACAATCATTGCCTTCCACCATGATTGTAAGTTTCTTGAGGCTTCCCCAGAAGTTGATGGGAGAAGGTGCCTCAAAGTTTTTTGAAATGCCTTCCAGGCCTTTTCTCCATTGTCCTGGCTATTAGCACTTGGCTCCTTTTGACTTATGCAAATTTCTGCAGTCTGCTTGAATTCCTCACCTGAAAATGCGCTTTTCTTTTCTACCACATGGCTAGGCTGCAAATGTTTCAAACTTTTATGCTCTGCTTCCCCTTTAAATATAACTTCCAACTTTAAGTCATTTATTTGCTTATGCATATGAGCACAGGCTGTTAGAAGCAGCAACAACACATCTTGAATGCTTTGCTGCTTAGACATGTCTTCCACCAGATACCCTAAATCATCACTCTTGAGTTCAAAGTTCCACAAATCCCTAGAGCAGGGGTATATTGCAGCCAAGTTCTTTGCTAAGGCATAACAAAAGTGACCTTTGCTCCATTTCCCAATAAGTTCCTCATCTCCATCTAAGACTTCATGAGCCTGGCCATCTCTGTCAATATCACTATCAGCATTTGAGTCACAACTACTCAACAAGTATCTAGGAAGTTTCAAATTTTCCCTTATCTTCCTGTCTTCTTCTGAGCCCTCCAAATTCTTCCAACCCCTTCCTGTTACTCAATTCCAAAGCTGCTTCCATATTTTCAGGAATCTTTATAGCAATACCCTGCACCTGGTACCAATTTTCTGTATTAGTTCATTCTTGCATTTGTATAAAGAAATACTGGAGGTTGGGTAATTTATAAAAGAAAAAGGTTTAATTGGCTCACAGTTCGACAGGCTGTATTTAAAAAAAAAGCATGATGCTGGCATCTATTTGGCTTCTGGGGAGGCCTCAGGAAACTCACAATCATGGCAGAAGGCAAACAGGGAGCAAGGCATCTCACATGGTGGGAGCAGGAGCAAGGCAGGAGGGGGTGTCGTACTCTTTTAAACCACCAGATCTTGTAAGAACTCACTCATGACCATGAGGAGAGTACCAAGTGATATGTTGCCAAACCATTTATGAGATATCCACCCCCATGATCCAATTAACTCCTGCTAGGCCCCTCCTTCATCCAGGTCCCACCAGGTGCCACCTCAATTGTAATTGAGGATTACAACTGAAAATAGAATTTGAGTGGGGACAAAAATCCAAACCATGTCATCAGGTAAAGACTTAGTCTGCCTGGACTCAAGACTATAAACTGTGTCTTCCTTGTGAAGTGCAGCAGCTGGTGTTTCTGTTTAGCTGCTGTTATGTAGCCTCACCCCATACAGTCTTCCCCATGCCATATGCAGTTTTGTGATCAGCTAGGAAAAGGACATAGTTCACATTCAAATTTGGGGGTCTTACCCCTTCTATAGGTCCCTGAGTTCTAGAATTCCCCTCTCCTTAAATTTCCAACTGCTCCACCAGCCCTAAATCCTGTCCTTTGCTATCTCAAGGCAATAATGCTACAACTTTTTTCTGTCATAGTGTAAAGGGATATGGCGTACTCTTAGGTAAAAATAGAAAGCACAAGTTGCTGTTCTTATCTGTCATGGTCATCTGTGACTCTCCTAAATTTCTGCCTGCTTTGTGTACTTTCCAGTGACTTCAAATACTTATTTTAAATATTTCTTTCCAGTTTTTACAATTATTGCTTGCAGGAATCTTTACCAAACCCCTTGACATTACCACCATTCTTGGAATTCCGTGTGCATGTATTTTTAATTAATAAAATTAATATTTTATGTAAGCCTCATAGCAGAAATTGGCTGTTGCCTAATATTCTAGAGTTTGCATTGCCACATTTTATTAATTCATCTTCCCATTTATAGACAACTTATTTTACCTCCAGCATCCAGAATCCACACAAAAACACGCTACAATAAGAATTTTTCTATACATCCCCTTGTAGGTCTGTGTGTGAACTTCTCTGAAACATTATGAGGACACAAACATGGGAAAAAATTCCAAGCTCATGGATAGGAAGAATCAATATCAATCAGTACTTCCAGTTTTGCCTATTCAGTATGATATTGGCTATGGATTTGTCATAAGTAGCTCTTATTATTTTGAGATATGTTCCATTTTACCTAGTTTATTGAGAGTTTTTAGCATGAAAAGGTGTTGAATTTTATCAAAGGTCTTTTCTGCATCTATTGAGATAATTATGTGCTTTTTGTCATTGGTCCTGTTTATGTGATGGATTACATTTATTGATTTGCATATGTTGAACCAGCCTTGCATCCCAGGGATGAAGCCAACTTGATCATGGTGGATAAGCTTTTTGATGTGCTGCTGGTTTTGGTTTGCCAGTATTTTAGTGAAGATTTTCACATTGATGTTCATCAGGGATATTGGCCTGAAATTACCTTTTTTTGTTGTGTTTCTGTCTATATATTTTCAACCATTCATGTTTCATGTCCTTTAAATTGTTTCATGAGCCTCTTGAACAGCCACTAATGGAGTTTGTAGGGAAGTTCGTGTACTATCCCAACCACCAGCTTGAATACTTGAGCACTATTCCCCAAGTAGCTAAAGCAACCATGGTCACCAAGCTACCCACCATCTGGGCTTGAATAAGAAAGAATATTACATTACCCTGGCTGTGCTTAGGCAACATTACTCTGGTCCCTAGCATGAAAAAGAAATAAATGTTTTTAAACTGCCTTGTCCAAAAAGGATAAGGGAATTTTAGATTTTCAAACAAGCCCTTGAAATGGAAATAATCAGAAAAACATCATAAATTCTTAGCCAATACACAATTGTTTCTGGAACAGATAATGGTGGTCAAGAGGGATCATTTCGATATAGGGGCCACCAAAATCCAGATCTGACATCACCGATCTCGTCATATTTGATGCAACTTCACATAACTACACAAGAGCTTAAAGTTAAAAGTCATTATGAAGACCATAGCAGAGTAGTTCTCTGCCTTGGCTGCACATTAAAACCACCTGAGTAGCTTTTAAAACTCCTAGTGTCAAGGCAATAACCCAGACCACTTGAATCAGAATTTCTGGAAATGGGACCTAGCCATCAGAAATTTTTTTAATTCCCCTATATGATTCCAATATGCAGCCAAGGTTGAGAGTTACTGTCCCAGCAGAAATTTACTCATATTTTTATCTTAGAAAACACATGCACAGAATAACCAACTGGTAGAGATATAATATGCAACACCTGACAAATGTGTTACTTCCCAATATAAAGCCCTATTTACAGTGTCACTGCAGGAGTGAAAGATGACCCTTATGTAGAAGAAGAAGTGAAAAACTAATCTAAAATTAATTAAATAGAAAATCCTGGTTCACTTTGTTATGATAGGCAAAGACTTTTTGAACATCTTGGATTCCTCCTTATAAAACCAAAATGAACAGAGTATTCGGAGAAGGAGTATTGGAAGCTGTGAGTTAGAGGAGTAGTGGAAGAAAAATCAACCATAAGGAAAAGCAAAACAAAAGAAAACACCACACATAAAAATGTATGCCTAAAAATTATAAACATGGTTTTATAAGTGTTGTTGGAATTCCTGACAGTTTTATAGAAGATGGAATAAGGAAGGTAGAAATCTATTGTGCCATGGCACCCATTTTTTCATTAACAAACAGCCACCCATTCTCTCATTTTGAAGAACATTTTCATTTTCATTCTGGCTAAAAGATGCATTCCACAGATGCATCCCGTGCATTGTTGGCACAGTGTCCCTAGGAATGAAGCAGACAGGCCACCCACTAAAGTACTGCTGACTTAAACAAAATAATTCTAGATCTGGAGGCAGAAATCTAAGCTGAGGCACCATGATATGGTTTTACTGCTGGTCCTTACCTCTAAATCAATTAAGAGACCTAGATCTCCTCAGTTGAAGAGGCAGGTGTCTTAACAGACACAGGTGTGTCCTGTAAATTTTGTTGTTGTTGTTGTTGTTATTATTTTGTTTTTTTGAGACAGAGTCTCACTCTGTCGCCCAGGCTGGAGTGCAGTGGCGCGATCTCGGCTCACTGCAAGCTCCGCCTCCCAGGTTCACGCCATTCTCCTGCCTCAGCCTGCTGAGTAGCTGGGACTACAGGCACCCGCCACCACGCCTGGCTAATTTTTTTGTATTTTTTTAGTAGAGACGGGGTTTCACCGTGTTAGCCAGGATGGTCTCTATCTCCTGACCTCGTGACCTGCCCTCCTCGGCCTCCCAAAGTGCTGGGATTACAGGCGTGAGCCACCGCGCCCTGCCAAATTTTCTTTAAGCTGACCGCAGAAGAGTTTGTGGACATTTACCATGGTGGATGAATACAGGCAAGAAGGAACCCCAGACCTTTCTAGGGTTGTTAACTATAGGCTCTGAACTTATGCCAGTCATAATTGCCACCATAGTTCCCTGGTCAGAATGGAGACAAATGAAGGTCAGGAGATGCATTACTTTCTTATTGCTGCTTAACAAATTACCACAGACTTAATGACTTAACACAAATATGTTATCTTACAGTTCCAAGCTCACAAGTCCATAATCAGTATCAGTAGGCTAAAATCGAGGTGTCAGCAGAGCTGTGTTCCTTTTGAAAGCTCTAGGGAATATTCTATTTCCCCACATTTTCTATCTTCAAGAGGCCCCCTGCGTTCTTGGCTCATGGCCCCTTCCATCTTCAAAGCCAGCAATGACATCATTCTGGCCTCTGCTTCCATCCCCACATTTCCTTTGGGTCCGACTCTTCTATCTCCCTCTTACAATGACTCTTGTGATTTGGCCCACCTAGATAATCCAGGATAATCCTCCCATCTCAGTATGTTTAACTTAATCACATCTGCAAAGTCCCTTTTGCCATATAAGGTAGCATATTCATGGGTTCTTAGGATTAGAATGTGGACACCTTTGAGGGGCCATTGTTCAACCTACCACAGATGTCCATGTCATAGTAAACCCACTGGGACCACTCAGTCATCAAGTGGTTATTGTCTAGTGTTGCCAGATGTAGCAAATAAAAATACAAGACATCCGGTTAAACTTGCAATTCAGAAAAACAACAAATTTTTTTTTTGTATAAGTGTATCTTGTGCAATATTTTACATACTTGGGACATACTTATATTCAAACATTTTGTTGTTTATCTGAACTTCAATTTTAATTGAGCATTCTATTTTTATCTGGCAATCTACCCAGAGTGTCTGGTAAGAATAAACAAGCACAGTAACAGACAAAATTCCCACTTTGCTTTGCCAAATGGTAGAATAAGGGTTATTATGATAAGAAGCATCCAGAACAATCCCCACCCCACAAGATGTTAAAGTGAAAGCAAACTGCATCTCTGGGAAATCCCAAAGAAAAATGTTATCATTGAAGACTTAGAAGATACAAGGTTGGTGATTTCTACCACATCCCCATTTGTATCACCTATACAGCTTTAGAAAGCCACAAGCATCTTAGAAAATGACTATGGATTCTCTCTTCTTAATCAGATGACAATGAAAATCACAACTGTGGTCCCAGATGCTGTATTGTTAATGAAACAAATCCACCCAACCCTTGGTACCTAATAGGAATATATTGATCCAGAACGATCAGTTTTTAAAATTATTATCAACAAGGATCACCAAAAGCAGTTTGCCTTCCACCGGTAGGGACAAAAATAAAACTTGTCTTATATCAGTGCTATGTCAAGTCACCTACATGTTGTCACAATATCATCGAGAAATCATTATCCTGATATCCCACAGAACACACCTCTGGTTCATTATATGGATGACATTATTCTACTTGAAAATGGTAAATAGGAAAATTCAAGCATGCTAGATGTCTTAGTAAGACTCACACATATCAGGGGATAGAGAAGAGCCCTGTGAACATTCTGAGGCAGACAATATCAGTGAAGTTTCTAATATTCTGGTAATGTGGAGCATGTAAAGTATCTCCTCTAAACTTACAGACAAGTTGGTGCACCTTACAACATCTACCACAAAAAGAAGGACAAAGTGGACTTCTTGGGGTTTTGAAATAACATATACCATATTTGGGCATGCTGCTATTACCCATTTACTCAGTAATCGGCAAGGCTACCAGTTTTGAGTGGGGTCCAGAGTAAAAACAGCTTTACAACCATCCAGGCTGTAGGGAAACTGTCCTCCCACCACAGCCTCATGACCGGAAGATACAATAGCATTAGAAGTACCTGAGACAGGCAGAGTTGTTTTTACAGAGAAGCTGGCAAGCTATAGTAGGAAAACCACAGCTGAGATGCCATGGGGATAACGTCATGCCATCTTCTACTACTTCTATTTAAAAAGTAACTCCTGTCTGACTACTGAAAGAGAATAAATGCCTGGCCATGGGACATTGTGATGGTTAATTTGGTATGTTAACTTAGCTGGGCCGTGGGGTGCCTATGTATGTGGTCAAACATTATTCTGGGTGTTTCTGTGAAAGTATTTGTGGATAAAATTAATATTTGAATTGGCATACTGAATAAAACAGAGTTTCCTCTCTAATGTGGGTGGGCCTGACTCAAACAAAAAGGCTGATTTTCTCAAACAGAAGAAGGAATTCCTCCTGCCTGACTGCTTTGAACTGGGACATCAGTCTTATCTGGCCTTCAGACTCAAACTGAAATATCATCTCTTTTTGAGTCTCAAGCTTGCCAGCTTTTAAGCTGGATCTTGTACCATCAGCTTTCCTTCATTCTCAGACCATCAAACTCAGACTTAAACTACACATTGCCTCTCCTGGGTCTCCAGCTTGCTAAACGGATCTTGCCAACTGCAGGGTCTTCTCAGCCTTCATAATTACATGAGCCAATTTCTTACACTAAATATATGTGTGTGAGTGTGTGTGTGCGTGTATATATATATATATATATATATATATATATATATATATATATGATATTTATATTGATTCTGTTTCTCCAGAGAACCCTGACTAATATAGACACCAAATGACTATGTGACTGAACTGCCCATTATTAATGTTGGATTATCTTATTCAGTAAATTATGAAATTGATTTTGCTCAATAGCATCCTATTATTAAGTAGAAAGGTTAATTATGAGACTAGGCCTGAGCAGGCTGGAAAACACAGGTAAACTCCATGAGCTAGTAGTTCAAAATCCCTTTGTACTTCAACACTTCTTCCTCAACCTATACCTGTAGGGAGTTCCCTATGATCAACTAACTAGTGGAAAATGAAAAGGCATGATTCTGGTTTACAGATGGCATTAAAACTATATCATTCCACCTTTGGTCCCCCAAATATCATGTCTTTCTCATATTTCAAAATATTATATATATATGTATATATATATAATAATCTCTTCCCAATAGTCCCCCCAAATCTTAGCTCATTTCAGTATTAATTCAAAAGTTCCAAATCCAAAGCTTAAAAATCTCATCTGGAAATAAGTTCCTTCCTCCTATAAGCCTGTGAAATCAAAACAAGTTGTCTATTTTCAAGATACAATGGGGGTACAGGCATTGAGCAAACATTCCTGTTTCAAAAGGGAGAAATCAGCCAAAAGAAAGGAAATACAGGTCCCACACAAGTCTGAAGCCAAGCAGGACAATCATCAAATCTTAAAGCTCCAAAATAATCTTTGATTCCATGTCCCATATCCAGGACACACTGCTGCAAGAAGTGGCCTTCTAAAACTTTGTGCAGCTCAACCCCTATATCTCAGCAGAATACAGCCCACACAACTGCTCTCACAGGTTGGAGTTGAGTGCCTGAAGATTTTCTTGGCGCAAGGTGCAAACTGTTGGTGGATTTACTATTCTAAGGTCTGGAAAATGGTAGCCTTTTTCCCCCAGCTCCACTAGGCAGTGCACCATGGCAAACTTTATTTAGGGCCTCAAATCCTACATTCCTCCTCTGCATTGTCCTAGGAGAGGTTCTTTTTGAGGGCTTCACACCTGGAGAAGACTGGGTGCCCAGTCTTTCTTATACATTTATACATTCTCTGAAATCTAGGCAAAGGATACGAAACCTCCTTCGTTCTTGCACTCTGCAAGACTGCAGACTTAACACCACATAGAAGCCACCAAGTCTCATGGCTCACACCCAGTGAAGCAGTATCCCAAACTGTATCTGAGCCCCTTGGAGCCAAGGATAGAGCTGGATCAGACTGAATGCAAGCAACAGTGTCCCAGAGCAGAGCAGTGAAGGACCAGGCATTGGCTACAAAACCATTCTTTCTTCCTAGGCCTCAGGGTCTGTGATGGGAGGGGCTGCCTCAGAAAGCTTTCAGAGCCTTCAAGCCCTTGTTCCCGTCATCTTGGCTATGAGCACTTGGCTCCCTTTTGTTTTTTGTTTTTTGTTTTTTGTTTTGAGATGGAGTCTTGCTCAGTTGCCCAGGCTGGAGTGCAGTGGCACGATCTCGGCTCACTGCAAGCTCCACCTCCCGGGTTCATGCCATTCTCCTGCCTCAGCCTCCCGAGTAGCTGGGACTACAGGCACCTGCCACTATGCCTGGCTAATTTTTTGTATTTTTAGTAGAGATGGTGTTTCACCATGTTAGCCAGGATGGTCTCGATCTCCTGACCTCGTGATCCACTTGTCTCGGCCTCCCAAAGTGCTGGGATTACAGGTGTGAGCCACCGCACCTGGCCTTGGCTGCCTTTTAGTCATGCAAATGTTTCTAGCAAGTGGTTGCTCCACAACCAGCTTGAATTCCTCTCCTGAAAAAGCTTTTTCTTTCTTTGCCATGTGGTTAGGCTGCAAATATTCCAAACTTTAACACTCTGCTTCCCCTTTAAATATAACTTCCAACTTTAAATCATTTATTCACTCTCACATATGAGATAGGCAGTTAGATGCAGCCACACCACATCTTGAATGCTTTGCTGCTTACAAATTTCTTCCACCAGTTACCCTAAGTCATCACTCTAAAGTTCAAATTTCCACAGATCCCTAGCACATGAACACAATACAGCCAAGTTCTTTGCTAAGGCATAACAAGGGTGACTTTTGCTCCAGTTCCCAATAAGTTCCTCACTTACATCTGAGACCTCATCAGCCTCGACTTTACTGTCCATATCACTATTGGCATTTTGGTCATAACCATTTAACCAATCTCTAAGAAGTTCCAAATTTTTCCTCATCTTTCTGTCTTCTGAGCCCTCCAAAATCTTCCAAGCTCTGCCTATTACCCAGTTCCGAAGGTAATTCCACATTTTCAAGTAACATTATAGCCTTGTTACCAATTTTCTATGTTAGTAAGGTTTTTGACTCTAGTCCCTTACTCATGGACTACACCTCTGGATCCACTCAGGGCTGGGAAAACCTTGCTACCCTGAAGGGAAGCACATAGGCCTGGCTTGCTTTGCCACTGGCTGGTTGTAGAGTCTAAGGACCTTGATCAAACATAGGCAGTAGCCAAGGAGTGGTTACAGCAGGCCTTGGGTGAGATCCAGTGCCGCGCTGGCTTCAGATTTGACCCTGTGTAGTCATAGAGGTGATGCCCACAGGGGTGCTTGTGTCACACCACCTCCAGGTGTAGGAGGCTCAGAATAGAGAGACTGTGTTTGTTTGGGAGAAAGTAAGGGAAGAGAACAAGAGTCTCTGCCTGGGAAATTCAGAAAATGCTCCCAGACTTGTCCAAGACCATCAAGGCAGTAACTCTACAAGTCTGCAAGAACCCCAGTGTTACAGGGCTTAGGATGCCCCCTAAAGCAGATACAGTTTATATCACAACACGCAAGTCCTTTCAAGTATCTGGAAAGACTTCCCAAGAAGGACTGCTAAAAATGAGCCCAGACAGTAAAGACTACAATAAATACCTAACCCTTGAATGCCCAGACACTGAAGAACATCTAAGCATCAGCACCATCCAGGAAAAAATGACCTCACCAAAAAACTAAGCCACCAGAGATCAATCCTGTCAAAACAGAGATATGTGACCTTTCAGACAGACAATTCATAACAGCTGTGTTGAGAAAACTCAAAGAAATTGAAGATAACACAGAGAAGAAATTATATCAAATAAATTTATCAAAGAGATTGAAATAATTTAAAATAATAAAGCAGAAATTCTGGGGCTAAAAAATGCAATTGGCATACTGAAGAATGTGTTAGTCCTTTAATAGCAGAATTGATCAAGCAGAAGAAAAATTAGTGAGCTTGAAGACAGGATATTTGAAAATACACAATCAGGGGAGACAAAAGAAAAAATAGTTTAAAAAACAATGAAACACACCTAAAGGATTTAAAAACAGTCTCTAAAGGGAAAATCTAAGAGTTCTTTGCCTCAAAGAAAAGATAGAGAAACAGATAGGGGTAGAAATTTTATTCAAAGGGATAATGACAGAGAGAATTTCAAACCTAGAGAAAAATATCAATATCCAAGTGCAAGTAGGTTATAGAACACCAGGTAGATTTAACCCAAAGACGACTACCTCAAGGCATTTAAGAATCAAACTTCCAAAGGTCAAAGATAAAGAAATGATCCTAAAAGCAGCAAGAGAAAAGCCGCAAATAACATACAATGAAGCTCCAACACATCTGGCAGCAGACTTTTCAGTGGAAACCTTACAGGCCAGAAGAGAGTGGCATTAGATAATTAAAGTACTGAAGAAAAAAAACTTTTACCCTAGAAGAGTATATCTGGTAAGAACATCCTTTAAACATGAAGGAAAAAAGACTTTCCCAGATAAACAAAGCTAAGAAATTCCATCAACACCAGAAATGTCCCAAAAGAATTCTAAAGGCAGTACTTCAACCAGAAACCAAATGACATTAATGGGCAATAAGGAATCATCTGAAACTACAAGACTTACTGGTTTTTTGTTTTTTGTTTTTTGTTTTTCTTTTTTTTAATTATTATTATACTTTAAGTTTTAGGGTACATGTGCACAATGTGCAGGTTAGTTACATATGTATACATGTGCCATGCTGGTGTGCTGCACCCATTAACTCGTCATTTAGCATTAGCTATATCTCCCAATGCTATCCCTCCCCCCTCCCCCCACCCCACAACAGTCCCCAGAGTGTGATGTTCCCCTTCCTGTGTCCATGTGTTCTCATTGTTCAATTCCCACCTATGAGTTAGAATATGCGGTGTTTGGTTTTTTGTCCTTGTGATAGTTTACTGAGAATGATGATTTCCAATTTCATCCATGTCCCTACAAAGGACATGAACTCATCATTTTTTATGGCTGCATAGTATTCCATGGTGTATATGTGCCACATTTTCTTAATCCAGTCTATCATTGTTGGACATTTGGGTTGGTTCCAAGTCTTTGCTATTGTGAATAGTGTCGCAATAAACATACGTGTGCATGTGTCTTTATAGCAGCATGATTTATAGTCCTTTGGGTATATACCCAGTAATGGGATGGCTGGGTCAAATGGTATTTCTAGTTCTAGATCCCTAAGGAATCGCCACACTGACTTCCACAATAGTTGAACTAGTTTACAGCCCCACCAACAGTGTAAAAGTGCTCCTATTTCTCCACATCCTCTCCAGCACCTGTTGTTTCCTGACTTTAAAAAAAAAAAAAAAAACTTACTGGTAATGGTAAGTATACAAAAAACACAGAATATTAAAACACTATAACTGTGGTGTGTAAACCACTCTTATCCTAAGTAGAAAGATCTAAGGATGAACCAATCAAAAATAATAACAACAACCTTTCAAGACATAGTACAATAAGATATAAATGGAAACAACAAAAAGTTTAAAAGTGGGAGGGGGTGAAGTTAAGGCATAGAGCTTTAATTAGTTTACTCTTTATTTGTTTGTTTATGCAAACAGTGTTAAGTTGTTATAAGGTTTAAATGATGGGTTATAAGATGGTATTTTCAAGCCTCATAGTAACCTCAGGCCAAAAGACATACAATGGATACACAAAAAATAAAACAAGAAAATAAATCATATTTCCAGAGAAAATCACCTTCACTAAAGGAAGACACAAAAGAAAGAAAGAAAAAGAAGAAGACTACAAAACAACCAGAAAATAAAGTTGTAAGGACTTACTAGTCAATAATAACATGGAATGAAAATAAACTAAACTCATTAATCAAAAGACAGACTGACTGAATGGCTAAAAAACAAGACCCATTGATCTGTTGCCTACAAGAAACACACTTCACCTGTAAAGACACACATAGACTGAAAATTAAGGGATGGAAAAAGATATTCATGCCAATGGAAACCAAAAAAGAGCAGGAATTTCTATACTTATATCAGAAAAAATATATTTCAAGACAAAAACTATAAGAAAAGACAAAAATTTCACTACATAATGATAAGGGGGTCAATTCAGTAAGAGGATATAACAATTCTAAATACATATGCACCCAACACTGGAGCACCCAGATATATAAAGCAAATATTATTAGAGCTAAAGAGAGAGACAGACCCCAGTACAACAATAGCTGGAGACTTCAACATGTCACTTTCAGCATTGGACAGATCTGCCAGACAGAAAATCAACAAAGAAACATCAAACTTAATAATAACTGTAGAACCCAGTGGATCTAATAGATATTTATGGTACATTTCATCCAATGCTCACAAAATACACTTTCTTTTTCTCAGCATATGGATGATTCTCAAGGATAGACCATATGTTAAGTCACAAAACAAGTCTTAAAACATTCAAAAAATTGAAATAATATCAAGCGTCTTCTCTAACCACAGTGACATAAAACTATAAATTAATAACAAGAGGAATTTTGGAAACTATGTAAATACATGGAAATTAAACAACATGCTCCTGAATGACCAGTGGGTCAATGAAGAAATTAAGAAGAAAATTGAAAAAAAAATTTTTGAAACTAATAATAATGGAAACAAAACATAACAAAACCTGTGGGCTACAGCAAAAGCAGTACTAAAAGAAAAGTTTATGCCTATAAGTACCTACATCAAAAAAAGGAAAATCTTCAAATAAACAATTTAATGATGCATCCTAAAGAATTAGAAAAACAAGAGCAAACCAAATCCAAAATTAGTAAAAGAAAAGAAATAATAAAGATCAGAGCAGAAATAAATGAAATTAAAATGAAACAACAATACAAAACATCAGTGAAACAAAAAGTTGGTTTTTTAAAAAGTTAAACAAAATTGACAAATTCTTAGCCAGGCTGACTAAGAAATAAATGAGAGAAGATACAAATAAATAAAATCAGAAAAGAAAAAGCAACATTACAGCTGATACCACAGAAATTCAAAGGATCATTAATGGCTACTATCAGCAACTATATGCCAATAAACTTGAAAATCTGGAAGAAATGGACAAATTCCTAGACATGTACAACCACCAAGAGTGAATCAGGAAGAAATCCAAAACGTGAACAGGCCAATAACAAGTCACAAGATCGAAGCCATAATGAAAAGTTTCTCATAAAGAAGAGCCTGAGACCCAATGGCTTCACTGCTGAATTGTACCAACAATTATATAAGAACTAATACCAATCTTAATCAAACTATTCCTAAAAATAGAGGAGGAGGGAATACTTCCAAACTCATTCTATGAGACGAGTATTACCCCAATACCAAAACTAGACAAATACTGATCAAAAGGAGAAAACCACGGCCAATATCTCTAATGAATATTGATATGGTTTGGCTATGATATGGTTTCCCCACACAAATCTCATCTTGAATTCCCATGTGTTGTGGGAGGGACCTAGTGAGGGGTAATTGAACCATGGGGGCAGGTGTTTCCTGTGCTGTTCTCATAATAGTGAATAAGTCTCATGAGATCTGATTATTATATAAGGGGGATTTTCCCTGCACAAGATCTTTTTGCCTGCCACCATCCATGTAAGTTGTGACTTGCTCCCCCTTGCCTTCCACCATGATTGTGAGGCCTCCCCAGCCATGTGGAACTGTAAGTCAATTAAACCTCTTTCTTTTGTAAATTTCCCAGTCTCAGGTATGTCTTTATCAGCAGTGTGAAAATGGGGAAATAGAGTAAATTGGTACCAGGAATGGGGTGCTGATCAGAAGATACCCAAAAATGTGGAGGCAACTTTGTAACTGGGTAACAGGCAAAGGTTAGAACAATTTGGAAGGCTCAGAAGACAGGAAAATATGGGAAAATTTGGAATTCCCTAGCGACTTGTTGAATGGCTTTGACCAAAATGCTGATAATGTTATAGACAATGAAATCCAGGCTGAGGTGCTCTCAGATGGAAATGAAGAACTTGTTGGGAACTGGAACAAAGGCAACTTTTGTGATGTTTTAGCAAAGAGACTGGCAGAATTTTGTCCCTGCCCTAGAGATTTGTAGAACTTTGAACTTGAGAGAGATGATTTAGGGTATCTGGTGGAAGAAATTTCTAAGCAGCAAAGCATTCAAGGAGTGATTTGGGTGCTGATAAAGGCATTCAATTTTAAAAGGGAAAAGAGCATAAAAGTTTAAAAAAATCATAGCCTGACAATGCAATATAAAGGAAAATCCCATTTTCTGAGGAGAAATTCAAGCCAGCTGCAGAAATTTGCATAAGTAATGAAGTGCCAAATGTTAATCCCCAAGACAATGAGGAAAATGTATCCTGGACATGTCGAGGTCGTCACAAGAGCCACTCCAATCACAGGCCCAGAGGCCTAGGAGGAAAAAGTGGTTTTGTGAACCAGGCCCAGAGTCCCCATGCTGTGTGCAGCCTAAGGACTTGGTGCCCTCCATCCCAGCTGCTCCAGCCATGGCTGAGAGAGGTCAACACAGAGCTTGTGCTGTGGCTTCAGAGGGTGCAAGCCTCAAGCCTTGGCAGATTCCATGTGGTTTTGGGCCTGCAAGTGCACAGAAATCAAGAATTGAGGTTTGGGAACCTCCAGCTAAGTTTCAGAAGATGTATGGAAACACCTGGATGTCCAGGCAGAAGTTTGTTGCAGGGCAGGGCGCTCATTGAGAACCTCTGCTAAGGCAGTGGAGAAGGGAAATGTGGGGTCAGAGCCCCCACACAGAGTCCCTACTGGGGCACCACCTAGTGGAGCTGTGAGAAGAGGGCCACTGTCCTCCAGACTCCAGAATGGTAGATCAACTGACAGCTTGCACTGTGTGCCTGGAAAAGCTACAGACACTCAATGCCAACCCATGAAAGCAGCCAGGAGTGGGGGCTATACCCTGCAAAGACACAGGGGAAGAGCTGCCCAAGGCCATGGGATCCTGTCTCTTGCATCAGGATGACCTGCATGAGAGACACAGAGTCAAAGGAGATCATTTTGGAGTTTTAATATTTGATCGCCCTGCTGGATTTTGGACTTGCATATGGCCCATAGCCCCTTTGTTTTGGCCAATTTCTCCCATTTGAAATGGTTGTATTTACCCTATGACTGTACCCTCATTGTATCTGGGAAGTAACTAATTTGCTTTTGATTTTACAGGCTCACAGGTGGAAGGGACTTGCCTTGTCTCAGATGAGACTTTGGACTGTGGACTTCTGAGTTAATGCTGAAATGAGTGAAATGAGTTAAGACTTTGGGGGTCTGTTGGGAAGGCATGATTGGTTTTGAAATGTGAGGACATGAGATTTGGGAGGTGCCAGGGGCAGAATGTATGGCTTGGCTGTGTCCCCACCCAAATATCATCTTGAATTTCCATGTGTTGTGGGAGGGACCCAGTGGGAGGTAATTGAATCATGGGGGCAGGTCTTTCCTGTGTTGTCATGTGATAGTGAATAAGTCTCATGAGAGTTAATGATTATATAAAAGGAAATTTCCCTGCATAAGCTCTCTTTGCCTGCTGCCACCCACATAAGATGAGATGTGCTCCTCCTTGCCTTCCGCCATGATGGTTAGGCCTCTCTAGCCATGTGGAACTCTTAAGTCCATTAAACCTCTTTCTTTTGTAAATTGCCCAGTGTTGGGTATGTCTTTATTAGCAATGTGAAGATGGACTAATACAAATATTGATATAAAAAATTCTCAACAAAATATAATAAATCAAACTCAAAAATATATTAGAAAGATCATTCATCATGACTAAGTGGGATTTATCCCCAGGATGCAAGGATAGTTAATATACACAAATCAATCAATATGACATCACATCAAAGAATGAAGGACAAAAAACATATGATCTTTTCAATTGATGCTTTAAAAAAAAGCATTTGATAAAATTTAATGTCTCTTCATGATAAAAAAAACACCCAAGAAAATGGGATAGAAGGAACATACCTCAACATAATAAAAGCCATATATGACAAACCCACAGTTAGTATCATACGGCATGAGGAAAAACTGAAAGCCTTCTAAGATCTGGAACACAACAAAGATGCTTATTTCCACCATTGTTATTCAACTTAGTACTGGAAGTCCTAGCTAGAGCAATTAGACAAGACAAAGATAAAAGGCATACAAATCAGAAAGGAAAAAGTCAAATTATCCTTGTTTGCAGATGATATGATCTTATATTTAGAAAAACCTAAAGACTCTACCAGAAAACTATTACAGCTGATAAATTCAGTAAAGTTGCAGGATACAAAATCAACCTACAAAAATCAGTAGTATTTCTTTATGACAACAGTGAACAATCTGAAAAAGAAATTAAAAAGTAATCCCATTTACAATAGCCACACATAAAATTAAATACCTAGGAATTAACTTAACCCAGGAAGTGAAGGATATCTGTAATAGAAACTATAAAACATTGATGAAAGAAATTGAAACGAGTTACTGGGTTCAGCACACCAACATGGCACACGTATACATATGTAACTAACCTGCATGTTGTGCACAGGTACTGTGAAACTTAAAGTATAATTAAAAAAAAAAAAAGAAATTGAAAAGGACACAAAAATGGAAAAATATTCCATGTTTATAGATTAGAATAATCAGTGTTGTTAAAATGTCCATACTACCCAAAGGATTATACAGATTCAATGCAATCCCTGTCAAAATACCAAAGACATTCATCACAGAAATAGAAAAAATCAATCCCAAAATTTATGAAGAACCAACAAAGACCCAGAATAACCAAAGCTATCCTAAGCCAAAAGAATAAAACTGGAGGAATCACTTTACCTGACTTCAAATTAGACTACAGTGCTATAGTAACCAAAACAGCATGGTACTGGCATTAAAATATGCACATAGACCAATGGACAAGACTAGAGAACCCAGAAACAAATCCACACACCTATAGTGAACTCGTTTTCAACAAAGGTACCAAGAACATGCACTAGAGAAAAGACAGTCTCTTCAATAAATGGTGCTGGGAAAATTGGATATCCATATGCAAAAGAATAAAATTAGACCCCTATCTCTCACCATATACAAAAATAAAATCAAAATGGATTAAATACTTAAATCTAAGACCTTAAACTATGAAACTACTACAAGAAAACATTGCGGAAATTATCCAGGACATTGGTCTTGGCAAAAATTTCTTGAGCAATACCCCACAAGCACAGGCAACCAAAGCAAAAGTGGACAAATGGGACCATATCAAGTTAAAAAGCTTCTGCACAGCAAGGGATACAATCAACAAAGTGAAGAGACAACCCACAAAATGGGAGAAAATATTTGCAAACTACGTATCTGACTGGGGATGAACAACCAGAATATATAAGGAGCTCAAACAACTCTATAGGAAAATATCTAACAATCTGATAAAAAAAAAAGTGGGCATAAGTTTGAATAGACATTTCTCAAAAGAAGACATACAAATGGCAAACAGCTATATGAAAAGGTGTTCAACATCATTATTCATCAGAGAAATGCAAATAAAAACTACAATGAGATATCATCTCACTCCAATTAAAATGGCTTGTAACAAAAAGACAGGCAATAACAAATGCCGGTGAGGATGTGGAGAAAAAGGAACCCTTGTATACCATTGGTGAGAACGTAAATTAGTATAACCACTATGGAGAACAGTTTGGAGGTTCCTCAAAAACCTAAAAATTGAGCTACCATATGATCCAACAATCCCATTGCTGGGTATATACTCAAAAAAAAAAAGAAAGAAATCATTATAATGAAGAGATATCTGCATTCCCATGTTTGTTGCAGCACTGTTCACAATAGATAAGATTTGGAAGCAACCTAAGTGTCCATCAGCAGATGAATGGATAAAGAAAATGTGATACATATACACAATGAAGTACTATTCAGCCACAAAAAAAGAATGAAATTTAGTCATTTGCAGTGACATGGATGGAACCAGAGATCATTAAGTGAAATAAGCCAGGTACAGAAAGAAAAACATCACATGTTCTCATTTATTTGTGGGATCTAAAAATCAAAACAACTGAACTCATGGACATAGAAAAAAGAAAGATGATTACCAGAGGCTGAGAAGAGGGGACAAGGAGGAGGTGGGGATGGTTAATGTACCAAAAACATAGAATAAATAAATAAGACCTGCTGTTTGATAATGCAATAGGGTTACTATAGTCAACAATAACTTTATTGTGCATTTCTAAATAACTTAAAGAATAATTGCATTGTTTGTAACTCAAAGGATGAATGTTTGAGGAGGATGGATATCCCATTCTCCATGATGTGCTTATTTCACATTGCAGGTCTGTATCAAAATATCTCATGTACTCTACAAATATACACACCTACTATGACCCACAAAAATTTTTAAAAAGGAAGACCTAAGGAACCAACCTTGGGTTAAGATGAGGTTTAATGGATATTTTGTAGACATACATGTGCCTTCAGAGGGGAAATATATAAACTATAAGATCAAATGTCTTCCTAATTGAGAGCTAAATCAGAATCATAAGAAATTAACTAGGTAACTTAAAATTGCCCATCTGATAGTCAGCGACATTGTTCCTCAGCATCAACCCAGGCTTTTTTAACAAGTGGCTAAATTTTAAAATGAACTAAATACCTAAATGTTGGGAAGATTTAGTGCTCTTAAATCTGTATCTCTTGAATTTGGAAGAAATCAGAGTCTCACACAGAGTTTTTACATGAAAGAGGGACTTTGTTTTGCTAAGTATAAATATTTGCAATGAAAGAAATCAGACCAGCTTGGAAATACCATGCAAACTTGTATCAGGGAACCTGCCCCGATAGTCACGTAGGTTCTTTTCTATTTTCCCTAAGCATCAGCCAGTTTGAGAAACAAAGGGACAGAGTACAAAAGAGAGAAATTTTAAAGCTGGGCATCTGGGGGAGACATCATATGTTAGTAGGTTCCATGATGCCCCCCAAGCCACAAAACCAGCAAGTTTTTATTAGGGATTTTCAAAAAGGGAGGGAGTATATGAATAGGGTGTGGGTCACAGACATCAAGTACTTCACAAGGTAATAGAATATCACAAGGCAAATGGGGGCAGGGCAAGATCACAGGACCACAGGACCAGGGTGAAATTAAAATTGCTAATGAAGTTTCAGGCACCATTGTCATTGATAACATCTTATCAGGAGACAGGGTTTTGAGAGCAACCCGTCTGCCCAAAAGTTATTAGGTGGGAATTTCCTCTTCCTAATAAGCCTGGAAGTGCTATGGGAGACTGGGGTCTATTTCACGCCTATAGTCTATAGACCATAAAAGACAGGCACGCCCAGGGGGGCCATCTGTAGACCTATACCCCCAGGTGCATGTTCTCTTTCCCAGGGATGTTCCTTGCTGAGAAAAAGAATTCAGTGATATTTCTCCCGTTTGCTTTTGAAAGAAGAGAAATATGGCCCTGTTCCACCTGGCTCACCAGCCGGTGGTCAGAGTTTAAGGTTATCTGTCTTATTTCCTGAACAATTGCTGTTATCCTGTTCTTTTTTCAAGGTGCCCAGATTTCATATTGTTTAAACACACATACTCTACAATTTGTGCAATTAATGCAATTATCACATGGTCCTGAGGCGACATACATCCTCCTTGGTTTACGTGATGACAGGATTAAGAGATTAAAGTAAAGACAGGCCTAGGAAATCACAAGGGTGGTGATTGGGGAAGTGATAAGTGTCCATGAAATCTTCACAATTTATGTTTAGAGATTGCAGTAAAGAGAGGCATAAGAAGTTATAAAATATTAATTTGGGGAACTAATAAATGTCCATGAAATTTTCAAAATCCACATTCTTCTGCCATGGCTTCAGTCAGTCCCTCCATTTGGGGTCCCTGACTTCCTGCAGCAAACTTGAAAGCACAATTTTTATAGCACATCCACATTATAAATCAACTTAGTTCCAATTCTGACCAGCTCTTCATATAAGGAGCCGTAGGAGAAAACAAATGCACTTCCTGTACTAGTGTTTGTGTGAAATAAAGGATCTTAACAAGTATTAATTCATCTATAAAGGAGTAGAATTTTATATAGATGGTGCTCTAAAAAAAAAAGTTGGGGGGTATGGATTAGGAATCACCCTTGGGGTCTGGTTGGCAAAATGAAAGAACAAGGTTTAGGCAGGGAAAAAAATCTGTTTGGCCATTCTTCCATTGCTATAAAGAAATACCTGAGACTGGAAATTTCCTAAAGAAAAGAGGCTTAATTGGCTCACAGTTCTGCAGACTGTACAAGCATGCCATTAGCATCTGCTCAGCTTCCGGGGAGGTCTCATGGAGCTTTTACTTGTGATGGAAGGTGAAGTGGGAGCAGGCAAGTCACATGGGGAGAGCAGGAACAAGAGAGAGAGGGGAGGGAGGTGCCACACACTTTTAAACAACCAGATCCCACAAGAACTCACTCACTATTGCAAGAACAGCAACAAGCCATGAGGGCTATGCTCCCATGTCCCAGACACCTCCCACCAGGCCCCACCTCCAACACTGGGGATTACGTCTCAACATGAGATTTAGTTAAGACATCCAAACTATACCACTATTCATGACTAAATATAGCAATGGATTCATGTCCAGGGAATTCTCTTAGCTTACCAATTGCCCCATCATCCAAAACATGTGTAAACATGTTTTTACACAAATGAAAATTGAAAGAATTTATGACCAGTACAATTGCACTATAGAAAATGTTAAAGAAAATTTTTCAGGCAAAAAAAAAAACACTTCAGATGAAACCTCTAGTTTATAAAAAGGAATGAAGAGCACCAGAAATTATAACTATTGGGTTAATGTAAACTTTTTATTTCTTTAAAACATGATTGCTTAAAGCAAAAAATAAAAACAGAGTTATGAGGTTCAGAACATATGTGTAAGTAAAACATAATGATACTTCAAATGTAATGTATCTGTATCATGTACTATCATTAGCACAAGGATGGAAAGGGAAAAAGAAATACACTGCTGTAAGGGTCTTACACGATATGAATTCATATAATATTCCTTGAAGGCAGACTGTGATAAGTTAAAGATGTATGTTGTAAACTCTGGAACAATCTTTTTTAATTTTTATGTCTTTTTTAACTTTTGTTTTAGGTTCAGGGGTACATGTACAGGTTTCCTGTATAGGTAAATTGTGTGTCATGGGGGTTTTGTGTACAGATGATTTCATTGCCCAGGTGTTAAGTATAGTACCCAATAGGTAGTTTTTTGATCCTCATCCTCCACCCTCCCTCCACACTTAAGTACACCCTGATGTTTGTTGTTCTCTTCCTTGTGTCCATATGTACTCAATGTTTAGTTCCCATTTATAAATGAGAACATTTGCTATTTGGTTTTCTGTTCCCATATTAGTTTGCTTAGGATAATGGCCTCTGGCTCCATCTGTGTTGCTGCAAAGGACATGATCTCATTCTTTTTATGGCTGCATAGTATTCCATGGTGTGCATGTGCTATATTTTCTTTATTCAGTCCACCATTGATAGGCATTTAGGTTGATTCCATGTCTTTGCTATTGTGAATAGTGCTGTGAGGAACATATGCATGCATGTGTCTTAGTGGTAGAACAATTTCTATTCCTTTGGATATATACCTAATAATGGGATTGGCGGGTCAGATAGCAATTCTGATTTGAATTCTTTGAGAAATTGCCAAACTGTTTTCTATGATGGTCAGACTAATGTACATTTCCACCAGCAGTATATAAGTCTTCCCTTTACTCCACAACCTCGCTGGTATCTGTTATTTTTTGACGTTTTAGTAATCACCTTTCTGACTGTTGTGAGATGGTATCTCACTGTGGCTTTGATTTGCATTTCTCTAAAGATTAGTGATGTTGAACATTTTTTCATATGCTTGTTGGCCACGTGTATATCTTCTTTTTAAAAGCATCTGTTCATGTTGCTTATAGATTCTGGTTATTAGACCTTTGTTGGTACATAGTTTGCAAATATTTTCTCCCATTCTGTAGGTTGTCTGTTTGCTCTGTTAATAGTCTTTTTGCTGTGCAGAAGCTCTTTAGTTTAATTAGGTCCCATTTATCAATTTCTGTTTTTGTTGCAATTGCTTCAGCTCTTCAGGATAAAATCTTTACCAGGTCCTATGTCCAGAATGGTATTTCCTAGATTATCTTCCAGGGTTTTTATAGCTTTAGGTTTTATATTCAAGTCCTTAATCCACCTTGAGTTGGTTTTTGTATGTGGTGTAAGGAAGGGGTCCAGTTTCAATCTTCAGCATATGGCTATCCAACTATCACGGAATGCTTTTCCATTTGTTTGTGTCATCTCTGATTTCTTTGAGCAGTGTTTTGTAATTCTCATTGTAGAGATCTTTTATCTCCCTGGTTGGCTGTATTCCTAGGTATTTTATTCTTTTCATGGTTATTGTGAATAGGATTGTGTTCTTGATTCAGCTCTCAGCTTGGATGCTGCTGGTGCATAGGAATGCTACTCTTTTGTGTACATTGATTTCATATCCTGAAACTTTGCTAAAGTTGTTTATCAGACCAAAGAGCTTTTAGGCAGAGACTATGGGGGTTTCTCAGTATAGAATCATATCATCTGCAAACAGGGATATTTTGACTCCTTCTCTTCCTATTTGGATGACTTTCATTTCTTTCTCTTACCAGAGTGCTCTAGCCAGGACTTCCATAATATGTTGAGTAGGAATAGTGAGAGAGGGCATCTTTGCTTGTTCTGCTTTTCAAGGGTAATGCTTCCAGCTTTTGCCCATTCAGTATGATATTGGCTGTGGGTTTTTCATACGTGGCTCTTATTGTTTTGAGCTATGTTCCTTAAATTCCTTGTTTGTTGTCGGTTTTTAACATGAAGGGACATTGAATTTTATCAAAAGCCTTTTCTGCATCTATGGAAGTACTCTGTGGTTTTTGTTTTCAGTTCCGTTTATGTGATGAATCACAGTTATTGATTTGAGTATGTTGAACCAACCTTGCATCCCAGGGATAGAGCCAACTTGATTATAGTGTATTAGTTTTTTGATGTGTTGCTAGGTTTGGTTTGCTAGTATTTTGTCAAGGATCTTTGCATCTATGTTTATCAAAAATGTTGGCCTGAAGTTTCCTTTTATTGTTCTGTCTCTGCCAGGTTTTGGTATCAGGAAAATGCTGGCCTCATAAGATGAGCTGGAAAGGAGTCCCTTCTCAATTTTTTTGGAATGGTTTCAGTAAGAATGGTAAAACTCTTTTTTATACATCTGGTAAAATTTGGCTGTGAATCCATCTGCCCCTGGGCTTTTACTTGTTGGCATACTTTTATTACTGATTATATTTCTGAACTCATTATTGATCTCCTTAGGGATTCCATTTCTTGCTGGTTCAATCTTGGGAGCTTGTATGTTTCTGGGAATGTATTCATTTCTTCTAGATTCTCTAGCTTGTGTACATAAAGGTGTTTGTTTCAGTTTCTGAGAGGTTTTTTATATTTCTGTGAGGTCAACGGTAACATCCTCTCTGTCACTTCAGACTGTGTTTATTTGGATCTTCCCTCTTTTTTCTTTATTAGTCTCACCAGCAGTCTGTCTTATTAGTTCTTTCAAAGAAACCGGCTGTTGCATTCATTCATCTTTTGTATGTTTTTGTCAATTTTCTTGAGTTCAGCTAGGATTTTAGTTATTTATTTTCTTCTGCTAGGTTTGGGGTTGGTTTGCCCTTGGTTCTCTAGTTCTTCTAGTTGTGATGATAAGTTGTTACTGTGATATCTTTCTAACTTTTTGATGTGGGTGTTCAGTGCTATAAACATCCCTCTTAACACTACTTTAGCTGTATCCCAGAGATTCTGATATGTTGTATATTTGCTCTCATTAGTTTCAAAGAATTATTGATTTAAATCTTAATTTTTTTATTTACCCAAAAGTCATTCAGGACCATGTTTTTAATTTCCATGTAATTATATGGTTTTGAGCAATATTCTTAGTATTGATTTCTATTTTTATTGCACTGTGGTCCAAGAAGGTTGTTGGTATGATTTAGGGTTTTTTTAATTTGCTGAGAATTGTTTTATGTATGATTGTGTGGTTGATTTTAGAGTATGAGCCATGTGTAGACAAGAAGAATATATATTCTGTTGTTTGGGGGTGGAGAATAGAATTCTGTAGATGTCTACTAGGTCCATTTGGTCAAGTATCGAGTTCAGGTCCCAGATACCTTTGTTAGTTTTCTGCCTCAAAGATCTGTCTAATACAATCAGTGGGGTGTTGAGGACTCCCACTATTATTGTGTGGTTATCTAAGTCTCTTTGTAGGTCTCTAAGAGCTTGCTTTATGAATCTGGGTGCTCCTGTGTTGGGTGCATATTATTTAGGATAGTTAGATCTTCTTGTTGAATTGAGCCCTTTACCATTACATAAGGCCCTTCTTTGTCTTTTTTTATCTTTGTTGGCTTAAAGTCTGTTTTGACTGAAATTAGAATAGCACTCCCTGCCTTTTTATGTTTTCAATTTGCTTGGTAGATTTTTCTCCATGCCTTTACTTTGAGCCTATGGGTGTCGTTGCATGTGAGATGGGTCTCTTGAAGACAGCGTAACATTAGGCTTTGTTTCTTTATCCAACTTGCCACTCTGTGCCTCTTAATTGGGGCATTTAGCCCATTTACATTCAAGGTCAGTATTGATATGTGCAGATTCGATCCTGTCATCCTGTTGTTAGCTGGTTATTATGCAAGCTTGTTGATGTGACTGCTGTATAGTGTCGCTAGTCTATGTACTTAAATGTGTCTTTGTAGGGGCTGATAACAGTCTTTCCTTTCCATATTTAGCACTCCCTTCAGAGTGTTTTCCTTTATTTTTGTCTGACTGAGTTATTTTGGAGAACTGGTCTTCAAGTTCTGAGATTCTTTGCTCAGCTTGTTCAATTATGCTGTTAACACTTGCAATTATATTCTGAAATTCTCAAAGTGAGTTTTTCAGCTCTATCAAATCAGTTTGGTTCTTTCTTAAAATGGCTATTTGACCTTTCATCTCCCACATCATTCTATTGTATTCCTTAGAATCCTTGGATTGGGTGTCAACTTTCTCCTGAATCTCAATGATCTTCATTCCTATCCGTATTTTCTGAATTCTACTTCTGTCATTTTAGCCTGGTTAAAAACCATTGCCAGGGAACTAGTGCAGTCATCTGGAGGTACAAAGACTCTGGCTTTTGCGTTGCCACAGTTCTTGCACTGGTTTTTTTCAACTGTGTGGGCTGATGTTCCTTCAATCTTTGAAGCTGCTGTCCTTTGGATTTTTTTTTTTTAATTTTGCTTTTATCTTCCTCAATGTCCTTGGGGATTTGATGGTGGGTTCAGTCAACTGGCTTCATTTCTGGAAGATTTTAGGAGATCAAGGCTCTGCTCAGCACTTCTGGGCTTCATGCTCTCACTCTAGAGGGCTGGTATTAGGCTCCTGGCTTTGTTTTCTGGCCCCTAGAGGTTAGGAACTTGCTACGCTGGAGAGGTCAAGGTGTTCCCATACCTCTGGCCACAATATTCCCATGGATAGTGCTAGCCAAAGGGCTTCATTGGGCAGAGGAAGTGGGATTCATGCTTGTTGGCATGTGCCAGCAGCAGTGGTAACACAACGGAATGCATGCTCATCAGCTGGGGTAGAGCACTGGCAGGTACAGGACCGGTGGCCTCCACATGCACATTCACACTGGCAGCAAGGGTAGTGCCTCGAACAACAATTTTAAAAGAATAAAACAGCAGAACTCAGTGGCACATGCCTGTAGTCTCAGATATATAAGAGGCTGAGGCTAGGGGATCACTTGAGCCTAGGAGTTTGAGTCCAGCCTAGGAAACTCAGTGAGGCTTCATCTTTTTAAAAAAAAATTGATTAGAATGTTACAAGAATAAAACAAAGAGGTACAGTTTGCAAGCCACTTGTGATTATTACATAGGATCATAACAATACCAAATTAGACCAGGCACCATGGTTCATGTCTGTAATCCCAGCATGGATTGCTTGATCTCAAGAGTTCAAGACAATCCTGGGCAACATGGTGATACCCCATCCCCACAAAAAAATTAACCAGGCATGATGGTAGGTGCCTGGAGTTTCAGCTACTTTGGGGACTGAGACAGGAGGATCACTTGAGCCTCGATGGTTGAAGCTGCAGTGAGCCATGTTTGTGCCACTGCATTCCAGCCTGAGTGATAAAGCAAAACCCTGTCTCAAACAAAAAAACTAAATCCCAAAAATCCAAGAAAATGGGGGAGGGGGGAACAAAGAGCATATGAGACAATAGAAAAAAATAATAAGATGGTAGATTTAAGCACAACGATATTAACTATGTTACAAGTAAATAAATACTCCTATTAAAAGGTTATGATTATCACACTGGAAGAAAAAGACTTCACTTTATAAATAAAATAATTCCATAATCCCAAAATTATGAAGTCATGGAGTAGAAACCCAGCTAGAATATAGCCTCAGCAGATCTGCAGCCAACATGTAATAGAAACAAGAAATAAATGTTTTTATTGTTGGCGAAAGCACTGTAATTTGGGGGTTGGTTCTTCCCCACAGCATAACCTAGGGAAAGCTGACTGACAACCACATTGTAGCATGGTGACTTCTATATATTTAACACTTAATGATTAATTTTTTTAAGTCTTTTGGAAGACAAAAATAAAAGGAAACTGTCTAAATCATATCAATTATATCTTACATAAGGGTAATATTTTAAAGCATTTACATTTAGTAAGAAACATTAAAAAATATCTATTACTATTTCTACTATTTGATATTGTATGGATGTCCTAAGTAATGCAACAACAAAAATAAGGATTTGGAAATTGAAAAGGAAGACATAAGTTGCTGTTTCAAGTTGAAACAACTGCTGTCTTTAGATAGCAATCCACATATTAGACAGCTCAGTAAAATTGATGGATAAAAGGTCAACATATAAAAATTAATACGTCTTATAAACCCATAAAAACAAATTATTTTAGTAGATTAAATTATCTTTCAAAATATGTGCTGCTCCTCTCCATAGTATGCCTCCTTAGGAGAAGATTGTATGTCCCCACCCCAGTGATGCCAAGCTAGGGCATGTGACTCATTTTGACCATTGCCATGTGAGCATAGTGGCTTATTCCACTTCTGCAAAGAAGCTCTGTCAGCCACCACATGACTTGCCTGTTTGTTTTTCACTCTGCCACAAGACCAAAATATTTCATACAGAAGCAACAAAAGAGCAATGGACACATAATAAGAATAAGATAAAATTTGTGAATGTATGATGTGGGAGGGGTGGAATATACCTAACTTTTTTACTGTCAAATTCTGTTAGTTTGTGGTAACAGAATGAGGTCAGTGTGGTAACAGAAGTAGTTGAATTTCTAAAACAGACCTGCACAAATCAAATCTTACTCTATAGCAAACTATTAACAATTTTAAAAGATACAGGTACACATTAATGATTCTTTCCAGAGTAAGCTGAAACCTTTAGATGCACCTGCCAAAAAAGTCTGTGTCTCCTACATTAGGTCAATCCAGAGTATCTGCTCTCCCCCATCATCATCCCCAGAGGGCCACAACTTGGATGAGAGAAGGACCTGAGGAGTCCTGGAGACTGAAGTCCAAAGCATGGAACCCTCAGGGCCTTGTCTCTACCAGAAAATTCTTCAGGCCCCTCCCTTGCTTCTCTTAGACCAGGGCCACCCTAAAGGAGGCCAAAGCCCAAGCCACTGCCTATACCAAGAAGTCCCTGGACAATTGAGCAGGAGAAATGACCCTAGAGTCCCAGACACACTGTCCATTGAAGCACAGTCAGCTCAGTTCTCATGTCCAGCCCAGCATCCCCCATGAGATCAGGGCCTCAGCCCCTTTCAGCCTATTCTTCCTTAGTCTTAGCCCACAGCCTGGCTCCCAGGATAAGACTCTCTTGCCAGCCCCTCTTGAGTTACAGGAGATTCTTTCTGTGGAATAACAGAAAGGCTATGCTCCTACCATTAGTTATTAAATAAATTTTGAGCAACTAGCATATACCAGGCACTGTGCTAGGCACTGGAAATCCAGTGGTGCACAGAATAAACACTCCCTGCTCTCACTAACAGTTAACATTTAGGGTGTCCCATCTTCTGAGTCCCATATGGCCTAGACCTCATTAGGTATCTACCAGAATTTAAAACCTTCTAATTCCAGAACAATTACCACGCCTCTCATTTGTAAAGCACACTATACTTAAAGCTTAAATTACCTTGTTGATCCTAGAAATACATTTTATTGGCACTAGAATAAAGGATTGTTTGCTTAGTTATCATCTTGTTCCAATACTGTGCTCTGTGGAGCTCCCGGAAGTGGAAAGGAAGAGGAAAGCAACAGGTTAACTATTCCCAGCCCCGCAGTCCTTCTCTTCAATCAGAAGAGCATATCTCTGTCTCTTTTAGGTATAGGCATAGTATGAAATTTCCTTTGAAAAGGAGGTCCCTTTTACTTTTTTAAAAGTAAGCAGCTTTGAAACCCACTGACAGAAAACAACTTCCTCCTTTGGGATATAAAGAAACCAAGACACAGAAAGGAAAGTGACTCCAGATGGCCTTTTACTGAGTTACCCGCAAAGCCAGGTTTGAAACCTTGGTCTGCCAACTGCAAGGCCGGTGCTCTTCCAGCCCAGAGATGTGACTTTTCAGAGGAGCAAGTGGCCTTCAAACTCACTTAGCCACCTTCTTCCCCAATAGCTTTCATCCCAACCACCCTGGTCAAGCAAACATCTGGCTACTCTGATGCAAACCTGGACAGATAATATACAGAATTCAACCATTTTCCTTTTACACCCCACATAAAACCATGTGTACAAAGAACACATGTGCCATCTAATGGTCTGTATAATGCTTAAAGACAGTTGTCACACACACTTTCGCCATCCCCAATGCAGGGCAATTCTACTGAGTTCTGAGTTAAACACCTCTACTCTCCACCCCTCTCAGTTTTTCATTGGTCCCCACTATGAGACAGCTGGGAGTACATTTACCACATAAGACCTTCTCCTTTGGAAACTCTCCCCAGATCTTAGGGATGAAGTCCTAGGATGAGATCCTCTTGGATTTTGTGCAGCTGATGCTGACATAACATGACAAGCAATGTAGCAAAGAAGATAACTGGGAGAAAGGCATGTTCTATACCCCAGTGGGAGCTCAAATAAGGATCCAGCCCAAGAATGAGCTAAGGGACCAATCTTCCTAATATGGCCACCATTCTTCTTATGCAGTGAGCTCTGAAAGAAAAGGGTAGACACAGGAGTCTCAGGCCTGGGACGTCATCCTTATCTTGGGACTGTTTTATGTTTCCTTTGGGGGAAAGCATGACTTCTTTTATCAGTTCTCTGAAACAGCTGACTGACAGGATAGAAAAAGGAGCACTTCCGTCCAATTTAGAACCTTCCATGGCCTTGATGAAGCTGATAAATAGAAAGTGATGAACTTGAAACAACCAACATCCCTATCTGCTTTTCATCTAATTCCAAGTGACTCCCAGGATTCTCCCCACTTCAAGAAGAACCCTGGAGAAAGCTGATGACTTCCACCCAGAAATGTGTTAAATGCAAATAGTAAGACTAGTAATGATTTCCCCCAGGGCTCACCAGAACTAAGAGCTCCTCAAAAACTGCACCTTAAAAGATGTCCAGACTTCACACATCCATCCCCACTGGCTACACAGCTTAGAGGCATGTTTAAAGAGTATTTCATTTACATTGTGGAAGCCCAAAACAACAAAAAAGACAAAGAGAGGTAGAGTTAAATGAGTTACTCCACTGCCATCACAGTAGCTCACTTAACAAAGCCTTCACAAAGCCTTCTTTTACCTGGCTATGAGTCTGCTCAAGATTCTTGAAAGCTAGAACTCCTGCCTATATCTTGTTTATATCACCATATGTCCCCATTACCCAACATATTCTGGACACTCTTTTGGAGAACTGGGGCCTGATTTCTAACCTCTTACCATAGCCCTACTACCTTCCTCTGTATTTCCCATCCTTATGTTCGGAGCTTGGCAAAATACAGTTAACACACTTCAACAGCCATATTAATCTCCTAAGTCTTCAGGAATGATTTTCTTACTAACTCTCATCACCTCTCAACCTCACACAATCCAGTTCAGGTCATGAGAAGATTGTTCAGCGGTCCTATATTACATGGTCAGAGGCAGCTTCTATAGGTATAAACTCAGCAGTGCAATTCAACCACAGTCATAGAGGGCTCCCCATGTATAAAGTACTCTGCTAGGTTCTAGAGATTCAAAGATAAACAGGATAAATTTAGTCCTTGATTGAGACACCCAAATTATCATAGAAGCAGTGGGTACACAGAGGGTTATCTATGACAATACAGTAAAAGGTACAATAGATGTAGGTGTAAATTGCTGTTAGAACATAAATAAGAAATTTACTCTGTCTTAGTGAAGGGAGAATGCAGATGAATGTCAGAGGAAAGTTATAGTTGAGCTGAGTTGTGCAGAATGATGAAGAGCTTTCCAAAAAGCTCAAGAGGGGAGGGCCATTTCAGACAGAAGAAGGAGTATGAGCCTTGGTCCAAAAATGACAGAAGAGCATGATGTGGGAGAGAAAGAGGAAAGGTACTGAAGGACCTAAAGGAAAGAGACTGAAGAAGAGATTGGAGAAGGGGGCTGGATTTCTTTTCTGAAGCCCTTTACAGGGCAGGGTAAGACATCTGAACCTGATCCTATAGAACAGTACATTGGGAAGCCCTTCCCTGGGTGAAGATACAGAAGCTAATGGATTTATCCTTGTAACATCTGCCCAGTGGGATTTCATCATTGTTATGCACCGCTGATTACTATGTGTTTACCATTTTTCTTCTGAACCTATTATGGTTAAGTAGGGCTTCTAGAAGCTTTTTAAATCATAGAAAGAAAAATATATAAAATACAAAAAGATGTGTAAGAGCCACGTGGAAAATAGTAAGAAGTTCTTTTTTTATTTTATTTATTTTTTTTATTTTATTATTATTATACTTTAAGTTTTAGGGTACATGTGCACAATGTGCAGGTTAGTTACATATGTATACATGTGCCATGCTGGTGTGCTGCACCCATTAACTCATCATTTAGCATTAGGTATATCTCCTAATGCTATCCCTCCCCCATCCCCCCACCCCACAACAGTCCCCAGAGTGTGATGCTGCCCTTCCTGTATCCATGTGTTCTCATTGTTCAATTCCCACCTATGAGTGAGAACATGTGGTGTTTGGTTTTTTGTCCTTGTGATAGTTTACTGAGAATGATGATTTCCAATTTCATCCATGTCCTTACAAAGGACATGAACTCATCATTTTTTATGGCTGCATAGTATTCCATGGTGTATATGTGCCACATTTTCTTAATCCAGTCTATCATTGTTGGACATTTGGGTTGGTTCCAAGTCTTTGCTATTGTGAATAGTGTCGCAATAAACATACGTGTGCATGTGTCTTTATAGCAGCATGATTTATAGTCCTTTGGGTATATACCCAGTAATGGGATGGCTGGGTCAAATGGTATTTCTAGTTCTAGATCCCTAAGGAATCGCCACACTGACTTCCACAATAGTTGAACTAGTTTACAGCCCCACCAACAGTGTAAAAGTGTTCCTATTTCTCCACATCCTCTCCAGCACCTGTTGTTTCCTGACTTTTTAATGATTGCCTTTCTAACCGGTGTGAGATGGTATCTCATTGTGGTTTTGATTTGCATTTCTCTGATGGCCAGTGATGGTGAGCATTTTTTCATGTGTTTTTTGGCTGCATAAATGTCTTCTTTTGAGAAGTGTCTGTTCATATCCTTTGCCCACTTTTTGATGGGGTTGTTCGTTTTTTTCTTATAAATTTGTTTGAGTTCATTGTAGATTCTGGATATTAGACCTTTGTCAGATGAGTAGATTGGGAAAATTTTCTCCCATTCTGTAGGTTGCCTGTTCACTCTGATGGTAGTTTCTTTTGCTTTGCAGAAGCTCCTTAGTTTAATTAGATCCCATTTGTCATTTTTGGCTTCTGTTGTCATTGCTTTTGGTGTTTTAGACATGAAGTCCTTGCCCATGCCTATGTCCTGAATGGTAATGCCTAGGTTTTCTTCTAGGGTTTTTATGGTTTTAGGTCTAATGTTTAAGTCTTTAATCCATTTTGAATTAATTTTTGTATAAGTTGTAAGGAAGGGATCCAGTTTCAGCTTTCTACATATGGCTAGCCAGTTTTCCCAGCACCACTTATTAAATAGGGAATACTTTCCCCATTGCTTGTTTTTCTCAGGTTTGTCAAAGATCAGATGGTTGTAGATATGCGGTGTTATTTCTGAGGGCTCTGTTCTGTTCCATTGATCTATATCTCTGTTTTGGTACCAGTACCGTGCTGTTTTGGTTACTGTAGCTGTGTAGAATAGTTTCAAGTCAGGTAGTGTGATGCCTCCAGCTTTGTTCTTTTGGCTTAGGATTGACTTGGCAATGCGGGCTCTTTTCTTGTTCCATATGAACTTCAAAGTAGTTTTTTTTCCAATTCTGTGAAGAAAGTCATTGGTAGCTTGATGGGGATGGCATTAAATCTATAAATTACCTTGGGCAGTATGGCCATTTTCATATTGATTCTTCCTACCCATGAGCATGGAATGTTCTTCCGTTTGTTTGTATCCTCTTTTATTTCATTGAGCAGTGGTTTGTAGTTCCCCTTGAAGAGGTCCTTCACGTCCCTTGTAAGCTGGATTCCCAGGTATTTTATTCTCTTTGAAGCAATTGTGAATGGGAGTTCACTCATGATTTGGCTCTCTCTTTGTCTATTATTGGTGTATAAGAATGCTTGTGATTTTTGTACATTCATTTTGTATCCTGAGACTTTGCTGAAGTTGCTTATCAGCTTAAGGAGATTTTGGGCTGAGACAATGGGGTTTTCTGGATATACAATCATGTCATCTGCAAACAGGGACAATTTGACTTCCTCTTTTCCTAATTGAATACCCTTTATTTCCTTCTCCTGCCTAATTGCCCTGGCCAGAACTTCCAACACTATGTTGAATAGGAGTGGTGAAAGAGGGCATCCCTGTCTTGTGCCAGTTTTCAAAGGGAATGCTTCCAGTTTTTGCCCATTCAGTATGATATTGGCTGTGAGTTTGTCATAGATAGCTCTTATTATTTTGAGATACGTCTCATCAATACCTAATTTATTGAGAGTTTTTAGCATGAAGCGTTGTTGAATTTTGTCAAAGGCCTTTTCTGCATCTATTGAGATAATCATGTGGTTTTTGTCTTTGGTTCTGTTTATATGCTGGATTACATTTATTGATTTGCATATATTGAACCAGCCCACTTGATCATGATGGATAAGCTTTTTGATGTGCTGCTGGATTCGGTTTGCCAGTATTTTATTGAGGATTTTTGCATCAATGTTCATCAAGGATATTGGTCTAAAATTCTCTTTTTTAGTTGTGTCTCTGCCCGGCTTTGGTATCAGGATGATGCTGGCCTCATAAAATAAGTTAGGGAGGATTCCCTCTTTTTCTATTGATTGGAATATTTTCAGAAGGAATGATACCAGTTCCTCCTTGTACCTCTGGTAGAATTTGGCTGTGAATCCATCTGGTCCTGGACTCTTTTTGGTTTGTAAGCTATTGATTATTGCCACAATTTCAGAGCCTGTTATTGATCTATTCAGAGATTCAACTTCCTCCTGGTTTAGTCTTGGGAGGGTGTATGTGTCAAGGAATTTATCCATTTCTTCTAGATTTTTCTAGTTTATATGTGTAGAGGTGTTTGTAGTATTCCCTGATGGTAGTTTGTATTTCTGTGGGATCCGTGGTGATATCCCCTTTATCATTTTTTATTGCGTCTGTTTGATTCTTCTCTCTTTTCTTCTTTATTAGTCTTGCTAGTGGTCTATCAATTTTGTTGATCCTTTCAAAAAACCAGCTCCTGGATTCATTAATTTTTTGAAGGGTTTTTTGTGTCTCTATTTCCTTCAGTTCTGCTCTGATCTTAGTTATTTCTTGCCTTCTGCTAGCTTTTGAATGTGTTTGCTCTTGCTTTTCTAGCTCTTTTAATTGTGATATTAGGGTGTCAATTTTGGATCTTTCCTGCTTTCTCTTGGGGGCTTTTAGTGCTATAAATTTCCCTCTACACACTGCTTTGAATGTGTCCCAGAGATTCTGGTATGTTGTGTCTTTTTTCTCATTGGTTTCAAAGAACATCTTTATTTCTGCCTTCATTTTGTTATGTACCCAGTAGTCATTCAGGAGCAGGTTGTTCAGTTTCCATGTAGTTGAGCGGTTTTGAGTGAGTTTCTTAATCCTGAGTTCTAGTTTGATTGCACTGTGGTCTGAGAGACAGTTTGTTATAATTTCTGTTCTTTTACATTTGCTGAGGAGAGCTTTACTTCCAACTATGTGGTCAATTTTGGAATAGGTGTGGTGTGGTGCTGAAAAAATGTATATTCTGTTGATTTGGGGTGGAGAGTTCTGTAGATGTCTATTAGGTCTGCTTGGTGCAGAGCTGAGTTCAATTCCTGGATATCCTTGTTAACTTTCTGTCTCGTTGGTCTGTCTAATGTTGACAGTGGGGTGTTAAAGTCTCCCATTATTCTTGTGGGGGAGTCTAAGTCTCTTTGTAGGTCACTCAGGACTTGCTTTATGAATCTGGGTGCTCCTGTATTGGGTCCATATATATTTAGGATAGTTAGCTCTTCTTGTTGAATTGATCCCTTTACCATTATGTAATGGCCTTCTTTGTCTCTTTTGATCTTTGTTGCTTTAAAGTCTGTTTTATCATAGACTAGGATTGCAACCCCTGCCTTTTTTTTGTTTTCCATTTGCTTGGTAGATCTTCCTCCATCCTTTTATTTTGAGCCTATGTGTGTCTCTGCACGTGAGATGGGTTTCCTGAATAGAGCACACTGATGGGTATTGACTCCTTATCCAATTTCCCAGTCTGTGTCTTTTAACTGGAGCATTAGTCCATTTACATTTAAAGTTAATATTGTTATGTGTGAATTTGATCCCATCATTATGATGTTAGCTGGTCATTTTGCTCATTAGTTGATGTAGTTTCTTCCTAGCCTCGATGGTCTTTACAATTTGGCATGATTTTGCAGTGGCTGGTACCGGTTGTTCCTTTCCATGTTTAGTGCTTCCTTCAGGAGCTCTTTTAGGGCAGGCCTGGTGGTGACAAAATCTCTCAGCATTTGCTTGTCTGTAAAGGATTTTATTTCTCCACTTATGAAGCTTAGTTTGGCTGGATATGAAATTCTGGGTTGAAAATTCTTTTCTTTAAGAATGTTGAATATTGGCCCCCACTCTCTTCTGGCTTGTAGAGTTTCTGCTGAGAGATCCGCTGTTAGTCTGATGGGCTTCCCTTTGTGAGTAACCCGACCTTTCTCTCTGGCTGCCCTTAACATTTTTTCCTTCATTTCAACTTTGGTGAATCTGACAATTATGTGCCTTGGAGTTGCTCTTCTCAAGGAGTATCTTTGTGGCATTCTCTGTATTTCCTGAATCTGAAAGTTGGCCTGCCTTGCTAGATTGGGGAAGTTCTCCTGGATAATATCCTGCAGAGTGTTTTCCAACTTGGTTCCATTCTCCCTGTCACTTTCAGGTACACCAATCAGATGTAGATTTGGTCTTTTCACATAGTCCCATATTTCTTGGAGGCTTTGTTCATTTCTTTTTATTCTTTTTTCTATAAACTTCCCTTCTCGCTTCATTTCATTCATTTCATCTTCCGTCACTGGTACCCTTTCTTCCAGTTGATCGCATCAGCTCCTGAGGTTTCTGCATTCTTCACGTAGTTCTCGAGCCTTGGCTTTCAGCTCTATCAACTCCTTTAAGCACTTCTCTGTATTGGTTATTCTAGTTATACATTCGTCTAAATTTTTTTCAAAGTTTTTAACTTCTTTGCCTTTGGTTTGAATTTCCTCCTGTAGCTCGGAGTAGTTTGATCGTCTGAAGCCTTCTTCTCTCAACTCGTCAAAGTCATTCTCCATCCAGCTTTGTTCCATTGCTGGTGAGGAACTGCGCTCCTTTGGAGGAGGAGAGGTGCTCTGCTTTTTAGAGTTTCCAGTTTTTCTGCTCTGTTTTTTCCTCCTCTTTGTGGTTTTATCTACTTTTGGTCTTTGATGATGGTGATGTACAGATGGGTTTTTGGTGTGGATGTCCTTTCTGTTTGTTAGCTTTCCTTCTAACAGACAAGACCCTCAGCTGCAGGTCTGTTGGAGTTTGCTGGAGGTCCACTCCAGACCCTGTTTGCCTGGGTATCATCAGAACAGCAGATTTTTGTGAACCGCGAATGCTGCTGTCTGATCGTTCCTCTGGAAGTTTTGTCTCAGAGGAGTACCCGGCCGTGTGAGGTGTCAGTCTGCCCCTACTGCGGGGTGCCTCCCAGCTAGGCTGCTCAGGGGTCAGGGGTCAGGGACCCACTTGAGGAGGCAGTCTGCCCGTTCTCAGATCTCCAGCTGCTTGCTGGGAGGACCACTGCTCTCTTCAAAGCTGTCAGACAGGGACATTTAAGTCTGCAGAGGTTACTGCTGTCTTTTGTTTGTCTGTGCCCTGCCCCCAGAGGTGGAGCCTACAGAGGCAGGCAGGCCTCCTTGAGCTGTGGTGGGCTCCACCCAGTTCGAGCTTCCCAGCTGCCTTGTTTACCTAAGCAAGCCTGGGCAATGGCGGGCGCCCCTCCCCCAGCCTCGCTGCCACGTTGCAGTTTGATCTCAGACTGCTGTGCTAGCAATCAGTGAGACTCCATGGGCATAGGACCCTCTGAGCCATGTGCAGGATATAATCTCCTGGTGCACCATTTTTTAAGCCCGTAGGAAAAGCGCAGTATTCGGGTGGGAGTGACCCTATTTTCCAGGTGCCGTCTGTCACCCCTTTCTTTGACTAGGAAAGGGAACTCCCTGACCCCTTGCACTTCCCAAGTGAGGCAATGCCTCACCCTGCTTTGGTTCATGCACGGTGCACTGCCCCCACTGTCCTGCGCCCACTGTCTGGCACTGCCTAGTGAGATGAACTCGGTACCTCAGATGGAAATGCAGAAATCACCTGTCTTCTGTGTCGCTCAAGCTGGGAGCTGTATACCTGAGCTGTTCCTATTTGGCCATCTTGGCTCGACCTCAAGAAATTCTAATGTAAAATGAAATTCGAGTCTTAAAAGAGGAAGAAAGAGAATATAAAGCAGAAATAATATTTGAAGTTCTAAAGACCAAGAATTTTTCAAAGTGATAAAATATATCAAGCTACAGAATTTTTAAAGTATAAATTTTGAAAAGAAAAATGAAAAACACACCTTGCCATATTATAGTAAAATGTTGCAAACAATTTATTAAAGTAAAAAAGGAACAATAAGACTGGCACCTGGTTTCTTATTATAAAAACAATGGAAGCCATAAGATGATATAATGTACTTTAAGGTGCTGAACATATATGTATAAAGGGTTTTTTTTAAAATAGTTACCAACTTAGTATTCTATAGCTAAAGAATATAGTCTTTAATGCTAGAGGTGAAATAATAATATTTCCAAATAAACAGAAAACTGACAGAATTCTTTGCCAAAAAAACCACTAGAAAAATATTTATATAAAGTTATTCAAATTAATAAAATATTTTTAGCAAAATTACTCAAATGTAAGAATGAATCAAATGCAAAGAAAAGATAAATACATGAGTAAATCTAATAAATATTATCTATCTAAAGCAATAACAATAATGTCTTAGTAGGGTTTTAAATATGTGGCAATGATAACATAAGAGATTAAAGAGAACTAATTAAGTTAAAATCTTCTAATGTTCTTGAATTCTCCAGGAAGTGGAAAGAGTACTAACTTAAACTACATTTAATAAGTCAAGACTTTATTTTTTCATCTCCAGGGTAACTATTAAAAGAATTTAAAAAAACATATAACTAGCAAGCAGAAAGAGAAGCCAAATTAAATGATTAAGAAATTAATCCAAAAGAAGATAAGAATGGAAAGAAAAAGGACATATAACAGGTGAAACATAGAAAACAGGTAGTAAGGTGGTAGATTTTACATCAACTATTTCAATTACTACCTAAATAGAGTTGTGGTAAGAATTGAATGGCAGAGCATATGAAAAGCATTTAATGCAGTGACTAGTATAATGTATAGTAAGTGCTCAATGAATATTAGATATTATTTTTTAAAATGCACCCCAAAAATAATCTAATTAAAAGACAAAATGATCATATTGGATTGAAAAACAGCTATACACTACTTACAAGGAAAATGTCTTAAATATAATGATACAGAAAAGTTGAAAGTAAAAAGATGAAAAAATAGATTGTTTGAAAACCCTAACCAAAAAGTAAAGCTGATCTAACTTCACAAAGAAAACTTTAAAGACAGGAATATTACTAGAGATTTTAGAAGACATTTAATCATGTTAAAAAGTTAAATTCATTAAGAAGACATGATAATTCTAAACCATGTGCATCTAATAACATAACTTCAGAATATACAAAGCAGTAATCAACAAAACAAATTCTCAAACATACTGGAACGTTTTAACACATCTCTATTTGTACGACAGGCACCTCTATTGATATACAGGCAGATTAAAATATCTACATGCATATTGAACACCACTTGTGCCCTGTCTCACATTTTCTTGGCCCACATTTTTACTCCAGTCATTGCCATAGCAATCAGCTCCCCACAATGCAACTGGACGGCGCCTTGCCTCCACTGCGTTATGCATCTCTCACTTTCTGACCTGGAATATCTCTGCTGCCTCTATATGGAACACTTGCAAAAATGTTCTCATTTAGTTTGATATATGCACAAAATCTATATGTACAAGTGAATTAATCTTAAAATTAAGAATTTTTGTTCATCAAAAGATAAGAGGGTGAAAAGACAAATCACAAAGTTGAAGAAAACATTTGCAATGGATGTATTTGACAAAATACTCATATCCAAATATACAAAGAGCTACACATCAGTAAGAAAAATACAGACAATGCAAATTTTTTTAAAATTTTATTATTGTTACACTTTAAGTTTTAGGGTACATGTGCACAATGTGCAGGTTAGTTACATATGTATACATGTGCCATGCTGGTGTGCTGTACCCATTAACTCGTCATTTAACATTAGGTATATCTCTTAATGACAATGCAATTTTTAATGAACAAAATTTTAAATACATACTTAGCACAATAGATATTGAGATGGCCAATATATATGTAAAACATTTTTCAACCCTGTTGGTCTTTAGATAAATGCAAATTTAAAACCACAATAAGAAACCATTACCGAACCTCCAGAGTGCCTACCATAAAAAGTTTTGACATACTAAGTGTCACCAAAGTATACCAACCATACCAAAACTTTTGTACACTACTGATGGGAGTAGTACAATCACTTTGAAGAAGAAATGTTTTGTTCAATGTATGCTTATGTTGAGCACGACAATTCTTTTCTAAAGATACACGAAACAGAAATGCATACATCTATGTACCAAAGATATGAATAAGAAAGTTCAGAGCAGATCCATTCCCAATAGCAACAACTAAATTGGAAATAAGACAAATTTCAATATCCAGTAGGATTAATATATAAATTATAGTATAATCATTTAATGGAACAGTAATCATCAATAAGAATCAAGGAACAACATTTCACACAAACACATGGATGAATCTTTACAATAATAATGTTAAACAAAAGAAACCAGACACAAAAGGGTATTTATTGATTGATCCTATTTACATAAAGTTTTAAAACAAAAAGGTAAAATCAATCTAAGATAATGGGAGTCAAAGTAGAAGTTACATTTCAGGAAAAGAAAGGCAGCGTCTAAGAAGGAATTCTGAGATGCTGGCAATGGTCTATTGTCTGATCTAGGTTGCAGTTTCATGAGTGTGTCACTTTGTAACAATACGTTGGGACTACACCTAAGATTTGTACACTTTGGTATACTTGTGTCATTCTTCAGTAAAAAGTTCATTTTAAACTACCTGAAAATACTGTATGTTTGTGTAGCTGTAGTGCAAAAAGAAGTCTCATAAGCTGCTGGTAAGAGCATAAATTGGTACAATGATTTTGGAAACAGTTTGGCATTTCCTATTAAAGTTGAAGCTATGCATATGCTTTGACCAAATGATTATATTCCTGGATAACAGGCCATAAAGACATGTACAAATGTGCACCAGGATACATGTTCAAGAATGCTTTTCCTGGCGTTAGATGCATAATTTAAAGAAACCAGACAGAAGAAAATGTCCATCATCTGTAAAACTGATAGTTAAATTGTGGTATTCACACAATGGAAACAATGACCTACACACAACAACATAAGCAGATCCCGCATACATAATATTCAGTGAAAGAAGTTAGTTACAAAATAATACATACATATTATCCCATTTATATAATATTCAAAATAGACTAAACTAAATTATATTTTATAGAGGTACATACATAGATGGTAAAAATGTAACTATTTCACTTTTCCAAACTCAGGAGCCAAATAGATTCAAAAAAGTAAGGAATTATCACAGAAGTCAGTCAGGCTAAGAGTTACCTATAGTGGAGGTATAGAATTGTGATTGAGAAGCATACAGGGCTTCTGGGAGCTGTCTATGTTTCTATTTCTTAACCTAGGTAATAGTAATACAAGCATCTGCTCTATAATCATTCTTTAAACTGATGGGTAAACTGTAAGTCCTTTCTGTATAGGTGATATATTTCACAATTTAAAAACAAAAAATAAGCCAGGCATAGTGATGAACACCTGTAGTTCTAGCTACTCAGGAGGCTGAGGGAGGAGGATTGCTTGACCCCAGGAGTTCAAGGTTGCAGTGAGCTGTGATGTGCCACTACACTCCAGCCTGAGTGACAGAGTAAGACCCTGTCCCAAAAAAAAAAAAAAAGAGGGAGGAGCAATCTAAATGACCATGGATGAGGGAATAAAGCAAATGTGGTATATACATATTATGAAATATTATTCAGCCTTAAAAAATGAGGAAATCCTGTCATATGCTAAAACATGGATGAAACTTGAGGACATTGTGTTAGGTGATGTAAGCCAATCACACATAAGCAAAAAAAATTTTAAACTTCATAGTTCCACTTACATCAGGTATTTCAATTAGGCAACACTCAAAGAATAACAGAAAGCAGAATGGTGGCTGGGGAAGGGGAAAATGGGGAATTATTCAATGGGTATAGAGTTTCAATTGTGCAAGATAAGAGAGTTCCAGAGATCTGCTGCACAGCAGGGTGCATAGAGTTAACACTACTGTACTGTACATTTAAACACTGTCAAGATTGTAAATTTTATGGGTTTTTTTACCATTATTTTGTGTTTTTTTAACCACAATTTTTAAAAACTGACCTATAGGACAAACTCTACACTTTCATGGCACATAAGCCCTTCCTGACCCAGCTCTTCTCCAGCCTCATCTTCCACCATTCCTGCCCTCTTTCACTCAACTTTATGCTAGATACTTTATGTAGTTCCGCAAACACCCATCCCTTCTCTTGCCCTCTTTGCATAGGTCACTACTTCTGCACAGAAAGCCCTGTCTCAATTTGTCCAATGATAAAATCTAACCTATCCTTGAGATCTCACCTCAAATGAAGCTGTCACTGCCTTTCCAGGACAGACGAGAGCTTCTCTTACCACCACACAGCACATTATACACCTCCCACTGAAGCACGTGGCTATTCGTGCTGTAGTTATGAGCTTGCAGACTGTGATCTCCTTTGTCTCACCAGGGTCTGGTATCTAGGAAGTGCTCATCCATCTACTTTCTCACTGATAAAGTGAGTGAGTGAGTGAGTGGTATTTTTTTTTATTACATAATGGTAAAGGGATCAATTCAACAAGAAGAGTTAACTATCCTAAATATATATGGACCCAATACAGGAGCACCCAGATTCATAAAGCAAGTCCTGAGTGACCTACAAAGAGACTAAGACTCCCACACAATAATAAGGGAAACTTTAACACCCCACTGTCAACATTAGACAGATCAACGAGACAGAAAGTTAACAAGGATATCCAGGAATTGAACTCAGCTCTGCACCAAGCGGACCTAATAGACATCTACAGAACTCTCCACCCCAAATCAACAGAATATACATTTTCTCAGCACCACACCACACCTATTCCAAAATTGACCACATAGTTGGAAGTAAAGCTCTCCTCAGCAAATGTAAAAGAACAGAAATTATAACAAACTGTCTCTCAGACCACAGTGCAATCAAACTAGAACTCAGGATTAAGAAACTCACTCAAAACCGCTCAACTACATGGAAACTGAACAACCTGCTCCTGAATGACTACTGGGTACATAACGCAATGCAGGCAGAAATAAAGATGTTCTTTGAAACCAACGAGAACAAAGACACAACATACCAGAATCTCTGGGACACATTCAAAGCAGTGTGTAGAGGGAAATTTATAGCACTAAAAGCCCACAAGAGAAAGCAGGAAAGATCCAAAATTGACACCCTAACATCACAATTAAAAGAACTAGAAAAGCAAGAGCAAACACATTCAAAAGCTAGCAGAAGGCAAGAAATAACTAAGATCAGAGCAGAACTGAAGGAAATAGAGACACAAAAAACCCTTCAAAAAATTAATGAATCCAGGAGCTGGTTTTTTGAAAGGATCAACAAAATTGATAGACTGCTAGCAAGACTAATAAAGAAGAAAAGAGAGAAGAATCAAATAGATGCAATAAAAAATGATAAAGGGGATATCACCACTGATCCCACAGAAATACAAACTACCATCAGAGAATACTACAAACACCTCTACGCAAATAAACTAGAAAATCTAGAAGAAACGGATAAATTCCTGGACTCATACACCCTCCCAAGACTAAACCAGGAAGAAGTTGAATCTCTGAATAGATCAATAACAGGCTCTGAAATTGTGGCAATAATCAATAGCTTACAAACCAAAAAGAGTCTAGGACCAGATGGATTCACAGCCAAATTCTACCAGAGGTACAAGGAGAAGCTGGTACCATTCCTTCTGAAACCATTCCAATCAATAGAAAAAGAGGGAATCCTCCCTAATTCATTTTATGAGGCCAGCATCATCCTGATACCAAAGCCAGGCAGAGACACAACCAAAAAAGAGAATTTTAGATCAATATCCTTGATGAACATTGATGCAAAAATCCTCAATAAAATACTGGCAAACCGAATCCAGCAGCACATCAAAAAGCTCATCCACCATGATCAAGTGGGCTTCATCCCTGGGATGCAAGGCTGGTTCAATATACGCAAATCAATAAATGTAATCCAGCATATAAACAGAACCAAAGACAAAAACCACATGATTATCTCAATAGATGCAGAAAAGGCCTTTGAAAAAATTCAACAACGCTTCATGCTAAAAACTCTCAATAAATTAGGTATTGATGAGATGTATCTCAAAATAATAAGAGCTATCTATGACAAACCCACAGCCAACATCATACTGAATGGGCAAAAACTGGAAGCATTCCCTTTGAAAACTGGCACAAGACAGGGATGCCCTCTCTCACCATTCCTATTCAACATAGTGTTGGAAGTTCTGGCCAGGGCAATTAGGCAGGAGAAGGAAATAAAGGGTATTCAATTAGGAAAAGAGGAAGTCAAATTGTCCCTGTTTGCAGATGACATGATTATATATCCAGAAAACCCCATTGTCTCAGCCCAAAATCTCCTTAAGCTGGTAAGCAACTTCAGCAGTCTCAGGATACAAAATCAATGTGAGTGGTATTTTATTAGAAACCCAGAACTTGGAAGGAATAGAGAATTTTGATAGCCAGGCTGACACAAATATTGTCATTGAAAGAACTCATAAGACAGCAGGAGAAAAAGAATAGAAGGTTGAGGCTGGGTGAGATAGTGCCAGTCATCTATCAGGTGGTTCTCAAGGAACCCAGGCCATACAGAAAAGGTTATAAAAATTAGGGGAAGCTGAGCAACTGCAAGAATACACAGAAATAGTGGCACGTGAGGTCCCACAGCACAAAATGAGGATGCAACTAACTGCCCCAGCGTAACACAAAAAGGATGTTATCATTTTCACAAGGCTGGGAAACCCCAGGGCACAGAACCACTGCTTCTCACAGTAGGGGCTGGGAACAGAGTGGTGCCTCCCAGAATCCCTCTGATAAGGATTGAGGCAGGTGGAAGACTGTTCCAAGTGCTGAGAGGTCCTCTTTTTATTTATTTGGCCTTTTAGAGTCCTGGAATAACTTAAAAGAAGACAATTCTGGTTCACAAACTCTTGGAAGAGGTTAGTGATCTTGGGGGCTAATAATGTCAATATTAATAACTAACTTTGAGTACTTACTATGCCTGATGCTTTCCCCAAAAAATATCTAATCCTCACTATCATTAAGCCCATTTTACAGATGTGGAAGTGGGGAGCTAAGAGAGATAAAGAAATGCACCCAAAGTCACAAAGCTGATAAAGGGTGCTACCAGGATTCCAATGCAGTCTGATTCCAGAGCTCTTAACTACGTATTTAATACTTACTTCACCTCGTTCCCAAATGCATGGTGTGAATAAGGCTTTTGTAGGAAAAAGATGTACCCTTTCCTAAGTCTCAACAATGTAATCTTTGCTGTTAATCAGGGACATTTGTCCTGAGAAATTCACCGCTCCTTTCTCTTTACGACATTCCCCTTACAGGGACTGAAAAATCAGTCTTTCACAAGAGATCTTGATACTTAGAGCACTTCCCTATGGCAGCATCAATAAACTAGCCAAATGTTCAAAACTGTGTCAGTTGTGCATAACTTCTAGGGGAAGGAGAAAGTTTTTCCTGGATGTATGTGTTAAGAGATAAGGAAATACAGGAAAAAAGAGCAAATGAAAGGCAGAATCATTATCTGGGACAACATTGATTTCAGATCCTGGAGGGCTAAATCCAGGACTACTCAGAAGTCCTGAGTAGTCCCTCAATTAAGGGAGTACTCACTCTAACTGAAAACACATAAGGGGGGGCGCATAAAAGAATCTTTGAGGCTTGGCCCTCTGACTCCTGCCACACTGCCTCAGGAGTTGGCTGCCTCCATTCCTGGCAACAACCACAAATCGAATGAGCTTCGTGTAAGCATGTGAAAAGGACAGTTTGTGACATAACAGACTTCTTCTAAATCCCACCAGATATGAGATCACCGTTGATAGATTTGATTCTAAGATGCAGGGAACTTTCCATTGCTGGCCTTGCCAATGCTGAGAGCTGATAGAGGGACAGGCAGCATCACAAGGTTTAACGAAAGAACTATCCCAGATTTAAGGGTCTCTACCCAAACCCATGGGAAAGGGATGATTTAAGGACTGCTTAGAATGAACACTGAATAAACGGGGAGACTGGTGAAAGGAGGTAAGACAGAGCAGGAAACAACATAAACCCAACTGTGCTCGGATCTGCAATGAATCTGCAATGGAAGCAAAAAAGCAAAATAAGGGCCGGGTGCAGTGGCTCACTCCTGTAATCCCACCACTTTGGGAAGCCGAGGTGGGCAGATCACTTGAGGTCAGGAGTTCAAGACCAGCCTGACCAACATGGCAAATCCCAGTCTCTACTAAAAGTTCAAAAAATTAGCCAGGCGTGGTGGTGCGCACCTATAGTCCCAGCTACTTGAGGCCTCACCTGTGAGGCCTGAGACTATAAAAATCCTAGAAGAAAATCTAGAAAAAACTCTTTTGGACATTGGCCTAGATGAAGAATTTATGAATAAGACCGCAAAAGCAAATGCAACAAAAACAAAATTAGAAAAATGGGACTTAATTAAACTAAAGAGCTTCAGCACAACAAAACAATCAACCTACAGAATGAGAGAACCTACAGAATGAGACAGACCTACAGTACAGACAACATATAGAATGAGAGAAAATACTTGCAAACTATGCATTCAATAAAGGACTAATATATAAGAAACCCAAACAAATCAACAAGAAAGAAAAACAAATAACCTCATTTAAAAAGTGGGCAAAAACCATGCATGGTGGCTCACGCCTGTAATCCCAGTACTTTAGGAGGCTGAGGTGGATGGATCACTTGAGGTCAGGAGTTTGAGACAGCCTGGTCAACATGGTGAAACCCTGTTTCTACAAAAAATACAAAAAATAGCTGGGAGTGATGGTGGGTGCCTGTAATCCCAGCCACTTGGGAGGCCGAGGCAGGAGAATCGCTTGAACCTGGGAGGCAGAGGCTGCAGTGAGCCAAGATAGCGCCACTGCACTCCAGCCTGGGCGAAAGAGTGAGACTTGCCTCAAAAAAAAAAAAAAAGAGCGAAGGACATTCACGGACATTTCTGAAAAGAAGACAAACAGCCAACAAGCATATGAAAAAATGCTCATTACTAATCATGAAAGAAATGCAAATCAAACCAAAATGAGTCACCATCTCACACTAGTCAGAAAGGCTATTAATAAAAAGTCAAAAAATAAATAACAAATAATGGCAAGGATGCAGAGAAAAGGGAATGCTTATTCACTGTTGGTGGGAGTGTAAATTTCTTATGAAAAACAGTATGGAGATTCTGAAAGAACAAAAAATAGAACTAGCATTCAACCCAGCAATCTCACTACTAGGTATCTACCCAAAGGAAAACATATCGTTATATCTCAAAGATTCCTGCACTTGTATGGTTATCATAACACTATTCCCAATAGCAAAGTCATAGAATCAACCTAAGTGTCCATCAATGGAGGACTGGATAAAGAAAATATCTAATCACACACACACACACACACACACACACACACACACACACACACATATACACACCATGGAATACTATGCAGCCATAAAAAAAGAATGAAATCATGTCCATTGCAGCAACATGGATGGGCCTGGAAGCCATTATCCTGAGTGAAGTAACTCAGAAACAGAAAATCAAATTCTGCATGTTCTCTTTTATAAGTGGGAGCTAAACAATGGGTACACATGGACATGGAGATGAAAATAATAGATACCAGGAACTCCAAAGCAGAGGGATTGAAAAATTACGTATTGAGTACAATATTTCACTAGAAGCCCAAATCTCACCATTACACAATATATCCATGTAACAAACCTGCACATGTACCCACTGAATCTAAAATGAAATAAAAATAATGTTGAAAATCATAATAATATGGATTGTGCCTTATAAAATTGAGGGAAATGGTTTGTTGTTGGTTTTGCTCTGCTTCTACAGTCCAGGACAGCAGGATGATGTAAGGAAAGATCATGCAATTGGATATAAGTTCGATACCTAGTTATGTTTATAGCTTACAAAGTTTTTTCGAGTGATTCAAATTATCTGAGACTCAGTTTCTTCATCTGTAAAATAAACACAATAATATTTCTCAGGGTTGATTTGAGGGTGAATGAGATAAAGCACACACCTGAACTCTACCATGTGTCATAGGTTAAAAGATGCACAATATTTCTCATTTTAACCTCTTCACAACAGAAATGAACCTGATAATTAATGACACATTATTGTTTAATTTAGAACAATTTTATTCTTCCTCAGTGGCACATAAAGTAATGAGAGTCCAGGATAATTTCAAATAATGACAGCTGCAGGTATCAATTTATTCTCAAGCCAGGTGTGACTCTCAATGCACAAGTGGGTTACCCCAACCCCTCCAGAGAACACAAATATTCTCCTTTATACATTCCATTTTTTTCTCCATTCATTGGACTAACTCTTCCTCCCACAACCCTTATTACTCAAATTAGTGGAATAGAAAAAGTATGAGTTTCAGAACCAGACAAATTAAATTTTGGCTGTGCTGCTATGTGACATTCTGAACTTCCACTGAGTGCTTCATAATTGTGTATAATAATACTAACCCCAAAAGACTGTTAATAAAGATTAAATGAGAAGATACATGTAAAGTCCTAGCAGTGCCAAACACATTGTAAATTCACCCTTTATTTTTGGTGAAAGAATCCAGACATAATAAGCCAAATATTATATAATTCCATTTATGTCCAGAATAGGCAAAATACATAGAGACAAAGTAGATTATTTGTTGCCAGGGGTTGTGGGGAGGTGGACAATGGAAGTGACTACTCATGAATACAGGTTTCTTTATGGGGTGATGAAAATGTCCTAGATTAAATAGTGTTGATGGTTGCACAACCTTGTAAGTTTGCTAAAGGCACTGAATTGTATATTTTCAAAGGGTAATTTTATGGTATGTGAATTATGTTTCAATAAAAATATAGAAAGAAAGAAAAATTTTGAAAAAATAAATTCTCCCTTTTTCCTTCCTCCTCTCACCACCACATTCCTTTCTTCTGATTATTAGAATTGAAAGAAGGGCTGATACCTAGATCAGGGTCTGGCAAACTATGGTCTGCAGGCCAAATCAGCCTCCCACTTCCCTTTGTAAATGAAGTTTTACTGCAACATGTTCACATCCAGGGTTTACAAATTGTCTATGGTTGCTTTTGTGTTACACAGCAGAGTTGAATAGTTGCCACAGAGACCATTTGGCTCTCAAAGTTGAAAGTACTTCCTACCTGGTGATTGACAGAAAAGTTCCCTAATCCCTGCTTAGAATGGGTGCTACAGCACCTAAAACTCCCCCCTCCATGCATGCTACTACCTACTTCTAGAGAGCTTTTCTGAGTGACAAGTGTGCATCCCTCTTCCTAGGACTCTTGAGAACTCACCACAACTTCTACACTCCCAGAGCAGAGAGTAGAGTCATGAGAATTTCTGATGAGGAAGATAACCATGCCAGCATGAAAGACAGAAATGAGATCAGGTGGTTTCTGTGGCTTCAAGCCATCCCCTTTCTTCTACTTCTAGGGCTATAAAAGCGGGGCCCAGTGAAGGGGTGACAGAACTAGCCATGGTCAGTATGGGCAATGTCGCAGGGAAAATGCAGGCCCTGATCATTTTGCTGGTCTTCCTCTTGCCTCCTGAAGCCACATCTGGTGAGTCTAGGGTGTAACTTCCTGTCCTGTAAGTCCTCAGCCCCTATTCCAAAATCATTAACCTGGGTCAGAGAAGAGCCTAAAATAATGCTGCAGGATATCTTTGCATATGTTCCAAAGGGAGAGCTATACCTAGAAGAGTCATATACTTTCCACAGTTGATGACAGTGTCCCAGGGACAAGAAGAGTAGGGTGGAGAAAGAATCAGAAACTGGCTTTGGAAGTTTCCCTTAACCTGCTTTGCTCAAAATGCCCCCAATTCTTATCCATGGCCCTTCTCTCATATTGAAGAGGGCAGGATAAGGACATGATGAAATGTCTAAAGGAAATGACAAATCAAGCTGGTTAGAAAAAATTTTTTTCACTCTTATGTATGTATGTTATGATTCTCAATTTTAAAAAAATTAACATGGACCATAACCAGAGAGAAGCCATTTTTTTCTGTAGCCAGGTCATACAGAAGACCTGTGCTCCTGACCAGACTTTAGGGATGCACTTAGGTGATGGGGTATGCCCAAAAAGTCCCCTTAAAAACACACATTGAAGGCCTGTTTGTGTGGCTGCCATTTCTACTGCCCACTGACCCATTCCCTGAGCAGCCAGTGCCACTTCCTTACTTCAGTCATTAACTGATAGTGAAATATTGATTTCTCCACCTTTGGTAATATTAAAGATCACTAAAGGGAATGTTTGAAATTCTGAAAAAGAACTTCAAGTTTCAGGGGGGAAAAAAGGTTGGGGGAGAGGAGTTTCCTAACAGGGATCCCAGTTAATACATAATCAATATGCAATTTATTAATACATCTCTCCATGTCCACTCCCCCTGTATCTTGCCATTCTTGACCTGCATTTCCATCCTCCTTACCTTCCCTAGAGGCCAACTCATTTTCTTTGAAAAACCTGGCATTTCCCAGAAAAAAAAGTGAAGGGCTGGGAGCTGTCCGTTGTCCTGATTTGCTCCCTCTGCCCTTGCTTCCAAATGTGGTTGGAAAGAAGCACTATTGAAAAATCCCTAAACGACCCCTGCAGGGTTGGCTCTACCCTGTAGCCATGGACACATGCTGTTGATACCACCTGCCTCATGAGTCTCACATAATTTGCCCTTTCACACTATCTACCCCATCAGCCTTACCAAAACCATACCTGCATCCTGGGCAGCATCTGCCCTTCAAGAGACTAAGGAATCTCCTTGCAACCAAGAATGACTAGACCAATGAGACACCCTTTAAGGCCCCAGCACAATATAGAAATCCCACAATATGGTAATCCCAGTAAGGAGCTATCAAGCCATTGCAGGACCATCTAGAATACAACTAGAGTATAGTTCCTTTCAATCCAGGAACTATACTCTAACAGCTTGGCTCACAGGAACCAGAAGTGAAGATGATGAGGATCAGGGCTGAGCCTGTGAGCACCAGCTCCACCACTGACACCAACCACAGATTAAACAAGCATCTTGTGGACCCCTGGGATGGAAAGAATAGTTGTTGCCTTATCAACCTCCCCCACAGCCCACACAGAAAAGATAAAATCATCATGGCTACAGTGTTACAGAAGATGATGACCCAAGGAGTAGGCCTGCCTGAGTGAAGCTGAGAGTGATAATGGGAGCAGTAGCATCTCAGAGACTACAGCAGAAACCATCCACATAAAGAGCTTTGCCCAAACTTATGATAAAGGGCACCCTCAGAGACTCTCCCTACTTTAATATTAGCCCATTGCAGAAATGGTGAGTGGAAAGAGAAATCTTAGGAAGAACCCCTTAAAAAAGCAAAATGTTTTTAGGTTTGTGCTGAAGAGCCTGGAAAAGAAATAAGGACACACACGCTGAGAAATCTTCCTCCTGCCCCAACACTGGGAATAATCTCCAAGGATCTCTACATATCTCATTCTCCTGGATACACTGTCCACTCAGAAATATTGTGCAGAGTGCAGTAATTCAAAAGTGAGCTATTGTGTTAGGAGTGAAGGCAAGAGTATCGTAAAATAAATCAATTTGAAAGTAATTCTCTTAAATTGCTTTATAGATGTTTAATGTAAGCCAGCAGCTATTAAACATAAACCTTAAATTCAGAAAAACTTGGTCATTCAGAAACTATAGAAACAGGCAGGACTTATTGCGAGGGCAAACACAGAGTGAGCTCCAGCCTGCTTCAGGAAAATCTGCCAGTGCCATGAAGGATGTACTCTGTCTGCTCCACTGCACTACTGCTCAGTATGAGCCCATGCCATCAGCTGTCCCTGACCCACAGGAGTTCTTTAGAAGAGACTGCAACAAAAGTTTCTAGGTGTTTTATACCTGCCAACTCGAGGGTTAAAACAAGTTGCATAGAAATGCTCAATCAAGAAAGACACAGTCATTACTCAGAGAATAATAAACAGCCTGGCAGCACATGAATGAATAGAAAAAAGATGTTACATGCAAAGCATGAAATAACCAAATTCCATAACAGATGTTAATCTGTAATGTGTTTAGGAGAATTTAGAGGAAGTATAAGATTTATTCTTTCATCAAAAAAATTATAGCCAATGAGGATATATCTATCAATTATCCATCAAGTGGTGATATGGCAGCACAAGGTAAAACACAAAGGAATAAAACCAACGTTTATTAAGAACCAATCATGTGGCATTTCACATTGAGCATCATATTTAATTCTGAAAAAAATCCTTGTACTGTATCATTCTTCATATTTTATGGATGCAGTAACTAAGGCTGAGAACTTTAAAATTTTTCCTAAGTTCAGACACATAGCTAAGTGGCAGAACCAAGATTCAAACTCACCCCATCTAACTGCAGAGCAAACTGCATGCCTTAAATGTCAAAGTGAATACTAGCACAGTTAATACAATGTTTGGAAACTCAGAGAAGGAATGATCCCTCTGCATTATAGTTACTAAGGAATCATTGCCATTATTTAAATGCCAGTGCTTCTACATCAGGCCCAAATTTTCTGTCCTACTAACTGTGAATCAAGACTTGATTCAACCTCTACTTGAGTATCTGCCGCAATGAGAAATCACTTACCTCCACTAACCACACATTTATTTTATAACAACAGATTGTTAGTAAGTCCTTTCTTATACATACTCAACAGCTGCTTCCCAAGATGCTGTAGGATTATGTCTAGAGTCAAACTAGCCAGAAGCAATGTCCAAAATACACCATAACACTGTGCAGCAAAGGTCCTACTACCACTTGTTTGGCCCAAACATTCTAGGCAGCACTGGATATCTGAATCATCAATTATTTCCACAAACCCTGACCCCTCTACCAGTCACCCTCACTAGAAGAATTAATTCCACATGATAATAGCTCCCTCATGTTACTCCCTTCTAAGTCAAATTGTACACCCCTTTATCTGATTAACAGAGTCTAAGTCACATGACCTAAATGCAAGAGAAACTGGGAATGGAAGTTTGTGGATTCTACCTTAGTAAGGCAAAGTTATCATTGGGAATTCCTCTAATACAGGAAGGGTGTTCCAGAGACATTAAGGAGCCATATAAATGGAAAATGTCCACTACAATCCATCACTTGGTTGCCCCACATCAACATTCATTCTTTTGCCACACTTAAAGTTTCCAAGAACAAAAATTATCCCACTGAACATAATCTTTACCATCTTTTATATAAAGGAAAATTAGACTTGACTCAGCAGAACTGAAATAACCCAGTCTCAACAGTTACTGCTTTTAACTTCAAGTACTGTGTCTCTAGGTGATACCTGCTCCAACAATAGTTTGGTCACATTTTCAATTTGATATTCTCTAGTCTCCCAACTTGATAACTGTACCCTAAACCATAAAGTTCACTACCAACATGCTATATATAAAATAACCAAAGGGGGAAGAAGAAAGAGAAAAAGGAAATCTCTTAAAATACACAGGTATACATATGACAAAGCAAAGAAGGAAATGTGAGCAGATAGCGCAGTCCTCGTTTCTGAAATTGGTCCCCTGACTGGGGCTATACCTATTCCATTTCCTCACCCTCAGCCAGGCAGGTGGAGCAAAACTTAAGTCTTGGTGGATCTGAATCTTGATGCTGTGGAGCTGTCTTACTAGCCCCAGACTACCTGCCTCTCAATTTCTAATTATATCAGTGAAAGCAAACAGCTTTGATTTGTTTAAGCCTCTGATTTTTTGGTCTAACTGATGTAAGACCACAAGACAAGAGTTCTCCAGCTCCGGATTCTCTTCTGTTCTGTTAATGGTGAAATGCCCAGAGAAGAGTTGCCAACTTTGGCAAATAAAAAATACAGGATTCCAGTTAAATTCAAATTTTAGATAAACAACAATTTTTTAGTATTAGTGTGTCCCATTCAATATTTGGACATACTTAACTAAAAAATGATTTGTTGTTCATCTGAAATACAAATTTAACTGGGCATTCTGAATATTCTCTGGCAACCCCCGAGAGAGTGAAGAAAGTGGTACAAGGACACTTAAGAAGACCAGATTTGAAAAGACATTACGGATGTGTTTAAATGTCTTATTCTAGAGAGAGTTAGAGCTGTAGGTAGAACTTGGGAAATTAAGTTAAAAGCAACAGAGGACCTGGCCAATATATACTAAGGAGTGGATCACTCTGGTCACAAGCCCAACCTGAGACCAAGGGCATAGTGAGATGATTTGGGAAAGGCACTTATACACTACTCATCCCCGTCTTTGAACTAAATGCCTTATAAATCTCCAAGAGAAATGACAGTCCACCATGTGGACTGCTTTCTGTAAGTCCAGGGAAAATAAAAGCTATGTGCTTGAAACCCACTTCTGATATTATAAGGTGTGTGATCTTTGTCATGTTAATGGGTCTGAGTATCAATTCTACAATTGTAAAGTGACAGTAATGGTGTGTCCCCAGGTTGTTGTGGAAAGCTTGATTCTTAATGCAACAGTAGGAAACCCCAACCTCTCTGGAGCAAACACCCTTCTACATCTTTACTTCCCCTGCACATTGGCAGGACTCTATTCCTCTATTTCTCTCTAGTGCTAGAGCAGAAAGGGACCTTGATTTGATATCAGGAAAATCTATTTCTGAACCATAAGCTATGATAGCTGATTTAAAAAATTGACTATCATGACATGATAATGATCATAATGGTAATACATATTGATAGGGTTGCCGTGAAAGTAATAATATATCTAAGAGTTGTGACAATATATGATACACCTAGACTCTCAGAAAATGCTAATTCCAATCCCAATTGCTCTTTGCATAAAGTTCTGTCCTAGGGTCTGTTCTTTTCCCACATCTACCCTCCTTGGATCTCTCTTCTGTCAAAAACATGTGGTTCAGAGGAGGAGAGAGATCCAGGTCAATGTTTTTCAAATTACAAGGAATTATCATTTAAATGGGGTTGTTGCTCAAGTTTTGACGTGTAGTGGAATGGAGTGGAGTGGAGTGGAATGGAAACTAACAGAAAACACTGCACATGGTTAAGATAAAGATTGTTTCCTGAAACCTTTAATTTGTGCTTACATACTCACACATACATATGTGCATGCACTGGGACTCTGCAATATGCATTTCTGACTATGGAACATAGCCATAAAAGTCTTTGCACTGAACGTTCAGTGGGCCTTTCACAAGCTGCCCTAATTGGGAAAGAAAAACATGGTCCCTCCATTTCCTGCCCCCAACTCCAGAAAAGTCACCATAGTTGAGGGTACATCTGAGAAGCCAGCACTTGGGAGTTCAGGGCTCAAGTTCCTTTCTAGAAAAACACTGGGTGATTCTAGGGGAACTTCTGATCAGAAACAGCCAATTCAGAGTGAGAGAAGAAAACGTGACCATGCAGTTCCTGTGGTTACCAGCCTTGCCCCTCTCTTGCCTTCTGGGAGTTATAAAACCCAAGACTGGAAAGGAAAACCAGCATTTGCTCAGGCAGCCTCTCTGGGAAGATGCTGCTTCTTCCTCTCCCCCTGCTGCTCTTTCTCTTGTGCTCCAGAGCTGAAGCTGGTGAGTATCAGGGTTCTTCCCTCTGAAATCTGCAGTATCAGCTCCTGAAACAAAGATGTTTAGTCTGAAAATAGCTGACTCCTAAACAGGGTTCCAAGATCTCTCTTCAAGAGTCCCAGAGGGAAATTTCCACTTGGGATGTGTGCCACCCCACCCCCACCCCCACCCACTGCCATTCTCTACAGCCTAGGACAGCCCCCAGGAACAAGGAATTTCACCTCAATTGTAGAAAAGCCCAGAGCAAGTGGAAGGAAAAGGGGTATCCCCAGGAAAACAGACATGTCCTCTTAATCTTCTGAGCATCAGGGCTACCCATTACTTTGTGACTTTCTCACTCTGTGACCATGCTCAAGAGCTATGGAGAAATCTAAAACAGGAACCTGGACAGTGGGTCCTACACAGAGACAGAGGAGGGTGGGCCAGGGCAAGGTGGGAGTGGGAGAAGTCTGAGATGAAAACATCAGAATGGAGCAGAGGCAAGAATGAGATTTCACCTGGGAGGTTATGGGTGGGGAAAGATACGAAATACAGGAGACAGGAGAGGGAAGATGGGCGGAACACAGGGTGAGAATGAGATTCCAGGGAAGCCTAGCTCAGCTTTAACCCAATTTGTCCATTCATTGGAGAGAGTATCTATGGCCGTGTTCAAACCCTGGGGTGCTCTGTTCCAGGGGAGATCATCGGGGGCACAGAATGCAAGCCACATTCCCGCCCCTACATGGCCTACCTGGAAATTGTAACTTCCAACGGTCCCTCAAAATTTTGTGGTGGTTTCCTTATAAGACGGAACTTTGTGCTGACGGCTGCTCATTGTGCAGGAAGGTGAGACAACAGGGTCTATTTATCTCCAAATGGGAGATGAACAACCAGAGTAGCATCCAGGAATACACCTGCACTGGGGACTGAAGAGGGGGTCCTGGGTCTTGTCAACTTTCAGGAGAGGGAAGACTTGGGCTGAAAGACTTTAGTCTGTGTTTGAATAGTTCCTTGAGCCTCAGTCACTGTGAGCTAAGCTCCCCTTCGGAGGAAAAGGAGGTCCTGTCCAAGGTCCCTCTTGTTGCAGTAGCACCCCTCACCCCTACCCAACTCAAGACACACGGCTCACTTTTCAGGGCCCCACCCAGTCTCAGGGCCACTTCCTCTATGGCCTTTTCAAGAACACTGGCCTCTAGTTCTCAGGGTCCTGAACCCATCATTTTATGGGAGGCAGAGAACAGGGTCTACATGAGACCCCCACTTTCCCGTTTAACTGATATCTCCTGCTTCAGGGGCTGGCCCTCATGCAGGGTTCCCTGAATTAGGAAGTGTGAACCCTGTCCCCTGAGTCCTCCCTGGCCTGTTCAGTCCCCAGCAATTCCAGGGGTCGTAGAAATTGTGTCTGTTTCCTGAGAAAGCTCTTTCATGAGTTAAGCCTGAGCCCTCAAATGCCACAAGTGGCCCATGAAAAGGGAGATGGGTAGAGTCCGGCGACCCAGTGACAGAGTTTAGTCCTCTTTTCTCAGAATGAGCTCACCTCAGAAGAAACCCCAAGCCATCACTGTCGCTCCTTTTCCTTCCTTCTTCCTCACAACAGGTCTATAACAGTCACCCTTGGAGCCCATAACATAACAGAGGAAGAAGACACATGGCAGAAGCTTGAGGTTATAAAGCAATTCCGTCATCCAAAATATAACACTTCTACTCTTCACCACGATATCATGTTACTAAAGGTGACAACACCTCTCTTCTCCCTTTCCACTTCCCATTCTCCTAAGCTTCTCCTTCAGGTCCTCATTGCCCTGAATTTTTCTTAGGACTTGGCTATAACATGAAGCTACTCACCCTGTCCCTCCCTGATCACCTCCAACTGTCCAGAGCCCATTTCGAGGACTGACAGTCCTTCATTCCCTTCACAGTTGAAGGAGAAAGCCAGCCTGACCCTGGCTGTGGGGACACTCCCCTTCCCATCCCAATTCAACTTTGTCCCACCTGGGAGAATGTGCCGGGTGGCTGGCTGGGGAAGAACAGGTGTGTTGAAGCCGGGCTCAGACACTCTGCAAGAGGTGAAGCTGAGACTCATGGATCCCCAGGCCTGCAGCCACTTCAGAGACTTTGACCACAATCTTCAGCTGTGTGTGGGCAATCCCAGGAAGACAAAATCTGCATTTAAGGTGATCCTCCAACTAGGTTTCCTCTCCAAAACTCACTGTTCAGGGACCAGAATGCTCTTAGAAGGAGATGGGGTCAGAAGGTTGTCAGTCAGTGACAGGGTGAGCATCACAGGAATTGCTGTCCTCCCGTGGTCCAAGACAGCCTCTGACCATCCATTCCAGTCTACTGCACTGGGGGCATGGGGTGATGTGGAGAATGTGGATGACGGTCCCAAGAAAGGAAGAAGGGGCATCAGAACTAGATGTATAAGTGAGGAGCTCCACCTCCTGCGTCTGACTTTAGGTCTCACTGTGACTCCAAGCTGGCTGGCAGACAGGAGTGGAGGACTTCCCGGGCTCACCTTCTTCTCTCTCTCCTCCCCCTACAGGGAGACTCTGGGGGCCCTCTTCTGTGTGCTGGGGTGGCCCAGGGCATCGTATCCTATGGACGGTCGGATGCAAAGCCCCCTGCTGTCTTCACCCGAATCTCCCATTACCGGCCCTGGATCAACCAGATCCTGCAGGCAAATTAATCCTGGATCCTGAGCCAGCCTGAAAGGGAAGCTGGAACTGGACCTGAGCAGCAAAGTGTGTGCCACTCATTCTGGTCTACCCTTGGTCCCTCAGCCACAACCCTAAGCCTCCAGAAGTATCCTACAGGTCACAGAACTCTCAATAAACCTCAGTGAAGACACAGCTTCTAGTCGTGAGTGTGTGTCCCCTCTCTGCTGCTCTCTTCTCCCTGCACATAGTGACCTGATTCCCAGCCCAAGCACCCAAGGATTTGGAAGGGGTTTGTGTGTGTGTGTGTGTGTGTGTGTGTGTGTGTGTGTGTGTGTATGGGGGGGGAGGGAGAGAGAGAGAGAGAGAGAGAAATAGAGAGGAATTAATGAAGAAAAAAAAATGAGGAAAAAGAAGAGATTTTCCCTGGAAAGGCAGGATCCATATTTCCAGCTTAAGAAAAGACACCAAATCCTTCTTTGCCTTAATCATCAACCCTATACCAATTCTGATTTATCTTTAGTAATATTCAGAAGCACTAAGAACATTTTCAATTATAAGCAAGATATAAGATGTTTACAGCATCCCTGGCCTCTTCCTACTAGATGCCAGAAGCAACACCCCCTTCTCCACCGCAAAGTTGTGACAACCAAAATGTCTCCAGGCATTGCTAAATGTCCCCAGGCGAGGGAGGGAGGAGGAAAGAAAGATCACTGTCTTTCGTTGAAGACCACTGGCTCTCTTTCGTTGAAGACCATGGTTTAGATACATGATATAAAGAAGGCAGCTGATGCCACACAGGGCCCTCCTCATAGCCCACATCGATAAGAAAAGATCTTCCCTCTGTGAAGCTTTCATCTGATATGCAGAGAAGACTGCCTCCCACTCACTCATTGTTACCAAACAGATACTGAGAGCAGATTAGAGGAGAGACAGCACTACAAGGTCTGCATGAGCAACACCCATCCACAAATGGCTTCACCCAAACCAGCAGGAAGACCAAAACCTAGAGCTTGCTCAACACAAACCCTTGTCATGGGAGACTGACTGGAGGAGAGAAAACAGGGCAGGAAAGGGACAGGACAGCCAGAGCCTGAGGCTGGCAACACCCATCATTTCTGAGGGTGTACTGAACACCTTTGGCCAAGTGAACTATTGCTGGGAGTTTATCTTTAAGAAAGAATCAAAGACACACAAAAAGATTCATGCATAAAAATTTTAATCTCAGCATTTTTATTTATGCTTTTACTTTTTATAATTTATTCCTATATATTTCATCTTCCAAATAATTTCTGCTTTGCATTTAATATATCAAAGGTATTAAAAAAGTGATTTATTATACACACACACATATATACATATGAAATTTCTATCATAGTCTTAGATATCAGAAAAATTTTTTAATGCACTGTATGACTTGATTTTTTTTTTCAGAAACATGAAACCATACCAAAGTGAGAACTTTTGACTTCATTTCAGCTCTGGTTTCTAGTTTCAAGTCTTCTACCAGCTATATGACTTAAAGATACTACTTGATATGTTCAGTTACTTCATCTGAAAAATTGACATGCATTTTAACCTGAAATACAGGAGCTCAATATTTTTCTACAAAAAGGACAATTGCTGTCTATAAATTCAACATTCTTTTCTTGGTTATCTTTTTTTTTTATCATACTTTAAGTATTAGGGTACATGTGCACAACGTGCAGGTTTGTTACATACGTATACATGTGCCATGTTGGTGTGCTGCACCCATTAACTCTTCATTTAACATTAGGTATATCTCCTAATGGTATCCCTACCCCCCCCCAACCCCACAACAGGCCCTGGTGTGTGATGTTCCCCTTCCTGTGTTCATGTGTTCTCATTGTTCAATTCCCACCTATGAGTGAGAACATGCGGTGTTTGGTTTTTTGTCCTTGTGATAGTTTGAATCTCAGCATTTTCAATAACAAAAATCTGGAATCCCAGACATGGAGAAAAGCTTCTATGATAAACTTGTATGACTGAATATTCTGAATTCATGAAAATTTGTGTTAAAAACATTTAGTATGGAAAAATTCAAGAAAATTCAATATATTCAATATAATGTAATGCTTTTACAAAGCAATATGAAAATCTTCCTATAGTAGAATCTCACTTTTGTAGCTATATATTTTATATATGCACAGGAAAAAATTGGAAGTAATTACATCAAAATAATTATGGGGGTTATGTCTACAGGATGGGATTAATAGCTATTCTGATTTTGTCTTTATGCTGGCTCCAAGCCCCATCCATGTATTCTAACTATTGAGGACGCAGCACTACTCATGGCTCCACCAGTGGATAAGCACATATAACCATCTTCAGAATTCCATTGCTCAGGGTTTTCTGCATGGGAACAAAGCATCCTTCCATTTCCAGGTCGCGTCACTCAGCCCATTCAGGAAGCTACCAGAGAAGCTAAGCCCTACAGGTTCCCTCAGGTTAGTGAGCAGTCTTTCCTGGCAATTGGTGTCAATGGCCAATTGCAATCTCCTGAAAATCTCCACTGCCACAGCTGATCCCAGAGTCCTAATTGATATTTTGCATCTCACTTCCACCACCCACTCTAGGTGTCCCCCAACAACCATCTAGCAGTTCAGTAAGTCTGTGCTGTAGTCTGATGGAGTGACCCAGACCTCTACCCCGAGGGGACTGAGTTGTTAGATGCTTTGCATTTGTTAGGTTTGGGTTGTTGTAACTGCCCATTTACAATCATCAGTGAGCACAAAAGTATGGGGGATACTTCCAGCAAATCCCGTGGGTTGCAGTCATACTCTTATCTTCTCCCATTGCATTGCAGCAACCCTAGCTTCTCATGGTAATCAAGGCCAATTATTCTAGCCATAAGGCAACTCTTTCCTTTGCCTGCTGGTCCACTGTTATGAGGAGCCCCAAACAGCTGAGTGATAGTCACAACTTCCAGTTCACTGGAGCCTTTCCCACCTCCACTGGAGAAAGCATTTACTTCCTGGAAACTTAGACCTCTAAACTGGCAGAATTTAAGTTTGCAGGAACAGTAAGATACAAATTCCACAAGTAAGTCCCTGGGAGTGATAACTGAAGGGATCAATTCTACTTCTATCCCTTGGTTCCTGGACTCATATATTCTAGTTATGTGGGGACACTGAACCATAGATTGGTATTGATTCAGCATATGTATCACATCCTGGAAAGCAGTGCTCCAACTTCCAACCCTACAGGGTGTCATCTCTGAGCTGGCACCTTAGCTGAGCTTTCAACAGGCCAGCTCATCATTCCACTAGGTTGACTGCTTCTGGGTGGCATGGTATATAATAAGACCAATGAGCCCATCATTTTACATTCTTTGCCATAAAATGAGTCCTTTACTCTGAGCTAATGTGTGTGAGAAGCAGGTTGATGGATTGGGAAATCTGTAAGCCCTCATATGGTGGTAGTGGCAGAGGAATTTCAGGCAGAGAAGGAAAACTCATGTCTAGAGCAAGTATCAATGGTGATAAGGATGAATGTCCATCCCCTCCAAAGCAGAGGGGTCAACCTCTCACTGGATGGCTGCCTGATCTCTCCAAGAGCAGTGCCATCTCAAAGACTCAGCGATAGTCTCTGCTGTTGGCAAGTTAGGTGATTAACAGTGGCAAGACCCGAATTGATTTTGGTGAAAGAGAGTGTCCATGTTCTTGGACCCATTCATGGCATCTATTCAACCTCCATGACCACTCTACTCTGACCATGGCCCATTGTTCCAGCAGCGAGGTGATCAAGAAGAGAATATGGTTGACATCCACAAGCCATATCACCCCTTTACTTGGTTGGGAGTCTCTGTGAGTCCATGTGGTCCAGTGCTCAGGTACAGCAACTTCTTCTTAGCCAGCAGCACTGTGCAAGTGGAGCTCTTGGTCTGTGGTGGCAGCAGCAGTGGCAGCAGTGAGCAGGGATTTGTGACCATGAGAACAGAGTGAGTTGTCACCAGAGCCACTCCAACCTAAAAGCAAAGCAAGCAGTCAATGCAAGTGGAATCCAGGGAAGCTGGAGTGGTGTATAAACTGGACCAGGTGCACTGGTCCTTACCCAGAGATGTAGTTGGGACTCTCCATAAACAAGCTCACCTTTGTTCTGCTGATAATTAGATCATTCTGAGCAAAGGTATATTGTCAACAGTGGACCTAATTATGTATGTAAATGTCATCTATTAGAGTGAGTAAAGGAGGGGGTTGAGGAGGTAACACCAATGTGGATGAGAAAATAAAAACTACCCACCTGAAGGCCAGAAACAAGTGAATCTGAACAGTGCAAGGAATGGATTTTAGTAGACATTGTTGATGCCCTTCCCAGGACCTCTTAAGCAGGTGATGTACCCATTCCCCAGCTGTTGTGAGTGATAGCCACTAACCAATATCCATGGCCATGAGCTAACATGTATCCTTTCCCTGCGCCACTTCTCTCCACACAAAATAGATGTCCAAATTGATTTTTGACAAGGCTGCCAAGGACACACAATAGGGCAAGGACAGTCTATTCAATAGATGGTGTTGGGAAAACTGGATGTTCACATGCAAAAGAATGAAATTAGACCCTTGTCTCACACCATATACAAAAATCAACTCAAAATGGACTAAAGACTTAAATATAAAACCTGAAATTCTAAAACTACTAGAAGAAAACATAGGTGAAAACTCCATGACATTGCTCTGGGCAATGAATTGTTGGATATTATCCCAAAAACACAGGCAACAAAGCAAAAATAGACAAATAGGATTGCATCTAACTAAAAGTCTTCTGCACAACCAAGGAAACAATCAACAGAGTGAAGAAACAATCAATAGAATGGGAGAAAATATTTGCAAATCACACATCTAATAAGGGTTTAATATTCAAAACAAATAAAGAAGTCAACTCAATAGCAAGAAAGCAAATAACCCAATTTTAAAATGGGCAAAGAACCTAATAGACCTCTCTCAAAAAATACAAATAGCCAATAGGTATATGAAAAAATGCTCAACATCACTGATCACCATGGAAATGCAAATTAAACAACAATGAGATATCACCTATTAGAATGGCAATTATCAAAAAATAAAAGATAACTGATAGTGAAGATGTAGAGAAGAGAACACTTGTACACTGTTGATGGCAATGTAAATTAGTATAGTTGATGGCAATGTAAATTATGAAAAAAAGTATGGAGCTTTACCCAAAAATTAAAAATACAATTGCCATATGATCAAGCAATCCCACTACTGGATATATATTTAAAGGAACTGAAATCAGTATGTCAAAGAGATATCTGCACTCCCGTGTTTATGCGTAATAACTAAGATATGGAATCAACCTAGGTGTCCATCACTGGATGAATGGATAAAGAACACATACATACACACACACACACACACACACACAAACACACACAGAGTGGAATACTATTATCCATCCTTAAAAAGAAGAAATGTTGTCATTTGCAACAACATGGATGAGCCAGGAGGACATTATGCTAAGTGAAATAAACCAGGCACACAAAGAGAAATACTGCATGATCTCGGTCATATACTCTTAAAAGCCAAACTCATAGAAATAAGTAGAATGGTGGTTACCAGAGCCTGGGGTAAGGGAGAGGTACAGGAGGAGATGACCTTCCTGGTTCTGAAGTCCTTCTACTGCTTTCACAATCATGCTACTCCAAAGGCGCAAACATCAAGGGGCCTCCAACAGCTCCCTCCCTGCTTGCCTCAGAGCTTGGGAATCCCAACTCCAAATCTAGTTATAAGTACAATATAGTGCGAATTGAAGAAAAAAGAATATTCAAAAATGTACACATACTTTGATTGCAACAGTATGGAAAACTATATATTTTAGGGAAAAGCGGAAAGAATCCTTCAAAAATAGAGGTAATTTTCTCATAATTGTAACTTAAAGAATGGCTTTTTTATTTATTTATTCTAATTTTTTATTCTCCTTAAAATTGTTTTTGTTTTCACAAATCACAAAAAAAATGAAGAAACACAAAAATGCAGGAGGGCTTTCTCAAACATTTGCTTAGATGCTCAGCAAATGGTCTTATTTTCTGTTTTTCCCATACAGAGCACATTCCCCAGGAAGCAGGGAAACCACAGGACATGGTACCCCGTCGCCTGGGGCAGAAGATAGGGAGTGAGGAGGACATCCTCAGGATCATCCAGAGCCTGAGCTGGGAGGAACTACCTAGGAAAAGCTTTAAGGATGCCCTGAGGCCCGTGGCTGGGTCTGCCCTGTAGTGTGAACCCAAAGAAGACAACTTCCTCTTGGGCAAGGAGTGTGGAAAGAGCTGTTGGTGCCACACTGGCCTCTTCAACCAGCCCATCCATAAAAGACAATATCAGCCATCATTGCAGATTTGATTCAGTGATTCAGAGAGTGACACTGACCCTGTTAATGGAGGCTAGGTTCTGATAAGGGGAAGAAAAATGTTCCAGCATCTGCAGATTTAGCCCAGATATGAGGGGTTTTTTCTCCATGCCATGGGAAGGGACCTGCCCAACACAAACACTGGATAATTATAGTCCAAAACAGCCCAGTTTCCCTGGGTTCTGCAGAAAAGGCAGAGACAGAAGTAAGGAGGCCAAACAGGGACACCCCTGACTCCCGGCCCTGACCCTGACCCAAAGCTGAGCCTTCACCTAAGATACTGAAAGCTGTTCCCCTCCCTCCATTCCAATTCCCTTAACTACTTTGTACACTCACAATCCTACTTGATATAGAGCAAGGGGTAATAGAGAAACAGATTTCCCTTATATGTGTCAAATTATTCTAAAGTGATTATATGGTAAATGATAACCAAAAAGAAATTGAAAAGAGAAACAAAGAAGCCTTATCCTACTGTCAGAACTTGTATAGAGTACAGCTCCAGAATGTTCAGGAACATCTGATGCTTGTAAATATTGTGCTCTGACAGCTTCATAGCACTCCTCTCTCCACACACTGCCCAACAAACTTGAATTCTTCTCAGCCTCTGCCCCTCCCTAAGAAAAGTTCTTGCAAACATATACATTCTTATAAGCCAAGGTTTGTCTCTCCACGGCCATTTGATAGTCAAATCAACAATGATTTATCTAGTCCTCAACAACCTAGGTAAAGAGAGCTCAGCAAACCCATGGGTGAAGCAGAATAAAGTCAGGATGAAAACCTCTGTGTAAAGCAGGACATAGTGAGGGCCTGCAAACTGCACACCTGTAATTCACTGGTGTCATGGGAGAGGTCCAAAACGTGATATATGCACTCCTGACCTTCCCTGACAAGGGTTTCAACTCAATGGGTGAACTCATCATTTACCTGTGAAAAAGTCTTATGAGCAAAACATAATTAAAGGAAGGAAGTTAACAACAATAAAGGCCTATTTCAAGAGACCTATTGTACAACATGCTGGTTACGGTTAACAACAATGCATTTTAATAATTGAAAATCATGAAGAGAATAAATTTTAAGTGTTCTCACCATAAAAAAAGATAAGCATGTGAGACAATGAATATGTTCATTAGCTTGATTTAGTCATTCCACAATGCATATGTGTATCAAAACTTCATGTTGTACACTGTAAATATGTACAATTTGTATTTGTCAATTTAAAAATTAATATTGGCTGGGTGCAGTGGCTTATGCCTGTAATCCCAGCACTTTGGGAGGCTGAGGCTGGCAGATATCTTGAGGTCAGGAGTTTGAGACCAGCCTAGCCAACAAGGTGAAACCCTGTCTCCACTAAAAATACAAAACTTAGCTGGGCATGGTGTCGGGTGCCTGTGGTCCCAGCTACTTGGGAGGCCGAGGCATGAAAATTGCTTGAACCCGGGAGGTAGAGGCTGCAGTGAGCCAAGATTGTGCCACTGCACTCCAGCCTGGGCAAAAGGGTGAGATTCTGTCTCAAAAACAAATAAATAAATAAATATTAATAGTAATAAATAAATAAAACTGAAAAAATTAAAATTTGAAAAACTTTTTAAATTTTTTTTTCTTTTTTTATTATACTTTAAGTTCTAGGGTACATGTGCACGAGGTGCAGGTTTGTTACATATCTATACATGTGCCATGTTGGTGTGCTGCACCCATTAACTTGTCATTTACATTAGGCATATCTCGTAATGCTATCCCTCCCCACTCCCGTCACCCCATGACAGGCCCCAGTGTGTGATGTTCCCCTTCCTGTGTCCAAGTGTTCTCATTGTTCAATTCCCACCTATGAGTGAGAACATGCAGTGTTTGCTTTCCTGTCCTTGCGACAGTTTGCTCAGAATGATGGTTTCCAGATTCATCCATGTCCCTACAAAGGACATGAACTCATCCTTTTTTTATGGCTGCATAATATTCCATGGTGTGTATGTGCCACATTTTCTTAATCCAATCTATCATTGATGGACATCTGAGTTCGTTCCAAGTCTTTGCTACTGTGAATAGTGCTGCAATAAACATACGTGTGCATGTGTCTTTATAGCAGCATGATTTATAATCCTTTGGGTATATACCCAGTAATGGGATCGCTGGGTCAAATGGTATTTCTAGTTCTAGATTCCTGAGAAATCAACACACTGTCTTCCACAGTGGTTGAACTAGTTTACAGTCCCACCAACAGTGTAAAAGTGTTCCTATTTCTCCACATCCTCTCCAGCACCTGTTGTTTCCTAACTTTTTAATAATTGCCATTCTGACTGATGTGAGATGGTATCTCACTGTGGTTTTGATTTGCATTTCTTTGATGACCAGTGGTGATGAGCATTTTCTCATGTGTCTTTTGGCTGCATAAATGTCTTCTTTTGAGAAGTGTCTGTTCATATCCTTTGCCCACTTTTTAATGGGGTTGTTTGATTTTTTCTTGTAAATTTGTTTCAGTTCTTTATAGATTCTGGATATTAGCCCTTTGTCGGATGGGTAGATTGCAAAAATTTTCTCCCATACTGTAGGTTGCCTGTTCACTCTGATGGTAGTTTCTTTTGCTGTGCAGAAGCTCTTTAGTTTAATTAGAACCCATTTCTCAATTTTGGCTTCTGTTGCTGTTGCTTTTGGTGTTTTAGACATGAAGTCCTTGCCCATGCCTATGTCTGGAATGGTATTGCCTAGGTTTTCTTCTAGGGTTTTTATGGTTTTAGGTCTGACATTTAAGTCTTTAATCCATCTTGAATTAATTTTTGTATAAGGTGTAAGGAAGGGATCCAATTTCAGCTTTCTACCTATGGCTAGCCAGTTTCCCACCACCATTTACTAAATAGGGAATTATTTCCCCATTTCTTGTTTTTGTCAGGTTTGTCAAAGATCAGATGGTGGTAAATGTGTGGTATTATTTCTGAGGGCTCTGTTCTGTTCCATTGGTCTATATCTCTGTTTTGGTACCAGTACCATGCTGTTTTGGTTACTGTAGCCTTGTAGTATAGTTTGAAGTCAGGTAGCATGATGACTCCAGCTTTGTTCTTTTGGCTTAGGATTGTCTTGGCAATGCGGGCTCTTTTTTGTTTCCACATGAGTTTTAAAGTAGTTTTTTCCAATTCTGTGAAGAAAGTCATTGGTAGCTTGATGGGGATGGCATTGAATGCATAAATTACCTTGGGCAGTATGGCCACTTCCAAGATATTTATTCTTCCTATCCATGAGCATAGAATGTTCTTCCATTTATTTCTGTCCTCTTTGATTTCATTGAGCAGTGGTTTGCAATTCTCCTTGAAGAGGTCCTTCACATCCCTTGTAAGTTGGATTCCTAGGTATTTTATTCTCTTTGAAGCAATTGTGAATGGGAGTTCACTCATGATTTGGCTCTCTCTTTGTCTGTTATTGGTGTATAGGAATGCTTGTGATTTTTGCACATTGATTTTGTATGCTGAGACTTTGCTGAAGTTGCTTATCAGCTTAAGGAGATTTTGGGCTGAGACAATGGGGTTTTCTAGATATTCCACCATGTCATCTGCAAATAGGGACAATTTGACTTCCTCTTTTCCTAATTGAATACCCTTTATTTCTTTCTCCTGTCTGATTGCCCTGGCCAGAACTTCCAACACTATGTTGAATAGGAGTGGTGAGAGAGGGCATCCCTGTCTTGTGCCAGTTTTCAAAGGGAATGCTTTCAGTTTTTGCCCATTGAGTATGATATTTGCTGTGGGTTTGTCATAGATAGCTTTTATTATTTTGAGATACGTCCCATCAATACCTAATTTATTGAGAGTTTTTAGCATGAAGGTTGTTGAATTTTGTCAAAGGCCTTTTCTGCATCTATTGAGATAATCATGTGGTTTTTGTCATTGGTTCTGTTTATATGATGGATTATGTTTACTGATTTGTGTATGTTGAACCAGCCTTGCATCCTAGGGATGAAGCCCACTTGATCATGGTGGATCAGCTTTTTGATATGTTGCTGGATTCGGTTTGCCAGTATTTTATTGAGGATTTTTGCATCAATGTTCATCAGGGATATTGGTCTAAAATTCTCTTTTTTTGTTGTGTCTCTTCCAGGCTTTGGTATCAGGATGATGCTGGCCTCATAAAATGAGTTAAGGATTCCCTCTTTTTCTATTGATTGGAATGGTTTCAGAAGGAATGGTACCAGCTCCTCTTTGTACCTCTGTAGTATTCGGCTGTGATTCCATCTGGTCCTGGACTTTTTTTGGTTGGTAGGCTATTAATTATTGCTTCAATTTCAGAGCCTGTTATTGGTCTATTCAAGGATTCAACTTCTTCCTGGTTTAGTCTTGGGAGGGTGTATGTGTCCAGGAATTTATCCATTTCTTCTAGATTTTCTAGTTTATTTGCATAGAGGTGTTTATAGTATTCTCTGATGGTAGTTTGTATTTCTGTGGGATCGGTAGTGATATCCCCTTTATCATTTTTTATTGCATCTATTTGATTCTTCTCTCTTTTCTTCATTAGTCTTGCTAGTGGTCTATCAATTTTGTTGATCTTTTTCAAAAAACCAGCTCCTGGATTCATTGATTTTTTGATGGATTTTTTGTGTCTCTATCTCCTTCAGTTCTGCTCTGATCTTAGTTATTTCTTGCCTTCTGCTAGCTTTTGAATGTGTTTGCTCTTGCTTCTCTAGTTCTTTTAATTGTGATGTTAGGGTGTCAATTTTAGATCTTTCCTGCTTTCTCTTGTGGGCATTTAGTGCTATCAATTTCCCTCTACACACTGCTTTAAATGTGTCCCAGAGATTCTGGTATGTTGTGTCTTTGTTCTCATTGAACATCTTTATTTCTGCCTGCATTGCGTTATGTAACCAGCAGTCATTCAGGAGCAGGTTGTTCAGTTTCCATGTAGTTGAGCAGTTTTGAGTGAGTTTCTTAATCCTGAGTTCTAGTTTGATTGCACTGTGGTCTGAGAGACAGTTTGTTATAATTTCTGTTCTTTTACATTTGCTGAGGAGTGCTTTACTTCCAACTATGTGGTCAATTTTGGAATAAGTGTGATGTGGTGCTTAGAAGAATGTATATTCTGTTGATTTGGGGTGGAGAGTTCTGTAGATGTCTATTAGGTCCGCTTGGTGCAGAGCTGAGTTCAATTCCTGGATATCCTTGTTAACTTTCTGTCTCGTTGATCTGTCTAATGTTGACAGTGGGGTGTTAAAGTCTCCCATTATTCTTGTGGGGGAGTCTAAGTCTCTTTGTAGGTCTCTAAGGACTTGCTTTATGAATCTGGGTGCTCCCATGTTGGGTGCATATATATTTAGGATAGTTAGCTCTTCTTGTTGAATTGATCCCTTTACCATTAGGTAATGGCCTTCTTTGTCTCTTCTGATCTTTGTTGGTTTAAAGTCTGTTTCACCAGAGACTAGGATTGCAACCCCTGTTGTTTTTGTTTTCCATTTGCTTGGTAGATCATCCTCCATCCCTTTATTTTGAGCCTATGTGTGCCTCTGCACGTGAGATGGGTCTCCTGAATACAGCACACTGATGGGTCTTGACTCTTTACCAAATTTGCTAGTCTGTGTCTTTTAATTGGGGTATTTAGTCCATTTACATTTGAGGTTAATATTGTTATGTGTGAATTTGATCCTGTCATTATGATGTTAGCCGGTCATTTTGCTCGTTAGTTGATGCAGTTTCTTCCTAGCATTGATGATCTTTACAAATTGGCATGTTTTTGCAGTGGCTGATACCGGTTGTTCCTTTCCATGTTTACTGCTTCCTTCAGGAGCTCTTCTAAGGCAGGTCTGGTGGTGACAAAATCTCTCAGCATTTGCTTGTCTGTAAAGGATTTTATTCCTCCTTCACTTATGAAGCTTCGTTTAGCTGGATATGAAATTCTGGATTGAAGATTATTTTCTTTAAGAATGTTGAATATTGGCCCCCACTCTCTTCTGGCTTGTAGAGTTTCTGCTGAGAGATCCACTGTTAGTATGATGGGCTTCCCTTTGTGGGTAACACGACCTTTCTCTCTGGCTGCCCTTCACATTTTTTCCTTCATTTCAACTTTGGTGAATCTGACAATTATGTGTCTTGGAGTTGCTCTTCTTGAGGAGTATCTTTGTTGTGTTCTCTGTATTTCCTGAATTTGAATGTTAGCCTGCCTTGCTAGGTTGGGGAAGTTCTCCTGGATAATATCCTGCAGAGTGTTTTCCAACTTGGTTCCATTCTCCCCGTCACTTTCAGGTACACCAGTCAGACGGAGATTTGGTCTTGTCACATAGTCTCATATTTCTTGGAGGCTTTGTTCATTTCTTTTTACTCTTTTTTTCTCTAAGCTTCTCTTCTCACTTCATTTCATTCATTTGATCCTCAATCACTGATACCCTTTCTTCCACTTGATCAAATCGGCTACTGAAGCTTGTGCATGTGTCACATAGTTCTCATGCCATGGTTTTCAGCTCCATCAGGTCATTTAAGGTCTTCTTTATGCGGTTTATTCTAGTTAGGCATTCGTCTAATCTTTTTTCAAGGTTTTTATCTTCTTTGCAATGGGTTTGAACATCCTCCTTTAGCTCGGAGAAGTTTGTTATTACCGATCTTCTGAAGCCTTCTCTCAACTCATCAAAGGCATTCTCCATCCAGCTTTGTTCCATTGCTGGTGAGGAGCTACATTCCTTTGGAGGAGAAGAGGTGCTCCGATTTTTAGAATTTTCAGCTTTTCTGCTCTCGTTTCTCCCCGCTCTGTGGTTTTATCTACCTTTGGTCTTTGATGATGGTAACATACAGATGGGGTTTTGGTGTGGATGTCCTTTCTGTTTGTTAGTTTTCCTTCTAACAGTCAGGACCCTCAGTTGCAGGTCTGTTGGAGTTTGCTGGAGGTCCACTCCAGACCCTGTTTTCCTGTGTATCACCAGCAGAGGCTGCAGAATTGCAAATATTGCGGAACGGCAAATGTTGCTGCCTGATCCTTCCTCTGGAAGCTCCATCTCAGAGAGGCACCCAGCCATATCAGGTGTCAGTCGGCCCCAACTGGGAGGTGCCTCCCAGTTAGGCTACTCGGGGTCAGGGACCCACTTGAGGAGGCAGTCTGTCCATTCTCAGGTCTCAAACTCCGTGCTGGGAGAAGGACTACTCTCTTCAAAGCTGTCAGACAAGGACGTTTAAGTCTGCAGAAGTGTCTGCTGCCTTTTGTTCAGCTATGCGCTTCCCCCAGAGGTGGAGTCTACAGAGGCAGGCAGGCCTCCTCGAGCTGCCATGGGCTCCACCCAGTTCGAGCTTCCCAGCCACTTTGTTTACCTACTGAAGCCTCAGCAATGGCGGGCACCCCTCCCCCAGCCTCGCTGCCGACTTGCAGTTCGATCTCAGACTGCTGTGCTAGCAGTGAGCAAGTCTCTGTGGGTGTGGGACCCTCCAAGCCAGGCGTGGGATATAATCATCTGGTGTGCCGTTTGTTGAGACCATCAGAAAAGTGCAGTATTAGGGTGAGAGTGACCTGATTTTCCAGGTGCCGTCTGTTATGGCTTCCCTTGGCTAAGAAAGGGAATTCCCCGACCCCTTGCACTTACCGAGTGAGATGATGCCTCACCCTGTTTTGGCTCATGGTCCGTGGGCTGCACCCACTGTCCTGCACCCACTGTCTAACAAGCCCCAGTGAGATGAACCCTGTACCTCAGTTGAAAATTCAGAAATCACCAGTCTTCTGCATCGCTCATGCTGGGAGCTGTAGACTGGAGCTGTTCGTATTCTGCCATCTTGGAACCTCCCCCTTCAGCAGAGCTAAATTTTTTTAAAAGACTATTTTTTTTAAAGGCCATTGGATTAATTTTTTTTAAAGGCCATTCGACAGTCCCAATCTCCATGACCTCTCACAAGAGCTGCATGGGCCATATTAATCTTCACACTGATATTTTGTATTCACTCATATTTTTATAAATAAAGTAAGGCTAAGAGATGCTATAAAGCTTTGCCAAGGGCAAAAGCCAGGGCACCCAGGATTGGAACCCCATACATTGAATTATTGCCTACTGCATGCCTTAAATAGCAAAAAGAATGGTACAACTTGCAAGGGAGCTTAGGGAAAGGAAAAGCCCAAATGCTCCACAGTAGCTAAAGAAGATTGGAATCATAATCCCTTAGGGATGGACAGGACCATCAGGACTGGACATGATGCCCTCCTCCAGTGTTTCAGTACTCTTTATGATGTCCCCAACTGGTTGAAGATGCTGCCTGAACATCTCCAATGATGGAAACTCACTGCTTTTCCCAGGCACATATGTCCTGATGTCCTAAAGTAGCTGATTGTTAGTTCTGCTTATATAGATCTCACAGCTGCTTCCAAAATACCTTCGAATGCTAGACCTGATCCCATCGCTCCTCCTGTCTCCAGTAAAAAAATGTTCTGTCCCTAACAGGGAAGTTCATACACAACCAGAAGTCTGGTATCAAATCTCAGCTGAGCTTTCTTTTCTCAGAAGCATCATCCCTGGGTCTTCCACCCTTTTCCCAAGCTTCTAGTTTCTCTCACAATTTTAATGTGCTGTAGTTTGTCACCGTTACTTTGAAGTACTCAGGGCTGGCCAGACACAGTGGCTCACGCCTATAACCCCAGCACTTTGGGAGGCCAAGGCAAGTGGATCATCTGAGGTCAGGAGTTCGAGACCAGCCTGGTCAACACAGTGAAACCCCGTCTCTACGAAAAATACAAAAATTAGCTGGCCACGGTGTTGCATGCCTGTAATCCCAGCTGCTCAGGAGGCTGAGGCAGGAGAATCACTTGAACCCGGGAGGTGGAGGTTGAAGGGAGTTGAGATCGCCCCGCTGCACTCCAGCCCGGGCGACAGAGCAAGACTCCGTCTCAAAAAAATAAAATAAAATAAAGTACTTAGAGCTGGCTACAATGTTTGAGACAGCACAATCCAGCATCCTGCTCATTGAGCCTATCCTGCTCATTGAGCCTGTCCTGCACAAGGTTTTAAAAACATGGTTGCATCCATTTCTTCTAGATTTTCTAGTTTATTTGCGTAGAGGTGTTTGTAGTATTCTCTGATGGTAGTTTGTATTTCTGTGGGATCGGTGGTGATATCCCCTTTATCATTTTTTATTGTGTCTATTTGATTCTTCTCTCTTTTTTTCTTTATTAGTCTTGCTAGCGGTCTATCAATTTTGTTGATCCTTTCAAAAAACCAGCTCCTGGATTCATTGATTTTTTGAAGGGTTTTTTGCGTCTCTATTTCCTTCAGTTCTGCTCTGATTTTAGTTATTTCTTGCCTTCTGCTAGCTTTTGAATGTGTTTGCTCTTGCTTTTCTAGTTCTTTTAATTGTGATGTTAGGGTGTCAATTTTGGATCTTTCCTGCTTTCTCTTGTAGGCATTTAGTGCTATAAATTTCCCTCTACACACTGCTTTGAATGCATCCCAGAGATTCTGGTATGTGGTGTCTTTGTTCTCGTTGGTTTCAAAGAACATCTTTATTTCTGCCTTCATTTTGTTATGTACCCAGTAGTCATTCAGGAGCAGGTTGTTCAGTTTCCATGTAGTTGAGCGGCTTTGAGTGAGATTCTTAATCCTGAGTTCTAGTTTGATTGCACTGTGGTCTGAGAGATAGTTTGTTATAATTTCTGTTCTTTTACATTTGCTGAGGAGAGCTTTACTTCCAACTATGTGGTCAATTTTGGAATAGGTGTGGTGTGGTGCTGAAAAAAATGTATATTCTGTTGATTTGGGGTGGAGAGTTCTGTAGATGTCTATTAGGTCTGCTTGGTGCAGAGCTGAGTTCAATTCCTGGGTATCCTTGTTGACTTTCTGTCTCATTGATCTGTCTAATGTTGACAGTGGGGTGTTAAAGTCTCCCATTATTAATGTGTGGGAGTCTAAGTCTCTTTGTAGGTCACTCAGGACTTGCTTTATGAATCTGGGTGCTCCTGTATTGGGTGCATAAATATTTAGGATAGTTAGCTCCTCTTGTTGAATTGATCCCTTTACCATTATGTAATGGCCTTCTTTGTCTCTTTTAATCTTTGTTGGTTTAAAGTCTGTTTTATCAGAGACTAGGATTGCAACCCCTGCCTTTTTTTGTTTTCCATTGGCTTGGTAGATCTTCCTCCATCCTTTTATTTTGAGCCTATGTTTGTCTCTGCATGTGAGATGGGTTTCCTGAATACAGCACACTGATGGGTCTTGACTCTTTATCCAACTTGCCAGTCTGTGTCTTTTAATTGCAGAATTTAGTCCATTTATATTTAAAGTTAATATTGTTATGTGTGAATTTGATCCTGTCATTATGATGTTAGCTGGTGATTCTCCCAAGACTAAACCAGGAAGAAGTTGAATCTCTGAATAGACCAATAACAGGCTCTGAAATTGTGGCAATAATCAATAGTTTACCAACCAAAAAGAGTCCAGGACCAGATGGATTCACAGCCGAATTCTACCAGAGGTACAAGGAGGAACTGGTACCATTCCTTCTGAAACTATTCCAATCAATAGAAAAAGAGGGAATCCTCCCTAACTCATTTTATGAGGCCAGCATCATTCTGATACCAAAGCCGGGCAGAGACACAACCAAAAAAGAGAATTTTAGACCAATATCCTTGATGAACATTGATGCAAAAATCCTCAATAAAATACTGGCAAACCGAATCCAGCAGCACATCAAAAAGCTTATCCATCATGATCAAGTGGGCTTCATCCCTGGGATGCAAGGCTGGTTCAATATACGCAAATCAATAAATGTAATCCAGCATATAAACAGAGCCAAAGACAAAAACCACATGATTATCTCAATAGATGCAGAAAAAGCCTTTGACAAAATTCAACAACCCTTCATGCTAAAAACTCTCAATAAATTAGGTATTGATGGCACGTATTTCAAAATAATAAGAGCTATCTATGACAAACCCACAGCCAATATCATACTGAATGGGCAAAAACTGGAAGCATTCCCTTTGAAAACTGGCACAAGACAGGGATGCCCTCTCTCACCGCTCCTATTCAACATAGTGTTGGAAGTTCTGGCCAGGGCAATCAGGCAGGAGAAGGAAATAAAGGGTATTCAATTAGGAAAAGAGGAAGTCAAATTGTCCCTGTTTGCAGACGACATGATTGTTTATCTAGAAAACCCCATCATCTCAGCCCAAAATCTCCTTAAGCTGATAAGCAACTTCAGCAAAGTCTCAGGATACAAAATCAATGTACAAAAATCACAAGCATTCTTATACACCAACAACAGACAAACAGAGAGCCAAATCATGAGTGAACTCCCATTCACAATTGCTTCAAAGAGAATAAAATACCTAGGAATCCAACTTACAAGGGATGTGAAGGACCTCTTCAAGGAGAACTACAAACCACTGCTCAAGGAAATAAAAGAGGACACAAACAAATGGAAGAACATTCCATGCTCATGGGTAGGAAGAATCAATATCGTGAAAATGGCCATACTGCCCAAGGTAATTTACAGATTCAATGCCATCCCCATCAAGCTACCAATGACTTTCTTCACAGAATTGGAAAAAACTACTTTAAAGTTCATATGGAACCAAAAAAGAGCTCGCATCGCCAAGTCAATCCTAAGCCAAAAGAACAAAGCTGGAGGCATCACACTACCTGACTTCAAACTATACTACAAGGCTACAGTAACCAAAACAGCATGGTACTGGTACCAAAACAGAGATATAGATCAATGGAACAGAACAGAGCCCCCAGAAATAATGCCGCATATCTACAACTATCTGATCTTTGACAAACTTGAGAAAAACAAGCAATGGGGAAAGGATTCCCTATTTAATAAATGGTGCTGGGAAAGCTGGCTAGCCATATGTAGAAAGCTGAAACTGGATCCCTTCCTTACACCTTATACAAAAATCAATTCAAGATGGATTAAAGATTTAAACGTTAGACCTAAAACCATTAAAACCCTAGAAGAAAACCTAGGCATTACCATTCAGGACATAGGCATGGGCAAGGACTTCATGTCCAAAACACCAAAAGCAATGGCAACAAAAGCCAAAATTGACAAATGGGATCTAATTAAACTAAAGAGCTTCTGCACAGCAAAAGAAACTACCATCAGAGTGAACAGGCAACCTACAACATGGGAGAAAATATTCGCAACCTACTCATCTGACAAAGGGCTAATATCCAGAATCTACAATGAACTCAAACAAATTTACAAGAAAAAAACAAACAACCCCATCAAAAAGTGGGCGAAGGACATGAACAGACACTTCTCAAAAGAAGACATTTATGCAGCCAAAAAACACATGAAAAAATGCTCATCATCACTGGCCATCAGAGAAATGCAAATCAAAACCACTATGAGATATCATCTCACACCAGTTAGAATGGCAATCATTAAAAAGTCAGGAAACAACAGGTGCTGGAGAGGATGTGGAGAAATAGGAACACTTTTACACTGTTGGTGGGACTGTAAACTAGTTCAACCATTGTGGAAGTCAGTGTGGCGATTCCTCAGGGATCTAGAACTAGAAATACCATTTGACCCAGCCATCCCATTACTGGGTATATACCCAAATGACTATAAATCATGCTGCTATAAAGACACATGCACACGTATGTTTATTGCGGCATTATTCACAATAGCAAAGACTTGGAACCAACCCAAATGTCCAACAATGATAGACTGGATTAAGAAAATGTGGCACATATACACCATGGAATACTATGCAGCCATAAAAAATGATGAGTTCATGTCCTTTGTAGGGACATGGATGAAATTGGAAACCATCATTCTCAGTAAACTATCGCAAGAACAAAAAACCAAACACCGCATATTCTCACTCATAGGTGGGAATTGAACAATGAGATCACAAGGACACAGGAAGGGGAATATCACACTCTGGGGACTGTGGTGGGGTCGGGGGAGGGGGGAGGGATAGCAGTGGGAGATATACCTAATGATAGATGACACGTTGGTGGGTGCAGCGCACCAGCATGTCACATGTATACATATGTAACTAACATGCACAATGTGCACATGTACCCTAAAACTTAAAGTATAATAAAAAAAAATAATAATAAAAATAAAGAATGCACACAACACTGAAAAAAATAAATAAATAAATAAAAAATAAAATAAAAACATGGTTGCCAAAATTTTTAAAATCAGGAAATCTCATTGGAAAATCCAGATTGCTGGCATCTCCTGAACATGAGGTCTGGCAATCATTGACCCATACTCCTGTATGGCAAGAATCAGTTGGAGTTGATGGCTGCTCAGTTCAGAAGGAGCATGCAACCATCTAACTCCCACACAGGAAATCCCACCTCCCCTTATTTGCTTCCCCAGCACAGAGTGTCCGTTTCCATGTATCATTGCTGTTATGCTGTTGCTTTTCTCGCAGTAAGGAGAAAAATGAAATTTTTCTTGAAATTTTTCTGTATCGAACATGGAGAATGATAAATATAGATGGAGAGAGCTGGCCATGTGCTTCAAAAAAAGTGGGGAGAGCACACACGGCTTTGTAGAAATAAAGATTCTTCCTATGAGTTTAATGTTTATTATGTAAATAAAGTTACATATTAATTTAACATGTACATATTAAATTAAATATAATGTAATATAGTTAAATTAACAGTCCACTTCACTAGTGCAGTTACCATCCTGGTTCCTGTAGGTATTTTATCTGATCAGAGTAGAGCAGCCTCAAGCTGACTTTGCATCCAAGTGAAACCCGTGTGTTCTTGACATACACAACTGTTAAGGCATGCATATTCACTTTTATTCTTGTGCAGTTGGTCTTTAAACCAAATGAGAGACTCTGTATCTATCCTTTAAGTATATACATATAGGCCAGGTGCAGTGGCTCATGCCGGTAATCCCAGCACTTTGGGAGGCCAAAGCAGGCGGATTGCCTGAGGTCAGGAGTTCGAGACCAGCCTGGCCAACATGGTGAAACCCCATCTCTACTAAAAATACAAAAATTAGCTGGGCATGGTGGCAGATGCCTGTAATCCCTGTAATCCCAATGAGACTCTGTCTCAAAAAAAATATATATATATATTTATATATATATATAATCTTTTGAGACTTTAATAAATCATTAGCAGAATCTTTTTAGACTGCTACTTTGCTCTCCTGGGTTTTGTGTATTCCTGCCAACTCATGACATTTTTAGCATTGATGGACATGCTTTCCATTGCATCTTCCAAGGCTGTCAAAAGCACTAGGTAGCCCAAGAATAAAATCAGAGCCTTTTGACAGTTTGAGATTTCTTCTTAAGACACCTCATAAATAAAATAAATACATAAAGAGAAGACAAACTTTAAAATATATATGATGCTACAAGAATTGACCAGATAGATCCATGAAACTGACTAGAGAGCTCAGATAATGGCTCTAGCCTATAGAAAACATTTAGTATATAGTAAACACAGAAACTATGGTAAAATAAATGGTGCTCAATTAATTTCTTAGCCATTTGGGAATAAATACTTATAAGCTATTACCATACGCATGACAAAGCTCTTGGCCACCCCAATCCACAGCTCCAGTAAACTGGGCTCAGATATGATTTGGTTTATTGGCTATGTGTATTTTGGGAGGGTCATCAGAGACCTCACCTTCTTCCCTTGTGACCAGCGATTTCTCCAAGAGTCCATCATATTGTATCTGTCTATCATGAAACAGAAAGGTCTCTCACAGCTCACAGTTACTACTGATACCAGAGAACATAATTTGACCCTCAAAAAGCTTAAGCAGACAGTGTATCAATCAACTGTGAGGAATGAATAAATCTATTTCCATCGTTGAAAGTCTAAAAAAAAATGGCTTTCCAAGTACCCTTTCTCAGAAAACTGCTGGGAGCTAGACATGACAAAATAAGGAGTAAATGAAGAAAAGATAGATAGTCAATAGGAAACTAGGGTTCAATAACAAGAGAGGTACCAGGGAAGTAACCAGCCCTCTCTGCAAAACTTAACCACTGAGGCGGTGCTTAAGGCCAGGTCAGCAATCACACAGAGGCACAGAGGAGAGAGGAGTCAGTTCTGCTAAAGAGAACAGGACACTAGCTCTAAATCTGAGCCCTGGGGTAGAATAGCTGTTGACATATAGGAAGGAACAAGCCTAAATGGTTCTCTATCTTGATTACTCCTGGCTGTTGAGAGGAAATCTGACCTCATGAAACCACAGCTTTAAGGCACAGACCCAGAGTAACTGTGGTTTTTCAGAGCCAGGACCGCACTATATTCTCCCATTCCAGCCCCAGGCCAGCCACATTCAAAGAATGCCCTAAAGGTGACCTTGGCCTTCCCTTTTTATTCTAGGATGTCAAGAGCAGTGTGGAGGAGCTAGAATGTCAGCCCAAGGCCCTCCAGCATTTCTTCCCTGAGAATAGTCCACACACACTTAGAACCCCTGGAGGCTGTCCTGATGTCCCAAGCGTGCAAGACTCTCACTATGCAAAACAGGCTTCCCCTGATCTTTACATATTTCTCTAGCTGTGCCGCCTGTCTGAAAAGGGAGAAGGACTGGAGAAAAGCCATCCTTTCTTTGCTCTGAGTCCTACCAAGTGAGGAGAGGAAGAGGAGCCAGCATTTGCCTTCCTAAGCTGCTAAAGCAGCAGTCCACCCAAAGGCTCTAAGGCTCACCCAGCCTAGGAGCCGGAGCATGCAAGGCGACCTCCAGCCTGCAGTGTGGGTAGAGGGGTTCTTCAGACCAGCCAAGAAAAAGGTGCTGCAGCTCAAAGGCGGAAAGAAACAATGGCAGGGCCTCTGCCACCTCTAGCAGATGCGGTGTCCCTGAAGATAAGAGGTCTCCTCCAAGATCAGTGCCATGGGCAGATTTTTACTGCCCCAGGAGATAAAGTGACTCTGGGGAGCTCTAGAATTAGACTTTTCCCACAAGTGCCAAGAATGAGAAATTTCGAGATGACAGCTGGGAAGTCCTCTATTGGGGCATTGAGTAGTAGAGATGGTCCCCTCCAAGCTAAACTGGTCTTTCTTCACCTTCCCCAAAGGAAATAGTTCATGAGACTCCCTGGGAGGGAAAAGCACCAGGGTGAAGGTGCTAGAACCTGGGGCTGAAGTGGCCTAAAGAGGGTAGGAGGCTGGACTACTGAAACCGCAGCACCTAAAGGGGCCTCAGGAGTTGTGACTCAGCCTCTGGCCATCCTCCCAGCTTAACCTCACACTAGCAGCAAACAGAGGCCTCTCCTTCATCTCCTTCCTTGGGGAAGAGGAAATAGAGTTAAAAAACGAGGAACTAGGCACAGCAGCTCACACCTGTAATCCCAGCACTTTGGGAGGCTGAAGTGGGAGGATCACTTAAGGCCAGGAGTTTGAGACCAGCCTGGGCAACATAGTGAGACCCCACCTCCATAAAAAAAATTAATTAGTGGGGCATGGTGGTGCACACCTGTGGTCCCAGCTGCTCAGGAGGCTGAGACAGGAGGATTGCTTGAGCCCAGGAGGTTGAGGCTGCAGTGAGCTGTGATGGTGCTACTGCACTCCAGCCTGGGCAATGGAGTGAGACCCTGTCTCTAAAAACACAAAATAAAATAAAACATAAAGAGGAAAGTCTCTGGTCCAAGTCCACTTCCCATAAGAGTGGGGTTCCGGGTTCTTCCTCCTATCTTCTCTCAGGTCTCCATCTGGCTTCCCTGGGTAAAATGGGAGCAGAGCATTCGCCCAGCCTCAGCAACTCACCTCGTGGTTGAGCCGCATTCTGTGGGGTTGGAATAAAATGAGTGCAAGCAGCCCATGCCTTCTCTTCTCGCCCACCCAAGCCCTCTCGTTGCTGCCCACCCAAGCTCTGCGGACGTGCACCCACTTCTCGCATGCACCCCTGCAGTGCCAGGCCCCTCTGCCAGGGATCCTCGGGAGAGAGGAATCTCCCTACCTCCTCTCCTACACACCCTTGCCCCTTTGAATGGCAGAGAAGACGGGGATGGGGTGGGAAATCGCCTGAAGGAGGCGCACACTGAGAGGTACGGTTTGGGGCCCCTTCGGGATCCTGCCCTCTCACCATTAGGGAGAGATGGGGGCCTTTCCGCCCAGGGGCAGGATTTTCTCCCAGTCACAGGGGCTGGCTGCTGGGAAGCCCCCAGGCCCACCCTCGATGACCTTCTCTTCCCTGCCCTGCTGACCTGCCAGCGCCCAGAACCCAGCTCAGCCTCTGGCCTCCCGGATGCCTGTCCCCCTCGAGGCACGCTGAGGTTGCTCGGAGTGCTGTCTCCCCTCCCGCCACCAGCTCCTGTCCCCTAAGACCGTCTTGACCAGCGCAACTTCCTCCTAGGTTCCAGCGGGGCCTTTCCACTGTCCCATGACCTGGCTGAGCGGGACCAGGCCTCTGGGACAGGCAAGGCCTCTCCTCACAGGCAACTCAACCCTTCACATCCAGCCCAGCCCTCGGTGGACTCCGGACCGCTGACCGCCAATCACAACACAGCCTCTGCTACTTTCAGCCTGCCCTGCCTTTGGGCTAAGGCTCCCCCAGCTGGCCACCTGGAACATGGCACCTTTCGAGTGAAAAGTTTTCTGGGCCACAGTCCTGCCATCAATCAATAAACAAATCCTCCTGAGGGCCTACATCGTCCCAGGCTTTCAAAGGTGAATACGCCTGGTTCAGTACTCGCCCTGTCAGAGATCACGGTCTATGAGACTTTTGTCTGATGTTACTGTCTCAGAGGAGCACAGCTTGTCCAAGATCTGGTTGGAGAAAAGAAATTGTAATATCCTTGTTTTGAGAAAAATATAAGATGTGAAGTGGTGTCATTTGTGTAGAATAATGCAAGGTCACATATATTATCTCATTTCATCCTAGAATCACTGTATGATTAGAGCTGAAACACTCAAACTTATCTTTGAAATATACTGTGCCATAGTGGTTAAGCATGCTAGCATTGAAACCAACTGCCTGGGTTCAAATCCCAGCTCTATCATATGATAGCTGTGTGACTTTGAGCAAAATACATACTGTCTCTGTGCCTCAGTTTCTCCATATCCAAAATACAGATAATTATAGTACCTATCTGATATAGTTTTGCTGTGTCCCCACCCAAATCTCATCTTGAATTGTAGTTCTCATAATCCCCACAAGTCATGGGAGGGACCCAGTGGGAGGTAATTGAATCAGGCTGATGTTCTCATGATAGTGAGTGATTTCTCACGAGATCTGATGGTTTTGTAAGGGGCTTTTCCCTCTTGCTTGGCACTTCTCTTTCCTGCCACCATGTGAAGAAGGATGTGTTTGTATCCCCTTCTGCCATGATTGTAAGTTTCCTGAGGTCTCCCCAGCCCTGCTGAACTGTGAATCAATTAAACATCTTTCCTTTATAAATTACCCAGCCTCAGGTATGTCTTGATAAGCAGTGTGAGAATGGACTAATACAGTAAATTGGTACCAGGTAGTGGGGCACTGCTGTAAAAATACCCAAAAGTGTGGAAGAGACCTTGGAACTGGGTACCAGGCAGAGGTTGGAACAGTTTGGAGGTCTCAGAAGAAGACAGGAAAATGTGGGAAAGTCTGGAACTTCCTGGAGACTTGTTGAATGACTTTGACCAAAATGCTGATAGTGATATGGACAATAAAGTCCAGGCTGAGGTGGTCTCAGATGGAGATGAGGAACTTGTTGGGAAATAGAGCAAAGGTAACTCTTGTTATGCTTTAGCACAGAGACTGGTGGCATTTTGCCCCTGCCCTAGAGATCTGTGGAACTTTGAACTTGAGAGAGATGATTCAGGGTATCTGGCAGAAGAAATTCCTAAGCAGCAAAGCATTCAAGATGTGACTTAGGTGCTCTTAAAAACACACAGTTTTATTCTTTCATGAAGATATGGTTTGGAGTTGGAATTTATGTTTAAAAGGGAAGCAGAGCATAAAAGTTCAGAAAATTTGCAGCCTGGTGATGTGCTAGAAAAGAAAAACCCATTTTCTGAGGAGAAATTCAAGCCAGCTGCAGATATTTGCATAAGTAAAGAGAAGCCAAATGTTAATTCCCAAGACAATGGGGAAAATGTCTCCAGGGCATGTCAGAGGTCTTTACAGCAGTCCTTCCCATCACAGACATGGAGGCTGAGGAGAAAAAAATGGCTGCATATGCTGGGCCCAGGGCCTTGCTGCTTTGTGCAGTCTTGGTACTTGGTGCCCTGCATCTCAGCTATGGCCAAAAGCGGCCAATGTACAGCTCAGGCCTTTGCTTCAGAGGGTGAAGCCCCAAGCCTTGGTGGCTTACACATGGTGTTGGGTCTGCAGGTGCAGAGAAATCAAGAAGTGAGGCTTGGGAACCTCTGCCTAGATTTCAAAAGATGTATGGAAATGCCTGGATGCTCAGGCAGAAGTTTGCTGCAGGGGCAGAGCCCTCATGGAGAATCTCTGCTAGGTCAGTGTGGAAGGGAAATGTGGGATGGGAGCCCCACACAGAGTCCACACTGGGGCGTTGCCTAGTAGAGTTGTGAGAAGAGGGCCACTGTCCTCAGACCCCAGGATGGTAGACCCAGCAACAGCTTGCATCATGTGCAGCCACAGACACTCAATGCCAGCCTGTGAAAGCAGCTAGAAGTTGGGGCTGTACCCTGCAAATCCAAGGGGCAGGGCTCCCCAAGACTGTGAAAACCCACCTCTTACATCAGTGTGACCTGGATGTGAGACATGGAGTCAAAAGAGATCATTTTGGAACTTTAAGGTTTAACGACTGCCCTATTGGATTTTGGACTTGCATGTGGCTTGTAGCCCCTTCATTTTGGCCAATTTCTCCCATTTGAAATGGGTGTATTTACCCAATGTCTGTACCCCCATTGTATCTAGAAAGCAACTAACTTACTTTTGATTTTACAGGCTCATAGGCAGGAGGGACTTGCCTTGTCTCAGATGAGACTTTAGACTCGGACTTTTGAGTTAATGCTGGAATGAGTTAAGCCTTTGGGGGACTGTTGGGAGGGCATGATTATAATTTGAAATGTGAGGACATGAGATTTGGGTGGAGCCAGTGGTGGAATGATATAGTTTGGCTGTGTCCCCACCCAAATCTCATCTTGAATTGTAGTTCCCATAATCCCCACATGTCATGGGAGGAACCCGGTGGGAAGTAATTGAATCATGGGGGCAATTACCCCCATGCTGCTGTTCTTGTGAAAGTGAGTGGGTTCTCAAGAGACCTGATTGTTTTATAAGAGGCTTTTCCCACTTTTGCTTGGCACGTCTCCTTCCTGCCACCATGTGAAGAGGGCATGTTTGCTTCCCCTTCTGCAGTGATTGTAAGTGTCCTGAGGCCTTCCCAGCCATGCTGAGCTTTGAGTCAATTAAACCTTTTTCCTTTATAAATTACCCAATCTTGGGTATGTCTTTATTAGCAGTGTGAGATTGGACTAATACACTATCTTATGTAGTTATTGAAAGCAAGCTAATACTTGCTTAAAACACATAAGGGCTCAACATAGTTAGCTATTATTGCTATCACATAATCCAAAATCCTAATTGTATGAGTAGGACCCAATAAGGTAAAAGGACTTCTGTGGTCACACAAAGTTCTTGACTCTTAACCAAGTGTGTCATTGATTCTCTTAGAAACTGGAAAATTCATTTAAAGGAACTTAGTTAATTTACTCATGTACCACCCTAACCCATTGCTTAAATTCTGCTACCTCGTCTTCACCTGGTGATCCCCTAGCCTGGGTGACCTACTCCACTTTTTGACCACTCAGATGATTAGAAAGTTCTTGAACTAAAAATCTGCTTCCTGGTTATTTCTGCCCAGAGGGCCTTCATTTGCATTCTGTGTTCACACCTGAACAAGTAAAACAAATCTAACACTTCAAATCCAAACCACCCTCCAATCATATAAAGACAATGGTCATACCTCTCCAGGTCTTTTCTTTCTCTGACTAATAGCTCTCATTCCTCCAGCCTCCTCACTTCTCTGGACATATCCCTCAGGGTCCAGGGTTGACGCTTTCCTGGGACAGGTCCCCCATATGTTCAGCTGTTGTGAAAGACCACATGCAAGAGCAGGAGGCAAGGCCCCCTGCCCTACCCATGACTCCTCAGGCCACTGGAGGAGTGGGGCAAGCCAAGTATACAAATTAGAACCAGATCACTTCCCTAACTTGAGACCCATACTCATGGTGTAGAAGAGTATTTGTTGATGTCTGGGATTTGCTTCAAAATAATCTGAGGGGTTGGGGAGGTTGGCATAAGGCAAGGAATGGAAGGTGTAAAGGAAATTAAATTGGCCATGTATTGATTATGATGGAAGGTGAGGAACAGATACATTGAGTTCACTATACAATCCTTCCTACTTTTGTATGCATTTGAAAACTTTTATAATAAAATCTTTTAAAAATATTTCTGACACAGGATCCAATACAAGAAGATGAACTCCTCCTTTCACTTTGAAATAGGATTCTTCCCTTGTATAAAACAAGAGGAGGCTGGTACAGTGGCTCATGCCTGTATTCCAGCACTTTAGGAGGCTGAGGCAGGAGGATCATTTGAGCTCAGGAGTTTGATACCAACCTGGGTGACATGGTGAGATGCCATCTCTACAAAAAATACAAAAACTAGCTGGGCATGATGGCACATGCCTGTAGTCTCAGCTACCCTACTCAGGAGGCTGAGGTGGGAGAATTGCTAAACCTGGGAGATTGAGGCTGCAGTGAGCTGTGTTCACACCACTGAACTCCAGCCTGAGTAACAAACCAAGACCTGGTCTCAAAAAAAAAAAAAAGAAAGACAAGATGAGGACCAGGCTTCTGAAACCCCTCCCCTCCACCACATGGAGCCATTGTCCAGCCTTTAGTCTTAATATAATGTAATGTTGAGGCAAAGAAAAAAATTATATGTACCATATCTTCAACAATGGGATAATAGGTGCACACTTGTTTGTGAGATTAGAAGTGACTGGGTTTTTTTTAATTAATTATAAACTTATTACATTGATTTTTTACAACAGACATAACTAAACATAAAACAAAAAGGAGCAAAAGACTTTGCTGAAACATCTTCATAGGAGTCCAGAATATAAACTGAAACAGAGCACATACACCAGAAAGACCTTCCCGGAAGATTGTGGAACCAGGTCCCCAGAGCAGAAATTGCAGGAGAGACTCATAACTCTCCAGGCCCAGTGCTGGGGGAACCCCTCATGGAAGCAGCTGTAATGAGGCCTGGAAACTGGACACTGCTGGGCCCTGACATCCAGGCCTCAATGCCCTGACTCAGCCCATGGCAGCGACCCCTTCAAACAGGCTCCATGTGGGCCTGTAATCAGGAAAGACTAGAGCATCCAGGAGTGGAGATTTGATTCTGAGATGCTGGGAGTTGTTCCTGGTTCTTGCTCCTGTCTGGCTGGTGCTGACAGCCAAAAGTGGGGAGTTGTGTGAGCTTTGTCCTTCAGCACTAGAGGCTTCACCCAACCCATGAGAAGGGGATGCCCCTGGCTTGCCCATCACAAGCACTGGCCAAGCTGAGTCCCCGCTGCTGAGGGAAAGAGAAAGAAGCCAAGGCTGCTCAAGTCAAAACACACTGCTGGCCAGGCCCAGTAGTGTGGGTCTGTAATCCTAGCTACACAGGAGGCCAAGGCAGGAGGATCGCTTGAGCCCAGGATTTCGAGGCTACAGTGAGCTATGATTGTGCCACTGTATTCCAGCCTGGGCAACAGAGTGAGACTCTGTCTATAAAAACAAAAAAAGCAAAAAACAACTCCAAAAAACACTGAACACTGACTACATGCCAATACACAGCACAATACATGTAATTAAAGGGTTTGTCAGTATGAGAGCTCTAAGGCAAGCCTGGTTTTTCCAGGAAAAACCCTGGACTTTTCCTCTTTTCCCTTTGAATATCCCAAGACTAAGTATTCCCCATACAAACCATATGAGGCTGCCCTTCTGTGCACTGGATCTTCTGTGCACTGGATCTCTCAGTCTGCCAGGCCAGAAAGAGACAGAGAAAGAGCTCATAGATCTCTCTCTAGATTACATGATTTGTGGCTGGGGTTATTATTTAGTGAGTCTATGTTTTGGATTAAATGATGAGAGGCTTCTGTCCTCACTCAACTTTTCAGCACTTTCAATTTGTTTGGGTAGTTTAAGTGTTTGGGGGTTTTGCTGTTGTTTTTGTTACGTGGCTTTAGTGCAATTAAACGCAACCACTCCCCAGAAGAGGAGTTGGCTGCATTACTTTGGGTTCATTTTCTCATCAGTAATTACATCATTAGGTAAGAGTAGCCAGGAAGCTAAGATCTTTGCTAATTTTCGTGATAGTTTTCCTGATGAAAATCTTCTCTGATTTGCATCTGGTATATGACCGTATCTTTGCTGGGCCCCCTGGCTCTGAAAAGTGCACCCTGACCAGCTGTGAGTTTTCTGTAATCAACCCCACCTCAGGCTCTGAAATAATCACATTGACCTGTTCTTTGGTCCTTTATCCTCAAATGGCCTTTCTGTCACATCCCAGCAGTGGCCAATGGCACAATCACGCAGGGTAATGTAGGGAAAATTCAACAGAGGGAATATTTGCAAAAGAAGCAGAGTTACAGAAAACCAGTAGGGCATGGTGATGTGCCCCAGAGCTAGCAAGAGTGAGAAGCCACCACTGCCTACCAGCAGGAAGGGGCCTGGAGAAGGAGTGGTTCTTGAAACCTGGGAAGAGAGTGGAAGTTCTACCTCTATGGTGCCAATTGCAGCTATAGGGCAGGAGCTGTGGGCTGCAATAGAGGAAGGACCCACAGCCAACTGGTGGTCTGGCAGGAAGAGATTCTGTGAACAAATTCCACCACCTCTCTCTCTTCCTGCCTCCACCTCCTGCCAGTGCTTCCACTGGCCAACCCCAACTGCCAGCCAGAGCACAGAGTGGCTTTTGAAGCCGCCCTCAAAAGTAGGCCCCAGAGCAAGGTGAGGCGCTGTCATGGAGGGGTAAGTGGAGAATAACGACCCAGGGCTTTTTTCCTGCCGGATCCCAATCCTGAGATAACCTTCCTTACAGTCCTTTGGCCTGTTCTCTCTCCCGTGCCTTTGGTTGAAGTCCTAAAATAAGCTATACCCCTTCTATCCAAGGAGGTTCCTCAACTCTTCCTCTTCAACGACAGAAGAAAAAGGAAAAAGTCACATCACTGAGCCTTAGATATTCTCAAGCTTTTCCTAAAATTGTTTTTGGTAAAAAAAAACAAGCAGGCCAAAAAGTATACTGTCATGTCTCCATTTCCTGGAGATAGGAAATGCTCCTTTTTTGAAGCCACACCCCTCAAGAGGGAGTCTTCCAATCCCTATGTAACAGAGGCCACCAAGGGGGTCGGAGGCATTGCAGGAGCCAGGGAAACATCTTCTGATCACTCCATAACAATTAACTTCTAACCCTGACTCCTACGAACAGGGATGTAACCTGGATCCCACCACCCTTTCAGAGAGAGGGAACCCTCACCTATGCCAGGAAACATGGAGTGACACTCATCAAAGCTCAGCTAACAGTTTCAGGAGAGCAAACATTTGACATCTCTTCTACCTTGTGTGTTGCCCCTACTTGTATACCATTTTATGAATATTTTCTTTAGTTTCTCACTGCCCCAGTTGCATCTGAGAGAACTGGTGACTTTGGGTCCTTCCACTATGCTTCATCTGACCTTCAGAAAATATTGTTCCAATCCTTTGCCAAAGGAACCTACAAAATATGCAGCACTTTTGAGAGGTCTTGTGTATAGGATCTGAGCTGGTACTAATGTGTCCAGAATTTGGTGGGTTCTTGGTCTCACTGACTTCAAGAATGAAGCCGCAGACCCTCGCGGTGAGTGTTAACAGTTCTTAAAGATGGTGTGTCCACAGTTTGTCTGTTCTGATGTTCAGACTTGTTCGGAGTTTCCTCCTTCTGGTGGGTTCGTGGTCTCGCTGGCTTCAGGAGTGAAGCTGCAAACCTTGGCAGTGAGTGTTACAGCTCTTAAGGTGGCGCATCTGGAGTTGTTCGTTCTTCCTGTCCCGAGTTGTTCATTCCTCCTGGTGGGTTCATGGTCTTGCTGGCCTCCGGAGTGAAGCTGCAGACCTTCGCAGTGAGTGTTACAGCCCATAAAGGCAGTGCAAACCCGAAGAGTGAGCAGCAGCAAGATTTATTGCAAAGAGCAAAAGAACAAAGCTTCCACGGTGTGGAAGGGGACCCGAGCAGGTTGCCACTGCTGGCTGGGGCGGCCTGCTTTTATTCCCTTATCTGGCCCCACCCATATCCTGCCGATTGGTCCATTTTACAGAGAGCTGATTTGTCTGATTTACAGACAGCTGATTGGTCTGTTTTGACAGGGTGCTGATTGGTGCGTTTACAATCCCTGAGCCAGACATAAACGTTCTCCAAGTCCCCATCCGATTAGCTAGATACAGAGTGCTGATTGGTGCATTTATAAACCTTGAGCTGGACACAGGGTGCTGACTGGTGAGCTTACAAACCTTGAGCTAGACACAGAGTGCTGACTGGTGCATTTACAATCCTTTAGCTAGACATAAAAGTTCTCCAAGTCCCCACCAGATTAGCTAGACACAGAGCACTGATTGGTGCATTTACAAAGCTTGAGCTAGACACAGGGTGCTGATTGGTGTGTTTACAAACCTTGAGCTAGACATAGAGTGCTGATTGGTGTATTTACAATCCCTTAGCTAGACATAAAGGTTCTCCAAGTCCCCACTAGACTCAGGAGCCCAGCTGGCTTCACCTAGTGGATCCTACACCAGGACCTTTCAGGCAGAGCTGCCCGCCAGTCCCGCATGCGCCCACACTCCTCAGCCCTTGGGCAGTTGATGGGACCAGGAGCCCTGGAGCAGGGGGCAGTGCTTGTCGAGGAGGCTCAGGCTGCGCAGGAGCCCAGGGCAGTGGGGAGGCTTGGGCATGGCGGGCTGCAGGTTCCGAGCCCTGCCCCACGGAGAGGCAGCTGAGGCCTGGCAAGAATTCAAGTGCAGCACCTGCCAGCTGGCACTGCTAGAGAACCCGGTGCACCCTCCCCAGCTGCTGGCCAGGTGCTAAGCCCTAGTGCGGGCTGCCGATCCCACGCCCACCCGGAACTCACACTGGCCCCCGAGTGCCGCGCCCAGCCCCGGTTCCCACCTGCGCCTCTCCCTCCACACCTCCCCGCAAGCAAAGGGAGCCGGCTCCAGCCTCAGCCAGCCGAGAGAGGGGCTCCCACAGTGCAGCGGCAGAATAAAGGGCTCCTCAAGCATGGCCAGAGTGGGCGCCAAGGCCAAGGCACCGCCAAGAGTGAGCAAGGGCTGCCAGGGCTGCCAGCACGCTGTCACCTCTCACTAATACTAGGGAACCCAAAATATGTTGTGGTCCATCTGTTAGAGTTGCACTTGAAAGGCACCAAATGATAAAGGAAGCCCTATCCTAAATCTATCCCACAGTGGGCCAGTTGGGTCCTTGAACCTACCCTTTGGTAAATACCCTGGTCCCTGAGTGCATACTTTTAATGTATAGGCAGCACTTAAATGCTGATGGAACTCTCATGATTCCCTGACTTATAAAATAAGAGGCATTACGGTAAAAAAGGCTTTAGTTGTCCACAACCTAGCCAAGATGGCAAATCAGAAACAATACAACATTCCAGGTAAAATGGCAGAATTTGGTGGTAGCCTCAAAGATTTAAATGATACAGAAATGGTCACCTGGAAAACCAAATACACCCTAGCAGATGATAGCAGACTACTCTACCAAGTGGTGGAGCAGCGGTTACTGCAGTTTTGTATGTTGTGTCTTCATTAGAATAGAGCAACACAGCCTCTAGCATTTGATATGTGACTTTTGATAAGGCAAATGTGTTCTTTTAGTTCCCGTCAGGAGGAAGGATCAGAACAGTTTGCATTCACCCAGTATGGAAAGCAGTCTCATCTCAGCACTATATTAAACCTCCGGTTCTCTCTCAACACAGTCCAAAGAGACCTTTGCATCTGGACATTTCACAGATCATCAGATGGATCCGCTATATTGACGACATGGACTACAAAGAGGCACAGTGCCCGGCAGGCCTCTTTGGATTTTGCACATAGCATATAACACTCTTGGGAATACTGCTCCAGCCCATTTAATGGGTTTTCTCAGAAGGCTGCTGTCAGCTTTTCAGAGGATCTCCCAAAACAAGAGAGTCCTGCGGCATGTTCATCCTGCTGTATGAGCAGCCCTGGCCCGTAATCATATGACCCAGCAGATTCCATGGGTGCTAAAGGTAGCCATGACAGATAAGGGTGGGCACCTCTGAAATGACTGACAAGCCCTCATAAGTGAATTATAGCACAGACCTCTAGGGTTCCATAGTAAGGTTATGCCATATGTAGCAGAGAACTATTTACCATATGAAAAGTAGTTCCCAGGGTGCTACTGGGCCCTAGCAGACACTGAATATCTGACCATGGGACATAAGGGTGACTGTGTGATCACAGCTGTCCATCATGAGCTGAATCATATCAGAACCACCAAGTCATAGTATAAGGCAAGCACTCCTAGGGACCAACGTGGTAAATTTGGCTTTTCTGTCCCTACAATTTTAGGTCCCACTTAATAAAGGTCCTCATTTCCAAGCACAGAGTGGGGGATTTGCTTTCACCAGGGCCAGGGATACAATAAGGGTTTCACTAAAAAATAAAGTTACGGCTGCCAACTGTCATGTCAAGCTTCTTTTGACAGTAGATCTCTAGGCAACAGTGAAGTTACTAAATGACCCTGGTTATCATGAAGAGATCAAGTTGTTGCCACAAAACAATGTAATTGTGGCCCAGAAAGCAGTACAAGACACTTCTTGATGCTTCTACCCAGTGATAACTATAACACACAATTGCAGAAATCCTGCCTTAACAATGGCACGGTAACCTTAGAGATAAAGATCCGATTTGCCTTATTGAATAAACAACCTAAACCATCAGAAGTGCTTGCCAGGGAGTTAGGGTAGGGAATGCAGAAAAGGTGCTAAAGGAAGATAATGACTGTTAATAATGACCTCAGGACTCACTGTAAAAGTATGGACTGTAGCGAATGGAAGAAAATTTTTGCAGTCTACCCATCTGACAAAGAGCTAATATCCAGAATCTACAAAGAACTTAAACAAATTTACAAGAAAAAAACAACCCCATCAAAAAGTGGGCAAAGGATATGAACAGACACTTCTCAAAAGAAGACATTTATGCAGCCAACAGACACATGAAAAAACGCTCATCATCACTGGTCATCAGAAAAATGCAAATCAAAACCACAATGAGATACCATCTCACACCAGTTAGAAAGGCGATCATTAAAAAGTCAGGAAACAACAGATGCTGGAGAGGATGTGGAGAAATAGGAACGCTTTTACACTCTTGGTGGGAGTGGAAACTAGTTCAACCATTGTGGAAGGGAGTGTGGTGATTCCTCATGGATCTAGAACTAGAAATACCATTTGACCCAGCCATCCCATTACTGGGTATATACCCAAAGGATTATAAATCATGCTAGTATAAAGACACATGCACACTTATGTTTATTTCAGCACTATTCACAATAGCAAACACTTGGAACAAACCCAAATGTCAATCAATGATAGACTGGATTAAGAAAATGTGGCACATATACATCATGGAATACTATACAGTCATAAAAAAGGATGAGTCCATGTTCTTTGTAGGGACATGGATGAAGCTGGAAACCATCATTCTGAGCAAACTATCACAAGGACAGAAAACCAAACACTGCATATTCTCACTCATAGGTGGGAATCGAACAATGAGAACACTTGGACACAGGGTGGGGAACATCACACACAGGGGCCTGTCGTGGGGTGGGGGGCAGGGGGAGGGATAGCATTAGGAGAAATACCTAATATAAGTGACGAGTTAATGGGTGCAGCAAATCAACGTAGCACATGTATATCTATGTAACAAACCTGCACATTGTGCACATGTACCCTAGAACTTAATGTATAATAAAAATAAAATAAAATTATGAAAAAAAGTATGGACTGTAGCTTGTCCCTATAAAAATATTTTTTAAGATGCTATTAATATTTGTATGACATTTTCATTTTTAAATTTTGTTATTGATATATAATTGTACATATTTATGGAGTACATACATGGTGATGTTTTGATACATATAATGTATAGTGGTCAGGTCAGGGTAATTAGCATATCCATCATCTAAAACATCATTTCTTCGTGTTGAGGACAGTCAATATCCTCCTTCTAGCTATTTGAAACTATATATTATTGTTAACTATAGTTATCCTATGGTGCTATAGAACCCTAGAACTCATTCTTGCTATCTAGCTCTAATTTTGTATCCTTTAACAAATCTCCTCCTCTCCCCACCCCCTTCTCTAGTATCTAGTACCCTCTTGTTCTACTTTTTACTTCTATGAGATCAACTTTTCTTTAGCTTCCCAAATGAGTGAGAACATGTGGTGTTTAACTTTCTGTTCCTGGCTTATTTCACTTAACATAATGTCCTCTAGTTCTATCCATGCCATTGCAAATGAAAGGATTTCATTCTTTGTTATGGCTGAATGTGGCTTGATGAATTTATTCCATTGTGTACATATACCACATTTTCTTTATCCATTCATCTGTTGTTGGACACCTAGGTTGATTATATATCTTGGCTTATTGTGAATAGTGCTGAAATAAACTTAGGGATGCACATGTTTCTTCAATATACTGATTTCCTTTCCTTTGGATAAATGCCCAGTAGTGGGATTGTTAGATCATGTGGTAGTTCTGTTTGTAGTTTCTTGAGGAACCTCCATACTTTTCTCCATAGTGGCTGTACTAGTTCACATTCCCACCAACAGTATATAAGAGTTCCCTTTACTCCACATCCTCGCCAGCATTTGTTATTTTTTGTCTTTTTGGTAATAGCCACTCTAACTGCAGTGAGATGATACCTCATTGTGGTTTTGATTTACCTTTCCCTGGTGATTAGCAATGTTGAGTATCTTTTAAATATTTGTTGACCATTTGTTTGTCTTCTTTTCAGAACTGTCTGTGTTTGGATCGTTTGCCCATGTTTTAATCATTTTGGGGTGGGTTTTTTTATGCTATTGAGATTTTTAGTTCCTTGTATATTCTGGATATTAATCTTCTGTCAGATGAATTGTTTACAAAAATTTCCCCCCATACTGTAGGTTGTATTTTTACTCTGTTGTCTTTTCCTTTTGTGTAGGGTTTCCTTTGCTGTATAGAAGCTTTTTAGTTTGATATAATCCCACTTGTTTATTTTGCTTTTGTTGCCTGTGCTTTTGAGGTCTTATTCATAAAATCTTTTCACAGAGCAATGTCCTGAAGTGTTTCCACTATGTTTTCTTCTAGTAGTTTTGTAGTTTCATGTCTTATATTTAGATCTTTGATCCACTGTGAGTTGATTTTCATATAGGGTGAGAGGTGGGAGTCTAGTTTCATTCTTCTGCATATGGATATCAAGTTTTTCCAGCACCATTTATTGAAGAGGCTGTCCTTTCACTAATGAGAGTTCTTGGTGCCTTTGTCAAAAAGTAGTTGGCTGTAGTTACGTGGATTAATTTCTTGGCTCTCATTTCTGTTCCATCAGTCTATGTGTCTATTGTTTATGCTAGTACCATGCTATTTTGGTTGCTTCAACTTTGCAGTATATTTTGAAGTCTAGTAGTGTGAAGCCTCCAGCTTTGTGCTTTTTGTTCAAGATTACTTTGGCTATTTGAGGTCTTTTGTGGTTGCATAAAAATTTTAGGATTTTTTTCTATTTCTGTGAAAAATGTCACTGGTATTTCTATAGGGATTGCAATGAATCTGTGTGATTAACATTTAAATCAGTAGACTTTAAGTAAAGCAAATTATCCTCCATAACATAGGTGGGCCTTATCCCATAAGTTGAGGACCTGAAAAGCAAAGACTGAGGTTCCCCAAAGTAGAAAGAATTCTCCTCAAGACAGCAACATAGAAATACTGCCTGAGTTTCCAGCCTGCTGCCCTGAGGAATTCAGATTCAAGACTCCAGCATCAACTCTTGAACTCTTATCTGAATTTCCAGCCTGCTGGCTTGCCCTACAGATTTCAGACTTGCTAGCTTCCACAGCTTGAGCCAATTCTTTAATCTCTCTCTCCTCTCTCCTCTCTCCTCTCTCTCTCTCTGTCTCTCTCTCTCTCTCTCTGTGTATTACAAATAATATCTATCCTATTGGGTCAGTTTCTCTAGAGAACCCTGAGTAATACACTTCCCTTTATAAGACCGTTTTATTATAAATTGAAATGGCTACCCCCTTGAACAATCAGTGACAAGATGAAATGAACTCAATGTGAGGTACTGGATCAGACCATTTCAAAAGGTGGAGGGTAGGTGATACTGTTGGTGTCCTGCCAACGTATCATCAATGCTCACCAAAGTGAGCCTCTACAGAAAGCTTCTTATGCCAATCTTCCACAACTCTCCCCAAAAGCTTTCTCAGGCCACAAGAGCATGCTCAGCCAGACTACACAGCAGACAAGAAATGTCAGAGAGTTAATGCCCCTAAAGTTGCCTTAACCCATTATGGATGAGAATTGCTGGATAAATAACCCAGTTTCATTATTTCATTCATGTTCCTTCTAGTGGAACAGTGCTGAGACATGTCCCACACCATCTTCCAAAAGTCCTGGGTGAGATAAATCCCCAGGTGCCCACAGAGGTAATTTGCTCATTGAAACACCCTGTATTTTCTTTCCTTCTCTGTTTCACTTCTTCACTCACCCATCAGTGCTTCCAGGAATCACATCACAAACAAACTATTTGCACTCAAATTTTTGTATCAGGGTCTGTTTCTGAGGAAATCCAATCGAGATACTCCCGTGATGAGAAATTACTTAATGGGTACAGTGTAGGTTATTAGGGTACTAGATACCCTAAAAGCTCTGAGTTGACCATTATGCAATATATGCATGTAATGAAATTGCACTTGCACCCCAGACATTTATATAAATGTTTTAAAGGCCAAAAAAAAAGATTGCTTCCAGATGCCAAGATTTATTTAAAACTACTGTAATTAGTAAAATATGGTGTGGATGCAAACACAATCAATTAAAGCAATAGAACAGAATGGAGACCAGAAACAAACACCTTTATCCATAAACACTTGGTTTATGACAAAGGAGGAACTGTAGAGAAGTGGGAAGGATGGTCATTTCAATCAATATTGCTGGGTCAAGTGAATATCTAGAAGCAAAAATGAAATTTGACCCCTATCTCACAGACACACAAAAGTTAATTCCAGGTGATCTACATGGGAAAGGTAAAACAATAAAACTTTGAGATGATACAATAGAAAAATATCTTTAAAACTTTGGAGTTTAGATAGATTTCTTCAAGGCACATAAAAAAGCACTAACTTTAAAGCAAGATTCTCAACCTTGCACTATTGACATTTCAAACTGGATACAATTTTGTTGTGGGGAGCTGTTCTGTGCATTGTAGGACGTTCAGCAGCATCCTTGACCTCTACCCATGGGATACCAACCGATTCCCCACCACCACTTCCCAGTTATGACAACAAAGTTTCTCCAATACATTCTCCAATGTCCCCTGGGTATGGTTACCAGATTTAGGAGGAAAAAACAAGATGCCAAATTCAATTAGAATCTCAGATAAACAACAAGGAAAAAACCATATAGATAGATAGATAGATAGATAGATAGATAGATAGATATCTTAGATAGATTAGATAGATAGAAAGATATCATAGATAGATAGATGATAGATACTCAGTATGTCCCAAATATTGCCTGAAAAATACTCACCCTATCATTGAGAATTATCGCCTTAAAGGAAAAACGATTTTAAAAATGAGACTACAAGAAGGACTTTTGCTCATGAAAAGACACCTTTAAGTGAGCGAAAAAGGCAAACCGTAGAATGGGAGAAGATCCTTGCAACACATATATCAACAAAGGGCTCACATGCAGAACTTACAAGTTGTGCCTATCAATCAATAAGAAAAAACATCAGACAACTCAATGAAACACAGATAAGAGACTTGAACAGAAAGTTAACAAAAGTAAGATAACCAACTGAACTATAAATATATGAAGGGTACTAACCTCATCAGTAAAAAATTAGAAATTAAAACCATGAGCAATAGCAGCATGCACTCATTAGAATAGCTAAAGTTAGAAAGATTGATAATATCAATATTGACAAGGAGAGCAACTGGAACTCTCCTACACTATTAGAGGAAGTGCCGTTAACAGCTCCGTCACTTTTCACTTTCTCAGTATCAGCTGAGAAACTGAAAATGCACATATCCTATGACATCAATTCATGCCTAAGAACACACCCAAAAGAAATCTCTGCATCCTAAAGCATGAACAAGAATATTCATTATAGCATGATATGTGAAACAGCCCAAAATTCCTTCAACAGTAGAATGAATAAATACTACTTATTTATTCATATAAATTATGGTACAGTGATACGATAGGATACTCCCCAGCAACAAAAATTAACTGCTATTACAATGACATTGATGAATCTCACAAGCATAATGTTAAGGGGAGCAAAAGCCAAACTTAAAAGGAGACCTATTGTGTCAGCACACTTATATAAAGAACAGAAACAAACAAAACTAATCTTTGGTGTTAAAAGTCAAGATGGCAGTCACATTTGGTGAGGGTGGAGATGTTAAGAATTAGGATGAGGCACATGGTTGTCGGGGGGCCTCTGATGTGGTGATGTCCTATTTCCTGACTAGGGTGGTGGTAACAGGGATGTGTTCACTTTGTGATTGCTCACTGAGTTACATTAGCAGAGCACCATGCTGCAATTAAAAGTTTGGTTTGAGCTGGGCATGGTAGCTCATGCCTGTAGTTCCAGCACCTTTCCAGGCCGAAGAGGATAGATCGCTTGAGGCCAGGTGTTTGAGACCAGCCTGAGCAACATGACAAAATCCTATCTCTACAAAAAAAAAAAATACAAAAATTAGCCAGCCATGCTGGGGTGCACCTGTAGTCCCAGGCACTCAGAAGGCTGAGGTGGGAGGGTCGATTGAGCCCAGGAGGTCAAGGTTGCAATGAGCTGTGATCTTGTCACTGCACTCCAGCCTAGGCAAGAGAGACCCTGTCTCAAAAAAAAAAAAAAAAAAAGTTTGGTACGTTGGTTTTTTTTTTTTTAAGTTGGTTTTCAGTCCCTGTGAGAATTTTTGGTTTCCTAATTTATAATTAACACTTTTCAGTGACCTCATTTTTTCCTCACCTTGTCAATTTTACCATATTTTAAGAGACATATTTTTACCCATAACAGCCTCTTTGATTATGCTATTAATCACCAAGGAAAAAATATTAAGTACATGAAAATATTGATCCAGAAATGGTTATTTCTTGAACTTCCACTGTGTCTGTAATTTACCTGGCTCATATGGGTTATTACCTTTTCATATTCTATTTTTCAATTTTTCATTAACTAATTTGCCTATTTTATCTCAGTTATCTCCCTTCTCCCATGAGGATATTGAATTTAACTGGGCATAAACACCACTGCTAAAAGAATTATAGCTAACACCTGGCCTGGTTTATATGCCAGTCTATTTTTATATCCCCAGATCTTAAAAACATCACCTTTAATTTCCATCATAATAAGGCATTTTCCACCATTTGTTTCATCAAGTAGTACTGTTTGCATTCAATTAACAGCTTCTATCATCTCATTTTTTACTCAGTCTTTGGGACAAGTCAGGTGATCTACAATAAAGAGCACCACTATTTCCTGTTCGCCAGGTGTGAAAAAGAAAAAGAAAAAAAAATACATATATATTAAGAGAAAAAGGAAAAAAGAGTACCTCCACTTTTTTACACTCATGTTTCACTGTTTTATCCATTCAATCTTGAAAAATAAAAGTATACTTTACCACCTCATTCACTCACTCAGTGGTTCCCAAAAAAGGATGCTAAATATGTTCTAGTAAGCCAATAAATACACAAGTTTACTTCATCTGACAATCTGCCTTCTCAAGCAACCTCCAAGAGTATATTGCATCATCAAATCGCAAATGTTTTATTATATGTGAGTGTGATTTTCAGATTCACATGAAAATGTAATTTCCTCCCATAGATATTTTATAAATTTTTGTTTTAAAATTACTTATGCCTTCCTCACATACAGGACCACTTTACCCTCATCTGCTTGTTCATATATCTTTCTTTTACTCTGGAATTATGTTCCAATCATCTTCTTCCCATTAAACCCCTGCTGATCAGATATGCCGTTAAGGGTTTCAAATCTCCTGTTCAGTAATCCGTGACCAAGCAATGAAATAGGACCACTTCTCACACCTGGTTTTGTGTGGCTTTTCTTGCCTGTTATCTATTTGCTACACTGTTGACTGGTCTCTTGACAGTTGAACCTGAGTACCCTATTGCTGTTGCTGTACTGCAAACTGCTCCATAATTTAGTGCCATAAAACAACCACAGGATTATTCTCATCGATTGCCTGGTCCAGGAATTTCAGAGCACAGCAGAGACACCTGGGCTATGCTCCATGAAGCCTGGTGCTTCATGTGGGAATACCTGAAGGCTGGGGGTGACTCAACAAGGACCAGAGTCATCTAGAGGCATCTTCATACACACATCTGGCAGTTGATGCTGGCTGTTGGCAAGGACCTCAGCTGGGCTGTCAGCAGGAACACCCATATAGCCTCCCTATGTAGTCTGTCTACATGGGCTAGTTTGGACTTTCTCATAGCATGATGGGTGGTTCTAAAAGTGAACATTTCAAGAAAACAAGTTCGAAGTGTGTGGCATTTTTATAACCTAGTCTTGGAAGTTACATCACTTGAGGCAGTCATAAATACCCATCTGGACTTGAAGGGAAAGTACATACGCTCTACCTTTTGATAGGGAGTGAAAAGTTTCCAGAATAGCATGTGAAACTGAGATATTGTTGCAGGTGTCTTCGAAAAATACAATCTGCCACACAAAGCTTCCACCAATCCCATCCGTATGTTCTGCATCCTCTCACTTCTCCCAGATTTCTAAAATTCTGTCTCTTCTTATATTTCTAACACCCCAGCTAATAATTTCATATGATGATGATGATGATGATGATGATGATGATTGACATCTATCAAATCTATGTGCTGTGGACTTATCTGAGATTTAAATGTATTAACTTAGTCTTCATAGCAATTCTATGAGGCAGGTACTTGTTATCCTCAATTACTGTAAGGAAACTAAGGTACAGAGAGGTTAAGAAACTTGCCCAAAATCACACAGTTGTTAAAGAGAAGATCTGGACTTTGAACTCAGGGAATCTTTTTCCAGGACCTGCACTCTCAACCACCATTCTTTCATTTACTCAAAAAATACTAATTGAGCATCTACAAAATGAAGGTACTCTCCAAAATTCTGGGGTGAAGAGTGAACAAAGCAGATAAAATCTCTGCTCTGACACATGCACACATATGTTTATTGCAGCACTATTCACAATAGCAAAGACTTGGAACCAACCCAAATGTGCAACAATGATAGACTGGATTAAGAAAATGTGGCACATATACACCATGGAATACTATGCAGCCATAAAAAATGATGAGTTCATGTCCTTTGTAGGGACATGGATGAAATTGGAAATCATCATTCTCAGTAAACTATCGCAAGGACAAAAAACCAAACACCGCATGTTCTCGCGCATAGGTGGGAATTGAACAATGACAACACATGGACACAGGAAGGGGAACATCACACTCTGGGGACTGTTGTGGGGTGGGGAGTGGGGGGAGGGATAGCATTAGGAGATATACCTAATGCTAAATGACGAGTTAATGGGTGCAGCACACCAGCATGGCACATGTATACATATGTACCTAACCTGCACATTGTGCACATGTACCCTAAAACTTAAAGTATAATAATAATAATAATAATAAAATCTCTGCTCTTGTGGAGTTTGCATTCTAGTGAGAAGAGACAGGTAACAAACAAACAAGTAAATACACAATACATCAGACGATAATAAGTGGTATGAAACATAAGACAGGATGAAGGAAAAACAAAGTTCCAAAGGTGAGGAAGAAAACCGATTTTAAATATGCTGGTCAATAATGTCTAATAAGACATTTGATTAGAGACCTGAAGGAAGTGAGGTCTGGGAGAGCCATGTGGCTATTTGGAGGCATGGCATTTCAAGCAGGGGAATAGCAAAAAGGCCCTGGGCAGAAGCAAGTTTGTCACGCTATACTGAGAAGCCAGTGTGACTTGGGCAGGACAGGCAGGAGGTGAGGTCATATAGACAAGTGAGGACAAAATCACTGGGGGTCTCAAGGGTCCCCTGAGATCTTATAAGATCTTTGGCTTTTATTCTGAAACCAGAATCCATTGGAAGACTTTGAGCAGAGGAGTGGCATGATTGATTTAAGTTTTTATAGGGATCGCTCCGTCTACCAAGTGAACAATAAATTCTAAGGGAGCAAGAGTTAGGGCAGAAAAACCAGTAAGGAGGCCCTTATGATGATCCAGACAAAGATGCCATTAACTTGTACCAGATGGTAGCTGTAGTGAACATGGTGAGATACCTAATTATGGGTTTATTGCATGTATGGATTTCTTTTAGAGATAAATCCAACCATTCCTGCTCATGGATCAGGGGGAGTTAATGATGACTCCAAGTTTTTTATTTTGACCTGAGCAAATGGGAAAACTACACTGCCATTTGCTGAGACTGGGAGAACCAGCAAAGGAACAAGTTTGGGGCCATGGAAATCAAGAGAATGGTATGGGGTGTGTTAAGTTTAGATGGCTATTAGTCATCCACATACAAACATTGGGTAGGTAGTTTGATATTTAAGCCTAGAATTCAGGAAAAATATTCAGGCTGGAGTCAGAAACTTGGGATTCATTAGACACTATTCAAAAACCTGAGATTCATACTAAGGAGTGAGCCTACATGGAGAAGAGGCCCAAAGACAAAGATTGCAGTATGCCAATGTTTAGAGATCAGGTGACAGTCAAAGCCAGCCAAGGGGACTGAGCTGTGGCTAATGAGGTAAGAGGAGGACAAATCATGTCCTGGAAACCAGTGAAGAAAGTGTTTCCACTGAAACAAATGTTGCAGAGAGGCAAAGTATGTGGTGATCTGAGATCAATGAATTTAGCAACATAGAGGTCACTGACAAGAGCTGTTTCAACAGAATGGATGAGAGGCACTAAGCCATGCTACCTCTGTAGATGGAACCTAGCTTCTCTTCAGAGATTTTATTTCCCCTCAAAGTTCTTCAGTCTCAAAAAAGTGAAGTCCCCATGCTGTGTAACAGCATTTCATCTAAGAATCAATACTCTGGCCTTTGCCTGGATGTGGAGTCCTGTGAACAGTCCATAAAAGGTCCTGGTTGTAACCTTCATCCCCACAATCCACACCAGGCACCCTGAACCTCTCAACTCCACCTTCAAGCCACTAGTTACATCCTCAACTTCAGTGCCCCAGGGATCCTACACAGATCTAACCTGGATACTGAGCCCAGGGCTGTCTCTTAATTATTTAGAGTCTAAGCCTTGGGGACAACCTCTGAGTCCTCTCTCTTCCTCTGTTGTCATGGCCACCCCCTTATCCTCTCCTGTCATCTTTCTTTCTTCTCCATCATCTCCTTCTCTATCTAATCAAGTATTCAATGAGATACCTCAGTGACGTAGTGACCTTCTGTCTAAACTCAGCAAAAATTTCATGCTGGTTGTGGTCCAGCCTCCTGTAGCTGGGTCTGGCCTATGTTGATCCATGGAGGAGAAGATGGACTAGCCTACATCTCCCTCCCTAGGAACCCCTCAGGTTGCCAACTGCTGAATGGTATAACGAAATGTGAGCTGAGTGGGTAGAAGACGCATGAACGCAAAGATAAAGCCAGCTCTGGTGATCACTGCCTCAATCCCCCAGGGCCACAGACAACAGACTTTATCCTGTGTCTTCATGACACACACACGCATCCACATGCACATGTGCCTGAGGATTTCCAAGCTGCCTGATCTCCACATTTACTACCATGAGTGCCTGATTTAATAGGTCCTAGTGACAACAACTTTATTATATCAGAGTGCAGGGAGAAAATCAGGCCCAGCCCTCATCATCTCTGCTGTGCGGAGGGGTGTGAGAAGTAGCATTCTGCCAGCACAGAGCTATCCAGCACCTGGGAGGCCCTGTAATTGAGTGTCTACCATGAGAAAGGAGCTGGAGAAAGCTGACCTTCCCTGCAAGCACCTGCTCATATCTCCCTGGGTCCCTTCCCCAGAGCCCAGCCTCCCACTACCCCCAACTCATGTGGGGCTGAGTAGACTGTAGGGAAAGGGCCACAGCCACAGTGGAGATGGAGAAATACATTCTCCATAGATTAATTTCAGAAGGGCCTGTGCTGGGGCCAGGGGAAAACAGACCCAGGAGAAGCCTCCCAGTGGCCATTTTACAGCACAGAGCCAGACAGTGGCAAGAGACTGCAGCCAGTAGCCCTTCCTCTGAGTGAGTAGGAAATGGAATTGCTGGGCTGGTGAAGCCTCTGGTGGTGCAAGAAGAGCTGCTCATGCTAAACAGTTCCTCTCAGGTCCAGCCTGGCCAAAGACTAACATCATTATCTATCTATCTATCTATCTATCTATCTATCTATCTATTTAGCTTTCTCTCCCCAGCACTGTCAGAGTATGTAAGAGGGCATTTCTCATTCACTGCCCTGGAAACTAAGAGCAGAGAGACCTCAAGGGCACTTGTTCTCCACAGCAGGTCCTGGCCAACAACGGAGGGTACGGAGCTGATGCTGGAGGCTGGCCAGGTCTCTCAGCTCCTACAAAAGGTCCCACTGGGAACAGATGTCTGGTTAGGGGTCAGACTAGGGATGGGGGCATCTAAAAGTCTTAGTGGAAGGGAAAAAGAAGAAGACAAGGTGCAGCCCCTGGAGAAGACCTGGCATCTCCACAGACATCGAGGTTCAGGAATGCTGTTCCTGTGGCCCCAGACCCTGAGGTCAGAGCAGACTATCTTATAAAAAGGAAGGGAGATTTCTAGGATCCTTTATCCAATGTGTCTCCAGAATTAGGATTTTGGTTGGTTGGTCGATTAATTGGTTAGTTGATTGGTTCTACCATACAGTAACAGAAATATGTAAAATGGTTATGTGAATAGCATTTGGCAAGTAACATCTCAGAGCCTGAGAGAAGTCACAAAAATCTATTCCAACAAAATGAAGCAGGGAACATTCACACAGGTGGCATTGGGAAGGGGCAGAGGCACTTGTCACCAGCAAATCCCCCATCCCACTCTGCCTTGGCCCAAGCTGAAGAAGCAGCCAGGATCCTTCTCTGACTTTTTATCCTGCCCCGCAGGGCTGGCCTGATGCCCCAGAGGTTGACTGAGCTCAGCTCCTTTTGTTGTTTCAGGAAGCAGCTGTGAGGAAAACAGTCCCATTTCAAAGTACTTGTGATTGCTGCAGACCCAGGAGGAAGCCTTTTCTTCCCAAAGGGAAAGCCAGCTGCACTTGCCCCTAAGCCCAGATGTGCAGATGAAAATTTCTCATGTCTTGTTGTCTAAGGTTTGAATGTTTTAACCTCCAAAGTGTCAGATGGACTCTGAGAGCTGCAAAAAGTTTAACTAAAATAGTTCAGTTGCTAAAGGAGAGGCTGAGGAGGATGAGAGAAGTTGACCCACCCATCCCCAGAACCCAGAAGAACGACAGCTTTAAGGAGGTTGGATGGAAAGCTGAACACATTCAGACAGAGCCTGCTCTCCATCAGCCTCCCTGGAGATGAGGGGCTGGCTGCTGCAATGGGAGCTCTGTCCCTATGTACCTCCTCTTCGCAAGGGGTGTAAAGCTCTGCAGGAGGTTTCCATCTCACCTCCTTGAGGATATTGATGGACATCCACCCTCTTAAATCTATACTCTAAAAGGCATGTAATTTAGTGGAACCCTCCCACTCACCTCTCACCTTCTACAGCACAACTCCCAGCTCACTGGAAGGAAAGACATAGCCAGGAGAGAAAGGAAGGAATGTCAACGTTGTTGAAGAGAGGAGGAGTTCCTTAACACCTCAGGGGCTCAGCTGGGTTTCCACAGTGGAGGACAGTGAGTGGGGCTACCCCACCCCTGGTCCAGCAGTAGACACACGACTCAGGCCTGGCCAGGCAGAAAACTCCATACTTGGCCACAATAGTTGGTTCAGAGATGGCACGAGACCCATAACAGTCCAAGAAGAGTCAGTTCTGACATTCTTTATGGAATTAAGAGAAATAGTTACTCTGCTGGAAATAGAAGCCAAGAATTCATTCTCACTCTAAAGGGAGAAAATCTTCCTGAGAATGAAGTCAACCAACAAAAAATAAGAGCTGAGAATTAAAAAGATGTGGATCCTTGATGACATTATGTAAGCACCTGGATCTAGCCATGTATAAAGCCAGTTTGCTTTGCAATATTACCCAACGTATTTTCCCTCTCAGTACTTCCTTTTCCCTCTGCAGTGTAAGGGAACAAATCCGACAAGCCTTAGTTTTGACTCTCAAAAGCAAGTTGTTTTATTCCATATCTAACTAATAGCCTGGAAAGGAGGAAATTCAAGAGCAAGGGTTTTGTTGAGAGAAGACCAAGCATGGAATTTGTTTTATAAATCAGAGGGTAGGAAAGAAACTGGCTATGATGTCAGAGCAGTTGCCCATTACCTAGCTTTCCCTGGGCTTAGGGAAGGAGCTAAAAGATTTGGAGAGAACATAACTAGATTATAAATGCTGCCTGAACTCTCTGAGAAGGAGCCTAGCTAGGGAGGTAAGGAGAGATGCTTGAAAACCTGGAGAGGTAAAAGAGGCATCTAAAAATAACAAGGATTGTACCACAATTCCCAGGCACAACTGAGAGAGTCTACAAGCATCTCAGAGAAGCCCTAAATGCAGCACAGAGCTTGTGTTGGTTTTAAAATGTGCCAACAAATTATTTGACTCTATTCCCTTTAAAAGTTTTACAGCCAAATTTCTCACCCCTTCAACTCAGTGACTCACATCTAACAAATAGATTGTGATAAAAGTAACTGTATGTTACACTGAGATTAGATTAGTCATTAGAGGTATTGAAGCTTTCTCCTCATTCTCACTCTCTTGAATCACTCACTCCAGGGAAGCCAGCTGCCATGTCATAAGGATACTCAAGCAGCCATGTGGAGAGGTCCACATGGTGAGAAACAATCAGCAAGGAATGAAGCCTCCTGCAACAGCATGTGAGCAAGGCTTTTTGAAAGAGGATCCTCCAGCCCCAGTCAAGTATCCAGATGATTGCAGCCCTAGCTGATATCTTGAGTATAACCTCATGAGAGACTGTGAGCCACACCTCACAACCACCGAGCTAAACTGCTACCATATTCCTAACCCACAAGACTGTAAAAGATAATAAATACTATTGTTGTTTCAAACCACTAAGTTTTGAGATAATTTGTTAACAGCAACATATAACTAGTTCACAATAAGGTGCCTGAGCAGTAATGACTGTGAAAAATTACCAAGAGGTGAGCCTGAGGGGACCCTCATCAAGGCCCATGCATCCCATTCTGTTGGCCAGAGGCAAGCCAAGTGTTTCTTCATCATCCAGCAGATGCTGTGGAACTCTGATATCAAGGCAAGAGCCATGGGTATCAGAAGCAGTGGCCAAAACACTGCCCAGAGGTCTGGCCTAACCAGCTGTGCCTTAGCTGATCTCAGCAGGCAAGATCCAAAGGCCAAAGGAGATGAGACCCTTCCAAGCAGGCACTGAGGACTACATAACAGTGCCTGCCAAAGGGCCTGCTACACCTGGGTGTCTAGCTAGGAGAAGGAAAGGAGAAAAGGGACAAGGCATGCTGAAAGACTAAGAATTTACCCAGAGAAAACTGAGTATATGAGAAGTTTTAAACTAGAAATGATAATTAACTTTGTTGGATGAGTTTAAGTTTATACCACTTCCAATGAGAAATGTTTATGAGCAAGTTGTGTTCAACTACAGAAAATAAAGTTATCTTTCCATACATCTGAAATATGACAACATATCTTAAATCCACTACACATTTTTGTATATTGTGAAATATTTCAGATATACCAAAAATAAAATGAATACACCCTAAGAAATAAGAAGTTAAATTTCCCAGGGTACTCCTCCTTGATCACATTACTATTCTACCCATCATCATCATTCCCTTGCATTTCTTTTTATTTTAACTACAAATATATTTAGCCCCTCAATAAAAAAAAGTATAATTTTGCATACTTTTAATCTCTTGGTAAATAGCATTATATTGTAGGTACTTTTCTGCAACTTCTTTTTTGTTTAACATTATAGTTGTGAGATTCACTTCTTTTGAAATTTGTAATTCCAGATACATCTAGTTAATTTAATTTCTTACTCCATTTAAATTTATTATGGTTACTGATTATTTCTGTTATCTTATTTTGGCCTTTCTAGTTTTTTCTAAGCATCCTCTTTTTATCTTTTCCTGATAACTTTTAAATTGATTAGATTATCTTATTCAATTGTTTCCCTCTACTGATTTAGAAGTGCACACTTTACTTCTAATATGCAATATTTAGCCTTAATTTTTAAATTTACATTTAACAAAGTTTAACATTATTCAGTATTGCTATATTTTTCATAACAATTCAACTCCAGTCAAATATTTCTCTTACTACCTATTACTGGTGACTAATATTTTTAATTTTTACCCACAAATTAAACATTATTGTTGTTGCTTAATATAGTAAATATTTATATTTATCAACTTTATCAATTCCTTTGATCACTATTTTCCTGCATCTTACATTTTCCTTTTCAGATCATTTCCTTTTTTCCTGACAAAGTATATTAAGTCTGATGGTGGCAAATGCTCTCAGTTTTTGCTTGTCTAAAAAGTATCCTTGTTTTACCTTCATGTTGGGAATAGGCCCCCAAATCTGGCCATAAACTGGCCCCAAAAGTGGCCATAAACAAAATCTCTGCAGCACTGTGACATGTTCGTGATGGCCATGACCCCCATGCTGAAGGTAGTGGGTTTACTGGAATGAGGGCAAGGAACACCTGGCCCACCCAGGGTGGAAAACCACTTAAAGGTGTTCTTAAACCACAAACAATAGCATGAGCAATCTGTGCCTTAAGGACATGTTCCTGCTGCAGATAACTAGCCAGAGCCCATCCCTTTGTTTCAGCCCATCCCTTTGTTTCCCATAAGGAATACTTTTAGTAAATCTATAATCTATAGAAACAATGCTTATCACTGGCTTGCTGTCAATAAATACGTGGGTAAATTTCTGTTCAGGGCTCTCAGCTCTGAAGGCTATGAGACCCCTGATTTCCCACTCCACACCCTATATTTCTGTATGTGTGTCTTTAATTCCTCTAGTGCCGCCAGGTTAGGGTCTCCATGACCGAGCTGGTCTCGGCACCTTCATTCTTGAATAATGTGTTGGTAAGCAATTCTAGGTTGGTAATTATTTTCTCTTCAAGCTTGAGATATTATTCCATTAGATGATATTGTTGCAGCTGATGTGTCAGGTGTCTAATTGTTATTTCTTAGGCTGGGCATGGTGGCTCGTGCCTGTAATCCCAGCACTTTGGGAGGCTGAGGCAGTGGATCAATTGAGGTCAGGAGTTGGAGAGCAGACTGGCCAACGTGGCAAAACCCCATCTCTACTAAATATACACAAATTAGCTGGCTTTGGTGGCATATGCCCATAATCCCAGGTACTCAGGAAACTAAGGCAGGAGAATCACTTGAACCCAGGAAGTGGAGGTTGCAGTGAGCTGAGATCCTGCCACTGCACACCACCCTGAGCAACAGAGAGACTCCATCTCAAAAAAAAAGGCATTTCTTTATAGATAATCTGTCTTCTTTTTGACTACTTTTAACATCTCTCTTTGTTTTTCCAGTTTTACTATGATGAAACTAGGTATGGGTTTGTTTTTATTTATCTTACTTGAAACTCATTTTGTTTACTGAATCTGAGGATTCATATCTTTCTTTAATTCTAGAAAACAATCAGCTATTATTTCATCAAATATTTTCTCTGTTCTCTTCTCTGACTCCTCTCTTCTGGAACACCAAATAGAAGAATTATAATTTCTCAGTTTATCATCCTCATCTCATACCCTCTCTTTTACATTTTCTATCTCTTTTTCTCTGTTGCATTCTGGGTAATTTCTTCACATCTAGTTAATCCTCTCTTAACCAATGCCTAAATCTATTCCCTGATGTTTAAACATTCACTGAATTTTAAAACTTGAATCATCATGGGTGGATCATTCCAAAATGGCCGAATAGGAATAGCTCCAGTCTATAGCTCCCAGTGTGAGCGATGCAGAAGACGGGTGATTTCTGCATTTCCAACTGAGGTACTGGGTTCATCTCACTGGGACTTGTTGGACAGTGGGTGCAGAACACAGAGTGTGAGCTGAAGCAGGGTGGGGCATCACCTCACCCGGGAAGTACAAGAGGTCGGGGAATTCCCTTTCCTAGCCAAGGGAAGCCGTGACAGACGGTACCTGGAAAATTGGGACACTCCCGCCCTAATACTGTGCTTTTCCAATGGTCTTAGCAAACGGCACACCAGGAGATTATATCCCATGCCTGGCTCAGCAGGTCCCACACCCATGGAGCTTTGCTCACTGCTAGCACAGCAGTCCAAGATTGAACTGTGAGGCGGCAGCCCGGGCTGGGGGAGGGGCGTCCGCCATTGCTGAGGCTTGACTAGGTAAACAAAGTGGCCAGGAAGCTCGAACTGGGTGAAGCCCACCACAGCTCAAGGAGGCCTGCCTGCCTCTATAGACTCCACCTCTGGGGGAAGGGCACAGCTGAACAAAAGGCAGCAGAAACTTCTGCAAATTTAAACGTCCCTGTCTGACAGTTTTCAAGAGAGCAGTGGTTTTCCCAGCACAGAGTTTGAGATCTGAGAATGGATAGACTACCTCCTCAAGTGGGTCACTGACCCCTGAGTAGCCTAACTGGGAGACATCTCCCAGTAGGGGCCAAATGACACCTCATACAGCCAGGTGCCCCTCTGAGACAAAGCTTCCAGAGGAAGGATCAGGCAGCAACATTTGCTGTTCTGGAACATTTGCTGTTCTGCAGCCTCCGCTGGTGATACCCAGGCAAACAGGGTCTGGAGTGGACCTCCAGCAAACTCCAACAGACCTGCAGCTGAGGGTCCTGACTGTTAGAAGGAAAACTAACAAACAGAAAGGAATAGCATCGACACCAACAAAAAGGACATCCACACAAAACCCCATCTGTAGGTCACAATCATCAAAGATCAAAGGTAGATAAAACCACAAAGATGGGGAGAAACCAGAGCAGAAAAGCTGAAAATTCTAAAAATCAGAGTGCCTCTTCTCCTCCAAAGAAATGTAGCTCCTCGCCAGCAATGGAACAAAGCTGGACAGAGAATGACTTTGACGAGCTGACAAAAGTAGGCTTCAGAAGATCAGTCATAACAAACTTCACTGAGCTAAAGGAGGATGTTTGAACCCATCACAAAGAAGCTAAAAACCTTGAAAAAAGACTAGATGAATGGCTAACTAGAATAAACAGCATAGAGAAGACCTTAAATGACCTGATGGAGCTGAAAACCATGGCACAAGAACTACCTGAGGCATGCACAAGCTTCAGTATCCTATTCGGTCAAGTGGAAAAAAGGGTATCAGTGATTGAAGAGCAAATGAATGAAATGAAGCAAGAAGAGAATTTTAGAGGAAAAAGAAATGAACAAAGCCTCCAAGAAATATGGGACTATGTGAAAAGACCAAATCTACGTCTGATTGGTGTACCTGAAATTGACAGGGAGAATGGAACCAAGTTGGAAAGCACTCTTCAGGATATTATCCATGAGAACCTCCCCAACCTAGCAAGGCAGGCCAACATTCAAATTCAGAAAATACAGAGAATGCCACAAAGATACTCCTCGAGAAGAGCAACCCCATGACACAAAATTGTCAGACTCACCAAGGTCGAAATGAAGGAAAAAATGTTAAGGGCAGCCAGAGAGAAAGTCTGGGTTACCCACAAAGGGAAGCCCATCAGACTAACAGTGGATCTCTCAGCAGAAACTCTCAAAGCCAGAAGAGAGTGGGGGCCAATATTCAACATTCTTAAGGAAGAGAATTTTCAATCCAGAATTTCATATCCAGCCAAACTAAGTTTCATAAGTGAAGGAGAAATAAAATCCTTTACAGACAAGCAAATGCTGAGAGATTTTGTCACCACCAGACCTGCCTTAGAAGAGCTCCTGAAGGAAGCAGTAAACATGGAAAGGAACAACCAGTATCAGCCACTGCAAAAACATGCCAATTTGTAAAGACCATCGATGCTAGGAAGAAACTGCATCAACTAACGAGCAAAATGACCGGCTAACATGATAATGACAGGATCAAATTCACACATAACAATATTAACCTTAAATGTAAATTGGCTAAATACCCCAATTAAAAGACACAGACTGGCAAATTGGATAAAGAATCAAGACCCATCTGTGTGCTGTATTCAGGAGACGCATCTCACATGCAGAGACACACATAGGCTCAAAATAAAGGGATGGAGGAAGTTCTACCAAGCAAATGGAAAACAAAAAAGCAGGGGTTGCAATCCTAGTCTCTGATAAAACAGACTTTAAACCAACAAAGATCAAAAGAGACAAAGAAGGCCATTACATAATGGTAAAGGGATCAATTCAACAAGAAGAGCTAACTATCCTAAATATATATGCACTCAATACAGGAGCACCAGAATTCATAAAGCAAGTCCTTAGAGACCTGCAAAGAGACTTAGACTCCCACACAATAATAATGGGAGACTTTAACACCCCACTGTCAACATTAGACAGATCAACGAGACAGAAAGTTAACAAGGATATCCAGGAATTGAACTCAGCTCTGCACTAGGTTGACCTAACAGACATCTACAGAACTCTCCACCCCAAATCAACAGAATATACATTCTTCTCAGCACCACATCGCACTTATTCCAAAATTGACCACACAGTTGGAAGTAAAGCACTCCTCAGCAAATGTAAAAGAACAAAAATTATAACAAACTGTCTCTCAGACCACAGTGCAATCAAACTAGAACTCAGGATTAAGAAACTCACTCAAAAACGCTCAACTACATGGAAACTGAACAACCTGCTCCTGAATGACTACTGGGTAAATAACGAAATGAAGGCAGAAATAAAGATGTTCTCTGAAACCAATGAGAACAAAGACACAACATACCAGAATATCTGGGACACATTTAAAGCAGTGTGTAGAGGGAAATTGATAGCACTAAATGCCCCCAAGAGAAAGCAGGAAAGACCTAAAATCAACACCCTAAGCTCAAAATTAAAAGAACTAGAGAAGCAAGAGCAAACCCATTCAAAAGCTAGCAGAAGGCAAGAAATAACTAAGATCAGAGCAGAACTGAAGGAGATAGAGACACAAAAAATCCTTCAAAAAATCAATGAATCCAGGAGCTGCTTTTTTCAATAAGAGCAACAAAATAGGCAGACCGCTAGCAAGACTAATAAAGAAGAAAAGAGAGAAGAATCAAATAGATGCAATAAAAAATGATAAAGGGGATATCACCACTGATCCCACAGAAATACAAACTACCATCAGAGAATACTATAAACACCTCTACACAAATAAACTAGAAAATCTAGGCCGGGCGCGGTGGCTTACGCCTGTAATCCCAGCACTTTGGGAGGCTGAGGTAGGTGGATCACAAGGTCAGGAGATCGAGACCATCCTGGCTAACATGGTGAAACCCAGTCTCTAATAAAAGTACAAAAAAATTAGCCGGGCATAGTGGCGGGCACCTGTAGTCCCAGCTACTCAGGAGGCTGAGGCAGGAGAATGGCATGAACCTGGGAGGCAGAGCTTGCAGTGAGCTGAGATAGTGCCACTGCACTCTAGTACTCTAGCCTGGGTGACAGAGTGAGACTCCGTCTCAAAAAAAAAAAAAAAGAAAGAAAGAAAGAAGAAAAGAAAATCTAGAAGAAATGGATAAATTCCTGGACACATACACCCTCCCAAGACTAAACCAGGAAGAAGTTGAATCCCTGAATAGACCAATAACAGGCTCTGAAATTGAGGCAATAATTAATAGCCTACCAACCAAAAAAAGTCCGGGACCAGACGGATTCAAAGCCAAATTCTACCAGAGGTACAAAGAGGAGCTGGTACCATTCCTTCTGAAACTATTCCAATCAATAGAAAAAGACAGAATCCTCTCTAACTCATTTTATGAGGCCAGAATCATCCTGATACCAAAGCCGGGCAGAGACAACAACAAAATAGAATTTTAGACCAATATCCCTGATGAACATCAATGCAAAAATCCTCAATAAAATACTGGCAAACCACATCAAAAAGCTTATCCACCACGATCAAGTTGGCTTCATCCCTGGGATGCAAGTCTGGTTCAACATACACAAATCAATAAACGTAATCCATCATATAAACAGAACCAAAGACAAAAACCACATGATTATCTCAATAGATGCAGATAAGGCCTTAGACAAAATTCAGCAGCCCTACATGCCAAAAAACTTTCAATAAACTAGGTATTGATGGGATGTATCTCAAAATAATAAGAGCTATTTATGACAAACCCACAGCCAATATCAAACTGAATGGGCAAAAACTGGAAGCATTCCCTTTGAAAACTGGTACAAGACAGGGATGCCCTCTCTCACCACTCCTATTCAACATAGTGTTGGAAGTTCTGGCCAGGGTAATCAGGCAGGAGAAATAAATAAAGAGATATTCAATTAGGAAAAGAGGAAGTCAAATTGTCCCTGTTTGCAGATGACATGATTGTATATTTAGAAAACCCCACCGTCTCAGCCCAAAATCTCCTTAAGCTGATAAGCAACTTCAACAGTCTCAGGATACAAAATCAATGTGCAAAAATCACAAGCATTCCTAAACACCAATAACAGACAAAGAGAGAGCCAAATCATGAGTGAACTCCCATTCACAATTGCTTCAAAGAGAATAAAATACCTAGGAATACAACTCACAAGGGATGTGAAGGACCTCTTCAAGGAGAACTACAAACCACTGCTCAATGACATAAAAGGGGACACAAACAAATGGAAGAACATTCCATGCTCATGGATAGGAAGAATGAATATCATCGAAATGGCCATACTGCCCAAGGTAATTTACAGATTTAATGCCATCCCCATCGAGCTGCCAATGACTTTCTTCACAGAATTGGAAAAAACTACTTTAAGGCTCATATGGAACCAAAAAAGAGGCCGCATTGCCAAGACAATCCTAAGCCAAAAGAACAAAGCTGGAGGCATCATGCTACCTGACTTCAAACTATACTACAAGGCTACAGTAACCAAAACAGCAGCGTACTGGTACCAAAACAGAGAGATAGACCAATGGAACAGAACAGAGCCCTCAGAAATAATACCACACATCTACCACCATCTGATCTTTGACAAACCTCACAAAAACAAGAAACAGGGAAAGGATTCCCTATTTAATAAATGGTGCTGGGAAAACTGGCTAGCCATATGTAGAAAGCTGAAACTGGATCCCTTCCTTACACCTTATATAAAAATTAATTCAAGATGGATTAAAGACTTAAATGTTAGACCTAAAACCATAAAAACCCTAGAAGAAAACCTAGGCAATACCATTCAGGACATAGGCATGGGCAAGGACTTCATGTCTAAAACACCAAAAGCAATGGCAAAAAAAGCCAAAATAGACAAATGGGATCTAATTAAACTAAACAGCTTCTGCACAGCAAAAGAAACTACTATGAGAGGGAACAGGCAACCTACAGAATGGGAGAAAATTTTTTGCAATCCACCCATCTGACAAAGGGCTGATATCCAGAATCTACAATGAACTCAAACAAATTCACAAGAAAAAATCAAACAACCCCATCAAAAAGTGGGTGAAGGATATGAACAGACACTTCTCAAAAGAAGACATTTATGCAGCCAACAGACACATGAAAAAATGCTCATTATCACTGGCCATCAGAGAAATGCAAATCAAAACCACAATGAGATACCATCTCACACCGGTTAGAATGGCAATCATTAAAAAGTCAGGAAACAACAGGTGCTGGAGAGGATGTGGAGAAATAGGAACACTTTTACACTGTTGGTGGGAGTGGAAACTAGTGTGGAAGGGAGTGTGGTGATTCCTCAAGGATCTAGAACTAGAAATACCATTTGACCCAGCAATCCCATTACTGGGTATATACCCAAAGGATTATAAATCATGCTACTATAAAGACACGTGCACATGTATGTTTACTGTGGCACTATTCACAATAGCAGAAACTTGGAACCAACCCAAATGTCAATCAATGATAGACTGGATTAAGAAAATGTGGCACATATACACCATGGAATACTATGCATCCATTAAAAAGGATGATCCATTGTAGGGACATGGATGAAGCTGGAAACCATCATTCTGAGCAAATTCTCGCAAGGACAAAAAACCAAACACTGCATGTTCTCACTCATAGGTGGGAACTGAACAATAAGAATGCTTGGACACAGGGTGGGGAACATCACACACCGGGGCCTATTGTGGGGTGGGTGTGGGGGGAGGGATAGCATTAGGAGGAATACCTAATGTAAATGATGAGTTAATGGATGCAGCACACCAACATGGCACATGTATACATATGTAACAAACCTGCACATTGTGCACATGTACCCTAGAACTTAAAGTACAATAAAAAATTTTTTGAATTAAAAAAATTTTAATTTTTCAAAGTTCAGGTTGGTTCTTTTATCAATTCTGCTGGTATTTTTTGATAGCATCTTGTCTCTTTCTCATGTTTTTAATTTCTTCTCTTTCTTAAACGTTTTAAACTTTGGTAATTTTATATTCTATACCTCTAAATTCTAACACTTTAAATCTTTGTCTAAATCTGCTGTTTTCTGTTTCGGTTTGGTTTGATTTTATTTGACACCCTCAGAGTGCTTTGTTTCCTTGTGTGTTTTGTAATTTTGTATTGTATGTTTATGCTTGGCAGGATTTTATCTATTGAAATCCTGTGAAACCAAACCAAGGGAAGATTTATGTCTTCTATCTGGAACACTTAATTTAAATTCTTGGGTTAGAGCTTTCTAGGCCAAGTAGGTAACAATTAATTCAAACCACAAATATGCAGGCGGACAGGACAATAGATACAACTTCTCAAAGAACGGTAATTTTTTTGACAACCAATCCTAGACAAGAGCAAAGCCTAGAGAAACAAGTTTCCAGGCCATGTTCTTTGATACCAGGTGGACTTTTAAAGTTTACTTTTTATCTGAGAACACAGCCCAAGGGCTTTATCCAGGGGTCTCAGTCCCAAATTTGCTTCGATCTCAGGCATGGTCTCCTGTCACCCAAGCCTCTGGGTTACTGAAACTAAAAGTCACAAAATACCTGTTAAAGAAAATTATTCAGTGACACTTGATAGAGTAAGGTAAGGAAGACTTTCCATCACAATAGGTACAGGTACCACTACAATGTGGTCTTGCAGTGGGAGAGATTGGGGTCAAGTATGAAACAACATGGGCAAGTGGGAATTTATAGCCAACGAATACGGTGGGGGTCAGTGGATGAAAAATTAGTAAGAGAAAAATATCAAGGGTAAGAGGGATTCTGGCTAACCCAAACTAACGGGATTCATGTGAAGATAGGCCAAGGTGATCAGACATCACCTAGGGGATGAAGGATGAGGGGCCTGATCAGAGATTGAGAGTGATCAGATATCAAGGGTTGAGGGGGTTCTTGCTAAACTGACTTAGCAAGGCTCTTTGCGAAAACTGGATTTTACAAAGAGGTGTACAAATGAGCCTAGAAGGTTCAGAAGCCTGACTAAAGTTTGGCCAAGCAAATAATCTTTGTCATAACCTCAGTCCCAAGACACATTTCATTTTTTGGCTTCTGGGATTTTTTTATTTTTCTAGCTAACTTGGCAATACATTTAAATGGAGGTATGTTTAATTTTATCCAGCATATCCAGGAATTTTAAACTGGGAGTTTTTTAAACTATACGTGCCACTATAATGTTCCCCTCATATGGTTTTCAAAGATCACTCAGCTTGCAATGTGTGAAATAGTTTGGAGAGGAGAAACATGCAAAAGCAGGAAGACCTACTAGGAGACTACTGCAGATATTTACACAAGACAGAATAACTCATAAGACGATTGTGATGGCAGAGACAGAGGGAAATATGAGGAAATTTCAAAATGTTGTGGAAAAATCAATTAAAAGATTAAAAAATATAAAATATAAACTTTATTTCTCAACATAAGTTCCACCAACTTCAAGACACTTTCGTAAGAAATGACACCAGCCATTTAGTACACCCTAAAGAACTGAGGGTCCTGGAGACTTAACCACATCAATACAGTCCTTTTTACATTATTAACTGAAGAAAACTGGGTGCCCTTGACAGAATTTCTTAAGATTAAGAAACAAAAAGAAGTCAGAAGGAGCCAAATCAGGTGGATGCCTAAAGATTTCCCATTGAAACTCTAACAAAATTGTTCTTGTATGATGAGAGACATGAGCAAAAGCATTGTCACGGTGGAGAAGAACTGTCTAGTGAAGCTTTCTCAGGTGTTTTTCTGCTAAAGCTTTGGCTAACTTTCCCAAAACACTCTCAATAGGCAAATTAATGTTATCATTCTTTGGTCCTCCACAAAGTCAACAAGGAAAATACCTTGAGTAGCCTAAAAAAACTGTTGCCATTACCTTTGCTCTTGACTGGTCTGCTTTGCTTTGACTTCCTCCGCTTGATAGACATTGCTTTGATTGTGCTTTTTCTTCAGGATCATACTGGTGAAGCCATATTTCATCTCCTGTTACAATTCTTTGATGAAATGCTTCAGGATTGTATTAGTCTGTTTTCACACTTCTATAAAGAACTGCTGGGGACTGGGTAATTTATAAAGAAAACAGGTTTAATTGAGTCACAATTCCGCATGTCCCAGGAGGCCTCAGGAAACTTATAATCATGGTGGAAGGCAAAGGGGAAGCAAAGACCTTCTTCACATGGTGGCAGGAAAAACAGTAAGTGAAAAGCCCACAGGAAACTGCTACTTATAAAACCATCAGATCTCATGGGAACACCCTCACTATCATGAGGACAGCATGGGGGAAACTGCCCCCATGATCCAATCACCTCCCACCAGGTCTTTCCCTCAATAGCTGGGGATTACAATTCAAGATGAGATTTGGGTGAGGTCACAAAGCCATATCAAGGATCTTGACCCCACTTGTTTAAACTTTCCACTGAAAGCTCTCCTCTTAACTGTAGCAGATCTGGGTACAACAGTTTTGTTACCTATCGAGTTGAAAGTTTGCTCCACTGTAACTTTTCAGTCAGAATTGTGTAAACTGACCCAACTGAGATGTCTATGGTGTTGGCTATTGTTTCTGCTGTTGTCAGTTCTCTTCAATTAGGGCACAAACAAGATGAATTTTTTTCCTCACAAAGTGATGTGGATAGTCTGCCACTATCTGTATCTTCAACATCATCTCCTCCCCTTTTTGTTGAGACAGGTTCTCACTCTGTTACCCAGGCTGCAGCACGGTGGTGCAATCATAGCTCACTGCAACCTTGAACTGCTGGGCTCAAGCAATCCTCCTGCCTCAGCCTCCCAAGACGCTGGAACTACAGGTGTGCACCACCACACTTGGCTAATTTTTAAATTTTTAGTGAGATGAGGTCTCGCTATGTTGCCCAGGCTGGTCTCAAACTCCTGGGCTTGAGAGAGGCTCGTGCATAATCCTCCCAAAGTGCTGGGATTACAGGCATGAGCCACCATGCTTGTCCATCTCCTCGTTTCTTAAAATGAGTTATGCATTTGTAGACTGATGATTTATTTGGGGCATTGTCCTCATAAACTTTTCATAAGGCATCAATTTCATCATTCTTCACCAGAAACTCCATGTTTGTTCTTGCTTCAATTTTAGCAGAATTCAGGTTGCTTTGATAGGGGCTCTTTTCAAACTGTCTAGCCTTCTTAGTGCGTCAGATCCTGTTCAGACATGTTATATAACAAGTTAGTACAAGTTTATTTTGGTGTAAAAAAAATTTGGGGCCGGGCGCGGTGGCTCACGCCTGTAATCCCAGCACTTTGGGAGGCCGAGGCGGGCGGATCACGAGGTCAGGAGATCGAGACCATCCCGGCTAAAACGGTGAAACCCCGTCTCTACTAAAAATACAAAAAATTAGCCGGACGTAGTGGCAGGCGCCTGTAGTCCCAGCTACTTGGGAGGCTGAGGCAGGAGAATGGCGTGAACCCGGGAGGCGGAGCTTGCAGTGAGCCGAGATCCCGCCACTGCACTCCAGCCTGGGCGACAGAGCGAGACTCCGTCTCAAAAAAAAAAAAAAAAAAAAAAAAAAAAAAAAAAAAAATTGGAAACCTATGTATTTTTTAGCATAATACACATTTTCCATGAACTTTTCAAAGACCCCTCTTAGATAAATCTGGGAGAGATTCAGTATTTAAAATCAACAGGGTTTCAGACGTCCAAGAAGAGATGTGTAGTGAAAAGTTTTTATAGGGGTTAGGAGCTCAGAGGAGAGATCCGAGTTGCATAGGAGATTTGGGATGTCTTCTGTTAAAGCCTGGTAACTGAATTCAAGGCATAGATGCCTAGGGTAAAGTGCAGATTGGAAAGAGAAGGTCCTAGGATCCAGCTCTGAGGAATACCAATATTTTAAGAACTTAGCAGAGGTGGAGCAAGCATCAGAGACTGAAAAAAGGTACGAGAAAGCCGAGAAGAGAATGTCTTTCACTGAAGCCAAACATTTTCAAAGGGAGGAAGGAATCAGCAGGTGCCCATTGATACTGAGAGGTCAAGAAAACTAACTGAAAACTAGGGATTAGATTTGGTGACACATGGGAAACTTATGTTCTTGGAGAGTGAGGAAATGAATGATAAAGGCACAAACCCTATAGGAGTGAAGTAAGAAGTAGAAAATGGAAACCACACTTGTGGGAAGTTTGGCTATGAAGGCAAAAAAAAAAAAGAATATTAGCTGGAGGAAAAACAGGTCTGGAGAAGGCTTATTTTAATATAGGGGGATCTTTGGAATGTTTAAATGTTGATAGAAAGGCTCCAGCGGAAAGAGAGAGAAGAAAAAACTGGCCGAGTGGAAAGAAATCCAGATTACCGGTGGAAGGGTTCTCTTGCATTACTGACCCGCCAACTTAATAGACATCCAAAATTCTGAGGTCTGGGTAGCTTCGGGTTTTAGGTGAAGGGTTTTGTTGGTTTGGGTTTGGTTTGGTTGGTTTTCTACACTAAAGCCTTCCCTCCTCCGCCCTTTCCGGGTCCATCGGTCTAATCCCTCCCACCTCGCTTGCTATTGAAACACCCAGCCTATATTTACAAGTTTTTCCGGGTCGCCGAGAAGGGTCACGCACAGGATTGCGACCTCGATTGGAACGCGCTTCCCGAAAGGGGCATGCGCAGAGAGGTCGTAGTCGCGTCTGAGGTGAGGTAAACTCTAAACTTTACGCAGGCGCGTTAGGTCCTAGTCGCTATGCGTGTGCTTGTGGGTGAGGGAGGGCAGAAAGGGAGAGTGCTGGGCGGGCTTAGTCGGAGATTGAGGACTGGGAATCCGCTTCCGGGAGGGCACTGTCTAGTGCACAGGCAACCTGGCCTTGGCCTCCTAGCCCGAGAAGCCGAATCTCCCTAATCCCTGTGACCTGTGTCACCTCTGCATCGCGAGGAGGGGGATAAGTGGGGAGAAGCCTGGTGTCAGATGGGATGGCGCCGGAAGAGGGTGCCACAGCGGGGACGGAAGGCGCCCCCACCCCAACTCCACGGGAATATAAACAATTTGTATTTTCCGATCAGGTGGCGGGACAGGCTTCATTGGGACAGCCCTAACCCAGCTGCTGAATGCCAGAGGCCACGAAGTGACGTTGGTCTCCCGAAAGCCCGGGCCCGGCCGGATCACGTGGGTAAGTCCATCCTCTGGAAGCGGGTGGGAGGGCAGAGTTGGGCGGCGCAGGGCGGGGCAGGGGCACTGTGTGCTTTCTCCGACAGGATGAGCTCGCTGCATCGGGGCTGCCGAGCTGCGATGCCGCCGTCAACCTGGCCGGAGAGAACATCCTCAACCCTCTCCGAAGGTCAGCCCGGGCCCTAAAGCTGATACCCACTAGAGCACAGGGAGGACAGTGCCCCACTGATGAGAACCTGTGAGCTATGGGTAATGGAGCTCCCAGATTCCGAACTAAACCGATATCCCAGACTACTCATTCTGCTCCACTCCTCCACCCCCACCTGCTCCTCCACCCAGTCAGCCAATTGGCTTAAGTCCTCACGTATAACTCAGGATGCCCAGGAAATGAATGCCCTTTCCCTCTACAGGAGACGTTGACTGTTTCTCTTAAGCCGAAATTCAGGGCTTTACAAGAAATTGGTATGAAATAGCTCCCAGGAAAAGACAGAGAGAGGGATATGTGCACTTATGTATTTAGTGGCTTTTTATTTCCCATGTTTCTCCTGCAGATGGAATGAAACCTTCCAAAAAGAGGTAATCGGCAGCCGCCTAGAGACCACCCAATTGCTGGCTAAAGCCATCACCAAAGCCCCACAACCCCCCAAGGCCTGGGTCTTAGTCACAGGTGTAGGTACGCCCCCCAAATCACCAGCCCCTTATATTCGCCAGGGGAACGGGGTAACTCAGACCTCTGTAGCTATGCACACACCAGAGCACTGGTCTTTTCCAGGCAAAATGACTTCCTAGGCCCTTGATCCATGCATGTTTCTCCTAACCTTTGTGTACTTTCACTAAGAAATTGAGACCCTGAAAAAACAGTGGGGAGTGGCATCACTCAATGCCAGGGAAAAGTCCACCTATCCCAAAGTCCCTTACTTCTCACACCATAGTTCTTTAGGAACAGAGTTCCTGGTCACCTTTGGGACCAAGTAATTGCAAACAATTATACACACCAGCCACTATTTGAAGTGTTTTATGCTTATTATCATTTATTCCTTACAACAACCCTATGAGGTAGGTACTATTATTCCCATTTTAAAGATGTGAAAATTCTATACAGAGAGGTTAAGTAACTTGCATCAAGTCAGAGAGTTAATAAATGAGGGAGCTGATTAAAATTCAGGCGCCTGGTACCCAAGTTCCTGTTCTTAACCACTACACTCTAGCAGCCTCTAAGTTTAGCCCTGCAACCAGAGTTCCTCCAGGGAAGGAACGCTTCAGGTCATGGAGAAGTTCAAGGGGAAAATATCCAAATGGCTCTGTCTCCAAATGGGGAGATCCTAAGGGCCAGAGAAGGTGAGGCCAAGGGGAGCCTCCACTACAGAGAGCCAGGCAGGACCAAGGACACCCAGGGCAAATGATTGTGTTCCACCGGCAGCTTACTACCAGCCCAGTCTGACTGCGGAGTATGATGAAGACAGCCCAGGAGGGGACTTTGACTTTTTCTCCAACCTCGTAACCAAATGGGAAGCTGCAGCCAGGCTTCCTGGAGATTCTACACGCCAGGTGGTGGTGCGCTCAGGTGAGAAACGGGCCTGGGTATCAGACAGGGTTGGAATGTCTTCTCTGGGCTGGGGAAGTGATGGGATTAGGAGAGCTGAGATTACAATTACAGAGTGAGAGGATGCCACCACTTCTAGCCAACCTGCAGATGAGAAGGTGTGAGGTCTTAAAGACAGCCATACTGCTCACTTCTGTTACAGAGCCAAGTCAGCATGGGGAGAGTGAGGAAGGGGAAACAGAAACCAGGAGGAGCAGTGGGCTCCTTCAAGGCTGAGAGGACCCCTGTACCTTCCCTCTTTCCTGCTCTAGGGGTTGTGCTGGGCCGTGGGGGTGGTGCCATGGGCCACATGCTGCTGCCCTTTCGCCTGGGCCTGGGGGGCCCCATCGGCTCAGGCCACCAATTCTTCCCCTGGATACACATCGGGGACCTGGCAGGAATCCTGACCCATGCCCTTGAAGCAAACCACGTGCACGGGGTCCTGAATGGAGTGGCTCCATCCTCCGCCACTAATGCTGAGTTTGCCCAGACCTTGGGTGCTGCCCTGGGCCGCCGAGCCTTCATCCCTCTCCCCAGCGCTGTGGTGCAAGCTGTCTTTGGGCGACAGCGTGCCATCATGCTGCTGGAGGGCCAGAAGGTGATCCCACAGCGAACACTGGCCACTGGCTACCAGTATTCCTTCCCAGAGCTAGGGGCTGCCTTAAAGGAAATTGTAGCCTAAGTAGGTCGTGGCAAGGGCCTGAGGCCTGTTCCTCACAGGCTTCCAGGTTAGGCACTGTGAATAGGCTCAGCTCCTCTAGAGAGCTGAAGCCATCTGGTTCTTAGATTCCTCTCCCAGTCCTCTTTCCCATTGTTCTGTTGCTCCACCTTATTGTCTCAAGGCCGTAATCTCATCAGGTTGGGACATTAATCTTTTCAACTCCTTGTAAGATTTCCCAGTTTGGTTTCTCTACATGTCCTGCAGCTGCCCCACTTCTCCTTTACGCTGTGTAGAGAATGCTCTGCAGTTTAGGCAATAAAAATAAATTGTCTCACTAACCTTGGCTCATCTCTTTGGCCTAGATTCTCCTGGGATTTACTTCAAGGAATGTCACCCTAGATGATTCTTCCCCAAAGACGGGGTTTTGAAAGTTACAATGAGCAGTCTCTCTCATCACCGTTTCCCTTCTTGGTCCTTCAGTTGCCAAAAGAACTTGTCACAAGTTTGGGACATCAGGTTATGATAAAGATAGACACTAGAAGAGAGAATGATGATCCATTTCCAATGGGCCCTGTAGTCACCCTGGATGCTGTCAGAGTGCCATTAGGATGCCAGTAGAGGAAGAGGTAAGGCCCAGGTGTAGGATAGCCTTCAGTCTGTGTCACCAAATGGCAAGTGCATTACTAACCACACAGTGGTCCCAGTTTATCAGGCTGCAGCAGAACAAAGTCAACATCCCTGTCTATAAGAAGCTTAGGACTTGCCTCTCATCTGACTGGGGCCACTCAGTCAACCAGGGCCCTTAGCACAAAAGGGCAGAAGACACTTTTGGTCTACTGCACACCCACCATCACTGAAAGTGAAAATGGCAAGAAACCAATCAAGAAGTATAAACAACCCTATCAGGAAAAAAAAAAACTCCAAGGTTTTCATCTAGGACCCTTTTTACCTACCTAAAGCTGTGACATCTGCCATAACTTGACCAGACACAGTTCCCCCAGCCACCAGTTCAGGCCATACTAACCAATCTCTTCTCAGGGACCGCTGGGTTATCTCTTAATCATTGTCACCTCTTTGACCAGCCTGTCTCCAACACACCTGCCCCCAGCCTGGGTCAGTATGGTACAGTGGTGTAAATCACCAAAAAGGAAGGGGTGAGGACACAAGGACCCTCCCCATCATCATTACACTCGCCATGCAGTATTCAACTCCCTGTGCCACTCAGAGGGAGGCAGAAGTCAGGGCCTGGAAAAGATCTTGTCTAGAGACTCCCCACAGGCCCACACAGAACAGAACCCAGGGGCACCTGTCCTACTTCTTTATCTGGTCTTGGATTCCAGGAAGTTGACTGGCTCTGTATTGTTCCTGGAGGTATGACCAGCCTCAAAGGTGGATGTAACAGAAAAGCATACTTTAGGCTGCACTAAAGTAAGGAGTACTGATTAATACCGTCTACACAGGGAATGTGCTACCCTGGAGATAGTAAATTCCCTGGCACAGGAGGACTTCAAGCAGATCCAGGGCAATGACCTCTAGGAATCAGGGTGAAGAAAGCATGTCAGTAACAGCAGAGTTGGTCTGGTGGCCAGTCAAGTGCCTTCCAACTCTGGTTCTTTCATTTTCCAGATAATTGGTTCATCTAGAACCAACTGGTTCAACTTCCGTTAAGTCCTCCCATCCCCATACACACACACATAAAGCAGAAGTGTGCCTTGCTTTATGCAACATACGTCTTCCATAGAGAAAATGTTAGGGTCGGATCACATTAATATTGTCATTGCAGAGCATGGCTTCATCGATTGGTGAAAAATCGACGTGTTCATCTCAACACCAGGAAGTGCATCTAACCAGGGATTTGCCAACACATTTGTTAGTCTGTAAACAACACCTGAATACAACAGGAGAGCTGCCATTTATAGGAACCCTGAGAGTATTTTGATAATGCAGTCATCCCTAATTTACCTACTGTGTAAATGTAGATTTTGGAGGTTGCTCAAAAGGGATGCAGCCATTATAGGGCACGTTATAGTGAGAATGCAGTGTTAAAATCTAGGGTGTGGATCCTGGAGACAAAGGACCCACATCTCTCTGAAAGTGAGGTTTCGGTTAGAGAGCCTGTGCAGCCACAGGCAGACACACCTGAGACTTGGTCCAAGCACCTTTCCTCCAAGAGGCTTTCCTCTATGTTCTCATTTCTCCTCCCAACAGGTATTTTTACCCCTGATTTGTAGGCAGAAGTAAAGCCCAAGCAACTCAATCAAGGTCACAAAACAGGCATAGCTGAGACCAGAAGCCAAGTCTCCCTCTGCCTTCTTCACTAGCTCACTCCACCCTATCGTGGCCCAGTCCACATAACACTGTGCCAGGGCCTAGCATCTCCTTCCACGCTCCCAGGAGCTCAGCAAGGGAGCATCTTGTTCTCTGGCCATCCAGAGCAGCAGCCAGGGAGAGGAACAGCTTAACTTCCTGTCACTTCCTGCCCACCCTGCCCTCCACCCTAGCTCAGCTTGGAGGTGGAGCCAACAGTCTCAGTCTCCGGAACTAATCCCCTCTAGCAGCCCCCACTCCCTACAGAAACCCTGTGCTAAGGCAAAGTTGAGAAGTTAAGGCTGAGCAGAACCTCTTGAGAGCTGGCTGAGGTCCTGACTCGGTAAGATCAGTTCACTTTATGGACCTGTCCCAAAGTGGCTTCCCTGATCCAAAGCACCAACTCAGGGTGCCTCTGGATCAGAGTGAGCAGCAGAGGGACTCTCACAGAAAGGGCTGAGCTGGAGGCGGCTGGAGCTGACAGGGCGGCAGCCACTCAAGCAGGTGAGGCTCAAAAGTTAAGACTGAGCAGGGCCTCAGACAGTTGGTTGATGTCCCGGCAGTATGGCTCCCGCTGCAGGATGAAGTCCACTTTGTGATCCTGACCCCAAAACACCTCCAGCAGCTGCCGCCGGAGCCGCTCTGTTTCCCGGGTCTTCCGAATGCCACCACTACCTTTTTCCTCTTCTCTCCCCTGCTGCTGTTTACCATGTTCTGCAAAGCCCCTGGAAGGATGCTGAGCCTTAGAAGACCCCTGTGTCCTGGGAAGAAACAGACCAAAAAGAGCTGATGAGCATCCTGGGGGGGAAATTAGATCTTAGTGGGCACCCCTCTCGTAATTGTCCTGCCTATTCCTGGCTTTGGGGGAGAAATCCTGAAGTTCCTGAAGCTGACCACTGAGTGGCAGTATCAACCCACTTCTGAAGGGAAGATGGGCCGTTCTTTTAGAAACAGGGTGAACTCTGCCACTATTATGATCTAGTTCTAGTCCTAAATGAATCACTTATGTAATGGTCAGCAGAAGGCATGCTGAATACAACTGGCTGTCAGTATAAGCAACCATTTTCCAAATAACTCCATCAAACATGCTGATTAAGAGAAACAGGAAGCAGGTGTTTCCCTCCCAGCAAGGAGGTTCTATGTCAGGATCCCCTGGGAAGCTTATAAAGGCCAAGGCCAATGCAACTCAAACCACTGCAAAATTAAGCTGGCCCAAACTGAGGTCACACTTCCACCCAAGTCTCTGGGCCTGCTGAGAGAGGGCCAGGGGTGGGGGCTGCCTGTAAGTAGTCTAGGGGATTGATTACCTGGCTGGCTTCTTCAGAAATTCATCCAGGGTGGGGCCGTTTCGCCCCAGTGGGTCATCAGGTACCATGAAGAGGTTTCCCACAAAGGTAAAGGGCAGCAGGCTGGATGGCGAAAGATAATGTGTGGTCACAGAGGGGGCCCTTGCCCACCTCCCAGACAACCGAGACCAGTATCACCAGAAGCTGCTGGCTCCATCCTTCAAGAAAACTTCACCTCCTTCCCAGAGTTTTCACCCCATGGCCAGAGCAGAGCTGGCTTTAGAAAAACATCTGCATCTGTGCCCAGTTCTCAGCGGGAGGGCTCCCTCACCGTTCTCTGATGATTGCCATCCACTTCTCAGACTCCTCCGCCAGGTCCCGGAACTGGTCATTGGAGACAATTATCCCATCTGTCTCTTCAGCCAGCTTCACCATGAACCTGTCTCCAAAACCACAGCAACCGAGAGAGGGTTGAAAAATTACCTACTGGGTACAATGTTCACTGTTTGGATCATGGTTACATTAAAAGCCTAGACTTCACCACTATGCAATATATCTATGTAGCAAAACTGTATTGGTATCCCCCAAATCTACAAAAATAAAAGTAAAAACCACAGCAACCATTTGGGACTCTCCAAGGCCCCAACCCCAGAAGTTTTACTGTCTCCCATAGGCCACTTCTGGTGATGGAGATCTGGCCCCCTACCTCACCTTGACCCAGCTACAGGCAACTGACTAGATGCAAGTGCCATGGCCTAGAGAGGAAACAAAGATGAATCCAAGGTGGTCTCCCAGTAGCATCCTATCTGCCAACCATAGTCCTTCACCCAACACTTTGTGCCTCGTTAGTAAACAGTAAGATCTAGCTCTGTCTTCCACCCTGCCCAACCAATCCCTTGCAAATCCAACATGCCTTTCCTTTGAAAAGCCTTGTGCTCTGCTCCCTTCCTTCCCAGGCCCACCATTACCACCCCAGTAATTCAGATATTGCAACTGAGATTATGCATAACCTCCTAACAAGGGGGTCCCCGCCTCTGACCACTCACCCACCCTCCAGTCTCCCCTGCCCTGCCCCAAGAAAGCATGCTTATCACCTACACAAAACTCTTCCACACTTGCCCTTTATTTACCAAATAAAGTCCACACACCCAGGCCTGGCAGCTAAGGCCTTCTACAGGCCAGCTCAAATCACCCTTACAGCCTTATCTCTCCCAATATTCCCTAACCCACTCTCAACTCCAGCTAAAATCAATAATCAGATTACACTCTGCTCTCCACATATGTCTTATGCTGACTTCCATATTTCTCCAACTATTTCCTCTATCTGGAAGGCACTTCCCAAGACTTGCTAAGGAACAGAATTACCAAGGGAACTTTTTTAAAAAATGCCTGGGCTCCATTCAGTAATTCTGATTCCACAAGACAGGGTAGGACTCATGAAGTGATGGGTGGTGGTCTTTTTAACAGATTTAGAAACAGAGATCCAACCCATCCCAGTCTTCTCAACACAAAAACTCACAAATCTCTCCTTTCCCACAAAACCCCAGCCAGAATGGGGCTCCTTTCCCTCTGAGTTCCTGTAGTGTTTGATTTATGGTTTCTTTCGGCTCTCTAGTCAAGAATCAGATCTTGTTCCCAGTGTTCCCACCTCCTCCTGCAGGCCATGCACCTAGTACTAAGTGAGCAGTCAGTATTTGAAAGATAGTGTGGTATAGGGGGAACTGGGAGTCAGGATTAGGTGTGACAGATATCAGGCTCTGAGCTTCTGTCTGGGAAACAAATTAAGGGAATGACATACAAATGTCTATGGCCGGGCTTGGTGGCTCACGCCTGTAATCCCAGCACTTTGGGAGGCTGAGGTGGGCGGATCATGAGGTCAGGAAATCAAGACCACCCTGGCCAACATGGTGAAACCCCATCTCTACTAAAATGCAAAAAGTTAGCTGGGCACGGTGGCATGCACCTGAAGTCCCAGCTACTCGGGAGGCTGAGGTAAGGGAATCACTTGAACCTGGGAGGCAGAGGTTGCAGTGAGCCGAGATCGTGCCACTGCACTCCAGCGTGGCGACAGAGCAAGGCTCCGTCTCAAAAACAAACCAAAAAAAAATTATATGGTACACTTATGGTATGCAAATGGTATTTTCCAGTTAAGCATATTTTACTATGATCGCATTACACAGTATGTTGTTCAGCAACATTCATTCCGTATGCCTACGCTGTGTACCACTGTGCTTATTCACTGTTACTGGGCGAATTCCCAATTTATATTATGTTATCTGCCAACCAGGTCCCACACAACTGGGCAGACACATGCCTTTAACATTCATTAAAACGAACTCAATCTTCAGTTTCAATTCTGTTTCAATGCAGGTGTGGAAAGAAGATTCCATATCTTGGGTAATCTGTGACATCTAGATATAAATAGAATAACATTGGGAGAACGTAAACTGCTTTTTTGTAGAATACCATTTGCTTGTTAAGGAATAGAAGGTAAGTGTTTGAAAAGACAAAGTATATAATCACTATGGTTTGGAAAAACTAATTTTTAAAAACTGTATAATGTCCTAGAGAATAAAGAACTTGTAAATTTTTTAACTTGGCTTTCTAAAATCTGCTCATTTCTCACACCACCTAGGCAGACTATGGTAGAAGTGTGCCTTGTATTTTCATTCAAACCATCTGGCAGCTTTGAGGTCTAATTCCCCTTTGCTAAGACAGGTAACCACTCTGACCCTCTGTCTCCACGACTGTAGATTGGAGATATACCCGCTGCCACACTTGAGTAGGTCTGTGCAAAGTTAGGATGGAATGTCACTGTACTCTTGCCTAGCACCTTGAGCAAGGCAAGCACATACCTTATCTTTTTCGTATATTCACAAGGAGGGTAAATGAATGGAGGAGGACCCTGAGACAAAGAGGTTAATTCACTAAGAAAAGTTCCACAGTCAAAGTCAATGAGTAGTGCTACTTGAGGCTCAAATTCAGATCTTCCAATTCTAAATCCAGTGATCTTTCTATTATACCATGTTTTGTACAGTCCTATTATTCATGCGTTGTGTTTCTCCATTTTACTTGTTATTTTGACCTTTACTCTGGTTTTTCCAGAATGTTAGGGAAATTTCTCTGCATGTTTGGAAATTCAGGTTATAAGAAGACATCTGTCAGCTACTTATGTAACCAGCTTTCCCACCTTTCCACTAAACCAGTATTTTCTAGACAGTAAGGCACTATATAAATACAAGGTATCATTTTGTTTGATGAATGATGAATAGACAAACATGGTTGTCTACAGTTCATCTCATCACACCTGCAGGGCAGGTTTACCTACCCAATCATAAGGCACACAGAGGAATAACTGGCCCCTTACCCACCACCAAGGCTTAGAAACAGCGTAAACCACCAGGAGCTTTTCTCTCTCCCTCAGTCTTCCATAGGGCTCCTTCAATATCAAGCCTGGGGCCAGGAGAGGAGCAAGTACCTGTCATCATAGGAGGAGATCCTCTTGCCATCCATGACTCGTGAGGGTGTGAGGGAGAGCAGGCTGAGGGAATACAGCTTTTGCAGGAAGTGACTCTCTATTGAAAAAGAACATAATAGGGTTCTCCTCAAAGTGGAAACAGAGCCTATCCTGGGACACTGAAGACCAGGCCCAACTCACCTCTGACTTTGGCATCCTTACTGAAGCGCCACTGAGGCACAAAGACAGTTATGTCACGGTGACCACGGTCCCAGAAGTACTGCACAGCAATGGCAATGCCCCGGCTGGAGAAGTAGTGCTGGAGGCCATGCCTGTAGTGGGAGGGGGTCGGCCAGAGGAGGGGCTTGGCACCCTGGCTACAATGCCAGCCCCTCAGGACATATCCTCCCTCTCCTAGGCCCTTAGCCCCACCAGGTACTCACACCATGGCCACGTTGCTGCCGTCAATGACAATATGGCGGAGGTCTGGCTGGCCAGGCACATTGGCAAGGCACAGGGTGAAAGGATCCTGCAGGGCCTCCTTGAAACGCTGTGTGCCAGTCACCAAGTTGCCCCCTCGGGCGCCTCGTTTCCATTGAGGCCCCCGACCCCGTGCCATGCCCTGCTGCTTGTCTCCCCTGTCCCCCACGTCTCCCCGGTCTCCGCAGTCACCCCGGTCTCCACAGTGCCATGGGGGTTCCGGTGCAGGTGGAGGGCTGGGCACCCTCGGAGGAGAGGCATTCCCATTGTGGAGCCGCTGGAGGAGGGAGGCTCCTCGGGACTGAGCTGCCCTGTGACAGGAGCCATGGGCACCGGGAGGCTCACGGTGGACACAGAACCCTCCTCCTCCCAGAGCTATCTCCTCCTTCCCCAGGGCCTTCCCTTTCAGGGGTGCTGACTCCCTTGCCCCTCCACCCACTGACTGTGGCCTGAGGGCCACTTCTCTCTCCCACGCCTCTTCCCCAGGCAACTCCTTCCACCCCCAATCCATCTCCCTGGGACCACCCTGTTTCCCTCCCTCCTTCTCCACAGCGTAAGTGTCTCCCCTTGCTCCCCTGCAATCTCCGGGTCCCATAGATCCAGTGTCCAGGGACTCCCTGCCGTCACTAGGGGGAGCTCTCACTCCTTGGCACTGAGCACCCAGCAAGGCTGAGCTCCGCCCCTCCCAAGAAGCCAGTGCTCCTGGCCCCTGCCCACTAGACGCCTCCTGCACCAGACTCAGCAGCTCCTCCTGGACAGCCAGGGGCAACTGCAACAGAGCCTCTCTATGGGCATCCCCCGGGGACTGCAGCAGGGCAGAGAAGTCTCTCAGCACTCCAGTACACTGAGAGGCTCCGGAAGATGGTCCTGGCGTGAAGTCCCAGCTCAGCCGCTCTGCCAGCTCTTCTACCCGGCTCTGAGCCATGACAAAGGCTTCAGTCAGGCCACTGATCATCAGTGAGCCTGGCGCCCTGGGCACCAGATGGGCTGACGTGCTCCAGGCCAGGCAGTCAAGGAAGAAGCCCTGGGCTCCCAGAAAGATGCAGTGCAGTTTGGGCGGGTAGTGGATTTCATCCTGCAGTTCTGGGCTGCAGAGGCCCTTCAGGTACTCCTGGTTGGGAGGAAGGGAAGGTCAGGAAAAGTAAACTAACTGGCCCAGATCACCCCTCCTGGCTCCTTGCTCGCTCCTGAGCTCCAGGATGTCTGGAGTATCCACATGATGTTATTCCCATTTTAGAGATAAGGAAACTGAGACTCCCATCACAAAGCTGGTACATGATTGAGCCATCCTGGAACCCCAGCCTAATCCCAAAGGAAGCAATGTGGCCCAGCCTCCCACCCCACAGTGCATTCCTTGGTGGGGCCAACTTGTTCAGCCAGATATCTCTATTCTCCCAAAGAGCACAGAATGATTTTTGCCAGCCTGGGCCATCACAGAAGAAATTAAGCTGAAACTGAAAACAAATATAGAGTTGGAAAGTCCCTCAAAACTCAGGGGCACTGAGGTTGCCAGTGAGACAACCAAGAAGTGGAGATCCTCCCCAGGCCCCTCCTCTTCCCTGCTCTCCTCGGCCCTGCTCTCCTCCGCCCTGGGGGAAAGCGTCCTTGGTGCCTGGAGGGATGGGGGAGAGAAGGCGTTCACCTTGGCTCTGCTGGCGTTTTCCTTGGGGCCCTCCAGCTGCAGCCAGATGTGGGGGTTGTCCGGACAGTCCTTCGGAAGGACGCTCACCCCCACGCTGAAGATGCGCTCCACATGGGGCTGCTGTTCCCGAACCTTGTTCTCAGCCTCCGCAGACACCGCAAAGCGATCTGGGGACGCGGGGCGGGCCCCCCAGGTAGGCATGGCTGCTGCCCCCAGCCCTGGAAGGGGAGAAGGCAGCTCAGAGCCTCATTGTACCCTCCATCCAAATCCTGGTTCCTGGGACTACACCAGCTATCAACAGGTCGCACCTAGTTAAGGCTCTGGTAAACAGCCCCAGGAGGTGACAAGCATCTGAGTCCACTGGAGGTAGGGAGGGTGTATGTCACGCAGGCCTCTCCGGAGAGGAAGTCCCGGTAAACAAGGCTGTCTATCGAGAGTGGGCGTCTGGGCTTTGGAAAAGGATGACCACAGTCCGGAGCAAGAAGGGTGGGGGGGCTCCAGCTCGGCCTGGAGGCCAGAAGGAGTCTCCTGGGGCACTCTGAAGCTTCTTAAGGACGAATCCTCAGCAGGGGATTGAACTAGGCTGTCCTCTGGGGGCCCTGGTCTGCCATTTCCAAGGTTCAAGCCACTCCCACCCCTCCCCCAGCCGTCCGCTGCCCCTCTCCGTCGGGCCAGGAGCACCGCCCAGGGCCCAGGGGCCGGGCCGGGCCGGGCCCGCCCACCGCGGACTGGGGCAGCCACCCCGGGCCGGGCCTACTCCGCACCGCGGCCCCCGCTCCCCGCTCCCGGGCGCGGTGGAGGGGCGCGCCTACCGCCTCCGCCGCCCGCGCCGGCTTCAGGTCCTCTCAGCGCCCGCCAGGCCCCCGCTTTGCCCGCGCCCCCAGCCCAGGGGACAAGGGCAGGGGGCCCGAATCTGGGCGGGCCTTCCCGGGTTCCTCACCCAGCGGGGACCTCTCTTGTCCACATCGCACGCAAACTGTTTCTTGAGTCACTTCCTGGCCTGGGGCGGAGTCAGCCCAGCTCCTCCCGGCTGCGCGCCCTCCTCCCAACCCCGCCGCCGCGCCCAGAGGCCCCGACGGGCCCGCTCGGCCTAGTCCCCTCGGCGGCTCCAGGGCTCGCCCCTTGCGCTTCTCACCAGCCCTCCCGTCTGTCTCCCGGCCCTCAGGGTCCTCGCGCATTCTGCGCAGTTACTTCTCGGAAAGGGGAACCATGCGTTGAAAGTTGTTTCCCGCGAATAAAGATGTGGCCGACCAAAGAGGCAGCGTGACTGGCCCACTGGTGCTCTAGGCCCAAGCACTTTCCACCAAAGCAATCGTGGCGGAGGGGGTAGGCGGGAGGCGGGAGGCGGAGGGTACCCGTGGTGGAGTACCCCTTTCTTCCAACAAACGGAAAGATGCCACGAAGAAGGGCTGTTGATTTGTGGGGGATTTTGAAGAGAGGAAGAGTAGGAGGAAGGGGTTGAGGGGCTGCCTCTGGCATATGCACACACTCACACATTCTGTCACACCCGTCACACACACATACCATGTTCTCCATCCCCCCAGGTCCAGCCCTCAGTGCTGTCCCATCCAGCAGGGCTGCCCTGAAGCTCTGGCTGCAGCCCTCCCGTCCAGTGGGCAGGCGGCTTCATCCCTCCTTTCTCTCCCAAAGCCCAACTGCTGTCACTGCATGCTCTGCCAAGGAGGAGGGAACTGCAGTGACAGCAGGAGTAAGAGTGGGAGGCAGGACAGAGCTGGGACACAGGTATGGAGAGGGGGTTCAGCGAGCCTAGAGAGGGCAGACGATCAGGGTGCCGGCGGTGAGAATCCAGGGAGAGGAGCGGAAACAGAAGAGGGGCAGAAGACCGGGGCACTTGTGGGTTGCAGAGCCCCTCAGCCATGTTGGGAGCCAAGCCACACTGGCTACCAGGTCCCCTACACAGTCCCGGGCTGCCCTTGGTTCTGGTGCTTCTGGCCCTGGGGGCCGGGTGGGCCCAGGAGGGGTCAGAGCCCGTCCTGCTGGAGGGGGAGTGCCTGGTGGTCTGTGAGCCTGGCCGAGCTGCTGCAGGGGGGCCCGGGGGAGCAGCCCTGGGAGAGGCACCCCCTGGGCGAGTGGCATTTGCTGCGGTCCGAAGCCACCACCATGAGCCAGCAGGGGAAACCGGCAATGGCACCAGTGGGGCCATCTACTTCGACCAGGTAATCCCCCTACCCCTGTCCAGGGGACCTGGAAAGACCCTGCAAGGACCTGGAAGCAACTGTCCAAGCCCACTTTGCTGTCTCTGAGGCTTTAAGAAAACAGCTTCCTACATCTTTCACTAATCTGGCCTATTGCCCCACCACCCCACCGACGGTTTCCCCTCCCTCCACCCATACGCAGCCCTCTCCTTGCCCCTTCTCACCATTTCTTTTGAATCTGTTCACTCCTATTCACTCCTACTTGCCACTCCTTCTATTCATTACTCACTGCCCCTGCCCCTAGTCCCCATGGTACCCCTGAGCCATGGGCATTTCCTGAGCCCCACTCAGCAGGCTCTGCTTCCCCCAGGTCCTGGTGAACGAGGGCGGTGGCTTTGACCGGGCCTCTGGCTCCTTCGTAGCCCCTGTCCGGGGTGTCTACAGCTTCCGGTTCCATGTGGTGAAGGTGTACAACCGCCAAACTGTCCAGGTGACCTCAGCACTGGCCCCCATCCCCGGCTCAGGAGGGTGGGGAGGGGGAAGAAGGGGAGCCCAGCTGACCTCCGGGTGGACTCTCCATTGACCTGTGTCCTGGAGGCCAGGACCAGGGGAGGAATGGGCCTGCCTTGCATTGAGTGTGGAGGATGTGCAGAGTCCAATGCTGGCCGCCCCTCAGCCCTCCCGGGAGAGCCCATTAAAACCCAGCTTCCCAAGAGGAAGCTCCTGGGAAAGTGGGGGGTCCTGAGCTAAGGGCTGGGGAATGGGGGCTAACTGGGCTCCCCTCCCCAGGTGAGCCTGATGCTGAACACGTGGCCTGTCATCTCAGCCTTTGCCAATGATCCTGACGTGACCCGGGAGGCAGCCACCAGCTCTGTGCTACTGCCCTTGGACCCTGGGGACCGAGTGTCTCTGCGCCTGCGTCGGGGGAATCTACTGGGTGGTTGGAAATACTCAAGTTTCTCTGGCTTCCTCATCTTCCCTCTCTGAGGACCCAAGTCTTTCAAGCACAAGAATCCAGCCCCTGACAACTTTCTTCTGCCCTCTCTTGCCCCAGAAACAGCAGAGGCAGGAGAGAGACTCCCTCTGGCTCCTATCCCACCTCTTTGCATGGGACCCTGTGCCAAACACCCAAGTTTAAGAGAAGAGTAGAGCTGTGGCATCTCCAGACCAGGCCTTTCCACCCACCCACCCCCAGTTACCCTCCCAGCCACCTGCTGCATCTGTTCCTGCCTGCAGCCCTAGGATCAGGGCAAGGTTTGGCAAGAAGGAAGATCTGCACTACTTTGCGGCCTCTGCTCCTCCGGTTCCCCCACCCCAGCTTCCTGCTCAATGCTGATCAGGGACAGGTGGCGCAGGTGAGCCTGACAGGCCCCCACAGGAGCCCAGATGGACAAGCCTCAGCGTACCCTGCAGGCTTCTTCCTGTGAGGAAAGCCAGCATCACGGATCTCAGCCAGCACCGTCAGAAGCTGAACCAGCACCGTATGGGCTAGGGTGGGAGGCTCAGCCACAGGCAGAAGGGTGGGAAGGGCCTGGAGTCTGTGGCTGGTGAGGAAGGAAGGAGGGTGTATTGTCTAGACTGAACATGGTACACATTCTGCATGTATAGCAGAGCAGCCAGCAGGTAGCAATCCTGGCTGTCCTTCTATGCTGGATCCCAGATGGACTCTGGCCCTTACCTCCCCACCTGAGATTAGGGTGAGTGTGTTTGCTCTGGCTGAGAGCAGAGCTGAGAGCAGGTATACAGAGCTGGAAGTGGACCATGGAAAACATCGATAACCATGCATCCTCTTGCTTGGCCACCTCCTGAAACTGCTCCACCTTTGAAGTTTGAACTTTAGTCCCTCCACACTCTGACTGCTGCCTCCTTCCTCCCAGCTCTCTCACTGAGTTATCTTCACTGTACCTGTTCCAGCATATCCCCACTATCTCTCTTTCTCCTGATCTGTGCTGTCTTATTCTCCTCCTTAGGCTTCCTATTACCTGGGATTCCATGATTCATTCCTTCAGACCCTCTCCTGCCAGTATGCTAAACCCTCCCTCTCTCTTTCTTATCCCGCTGTCCCATTGGCCCAGCCTGGATGAATCTATCAATAAAACAACTAGAGAATGGTGGTCAGTGAGACACTATAGAATTACTAAGGAGAAGATGCCTCTGGAGTTTGGATCGGGTGTTACAGGTACAAGTAGGTATGTTGCAGAGGAAAATAAATATCAAACTGTATACTAAAATTACATTTTAAAAGTTGAATAATGTTTGAGTTAAATAGGAAATACCAAGGTGAATTTGTGGTTTTGAAAAGAAATAACTTTTTGAACTGTCACTAATCCTAAAAACAACATCAGGAACAATCTGATATCCATTCTTAGAAACTGGATCTTTGCTTCAGATATTAGTCACCATTAAAAAAAAATACCAAAAACCCTCAGGTTCCTTGGAGAATAGCTGCACACCTTAAGTAACTCCAGGCCCAGAACATGTTGTTGATGACAGAAAGCAAAGATACTTTTTAAATGTATAAAGTAAAGCTGAAAAGGCAAAGGAATCAATTTAAAGAAGCTCCCACTTGACATGCTTTGACAATTTGATTATCAAAAGGAAAATAATACAGTTAATTGGAACAAGGTGAATTTTTTAAATCCATGTACCTGCAATGATATTCAAAAAGGAAGAAGTCACTATAAAGTGTGACAAAAAGTAGTTAATATGCTGAGTGAAGAAGAGTGAATATAGGCTATTTTTAGTGAGTCGTGATAAGTACAAGAACATAAATATAGTAGGCATTTTGTCTATTTGCAAGGTACATTTGTTTTTCTTTATCTATGTAAGTAGGGAGGGGTGAGTACAGAGAACTGTGAATAATTCCAAGAAGATCTGGCACTGTGCCAAGAATGAAAGATACTGGTGGAACTATTTGAGTATATTTTGCAACTAAGAAGAAAAACAGTCCAATGGCGTGTTATAAGACAATGGATTAGTCAGATGTCCAAAAGACAACTGTTCACTGCTCAGGCTTGATCGTTCATCTCCTAGAAAATGGATCCTCTGTATTACCCCACTAATTATAATGAGATATTAATTAGGCAAAATGATTAAGAGTAGGTTTGGCTGTAACAGTAAAACCCAAAATAAGAATAGCTTAAACAAAATAGGAAATCATTTTTGTCTCACATAGAAAAATCTGTAAATAAGAGTCCAGGGATGGATGGCAGCCTTATGATCATTTGAAAGCCCAGTCTTCTGTCTTGTTCTACCATCCTTAGCTTGCCACCTCATGACCCAAGACGGCTCCCTGAGCTCCAGACATTACATCAGCCTAACAGGAAGGAGGAAGGAAGAAACAACACATCTCTTTCCTTGAAAGAAGCTTTCTGAAATATGCACCAATATTTCTGATTGTGTCTCAGTAGAATTTAGTCACCCGGGCTCACCAAGCCAGGGAGCTTGGCTAGGAGCTACAGTGTTTATTCCAGGCAGCCATGTCCAGCCAGAAGTTGGGAGTTTTATAACAAGGAAGAAGGGGAAATTAGCTATTGGGGAAGACAACTAGAAGTTGTTTTTTATTGTTGTTTTTTGAGGCAGAGTCATGCTCTGTCGACCAGGCCGGAGTGCAGTGGTGCAATTTCAGCTCACTGCAACCTCCACCTCCTGGGTTCAAGCAATGCTCATGCCTCAGCCTCCCGAGTAGCTGGGATTACAGGTGCGAGCCACCACACCCAGCTAATTTTTTGTATTTTTAGTAAAGATGGGGTTTCGCCATGTTGTCCAGGCTGGTATCAAACTCCTGGCCTCACGTGATCTGATTACAGGTGTGAGCTACCACATCTGGCCACAAAGTACTACCAACTTGGTGGCTTAAAACAACTGTTTATTACCTCACAGTTTCTGTGGGTCAGAAGTCCAACAAAACGTGACTGGCTTCTCTGCTCAGGGTTTCACAAGATCAAAAGCAAAGTATAAGCAGGGCAGCCTTCCTTACTGGAGGGGAAGAATCCACTTCTAAACTCATTTAAAGTTCAGTTCCTTACGGTTGTAGGACTTAGGTCCTAGCCCCCTCCATTCTCAAGCCAACAACTGCAAGCCAAGTCCTTCTCACACTTTAAATCTCTCAGGCCTACCTTTCTACCACATCTCTCTGACTTCAGTGTAGAAAGTTCTCTGAGTTTAGGGACTCGTGTGATTAGGCCCACCCAGATAAGCCAGGATAATCTCCCTATTTTAAGGTCCACAACCTGAATTGCATATTTGAAGTTCGTTTTGCCATGTAACATAACATATTCACAGGTTCCAGGGATTAAGGCATGGACATCTTCAGGACATCTGCATATCAGAGTCACTAAACTCAAAGATGGCATCATGTAGAGAAAAGGCATGCAGCTACAATACCACTGCATGGAAAACGTATGGGCTTGAAAATTTCCCATGATATATACAAGATAAATACCAGCTCAGATTTTAATCATTTTAGAAGGTGAACCAATTCCCAGGTCCCAACCAAAAATTCATTGATTAATAATCCAAAACTTGATCTACATTGAGATATATTTTTATTTTAGATATCTAAATTCAAAAATTGCCCTGAGCTGAGATAATGTCTCTCAGGTCTACCACCCATTTTTATAGTGGATTTAAGCATAGGTGTTATAAACTTTATAATCCTTATAATGGTATGTGTCCCTTACCAAAATGAAGCTTTTAGAGAAACTGACATATTAGTGATTCAGTTGAAATATTTAGGAGGATTTGATTGTTTTTAATCAACGTTTAAATCATTTAACTTGTTAAATGTATAGATTTTGATTTGCTGGTTATAGAAATCGTGTTCAAATATTTAGACAATTTTTCCTTCAGTAGGTTTGTGAATAGATTAAACAATAAATAAAGCACAGGTGATGGTGTGTGGTCCTCTCCAGGTACCAAAAGCTCCTCAGACTTTAAGGATCCTAACAACAGACTCCAACTATTCACCTTCCCTATGCCCATGCCCTGGCAGCTGATTCCTACAGAGAAGTCCCACTGATGAAGGATTCAATGTGGATCTAAATCCATGGCCTCCAGCCACATCTGGTCCTCAATCCTATAATCCTCAATCCTCTAACTCTTCACTGGTTTCCTTTGCCAGCTGCCCCTCATCTTCCCCAGAATCCACTGCCAGCTTCTGTTCCCTCCTTAAGCCTTTTGCCCCACCAGTTCTGCTCCCATGGCCCATGGTCAGCGGCAGACAGCCTCACCTTCCACCTCACTGAGAACACAGAAACTCCAAGCAGGACCCTGCCCACCACCACACTTACAAACTCACCTTCCTCCCCATCTCTGCTTCCTCCTGCCTGTCTCGGTGGGAGACGAGTTCCTCCTCCTGTCAAGGCTGCTATCCTCATCCACCAGTCTTGGATCCAGTTTCCTCCAGACATCCTGTCATCTGTCACTCTCCTTTCTACTCACTCCTTCCCTTCAGCAGCTCTTAAAGTTTAGGAGCTCAAGTCTCTTAAATCTAAGAGAAGATAGGCATGGAAGTAGTTGTAGATATAGGTATAGTTATCCTCAGCTCTATCTATTCCTGCAGGTAGTTGGCGTCAGCTCATCTCCTCCTTAAAGCAAAATATTGTAGTACAAATGTCTACACTCTCGATTTGCACACCTCGTAATCACCGGTGAACTATGGCCTCCACTGCTCCACCTGAACTGCCCTCAGCCATGGCTCATAACTTCCGTGTTACTGAAGCTGGTGAACACTTCCTAGTCCTCCTGTCACTCAGTCTGTCTCTAACATTTGACCCTGCTGACTATACCCTCCTTCTAGAAGCACTCTGCCCCGACTTCCCTGACTGTACGCTCCCTGGTTTTCCTCCACCTCTCTGCCTGTGCCCTGCATCTCTTAAGTGCTGATTTTCATCAAGGTTCTGCCCTAGCATTCTTTGGTCCTAAGACACTCTCAAAGGCACAAATGACCATCCATATGCTGACAATGTTATCTCTATCCAGGATCGCCCTTTCTGAAACTCAGACTCATACATTGAATATTCCACTTTCAAGTCTACACGCTAAAACCTGAAATTATAGTCTTTCCTCCCTAAATCTGTTCTCTCGCCCTTGTTCTCTATATCTGTAAACGGAACTTCCCTGTTGCCCAAACCAAAAATGGCCATTATCCTTAATTCTTCCCTCTCCCATAACCCTCATATCTAGTCATTCACATCCATCAGTTCCATTCGTTTCTTTCCGTCTGCCCTGGCTCAAACTAACAATCTTTTAGCTAGATTTCTATGAAAGCCTCCTAACTGGTCCTGTGGTTTCCTAACTGGTCCTGTGGTTTCCCTTCAATTCTCCAGACTGCGGTAGCCTTAGTGATCTGTGTAAATAAACTTCACTGCCTAAGGCCCTCTGGGGGCTCCAGGTGGGCCTCAGAATGAAATCCATATTTCTTAACATGGTTTTCGAGATCCCTCACAATTCAGCTCCCAGAATCTCCACTACTTCATTTTTCACCATCTGCAAGAATGTACAGACCTAAGAAATATCACCACTTATTAGCTGAGGGGAAATGGCACTCTTTGGAAAAAGAGAGTACAGCATTTCAGTCAAAACTTATCAGGACCAAGAGAATAGTTCTTGGACCCAACGGAGGTAAATCCATTTTAGTTTGTGAATCATCTTACTGAGGACCAAACTTTAATGGAGACATCTTAGCGGACTCTATGTAGTGCATTAATAACAGATGGAGAGACCACAGATTAAGCGAGGGGAGACTAATTCTAACAACAAAATGAATGCACTTGTGTCAGAAGCAGTAGTATGGTGGTTAAGATGGTGAGCACAGAGGCTGGGCACGGTGGCTCATGCCTGTAATCCCAGCACTTTGGGAGACCGAGGCAGGTGGATCACCTGAGGTCAGGAGTTCGAGACCAGCCTGGCCAACGTGGTGAAACCCTGTCTCTACTAAAAGTACAAAAATTAGCCAGGCGTGGTGGCAGACGCCTGTAATCCCAGCTACTCAGGAGGCTGAGGCATGAGACTCCCTGGAACCCGGGAGGCGGAAGTTGCAGTGAGCCGAGATCGTGCCACTGCACTCCAGCCTGGGCAACAAGAGCAAAACTCTGTTGCAAAAAAAAAAAAAAAAGAAAAGAAAAGACAAAAAGAAAAGAAAAAAGAAAAGAAAAGAAGGTGAGCACAGGAGTCAGTGCTCAAATCCAGCCTCTCAGTGGTTGTACATGACTTTCAGTGAGTTACTTCACCTCTCCGTGCCTCATTTTCTTCCACCTATAAAATGGAGATACTAATTGTATGCACCCCACAGGGTTGGAAAGCACTTAGAACAGTACCCAACACAGAGCAAGTACTCAGTATATGTAAGTTACTGTTATCAGATGACTTAGTAAACAAGTTAAAAATTGGACCTGTCCCAGGGATTCTTGGACAGTCTTTTAAAAGCAGGTAGGATTTTTTATTTGTTGTAGCCATTTACCTGTTACAAAGCTTTTGTCTTCCAGGTATGTTCACTTTCATTCATGAACACATGGACTTAGTAAATACTTGCTAGGAAAGCATGGTATAGCAAGGCTTAGGTGGACCCAACTTCACCAGATAGCTTATGTAAGTTTTAACAGGGGCACGGGATAGGAATATTCTTTATTTTTATTGTTTGCTTATGTCATGGGATTGTCTGGATACTGGCAACTTTGTAATTTCTCTGTTAGAGACTTGGGGAAGCCCTCCTGCCAGGGCCCAAATAAGAAGGAATAATTGTGATGGTGTAAACCAGAGAAGCAGTGACTGGTTGCCTAGAGCGTCCATGGTGCTTTACCATGGACAAAACTCTTTAATTCACCCCTCCAAAAATAGGAGGAATCTCAAACTTCTGTTCAGACCTGGTAGATTGTTGAACAGCAAAGAAGAAAAACCTCACTGTCAGAGGACTTAGAAGCCAGCGTGAGTAAAATCTGATTCTTGCTTAAAGTTATCTAGAGTAAAAAGTAATAACCAAAAGTAATAAATTGTTTGTAGTACAGGTCAGCAATGGAAAGGGTCAGCACTCTAAAGTGGAAGGCTGACTGGAAAGGTGGCTTGGCAAAATCCTATTACTTTTGGTGAAGGGGCTCAGGCAAGGCTTCTCTGACTGTCATGTGGGCTGAGACCCCAGGCCCCTGCACCATGGGCTCCTAGGCCACATTGTTTCCCTTACCACCCTGAACTGTATTTGTTTGTTGGATTGTCTGTCTCCCTCACCTGACTGTGGGCTGCAAAGAGGCAGAGACCGTGTCACTCCTGTTACCTGTTAGCCATCCCACACCTAGGCAGAGCCTGGCACATAGCAGGTGTCCTATAAATACTGAATGAACAATGGTATGCACAGGAGCTGGGGAGTTCTCAGGAAGGATGGTTCCCACCCCAACCCGTACGCCAGCCAGTGCTGAGCAGAACCCCGGGCAAGTGAGAAAGGCAGCAAAAAGCAAAGGCCTAAAGTCACGAAGCTTGGCCTGGGTTAAGAAGGTCTCTGATCCTGAGGGGAGAGACCAGCAAGAGTTCCCAGGGCAGGAAGAAGAGTAATGTTAGCTACATATGATGAATGCTATTCCATCCCAAGCCATACTGGCCTCTTCAAACAGATTATTTCATGTAATCCTTGAACCATCTCATAAATTAGGAATTGTTACCCTGTGTTTTATAGATGGGGAAACTGAGACCTCAGGAAACAGCCTGCATAGGTAGCAAATATAGATGCAAACCTAGGTCTATAATTTTTCCAGTAAAATGAAGCTGGTTCAGCACTAACACCATTCTCTCATCATTCATTTATTTTCTTTCTTTCATTCCTCCCTTCCTTCCTTCCTTCCTTCCTTCTTTCCTTCTTTCTTTCTTTCCTTCTTTCCTTCTTTCCTTCTTTCCTTCTTTCTCTTTTCTTTTTGAGATGGAGTCTCACTCTGTCACCCAGGCTGGAGTGCAGTGGTGTGATCTCAGCTCACTGCAACCTCCGCCTCCCGGGTCCAAGCAATTCTCCTGCCTCAGCCTCCCGAGTTTACAGGTGCCTGACACCACACCCAGCTGATTTTTGTATTTTTAGTAGAGAGGGGGTTTCGCCATGTTGGCCAGGCTGGTCTTGAATTCCTGGCCTCAAGAGATCCACCCACCTCGGCCTCCCAAAGTGCTGGAATAACAGGCATGAGCCACCGTGCCCTGCCTCATCACTCGTTTTCATTCCAACCCTGCCCACTTCCAAGACATTAACTGCCAAGGGTACCAGCTTGGAAGCCCAGAGGTGGGACTCTCCTTCCAGCCCTGCCATGAAGCAGCTATGGAGCCTTAAGCATATCACCCTCTGGGCCCTGGTCTCTTCATCTGTACAGTAAGAGCTTGGGGCAGATGGTCTGGAAAAGGTACTTTTCTTCAAATCTGCAAGTTTATCTGGGAAACATATAGCAGCCATACCCCATGACTGCCCCACACTCCTCATTCCCACAATTGAGACTGAAGCTAAACAAAGAACTGGACATCAGCTCCAGTTTGATTCGTTTATTGACAAATCAAATGAAAAAAATTCACTTAAAAGAAGGGTATGTGATCACAAATGTAGCTAACAGGGGGAACGCATACAGCACCAGGGAGGGAGAGTGAGGCTGGACATACCATTACAGAGAGGAGGAAGAGAAAGAATGGCGCGGGGGGCGGAGGAAAGAGAGCACCTGCCAAAAATCCCACACTTTCCACTTCTCAGCTATCACTCAATCATTTTTCTGGACAGGGTTAACAGCTAGAAATGGTTTAAGGGCAACATCCAGGTAGTTTGTCTGGAAGATCAGGGAGATGAAGAGTTGGAGAGAATGTGGGTGTAGCATTTTGAAGGATTCTCCAGCTTGAACCTGTTGCCAGAACCCTTTTCATGGTGAACTGGGAGTCAGGAAGCTTAATCCTGGTCTCAGCTCAGCCATGAACTTGCTGTGTGACTTTGGGTGAATCATTTTCCCTCTGTGATCCTCTTTCCTCTGCTGTAAAACAATCAAGTTGGCAAGTTCTCCACTGGCTCTAGCACTCTGCAATGCCAAGCGTTCTGGCAACCTGGGCTAGACCAGGAGACTGGCTCAGCTTCCGGAGAAATGAAACTACTAAGAAGGCCAGCCAGAGTGACGTGGCACTGGCCTTCACCTGGAGCCCACTTCCTTGGCAGCGGCAGCAATTCAGAGGGTGAGTGTACGCGCACACACCTGGAAGGAACTCACACTCACTGCAAGGGTGATCTCTGCAAAGAATGGCTGTGAGGGAGCCTGGGTTTTGCTCTACACAGAAGGCAGGTCCACAGGACTCGGGGGGTGATACAGATGAAGCAATCACACAATCTGTAGGGTCTGGGATGCAGGATACAGTGGAGGTAGAAGGAGCAGAGGACTGTAGGCTTTGGGATGGGGTTGGGAGGGGTTGGGAGGTAGAGCCATGCCAGCACTTCACCGTGTGCCACTCCTGTTGCAGACGCCCTGCCCCCTTAAAACAGAGGCCGGGGCCCCTGGGTCTAACAGAAGCAGCTCTTCAGATAGAGATGCCACACTTGGCATCAAGATCCTTGATTCCTGTGGGGTCAACACCATCAAAGCAGGGGTCAGGAATTGTCTCCATTGGCTGGAGTCAAATGAGGTAGGCCAACCCATTTCCCCCTTGCCCTTCCCATGCTGACAAGCTGGTGGCTTGTGGCTGGCCATCCTCCCACTCCAAGACACTGCCCTTGAGGCCTGGGAGGATGGCCAGCCCTGCCCTGAGAGCTGTGCAGGCCACACCTGGCTTGAGAAAGCTGACCGTGAGGCTAGGAGGCAGCGGCCTCCCCACAGCCTGCCCAGGCTTATGTCATCTGTGACAGCTCTAAGGGCAAAGGGTCCCCAAAAGAACAGGTTGGAGGGAGGAGCCCACATTTGGGGTTTCTGTATGGGAAAGGACTGTGGTTCCAATTCCAAGGTCAACAGCCACAGTTTCATGGCCAAGATAGATTCTTTCGTGAGTGTGTGTGCACACCACCACACACCTACATGTGAAGGGGAAAGAGGATACTTGGGGAGAAGACACTGAGCCTGGTATAGCCTAGAGGAGCACTCCATTTCCCAGTGTAAAACTGCCAGGGACCCATATCTGACAGCCTTTGGCAAATTCTCCAAGTACCCCAAACTGGGGATGTTTCCATGGGGATGCTGGTCCCTAGTTCAAGGCAATTCAGCAAAGCTTTATGAAGCAAGTTCTCTACAAAAGGCACAACTGAGGGCCCCCAGTGGACTGAGAGCACTGCTGGGACAGGGGGAGGCCTAGCAGCAGAAACCCACGGCCCTGGGGCAGGGGGCACCCCCGCTGCTCCCGCTCACTGCTCCAAGACCTTGAAGGACAGCGGGGTGCCACTCTTGGCAAAGGCCTTCATCAGACTGCTGGGATAGATGCACCCCAGCTTCTCTGGGGTTGGGAAGCCCCATATCCTATAGAGTGACAGGCTCAGCCGGTCCCCGATATAGAAGGGACCCACCCATTTGGCACTGCTGCCATTCCTGGGGAGGGACAGCAAAAGGACCTGGTCACCCACATTCCACTCCTTCTCCTGGCTCTCCCGCTTGAAACGCCTGTTCTCGGCCTTTTCACTCGCCTTGTCAGCCACCCTCCAGTGGAGCTCCAGCAGCTCCCCCACCAGCTGTAGCAGGAAGACGTCCATCTTGAGCCCTTCAATGTTTGCGCTGCTCATCTCCCACCACAGGGGCTCCGTGAGCCTTGACTCACCCCCGGTCAGGACCTTGAACGGTGTGGCATCAGTGGAGGAGGCCCTGAAGGCCAGGTGCAGCAAAGGCAGGGAGGCCGCCCACTTCTTCCCATGCAGGAAGATGAACTCCTTGAGGGCCCTCTTGAATTCCCAGTAGGCCCCTGAGCTCGTCAGGCAGGGGAACTGGAGGTCCCGACTCAGGGAGGCCACCTGGGCTCCCAGGGCCAGCCCACAGCTCACAAGGACGTGCCGGGCAAACTGGGGCCCCTGGGCTGCCTCCAGCCTCACAGGAACACCCCACCTTGCAAACACATGCTGAAGCAGCACCTGGGCCACAGCCGTGTGTGTGTAGGGCTTCAGGGGGAATGCCTCCACCCACCTGGTGTTTGGGTCAGCCACAATAAGTACATGCTTATGGCCCTCCTCACTTATGGTGACCGGGCCCACCACCTCGATCTGCAGGTTCGACCAGGGGGCGGTCGACCTGAGGGGCCATGGGGACTCAATAACCTTCAACTCGCTGCCTATGAGATTTCGGGGGATGCAGAACAAGCAGCTCCTGCAGTAATCTTTCACATGCTCCTGCATCCCAGGCCACCACCCCAGCAAACGCAACTTCTTGTAGGTCTCTTCGGGCCTCTGGTGGGCCCCCAAGGGAATGTCATGCACAGAGAAAATCAGATCCCTCCGGAGTTGCGTCGGGACTACCCAGACCCTGGGCTTCTTATCTCCCTTGAACATAAGCAGGCCACTCTCCTTGTCGAGGCTGAGTGAGTTAAAGGCAGAACTAAACGGTGAGGAGCCAGACAGTTTCTGCCCAGCCTGCAGCCTGGCAATGATGTCGGCCAGGGTGCTGTCACTCAGCTGTAATGCCAGCAAATTGGGCCTCTTGCCCATGGCATGGGGACTCACTGTAGGGGCTGGCACATCCTTTGGCAAACTCCACCACTGCCCACCCCCCTGGGCACCCTGCTTGGCCAGGGTGTCCACTGTCACAGCAAACAGAGAGCCCCGGTAGGAGGTTCGGTAGATAAACGGAAGGGATGAGAGGCCAGAGGTGAGGGATATAATGTAGGAGAGCAGGCTTGGGTGAGGGAGTGGAGCCCCATCAGAGGAGAGGAAGCCCCGAGCCCTCCAGAGGGGCAGGAGCTCCCACAGGAGGCTGAAGATCCAGTTGCAGTGAGTGAGGAAAACCACTGGGAGTGGGGACTGGCCAAAGCGCTCCAGGCCGCAGGCCACGGCTGCCAGGTGGGCATAGGTTGGCGTGTAAGGGGAGCAGGAGAAGGAAAGGGAGACAGGGGGGCTGGTGGGCGATAGAACATAGAGACCAAAGCCAGCACACCACTCATCCTCACGGTAGAAGCAGTAGCCCGACATGTGGATGCAGACGAACGTGGACAGGTCAGAGAAAGGCGGCAGAACCTGGAAGAAGCGAGGCATGGAGGCCGCGGGGGTGAGCAGGCGGTTCTCCCCCAGCAGGCCCTGGAGGAGGGCCAATTCCAGGGCCCTCTTGCCTTTGTCCTGAACCAAGAGGGACCATCGGATCAACCAAGCTTTGGAAACCCTGCGGCCCTCCCGCACCTCAGGGTCCGCAGTGGTCCGGGAGGCATAGGAAAGGTCCAGGACCACCGGGGTGTCTCCAATGCAGCGGGAAAAATGCTTGAGGGCCCAGGCCACAGCATAGGGGCTGTCACCCCCTGACTGGGGGCCCTGGCTCTCCTCATCAGGGAGGAGGGGTTTTGAGGTATAGGCTATGGGGTGCTTCCTCCCTGAGTGCTCCTGATGGAGGATGGCCGTCAGGGCCACGTGGCTCACGGTCACCTCCAGGCGGAAGGGCAGCTGGGAGTTGGGGGCCATCAGGCAGAGGGCAGACACCAGGGCTCGCTTCAGGGCCAGGAAGGCCTCCTCATGCTCCTGGTCCCACTGCCAGTCAGGCTTCTGCTTGAGGAGGCTGTGCAGGGGGCCCACTAGGGCTTCATAGTCAGGGATGGCATCCCTGTGGGAGTCCATGAAGCCCATGAAGAAGGAGAGTGCGGTGAAGTTGCTGGGGATGGTGAGCTGGGCCAGGTGGGCAAGAACCTGCTGGCAGGGAGCCTTTCCATCCCAGGGGATGCCCAGGTAGGGAGAAGCTGCCCCTGGCAGGAGGTCGATGTCCAGGGCCCCATCAGGGGGATCATGGAGGCTGAGGCACCGCAGGATCTCCTCCGAAAGGGACGGGCACTCCACCCTGAACACTGACGCCAGCGAAGAGTCAAGGTCGTCCTCCTCAGCCGCCTTCTGTGTGCCCTGCCCCTGTCTCTGCTCCTCATCCTGCCTCTCCTCCTTCTCTTCCCTGACTTCTTCCATATTCGGCAGACTCTCCAGGGGCCCAGAGTCAGCGTCATCACTCAGCTCAGTGACACTGGCTGAGCTGGGAGGAAGGGTCTTCCACACCTTCAGGAAGTTGCCAATGTCAGTGTCCAACCTACACCAAAACAGATGGAAGAGGGAAGGGCAGCCCCATCGTGAGCAATCCTCCAAAGGGAAAGCACCTCTGTGGAAACCCCATTCCAAAGTGTCCTGAGGCTGGGCCAAGTGCCAACAACTTGCATGGCATAGGCACAATTGGGCCCCTGCCTATAAACACTTCCTCTACCTCATGCATGGGCCAGACCCCCAGTATTAGAGGTTCATTTGTGCCTTGAAGACTCATCCAATCAAAACTTCACTGACCAAGTAACATTTAAACTAGCTGTAAGCCAGTGGTTTGATAAGAGATGACTGGCGGCTTCCAGCCTAACCCAGGATGAGCAATCCTGGAAAAGGGGGGGCAGTGTCACCAAAGTGAAGGAGAGCCTGACAAGGAGCTTGTGAGGACACAGCAGACAAACCTCATCCACATCACTTTTTTCCAAATTGGCAAGGTAAGACTGGGGGATCTGGCCCCAGGAAGCAGAGCTCTGCCCAGAAGATCCTGACAAAGGTTCCCTGCTGGGCCTAGGGAACTGGCAGGTGGGCAGCAGAGGATCCAAGTTACTGCAAACCAATTGTGCTGGCACCAGCAATGTGACCTTGGAAAAGTCACTTGAGTCACAGATTCCTCATCTATAAAATGAAGACAGTGGTCATTTACATATAACTCAAGTTGTGAGGATCGAATGAGACGATAAACATAGAAAAAAATCCTACTTGGTGAATACTCTAGACACAGCTTCCCTTGGATACAAAGAATAAGAGCAAGGCTGTTCACTGCAGCCTCGGACCCAACAGCATATAATGGAAGTGGTCAAATGGCCCTCAACAAGAAAACAGAAAAATCTATTGGGTACTCATGTAATGGAACACTATATGACCATTAAACAGAGCTACATGAATTAGCATAGGATACATCTGAAAAAACTAATAAATCATTGAGCACAAATGCCAGTTTGGAAGGATGCATGTAGAATGTTAAAACTACATTCTACATATGTGCTTTCATATATGTATTAAAACCTACTGTAAGTGGTTTATGAACACATAAACATGTGGCACAAGTATAAAGACATGAAAAAGTCAGATCACTCTGATCATTATTACGCACTAGATGTTGGCCAACACTAAGGGGAAGTTTCCGATCAGCCCCAGGAGGGCCTGGGAGGCTGGGGAGGTCTGACCTATTACCTGTTTGGCTTCTTCAGAAACTCATCCAAGGTGGGGCCATCACGGCCCAGGGGGTCATCAGGCACCATGAAGAGATTCCCCGCAAAGGTGAAAGGCAGCAAGCTGGGCCCAGGGGGAGAAGAGGCACAGTCACTGTGAGCCCTTGACCCACCCACACCCTGTTGTCGCCTGGCTTCTCCATGGCGCTGAGACCCACATCCTGGCAGGTGCTGGTGGGCACTACTCCAAGGCCTCTCTTCCAGCCCTAATCCCTCCCATGCCAGGGGCTGCCTGACATCCAAGGGGAAGGAATGGCTCAAGCCTCTGGGGACCATCTTACCGATCTTTGACCATCAGTTTCTTGGAACTATTCATCAGGATGTGAATCTGCTCATTGGTGACAATGATGCCATCTGTCTCCTCTGCCAGCTTTACCATGAACCTGCAGGGAGAGGGGAAGTCACTAATGACCCAGTAACTAGCCCCCTCACTTCCTGGGTCATCTGGGAAAATAAACTTGCAGCTTCACATTGAGGTGTGTCAGACAAAGACACTGCCCTTCCTACTCAGAAATCCAGGACCCCCGAGCCCATCCCCTTCTCTATGCAGCCATGTGAGATCACTGATAGGGATCAAGGTCATCCAAGGGTGACCTTGGATGCACGCATTCCCAGCTGTATATACAAACACACACCCCTGTTATACGCATAGGCACATACATAGACAAGCACAGACACAGAAACTCACATTCGTCCACATTCACACAGGTGTATTTACTGCTTCCGTTTTTTGCATCTGTAAAACAGAGATAAAATACCTACCCCATGTTGCTGTGAGGATTAAACTGAATGAGATAATACTTTTAAGTGTCTAGGTAAGTGCCGGCCACACAGCACACACACAAATATTCCATTATAATGCTTCACCAATGCATAATATTCATATACATGCCAAGACATACAGACATATATACGCTAACACATATAAGCACACATACCTGAATAAACAAATCCACTTTTCCAAGGATCACCTCTCCTCTAAAGAGGGCTGTGACCAGGAAAGAAAGCAAAGGCTACCTACTTCTCAGTAGTCCCTGAAACTTTCCATTCGGGCTCCCCAAAGCATGCTACTCTTCAAGTGCCCAGCAGAGGGACGGTCTGCGGAAAAGCCATCTTCCATCAAACCCACGCCTGAACTTAAAGGCACTTGAAGACTCAATGGAGGGGACCAGCTCTACAAGGAGGGATGAGTGAGGTTCTCTGCCCAGCCCTTCCCAGGCCTGGTTGGGTGCCAGGTCTTGGGAAGAGTGTGGAGAAACAGAACTTCTCCCTGCCTGGCATGAGAGTTGCCTATGTGAAACCAAGATCTCTGTCCGCCCAGCATCAACTCCAACCCAGGACCAGTGACTATGCCAGGGCCTTCCCTGCCCTAAGAGAGGCAGGGTCACAGGCTTCCCCTGAGCACAGAGGTCCTGCAGCCATGCTGAGGGGTGGGCGCTTAGGATTGACAAGCAGGCAAGCATTCAGGGTTTAGGCATTCAGGGCTCTCCTTTTCCAGAGCCCTGCCCAGGGCTCCATCCACATCAGCCATGCACAGACCTCCACCAGTGCCGGGGCTCCGAGGGAGGAAAAGACTAAAGCAGTCTGGAGACATGAGCCTCAACCGAAACGGGCACCCAAAACCCTGGGGAACCTCTCTGATGTTCACAGGTCATGGGGGAAGAATGCCTGTTAGCTAAGGCAGACGGACTCCAGAGTCCCAAAGTCAGAAACAACTCCGGGCTTGGGGAGAGCCAACCTCAAGCCCTTTCCTCAATGTGCCCATCCCTCTGCTGACAGATGCCCGTGCTCCACCCCACCCTCTGCACAACCGACACCCCCAACATGTTTGCCTCCATTTCCCCAGAGAAGACAGGCCGGACTCCACCTGACACACCAGCCAGGCCCAACTCCCTGAGCCCAGGAGGGCAGGCCTGGGGACCGGCACACCTATAATCGTAGGTGGTGATCTTCTTGCCATTCTCAAGCTGGGAGGGTGTGATTGAAAGCATCTTGAGCGAGTGTAGCTTCGTCAGAAAGTGGCTCTCTGGGGGTGAAAGGCAGAAGACAGAAATGGTCAAGGGAGGGCTAAGTGGAAATGGCCACTCTGGGGTGGCAGAGGGTCGGGGCAGCAAGGCAGAGAGAAGAAAGCTTGGTGACACTGTGGAGGCTGGGCAGGCAGGGGACACCTCACCTCTCACCCTCCGGTTCTTCTTCAGCTGCCAGGTGGGTACAAACACAGTGACCTCTCGGTGTCCCCGGTTCCAGAAAAACTGCACTGCCATGGCAATTCCTCGGCAGGAGAAGAAGTGCTGCAGGCCATGCCTGTGGGGTCGTGGGACAAGGAAAGACCCTGCCTCACCACTCCTCCCTCAGAGCCAGCCCTGGGGCAGCAAGCAAGCAATGCCAGCACCAAGGACACCAATGATGCCCTCTCCCCTTCCCTCCATACTCAGACATTCTGTGAGCACCTACTTGGTGCAGGGCACTGCCAGAAACTCTGTGTGTGTGCGCGTGCATGTGTGTGTGTGTGTGCATGTACCTGTGTGTACGCATGTGTGTAGGGACATTGAGGGCAAGAGGAAGAAGGCAGCCCCTCCACTCAGAGAGCTCAGTTGAGGGCTTAAAGCAAACAAAAATTCCCTGGCCACCGACAGTGTGCTGGGAGTGTGCTCTGCACAGATAACTACTCTATCATGTGGCAAATTATGTGGCATGCACATGTTTATGCTAACACCTCTACAGCAGTAAGTACTGTGGAGGAAGGGCAATCGCTAAGGGCCAGCAGAGTCAGGAAAAGAAATCTGTGCTGGGCCTTGAAGTTTGGGCTAAAAGTTTAAAAGCTGGCCTGGGAAGGGCATGGACCTTGGCAGTGGACACATCTGAGCCAAAAGGCCAGCTGGACCCCTTGCTGGCTCAGGGATCTTGGGCAAGATTTCCCACCTCTGAGCCTGCTTCAGCATCTATCAGACAGGGAAACCAGAAACCTGCCCTTGAGGGCTGCTATGAGGATTCCATGCACACTGCCTGGCACGCAGGAGCCATTCAACATGGATGGACCACTTCCCTCCCATCTCTTCCCCATGTCGCCCATAGGAAGGTTGGGAAGGGATGCCCACATTCTGTCCCCCAGGGATGCCCTGCCCCAGGTCCACAGCATCCCCAGCCCACCCCACGCCCGTGACTACTCACACCATGGCCACACTGCTGCCATCGATGACCACTCGCCGCAACCCCTGGTTTCCAGGTTCCCCTGACAGGTTCAGCTCGAAGGGTGTATTCAGGGCCTCGTGGTACCTCTGGAAGCTGGTCACTGTGCTGTTCGCTTGCAGGTGGCGAGGTGGCTGCCTTGGGGCCCCCTCCCAAGCCCCCAGGAGCCCCTCCATCTGAAACTGGTGCTTACTGCTGAGGGCCAAGGTGCCACTGGACTGGGGACCCTGCCTTCCAGCCTGCCCCTGGCCCTTCAGTAAGGAGACACTAGCCCTTGATGTAGGCTGGACCTCACTCAGAAGTCTGGCTACATCCAAGGTTGGCCCTGCATCCGTGGGCACCTTCTGAGCTGCAGGTGTTTTGGGAGCTCTGGAGACTCTGGGGGTCACAGGTACTTTGGGAGCTGCAGGTGCTTTGGAAGCTGCAGGTGCTTTGGAAACTGTAGCTGCAGGCCCGGCTTGAGCTTTGGGTGTTTTGGGACCTGCAGGTGATGTTTTTGCTACAGGCATCTTCTGAGCCTGGGGAGTTTTTGGAGTTGTGGGTTCCACTTGAGCTACCAACACTGGTTGATTCACAACTGTTTTTTGAGCTGTGGCCATCAGTTGAGCTGTTGGCTTTGTTGGAGCCAAAGGCACTTCGGGAGCTGCAGGCTCTGTGTGCACTGCCAGCATCATTCGAGATGTAGGCAGTTTGGGAGCTGCAGATGGCACTTGAGTTCTGGAGGGATTTTCAGCTTTGGGCACTGCTGCAGCCATGGGCACTTTGAGAGTTTCAGGCACTGTTTGAGCTCCAGGTACTGACTGATCTGTCAGCCCCCCTTGAGCCACGGGCTTCCCTTGCCCTGTTGGCAGCACTGGAGCGGGTCCCTCTTCCAGTCCCTTAAAATCTAACTGCATACTCCCTTGATCCCCCGGCTCACCTCCAGCCTGTAGTTGGGGTGTAGAGGTCAAGGGTGGCCCTATCTGTGGGAGATCCGAGCTAACTTTGTCTTTTACATCTGAGCTCCCAGGGACCACCAATAAACTCGTAACTTTTGGGGAAATCTCTGGCCTTGGGCAATTCTGCAGGGCTGCTTCTCCTCCCAGCCCCCCATCTGGTCTACCAGCTGGGCTTTCTGCACTAGGCAGAGGAGCCAGCTCCTTCTGCTTCCACTCCAGATTTAAGGGCAAAGGATTCTGCCCTGGCAGCTTCAACTGAATGGGGCCCAGAGGTCTCTGCCAGAAGGGGAAATTGAAGCACGCCTGGGACAGGAGCCAGGCCAGATGTAGAGAATGCAGCTCATTGATCCTCCAGAAGGTTGCAGCAATAGCCCCCGGCCACAATGGCCCAAAGGCTGGCCCCGGGGTCCAGGCCTTCCAGGGTGGGCACACACCCAGGGCTGATACTGGAGGTTGGAAGAGGAGTTTATCTTCTATCTTCTGGACCTGCCTTTGCTTCAACAAGGCTTGTGTGTGGTTCGTGGAGTCCTGGCTGCTGGTGGCTTGCACTGTCCCTTCCTCTTGAGCACTGTCCATACCATCTTGGTTGTTGGAACCGACCCTGGAGGAAGCCCAAGTTCATTGAAAAGGTGGAAGGCCAGTTTGGTCCCAAACTATTACTATTTCCTTAGGGTAGGGGAGCAGGGGTAGGATCAGAGAAGCCAGGCTCATTCTCCAGAACTTACCGTACCAGCTGGTTTGCTGCCTCCTGCGGTGTGCTCTGGGCTGTGATCAGGGACCCAGTGGCTCCCAGGCTAGATAATCTCTTTGAATTTTCTGGGCCCCTGTTCTGGAGGGTCCCCATGTCCACAAAGGGTCCAGGACTCTCTCCCACGGACACCATGGCTGGGGCTTCCTTCTGCTGCTGGGGAGGGCAGATTAGAACCTCCGGATCGGAGTGGGAGTCAGAGATGCCGAAGCGGCTGAGCCACTCGATGATGTCTTCCTTGCCCGCAGCATCCCGCACCAGGCTCAGCAGCAGCTCCTGGACCGCTGGGGGCAGCTGCAGTAGGTCCCCTGCATGCTGGTCACCACGGATCCAGACCAGGGCCCCAAAGGCCCGGGTCACCTCAGCCTCCCAGATCCCCCGGGGGGTCAGCAGAGGGGCAGGGCCCCAGCGCAGTCGCCCCACCAGCTCCTCCAGCCAGTTCTGTGTCATGATGAAAGACTCAGTCAGCCCGCCCACCATCAGGGAGCCAGGGGGGCCAGGCACCAGGTAGGCAAGGGTGCTCCAGCAGAGGCAGTCCAGGAAGAGGCCTTGGGCCCCAAGGAAGGCACAGTGCAGGATCGGTGGGTAGCGAACCTCTTTCCACAGCTCTGGGCTGCACAGGCCCTTCAGGTATTCCTGGGCACAATGGGGAGAACACAATGAAGTCAGCCCGTTGGGGGCCTGCCCCTGGATCTGCCCTCGCCACCCAAAAGGCCAGCCCCTCACTAACCATGTGGCCCCACCACTACCACCCCCCATCCACCATGAGCCAAATGACTCCCCCATGGCCAGCCACTCTCTCCCTGGTCCTGCACCCTCACACACCCATTTCTTTCCAGGGAACACCAACAGAACAGGGAAGCCTGGGAGAGAGGAGGGAAAGAACCCAGGTTGCAGCTCCAACTCGACCTCAACTGATTAGGTTAATTGTGGGGCATCTATCACCTTCTCAGCACCGCAGTCTCTTCACCAAGAAAAAGAAAGGTTAAACTGGATGCTCCTGAGGTCTAGTCCCAGTCTGGCATTCCTGAATTGTGTGACAGCTGGGGAGAAAGTGGCTGCACACTACTGGGCACCCTCCATAAGCTAGGAACTATGCAACCTGTGGCAAGTTATTAATCACACAACACGCCTGCCCCCGTGCCTGCAGTTCCTCCTCTGTAAAATGGGAACAGTAATAGTTCCTGCCTCATTGGGCCACTCTGAAGCTTCAGTGAATTAATACGCAGAAAGTACTGAGGATGACACCTGGCACAGCCTGTTCCCATTTTGCAGGCTGAGAAGAGCTATGCAGCTTGCCCAAGGGCACACAGCTAGAGGCTCTGATACTAGAAATTTTTCCACCTCCTCTGGCAGACCACAGTGACTACAGGGTAATCATGTGAGACTCGAGCTTCATCCCCCTCCAGAATGCCTCTAGCACAACCTGTACCCCTAATCATAGTAACTCTGTTGCCCAGAGGCAACAGAGCAGGAGATAAGCCACTGGGCCAGTGTCCAGGGGAACCCCTGCACCCGCACATACACACAATAGCTAAAGAGAAGGAAGAACTCTGGCTTTCTGGGCAGACCAAGTCCTAGAGTTCACAGAGCTCACAGGGCACACACTTGCCATCTTTAGCAGTGGCTGGGGTGGGCGAGGTTGGGGTTTCTCCACTCTGGCTGAGTTCCATCTGTGCGGTCCCATGAGCTCTCGCTCCAATCAGCCACCCCATGTGGACTTCATATGCCCCCATGCCCCTCCACATCCCCTTTCTTTGATAGTCATCCCTCTCATCCCTCTTCCTGCTTTCCCCTGGCAGTCCCATACTCCATTTTGGATCTCCAGCAGCGATCCTGAAGACCACCCAGGTGCCTCTGCTCAGTCCCCGGGCCATCTTTCCCGGCTCAGGCCTACGTGTCCCTCTTCCACCTGGCCGAGGCCACAGACCTGCAACTTCTTCCTCAGAGCCTGAAATACATGTCTAACCCCTTTTCAATCAGTTCAAAACCAGCTCAAAACCTGATGGACATCCCAAGCCAACCCCTCCTACCCCAACCTCATCTGGTCCCACTGCCTAGCAAGGTTAAATCTGAGCAGGTGTGGGCTGTCTCAGACCTTAACAAATATTCCCCCACCCCAGGCACCCCCATTTCAATGACCGGAAAACAACATGAAAAATGGAGAGATGTGCTGGGGAAGAAGATTATGGGTGGCTTCTTTCTCTTTCTGCAGAGAGCTTAGAATATTTATGGTTCCATCAACTGTCCAATATTTTATTTTATTTTATTTTATTTTATTTTATTTTATTTTATTTTATTTTTTGAGGCAGAGTCTCACTCTGTCACCCAGGCTGGAGTACAGTGGCACAGCTAGAGGCTCTGATACCAGAATTTTTCCACTGGAGTGATCTCAGCTCACGGCAGCCTCCGCCTCCTAGGTTCAAGAAATTCTCCTGCCTTAGCCTCCCCAGTAGCTGGGATTACAGATGTGCACCACCATGCCCGGCTAATTTTTGTATTTTTAGTAGAGATGGGGTTTTGCCGTGTTGGTCAGGCTGGTCTCGAACTCTTGACCTCACGCGATCCACCCGCCTCAGACTCCTAAAGTGCTGGGATTACAGGTATGAGCCACCGTGCCCGGCCCGATATTTTAAAATTAAGAAATATATAGGAACTGTGATAATTTTTAAAATAATAAATATGAACTAATATTTAGTGAGAGCTTATTATGTGTCAGGCACTTTGCACACATTATCTTATTTATTCCTCTCTCTGCCCTTTAAGGAAATACTATTATCCCCATTTTAGATGAGCAAGGAAGGCCATATGTCCAAGATCACACAGTTAGTAGGCTGGGATACTCAGGCACTCTAGCTCCACAGTCGGGGGTCTTCACCATGATGCCGTCTATACTGTAGAGGGAGAGAAGATAAGGAAACAACAGGCATTTACAGCCTGAAAATACCTGAACAGCTTTCCTGCCTAAAGCCAACCCAGACCTTCTTCCTCCAAGAGGAGAAAAAGTAGAGAAGAAGAGGCAGGAACAACTAACAACTAGGTAGAAAGATGATACAGAAGAATAGAAAAGGACACAGAAAAAGAGCACTGTATTTGTAAGAATATATTGTCCAATACCCACAGGTCGTTAGTCAACTTGTAAGTTAAATAAAAGCATTTATATGACATATTTTAATATTATTCTGTACTTGTCAAGGTGCTTTATTACTTAACACCTAACTTAGGGTTCTCCTTTCTCATAAGTCAGTTATCATTCATTGTCTACTTTCCAGAACCACCCCAATTTACACTGCAGGATACTCAAAAGGCTCAGAAAACAACAACAAGAAACTCTGGAATTGGAAGTGAAGGGGAACATGAAAAACCAGGTTCTTTGAGGAGCAGTTAGATCTGGGAGCCCAACCACTCCCAACACACATACACACACACACACACATTCACACACATTCACACACATTCACACACACACATTCTCTCACACACACACACACACACACACACACACACACAGGCTTGGCAAGTAGCTTCCCGCTCACTGGAGGGCTGTTCTCCAGGGAGTACAAAACAAGGTCTTAGGAGTCGAGGTTGATCAGCATAATCGAAGGTGTGAGCACCACACAAAAAAACATGGAGGGAGTGAGGAGGGCCAAAGAATGATGTATACAATGCAAGCTAAACGCAGAGAAACTCATTCTTCCCACTCAGAGATTTGCTTGGCAGCCAGACCCTGACCCTCCAGGCCAGGGAAGCAGGCATACATTCTGGAAAACCTGGCCAGCCCAAGAGCAGAGACTTAAAGATCACAAAACGGGGTCCCTAACCAACAGCACCTGCAAATCTCTGTACAATCAAGCTCAAAACCAACAAGTCTTGCCCACAGCCTCCACTCCCAATCAGCTTTTTGTCCTTCACTCTTTATCATGCAAGGATTATCAGGCTTGTGAGGAAAACTTCTAATGTGAAACACAGAGGACAAACCATACAGGAAAACAAAAAAGCAACCTGAAAGAAGAGAAACTAGGGGGGAGAAGAAAACTTCAAAAAGCTTACTATCATTTCTATCCTCAGAGAGGTAACAAAGAATATGGTAGACACTAAACAAGAATAGAATACATACGTTTCAAATTGGATTTAAAAAGCGTAGGATACTATTTTTTAACAGAGAGAATATAAGTGACTTCTAGACATTAAAAATTTGATGGCAGAAATGAAAGACCCAAGAAAAGGCTTCAAAGATAAAATTAAGGAAATCTTCAGAAAGCAGAACAAAAAGTTAAAGTTGAAAAAGAGGAGAAAACATAAGAAAAGCAGAGGACTTCCAGAAAGAGAGGACAGAGATAGCACAGGAGAGGAAATCATCGACTAAATACTTCCCCACATTTCCCAGATCTGAGGAACATGAGTGTCCAGATAGAAGGCCCCCTAAGTACAACAAGAGTGCCTGACAATGGAGGAAAACAGAACCGCACAAAGGGGCCTCACTGGGAGACTGCAGAACATTGGGGAAAACTGACAACTTCCAGAGAAAAAAACATCTCACACAAATGACCAGGGACCAGAACAGCTTCAGGCTCCTCCAAATGGAGCACAACCCTCACATTTCTGAAGGAAAATAATTTTCCTTTTATAATTCAATATCAGCCAAGCTCTCAATCAAATATCCTTTGGCTATGCAACGTGGACATGCAACCTCAGCATTTTTCCTCCTGTAAAACTTTTCCCGGGAAGCCACTGGAGAGCAGTTTTCCAGCAAACCAAGTAAGAAAGAAGCAAAGACCATCTCCAGGATGACGGTGAAGAGAAATCTCAGAATTTATTCATCCATTCGACAAATAATTCTTGACTACATGCCAGGCACTGTTTTAGGGTGACAATGGTCATTACACAGGACAGCTAGTTCAGATTGGAGGGTATGACTCAAGAGACAGGCATGTTGAAAGCAGGCATCTGCATACACTTTGCTGCTGCACCATCTTTTTAACTTGAGGCTACAGAGGGATGTGTTCCATCAACCCAAGAAAGAAAAAGTTTCAAGGTCCAGGACATGAGTATCTAGCAAAGAAAAAAGGCAAAGGATGCCAAGAACGACAGCTGTGTCAGCCTGGAAAGCAACTGACCAGACAGGAGAGACGGCGCCAAGAAAAAATTTAGAACCAAAAGAACACCTTGAACTGATAGACTGACCTTGTAGAAAACTGTACTGAGAGGCTACTGGAAGTGGTAAGAATTAACAATAGGTACAAAGAAAGGCAAATTGAAAAACAAGGAGTGCTTAACCTCAATGACCTCAGTAAAACCCAAAAAGTAAGAAAGAAAACAAAATCATAGTACACTTCAGTGCTTCGATGTGAACGCTATGTGCAAGGCATAATGAGGCAATGCTAAACGTAGATTTAGCAGGTAATTGAAACAGAACTATCTTGAGAAGAGGGGCTGGCCGTGAAAGGGAGCTCAATCCTCACATACGATAATGGGACCAAAAAAAGATAGCAGCAAACGTCAATTAATTAAAAGACAATAGTGTCTACATATTCTTTTAGAAATGTGGAGATGCGTAAATGCCAGAGCAAATACTGTCAGTGGGGATGGTTACTGAAGGAGGAATTGGGAGGGCCGGGGCAGGGAACCTCTGTGTGCTCTTCTAAGCCTTTTGGTAAAATTGGACTTTTCAAATGTGTATTACTTTGATAAAAGAAAATTTAAGTTTAAAGAAAAAGAAGTATTCAGTGCCCACAACACAAGCAGGTGTCCTGGTAAATGTTTAACAATCAGCTGGGGGTGGGGGGTAACCTTGATTTGTCGCATTTGCCAATTTCTGTGGCATAAATACTCCCACCATGGCTGTAAATACTCCTCCACTCACTTGCACAATTCCCGAAATTTTAACAGTGGGTCCATAGGAGCCAACTCCAGGCACTGACCGCAACCAACTCTCAGGGTACTGCTCACAGTTAGTGTGCAGCAAAGATAGTTCAACTTCCATCTGACAGCCAAGCCAGATGTCAGCAGGCCACACCCTGTCCCAGAGCTCCAGAACCCAGTCTCCAGAAGGTACTCTTGCCCACCACCACTGCCTTTAGGCTCCCCATCACCTCCCGCAGTGGTCACCTCTCTTCTCTGCCGCCCACCCCATCCTCACCTCACTGCCAAAGGGGAGAAGGGTGGAGCAGGGCTTGTCCCGGGCCTCTTCTGATCATTACTAAAACCCGCCTCTCCACTCACTGATTTCACCTCAGAGAGGCCTCCCCAGTGTTTGTTTTGCTGCCTGGGTATGTGTTTCACAGTAATGTCTTCAGTGTTCTTTAATCCCACCACAACAAAACAATTTTAAAGCACTCAAGATTTACAGAGATTTTCCTGAGAAACCAACCACATAGAAACACACTCAGGCCCTTCTCTAGATGAGCCTGTATCCTTCTCGACCCCTCCTCCCCTCAGACCCCAACAAGCCACCCTCACCATCAGCCCTCCCCCAGTCCTGCAACCTGTAGTCTCCCAGAGTCCTCTCTGCCTGTTGGCCTATGTTCAGTATGCCACTAACAAAGTGCATGATTCTGTGTCCCTACAGCTGAGATTGGGGCCAGCCACGCTGCCTCCCTATGAGAACCACAAGACATCCTTACACTTGGGAAATGTTCATGTGTCAGATCGCTGGACCTCAGACAGCATTTAATCCAAGACTTCCACTTTACAAACAGGGAGATCGAGACTCAGAGAGGGAAAAGGACTTGCTCAAAGTTACGCAGCTAGTCAAAAACAATAGTAGCTAACATCTATACTCTATAGCTCTCCACATTTTATAACAGTATTGTAACATGCATGATTTCAGCAGACTCTCACAAACTCTTCATGAACCAGGTATTATTATAGTCTGTTCCATAGATGAGGGAAATGGCTCAAGAGAGGATAAATTATTTGATCTGATCACCCAGTTCAGATAGTTAACAGGTAGCAAACCCCAGTCTCAAACTCTCCTCACCATACCCCTCCTATCTTGGTTGTAACTTGGTGACAGCATATCAAACCCAGATCCCCTAACCCCTGAGACAAAACTTTAACCCCCCCCGCCCCTCACCTTCCCTGTCCTCCTTCTCCAAATTGCCAACAAAGTCTCCTTTATGGTCATTGTGTAAAATAAGGCAGGGAGCTACCCAGAATCCCCTCACGCTGGGTTCCCACTTTTCAACAATGCCTTTCCCAAAGGGAAGACAAAGGGGGAGTGGAGGAACAGGGCTAGGAATCAAGGGAGCCACTGATTCCATTAGCTGGGCCTACAGTGGGAGCCTGAGGTGTGAGATCTGCGGTCCGAAGAACCCTGAAGCAGCAGAGGGAGACGGAGCAGGTAGGCCTGGAGAAGCCAATCCAGGATTTGAGCAAGGAGGGGGTGGCGGGGGTACCTCCGAAAGTGTGAGTCCTGGCCCGGCACAGTGGTTCATGCCTGTAATCCCAGCACTTTGGGAGGCCAAGGCGGGTGGATCACCTGAGGCCAGGAGTTCAAGACCAACCTGGCCAACATGGTGAAACCTCATCTCTACTAAAATACAAAAATTAGCTGGGCATGGTGGCACGTGCCTGTAATCCCAGCTACTCAGAAGGCTGAGGCAGGAGAATCACTTGAACACAAGAGGCAGAGGTGGAGGCTGCAGTGAGCCAAGACCACGCCATTGCACTCCAGCCTGGGCAACAGAGTGAAACTTCATCTCAAAAAAAAAAAAAAAAGAAAAAGAAAGTGTGAGTCCCCTAAGAGGGTGAGCTGCTGCCTTTCAAAGTAACAAAAAGATTAAGAACCCAAAGAACCCAAAACACTCCTCTTGTTAGCCTACCCTACCCCGGCTTCTAAATGTCTTCCTCTCAAGGCCTCCAGTACATATGTTCTTTGGGAAGACACCCCTTCCCCCTCCTAGCACCTCTGTCAAAATTGGAAAAACTGCTGACCTAGCAGCTCCACAGAGGGGTTGAGGGAGGAACTTCCCAGCCTGCCTGCCTACCAGGCTGGCTGGCCGAGTTCTGGGCCTCCCCACCCATGGCCTTGACCAATTAAGATATAGGTATAAACCCATCTGCAGTAGGTGTGCGTGGTGAAGGGGAAGGTGGTCTGGGGCAGAGGGAGGCTGTGGCATTCCTACAAAGAAGAAGTAAGATAAAGGAATCTAAGGGAAGAGGTAAACCTTGGGGGACAGTGGAATCTGACAGGCCCAAGGGGAGGAAAAGCTTGTGAGAGAAGCCAGGGAGATTGCAAGAGAGGCGCACTGTGATCTGGCCTGTCCAAGGTCCAGCCCCACATAGCAAGCCCTTTCATCTGAAAACCCATAGCCCTCCTCCCAGACTCCCACCCATCTCCAAGGGCTGGGAATCTGGGAAGAGGGCTGCACCCCACTCTGAACCCCTGCAAGAAGCTGAGTGGCATCAAGAGTGTGGGGCAGGGAGCCCAGAGCCCTGGGTTCTGGTCCAACCCCCACCACCTCACCTACCTGACTCTGAGCACTCAGCCAGGCCCCTTACCCTCTCTGGCCACCAGTACCTCATCTGTAAAATGCCAGTATCACTCTAGAAGCATCTCTAAAGGCCCCTCCAGTCCTAGTACTCAGAGGCTCCAAGGGGCAGCCCAGGATTTAAGGAGACTTAAAAGGAGACAGAAGGACCTGGGCCTTTCAGTCTTGGTGGAGAACAAAGAGGTGTGTTGCAGAGGCCACAGAAATACAGCGCCTTGAGTTGCTCCCCAGATGGAAAAGTGGGACTGCTGATGCTGGGGCCCTGGCCAGGGAAGTCTCATGGGGGACACACACCGAGGAGGTGCTCTCAGTGCACTTGAGGGACAGAGGTGACACGTAGGGAAGGGGTGGGGCAGGAAAGGAAGGAACCAGAGGGAAGAAGCGGGCATGGAAGGAGCGCAGGCTGATCTGGCGAGGCAGGAGGATGGCCCACTACCTGCCTGCCACACTGCCAAATCCAGGCGGGGGCAGGGTGGGTGGTGTCTCTGCGGACCACCATCTCCCCAGGGGAAGGGGAGAGAGTGATCTGGCTGGAAGAGATGGGTGGGGGTGGGGAGAAGCTGTTTACCTTGGCTTTGCCCATGTTCTCTCGGGGCCCCTCGAGCTGTAGCCAGAAGTAGGGGGTGTCCGGGCGGCTCTGGAAGGCGTTCAGCTTGACCCTAAAGATGCGCTGCACTTGCAGCCGCTGCCGCTGCACCCGAGGCTTCGATTTTGTCTGCACCATGAACCATTCCTGCGCCGGAGGATCGCCCCCAGACAGGAGCATGGCTGCCCCGCCCGCTCCTGGAACGAAGGAGACGATAGTGTCACCCGGGTCTCGGGGCGGCAGGCGCCCCAGCCCCCAGCCCCAGGCGCCTAAGCCACGCCCCCTCCTCCCCGCGGCGCGCCCCCCGCACGGCCTCCTTCCTCCAGGCGGCGGGACCCACCCCGCACGGCTCGGGCGCCCGCCCTCTGGAGCTTGGTCCCCTTCGACCGCTGCTACCGCGACGAGCTCTTCCTGCCCGGGGTTGTAGCTAGGGGTGGGACCGGTCGGGCTCCTGCCGCCCTTCCCTCCGCCCCCAGCCTTCCCCCTCCAGCACTCTGCCAGCCCCTCCTGGATCAACTCTGTCTCCGTCTGCTGGATAGCTTAAAGGGGCGCGGAGGAGAGGGCGGGGGAGCCGGCGGGGGGGAGGAGGGGGCGGGGAGGGTCCCGGAGGCCTCTGCCTTCCACCCAAGTTTTGGGCCCAGAGCCAGAATCCAGGGGTCAAAGTTAGTTTCCTTCCACGTTCCCCTCTTGCTAGTGGAAGGACGGGGAAGAGGAAGGAGGGGAGGATTGGTTTCCGGCACCCTTTTTTGAGATTTGGAACAAGGATCTCTCCCCTTTACCCCCACCTCCCCCCTACCCCCAACAGCCTCTCCCAGGCGTCCCAAGAGAACGGGGACCTCGGCCACTCCTTCCCTGGGAGGAAAGGGTTAAGGTAGAGTAGGGTGGGGAGCCCAGGGAGGCCGGGGCCTAAGGAAACTCTGGGCTGGAGACCAAGCAGGAAGGAAAGGGTAACAGCACTGACTCCCCACCCCCCACTGAAGTCTAGGGACAGCTTGGAGCTGGCGGGCAGCCCAGACCCTCCTGAAGCCCCCCAGGGCTGGAGGGGCGGGAGAGCTGCCAGAGTTTTCAGACTTGAGTTGTTTATGAAAGCCCTTTTTAGCACGTTTGAGTTATGCTGTGAGGGGAAGGAGATAGAGGGTCCGGGCAGTAATGTAACCTCCGAGGTCTCCTGCAACCCCTGACCAGTCAGCCAATTGGCATCAGTGGTCTGGGACTAACCCTGGGCTAGGGGACCACCTTCAACACCCAGGCTCTGCTCACATCCCCAGCACAAAGAACACCTTATACAGCCTTGGGCCTGAATAGAACCTGGCCCTGTGGAGGGCAGGGCCTATGTCTCGGCCTCAATGATCTTATTTTGCAGACTAAAACGAAGAGCCACAGTCTGATAGACACAAGTATACCTATGAGGTCAAAAGGCATCAGACTTTAAATTAGGCCTGCCCTGGAACATCTGGTCTGCAGGGTCGTTATGTGTTTGTGTGCAGGCAAGGGACCAGGAGCACCCCACTGCAAGGAAGGGGCCCAATTGGGGGCAGGGAGGGGCTCACGCTACTCCTGGTCTGGACTGGACTCAGCCCACCACACCCTACTTCATCCTGCACACCTGATTCTTCTCCCTAGATTGGAATCCAGAAAAGGAAAAAATGATCTGTGTTACTTCTGGCTCCAAAGCCTTCTGCTCCACCCTGCCTGGTCCTCCTGTCCTGCCCCTCTCTAGTACCTTGAAGCAGAAGGCCTTTGGGCTGAATCTCCATCTCAGGCCTTCTTTCCACCTCTGACTGCTCTCCTTTTAGCAAAAGAGTCTCCTGCCTTATTGTGCTTCAGTTTCTCTTACAAAACAAGGTGAGAGCCACATAACCCTGCTCCCCACTCCTTCCCTGAATGAATACTTAACTCTTACTGCCCTCCTCTATCAGACCATGAACCCCAGGCATGGTGATCATCTTCATGGAGAACTCCTGGGTTTAATTCTATGTTCAAAGAGGCCATGTTGAGGGTCAGAAGAGGTCAATCTTAGGAATCAAGTTATGTATAAATGGATAAAAGCAGACAATTTATTTAAACTATTGTGTCCCTATTTCTTTAGCTCATGAAAATTGGGATAATAATACATACAGCGGAGGGTAGAAATCAGACTACATGTAAAGCGCCAGGTACAGTGCTTAGCACAGAGTAGATACCCAATATATGTTAATTCCCCATTTCAAGAGCTTGTCTCTTCTCCCCCACCTCAGTTCTGGCCAATGTGTCACCACATCTTCCTAGAAATCCTCTCCTCACCCTTCCTACTAACCCATTCCCCAGCTCCTGCCTCTCCTGGAGGTAGAGATTTTGTTAGCTAGCCTGGTTTTAATCCCAGCTATGCTCAGTTCTGGATGAGTTACATGAGTTAATGTGGACTCAGGCAGGTCCCTAAGTCCCTTGAACTCCATGGGCTTCCTCATCTAAATTCATTCATAGGACCAAATTCATTCGCTTATTCAACAAATTTAACACGTATTCACTGAGTGTCTACTATGAGCCACGCCCTAAGAGTATGGCATTGAGTAAGATGGAGATCTCCCTGCCCCCATGGAATACAGGAGGAAGAAGAAAGAAAGAGTATGATTTCAGAGAAGGGGAACTACTCTCCTGGAAATAAGACAAGGTACCGTGATGGAGAATGACTCCATGGGGCCTCTCTGCTGATGGGGATATTTCAACTAGAGGGAGAGCAAGAATATGGGCACTGAGATGGCAACCAAGCTAAGCTCTTAGCAGTTCTTGATCCAAGGCTCTCCCTATCTCAAATACATTCAGTGATTCCTTGCCTACAATATTAGGTTAAAACTGGTTTGATGTGTTGGAGGCCTTCTGCAACCTGGCCCTCATTTACTTTCCTAACCTTGTATAAAAGGATCCCAGCTCAAGTGTAAGTAGAATTCGATATGTCTAGGCATGTCTGGCAACAGGGGAGCACACCCTGTCACGAGTCTGTTTGCATGAGGAATGAGAAACCTCCAAGAAGAAAGCTCATCTTGATTAAAGGAAGGGCCTGCCCTGTGAGCTTGACAGAGTAATAGATCCTTATCCCTCCAAGGCTCCAGAGAGAGAGGCAGTTCTGGCACTCAAGTACCTGGCCCAGATCCACACCTATCCAAGTTCCAGAGATGGGGCAGGGAGCCCTGGAACCGAGGCAGCCCTGCTTGGGATCTTTGTGTAGGAGTAACCCAGAGAGGAGACAGGCTTCTTCCCGACTTTGCCATAGTCCCTGAGCAACTTGCATTCCTTCAGAGCCACAAAGCAGAAGTGCCCTCCCAGAGGCATTTGGAATGGTCAGGACTTAAGGTGGCTCCAAATGAGCACTGAAGGCTAGAGTCAAGGAAACCAGAGTTACTCTCTCTCTGTCACACAATATGGTCCCCAGAGTGGTCAGGATCTCAGCAGGAAACACGGTACTCGCAAAAGTGATGACTGAAGGAAATTTAAAGAATGGCTCTTTTATGGGGATTTGAGTGGGGTTATGGAAAACCTGTAAGAGACTGGTGCAGTTCTTGAGGGCTAGGTATCAGCAGGAAGCTGTTACCACCAGTAGGCCTGAAAGGGAAAAGGCAGAAGTGGTTACTGCCACCAACCGCTGGGCAAGAGCTGGAGCCATAGGCCACAAGACAGAAGCTATGGGCCTGGGTAAAGATCACAGCCACCAGCAGGCTGCCACCCAGCAGGGAGGGAGCCACCTTCCTGTGGCTTGCGAATGCCCAGCACTGGACAAACCCAACCAGAAGCCAAATGGCAAGGCTGTGGAAGGCTAAGCCATCCCTTGAGGTCAACCTCCTGAACACAGTGCAGGACAGAGAAGAGTGAAGGGTACACAGAGAATATTCAGCGCACTCTATCTCTTAACACCTACAGGCTGGGGAGGCTTAAGGAAACTAAGTTATACTAATTTTCCCCTACTCTTCCCCTCATAAACACCCTGTCTTAGGAACAGAAATGAATAATCCTGTGCTCCCATTCAGAACACAGGACTCAGAGTCAAAAGACTTGGGTTCAAATCCCAGCTCTGCAACTGTACCGGTTTCCTAGGCTGCTGTCATAAATTACCACAAACTGAGTGGCTTAAAATAAGAGAAATTTATTCTCGCCCAGTTCTGGAGGATAGAGTTCCCAAAATGTTAAAGGTAATGTGAACAACTGGTGCATAAATAAACTGTTCTTTGGAACAGACTAAAAATCTAGAAAATAAGACCAACTATATACTGAAATTTAGTATATGGCCAAGATCGTTTTTGTCTTTGTTTTTTGCCAGGAGGTATTCTCCTCTAATCAAGATAGTTTTTTAATCAGTGGAGATAAGATGTATTTTTAATAAATGATCTTGGGACAATAAGGTAGCCTTCTGAGATAAAATAAAATATTCATACCTAACACCACACAGAAAAACAAATTTTTGAAAGATCAAACACTTAAATAATAAAAATGAAATCATAAAAGTATTACAACAAACCATGGAAGAATTTTTATATTATTACATTTGGGAGAGGCAGGCCTTTCTAAGAATGATACCCATATCAGAAGTCATTTTAAAACTGTTTAATACTTTTAGTTACATAAATATAGAATTATTTCCCATGGAAACATAAATACCGTAAACAGAGTCAACAGACACATGAAAAGCTAGGAGAATATATTTGCCAATTATACCATAGATCAAGGGCTAATTTCCTAAGTATTTAAACAACTCTTACAAATAAAGAAGAAAAAGATTAACCCGTAGAAAAATGGACAAAGTATAAAAACAGTCCACAAAAGGGGACCTCTATATGGTTCTTAAAATATAAAAGCATGTGCCACTGCACTTTTAATAAGAGAAATGCAGATTAAAACTACAGCAAAGTACTATTTTTTTAACCTACAGAGGTAAAAAAAAAAAAAAAATTGCTGCAAGAATCAGCAACGTTTGCTAACACACAGTCTTGCCCACTCTCGCACCCTGCTGGCATGTTCTCACAACCTCCAAGGATAGCAACTGACAATATCTATCAAAATTTTAACTAGACATACTCTGTGACCCAGCAGTCACACTTCTGAGAATGTGTTTTACAGATGTATTCTCACAAATGCTAAATATCCATTTGAGCAAGGATATTATTTGCAGCATTATTCACTATGGCAGGTTGGAAATGATCTAAATGTGGATGTTCATAAAATAGAATACTATCATTCAAAAGAATTGGGGGGGGCGGGTAGAATTAGGCACCTCTATTTGTCCTAATATGGGACTATCTCCAAGACATGTAAAGGTAAACTTGAAGCCAAGTGCAAGGAAGGACTGCTGGAGGGAACTCTCTGCTGCTGGCTGCCCCCATTCACGCCACAGCACCCACACCCCCAGGCACAGTGTCTGCTAAGGAAGCTAAAGCTTCAGGTCACTTGCAGAGGCCCCTGCCAAGGCCCTGGGAGGGGACCCAGCAGTGTGTTCACATGGTCCTGTGTTTTTGTAGAATTTGCAAAAGATATTTTAATCACAGTTGTTCAAGATGACAGTGTCTTTCTCTTCCAACTTCCGCTTTGTCACATATCACCTTGTGTGAAGTGACACTGGAGCAGCCACAGGCTTTTCTGGGACCTAGCTGTGGGAAGGTAGGTTAGAGACACATTCACTGTGGGTTCAGTGGGCTGTGTTCACGTGGTTTGCAGTAACTTCCATGCATACTTATTGTTTGCCGTCCTGTGCTGAAAAGCCTCTCAGATATATTCCTATTGTCCACTGTGCCACCTCACCTGGGATGGCCACACAAAGGTAGAGGTCACGAAAACTGCATGTCGGGCAGTTTATTAATTTTTTTTAAATACCATGTTATTTTTCTAGAATTGAGGGTATTTTTGGTACTTGTCAGTTTTTTTTTTAAATGTGTAACTTAGTTTAATTTTTTTTTTTTTTTTGAGACGAAGTCTCGCTCTTGTCCCTCAGGCTGGAGTACAATGGTGTAATCTTGGTTCACTGCAACCTCCACCTCCTGGGTTCAAGCAATTCTCCAGCCTTAGCCTCCTGAGTAGCTGGGATTACAGGCACCTGCCACCGCGCCCGGCTAATTTTTGCATTTTTAGTAGAGACGGGGTTTCACCATGTTGGCCAGGCTGGTCTCAAACTCCTGACCTCAGGAGATCCGCCTGCCTCAGCCTCCCAAAGTGCTAGGATTACAGGCGTGAGCCACCGTGCCCGGCCGATTTTTCTATTTTTTATACCAAAAATTAAAAGCAAAATGCAGAATACCATGTTAACCTTTGTCTTTAATTAAAAAGAAAAAAAAAAAGACCTGACACAGTGACTCATGCCCATAATCCACCACTTTGAGAGGCCAAGGTGGGACCTGGGCAACATAGTGAGACCTCGTCTCTATAAAACAGAGAGAGAGAGAGAGAGAAGAGGAGGAGGAGAAGGAGAACAACAACAGAGACTACTACTGTCAGGAGTGTCCTTCCGATTGTTTTAGATCACTGGAGTCCAGGTTAGAGGACAGGTAACCTGATACTACCCTGCTTGCCCCCGCAAAGGGGAGACTTTTATTGGTAGAAAACTCATGTTCAGTATTTTATAGTGGCCTTTTGTCTCCTCTGCAGAGTCCTCAGAGTCAGAGCTTCTCATATATACCTTAGTGGTTCGCTCCTCATCTCTCTTCAATTATATTACAAATGAACAGATTGTCTCTAGTGTTTCACTATTGGCAAACAATCCTATCATGAACATTTATGTACGTGCAGTGTTTCACGCTAGTGCCAGGTGTTTCTGTAGGACAGATTCCTAGAAGCAGAATGATGGCATTAAAGATTGTTCTCCAGTGTTATGGTGCACCCGTACCATGGTAAATTATGTGGCCAATAAAAATAATGAAGTAGAGGATAGAGCAATTCCTAAAGGAGGGGGGCGGTAAGGAGCACAAGAGCACAGGCTGCAAAACAAGATATATGGCATGCCTTTAAGATGAGAGTGAGTAGGGAGTACAAGAGAAGGCTTCCACTTCCTGCTTCAGAGTCCTTTAATTTTTTTCAGAATTTTAAAAATAAGCAGAAACTATCATTATAATTTTTTAATATTAAGAGAAAGAAGGTACACCTGTTGTTACACAACTATATCAATACTTACAGGAGAAATTCTTCTTCTGTTATCAGGAATGTTCTAACTTTACATGAAGAGGCTGGTCCCACCTCTCTCTGGGACTTGTTTCTGAAACAAACATTATCCCCGGGACTTTAGAATTACTGTTTATCTTGGCTTGAGCTGGCAAAGAGAGTCTGCCCCCGACATCACACCAGATACGGTGATTTCTGCCTTGCCTCAGTGCTGGCATATTTCCAGCCCTTCTTTTTTTTTTTTTTGAGACGGAGTCTCGCTCTGTCGCCCAGGCTGGAGTGCAGTGGCGCGATCTCGGCTCACTGCAAGCTCCGCCTCCCGGGTTCACGCCATTCTCCTGCCTCAGCCTCCCGAGTAGCTGGGACTACAGGCGCCCGCCACTACGCCCGGCTAATTTTTTGTATTTTTAGTAGAGGCGGGGTTTCACCGTTTTAGCCGGGATGCTCTCGATCTCCTGACCTCGTGATCCGCCCGCCTCGGCCTCCCAAAGTGCTGGGATTACAGGCGTCAGCCACCGCGCCCGGCCTCCAGCCCTTCTTAAAACAAGCCTGGGGGCAGGTTCAGGAGGATCTACTCCTTGGCTGCCCAAGGACACCAGAGGACCCTGGTGGTTCCAACACTTACCTATATTTACTACCATGAGGCACTGCTGCACTTCGGGTGATTCATGAAGAGAAAAACAGGAGCAACAATGTTTCAGGGCTCGAAGGGTGTTGGGCTGGGCTTCCAAGCTGTGCGGAAGGGGCTTTTGGGGGGAGTATCTGCAGGAGGCTGGAGGGCTGAAGGAGGGTCAGTGAGCACGGTGGATGAAGGGCACATGCCTAGGAGCCACTGATGGCAGGGTGAGGGCAAAAGCTGGTCCCATGGAGGCTGAGGGGTCTCAGGCCATTAGTAGTCAAGCAGAGAAGGACAGGGAGTGGGAGCTCTGGGAAGTCTCTAGCAAGGTTATGACTAACCAAAGCCACTCTGAAGCTAACTGCCCCCCACTTCTCTCAGCCAGTCAATCATTAAGTCCTGCGAGTTGACTGTTTCTCCCTTCTTCCTTGTACTAAGAAGTGTCCACCATGTGCCAAACCATTCTAGGTGCTGGCGATACATCAATGAGTAAGTGCCCTGCTGTCACGGAGCCTGCGTCCAAAGTTGAAAAAAGCAATTGCATAATTATGTTTTGTGACTATATTGTTATGAAGTAAAAGCAATGCTGTAAGCCCCGCAGTTTTTTTAAAAATCAACTTATTTACCTAAGTTTCCTAAACTTACCTCAGAAACCATCCTCCTCCTCCACTTTTTGTGTATATAGAATTTATTTCTAAAGTAGTTTTAAGTTTAGAGCCAAGCTGAGTGGAAAGGAGACTTCCTATATGCCTCCAGTGCCCACATGTGCACAGCCTCCCCCCACTATCAACATCCTGCACCAGTGTGATACTTTTGTTAGAATAGAGGAACCAACATTGACCCAACATTAACAACCGAAGTCCATAGCTTACATTACAGCCTCTTTTTTTTAACAGAACAATGTGTTACCACTGAGACTGGCAGGTATAGGCAGGAGGGAGCCTACAAAGTTTCTCAGAGGGAAGTGGCACACTTGGATTAGTATTTTCTGCACAACCAGTTCGCTCATTTCTCCTTGTCTGACCCAAGAATGTGTCCATATCTTCTGAGTTTCATTTGGTTCAGATGCTACAGACACCTCCCTGGCCCAGGCTACTGAAATGACTTTCAAACTGATCTAGCAGCCACCAGACCATTCGCCTCCCTCACCCCTATTTGGCTCTGAATCCAGACTCCTAGTTAATTGAAGAGCATCACTTGCTCTGTGGCATGAGCTTACTCAAACTTTTCTAGTAACTCCCCAGCAGTGGTTTCCCATGTAATTATCCATAGAACCCATTTGGTGATGGCAGTTGAATACAGTAGTTAAAAACAGACTCTGATATCGGTAGCCCAGAGACTACTACATCCTAGCCCTGGAAATCCCAATTTCCTCACCTTTAAAAAGCGATAGGTGGGGGTGGGGGCGGGGGCTCACGCCTGTAATCCCAGCACTTTGGGAGGCCAAGGCGGGCGGATCAGGAGGTCAAGAGACTGAGACCATCCTGGCCAACATGGTGAAACCCTGTCTCTACTAAAAATACCAAAATTAGCTGTGTCTGGTGGCGCATGCCTGTAGTCCCAGCTACTCGGGAGGCTGAGGCAGGAGAATCGCTTGAATCCGGGAGGCGGAGGTTGCAGTGAGCTGAGATCGCACCTCTGCACTCCAGCCTGGGCAACACAGCAAAACTCCATCTAAAAAAATAAATAAATAAAGCAGTAGTGGGGAGGCCGAGGCAGGAGGATATCACTTGAGGCCAGGAATTCAAGACCAGCCTGGACAACAAAGCAAAACTCACCTCTACCAAAAAAAAAAAAATTAGCTGGAGTGGTGAGTGCCTGTAATCCCAGCTACTCTAAAGGCTGAGGCTGGAGGATCATTTGAGCCCAGGAGGTCGAGACTTCGGTGAGCCATGATCATGCCAGTGCACTCCAGCCTGGACAACAGAGCAAGAACCCAACTCTTTAAAAAAGAAGTGGTAGAGACTATGATGGGCTAGAGATAGAACGTCCAGTCTAAATGGCACAGCAGTTACTCAGCTCCAGTGGCTTGTTGCCAAATCTCCCCATTGTTAAGGAAAAAATATTGTAAACTTGACGTTTATGTGAAATCTAATTTTGTTTCGCTGTAGCAGCTGTAGTAGACTGCAACCTATGGCCACAAATTCCTCCCATCTCTATCTGCCCACCCTTTACAATGGGACATTGCTGCTCCCCCATCAGAGATGAATTCTATTCCCCCTCCTCCCCGTTCTAGCCTGGCCTTGTGACTTGTGTTGGCCAATAAGATGCAGTGGGAGTAACATTTGTAACACTGAGTCGAGACCTCAAAAAGTCTTGCAACTTTGACTTTGAGCCTCTTGGAATGCTCTGTTCTTGTGTAAAGAGGCCCAGGATAGCCGGAAGGAAGGAAATTGAGATACCGGCAGAAAGAAGTCGCATGGGCAGACAGAAGGAAACTCATCTCAGCCATTCCAGCCGCCCCAGCTGAGGCTTCACACTTGGGAGTGAGGCTGTCTAGGACCAACTAGCTAAACTGCCATCTGAATGCAACCACATGAGTGTGCCCAGGTGAGACCAGGAGGAGAATCACCAGGTTAAGCCACAGAACTGTGAGGAAAAGTAAATTATTGTGGTTTTAAGCCACTAAGTTGGGGTGATTTGTTACACAGCCATAGATAACAAAGAGAAATAATTAAGGCATCTTGCCAATCAAATGCCTCAAGTCACCAGTTAGTGATCTCTTAGGTGTGAACTGCTTGAGGACAGGAATCATATCTTGTTGATCTTGGTATCCTGAGTGCCTACCATTGCCTGATAATTAACACATAGTAAATCCTTTGTGAACAAATAAATGGAGCTGTAAGAGGAGCTCCTATCACAGCTGCAGCAGCCTTGAGGATAGGGCTTTATCGTATGTGCCTTTCTAATCCCAACAGGCACTAACATTTTCTCCTGCAGTTTCTATAATCCTGTGTTAGTCATGGTTCTCCAAAGAAACAGAACCAATAGCAGAAACAGAGAGAGAGACAGAGAGAGAGATTATGGGAATTGGCTCATGTGATTATGGAGGTCAGGAAGCCCCACAATCTGCTGACTGCAAGCTGGAGAACAAGGAAAGCCAGTAGTGTAATTCAGTCCAAGTTTGAAAGTCATTTCAGCAGCCTGGGGAAGGGTGGTGTCTGTAGCATCTGAACCAATGAACCTCAAAAGATACGGACACATTCATGGGTCAGACAAGGAGAAGTGAGTGAACTGATTGTGCAGAAAACACTAATCTATGTGTGCCCTTCCCTCAAGAACCTGGAGCTCTGATGTCCGAGGGTAAAAGAAGATGGACGACTGGGCTCAAATAGAGATAATTTGCCCTTCCTCTACTTTTTTGTTCTACTCAGGCCCTCAATGTATTGAGTGATGTGGACCCACATTGATGAGGGAAGATCTTCATTTAGTCTACCAATTCAAATGCTAATCTCTTCCAGAAACACTCTCACAGATGTACCCAGAAATAATATTTTACCAGCTCTATGGGCATCACTTAGCCCAGCCAAATTGACACATAAAATTAACCATCACAAATCCTTATTAAAAAAAAAAGTTTGCTCAATGATGAAGTAGTGCAAATAGAATAACGAAATGGAGTGGCTAATGAACAACGGAGCCAAAAAGAATTGTGACATTTTGCTACATGTTGGGAGAACAAGAGAAGTGTTTGCCTTGACCTAATGGAACCTCAAAGAAACAATAGGGAGTCTCGATGGAGGCAGAAAATGAAGTGTAGCCAGATCCACCCCAAACTGGGAAACCCCAAACCAGGCAGGACTATGAGCAGTAGCCAATGGGTGCTAAGTTAGGAAGTGTCCGAGTTTTGAGGATGGAGAAAATAATACAAAAACAACACAAGATAAAATTGAGGCTGGGCACAGTGGCTCATGCCTGTAATCCCAGTACTTTAGGAGGCCAAGGCGGGCAGATCACCTGAGGTCGGGAGTTCAAGACCAGCCTGGCCAACATGGCAAAAACCCACCTCTACTAAAAATGCCAAAAAAAATTAGCCAGGCATGGTGGCATACACCTGTAATCCCAGCTACTAGGAAGGCTGAGGAAGGAGAATTGCTTGAACCCGGCAGGCAGAGGTTGCAGTCATCCGAGATCGTGCCATCGCACTCCAGCTTGGGTGACAGAGTGAGACTCTGCCTCAAAAAAAAATAAATAAATAAATAAAATAAAATTGAAATTTACCTACTCTGTCTTGGAAAAACCTTTGATGCTAGGGACTGGGGGTTGGCAAGGTACCAAGGCTGATCGAGCCCTTGGGCGTCTCTCTTCCTCTGCCCTTTGCCATCAGGGATGAAGAAGACTTCTCTCCAAGGCTGAGCAGCATCTTTCAAAGAAAAAAAAAAAGAATGCAGTAGGGAAAGGGAGTGCGTGGGGGCTAAAAACCAGCCTCATTGTACGAACACTCAGCCCATATTCCCCTCCCTGACTCTACCTTTTGCAGAGAGGACTGGGGGTGGGACATGCATGTCCTATATTCTACCAGGCCACCCTGAGTGGGAGGGTCCCATTCTGCAGGCTCCTCTGCAGGTTGTTCTTTTGAAACATAAACTCCTGGAGTGTTAGAATTGGAAGGGATCTTAGGCACTGTTTGGATCTATCCAACCCCATTCATTTTACTACTTAAGAAGTAAACAGTGTCCAACTGGGAGCATGAATCCCAGAACCTTTGGTTAAAAGTCTGAAGTTCGATCTGTGGCCTGTCTGGCTGCCTCATTTGAAGACTGCCCTAGATGTTTACTTTTCATCTGATTTCACCCATGTGGTGGGGAATTGGCTGCAGTGTTGTGGAAAAGATCGCCGGACCTGGAGTTAGGAAATAGACTTTCAAATCCCAGCTCTGTCTCTGGCAAGCTGTGGAACTCCAGACATTACTTAAACCCTCTGTGCCTCAGTTTCCTGACCTGTGAGATGGGAATAATAACAGGACAGACTTTTCAGGATTGTTGGGAGATGATTAAATAAGATGAGCTATGTATGTAAAGGGCTTGTCAAGCCTCCTGGAGCAGATAATACTCCTTAACGTGTTTTCTTCTTTTGTTTTTTTTTTTGTTTATTTGTTTTTGTTTTTTTGAGACAGAGTCTCTCTGTCACCCAGGCTGGAGTGCAGTGGCACGATCTCAGCTCACTGCAACCTCGGCCTCCCAAGTTCAAGCGATTCTCCTGCCTCAGCCTCCCGAGTAGCTGGGATTATAGGCTTGCGCCACCATGCCCAGCTAATTTTTGTATTTTTAGTGGAGATGGAGTTTCGCCATGTTGGCCAGGCTGGTTTCAAACTCCTGACCTCAAGTGATCCACCCACCTCGGCCTCCCAAAGTGCTGATATTACAGGTGTGAGCCACAGCGCCCGGCCTCCTTAACGTATTTTCTTCTTCTGCTGCTGCTGCTGTTTTTAATCAATTGCTCTGAGCCTTGGTTTAGGATTGCAGCAAATTTAGAATTAAAACATGTAAAGTGGGTGGGCCACAGTGGCTCACACCTGTAATCACAGCACTTTGAAGCTCAGGTGGGTGAATCACGTGAGCTTAGGTGTTTGAGACCAGCCTAGGCAACATGGCAAAACCCTGTCTCTACAAAAAATACAAAAATTATCCCGGCGTGGTGGTGCACACCTGTAGTCCCAGCTACTTGGAGGCTGAGGTGGGAGGATTGCTAGAGCCTGGGAAGCCAAGGCTGCAGTGAGCAATGATCATGCCACTGCACTCCAGCCTGGGCAACAGAGTAAGACCCTATTTAAGAAAAATTTTTTTTTAATTTAAATTTCAACACTTTTTAAGACTCATGGTTAGGTATTTTGTAGAAGGTCCCCCAATCTGGGATTGTCTGGTGTTTTCTCATGAAAAGACTAAGGTTGTTGATTTTGGCAGGAGTAGCACAAAGGTGATGTGCGCTTCTCGTTGCAGTATATGGGGGCACATGATGTCAACATGATTTATTGCTGGTGATCTTCATCTTGACCATTCGGTTCAGGTGGTGTTTGTGAGGTTTCTCTACTGTAAAGTTACTGTTTTTTTCTTTCCATAGTCCGTAAGAAGGAGGTCCCCAAGTCCAGAGCACACTCAAGGCAAGAGGAAATAAGCTGCACCTCCTGGAGAAAGGGAAATCAAAGAATTTGTGATAGTGTGTGAAAACCACTCAGGTATTCATGTATTTTGGGGCAGATACTTGAAGGCTTTGCAAATGTCCTGTTTTTCCTTAAAGTTTTATCTACTGCTTTTAGCATTAATCAATGGATCTTGCCTGTAGCAATTATTATTGTGATGATCTAATACTGATTTTCTATTTTCCTTATTCCTTATACATTTATAATTAGAATTCTTCTGCATTTAGTTCTTCTCTCTCATTTAGTTATTTATTCAAGACTTTATTTACATCAGTATGGATTCATAAAGGTTTATTTTACTCTTGGAGTTATAATCCAATATTATTATCTATTACCGTTGCTCAAACTGTTCCAGATTTGGCCATTGGGAGCTCTTTCAGGTTGGCTCCTGTGTCCTTTTGATATGCCCCTTCCTTCCCTTTTTTTTTTTTTTTTTTTGCACTTCTTTATTTTCTGGCACTAAAAGTTGTTCCAGGATCATCTTATGTGTTCCCTGTCCCAGCTCAAGAATTAACCATTTTTCCAAGGAACCCTGGCTCCTTTATTGGAGAATATTATTTAGAAACCAAGATCTGGGTGCTAAGTACTCTTGTTGCTAATGGGGTATCACTTCTTTTAGGCCCTCTTTGCAGACAAAGCTAACAAATATAAGTATATATACTAACATACATTTTATATATATATATGTGTGTGTGTTTGTGTGTGTGTGTATACCATATCTATATTTATTTCTCTATCTGTTTGTACATACATACACACCATATAGACATCTATGGATTATAAATCCATATAGAGATCTATAGATAGATAAAGATATCTATATGGATCTATTAAAGATATTCTATACTATTGAGTGTACATATATGTATTAAAATGCACATGAATTCATGCTGATATCTCCAGCTCAAATCCAGCACCACCACCATCCTAACACCCCTCTTCTTTCTGTGACAGTGAGAAACCTGCCTCCCACTAGCGACAGTTTATTTACTTATTTGTTCAACACTGGTATGCATAGAAAGCAGTTGCGGAATTGCTAACCTGTAACAGGCTCTTGACAACCCCAAAGATGGCTTGTACTCAGTGTGAACAAAACTGAGTTCTTCATTTCATAACCAACCCAAACCTCTCTTACTCCTTTTCTCCACTCCCTTCTCTCCCCGTCTATACTCTATCACTGTGATTGACACCAGGCACATGGATGCCATCACTGACATCTCTGTGCCTCCCCTCCCACAGCAAATTACCTCATCTAACCTCATCTTTCACCTCTTCTCCCCACCTCACATGCATGGGCAGGCACACACATGCACGAGCACACACATAACACATATACACACATAGTATGCTCCTGCCACTTTCGTTCTCCAACTGTATCAAGCTTTGGGGCATTGTACATGCTGTTCCATCTGCTTGCAACACTTTTCCTCTTCCCACTCCTCCTGTGATTGGCTAACTTCACGTCTACCTCTTTCAGGAAACCATCCCTGACCACTCTCCAAGCCTATGTCAGGAGACCTCATTCCCTTGATATTGTGAGTTTCTCTCCTGTTTTAGCATTTATCTTTTTTTCTTTTTCTTTTTTTTTAAACAGGGCCTCACTCTGTCACCCAGGCTGGAGTGCAGTTTCACCATCTTGGCTCACTGCAACCTCTGCCTCCCAGGCTCAAGTGATCCTCCCACCTCAGCCTCCCAAGTAGTTGGGACTACAGGCGTGCACTACTACACCTGGCAAATTTTTGTATTTTTTGTAGGGACAGGGTTTTGCCATGTTGCCCAGGCTGGTCTCAGACTCCTGGGCTCAAGCGATCTGCCCATCTTGGCCTCCAAAAGTGATGGGATTACAGGCGTGAGCCACTGCACCTGGCCACATTTATCATTCTGTATTCACAATTCTCACTTACTGTTCCAAATACCTGTGAAACAGCATTTCCCAAATTGTCTCAAGCATTGAATGAAGTATCACTAGAATGTGAGCTCCATGGAGACAAGTGTATGTCTGTTGTGTTCATTGTTGTATCCTCAGTGTCTAGAACAGTGCCTGGCACTATTAGGTACTGGTTAATATTGGTTGAGTGAATTAATTAATGTAGCACTCGGCCTCCAAGATAGCACCATATGACCTTCACCTTCTGGTGTCCCCACACTGAATTAGGGCTGGTCTGTGTGATTAATAGGGTATGGTGGAGGTGACAGTTCCTTCCAAGGGAAGGTTATGAAGTTTCCACCCTGGCTTCTTGGGTAGCTCACGGTGGGGTAAGCCCCAACTGCCATGTCATGAGGACACACAAGCAGCCCTGTGGAGAGCCCAGAGGGTGAAGAACTGAGGCCTCCCACCAGCAGCCAACACCCACTTGCCAGCCCTGTGACTGAGCCACCTAGAATATGGATCCTCCAGTCCCAGCAACACTTCCAATGACTGTAGCCTCATGAAAGATACCAAGCCAAAACTGCTCAGCCAAGCTACTTCCAAGTTTCTGACCCCCAGAAACTCTGAGAAATAGTTTTTCATTGTTGTTCTAAGCCACTACGTTATGGGGTAATGTGTTACATGGGAGTAATTAATGAACACAGTACTGTCCTACAGAAAAGAGCATCATGATTAAGTAAGTTTGGGAAACACTGGATTAAACAGCTAATGGGATTTCTCAGAGGACTCCTCAGAGCTTTTAATATACAATACTCATGAAGAATCCCATCCTCATGTAATGACTTACTCCTTTTTCATCTTATTAACTCTTTCCAGTTTGGAAATGTAGTTGTAAGTAAATCTACAGTCGGCCAGCATCCCAAATAAAATAACACCAAGATTGTCTAAGGGCAGCAGGACAGGAAGAATTTCTTGAGGATTTGGGCCTCAAATTCCTACTTTTTCCTCCTTCAAAAGTCACCTTTCCCTTGGGAATCCCATGAATTATGGCTGCATCTACCAAGCTGGCATCAGAAGACGATGTTCTCCCCTTCACTACTTGGACTCAAACACGGGCACTTTTACTTAACCTTCCATAGCAAAATTGAGATCATAATGACTGACAAAATTTTGCAGGAAACCCAGTGTAGGGAATTCAGTTGGGTCCCCAAAAGAGATATGTTCAAGTCCTGAGCTCCAGTACCTGTAAATGTGACATTATTTGGAAACAGGGTCTTTCTAGATGTATTCAAGTTAAGATGAGGTCATAGTGGATTAGGGTGGGCCCTAAATCCAATGATCAGTGTCTTTTATAAGAGAAAGGAGGTAGATTTGGACACAGACACAGAGGAGCCATAGGGAACAGCCATGTGACAACAGAGGCCAAGATTGGAGTGATGGTTCGACAAGCTGAGGAACATCAAAGCCTGCCAGCAGCCATCAGGAGCTAAGAGACAGGCATGGAACAGATCCTCCCTCAGGGCCTGCAGAAGCAACCGACCCTGCCAACAGCTTGATTTCAGTCTGCTGGCCTCCTGAACTGTGAGACGATAAATTTCTGTTGTTTTAAGCCACCCGGTTTGTGGTGCTTTGGTTCAGCAGCCCTAGGAAAGTAAGACATCCAGGAAGAACTGAAAGGAATTGCTCAAAGGAGCATAAAAGTAGAGCGCCACCCAGCAATGGAGCTGCCTCCTTGCCACTTGGCCCTTGGCTCCCGGCCCTGCCAGGATTCTCCCTCACCTTGGTGGGGGCTGCTTGGGAACAGCCTGGCCTAACTAGTGCCCTCAGGGTTCACGCCCAGGAGAGAGAAGTACAGAGAGATGCTTCCTCTAACTCTACCCAAGGCCTCAGTAACAAATCCCCATTTCCTGACCCCAGACGCTCTTTATTCCAGTAGAATGAACATTGGGACCATCTGTTCCTTTCAGAGAATGTCATGTTCCCACCATAAGGGATGGACTCACAGGTTATCTCAAAACGTAATTGTCTACTGTTACTACAAGAGATACACAAGCAGCGAGAGAGGACAGATTCAGTGCCTTTCTCTGACATCCCAAAGCCGCAGGGACTTCCCCACCATTACTCATTGCTCTGTTCACCTCAGTCTCTAGGCAGGAAGGTCTCTCTCATTAGTGATGAGAGAGAGTCTGCTCTTCCAGGTCAAGGCCGCAGTGAGATGCATGTCCCTGGAGCCTAGCACAGGGCTTGGCACAGAGCAGGGGCCCTGCAGCACTTTGTGGGGAATTGGCTACCTGAACAGTCAAGACACTGAGGCCATTAAAACAGGCTCCCAAAAAAGCAGCCAAACCCCTGTGCACTTTCTGCATCTGGAATTTCCAGGAATTCCTCTCCATGACAATGTAGAAAGTCCAGCAGTGGGTTCCAAGGCATCACAGAACTCAATCCAAGCAGATCCCAAACCCCAATGGAAAGCTGCACAACACGCCACTCCCCAAAGCATCGTGGAGGCCCAGAGTTCCAGCCAGAGAAGGAGACTCAGTAAGTTCAGAGGGCAGATGCTCCTGTACTGGGGCTTCAGGCTGTGCCTGAGACCATCCTCAGATTCTCTAGCTAGCAGGACAGAGCCAGGTGAGGGGAAGGATGAACTGCAATGTGAGGACTTTGTGTGCCCATCTCCTCCTCTTCACCAGCTGACTCTCTACCCAGGGCAGCCTAGACAAGATTTAGAGACCGGGGCAGTGGGCTATTTTGGAGTCTGGAATGGGAAGGAATGACAATTGGCAGGTGACTCTAGTACTTGAACTTTCCTGTGCTGAAGAATCACCAAAGGTATTCATTAATATGCAGATACCTGGGTCCAGCCCTCCCTCCCAAGGAGGTTAAGTGTTGCCTAGGAATCTGTATTAAAAACAAAACAAAAACAAAAACCTCCTTAGTGGTTCAAACACAAGTAATCCTCAGACCTGGGCCAAGAAGGTCTTTTCTGACACCACCTGGAGACCCAGCCTCGTTCTTCTCTCTCCTAACTACAGCCTCAGGAAGCTACATGTCTGTAGAGAGCCTGGGAGAAGACAATGACCCCAGTCTCAGAGTGACTACACACAAAGGCGCCAGGAGGCCGACCCACATCAGGATTCCAAAGAGAAGAGGGGTTAGGCCTGAAACAGTGTGGGCCCAGAGGGCATAACGAGCCCCTTACAGAGCAGTCACAAAGAAGCAGGTGTGAGCTCAATGTGAGGAAGAACTTTATGGCAAATCTCTTACATCACTCACGGCCGAAGGCCTACAGTCTAGTGGGAGAGTGCCCATCATCCTTAGAAAACTCTAAATGCCCTGGCAGCCTATAAGGTCCTTCAGAATTCAGCCTGGCTTCCCTCCGCAATCCCTTCTTATAGCCCCCCACTTCCAGAACTTCACCTGCCTTCCCACCCTCGAAGTGGAACCTTTCAGAGTTCTCCAGATATACCAGGCCCTAGAGATCGGTCAGCCTTCCTTCCTTGCCACTCCCCTCCAGGACTTTGCCTCTTCTGGTCCCTCTGCCTGGCCTGCCCTTCCCCTACTCTTAGCTTATCATCTTCACGTCCCAGTTTAGAAGTCACCCCTGAAGTTCCCTGCAACCCCCACAGCTGGATGGAATGCCTCTCCTCTGTTCCCTCTGCATCTCATACTTAAATTGTTCATTGTGGGACGGAGTGGATGGGGTTGCGTGCCTTGGTGGGGAGTCCACTACCCGAGAGGGGGGCGGTGGATGAACGAGCAAGCAGGGAAAGAAAAAAGTTGTTCACTGAAGGCAGGCACAGTGGTTCATGCCTATTATCCCAGCACTTTGGGAGGCTAATGCCGGAGGATAGCTTGAGCCCAGCAATTTGAGGCTGCAATGAGCTACGATCCTGCCACTGCACTCCAGCCTGGACACTAGAGCAAGACCCCATCTCTCTCCCTCTCTCTCTGTCTCTCTCTCTCTCTTTCTCTCTCTCTATCTCTCCCTCTCTCTCACACACACACAAACACACACACACACATTGTTCACTGACTCCTCAAGGTCTAATGTACTCTCTGTACAAAAAATATTGAGTTTGAATTGTTGAATTGTAATAAGCTGTTTATTTACTTTTGCCCCATGAGGCTATGAATTCCTCCAGGACAAATTGGCTGGCACTTTGCTGCTGTTTAATAAATATCTGACAATGCATGAATGGCAGTGTCCTGGCAGAAAACAGAATAGTCCACCTTGAGAGGCAACAAGTCCTAACAGCTTTTTGTTTACACAGAGGCTGATCCACCCTCTCTCAGAGATCTTAGAGGTGGTGCTGAAGATTGATAAATAGGACACGAATGCCCTAGGGTCCCTTCTGACATGGTGATTATGGGGCAGTGACTCTGGCAGGGGGCTGAAGGGGATCTTTGAAAAGCAACCAAGGCCCGGTGAGCTAATCACTTGATATCAGTTTGGTTCACAGCAGCTTGTGTTCCAGAAAGGTAAAGGAAATTCATTGCAAAGCAGCAACAGGCGAGGAGTTACTCTGGTTCTGTTGTCCCCCAATCCAGAGCCAGCCTCTGTCACACCCACCCCTGCTCTCCTGAGTACTTGCTAGGACTGCCTGGACTCATTGGGCATAGAGAGGCCCCACAAGCCTGAAGGTGAGGCAAGTTTCCCAAGTGCAAATGCCCGGAATGTCTTTTAGGCACGTCCCCCTGCAGCCAAGCCTAGCCAAATCAAGCTATTTGTACTCAGTACCTACGGTGTGTCAGGCTCCAGGTGAACAAGACAGACAAAGTGACTTTTCCCAGCCCAGTGGAACTTGGCCTCTCGTAGGCCATCAAGACAGGGGACAAACCAGGTTTCCAGGCCAGGCCCGTCAGTGGTGATGGATGTACCAGCTATTTAGAAGGCCAGCATGGGCATATTTGCAGGATAGGCCAGGAACTCATATAGTGCTGTAAGCCCCAGGGCAGGTGACATTCAGAGCTGCTGGGTAGACTGTTTGCTTTCTGCAGTCTACCTCTGAAGCACAAATCTTTCCAGAATATCTTCATAATCCCCAGGAGTGGAGGATCCAGAGGGAGGGCTTGTGCCAGCTCTCCCTCACCTCCACCCTCACTCCAGGGAGAGAAGCCTTAGAGGCCTGGACCTCCTGAGTCAGCGTGTCTGAATGGGGGCTGGGGACAGGAGCCCAGGAGTGCAGCGTTCAATGTGCTGCTGATTATCTACGTGACCTCAGGCAAGCCCCTTTCCCTCTCTGAACTTTAGAATCCTCCTCTGTAAATGAGAGATCAGCTACATCAGTGTGTCCTCATCTTGGCTATGAATCAGAATCATCTGTGTGGTGGCAAGACTAAGGACCTGGAAAAATGCAGCCTCCTGGGCCTCATCCCAAAGCTCCTAAGGAATCTGGACCCCCAAGGAGGAGAGTGGAGAGGCCTACTCAAGCCCTGGCCCCCAATCCTGGTCCCAGTCAAGGAGCCTCTGAGCCCCCTCATGCCTTCCCCAGCCTCCTCCACTGAGAAGCTCTTTGGGATGCAATGTTCCCAGCCACATTCCATCTCTTTCCAACTTCTGGGCCTCCTTGGGCCAGGGCTGGAGTAAGCTGCCCCAACCCATCTCTCCAAAGAGCTCTGGAGCCTGAAGCACTGGTCATTGAGCAGTTTATTACCATCAACCTGTCCCCAGCTTTCCAGCACAACAGCCAGCCCACACTCTAGACACGCCTTCACTCCAGTCCATTCTGGCACCTAGCCTCAGTCTTCACCCTCCTCCCTCCTCCACACACTCCTTCCCCCAGCCCTCCAAGGCAGCACCAGGCCTGAGGGCCACACCTCAGCTGGGGGAGGGGAGGGAAGACAGTGAGACAGACAGAAGCTGGGGAAAGAGGAGCCAGGGTTGGCCCCAAGCTTCTGTAGCCACCACTCCAGGAAGGAGGGAAAGGGGGCAGGGCTGAGGCTGGGGCTGGGGTTGCCAGGTGATGACAGTTCACGTGGTTCAGGCAGGAGGCTCTTCTCCAGGAGGTGCAGGGAAGCCACTCAGGTCTCGGCCAATGATCTCACTCACTGTAAAGGAGGGGCAGTTGAGAGACTGGGCTAGAGGTGGGTCCCCTCCTTTTCCAAAGACCCACCCCCAATCCATTCCAGGCAGGTCTTAATCTAGGAGGCCTCTAGATTCCTCCTCTACTGGCTTCTATTCCACTGGGCCTCAGTTTCCCCAACACGTCTTGACACCTGCTCCGAATCAAATCTTGCCCAACTCCCTCCATGTGGGCTCCCAGGCACCCGTCCTAGCCCTTTCCTGCTGGCTTAGCCTGAAATGTCAGGGGAATCGGTATCAGCAGGGCCAGAGATGGGTGTAGCCAATGGGAAGAAGGAGAGGCAAAACAGGAAAGCTCCTCCTCACCAACCCTGACCACAGACACCGTGTTTAGGGGAAAGCTGAGGCAATGGCAAGTGTGCTTGACTGGGACCTCAGCAAGCTACCATCCCTCTCTGGAACTCAACGCCTAAACTTGCAAATTGAATGCGCTGGATGGAATGATCTTGAAAGTGCTTCTAGCTCTGAGATTTTATGATTTGGAGCAGAGGACAGAGGCAGAGACAGGAGAAAGGCTGAGACAGTTACCCCATGCACTCTTCAGAATTCAGTTAATTGGATTCAGGCAGCCACAGGCATCAAGAACATGCCTCCTGGGAACCTCCAACTGGCCCTGAGAGACCAGGGATGCCCGATCTCTGAAAAGCCCAGCTCCAGCCCTCAGCAAACATGCAGAGCAATCTCTTGCACACACTCACACTCACAGCCCCCAGTCCCACACCCACCTTCCTCCAGCGTGATACCCTGGATAGGGACACTGTCTCGGAAGCCGCTGCTGTAGCCACCCCTGGATTTCTCCTGCTCCGGAGCCCCCTCCCCAGGGCCATAGCCTGGCCCTACCTTATTGTATCCCTCAGCAGGTAGGGGATGCACATCACTCTGGGAAGGGAAGGGGCCTTCAAGCGGTGGGGATGCAGGAAGAGGAGGCGGCCGAAAGGGGGCTGGCGGAGAGAATGGCAGCCCCAGGGAGAAAGAGGAGCCCCGCCCTCCATACGGGTCACTAGGGAAGGGGCGGGGAAGGAAGGAAACTGCAGGTGGTTGGGCACAACCTGTGGTACCCCTAGTCTCAGGGAACATCCGCAGGCCCGGTCTGTAGGATGGTGGGGGCCCCGTCTGGGGGTACAGAGGGGGCATGCCATAGCCGAAGCCTTCTGATAGGTAAGGAGTTTCGCAAGCAGGGTCTTCATGGGGATAGGAGGGGTAGGGGGGCCTGGGTGGTGAGAAGTCCATGTCAGTGCCAAAGGGGGTTGCCGATGCTGAAGGGAAACCCCGCAGAGATGAGTCCGGTAGGGGCTCCTCTTTGCAGATCACTGGGAAGACAGGAAGTGGGAGGACATGCTGGTGAGAGGTCTGGTAGTCTCCCCACTGCACACCTTCCAGCTGCCTGCTCCTCCCAGGTTCCATTCACCCCTTGGCCCCTCATGATGAGTACTGCTTCCCTCTGCTCCTGCTCCAGCTCCCCATATCCCTATACCCCCACCATGGGCTGTCCCAGAGCGCACCAGGCAGAAACCTGAAACTCTGGGTAGGACTGCGTTTCCTCCGCCCATTGGAGACATAAAAGTAGACCTGGACTGGCCGGGAAACCCTCTTGTTGCTGTACTCGGGGACAGTCAGGGTCAGCGTCACCTAGGGAAGAGTAAAAATGAGGCAGGGAGCCCTCGGGCATCTGGGCTTAGCCCAGCCTTTCCAGGGGCCCAGACTCCACCTCCTAGCCTTCTCCATTTTCTAAGATGCAAAGTTCATTCCCTAGAGATGCACCTGCTTACAGAATGGCCAGTCTCCCTCCTCCAGAAAAGTCCACTCCCCTGAGCAAGAGGACCCAGCTGAGAATCCCCTGCCTTCTCCCACCCCCGCCCCCCAGGAGGTATCCAAGTGACACTGGTACCTCGTTGCTCTGCAGTCGGTTCACTGTGGCCTCCTCCTCCCATTGCAGCTTCCCATCTGTCCAGAGGGAACAGAGAGCTGCAGCCCAACTCCAGCGCCCCTGTCCCCTGCCCTAGTTCTCTGCCATTTCCCCTCCTGTTAGAGCCAAGGCCAAATTCAGAAGGCCCTAGAAGGTCTGACACACAGAGGAGCCCACTGCATGTTAACTTAATATGAGTGGAAGAGGTAGGGTTTAAAACTGTCCTCAAGGTATAGGGAAGCAAACTGAGACCAAGGGAAATGGCAGGGCCAGCCCAGAAACCAGAGGGAGTCAGTAACGGAAGCAACCCTTGAGCCCTCCCACCCAGCTCCAAACATCCTTTCCCATGATAATGCTGAGAAGGAAGACCAAAGGTAGGAAAGGGTCCTAGCTCGACAGAACGCAATGAGACCCCCAAGTATCATGACCTAGAACCTCTGGAGAAGCTCTGACATGGTCCCAGGATGCTAAATTTGGATATAGGGGCCAGAGGCAGTGGCTCATGCCTGTAATCCCAGAACCCACCACTCCCACCTTGGGAGGCCAAGGTGGAAGGATCACTTGAGTCCAGGAGTTTGAGACCAGCCTGGGCAACATGGGGAGAACCTGTCTCTACACAGAATATTTTTGGAGGATTGCTTGAGCCCAGGAGGTTGAGGCTGCAGTGAGCCGTGATTGCAGCATCACTGCACTCCCCTGGGTGACAAAGTGAGATCCTGCTACCAAAAAAAAAAGAATATAGGGACTGAGGCTCTTGGTGAGCAGCGTTTGGAGAGGGCAAAGGCCTCAGGTTGGTGCTGGCAACTCAAACCCTCAGTCTTCCCTTCCTCCACTCCTGTAGCTCCATCTTGGGGCACCTAACAGGCTCTGTTAATCACTGCCCATAACTCAAGAGGGGCCCAGCGGGCAGCTGTGAGGGTGTAAATCACCTCTTCCCTTCTCCTCATATACCCTATCTACATGGGGGTAAATTATCTCAAAGCAGACTCCTCTTTATTAGACAGAATGTGCATTGCTTCCATTTGTTCAGCATCCTCAACATTTTAGATTGCTGTCATACCCATCCCACATGGAAAGCAGACAGTATAATAGAAAGGGTAGTCTGTCTGTCCCATTTTACAAATAAAAAAACTGAGGCTCCACTGGCCAGTTTAGTGACAATGCCAGAGATGTTTCACCTGCCACTCCCAAGCTCTCCCTGCCTGCCCTCCCCTCCCCAGCAGGTACTCACCAGGACCCCTCTCAATGAACACCACCTTGGAGTCTGGCAGGAAGTTGGAGCCAGTCAGTACCAGTTCCTCGCCTCCTCTCACAGAGCAGGCACTGGGGCTGTAGGCCTCCACCTGGGGCAGCTCCTGGGCTGAGCGCTGGGCTGCAGAGCAGTGCAAGGAAGAGGACTGGCTGGGCTGGGCATGGAGGGGTGGCCTCCTCTGTCCCCACCCTCTTTGGGAAAACTGCCACAGGGCTCTGAGGGAGCCCTCCTCAGCAGTAGACACACAAATAAACCAGTAATATCCATGGAGTCACATACACCATGTAAGGGGCCGCTCCCAGAGCAGAGAGAGGGTTAAACAGGGTAGACCAGGGAGTTTCCCAAACAAGGGCACAGGGCACCCCAGGAATAGATAGGGTCCAGTGTCACTCTGGGCCACCCCAGAGACAGAGTCTGTGGCAGGGGCAAACTAGAATAGAAAGAAGCTGAGTCCTCTATAGAGCTACCCAGGACAGACAGGGCACAGGACGCTGCAGAGGGAATGGGCAGACAGACACACACACACAGACAAAAGAGTTGCAAGAGACAGAGACATGGCCCAGGGCCTCTTTGCTCACAGCACTCGATGGGCACCGATGCTGCCTGTACTGAGACGACCTTCCCGCCGCCCTGGGGCACGTGTACCCGGAACACCAGCCGTACACGTGTGTTTTTGCGCCCGATGTCCGTCTCACCCTTCCGAAGCTCAATGTCTGAATTCCGAAGCTTCAGGATTCCCGCGCAGTCAATGCTGGAGGCAAAGGATGGATGGCAAGCCCTCCTAGCTGAAGCCAAAATGGTGATACATCCCTAAAGAGGGAAGTTCCCGCCCTCCATCCAAAGCCTTGAATGACTTTCGATGAGTGCCTAGGAGGCTATTTTCTAACCCAGAGATGGCCTCTCTGGGGTACCCCCAACCCCAAAAGTCCTCTTCCAGATGGTGGGTAGGCCTGAAGCCAGCTCCTAGGAAAAATGTCTACCTCTTCTGGGAAAAGGAAGAAGTGGGCTAGCATAGGCCCAGTGGAGAAAGCTAGTACAAAGCCTGCGGACTGAGGGGAAGTTGCATGGGACTTACTTGGCCGCCATGTTGTTCTCAGGCAGCAGAGTCATCTCCAACACCTTGGTGCCACTGACTACGGCTTCATAGCTGGCCGTGGCCACCATCTTGCCTGTGATACGGTGCACCTGATAGAAGGCATGAGGCCGCAGGTTCCTTTCATCTGCAGTGCCGATGAACATCTGTAGGGTCAGTGGCTTCTCACTGTAGCCTAGGAGCTGGCAGAGGGAGAGAGCGGCCACCTCATTGAAATCCCCACCGTCTCATCCTTTATTCATCCCTAGATTTTCAGTCTACCATGGGATGGGAATGGTGAAAGATAAAGGATATCCTGCAAGGGAATCCCTTGGGGAACTGGGCACCCGTTGTGGAGAAAACATGGCCTGGAGTTCACAGTGTTTTTCTTGGAATAAAGCCCAAAGTGGGCTGGGCAAAGGCAGAAGAGCCTCCAAAGAGACTGGCCCAACTCAATACAGAGAAAACTTAACTCCCAGTGACTTTTGTCCTCAGCCTAAACCCTCCCCCATATCTGGCGGGCCACCATTTTCCAGAGTAGACATGAGGCTGGTGTCCCATGGGATGAGCTGAGTGGGGGTGGAAGGACAGGAGTAGAAAGTATATCCGGGTCCTTGCACCCCTCCTCCCCCAACTCCAGCCCCTCCCCCAGGCTGCCTGCAGGGTCAGAGCTGAGAGGGAGTGTGGGAAAGGGCAGTGCCATGTGTCTGCATAGCTGGAACCTATCTGGGAGAGGAGAGAGGATATCAGGCCTGCTGTCTGTCCTTTACCTTGACTACGGGGTGACCGCCAGGGGCAGCTTTGACAGCTCCACGGCTGCCTTCTGTCTCATAGTGGGCCCGGTGGTGGGCTCTAGGCTGTACCTCGATCCTCAGCTCCAGCTGCTCATATTGGCTGGGCAGAGGCCAGTCCAGTGGGGGTAGGGCAGAGGTCCTGGGTGGGAGAGAAGAGCATTGATCATGTGCAGCCTCAGACCCCAGTCAGGCCCGTACTGGATCTGTGAGGGAGGAGGGGGTATGGGTCTGAGAGAAAGGAAAGCACAGAAGAAATAAAGAAGTACATTAACACTTGTGAAAAGAAGGGAAAAAAGAATTTTTTTTAAACTAAAAAAAGGACAAAGAAATGAAGAAATCCAAAAGTCCAGAAGCAAGGGGAAGTAGGGGACAGAGCCCCTTGAGGTGTGAAAGATGACAACAAGCCTAAAACTCCCTTCTTCCCAGCTCTGAGCGCAGGGGTTGGGGTGGAAAGGCTTCACTTGGATACAGAGGATTCTCAAGCCCATCTCAATCCCTAGACCTGGATGGAAAGAAAAAAGAAGTGCCGCTTCAGACCAGAAAAGGCCTCAGATATGAACCCTTTGTTTTACAAATTAAAAAATTGAGGTGCGTTGGCTCACACCTATAATCCCAGCACTTTGGGAGGCCAAGGCAGGGGTAGGGGATGGTGTGAGGATGGCTTGAGCCCAGGAGTTTGAGACCAGCCTGGGCAACATGGTGAAACCCCGTCTCTACAAAAAATACAAAAAGCAGCTGGGCGAGTTGGTGCTCCTGTAGTCCCAGCTACTCCTGCTGAGGCAGGAGGATTGCTTGAGCCCAGGAGGTTGAGGCTGAGTGAGATCACACCACTGCACTCCAGTCTTGGTGACAGAGCAAGACACTGTCTCAAAGAAAAAAAAAAGAGAGAGAGAGAAAGAAACTGAAGCCAGCAGCTACTGACAGACCTAGGACTGAGCACATTCTGCTCTCAAGCCAGCTCCCTTTCCACTAGTTGGGGCTTGATAGGTGGAGTTCCAGGGAGCTAAGGGTTTCAGATGGGACAACTTATCCTGTATTGTGCTCCCTGATACCCTAGGACAGTGGATCTCAACTGGTAATTGCCCCCCAAGTAATTGCCCAGATATTTGGCAATGTCTGAAGACATTTTTGGTTTTCCCAACTAGGGGAGTGGGTGCTACTAGCATCTAACGGGTAGAGGCCAGGGAAGCTGCTAAACCATCCTACAATGTCCAGTACACCCCCACATAACAAAGAATTATCCTGCTCAAAATAGTAGTGCTGAATTAACAGTGCTGAGGTTGAGAAACTTTGCCCTATGGGAAACCCAGGGGTACCAGTGTTAACGTTTCTTTCCCCTAGAAACTTTTCTGGACAGAGCCAGCTCAGTCTAACATCTCAAGATTTAAGATTATTGAAATGGGCAAGATTCTCTGAGGGTGGAAGGAATAGAACTGCAAGTTTTAATATGAATTATTTGACTTGCAAATATATGCTATTTTATTCAAGTTAGCAGCTATACTTTTAAGCTAGTAGGTCAGGCTCTAGAAATTAAGGAATGCAGAAGGGGAATTTCCTGCAACAGAGTGGAAATCTGCTTAGGTCTGGCACCTATTGAAAGGGCCAGAGTGGAAGGCTGAAATCCAGCCCAAGTTCCACACTCAGCCACATGCCAGTGCAGAGCGGGGGCTTGGGAGCACTCTATAGGCTACAGGAACACCTCCTTAACCTAGTTGATCCTCCTACAATAGCTAGGGGTGGGAGGGTGGAGGGGCTTTTTCTAATTGTCCCACAGGGAACTGTTGCCCTCTTGTAAATCATCCAGAGGTGCACTTTTTTTTCTAGTTCTCTTTAAAACCAGGTAGTTGGCAGCTGCTGAGCTGGTTGCAGATACTCTTTTGAAATTCAGAGGGCATGAAACTAGTGTCTTCAAATCCATCCCTTGACCCTCCTGCTCCCCTACTGGAATGGCTAGAGAGAGCGGTAGTGCCAGGCGCAACCCTCACCTGAAGATAGGGCTGTGTCCCCCAATCCGGGCCTTGGACCAAGCGAGTGGGGAGGGCACTGCCAGGTAGTCCATGCCAGCCACCTCCTTCCGGGAACCTCCTGGAGGAGCCACAGACTCCTCTGCTCCCAAGGGCAGCTTCCCATTGCATGAGGCAGGCTCCTCAGACCGAGGCAGAGCCACTGCCTGCTCGCTGGAAGTCCGCCGTGTCTTCTGAGGGATGCTCTCAGCTGGTGGGGCCCCCACATAGTCAAAGGGACCAGGGGAGCCCGGGTCCCGGGCCAGAGGCAATGGGGGTGGTGGAGGTGGCTCAGACCCCTCTTCCCCCAGGCTGCCACGGCGGGACAGAGCTGGGGAGGCTGAAGATGGGGTTCCCGAGCTGGAATAGCGCCGCTTGCCACATGGAGAGGCAGGCCGCGGGGAGGCTGGGGTGGGCCCAGGAGCACTGAGGAGTAGCCAGCTATCCTCTGGCCCTCGGCCTCCGGGGCTTGGACCATACAGGCTCCAGGGATCTTCGGGGGTCCATGGCCGAGGGGAGGCCCGGGGCGAGGGCAGCGGGGAGCCCAGGCCAAAGCGGGAGGCCGCCTCATTTAGCTCAGACTCCACCTCGTCGCAGGCTGCATACAGGGCTGCCTCGTCAGAGGCATCGGAGAAGAAGCTCCACGAGGACAGGCTGCTGCTGCCAGGGCTTGGGCTGAAGAAGGCCCCCCCACCCTGGCCCCCTGCTTCTCTGTAGCCCCCAAAGCCTTCTGGTGGGGGGTAATCTCTAGGAGAGCCGTCCCCCCAGGCATCAGGGTTGTCCTCCAGCGCTGCTGGCGGCTCCGGCGTGGGAGAGATGGAGGTGATGCGGATGCTGGGACACTCGAGAACACGGCCACCCCCAGCACCCCCAGCACCCCCTCCTGGTCCTCCCAGCCTCACCGACCTGGCGGGCTGGCTCTCCCAGGTGCCAGGTGAGGGGGCTGGTCGCGGCGGTGGCGAATGCATGCCAGGCCGAGGGGGTGGAGGTCGGGGAATACCGATAGGTGCAGCGCCATAGGGAGGGGGCTCTCCCAAGGCCAGACGGCAGCATGGCGGGGCATCCTCTGAGTCCAGTTCTGTCAAAATGGGAAGAGGAGCAGAGGGAGAGGGGGAAAGAGAGAAGCAGGTGAGATGGCTATGTTCCTTGAGTGGCCAGGCCGCAAGTCCTTCTATGCTCCCTGCCCCTCAGCAAAGAGACCTTCTGAGCCACAAGACAAAAGCAGAGTTGGACCTGGGAAGATGGAGGAGATTGAAGCAGGCATGCCAGGCCTTTGCCCACTGGCCCCTGGATCCTAGGACCGAGGGTACCCGATCCAGTGGGTCTTAAGGTGAGAGAGGTGGGTCCAGAGGGGCTGGAGCTGGGGCTGGGCCTGGAGGCGTGTTTCTTGAGGCACTGGGCTGGACTGGGGGCGACTCACACATGAACCCAATTAGCAGCGGTTCCCAAACCCCCAAACGGCGCTGGCAGGAGCCCCAGTTGCCATCGCAACCGTGGCCAGAGGGGAGGGGGGCGTCAGGGCTGTGGTGACGAGGGGAGGTGGCTCCTCCCTCTCTCCTCGCCATCTAGGGGCGGAGGTGCAGCCGAGGGGGTGATGCGTGCTGGGCCCAGCCGGGGGAAGGGGGGCAGCGGGCAGCGCGGATTCGTGCGAGCGGCGGCCGCCGCCCCCGGCTCGGTCCCCGCCATCTGCCTCTCATTGCGGCCAGACGGGGGAGGGGGAGGGGCGCCCCAGCGAGGCCTGACAGCGCCCCCAGCCCCGGGCGTCCAGTCGGCCGGGCCAGAGCTCGGTCCGCCAGGGGCCAGCTCCAGCGCCAAACCTCCCCTTCCCCTGGCGGCGCCTGGTGCTGTTGGGGCCGTAGTTCCCGCCCGCCCCCCAGTTCAGTGACAGGCGGCCCAGCCGGGAGGCGGCGCACAGCCAACAGCACCCCCACCCCCACCCCAGTCACGACCTAAAAAGGAGAAAGTGGTGCCCGGGCCCCCAGCCTCACTTCCGCAGGCCAACGAGTCCCCCCGACTCCCTTCGACCTCTGACTCCCTCACCCCCCACCCTAGGCTCGCTGCCTTAAATTCCCCAGACTCAGGATCCCCGGCCCTCCTCTCACTGACCCCAAGACCCCTTCCCAGCCCAGCACTAACCTTCCCCCAATCCCCCCGCGCCCAGCGGGGGGGCCTCCTTTTCCTCCCCGAACACCAGCTTAAATTCCAGCTCCTCATCCTCGCAGCTGGCCGCCCCCATGGATCCGGCAGGAGCCCCCAGGTCCCGGCCTGGGTGGGAGGGGGGAGTTCAGGAGGCTGCTGTATCTTCACCCGGGTGGCTCCCTCCCTCCCTTTCTCTGAGAAGCCCCCTCCTCCGTCGCTGCCGCCTCCCTCCAGAAGCCCCCTCGTTATTATAGAAACTTTTCCAAACTTTTTTCCCCCAAACTTCTTCAAAGCGGTCCCCCCCCCAGCCTGTCCCTGATTGGCTGCCGGGGATGCTCCAGCCCCTCCTCCAGGGATGAGATGGGAAAACCACGCGCCCCTCGTCCTCCCCCACCCTCCCTCCCTCTGTCCTCTCTTCAGTCCCTCCCCCTCAAAAAAAAAAAAACTGAATTGGAAAACGGTCCTTCAAGAGTGATACTAATGTTGCCTATTGGTCCGCCGTTGTGACAATCATTTCCCGCAGAGAGCCCAGCCCCCACCTCCCCTAGTCTCAGTTCAAGGTTCTGGGTCCGAGAGCCTTAAAGGGGCCACATCCTGGGCCCCCAGGGTAGAGAGCCCACGGAAGACCCTTTTTTAAATTCTGAAGACTGTGTAGATAGCACCTAGCAAGGCAGAACCACTTCTCCTCCCCTTTCCCTCCAAGCCTGAGGCCAGGAGGGTCCTGGGGGCAGAGTGGCACCGAGTTGCTCGGAAGAGGAAAAGGCTATTCTTCCGCCTCCCTTGCCTGGGGCTACTCTGCCCGGGCCTTCTGGAAGTCTTTGCGCTGCCGAATCAGCGCCTCCATCAGCCATTCCTCCAGGACCCCCAAAGATGAAGAACGCTTAGCCAGCCTGGATGCCTCTGGGAGCAGTCCGAGCCAAAGAGGCTTTGAGAACTGTCCCTAGGCCCACAGCCCTTGATGGGCGTAGATCCAGGCCAGGCTTTGCCGCTGCCCTTGTCCCAGCCACCCAGAGGGGCCGTGAATTAGCCTCCACGGGAAGTTGGCAGCCTCCTCCCTAGAACTGTAGTCTGGAATGAATCTCTGACCCGATAGCATCCCACTCCGGCTCTTCTAAAAATCCTTGCCAGGTTTACTAGGGGCCTGAAACCTCCGGACCCTGTGGGTTCCCCTCCTCTTCCCCCTCCTTGGCCCCCCCGCCCCCAACAGGCTGGACACCTGTCACCTGGGCTGGAGGAGGAAGGAAGACCTGGACTGGAGTTTCCGGGAAAGTCAGGCTTGGAGAGGCCTGGGTTGTGTGAGAGGGAGTTAGATGGGAGATTCGTGACTCGGTGGGAGATACTGGCGAGGCTGGCGGGTAGGAGAGATGGGAGGGTGGTTATCATTTTCTCCCACACACACACAGTTTCAACCTCTCTTAGAGGCCGCGTCTCCAGTCTCTAAATCCCTCCGGTTCAGGGCCGCACCCCCAACGCCGCCCCATCCCAGCAACTAAACGGTTAAGCGACGGCCCCAGGTCAGACGTTTACAAACACTCAGAAGCCGGGCGGGGACCGCGCCCGTTACTCTAATGAGAAACAGGCTCTACGGGACTGGGGAAAGAAGGGAGGGCTGGCCCGACGGGCCGGAGCTCCGCAGCGGCCGAGGCGGCTTCCCTCCCTCCCCTCGGTCCTCCCTCGGGCCCGCCCAGGGGACCACCCCCCCAGTCCCCGGGGACCCCAGTGACGTGCGGAGCTGCCCCGGCTCCGAGCCCAGGGCCGCAACACAGGAGGGGCGGGGAGAAGAGCCCAGGCCGGCGGGGAGAGAAGAATGTTCCGAGGCCGAGCGGGGAAGCGGCCTGGTTTGATTTTCTTCTTTCTTTTTTTTTTTTTTCTTTTTTTTTTCTTTTTTTTCCTTTGGTTGGTCTCCTCAGGTTACATTTCCCTTCCAGCTTCATCTCGGAAATAAAGGAAGGAGAAACCCACGGGGAGGGAGGACGAGGAACACCTCGACCCATCAACCAGCCTGTACCTAAGAGGGCAAGGGAGGTGGGAAGCGGAGGCGAGAAAAGCAGGGATAGAGACCCCGAGGCCCAGCCCCTGTTCCCCCAGACTCTGCCCCTCCCCGGCCCCACTCCCCGCAGGCACAGCACATGCAGACGCACACATTCTTTTCAAATGTCATATTTCCTTTGATCCTGGGCAGCGTTTCTCCATGTGTCTGGCTCAGCTCCTGCCCAGCCAACCGCCTTCCCCTCTCACCCCTGTTTGTTTTCCTGGAGAACCCTCCTCCTCCTAGCATCTGGAAGGCCCTGAGGGCTGGCGTCGGCCCTCATTCCCCTGATGACTCTGGCCTCTCCTCCCATGACTCAATTTCCCCTTCATGGGTGTTGGGGGGTAGGGAAGGGAGGAGCAGAGGGGAGAGTGGTTGAGATTGTTCAGAGTGCCAAGCTTCTCTGAGGCGGGGGGCGGGGGGGCATCCCCTTGACTCTGAAAACCCTCCAATCTGTCTCGGCTGCGGCAGAGAGATGGAACTTATGACTTCTGAAATGCTCGGCCTGGCGTTGGAGCCTGGGCAACAGCGGGTAGTTGCGGATTTAAGTTGCCCTACACTTCTGCCCCCTGGCGACCAGAAAGACCCAGCCCCCCCGTCCTTGGTTCGCGGTTTCTCTAGCCGCCTGGCCTCGGTCTCAGCTCCGCTGCCTCCTAGCGCACATACCGGAGCACAACCCGGCTTTCTTACCTTGGTTGGTGGCTTCTGCTCTGCACTTTAACAAGCATCATTCAACTTCCTTGGAGGTGGATGTTATTTATTTCTTTTTTTAATTACACAAGATGCAGTCTTCTCTTTTCCCCAGAGGTCTAAATAAAGCTAATTAATATGCATTCTTCTTGTAAACAATTCAAGCTATACAAAAATATGTAGTAAACCTTGATGGTCCACCATTTTGTATGCCTTTATTAACATGTACGCACACACACATGCTCTTTTTATGCGCGTGACAAGCATTTTTCTTGCTTTTTTTTTTCCTCACTTAACAAATGGTTGGAAGATCTTCTCCCATAGTACCATCTGAAAATGATGATGAAAATGCCCACCTTTTCAGTAGATAAAGTGACTTTTACAAATCAGGTTAGCAATAGAGTTGATCTGGAACCCAGGCCTCCTGGGTCCTTGTCAAGTTTGCTAATTCATTCCATCACATTTTACACAGGAATCTGTCCCAGGCTTGGCTCCTCCAGTAAGTAGAGCCTGAGACAAGAACAGGATGTAGGTAGTTTATAGTGAAAAGCAATCAGAAGGAACAGAAAGAGAAGAATGGAAAAAGTGAAACTGGAAAGAAGAAAAGCCAGTCCAAGGGTGTGCTACAGAACAGGTCACCACTCTGAGCAACTGGGATATTATCCTACTGAGACCATCTGTATAGCCACAGAGAATGTAATTGAAGAGAAGAGGCCAGCCTTGTCTCTACTAAAAATAAATTTTAAAAGGCCGGGTGCAGTGGCTCACCCCTGTAATCCCAGCACTTTGGGAGGCCAAAGCAGGCAGGTGGATTGCCTGAGGTCATATACACAGATATACTATATACTATACTATATAGCATATACACAGATATACTATATATATACTATATATGTATATATGTACAGATATACTATATATACACAGATATACACTATACTATATAGCATATACACAGATATACTATATATATACTATATATGTATATATGTACAGATATACTATATATACACAGATATACACTATACTATATAGCATATACACAGATATACTATATATATACTATATATGTATATATGTACAGATATACTATATATACACAGATATACTATACACTATACTATATAGCATATACACAGATATACTATATATATACTATATATGTACAGATATACTATATATATACTATATATGTATACATGTACAGATATATATGTACATGTATACATATATATCTGTACATCTGTATATATGTATACACAGATATACATGTATATAAAGTATATATACACAATGTATATATATAGTCATACAGTATATACATATACACAGTATATACACAGTGTATATATAGAGTATATATGTATACACTGTGTATATATAGAGTATATATGTATACACAGTATATATATATATACACACACAAAAAAAGTTTCTTTATTGTGTATATACACACATATGCACACACAGTAAAGAAAGGGAAAAGCAACGGGTTAAAATAATTTCAGTTATATTAATATACTTCGGGGTTTTTTTTTTTTTGAGATGGAGTCTGGCTTTGTTGCCCAGGCTAGAGTGCAATGGCATGATCTCGGCTCACTGCAACCTCTGCCTCCCAGGTTCAAGTGATTCTCCTGCCTCAGCCTCCCAAGTAGCTGGGATTAAGGCATCTGTAACCCCACACCCGGCTAATTTTTGTATTTTTAGTAGAGACAGGGTTTCACCATGTTGTCCAGGCTGGTTTCGAACTCCTGCTTCAAGTGATCCACTCACCTTGGCCTCCCAAAGTGCTGGGATTATGGGTGTGAGCCACCGAGCCCAGCCCACTTTTTGTTTTTAAAAAAGGAAATACGTATCTTATATTGGTCGATCACAGGGATGAAAAATAACACTACGAATTCTGTTTTGAGTCTTAAGTTTTACAAAGTTGTCAATGACCTTATCAAAATTGATTTTTAGCTCTTTGGGAGGCCAAGGCGGGCAGATCAATTTGAGGCCAGGAGTTCCAGACCGGCCTGGCCAACATGGTGAAACTTTGTCTCTACTAAAAATACAAAAAAATTAGCCAGGCATGGTGGCACATGCCTGAAATTTCAGCTACTCAGGAGGTTGAGACACGAGAATTGCTTGAGCCTGGGAGGTGGAGGTTGCAGTTAGCTGAGATTGCACCACTGCACTCCCGCCTGGGAGACAGAGCGAGACTGTCACAAAAAAAAAGATCTTCATGTACATATCTTCAATAGGCCATATAGACAGATTTGTGGATCTCTCCCACTCCTAGTTGATCAAAGAAAACTTCTTGGTAATTTTAATTTTTACCGAGATACCTTTCACATACCATAAAATTGACTCTTGTGTACAATTCAGTGGGTTTTAGTATATTCACCAAGTTGCACAATTATCACCATATCTAATTCTAAGACATTCTCATCATCCCAAAAGGAAATCTTATACCTATTAGTTAGTAGTCACTCCGCATTCTCCCTTTCCTCCAACCCCTAAAAACCATGAATCTACTTTCTGTCTCTATGGATTTGCCTGTTCTCGACATTTCATGTAAGTGGAATTATACAATATGTAGCCTTTTGTGTCTGGCTTCTTTCACTGAGCATAGTATTTCCAAGGTTCATCCATATTGTTTTATGTATCAGTATTTTATTCCTTTTTATGGCTGAAAGCTAATTTTAATTTTGAAAAATTTTTTCCCATGCAGTAACAGATATATAAATTTCTAGAAAAATACATACATACATATTTTGAGACAACGTCTTGTTCTGTGGCCCAGGTTGGAGTGCAGTGACACAATTATAGCTCACTGTAACCTTGAACTCCTGGGCTCAAGTGATCCTCCTGCCTCAGCCTTTTGAGAAACTAGGACTACAGGTGTGTCTTAATTTTTGTTGAGTCAGTCTCCCTGTGCTTCCCAGGCTGTCTGGAACTGCTGGCCTCAAGCAATCCTCTGGCTTCAGCCTCCCAAAGTGCTGGGATTACAGGTATGAGCCACTGTGCCTGGCCTTAGGGCAAAAAAATCTTAAACCTAAGGATAAGATTGATGAGATTCATAAAAGCCCAATTTCACAATAAATTCCAGAAATTTATTTTCAATGTGTCTTTATTTCTCCAGGATTGAAGCTAATAGCTTTCAAGTGTCTCAGTTGAAAAATGTTAAACACAAACATTCCAAGTTTTCATATAATGTATCATTCATTACTTCATAACATATCACTTCCAAAACTTTATAGCTTTAAACCACAATGATCATTATCCCTCATGATTTCTCTGAGTAAAAAATACAGATGATGCAGTGAGCAAGGCTTCTATCTGCTCAGCAATGTCTGGTGGAGAACTTGAAGGCTGGGAGCTAGAATCACCATGTCTAGCAGTTTATGCTGTTGACTGAGACTTTAGCTAGGGCAACCAGCTGTACCATGTATACACATGACTGCTCCATGAGGCTTGGGCTTCCTTACAACGTGGCAAGTATCAACAGACAGAGAGAGAGCTCCAAGCAGAATCTACCTCCTTTTTATGACCTAGCCTTGAAAGTCACATAGCTGTACTCCATTGATCAGACAGTCACAGTCCCTGGCCAGAATGGAGGGGTGAGAACATACACTCACACCTCTAGGTGGAAGCAGTATCAGATATACCGTATGAAGAGCATGGAGAATGGGGTATACACATGTGACCATCTTTGGGAAACACAATCTAACACAGTCTGCCCTCTGGTCAGAACAGTTCACATTCCTCCCATACTCATCCCCACCCTACAAGACCCTGAAGCCTCATCCCATTGTGGTACCAAGCTCAGGCTCAAAAGCCTAGATCTCATCACCTAGATCCTGGAACTCAAGTGTGAACAAATGCCATATAACAAATCACCCCCAAAATTTAGTGGCTCCATTAAGATACATACTATCTAATTGGGAGATAAGACGTAAACACATGAAAAGTTTCACAATAATAAAAGAGCTTAACAAAAATAATTCAAGAGATGTAATAGAGCAATTCTATCAATAGGAGACGTTTGCTTGGAAGCAACGCAAACTGACTTCTTGTAACTTAAGCAAAAGAAGAATATTATAAAGGCAGACCTCACAGAACCAAAGAAAAGGAGAATCAGTCAGGCTTCAGGAAGAATAGGAACCAGAGTGTTTCTAGGGAACTAGTCAGCAAGACCTGATGCACAGCCTTTGCATGGTGCTGGGCATTTTCAGTTCCTGGTATGTACCAAGTTCTTCCTGCTTCCAGTACTTGGCAGATGCTGTTTTTCCTGCCCAGATCTCTCTTTCTACACAACCCCCTTTGCCTGACTACCTTCTACTCATCTCTACATCTCAGCTACCATCTCAGATCTTCATAACACACATCCCAATTATAATAAGATAACTGCATAGGCTGAGCACGGTGGCTCACACCTGTAATTCCAGAACTTTGGGAGGCTGAAGCAGGCAGATCACTTGAGCCCAGGAGTTTGAGACCAGCCTGGGCAACATGGAGAAACTCCATCTCTACAAAAAATATAAAAATTAGCCGGGCATGGTGGTGCACACATGTAGTCCCAGCTACTTGGGAAGCTGAGGCAGGTGATCACTTGAGCCCAGGAGGCAGAGATTACAGTGAGCTGAGGTCATGCCATTGCACTCCAGCCTGTGTGACAGAGTGAGACTCTGTCTCAAAATAAATAAATAACTGTGTAAGTACTTATTTAATGTCTGAGTACCCCACTAGAGTGGCAATTCTCTAATGAGAGGTACCTTGTCTTATTTCTCTACCTACATCTTTACTTTTTGATTGATCTAATTAGCAAATACCTGTGGAAATAAATGAAGGCTAACCAATGAAAACAGGCAAATACTATTTATTCAGAGCTCTCTATCACAAGTTAGTCAGCCACCATCACTTGCATTTTGGCAGAAACTCAAAAGCAGGCAGAGGAGTGGGAAAGCTTTATAGTGGACAAAGGGAAGGCTTCAGGTATGCCCTGACTGGAGGCTGTGGCATGGGGAAGTCATGTGTGGCCTAACTAGAAGTGGGGCATCATTTCACCCGCAAAATGGAGTAAAGAAAAAAATATTATAGAAATGGTGCATCATACAAGATTGGTTAGGAATGCATATTTGGCTTTCTCTGATTGATCCTAAGTTGGAAGAGGGGACAAAAATTTAAAAAGCTGTCAGTTATTAATCAAGTCCTGGCTCTTTGGAGCAGATTTTTGCAAGGGTTGTTGTTTGGATTCCTGGGCTGGTTGCTAGAGATAGTGATCTGACTTTTCACAAGTCTGACTTTTTTTTTTTTTTTTTTTGAGACAGAGTCTCGCTTTGTCACCCAGGCTGGATTTCAGTGGCATAATCTTGGCTCACTGCAACCTCTGCCCCCTGGGTTCAAGCGATTCTCCTGTTTCAGCCTCCTGAGTAGCTGGGACTACAGGTGCCTGCCACCACTCCTGGTTAATTTTTCATGTTTTTAATAGAGACAGGGTTTCACCAGGTTGGCCAGGCCGGTCTCGAGCTCCTGACCTCAGATGATCTGACCACCTCGGCCTCCCAAAGGGCCAGGATTACAGGCATGACTTTTAGGCAGTTGGCTTCCTGGGCTGGTCATGATAGATAATGGGTTAGTTTCTTGGACTAATTGCTGCATATTGTGGGTCAGGGTTCTATTTTTATATATGGCCATTTTCCATCTGTATATTCAGTCTCTTACATTTATTGAACATCTATTATGTGCCATACACCATGCTAGGCTCTGGGATACAAAGATTGATGAAGATCATGATTGACGATTGAAAAGTTGACAAGATATGGTCTTATCAACCTCCTCCTGTCTTACTGCTGCACCATCCTTAGCATCCCACTGCATGGGAGATGACCACTTATGGTGCAGCCGTCACATCCATGTTTAAACCAACAAGAAGAGAAAAAGCAGAAAAATGCAAACTCTCTTCCCCCACACACCATTTATATTTACTATCGATTGGCCAGAATTTAGTCACATGGCCACATATAGCTGCAACAGAGGCTAGAAAATGTATTTATTCCAAGTTGACGTATGTCTGGCTAAAAAATGACAGGATCTATTACTAAGGAAGATGGCGAGAAAGGTTGTTGGACTCAACTAGCAGCCTCTGCAAACTAGGGAAATGGGGTTTTGGGATTACCCATAGATTCCAGTTACCAATATTTTCTCTTTTGTCTCTTTCTTCTACTATAGGATATTCTTTTTTCTTCTTTTTTTAAAAATAATTTTAATGTTTGTTTTAGATTTACGAAGTACATGCACAGGATTTTTACATGTACTGTAGGATATTCTTGATCTACTACATAATTACCCTCATTCTGTACTACACAGAACAAAACAAGTTCTTTTCATAGTTAAAAAGAAACAGCTCTGTGAGATTCACTGTTATCTATTTTAAAGATGTTGTTTATGGTTACCTATGGCAACTACTCAGAGTGCTCACTCTGTGATCAGGGACACTTTTTCTCTTAGGTCTTAGTGTCAGCAATAACTATGCTTCTCCTGGACCATCAGGCAAAAGGCAAGACCAATGAGTTTTTTTATTTTTATTTTTATTTTTATTTATTTATTTTTGAGACAGAGTCTCACTCTGTGGCCCAGGCTGGAGTGCATTGGCACGATCTTGGCTCACCACAAAATCTGCCTCTCAGGTTCAAACGATTCTCCTGTCTCAGCCTCCCAAGTAGCTGGGATTACAGCTGTGTGCCACCACGCCCAGCTAATTTTTGTATTTTTAGTAGAGACGGGGTTTCACCATGTTGGCCAGGCTGGGTCTCAAACTCCTGACCTCAAGTGATCCGCCCTCCTTGGCCTCCTAAAGTGCTGGGATTACAAGTGTGAGCCACCACACCCGACCCCATTGAAACTTTTAAAAGGGCAGATGTTGAGCTTTGTTGTGGGCCAAGCACTTGAAATATACATTGTAGACCATTAGTGCAATTAATTTGGTCCACTCTAAAATTATGTTCTGTCTTTTTGGATAAAATCCATGATCCAATTAAATTCATGACCACGTAACATTCATGTTCATGGTCACATAGAATTCTCCAGATTTTGCCTTAGAAAGTTCCCATGGCTCCTTCTGGGCATCATTCCTGTTTATTTTGATGTTTTTGCTTCCCACCTTCTGGTTTATCCTAGTCAGAGGATGAGCCTAAGGAATTGAGCTATAATAGCAAAGCAGATTTCGCTCTCTCCTCTGCAAGAAGAAAACAGTGAAAATTGTTTCAACAGGGACTATATTTATTGTCTCGCTCTGTCACCCAGGCTGGAGTGCAGTGGCGCGATCTCAGCTCACTGTAACCTCTGCCTCCCAGGTTCAAGACATTCTCTGCCTCAGCCTCCCAAGTAGCTGGGATTAAAGGCGCCCGCCACCATGCCCGGCTAAGTTTTTGTATTTTTAGGAGAGACAGGTTTTCACCTCTTGTCCAGGCTGGTCTTGAACTCATGATCCACCCCCCTGGGCCTCCCAAAGTGCTGGGATTACAGGCATGAGCCTCCATGCCCAGCCCCAGATCATTATTCTTACTTTCACTGCAAAAAACTGGTGAGGTTGTAAACTTTGCTGCAATTCAACAACTTGCAAGATCAATTTCTTCTTCTTTTTTTTTTTTGAGACGGAGTCTGGCTCTGTCACCCAGGCTGGAATGCAGTGGTGTGATCTCGGCTCACTGCAGCCTCTGCCTCCTGGGTTCAAGCGATTCTCCTGCCTCAGCCTCCTGAGTAGCTGGGGCTACAGGCACCTGCCACCACGCCCAGCTAAATTTTGTATTTTTAATAGAGATGGGGTTTCACCATGTTGGCCAGGCTGGTCTCAAACTCCTGACCTCAAGTGATCCTCCCGCCTCGGCCTCCCAAAGTGCTGGGATTACAGTGCAAGATCAATTTCTGAATTCAGTTTTTAGCTGATATCTGCAGAGAGAAGGGTGCCAGGCAATGGTGCTTTATTTTCTTCCGGGCTTTGAGGTGGATATTCTGAGTTTAACATTTTTATTCTCTCACCTTTAGCTATCCAATGCCATTGGAAACAAAAATTCAGCCCTAGAATCCCACATTCCTCATCATCTTTAAAGTGTTCCATAGGAACTGTTACCTGGTCCTTCAGGATCTCATCTAGCTTTCCTTGATGGAATGTGGAAGGAGTCTCATTGGGCAAAAGCTCAATCTTTCCCCCCTATCCAATTCCAAATGCCCCATACATCCTCTGAGGTTTTGGTGCATACAGTCCTATCTATAGAGTGGCAAAATTAAGTAATCATTTAATTTACCATCAGTGAGATACTATACTGAGGTTAAATGTGCATTGTACTTTCATCTAGTGACTAATATATATGATTGTTTAACCAATACCAGAATACGTGGTTGTAAGAAATAAGATTTGGCAGACAGAATAATGGCCCACCCCCAACCCCCAATTATTAGATATTCCCGTTTTAGTTCCCAAAAACCTATAAATATGTTATCTTACATGGCAAAAGGAACTTTGTAAATGTGATTAAGTTAAGGGCCTTGAGATGGGGGATTATCTTGAGTTATCTGGATGAGCCTAATATAATCACAAGTGTCCTAAAAAGTACAAGGGGAAACTGAGTGCTCATGTCTATAATCCCAGCTACTCAGGAGGTCAGGGCAGGAGGATTGCTTGGGGTCAGGAGTTCAAGACCAGCCCAGTCAACATAGCAAGACCTCATCTCTTAAAAAAAAAAATATATATCTATGTATATATATATATGTATATATGTATCTATGTATATATATATGTATATATGTATATATGTATATATGTATATATGTATATATATGTGTGTATATATGTATATATGTGTATATATGTATATATATGTATGTATATATATGTGTGTGTATATATATATGTGTGTATATTTATATATATATATAGGCTGGGGGCGGTGGCTCACACCTGTAATCCCAGCCCTTTGGGAGGCCAAGGCAGGTGAATCATTTGAGGTCAGGAGACCAAGACCAGCCTGGCAAACAGTGAAACCCCATCTCTACCCAAAATACAAAAATTAGCCAGGCGTAGTGATGCGTGCCTGTAGTCCCAGCTACTTGGGAGTCTGAGGCCAGATAATCACTTGAACCCGGGAGGCAGAAGCTGCAGTGAGCAGAGATCGTGCCACTTGCACTCCAGGCTGGAGACTCCATCTCCGAAAAAAAAAAAAAAAAAAAAGATAGTGGAATGGGAGGCAACAGAAGACAGTCAGGCGGAGCTGTGTCTGTGGGAAAAAAAGTCACAGAGAGATGCAGAGTTGCTGGCTTTGAAAATCTAGGAAGAGGCCATGAGTCAAGGAATGTGGGTGGCTTCTAAGAGCTGGAAAGGCAAGGAAACAGATTCTCTCCTAAAGCCTCCAGAAGGACCACAGCCCTGTCAATGCCTGATTTTAGCCCAGTGAGGCCAGTGTTGAACTTCTGTCCTACAGAACTGTAAGATAATACATTTGTGTTGTTTTAAGCCACTAAGTTTATGGTTATTTGTTACAGCAGCAATAGGAAAGGAATACACAAGGGGTGGTCTCATCTCTACAAATGCTGTCACCGACCCAATCTCCACAGTTTTGCTTCGAATCCCTATGACTCTCTAGAGATTTTACAATTCAAGGAATAACTACTTGCACAGGGGACTCGAGAGTGGTTCCCCTACCACTGCCCATTTTAGGCCTTGTACCATTAAAGGAACTGGCAGGCCAGGTATGCTGGTGCATTCCTGTAATCCTAGCACTTTGTGAGGCTGAAGTGGGAGGATCATTTGAGCCCAGAAGTTCAAGACCAGCCTGGGCAACATAGTGAGACCCTGTCTCTACAAAAATTTTTTTTTTAATTAGCCAGACGTGGTGGCACATGCCTGTAGTCCCAGCTACTTGGGAGGCTGAGGCACTAGGTTTGCCTAAGCCAGGAGGCTGAGGCCGCAGTGAGCTATGGTAATGCCACCACCCTCCAGCCTGGGCAACAGCAAGACCCCATCTCAAAATAAATAAATAAATAAATTTAATTAAATAATTAAGTAACTGGCAAAACAAGAAAAACAAAAATATGTCACAGTATTGTTTAGGTCTACTGTGATTGACCCCAACCATCATGGGGAAAAAAGGTTACTACTAAGCAGTAGAGCCCAAAAGGGTATGCCTGAAACTCCAGGCACTCCTCTAAGTGCTTCCCACCATGCCCACTGCTGAGGGTTAGCAGAAGATTGCTACAAGCCTACATAGGAAGGACTGTCAAGTGCTCAAAACCCTCCAGAATGAAGGTAGGCCACCCTGCTAAGTATAGCAGCAACAAAACACAGCAGCCAGCTAAGGGGCTGGTCAAAGACAAGGTAGAAGAAAACAAAAACAGAAGCAAACTACCAGTTACCAACCTGTCCAATGGCCGACATGAGGGTGGTGTCTTTCGTTCCGTTTTCTGCTTGAGTGTCCAATGAATAAAGTGTTACCTCCTTCCCTTACATTTCCTCTTCCTGCTTATTTATTTATTTATTGAGAAAGAATCTCACTCTGTCGCCCCGGCTGGAGTACAGTGGCGTAATCTTGGCTCACTGCAACCTCCACCTCCTGGGCTCAAGAAATCCTCCCACCTGGCCACCTGGAACACCGCAATCCCAGCACTTTGGGAGGCCAAGGTGGGTGAATCACCTGAGGTCAGGAGTTCAACACCAGCCTGGCCAACATGGTGAAACCCCATCTCTACTAAAAATACAAAAATTAACTGGATGTGGTGGTGCATGCCTGTAATCCCAGCTACTCGGGAGGCTGAGGCAGGAGAATAGCTTGAACCCAGGAGGCAGAGGTTGCAGTGAGCTGAGATCGTGCCACTGCACTCCAGCCTGGGCGACAGAGTGAGACTCTCTCTCAAAAAAAAAAAAAAAAGAAAAGAAAAGAAAAAAAGAGAGAGATCCTCCCACCTCAGCCTCCTGAGTAGCTGGGATTACAGGTGTGCGCCACCACGCTGGGCTAATTTTTTGTATGCTTCAGCAGAGACAGGGCTTCCCCATGTTGGCCAGGCTGGTCTCAAACTCCTGACCTCAGGTGATCCACCCACCTCGGCCTCCCAAAATGCTGGGATTATAGGCATGAGTCACCATGCCTGGCCTCCTCTTCTTGTTTCAAATAGAAATAATCATAACTTTTATTCTTTCTTCTATTTTCTCCCTGTTATAAAGAGTTAATTAGTGTGGCTTCCTTAAAGAAAGGTAGATTCCCACAGAGATTCACATCATATGAACTAATAGATAGAAAGGAAACTTACAAACTAAACAAGCAAAAGAGGTTATGTCTTTAAAACAAAATCATGTCACTTCTCAGAATGTAAACTAAGGGCAGAATCTATTTCTGATTCATCTGTGTCTTTCCCTATTGCATAACAGAGTGCCTTGTGCTTTCCATGTGGTTAATAAATATTTGCTGAATGAGGGAGGAGGGAAGGAGGAAGGAAGGAAGAAAGGAAGGAGGGAAGGAAGGAAGGAAGGGAGGGAGGGAGGGAGGGAGGGGGAGAGGGAGGGAGGGAGGCTATTCCTCCCTTCTAGCTCATATTAACATACTTCCTTCTCCCGCATGATTCGCCATCATGCAGCCTGCTGTCTTCTCTCCTCCATCCCTGCTTCTCCCCAGGAACAATCTCAACCTCTTACCTTGCCCCTTCTACCTTGCGGATCCCTGTTCTATTGGTGTAACTTCTTGTTTCTCCAAATCTTTCAGTCAAAACTTCCTCCCTCTCACCTTACCTGAGACCTGGACATTCTCTCATAACCTTTGCACAGACAGGCCATCCTTTCACATAACAGAGAAGAAAGTGGAGTTTTCCTTTCCATGGCCTCATAGCAGCTTTCAGAATCACTCTTGATCATTTTCACTTAGAAACTCCTCTGAAGGTTGTGCCACTCATTTCATTCACTCATGCCACCCTGTCCCTATCTGAGTCATGGCCACCTGACAACCTAAAGGACTCCTCTGGTGGACTTTGGCCCCTGGCTCAGGGTGTCTCTCTACCTCATCCCTACCAGCCACCTGGGGACTAAGGCTATTCCAATACTCCAGGTTATGTTCCTCGATCTAATGACCCTTACATCTATAATTTAAAATACGCAACATACTGTCCACTTACCAGGGTTTAGGAATGCTCCATTCCATACTACCAAACTCTGAAATTACACTTTTTTTTTTTTTTTGAGATAGAGTCTCGCTCTGTCACCGAGGCTGGAGTGCAGTGGTGTGATCTCAGCTCACTGCAAATTCCGCCTCCTGGGTTCAAGCAATTCTCTGCCTCAGCCTCCCAAGTAGCTGGGATTACAGGCATGTGCCACCACGCCTGGCTAATTTTTGTATTTTTAGTAGAGACAGGGTTTCACTATCTTGGCCAGGCTAGTCTTGAACTCCTGACCTCATGATCCACCCGCGTCAGCCTCCCAAAGTCCTGAGATTACAGGCGAGAGCCACTGTGCCCAGCCTTGAAATTCCCCTTTTTGACCCAAACCTTGAGTTTCTGTGCCCTGCTCTCTCCTCACCAATTCTGATTTCCATTACTTTATTCTCCTAGACTAACAACCCCCTATTCCAGCGTTAGTGCTCTCCCTGTCCAACCTGGGATCCACGTGAGCCATTTCAAAAGTGTTTTCACAAGCAATCAAGATTTCCTCAGCCCTTAACTTTCCATCACTTCTCAAACTGAGGTAAGCCAAGCATGCATTTCTCTGCCTCCTGGTCTGGAGAAAGTTTCACAATCATGATGATTGATTCCATAATAAATCACTGCTTTCTAACTTCGGCTGGACCCTCGCTGCTGCTCCACAAACATTTTATCCATCTGTAGTTATCTCTAGCCGACTTCACCATGATCAACTAATTTGCATCAGATCAACCCTCTGAGAGCAACTACAAAAGCTGGGTACAGTTATTAAAAAAATTTTTATTTCAGTAGCTTTTGGGGTACAAGTGGTTTTGGGTTACATGAATGAATTGTATAATTGTGAAGTCTGAGATTTTAGTGCACCTGTCACCCAAATAGTGTACAACGTACCCAATATATAGCTTTTTATTCCTCGCCCCGCTCCCACCCTTCCCACATCTGAGTCTCCAATATCCATTATACCACTCTGTATGCCTTTGCATAGCTGGGTACAAATTTTTTTAAATATGTTTGAAGACAGTGGAAATTCATCAAGGCAGGAGGCTTTGAAGGGCCAACGTCCCAGAAGAAAGGGAAAGCATGTTGAGGTGAGGCCAACATTCTGCATGGTCTGTCCCATGGGGGATATTTATCGATTTGTGAGAGGCAGCCAGACTCAGCAGGAGATAGTGCCTAAGAGGTAGGAGGCTGAGAAGAACTTTCAGTAGTCTACAGTCCTGAGAAAACAAAAATGGGAATTTAGGACCTGTTAAGGAGGAAGGACCTGTTAAACACCACAGGATATCGTTAGCGTCCCTGAAGAACTATATTCTAGGACTAAAGCTGTATCGGTCAGGGTTTAATCAGGACACAGAAACCACACAGTCATTTGAAACAGGAACGTTTAATATAAACAAGTATTGTGCTCACTTTGGCAACACATATACTAAAATGATACAGAGAAGAATAGGATGGCCCCTGCACAAGGATGACATGCAAATTCATGGAGTGTCTCATATTTTTATTTGCAAAAATAAAATAAAGAAGCATTAACTCCAACAGGGTGTTGGCATACTAAGGGATTAGCTAGTAAGAAGAAATGAGAATTCCAAAGGACACAGGAACAGCAAATTTAAGAAAAACCCACTACTCCTAGGGCTGAAATAGCTGTGAAATTGGCCAAGCAGATGCCAAAGCAAGTTATTCATGGGGAGGTGCCTTAGCAGTTGCAACAGGCTGAGAAGTCACCCAGAAATGTGCCAGGGGAAGCTTTTGGCTGCTAGGCACTGCTGACCACTTTGCACTGCCTGAGTGTACACTGAAGAAATTGCACACGCTGCAGGAGTAAGGCAAAGGAGCAAACCAAAACCAGGAAGATGGACTTCTTCCTGCTCCAGTGTTCCTCCAGCACCCACTACTGACAGCGCTTAACACTATGCCAGCTGGCAAAAGAGAGATACGATATTCCCCCTTATCTGTGGGGATATGTTCCAAGACCCCTAGTGGAGACCTGAAACCACAGATAGCACCAAACTCCAGCCAAAGAACGCCAAAGTTACATTTTCTTTTCTTTTATTAGACAGGGTCTCACTCTGCCACCCAGGCTGGAGTGCAGTGGTGGGATCACAGCTCCTTGTAGCTTTGTTCTCCTGGGCTCAAGCGATCCTCCCACCTCAGCCTCCCAAGTAGCTGGGACTACAGATGTACGCCACCACACCCAGCTAACACATTTTCACTTAAAGCAGCACTTTATGGTTTCTTGTTGGCATATCCAAATTGTTAGCAACACTACTCTTTGCTTTGGGGCCATTATTAAGTAAAATAAAGATTACTTGAACACAAGCACTGAGATACCCGGACAGTCGATCTGATTACGAATACCAACACTAAGTGAATAACAGGCAGGTATCGTAGACAGCATGGATAATTCCCTTGATCGTTCTTTATACTTAACCTAACTTCCATCTCTTTCCCTCCCTTCACTACTAAACCTCTTCATTTTTTATTTGTTTATATTTATTTTTGCAAAATCAGAGTCTCCCTATGTGGCCCAGGCTAGTCTCAAGCTTCTGGGCTCAAGCAATCCTCCTGCCTCAGCCTCCCAAAGTGCTGGAATTACAGTCATGAGCCACAGCACATGGCCTAAAGTTCACTTTTTCTTTTCTTTTCTTTTCTGAGACAGTCTTGCTCTGTCACCCAGTGGCGCAATCTCAGTTCACTACAACCTCCACCTCCCGGGTTGAAGCAATTCTCCTGCCTCAGCCTCCCAAGTAGCTGGAATTACAGGCGCCAGCCCCCACGCCTGGCTAATTTTTGTATTTTTAGTAGAGATGGAGTTTCACCATGTTGGCCAGGCTGGTCTTGAACTCCTGACCTCATGATCTGCCTGCCTCAGCCTCCCAAAGTTCTGGGATTACAGGCATGAGCCACTGTGCCCGGCCTAAAATTCACTTTTTAAGATGTTGAATCTCATCCAAAAACACCCTCCAAGCAGACCCATAAAATGTAACCATCACAAGGTCCTTCTCCCACACAATGGGAGCTTGCTCACTACTCCTCTCCTTTCCAGCTCCAATGCAAACACAGCCAAGAAGTGCAAGGGAGTTAGTGCCTCCAGATGCAATCCTCAACCAATGAGTGCAGGCACTGGCAGATGAATGTTCCAGCCTCCCATCCTTCATGTGGACAATTCTGGGAGGCATTCTTTAAATTTGGAGCCTCTACTGGAAAGGAGCCTCCACTGCCTACAATAACAATCTCAACAAAACATCCTCATATTGGCTTTCTTCCCTTCCTAGTTCACACTCTGTTCCCTCACTGCTGCTTCTTGGGATCCCCTCCCCAAAACACTACCTTTGTTAAATCCAAGCTCAGGCTCTTCTTTTTGGGAAACCCAAACTTAGACGCCTTCTCAGTAGCAGCTGAGTCTGATAAGTCTCTCCTCCCTTGGCTATCCTGGTTCTGCTCCGGCCTCTCTGACCTCAGTTTCTCTCACTGGTTTCTCTTCTGCTGGCCTGACTTTGGAGATGTAGTGTTTTCTGTCCTCTGCCTTCTTCCCTTCTTCCTCCATAGACTCTCTCGGTTGGTGTCGTTCATTTCAGCATAACTCTCACCACTTCCCTGCTCCGGTCTCCTGTCTTCTCCTGCCTGCTAGGGATCCCTTGAGGCTGCAGCACGTGGCTCTCACACAAACATGTCCACATCCAAATATAGCCCATTCCCACATAATGTATCTCTTCTATGTTCCATACCTCAGTGTCATGGCATTACTATTCTCTCAACTTTCCAGAATAGAAACTTTGAATATTCCTTCTCTCTCATCCCCAGGTTCTTCTACTAATACCTCAGAGTTATTTCTAGACTGAGTTTCTTCCTCTCGATCCCTGCAGGCATTAACTTGGTTCAGGTCCTCATCACCTCTCACTTGAATTGCTCTAACTGTGGCCTGCAGTTTTCCCTGCCTCCAGTTCTCCCCATCTCATTTCATGCACCATGTAGCCACTGGCTTGAGCCTCCTAAGTCACAGATCTAATCATGTTGCAATGTAGCTCAAGACCATTCCACAGCTTCTGATATTAAAACAAAGCAAAACCTTTTAAGCCAGAGTTCCTGGCACAGAAGAACTTGAGAAGGCATGTATTCAAATGAGAACAGTGGTCATTTATGTACCCTTACTGCTCATTTGGGGCACCTCTTTACCTCCACACCACAGCTGTTTGTGGAGGGCACTTTCTTCCATCCAAAACCTGGTCTAAGTTACACAAATTCCCTGTTGGTAGTTCCCTTATCAAAGGTGAGTCAGTCTTACACTTTCAAAATGAACTTTCTTAAAAATTAAAGTAAATCCAAGAAGTACACACACACACACACACACACACACACAACCCATAAGCAGGAATATCTGAACCTTTAAAAATGAATAGATCTATTTTTTTAATCATAACAGGTAGAAATATAAAACCCAAACTCTAAAACTTAGAAAGAAGCATAAGAGAAAATCACTGTAACCTTGGATGAAGCAAAAATTTCTTATAGACTACACCAAAAGAAAAACTTGATTTTTTATCATCTATAAAAGAAAAACTTGACAAGTTGGATTTTGTCAAAAGTAAAACTTTTGCTCTTTGAAAGAAACTGTTAAGAAAATGAAAAGACTAGACATAGGCAGGGAGAAAGTATTTTTAAATGATACATCTGAAAAAGAACTTGTATCCAGAATATATAAAGAACTTTCAAAACTCGGTAATAATAAAACAAACAATCCATTAAAATATGAGCCAAAAATTTGAACAGACACTTCACCTAAGAAGACGTATGGATGGTGGTAGGGCGCAGTGGCTCACGCTTGTAATCCCAGCCATTTGGGAGACTGAGGCGGGCAGATCACCTGAGGTGAGGAGTTCGAGACCAGCCTGGGCAACATGGCAAACCCCTGCCTCTACTAAAAATACAAAAAAATCAGCCAGGCATGGTGGCATACGCCCGTAGTCCCAGGTACTTAGGAGGCTGGGGCATGAGACTCACTTGAACCTGGATGGCAGAGGTTGCAGTGAGCAGAGATGGCGCCACCGCACTCTAGCCTGGGCAACAGAGTGAGATTCTGTCTCAATTAAAAAAAAAAGAAAAGATATATGGATGGCAAGTAAGCACATGAAAACATGCTTATATTATTGGTCATTGTGGAAATGCAAATTAAAACCACAATGAGCTACCTATCCAAATAGCTAATAGTAACAGGACTTGAACATAGCAAATGATGGCAAAGATATGAAAGAACTAGAGCTCTCATACATTTCTGGTGAGAATATAAAATACTACAACTACTCTGAAAAACTATTTCACAATTTTTTTTTTTTTTTGAGAGAGAGTCTCACTCTATTGCCCAGGCTGGAGTGTAGTGGTGTGATCTCAGCTCACTGCAGCTTCCACCTCCCAGGTTCAAGCGATTCTCCTGCCTCAGCCTCCCAAGTAGCTGGGATTACAGGTGTGTACCACTACACCTGGCTAATTTTTGTGTTTTCAGTAGATACCAGGTTTCAACACGTTGGCCAGGCTAGTCTTGACCTCCTGACCTCAAGTGATCCACCCACCTCAGCCTCCCAAAGTGCTGGGATTAAAGGTGTGAGCCACTGCACAGTGGCCGATTTGGTAAATTCTTTAAAAGTTAAGTGTATGCTAATATGGATTGGGTGTGTCCCCAACCAAATCTCATCTTGAATTGTAGCTCCCACAATTCCCACGTGTCATGGGAGAAACCCGGTGGGAGGTAATCGAATCATGGGGGCATGAGAAAGACTCCTGTTAAAATATTTAATAAAAAAAAATAGTCTTACTTGATTCAAAGTTCTTGTTTCTGATTCTGTCAAAGGACTTTGCCCAAAAAGGAAAGTAGCTAAAAAGAGCATAGATAAGGGTTTAAAACCCCACTCTGCCACAAAGTCATCGTGTGACCTTAGGCTGGCTACTCTCATGGCCTTTTCCATTTCTCATCCGTTGAATGGGGCTAATGATATTCTGCCTCACAGGTTTGTTGCTAAACTTAGAATGACATGACAGGTGGGAGAGAGTCCCTAGCACATCCTAGGCTCCAGTGTGTATATATCAGGCCCCATCTCTGAGAAGGTTAGATTCCTTTCTGTTCCCCTCCTTTCCCTTCCTTTCCTCTTTTGTTTCAGATCAGGATCCTAGCTACAAAGACATTCAGGGGAGAAACAATGAAAAGGAAACAGGCCAAAGGGTGTGTCTTGGGTTGTGTTCCCTGAAAACAGTGCCCCTGAGACCTGGACTTGAGATTTCCTGGAAGGGTGACCCCAGGAATCAGAAGGGAGGGAGCAGAAAACGTGAGTCAGGGAAGGAGAAAATGCCAATACAAAGGTGCATTTTGAGCTAGCTACTGAGGTGGAGCTCAGAGCAGATCCTCAGGAACTGCAGAACACACCTCAGAAAGGACAGGAGGCTGGGCACTGGCTGGTTCCCTCCATTGGTTAAGGGTTGCCCTCAGAGCACTGATGCTACTCTCCTCTCCCACACTTCTCTCAGCTGAGGGAGAAAGGCAGAGACAAGTCCTCTTGGATGGGATCCTGGCAGGGTTAAGGGATGGCTCACCACAGATGCAGCTCAAATCAGAGGCAACCTGAGGACACACAGCCCAATGCACCCCAAGTGGCTGCCTCAGGCCCAAAGCCCATCCTTGCGCCAACAACATAACCCTCTTAACCTTGTTGAGCACCTTTGCACCAGGCAACAGACATCCAATACTTCTCAGCAGAGAAACCAGAGACCCTCGGTTAAAGCCCTCTCTCCTCAAGACCACAGGCAGGGAGGGACACACTGCCTTCCTCAGTCACTCCCTCAGAACAGTTGTCTGGGAGAGAAGAGAGAGACCTGAGGGCTGAGTTGTTAAAAAGGCCCTAGGACGGAGGGGTGGGGCTGGAAATTTTCAGGAGAAGGAAGAGGGAGCTATTTCATTGAACAGTAGTTAAATCCATTTTCTCTGCTCTACAAATAAATTGTGAACCAGATATGTTCTTCATATTGGAAACACAGCAATGCTTATTGTGATAATACCTATCACCTATTGGGCATATAATATTTGCCTGGAATTATGCGGTCTTCTTTCTTTCTTTCTGTCCATCTGTCTTTTTTTTTTTTTTTTTTTTGAGACAGAGTCTCGTTGTGTCACCCAGGCTGGAGTGCAGTGGCTCAATCTCGGCTCACTGCAACCTCCACCTCCTGGGTCCAAGCAATTTTCCTGCCTCAGCCTCCCAAGTAGCTGGGACTACAGGCACCCACCACCATGCTCAGCTTTTTTTTTTTTTTTTTTTTTTTTGTATTTTAAGTAGACACGAGGTTACAGTATGTTGGCCAGGCTGGTCGTGAACTCCTGACCTCATGATCCACCCGCCTCGGCCTCCCAAAGTGCTGGGATTACAGGCATGAGCCACCATGCCCAGCCTCCTGTGGTCTAACCTATTATCATGCTGAGCCTTGCTATGTTCTTTCATCCTCATTTCATTTCACCCTCAGAACAACTCAATCCAGTAGGTGCTATAATTAACCAAAATTCAGAGAGGTTGAGTAACTTGCTAAAGGTCAAACAGCCAGTAATTGACAGAGCAGAAATCAACCCCAGGTAGACTGACTCCAGAGCTTATACCCTTGACCGTTAGGCTATACTTTACTCCCTGTAAATAAACAGCAGGACTCACCTGAGGTCAGGAGCTCAAGACCAGCCTGACCAACATGGAGAAACCCCGTCTCTACTAAATATACAAAAAAAAAAAGAATAGCTGGGTGTGGTGGTACATGCCTGTAATCCCAGCTACTCGGGAGGTTGAGGCAGGAGGATTGCTTGAACCCAGGAGGCAGAGGTTGCAGTGACCCAAGATCGCACCATTGCACCCCAGCCTGGGCAACAAGAGCGAAGCTCCGTCTCAAACAAAAAAAAGAAAAAAGAAAAGAAAAAAAGAAACAGCAGGACACCCAGCTAGGGAAGCAACATGAAGCAGTGGCCTGCTCCACTGGGGTGAGAGGAGCTGGGAGAGCACAGAAATTATATTTTGACATTAACTAGACAGTAAGAAAGAGAGAAGGACTCACACTGACAGAAGGGGCATTACGGTTATATGTGTGTGGACGCTTAACTTATAGCTGCCCAAAATCTTTTTGGTCCCACCATGGTAATGTAGAATCAAAATAGTTACCCTGCCCAGCCTCCCTTCCTTGAGGGTACAGACAAGTACGTTAAGTTCTGCCAAAGAGACGCTCTGGGACGCAGATCCAAAATGCGGTGTGAGGAAACAGATTAAGCACAAGGATTCCATTTTGCTAGGACGGTGAGCGCAGGTGGGATAGGAGAGCTAAAGGTATGTGGTTCTTTGTGAAAGCATCAGCCCCTCAGCTCTCCTAAGGAAAAGCAAGTAAAAGGGGGCTTCAGACCTGCTTGGAATCCTAAAGGAGAAGAGCAATACTTGGGCCCTGGAGGAGGCTCCCCAAAAGAAAGCATCTCAAGGATAGGGAGAGGCGGGTGCCACAGTGAATGGAGTCCCTATCCAAGTGGAAAGTTCTCCCCATTACTCTTCTCTCTCAAACCTGGGGTTTGTTTGGTGACTTTCCTGAGTTGAGTATAGCTCAGTCCCCAAAAGTGACAGTTCTTTTGCACATAGTTGCAACCTTTCCCCATGTGTGGAGGGTTTGTTTTCAGTAGCTGGGATAAGGGTTCCCCCATGAGCTGGAGCATCCCTGAGTCGGCAGGGGGTGGAAGGAAGGGGGCAGACGGGAATCCGCACTGCCACAGTAAAAAGAGGTTTCTTATTGCCGGGCGCGATGGCTCACCCCTGTAATCCCAGCACTTTAGGAGACCGAGGTGGGCAGATCACGAGGTCAGGAGTTCAAGACCAGCCTGACCAACATGGTGAAACCCCATCTCTGCTAAAAATATAAAAATTAGCAGGGCATGGTGGTGAGCGCCTGTAATCTCAGCTACTCAGGAGTCTGAGGCAGGAGAATTGCTTGAACCCGGGAGGTGGAGTTTGCAGTGAGCCGAGATCATGCCACTGCACTCCAGTCTGGATGACAGAGTGAGACTCCGTGTCAAAATAAATAAATAAATAAATAAATAAATAAATAAATAAATAAATAAGAGATTTCTTATCACTCTATGTTTACTATTCACCTCCAGACAAAAAATGAGAACTTTTTATTCTGTAAACCTTAGACAGTAAGTCCAACCTCCCTTGATTGTGAGGATTTACTGTGAAAGTGCTTTGTGAACCATCACATGTGGAAAAGACCAGTTGTTATCATTGTTGCTGGTGGGGGCGGGGAGGGAAAGGCCACTCAGCCAGTCTGGCAGTTGGACTCATGAAAGTTCACACTGTAGACTTTACCCTTGACTCAGAACATGCTCTCTGAGTGGAATCACCTCTATCACGTTATGTCTGTCAAAATCTTACCATATTGAAACTCCAAGACCTAATAACATCCATTAAATACCAAAGTGACCAGCAGGCTACTTACAATTACAAGAAATCAGGAGGGAGCAGCAAATAATAGACTGACGGGCTAGGGTAGTGGCAGGTGGGAGAGGGAAGCTGCTACATCTCTGGGCATGTCTTGGAGACAAAGAGGAAGCTGAACTGTAGAATTACTACACTCATTTCATGAACTCATTTCAGGAAAATTAGAAAATGCAGATAAAAATAAGACTATAAGTACTCACCTCAGCAGCACACACACTAAGAAAAAGATATGATTATAAAATATAAGAACATAAAAATCACCTATAAGCCCATCAGCCAGGAATAATTCCTTTAAACATTTTTCTATTTGTCCATTCATATATTTTTCTAAGCATATATACGTATACATACATACATTCTTTCTTCGCGGTGAAATCTGATGTTAAATCAAACAGCTAAATGTTTATTAATATAAATTTTCATATGTCCCTTTCTAATACTAGAATCATATTTTTAGCAGATCCTTTTGTGGTAAAATACACATAGCACAAAATTTATTATTTTAACCCTTTAAGTGTACAGTTTTGTGGCATCAGGTACATTGACTTCATTGTATAACCATTACTACATCGTTAGAACCTTTCATCTTCCCAAATTAAACTCTGTACTCACTAAACAGTAACTCTCCATTCTCTTCCCTCAGCCCCTACAAACCACCATTCTACTTTCATCTCTATGAATTTGACTATTCTAGGTACCTCTTATAAGTGAAATCATACGATATGTGTCCTTTTGTGACTGGCTTATTTTACTTACCATAATATCTTCAAGATTCATCCACATTATAGCATGTGTCTGAATTTTATTAAGGTTAAATCATATTTTTAAGGCTGAATTATATTGTATGGTATGTATATACAACAGTTTGTATTGGACCGATCCATTCACTTATTGATGGACATTTAGGTTGTTTTCACCTTTTGGCTGTTGCGAATAATGCTGCTATGAACATTGGTGTACAGTTATCTATTTGAATCCATGTTTCCTATTCTTTTTTTTTATTTTTATTTTTATTTTTTGAGACAGAGTCTTGCTCTGTCCCCCAGGCTGGAGTGCAGTGGTGTGATCTTCGCTCACTGCAACCTCTGACTCCTGAGTTAAAGCGATTCTCCTGCCTCAGACTCCTGAGTAGGTGGGATTACAAGCACATGCCACCATGCCTGGCTAATTTTTGTATTTTTAGTACAGATGGGATTTCACCATGTTGGCCAGGCTGGTCTCAAACTCCTGACCTCAAGTGATCCGCCAGCCTCGGCCTCCCAAAGTACTGGGATTACAGACATGAGCCACTGTGCCTGGCCTCAATTCTTTTAGGATATACTCAGGGGTGGAATTACTGGTAGCAGATCTTTTTAAAAAATTAGTCCTGGCCGGGACTGTCACCTCAATTAATACCATTTGGTCTGTAATTAGAATCTCTTAATCAAACAACGGATAAGAATTAAGACTAGAATATGCAAGGAGACCACATAGATCCCCCACAACCCGCTACCCCTACAACAATTAGGGAGAGGGAACCAGAGCTCACAGGAGAGATGAACTGAATGTAATTAGAGACAATCAGGAGCAGGGAACTGAAGGAATAAGAAATATCCAAGTAAGGCTGGACGTGGTGGCTCACACCTGTAATCCCAGCACTTTGGGAGGCCAAGGCAGGTGGATCACAAGGTCAGGAGTTCGAGACTAGCCTGGCCAACATGGTGAAACCCCGTCTCTACTAAAAATACAAAAATTAGTAGCTGGGCGTGGTGGTGCATGTCTGCAATCCCAGCTACTCGGGAGGCTGAGACAGAATTGCTTGAACCCAGGAGGCAGAGGTTGTGGTGAGCTGAGATTGCGCCATTGCACTACAGCCTGGGCAGCAAATGTGAAACTCCATCTCAAAAAAAAAAAAAAAAAAAATTAGCCAGGCATGGTGACACATGCCTGTAATCCTAGCTACTCAGGAGGCTGAGGCAGGAGAATCGCTTGAACCCGGGAGGCGGAGGTTGCAGTGAGCCAAGACCACACCACTGCACTCCAGCCTGGGCAACAGAGCAAGACTCCATCTCAAAAAAAAATTTCATTTAATTTAAAAAAAGAAATACCCAAGTAGGCTCCAAAAGCATGGGACATCTGTGGTCAGAGGCATCAGTCCTCAGAAAAGACCAGAGCTCAGAATTCCAAGAATCAGCCTCTGCCTAGGTCCACCCCCATACCCCCTTGCTGGAAGCTGAGGGTCCTGTTAGGCACTTAGTCTAAGGTTCTTCTCCCTGCTCTTCCTTCTTTTAAAGAGGCTGTTTATTTTGAGTCAAAAAGTAGTATAGGCCCTGATACCACACCCAACTTTGTGCTTCACAGTGGTTTATCCCTCATTCTCAGGGTCTCGTCACAATCTGAAGAAACCCAGTTATAACACCTTTCCAAATCCTTTCTGCCTGTTCCCTTCAAGTGGAGATACTGAGCCTGGGTTATTCTCTCTAAAAAGAATCACAAAGGGAGTGGCTGCCCCTTTTGATGGCTCTCAGCTTCTGACTCTAGGCTTTTCTGAGGACCTGCTACACTTCTTGCCTTCTTGGATTCTGTGTGATACCACCATATCTCTATACTAAAGCCTACTTCAGATGGATTTCATGAACTGTGCAGGTGAGAGCCCTCAGTCCCTACAGGAACCCAATCACCTCTTTCCTCCTACTGAGTATGGAGCTCCATCTAGGATGATCAGTGCCTTAAGAAAGGCTCGATATTTTGGGTTGTTCATTTATTCATTCAATTCAACAAATATTTATTGGGTATCTGCCATGTATTGGCTTTTAAGGAGACTACGGTTGAACAATTCCCTAAATAGTTCCAAAATAGCATGAACTGACCCTGCTAGAAGCCATGGTGTGGCTCTCCAAGAGTTGTTTTAGAAAAAACTACAGATCACTTCTGCCTCAACCAGCAGAGCCCATGGACCACTGAACAAAATGGAAAGCAAGTACCAAGGTGAGCACCTTTAGTGAGAGCCAACGCACAACCCACAGGATTGAGTATCCCTGTGAAGGATTGAGTGCCTAGGGCAGGCCCTATCGGGTTCCCACAACCTCCAGTCATGGTCAGACCTCAGAAAGGTAAAATATGGACACCTTTTTTCTGCCCTAAATCTTTAAGACTCTCCATGCTTCTGGGTTATCAAAAGACTGTGTCCAGAGCATGTGCTTGTCAGGAACATTAATTAGGGTATTTGCATGCAAGAGTTGTCATGCAAGGGAGAGGGCAGGAAAGCTCTGAGGTGTTTCCACTGTAGTGTACACCACAATGTCACCAACCCTCTGGATGGGCTGATAAATCTAGCCTTACCACAATGCCCTGGGAGTGGGCTTGGGGCCTGCCACCTCCAGGAGCTCCTGTTCAAAGGGCATATAAGTCCCTATCAATGCCAAAGACTTGCCTCGCAAGAGCAGCTATAGGGACTGGGCAGGAATACAGATAGGGATCCTTCACTACATTGTTGGATGCTTCACACCTTTCCCAGCCACCTGCACGACCAGCTGAGTGGTACAGCCCTGAAGCCTATGTGAAAACAGGATAACTTGATGGTTCAGAGCCATTATTTCCATATGGGCTTAGGCAAGGTACTTAAACTCTCAGTGTCTCAGTTTCCTCACCTATAGAAAGGTAATAAAAGCAGTACCTATCCCCTTAGGGTTCGTGTGAGAATTAAATAAGCTAATATATATACCTGGTGCATGATAAGTTTTATATACGTGTTGGCTATGATCTTAGGGCAGCTGTGAGAGAGCTGAGCCCTAGAACCATAAAACCCTCCTAAGCACCATCTCCACTCATGGCCTGGCAGGTCGTGGAGCAGGAAATCCTGTGGGAAAAGGGAAGGCTTTGACTGTAGGAGTGGGTTGATTGTGGGTTCCTGGAAGGTGAGGACTCCTTCCCTAACATCCTCAATGCCCAGCAACACCTAATCTGGCTGCGGCAGGTGCTCAGGAAACGCTAGTCAAGGAGAAAGGCACTAGCTTTCGCTCTGCCCCCTGCCCCACCCCAGGGGCGGGACTGTAGAGGCGCCTATAAGGGAAGTTGTTCAGTCAACTCGGAAAAAGGGTAACAACCCGGAAAGTAGACTCACCGTCTTGGTCTAGAGACTGACCCCTGCACAGACAGACCCCTTCCCCTCTCTGCGAAAGGACCAAGCCCCAGAAGTCACTCCATCTCCTACGGCTCGCAATTTCCAGAGGCCCCCTGGCACCTTCCAGCCTGATGTCGTGCGTCAAGTTATGGTGAGTAGGGAGTGGCATGTCGATCGCAGCCTCCGACATTCACACCCAGAGAGCCCCACAGACTCGCTCAGAGAACGTCTTTGAGTCCGGGGACGGTGGGGGCCGGCGAGGGAGGCTGGGGATTGCAGTGAGAACGCCGAGTCACAGGGGCGCGGGGAGCAGCGCTGAGGCACGGCACGGCCGGCTAGTGGGCGACACCCCTCTCTCAGGCCCAGCGGTGCCCCCGCCCCCTTGGTGTCCATCGAGGAACTGGAGAACCAGGAGCTCGTCGGCAAAGGCGGGTTCGGCACAGTGTTCCGGGCGCAACATAGGAAGTGGGGCTACGATGTGGCGGTCAAGATCGTAAACTCGTGAGTGACCCCGGTTGACCCCAGCCGCAATCTGGCCAAAAAGGTGGAGCCACTGTGCTCTGGGGCCTGAATGGCGAAGGGAGGGATTTTCCCACGACCCCGGTGCGACTCCAGCTCTCTCCTGGAGTGTAGGAAGGCGATATCCAGGGAGGTCAAGGCCATGGCAAGTCTGGATAACGAATTCGTGCTGCGCCTAGAAGGGGTTATCGAGAAGGTGAACTGGGACCAAGATCCCAAGCCGGCTCTGGTGACTAAATTCATGGAGAACGGCTCCTTGTCGGGGCTGCTGCAGTCCCAGTGCCCTCGGCCCTGGCCGCTCCTTTGCCGCCTGCTGAAAGAAGTGGTGCTTGGGATGTTTTACCTGCACGACCAGAACCCGGTGCTCCTGCACCGGGACCTCAAGCCATCCAACGTCCTGCTGGACCCAGAGCTGCACGTCAAGGTCAGCTGGTCTACACCCCTCTCAGCCTCAAGACAAGGCCCCAGAGCTGCTCCAGCCAGGCCCGCCGGACACTAGACCTCCAGAGCCCTGTCTATTGAATAGGCGTAGCCTCTCTCTCTGGACACAGGGCTGCCAGGGGACAAAGCCCAGCCAGGAGTTTTAGCTCCTGCCTACCAGGTGATAGAGGCCCTGAGCCACACGAGTCATTTCCACCAGCTGCCCCACCAGCCCCTCCAAAGAGTCATGGCTGACCCAGCCCTGGAGACTCAGACCTTGACCTAGCCCTACCACAAGGCACCTAGATCTACCATCCAAGGGAACCTCTTCCCTTGACCTCCACACTCCCTTTACAAAGCTGAACCTGCACCTTCTGGGGGCAGGGGGGTTCCTGGAGGCTCTCTGGCCCCCTTGTCTTCCCTACCTCCCACTTCTTTCCTTCCTTTGCAGCTGGCAGATTTTGGCCTGTCCACATTTCAGGGAGGCTCACAGTCAGGGACAGGGTCCGGGGAGCCAGGGGGCACCCTGGGCTACTTGGCCCCAGAACTGTTTGTTAACGTAAACCGGAAGGCCTCCACAGCCAGTGACGTCTACAGGTAAGGATCCCGGCCCAAACACACAGCCAGGATTCCTACACTTCTCTGGGCCCTCCCAGGGGATGATGTATAGGAAAGGAGTCTTGCCAGTGATTGGACCGATCCTCAGCTTTGTGTCTCCTGCAGCTTCGGGATCCTAATGTGGGCAGTGCTTGCTGGAAGAGAAGTTGAGTGTAAGACTCTAGGAGGATTCTGGGATCCTTAACCCCAGGTGCCCTTCTCTTGAAAGCCCCAAGGCTTCCCCTTCCCGCTCACCTACTTAGACTGCCCTCCTCCCTCCTCGTGCCCCCACATTACACTCCCTGCCTCTTTCCATGATGAAGCAGATAATTCCCTTTTACCCTGAATGCCTTCTCTTCTCACCCTCCTCCCCTACTCCAGTGCCAACCGAACCATCACTCGTGTACGAAGCAGTGTGCAACAGGCAGAACCGGCCTTCATTGGCTGAGCTGCCCCAAGCCGGGCCTGAGACTCCCGGCTTAGAAGGACTGAAGGAGCTAATGCAGCTCTGCTGGAGCAGTGAGCCCAAGGACAGACCCTCCTTCCAGGGTGAGCTGGCCAGTTAGCTGGATCTAGGATAAGCTTGGGTCTGTCAGCAGGGGGCTTTTCTCAGGAAAAGAAGATTTGCTCACCTGCACTCCACTCTGCTGTCCCTCTAGAATGCCTACCAAAAACTGATGAAGTCTTCCAGATGGTGGAGAACAATATGAATGCTGCTGTCTCCACGGTGAGTGCCAACATCACCCCTCCCCAGGAGCTGGTCAGGGATGGCACAGCGTGGCTACCTGGCCATCCAATGACTCACCACTGACCACTGCTTTTTATGCCTTGACCTTTGTACCCACCGTCCCCAGCCCACCCCTGAGTTCCCAGACAACAGATTATGGACCGAGAGACTACTCCCTTGGGTTTACTCTGGCTCATCCAAGTCATACCCAGCAAACTCCTCCCATCCCTGCAGGTAAAGGATTTCCTGTCTCAGCTCAGGAGCAGCAATAGGAGATTTTCTATCCCAGAGTCAGGCCAAGGAGGGACAGAAATGGATGGCTTTAGGAGAACCATAGAAAACCAGCACTCTCGTAATGATGTCATGGTTTCTGAGTGGCTAAACAAACTGAATCTAGAGGAGCCTCCCAGCTCTGTTCCTAAAAAATGCCCGAGCCTTACCAAGAGGAGCAGGGCACAAGAGGAGCAGGTTCCACAAGCCTGGACAGCAGGCACATCTTCAGATTCGATGGCCCAACCTCCCCAGACTCCAGAGACCTCAACTTTCAGAAACCAGATGCCCAGCCCTACCTCAACTGGAACACCAAGTCCTGGACCCCGAGGGAATCAGGTGAGACATTGACAGGATTAGGGGATGCACTAAGAGTCCTATAAATGCTGTCCCCTTGCCAGCGAAAACTTGGGGCTGAGAGGAGTGCAGTGGGAGTGCCAGGCTCCAGGGCAGAACTGGATGCTCTGTGCTGTTTGCAGGGGGCTGAGAGACAAGGCATGAACTGGTCCTGCAGGACCCCGGAGCCAAATCCAGTAACAGGTACCCATTCTCTACCTCTTTCTTTTCCCTGTTCAATTCTTCCACCAGACTCCTCCTCCAGACCTATATCTAGATTCAGGGTACTTTGTGGAGGGGAGGGGAGAAGATGATCTAACTCAACCTTCTCATTTCATAAATGGGAAAACCGACACCCCCTGAGAAAGGAGCCCTCTGAGGTCACACAACAAAGCTTGGATTTGTCCCTGAATCTTCTAACTTTCCACAACACCAGCTCTGTGAGCCCCCTAAGTTCCATTGTTTCAGCAGTCCAGAGGACCTCCCAGCAAAAAAGATCAGGGTCTCAAATGTCAATTGCCACTCTCTAGAGCTTCTGCTAACACAATTCTGGAGAGGAGCTCTGAGGGGAGGAGCACAGGGCACACCTTGACACAGCCACTGACAAGTAGAGACTTCATACTCCCCACCCACCCCCAACTTGGCCTTTCTGACAGCTAAACCCTCCTGCCACCATCACTATTTCTCTTAAAGGGCGACCGCTCGTTAACATATACAACTGCTCTGGGGTGCAAGTTGGAGACAACAACTACTTGACTATGCAACAGACAACTGCCTTGCCCACATGGGGCTTGGCACCTTCGGGCAAGGGGAGGGGCTTGCAGCACCCCCCACCAGTAGGTTCGCAAGAAGGCCCTAAAGATCCTGAAGCCTGGAGCAGGCCACAGGGTTGGTATAATCATAGCGGGAAATAAAGCACCTTCCAAGCTTGCCTCCAAGAGTTACGAGTTAAGGAAGAGTGCCACCCCTTGAGGCCCCTGACTTCCTTCTAGGGCAGTCTGGCCTGCCCACAAACTGACTTTGTGACCTGTCCCCCAGGAGTCAATAAACATGATGGAATGCTAGTCAGTCTGAGCTCAGCCAGGGGCAGGGAGGGACTGGGATGGGGGTGGGAGCTGCCAGTGAGGGATAGGGAGGCACCACAGCTCTGCTATGGCAGGAAGTGGGGATGCTGGGGGCTGGGAGTGGGCAATGGCCTGGCACACAAGGTCAGGGCACAGCCGGCTACAACAGGAAGGAATCCTAGAGGCCTGGTTCCCCAGACCACTCTCTAATCTCAGGGCAGTGCTTCCTCTAAAGCCTAGGATGGCGACCCCACCCTAACCCTAAACTCTGGGGATAGAGGCTGTGGTCCCTTTTCTTCCGGGCTCTCAAGACTCACTTGCAGGGCTCTGGCGAGGGATGAGTTGATGTGAAAGATCACAGACCTGGCCCCGCACGGTGCCCCCAGGCTCTTAGAGATCATGACGCCACATACCTGCCTCCACCACACACTCAGGTTGCTTCCTGGACATTGCTTCCCTTTTGATTCCCAGTTGCTGTTCGGGAGTGGAAAGCTATGGCTCCTAAAGCTATACACAGGCGCAACCCCTCCCACGGAGCATGAACAGTTCAAACCCGGTGGTAGTGGTTGCCAGCCAAGCGGAGAGGTCAAGAGAATGAGCGCCCCCAACTCTGACCTAGATCCCCACCAGGACCCACATTCTTCCCTACATTCTCGCCAGGCTTCAGCCCCCCGCCCTCGGTCTCCCCACTACCAAACGTTCACCTCCATTTGGACACATCCCATTGGGTCCACCCCAGCCCACCCCTTCGCATCTCTCCCAGGGTCCACATTGCCCTTCCCTGAAGGGGCTGAAGCGGGGAGGCGATGGTGTTAGGAGAGACAAAACCAAGTGCGGGAGGAGACCAGGGGAGTCCGGCTTTGGCACAGGAAGGGGCCGGGCTGTCCCGTCGGGGAAGTGGGAGGGGGCCGCGGCGCCGGGAGGGAAGCGCCTGTCGCCCGGGACTCTGAGCCAGAGCGCAGCGGCGAGCGTGACTCCGCCATCAGGTCCCCGGCTCCCTCCCCGGACCTAGCCCACTCCGCTGCGCCAGCGCCGCGGGCAGTGAGTTCGGGGATCAGGGGAACCCGGGGCTCCCTCGCACCAACCCCAAATCCTGCCCTCCTGGCGATGAGGCTTTTCTAGGGCACCTCTACAATCCGGGTTTGAGGGAGGAGGAGGAAAGGACTGAGGGATCCCCTCATCGCCAGCTGGGAGCGGGCTGGGAGGCCGCAGGGAGGGCCTGAAAAAGGAGACGGGATTGCCACGAGGTTGGGGGCGCGGGGTGGTAGCGGCTTTGAGCGGGTGAGAAAAGCTCAGGTGGGGCCCGCCGGGCCGAAGGAGGTAACCCGGCGCCCGGCCCTAGCCAGCCCCGGGGCTCGGGGCTGGGGAGATCATGGCCCGCCTCTTCAGCCCCCGGCCGCCCCCCAGCGAAGACCTCTTCTACGAGACCTACTACAGCCTGAGCCAGCAGTACCCGCTGCTGCTGCTGCTGCTGGGGATCGTGCTCTGTGCGCTCGCGGCGCTGCTCGCAGTGGCCTGGGCCAGCGGCAGGGTGAGCCGAGCCTCTGCTGCGGGAGGGTCTCTACCTGGGGAGCATTTTCGGGGTTGGGGTTTGTGGGGTCTTCTTTTCGATGTGTTTTCGTTGCTGGGAGCAGAGAAAGAAAGGACCATTGAGCCTGGCTAGGAACTGCAGTGACCCTGGGCAAGTCACTCTACCCTTCTGGGTCTGCTCAGGGAGAAAGCTGAGTCCTGGATGCTTCTCGTTTCTGTCCGGGTTCTGACAGACTTTATGAACATCCGTGGTCTACGGGTTCTACAATAAATCCATCACCGGATTTTCCAGTTTTCCAAAGGGGAAATTCTAGGAGGCCCCTGGGGAATTCATTTCCTGCCTTTCTCTCCCTCTTAGGGGATGTAGAGCAGTTGTACCCACAGACTCCCAGAAGGCACCCTCCACCGGGCTCTCACTGAGTCCCAAAGTAAACCCATGTCCAGTTTCTGTTTGGGGAGGAAGAAGGTCTTCAATCCAATTCTAGAAATGGCCTGCCCCTGGTTTTCTTTTCACTGCTTGGAGGCAAGGTGGGAAAATCACCGGGCGCGGCCAATCCTTGCTGGTCCACGCCTAAATCCGGGAAGAGGTGGGGACAAAATGCTGGGACGGCTGTGCAGCTTCTGCTTGGAGTTGAGGCAGGTGGCGAGATCGCAGCCCTGGTGGCCAGGGAGGTGCGGGACGCCGCGGGTCCTGGCGCCCCCTGCTGCTCGAGCGCTGCCTCGCGCCGCCCTTCAAGCTGCCGGCCGCGGTCCCCGGCTCCGGGAATCTCCCGAGCAAATTGGCCAGATTTGGAGACATTCATTCCGAAGTGCCTCCTTGTGAGCTTGGATCTATCTTTCACTTGCTTCATGACGCTTTGGTTCCCGTTTGACAGATAAGAAAACTGAGGCTCAGAAACAAATAGGGGATGGGAGCCAGATCTTCTGGGTAGCTGTCCCAGCAAGATAATAGGTTGGACAACAGGAGGCTGGGCGCTGTGGCTCACGCCTGTAATCCCAGCACTTTGGGAGGCCAAGGCGGGAGATCGTTTGAGCCCAGGAGCTCGAGACCAGCCTGGGCAACTTGGCGAGACCCTGTCTTCTACTAAAAATACAAAAAAAAAAAAATTAGCTGGGCGTGGTGGCGGGAGCCTGTAATCCCAGCTACTCGGGAGGCTGAGGCATGAGAATCACTTGAACCCGGGAGGCAGAGGTTGCAGTAAGCCGAGATCGCGCCACTGAACTCCAGCCTGGGCGACAGAGCAAGACTCTGTCTCAAAAAACAAACCAACCAACCAACAAAAACCATACGAGACTGCTGAGTCTAGATAAAAGCAGTAGGACACAAGCAATTTCAAATGGTTCAACCTAAAGTGAATGGCAAGCGGAGGTGCCTTGCCTCCTTTTCGTACTTAGGCTTGAGACACCTTTCAGAACTGGGCTGAGGGGCTGGGCTGCTGGCTTTTCCTTTATCAGGTTCGTTCCTTCTCCCTGTCACAATCTTGCCTCACACACCCCTGCCCACAGGAGCTGACCTCAGACCCGAGCTTCCTGACCACTGTGCTGTGCGCGCTGGGCGGCTTCTCGCTGCTGCTGGGCCTCGCTTCCCGGGAGCAGCGACTGCAGCGCTGGACGCGTCCCCTGTCCGGCTTGGTATGGGTCGCGCTGCTAGCGCTAGGCCACGCCTTCCTGTTCACCGGGGGCGTGGTGAGCGCCTGGGACCAGGTGAGAGGGGCGGCAGGCGGGGCAGCGGGGACGGCCCGGGCTTCGATCCCTCACCAGGCCTTGAATAGCCCCACTTGGGCCTTCGGCTTCCCGCGCCCCGCCCCCAGGTGTCCTATTTTCTCTTCGTCATCTTCACGGCGTATGCCATGCTGCCCTTGGGCATGCGGGACGCCGCCGTCGCGGGCCTCGCCTCCTCACTCTCGCATCTGCTGGTCCTCGGGCTGTATCTTGGGCCACAGCCGGACTCACGGCCTGCACTGCTGCCGCAGGTGAGCACGCAAGTAGCACAGGCTGCGCTCAGGACGGCTCTGCCACGTGCTAGTAGGCTCCTTTTAGGGGGTTGTTGAGCTGTGACTCCAAGTCAAGGTGCAACGCTGGGCGCAGGATACCCAACCGTGCTTTCGCAGAGCTGGTACAACAGTGTGATGCAATGCCTGCTGTTACCAGAAGAGGGATCCAGGCCACACGGAAGGGAGTCGTGTCGTGGTTTACCCCGGGGACAACAGATGTGGTTAATGAAACCTTGACAGAGAATGAAAAAAAAAAAAAAAAAGTTTTGTGCGATGGGAGTGGGTAGCGACAGTGGAGTGGTATTCCAAGCACAAGAAACCTACCTGCAAACGTTTCCAGACCTAAGAGGTCGTGTTGGTGAAGCAGCCGAGAGTCTGGAGGAGGGAGCATCTGGGAAGGGAAACGTCCCTAGGGATGCCACAGTGTGGCACCACTTGTCCCACAATAGTTAGGTCCCTCACTGTAAAGCCCAGTCTTCCCCAGCCAGTCTTTGAGACCAACTCCAACTACACACGACAAGCACCCGGGTCCCGCGCCCTCTGAGGCTGGCCTTCACCCACAGTTGGCAGCAAACGCAGTGCTGTTCCTGTGCGGGAACGTGGCAGGAGTGTACCACAAGGCGCTGATGGAGCGCGCCCTGCGGGCCACGTTCCGGGAGGCACTCAGCTCCCTGCACTCACGCCGGCGGCTGGACACCGAGAAGAAGCACCAGGTCAGCCGGGCCTAGGAAGGTCAGAGCAGCGCTCCGAGGGAGGAGTTGCTTAGATTACATAACGGGGCTCCTCCACAAGTTGAGTGACTCTGGGCAGGTTTCTTGACCTGTTTCCTCTTTTGTATAAAATGTGGGTATTGCCCATCTTAGAAGGTTGTGAGGCTCAAACAAACCAAAGCTTATAAAAAGCACTTTAGAGCATTATGATATTAAGTGAACTCCCATTCAGGTGTTGATACTGGGAGTTTAGTCACTAAAGGTGATCAGTGTAGGATGGAGTGCTGGGGCCCTGCTGTGTGCAGCGGGAGGACCTGGGGGAGCACCCTGGGGAGCACCTAGGATGGGCAGTGTGGGCTCCTGAGTGATTTGGGGGACAGGGCCTCCTGGCTTTAGGGTGCAGAAGAGTTGGTGTTCATGGTGACCTCTTCCAGGAACACCTTCTCTTGTCCATCCTTCCTGCCTACCTGGCCCGAGAGATGAAGGCAGAGATCATGGCACGGCTGCAGGCAGGACAGGGGTCACGGCCAGAGAGCACTAACAATTTCCACAGCCTCTATGTCAAGAGGCACCAGGGAGTCAGGTATGAGGAAGAATGGCTGGAGGGGAGGGGCCTGTGGGCTAAGACCCTGGCCCTGCTGACACAGTCTGCCCTATGCAGCGTGCTGTATGCTGACATCGTGGGCTTCACGCGGCTGGCCAGCGAGTGTTCCCCTAAGGAGCTGGTGCTCATGCTCAATGAGCTCTTTGGCAAGTTCGACCAGATTGCCAAGGTCAGAGAAGACTTCCCTCCCCACCCAGGGACCCTCAAACATCCCATCCTGGGTAGCCCCTTCCAAGGGAAACTCCCACCTTATAAGATCCCAGGCCCACTTCAGTGCATGCAGGCCCCCAGATATTCCAGTGGAAGGAGGAAACCCTCTCAAACATTCCCAGTCATGAAGCTGCTCACCACACACCTCAAACCTACAGAGATCCCTCAATATCGCCACAGATGTCCCAAGTACAATGCCCCAAACATGCTCAGAGCCCCCACATATGTGTCTCTGGACACTACAACCAAATCTATAGAGACGTTCTGATATTCTAACCTTAGGAGGCCCTTCCAAGAGAAATTTCTGCCCTATGCAACCTCAGCCCAGCAACCTGCTTAGACTCCAGGGATGCCTCCAAGCAACCAATTCTTGGATTCCCCCCAACCTCTCAATCCTGAGACCACTACCACGTACTCAACTCTGGGTACCCCCTTCAACATGCCAAAAGTGGAAAGAGCCACAGCCATCCAGCCCTTGGGGAAACTCTTCTGAGAAAGAGATCTGTATGAAAGACAGTTAGCCCCATATCAAGTGAAAGGAGTCCCTAGATCTGATCTAGACACTACCCCACCTTGGAAGTTCTTCAGGAATACCCCGCTCGCTGCCCACTTTTCCCAACTCCCTCCTACCCTTCTGACCTCTAACCAGGTTCCTCTGCACACCCACATACACACTCCCAGGAGCATGAATGCATGCGGATCAAGATCCTGGGGGACTGTTACTACTGTGTCTCTGGGCTGCCACTCTCACTGCCAGACCATGCCATCAACTGCGTGCGCATGGGCCTGGACATGTGCCGGGCCATCAGGTCAGCTCAGGCGGTGGTCAAGAGGAATGCTGAGGGTGGATGTGGGGGGCAGCAGGCAGCTGACAGAAGTCCTCTTTGTGAGAATCTGGGGTGTCTCACAGGCAGGGCTGAGGGTAGGACTCAGATTGTCCCACACACACACTGCTCAGGAAACTGCGGGCAGCCACTGGCGTGGACATCAACATGCGTGTGGGCGTGCACTCAGGCAGCGTACTGTGTGGAGTCATCGGGCTGCAGAAGTGGCAGTACGACGTTTGGTCACATGATGTCACACTGGCTAACCACATGGAGGCAGGCGGTGTACCAGGGTGAGACCTAGGGCCCTAGGCAGCTACAGCAGAAGGCCAACCAGGCCTACCACAGGCTGCCATCCTTTCATTAGTTCCTTAAGATAAGCACAAGATGAGTACCTTAAGATAAGTCCCATATGGGGCTTGGGAGATCCTAGGGTGCAGGGAGGGGAGCTGGGAGGCACCTCCTGTAACACAGGCTCTTTCTTGAAGTCAGACATCCAGGAACGATCTTTAAAAGACATGAGATGTTTGTCAGTTCTAGGAGCCATGGGGGTGATGGGGCAGGAAATAGGAGATTTGAAGGCCCTCCCTGCTGACCCCTACTGCCTCCCTCCTTCCAGGCGAGTGCACATCACAGGGGCTACCCTGGCCCTGCTGGCAGGGGCTTATGCTGTGGAGGACGCAGGCATGGAGCATCGGGACCCCTACCTTCGGGAGCTAGGGGAGCCTACCTATCTGGTCATCGATCCACGGGTAAAAGCCCAGCCCAGACCCCATGGGCTGGCCTACACAAACCACCCCACAGCCAACAGGCCTGATCTCTTCTGTGCCAGAGATTGAGTTCCTGGGTCCTAGTGGGGGGTGGAGGGAGAAGGAGGAAGTGTCTGTGGTCTTTACTGTCAGCCCTTATGTGCCCCAGGCAGAGGAGGAGGATGAGAAGGGCACTGCAGGAGGCTTGCTGTCCTCGCTTGAGGGCCTCAAGATGCGTCCATCACTGCTGATGACCCGTTACCTGGAGTCCTGGGGCGCAGCCAAGCCTTTTGCCCACCTGAGCCACGGAGACAGCCCTGTGTCCACCTCCACCCCTCTCCCGGTATGTGCACCTTCATCCTGAGCCCCAGAGCTTAGTTAAATCCACCCCCAGTATCCTCAGGCCCCACTGGCAGCCTTCCCTGCCCCCACCACCAGTGAGCCACTTAATGATTTGTGACATCCCAAAGTCCCGAACTGTCTTGTCACCCCAGTCACTGGTTCAGGCCCTTCCTTGCCCCTCCTTCTAGAGAAAGAGCCCTCCAGCTCACCTCAGAGAAGATACAAGATCCCTACAGACACCATTGTAGGGACCAGCCCCACAGGGTCGGTGGGTCTCTCCCTGTGTGCGACGACGAGAGAGTGTAGAAATAAAGACACAAGACAAAGAGATAAGAGAAAAGGCAGCTGGGCCCGGGGGACCACTACCACCAATGCGCGGAGACCGGTAGTGGCCCCGAATGTCGGGCTGCGCTGTTATTTATTGGATACAAGGCAGAAGGGGCAAGGTAAAGAATGTGAGTCACCTCCAATGATAGGTAAGGTCATGTGGGTCACATATCCACTGGACAGGGGGCCCTTCCCTGCCTGGCAGCCGAGGCAGAGAGGGAGAGGAGACAAAGAGAAAGACAGCTTACACCATTATTTCTGCATATCAGGGACTATTAGTATTTTCACTAATTTACTACTGCTATCTGGAAGGCAGAGCCAGGTGTACAGGATGGAACATGAAGGTGGACTAGGAGCGTGACCACTGAAGCACAGCATCACAGGGAGACGGTTAGGCCTCCGGATAACTGTGGGTGAGCCTGACTGATGTCAGGGCCTCCACAAGAGGTGGAGGAGCAGAGTCTTCTCTAAACTCCCCCAGGGAAAGGGAGACCCCCCCCCCCACCCCGCTTTCCCGGTCTGCTAAGTAGCTGGTGTTGTTTCTTGACACCTTTTGCTACCGCTGGACCATGATCCGCTTGGTGACGGGCGTCTTCCCAGATGCTGGCGTCACCGCTAGACCAAGGAGCCCTCTGGTGGCCCTGTCCAGGCATAACAGAAGGCTCGCACTCCTGTCTTCTGGTCACTTCTCACTATGTCCCCTCAGCTCCTATCTCTGTATGGCCTGGTTTTTCCTAGGCTATGATTATTGAGTGAGGATTATCATAATATTGGAATAAAAAGTAATTGCTACCCACTAATGATTAATGATACTCATATATAATCATATCTAAGATCTATATCTGGTATAACAATTCTTGTTTTATATTTTATTATACTGGAACTGCTCGTGTCCTCTGTCTCTTGCCTCGGTGCCTGGGTGGCTTGCCACCCACACACCATGTCCATAACTCCCCAGCCTCTACTCAGGAGAGTGCCTTCCCCTGACACCACAAAGGCAGTTGGACCCCCCACTTCCTCCTGTCTCTGATTCTAGGGCTGTGCACCCATAGCACCAGGAAATGTCTCTGTTTAACTCAATTCCTGAAACTGCATGCTCTCTTCTTCAACCCCCCAACACTGGGGAGTGGGGGAAGGACACTGGCAGCAGTGGTTGCAGGAAGTACTTAATTCCAAGTGTTAACATGAGGTAGGGGAGAGGTCAGAGGGTTAAGCTGGCAGGAGGAAGAGGAAGGAAGAAGCTGAGGTTCAGCTGACTGTTGCAGGATGAGACCTCCAGCATGGGTGGAGTGGTGTGTGGGGACTGCTACAAGCCCAGGGACTGTGAGATGGTGTTAGGTACAATTACATAGCAGGAATGCCTGCCGGGGCCCATGCTAGACCTCCTGCCGCTTTCCACTGGTGTGCAGGCTAGGGAGTATTAGGGTGGAAGAGCAGGACCCTTTGTTCAAGGGTGTCTCCTGAGGCAGGACCTTCACTAGCACAGAAATCCACTTAGCCCCTGAAGTTCCAGGGGCTCAGTCAAATATTAGAAATCTTGCCAGGCACGGTGGCTCACACCTGTAATCCCAGTACTTTGGGAGGATGAGGCAGATGGATAGCTTGAGGTCAGTAGTTTGAGACCAGCCCGGCCAACATGGCGAAACCCCATCTCTACTAAAAATACAAAAATCAGCCAGGCGTGGTGGTGCGTGCCTGCAATCCCAGCTACTCAGGAGGCTGAGGCAAGAGAATTGCTTGAACCTGGAAGGCGGAGGTTGCAGTGAGCTGAGATTGCACCAATGCACTCCAGCCTGGGCAACAAGAGCGAAACTCCGTTGCAAAAAAAAAAAAAAAAATCCAGCCAGGTACGGTGGCTCATGCCTATAATCCCAGCACTTTGAGAAGCCGAGGCAGGCGGATCACCTAAGGTCAGCAGTTTGAGACCAGCCTGACCAACATGGTGAAACCCCATCTCTACTAAAAATGCAAAAATTAGCTGGGCGTGGTGGCACATGCCTGTAATCCCAGCCACCTGGAAGGCTGAGGCAGGAAAATCGGTTGAACCTGGGAGGTGGAAGTTGTGGTGAGCCGAGATCATGCCATTGCACTCCAGCCTGGTGACAGAGCAAGATTCAGTCACACACACACACACACACACACACACACACACACACACACACAAAGATCCTGGGAGTCTAGAGAGTCAGGGGGAAACTTTAAGGAGATTCAAACCTCCCCTTCAAGGGCAGGTGGGATTTGGGAGACAGAGAGGTCATTAGAGGCAAAAGAAAGAGCCCAGTGAAATGCCCAAGGTCAAAGACATGTATAGAGCATGCAGTGTGGCTCATGGTCTACCTCACTGCAGGGAAAACACCCACCATGCCCACCTCCCCCTGTGCTCTCCCAACAGGAGAAGACCCTGGCTTCCTTCAGCACCCAGTGGAGCCTGGATCGGTGAGGAGGCCTCAAAGTCTTTGCCAGTGGGGCTGTCTGGATGACCCCCTCCATCCTCCCTGGGGGTCTGCTCCTGCTTTGCCCAGACGCTCTGAGGGTCTCTGTGGTGATGGACTTGGCTCTCACTGTGCAGGAGCCGTACCCCCCGGGGACTAGATGATGAACTGGACACCGGGGATGCCAAGTTCTTCCAGGTCATTGAGCAGCTCAACTCGCAGAAGTACGGAGAACAAAGAGGGCTGGGGGGGCCGCAGGCCCTGAGGTCATATGGTGGAGAAGGGATGGTGCTCCCTGAGGGGCTGGAGGGAAGACTCGCCTGACCACCCCCTCTTGCCCTCACTCTGCCCTCTTCCTGCCCTTCTGTGCCCTCTGTTCTCTGGTGCTTTCACCCACCCTCCCACCTCCCACCAGACAGTGGAAGCAGTCGAAGGACTTCAACCCACTGACACTGTACTTCAGAGAGAAGGAGATGGAGAAAGAGGTGGGCTGTGGTGTGGGTGGCACCAAACAACTTCCCAACTTTAGTTCCTTGGTGCTGGGGAGGGGTCAGCCCTTGGGTCTCCTCCCCAAGTCTGCTCAGTTTGTGATCCTAGGGGTGAGGAGCTTGTGCCTCTCTCTAAAGGAAAGTCACTCTGTAGACTGAGCTACTAGATGGTAGGGGGAGGAAGGAGGGTAACTCCTTGGAGAACTGGTAGGGTCTACATGGAACTGAACTGGAGCCTGGGCGGTGAGGCTGAGGAGCCCACCCCTTGCCTGGGAGTGATGCCTTCAAGGTGATGGGTAGCACTGGACCCTGTCTCCACCTCTGGCCCTCTCACTTTCAGTACCGACTCTCTGCAATCCCCGCCTTCAAATACTATGAAGCCTGCACCTTCCTGGTTTTTCTCTCCAACTTCATCATCCAGATGCTAGTGACAAACAGGTGAGAGTGCCCCAGGCAAAGGAGGCCCTGGCTGTCATAAGCGGATCACCTTGCCCTCATGACCCCGGGCCACACTTTCTTCCTTCACCCCTTCCCCTTAGCTTCAGGCACTTACCCACAGAGGAAACATGTGTTCTGGGGAAAATGATAATCACGGCCCTTATCTTAACCTTGTAGATCCTGTGGACTTTCTACACAGCCCTAGCATTTTCCCATGAGCATCTCTTTTGATTCTAACAACATCCCCATGAAGGCCAGTTTGTTTCCATTGAGAAACCCAAATCTGGCAGCAAATGCATGAGCTTAGAAAGTAGGCCCTCATTCCTAGTCCACTGCTAGGAGGGATGAGGACTTGTTCTTAACTCAGCCAGGTGGCCGGGTGTGATGGCTCACGCCTGTAATCCCAGCACTCTGGGAGGCTGAGGCAGGTGGATCACCTGAGGTCAGGAGTGAAAGACTAGCCTGGCCAACATGGTGAAACCCCATCTCTACTAAAAATACAAAAATTTGCTGGGTGAGATGGCAGGCGCCTGTAATCCCAGCTACTCGGGAGGCTGAGGCAGGAGAATCGCTCAAACCCGGGAGGCGGAGTTTGCAGTGAGCCAAGATCACACCACTGCACTCCAGCCAGGGCAACAGAGCGAGACTCCGCCTCAAAAAAAAAGAAAAAAAAAAAACTCAGCCAAGTTAAAGAGCTTTGGGCTAAAGGCCCAGAGATCAGTCTGCCGTAGCCTCAGCCATTCTTGTGAGCCCCCACTCCCCACCATATGGGTCCCTGTTCCACCTCGACACTGCTCTAGACCCTTAAGCCAGCCAACCCAGATCATCAGAATGCAATGTCTTCTATCAGCCGGGACCCCATCGCCAGCCAACCCAGATTCCCCAGAACCACTTCCCCTATCTCCCACCCAGCTCACACAGCACCTTCATAGCACACAGGGAGCCTGTTCTGGCACTTCAAGGCCTCGCTTTTGTCTCCCTTCAGGCCCCCAGCTCTGGCCATCACGTATAGCATCACCTTCCTCCTCTTCCTCCTCATCCTTTTTGTCTGCTTCTCAGAGGACCTGATGGTGAGGTGGGCTGAGGGGTGGAAGTGGTATGCCGGAGCCCTGGTCACAACCTGTCCTGAAGAGGGTGCCCCAGCCCCGTGGCTAAGATGCCCATGCTCCCTCCACAGAGGTGTGTCCTGAAAGGCCCCAAGATGCTGCACTGGCTGCCTGCACTGTCTGGCCTGGTGGCCACACGACCAGGACTGAGAATAGCCTTGGGCACCGCCACCATCCTCCTTGTCTTTGCCATGGCCATTACCAGCCTGGTGAGGACAGAGGGGGCCCTATCCACCCCCATGAGGGCATGTTGGACCTGCCAGGGACTGAAAGGGAACCCCTGGATTTGGGCAGGCAGCTGGACTAAGCCCAGGGGATGCTGGAAATGTTGTACAAATAGAAAGAAAAAAATTACAGTCTCCAGCAATCTACCATCTGGGCATAATAGTTGTTGATAACACTTCGGTGAATGTCCTTCTTATCTTTTTTCTGTGTAGGCAGTTACTTATTACTTAGATCACTTGGCTGATTCTTCAGGATTTAGACTCATTCCTAGAATTCTATTCCTGGTGGGCACCTGGGAATCACCCACCAGCCAAGTTACAGAAGAAGAAACTAAGGCCCAGAGAGGCTAAGTGGCTGGCAAGAGCTCACACAGTGGCTCAGAGTCAGAGGAGTACTCTTGACGCCCCTCACATAACTCCTCCCCGAGTGAGGACCCCAGTGCTGAGGTTCCCTTCCCAACCAGAAATAGCAGGATCCACCCCTTTGGACGAGTCTTCCCCTGACTCATCCCTGGGTCAGCTGAAACCCAGCACAAGCCACCACTGTGCCCAAGAAGCTACCTGCCTCTTCAACTCCTCATCTCCTCTGCAGTTCTTCTTCCCAACATCATCAGACTGCCCTTTCCAAGCTCCCAATGTGTCCTCCATGATTTCCAACCTCTCCTGGGAGCTCCCTGGGTCTCTGCCTCTCATCAGTGTCCCAGTGAGTGTTCCCACATGCCCTTAATCTCCTTCTGCACACCCTTCCTCAGCCCAAGCCCACAGCCCCCTGAGTGGAGGAACGCTCCATTCTGTGGATTAGAACAGACATAAGTCACACCCAGTGTGTATCAGTGTGTATGATGCCCCCTGTCTCCCAGATAGGACCTGGGCCTGGGAGGGACAGGAAGGGAGCCCTCAGGTGTCCCCCCTCTGCCTATGGGACATGCCCACTCCTGACCCCTGCCTGGCCCCACAGTACTCCATGCACTGCTGCACGCTGGGCTTCCTCTCCTGCTCCCTCTTTCTGCACATGAGCTTCGAGCTGAAGCTGCTGCTGCTCCTGCTGTGGCTGGCGGCATCCTGCTCCCTCTTCCTGCACTCCCATGCCTGGCTGTCGGAATGCCTCATCGTCCGCCTCTATCTGGGCCCCTTGGACTCCAGGTGTGCACAGCTGCTGGACAGAGGTGCCGGGCCCCCTGGGATGGGGTGAGATGGGATACAGCAGAGCTGTCCTGGCCTCACCGACCTGAATCACCCACAGGGCAAAGTGGGAGGGAAGCGGAGGCCTACATGGGGGCAGGGAGAAGGCCAGGAAGGGGGAAAGCAAGGGGTCACCCTGATCCATGGCCCCTTCAGGCCCGGAGTGCTGAAGGAGCCCAAACTGATGGGTGCTATCTCCTTCTTCATCTTCTTCTTCACCCTCCTTGTCCTGGCTCGCCAGGTAAGTCACCCAGCTCAGCCCCACCAGGGCCCACCTATGAGTGGCCCCCATATCTGTGACTTGATCTTTCTAATCTCCAGGGTTGAATGCCCATTGGAAGCTTCTAAGCGAGCCTTCCTGCTTCCTTTCTTCTCCTTCACTCCCTGCCCCTCCTTTCTCCCACACCCCTATCTGGGAAAGCCCATGCTTTAGAAAAAGTCTGCTGCCAATTCTCTATCCCTAGTCTGAATCTAATTTCAAGGATAGTCTCTCTCCAAGTATACTTACACCTTAAGCTCTACTTCTAAACTGGGGGTGGGGTGGGGGTGGTTTCAGGCATCATGGAGTTGGGGCTGAACACTCAGGAGCTGGGCTTCCCCTGCTCTGTGTCTCCCCATGGCCCCGGGTGACCCTCCCCAGAATGAGTACTACTGCCGCCTGGACTTCCTGTGGAAGAAGAAGCTGAGGCAGGAGAGGGAGGAGACAGAGACGATGGAGAACCTGACTCGGCTGCTCTTGGAGAACGTGCTCCCTGCACACGTGGCCCCCCAGTTCATTGGCCAGAACCGGCGCAACGAGGTGACTCCTGACCCCCTGACTCCTGAGCCACGGATGCCATAGGGCCTAATTTCAGATGAAAGCCTTGACCTATGGCCCGTTTTCTCTAGAACCCCCAGAAGGGTCACCCAAGCCCTTGTGCTTGTCAAGCGTCTTTGTTTTCACAACATCTTAGATTCTTTCTTTGGTGAGCACAAAACTGCATTTCAAATTCTTACTTGGAAGGCATGTCTTCTCTAACTCATGACCATTCCATACATTCCAGAAGCCTAGGCGTTGATGGGAGCTGTCTGGAGCAGGGGTCCCCAGCCCCCAGGCCGCAGACTGATACTAGTCCATGACCTGTTGGGAACTGGGCTACACAGCAGGAGGTGAGCGGTGAGCCAGCACTACCGCCTGAGCTCTGCCTCTTGTCAGATCAGTAGCAGCATCAGATTCTCATAGGAACTTGAACCTTATTGTGAACTGCACATGCAAGGGGTCTAGGTTGTACACTCCTTATGAAAATCTATTAGGCTGGTGCAAAATTAATCGCAGTTTTTGCCATTAAAAGTAATATAATTAAAAGTAATTACTTTTTTTTTTTTTTAAGACACAGTTTCACTCTCATCGCTCAGGCTGGAGTGCAACAGAGTTTCACTCTCGTCGCTCAGGCTGGAGTGCAACAGAGTTTCACTCTCGTCGCTCAGGCTGGAGTGCATGTAATGGCACGGTCTCAGCTCACTGAAACCTCCGCCTCCTGGGTTCAAGCAATTCTCCTGCCTCAGCCTCCCAGGTAGCTGGGATTACAGGCGCCTGCCACCATGCCTGGCTAATTTTTTTTATATTTTTTTTTTTTAGTAGAGACAGGGTTTCACCATGTTGGTCAGGCTGATCTCGATCTCCTGATCTCAGGTGATCCACCCACCTTGGCCTCCCAAAATGCTGAGATTACAGGCGCACCGCACCCGGCCTAAAAGTAATTACTTTTAATGGCAAAAAAAAAAAAAAAAAAGAAATGCAATTAATTTTGCACCAACCTAATAACTAATGCCTGATGATCTGAAGTAGAACAGTTTCATCCCAAAACCATCCCCCACCACAGCCTGGGTGCGTGGAAAACTTGTCTTCCATGAAACCCATCCTTGGGTCCAAAAAGGTTGGGGACTGCTGGTCTAGAGGATACAGTCCACCCCTCTCTCTAGACCTGCACTATCCAATATGGTAGCCATTAGCCATATGAAATTTTAATGTTAATTAATTAAAATAAAATATTCAGTTCCTCAGTTGCACCAGCCACATTTCCAGGGCTCAACAGCCACTCGTAGCTAGTGGCCACCCTATTGGACACTGCACATAGGGAATGTTTCCATTGCAAAAATTTCTATTGGATGCTGCTGCTCTAGATCCTCAAAAATCTTGCTAGCGCCAAACCATCAGAAATTCACCCACATATTTGTACCATCTTATTTGTATCATCTGCTGGCCCTCTGCTGTGGAAATGCTCTTGGCTCATATTGAGGGATGTTAAAAGAAACAGCTCAGGAGCTCTTTCACAGCCTTATGCCCCCACCGCCTGCTCCCTGCTCTCAAGATCAGTAGTTCTTTTCTGGTTTCTTCTCTTACAGACACAAGGAATCTTGTAATCGATCCTTTTCTCTCTTCACTTTGGCTGCTAGAAAGCTGAGAGCCAAAATCTAAGACTAAATAGGATTTCATGGCACTCATTTTGTGAACCACCCTCAGATCTGATTCCATCTTTATTATCTTACCCTTATTTTCCCTTTGCCTCATAGTCCCTATTGTTGCTTACTTCATCTTTCATTTTGTACCTATCTTAACTGACTTAAACACTTAAACACATTTTACCCTTGGTTTTGTAGCCGGCTTAATTGACTTAAACACCTTTCAGCAATAAGATAGGATATAGAAATAATTCACATTGACAGGATCCCAGTTCTAGGAGTGACTCCCTTCGTGTTGCTGTGAGGTGATCCTAACGCCAAACCTCTGTCTCTTCTAGAATTACAATGAGATCTAAGCTTTGACTCCTAAGTCACTTCCCTGGGGTAGCCTGGCCCTACTCCTCTCCCTCCTTCCCAATTCTTCTTAAACAGGGAGACCAGGAGTGTGGACATGGGGAGGAGGGCCCCACGCAGACCTCTAGAAGGGAGAGGAACATGACACACACCCCTCACTCCAGTCTCCTGTTCCCCCAGGATCTCTACCACCAGTCCTATGAATGCGTTTGTGTCCTCTTCGCCTCAGTCCCAGACTTCAAGGAGTTCTACTCTGAATCCAACATCAATCATGAGGGCCTAGAGTGTCTGAGGCTGCTCAATGAGATAATTGCTGATTTTGATGAGGTGAAAATTCCAAGAGTCTCCCAGACCCTATGTCCTAGATTCTAGAATTTTCCACCAGTACCTCCTTCCACTTTGCTTTTCTGGCCATGAAGTCAATCCTCCCCTCCACAGTACTCCCTCACCTCCTCTGATCCCCCAGATCTACCCACTCCAGCAACACTGCCCACCACCAACCCTCTCCTTCCTGACACTATCTCCACTCCCACAGCCTGATCCTTTAACTCCAAAGGCTTGGGGCTGGGCTTCTGGGAGAGGTGATGGAGAGAGTAAGAGAGACTGGGGACAGGACTCTTCTCTATATACAGCTGCTCTCCAAGCCCAAGTTCAGTGGGGTGGAGAAGATCAAGACCATCGGCAGCACCTACATGGCAGCCACAGGCTTAAATGCCACCTCTGGACAGGATGCACAACAGGTACGGCAACCCTTCCTTACCTACCATCCTCCTCTGGGCTCTCATTGATGGGCTTATTAGTGGGACTTATTCCTGTGCCCTCACTGGCCCACCCTGGTGGGCGGGCCCATTGCCAGGATGCTGAACGGAGCTGCAGCCACCTTGGCACTATGGTGGAATTTGCCGTGGCCCTGGGGTCTAAGCTGGACGTCATCAACAAGCATTCATTCAACAACTTCCGCCTGCGAGTGGGTGAGAGACTTCCCCTGCTGCAGCAGTCTGGTACCTCCTCACCTTCCTGAGCTTGCCCCACTCCAAGTCCTTTGTTAGCTGCTCCCAGTTCATCCTGAAGCCCCTTTCCTGACTCACTCCCTGGGATGGGGTGTGAAGGTGCTGGGCAAGGAGGTACGAGGCTCTCCCACTCTTTTTCTTAAGCTACATTCCTCCAGCCCTTAGAGACCCCTCCTCTCCTCTAGGGCCCCCCAGGCTCTTCTCCCTTCCTTCCAGTTCCTTGTGGCTTCCTCTTCCCCTCTTCCTTCTCCAAGTCTGTCATTACCACATCCCTCATTAGGGTTGAACCATGGACCCGTAGTAGCTGGAGTTATTGGGGCCCAGAAGCCGCAATATGACATTTGGGGCAACACAGTGAACGTGGCCAGCCGCATGGAGAGTACAGGAGTCCTTGGCAAAATCCAAGTGAGGGAACCACATTGGAGGCATAGGGGGAGGGGGACTAAGAATAGGGCCACCTCCATATTCCCTCGCCCCCCTCCAATTGTAGGTGACTGAGGAGACAGCATGGGCCCTACAGTCCCTGGGCTACACCTGCTACAGCCGGGGTGTCATCAAGGTGAAAGGCAAAGGGCAGCTCTGCACCTACTTCCTGAACACAGACTTGACACGAACTGGACCTCCTTCAGCTACCCTAGGCTGAGATTGCACTCGCCTTCTAAGAACCTCAATAAAGAGACTCTGGGGTGTCTGGAGCCCATTGATGTCTGAAGCTGCTGATATAGCTGGGGATCACCTTCTCATTGCCCTTCAGTGGGAATTCTTCTTCTTCCCAGGCCAATTTTAGTGCGAGTGTGTGTGTGAATGTGTGTGCACATGCCTGCACACATGCATGCATGTGAGACTAAGCATTTTGAAAGGGAGTGATTTTTTTCACAAGCTCAGGAAGAGAACTCCCTCAGCCTCTCTGCCAACTTGATTATAGTATTTTGTACACCTTGGAAGCATAAAGAATTTAGCCACATGACTCAAAACAAAAATTTGCCCTTTCCTGCCCCCTACTCAAAAATACCGGAAGAATCTCCAGGGAAATGTCATTTGAACTTTATTAATTCGACAAACACTAAATAAGTACCTATTATGTGCTCACCATACAGAATGGGCGAGAGGACTGGGAAATACTCCGTTAGGTCCCTCCCAGTTTCAGCTGCTGTTCTCAAATTGGTGCACCATACCTTCCAGTAAGGATCTGTAGACAGCTTGGGGATCTCCTCTTCTTAGGTCCATCCAACATCCCTTTGCTTCCTTCTGCATCCTTCTGCACAGATGCTGGTATATGGGTCTTGAGATATTGATGACTCATTCTCACTGGCTCATACTTTGGGGTCCATGGGAGTATGTCAAACCTTGACATACTAGATTTGTTGCGGATGTTGCATGTGGATATTTGGTTTCCCTCTCTTACTTGCTCTTTTGTTTTTTTATGAGAAAGATCCAAAAAGTACACTGCTGCCACTGTTGTTGCCATCTTCCTAAAACCTTGTCAGAACAGAGTTGGACCAAGGTTCTCTAAAACAACAGTCATCTCTAGGAAATAATGACTCATCCCTCTCACTTTTGGGAATCTTTGTTTCCTGGGGCCCTCAGCCCCACCCTGTGCCAGGGTGTGTTGTGGAGGTTAGCAGATGCTGATATGCAAAATTCTAAGGGATAAGATCTAATGACTTAGTCCTCAAGTCTGGCCTCTTTGTGAAATGGAGGGAAGGAAGGCATCCCCTAGAACATCTCCTATGGAGAGGACAAAGATTATTGGCAGGAAGTTGGAGTCATTCTAACAAGGAGACTTATCACAGGCTTCAAGGAAGATATTTCACAGCAGTGCTGTTTTCTCAGAAGGTCCCGGGTCACAGAACCTGGAGTGATAAGCCCACATGGGTGGTCTTCCTAGACAAGCTGCTTTAGGAGTCTGTAGACTGCGTTTTGCTAAGTATTATCTGCAGACTATGTACTCGGAATCATCTGGGATGGGGGAAGTCTATGTTTCTTTGTGTCCCTTCCAAAATTGTAAATCATGGGGAACTAAAGGACGTGACTCTCAACTACCGAGAGGGGCCCCACCAGGGCGCCCACGAGCACCCCGATACCCACAGCACATGTACCCCACTCACAAGGTTGACCAAATTTCAGACTTCAGTTTTAATGGTTAAAGCTGCCTGTGGGAGCCAGGCTGGAGCACGCTCTCACTCGGCCCTCACTTTGCTCCACCTCTCCCTCTTCTTCCACTCCACTCCCGCCTCCCACGCTCCCACGCCCTCCACGCCCTCCACGCCCCTGCTCCTCCTCCAGGTACTGAACTGGCTCAGAGCTAGCATTCTGCCAGGAGGAAAGTGCGCCTCCTTCCACCAGGCCTAGTTCAGTTCGTTTAACTTGAGAGGGCTGGAGGCAGTGAGGCTCTCGGAAGGGCCGGGCTCCAGAGCGGCGGGGCCGCTCCTAGCGGTCTGGCCCAGGCTGCCCCCGCGGCGCGTGCTGGACGCCTCGGAGCCCGTGCCCTCCAGCAGCTTGGCGACGAAGCCCACGCCCGCCGAGCGCAGCAGGCCGCCGCCGGCGCACGCGTACAGCACGGGGTTCACGCTGCTGCTCAGGAAGGCGAGTGCGATGAGCACGTTGCGGGCCAGGCTCAGCCGCTTCCCCACGAGCCCTAACCCGGCGGCCTGGCCGGCCAGCGCGCGGCCCGCCTCAGCCAGGTTCACCACGTGGTAGGGCAGCCAGAAGGCGGCGAAGGTCAGGATGATGAGCACCACCAGGCGGCCGGTGCGGCGGCTGCGGCGGAAGCGCCGGGCCTGTAGCCGACGCCCTATGTCCGAGTAGCTGGCCACCACAGCCAGGAAGGGCAGCAGGAAGCCCGTGACAGCCTCGAAGATTAGATGGAAGGCCCGGTGCCCTTCGCTGGGGTACCGCGGGAAGCACAGGCTCATGTTCGTTTTCCAGGGCACTACTGTGCGGTACGCGAGGACGGGTGTGGCCAGCAGAAAGGACAACACCCAGATGCCTGCCAGCACCCGCCGGGCCATCGCCTTGGTGCGTAGCTTCTGGGACACAAAGGGGCGGGCCACCGCCAGTGAGCGGTCTAGACTCATGGCCGTGATAAGCAGGACGCTGGCGTACATGCTGACTCCGCAGACATAGTGACACAGGCGGCAACCAGCCAGTCCAAAACTCCAGGTGCCTTGGGCCAGGAAGTGAAGGAAAAAGGGAGCAGTGAGCAATACGGCCAGGTCGGCCAGGGCCAGGTTCAGCACCATCAGGGCAGTGACAGAGCGCTTCTGCATCCTTTTCAGGATACTCCACACCACAAAGCTGTTGCCGGGAAGCCCCACAGCCAGCGCCACTGACAGCAGGATGATAGCCAGCAGAGAGATGAACTCTACACCTAGTGAGGGGGGTGCTGCAGAAGATGTAGTGTTCATGGCCGTCGGGAGGACCTGGAGAGTGAGGGCGGACACACGCATGAGAGTAGAGGACCAAGGGTTTCCTGACGCCATGGACACACCTAGGCTGAGAACTCTAGTCTATCTCCAGGGTCAGCAGCATCAGAGGTCCCCCTGAAATATACTGCCCCCATCGCTGCAGACTGACAACTTAAAGGGATCTGGTTGAGTACAAAGACTAGTTTCCTAACTGGGTCATGCGGCCCCTTCCTGTCCACAGACCCAATTGCAAAATATACAGTGACCACAGCAGCAGCAGCATTTCCAGACCTTTTCAGTCTCCTCCCCTTAGGAGACCCTAAAGCCCAGAACCAAACAGAGTTCCTACCAATGCTGCACCCCTTGAAAGGCCAGTCTTTTTGCCCCCTGCCAGGCCCTCAGCCCCTCAATCCCATTAACTTTCCCAATCACCTGCCTACTGTCCCCAGAGATGCCCAGGGTCAACCAGGAATAACAGGGAGGGGAGGAGTTTAGTGGACAAGTGACAAGGACAAAGCCTCCCAACTTTTTACGCTGGTCAGGCTTTCTTTGGAGATTCCTTTGCACCTTCTTTCATGGCTGCACACTGTCCCACCACCACCACAACCACGGCCGCTCCCAGGAAACTTACTTACAAGCTTTGGCAGGAACTGGTTGGAAGCTGATGCCAATCCCAGGGTCAGGGCAGGGTGGTGTAGCCTATCCCTGGATCTGTCCCACTGCCAAAGGCCTGGCCCCAGGTCTAGGTGCTGTTTGCTAAATCAGCCAGAGAGGAAGTACCACAGAGCAGAGGACAGGGAAGACGCATCTTCCTGAGGGTGGGGCTGAAACCCCTACCCACTCCCTTCACTAGGAGGGGGGATAGTCTGTTTTCCAGGGCAACCCAGAAGGCAGGAGGACTCCTTAGAGGTGGGGCCAGATGAGAAGAGACCAGGAAGGAGCAGTGAGAGAGGAAAGAGGGGTGTGGGGAGTGAGAAGGCTGGGTGTGGCCTCAAGATGCAGGTCTAGACTGGATAATTGAACAAAGTAGTGAATGGTATCATATAGGAGAAGGAGGTATGGTAGCCAGAGAAGGGAAATGGGCTCAGATTGGAGGCTACAATGCTGATATCTTTTTGTTTTGTTTTGCTTTGTTTTAAGATTAATAGGAAGTGTAGGTTGGAGCTGTGACTAGGTCCTGGGTCTGGGTTTGGGTTAGATAACATCATGATTTAAAGAGGGCACATCAGTAAATGCCGAAGGGGGCAGCACTCTGTCCTTGGCTTCAGTTCAAGCTATGATCTAGGTGGTGGGAAGAGGGCCATCTTCCAGCACCCCCTTTCCTCCCCTTACTTAAAGGGACTGGTTCCATTTAGGTCAACCAATTCTCCATTCTCTTTGGTAGAAGCCAAAATCCAAATGGTCTCCTTGGTATCACACAGAATGCCAATTACTTCCCCTTTCCCCAAGCACCTACCTTGTGCTTGCCCATGTGGTTACCCTGCTGAGTCTGGATTTATGATCTGGGCAAGGAGATTGGCACTACCTCTTTCCTATCTTCTCACAGCCTACTATTCAGTTCCACTTTAGACACACAAAGTTGAGGCCGAGCTGGCAGGCTGAGCATGAGGAGCAGGAGTGAGGGAGCAGGAACAGTGATGCCTCATGCCCACCCTGCCAAGAGGGGAAACCAGCAATGCAGAAATGGTCCCCTTACCCGTTTCCTGGACAGAGGAATGTCTCCTTTCCTTGAAGTCTCCTGCAAAAGCTAAAAACTAAAAATTCCTGGCAGGTTGTGGTGGTTCATACCGGTAATCCCAGCACTTTGGGAGGCTGAGGGGAGCAGATCACTTGATGTTAGCAGTTTGAGACCAGCCTGGCCAACATGGTGAAACCCCGTCTCTACTAAAAATACAAAAGATAGCTGGGTGTAGTGGCATGTGCCTGTAGTCTCAGCTACTTGGGAGGCTGAGGCAGGAGAATCATGTGAACCCAGGAAGTGGAGGCTGCAGTGAGCTGAGATCGCACCACTGCACTCCAGCCTGAATGACAGAGCGAGACTCCATCTCAAAAAAAAAAAAAAAAAAAAAAGAAACTAAAAAGTCCTTCCTTCAATCTGACCATGGGCCTTCCTGCTTCCCTTTCAACTCTCACTTCTCAGGAAAGATGCAAAGTATAATGGTGGCCACTGAGGTCCCTTAACCTTTCCAGAGCCCCCACTTGTTCTGCTTGGAGAAAAGCCAGAGCAGAGATGACCTCGCAGCTGTCAGAGGATATGAAAAAAATGGGCAGAAACCGCAGCAAGAACTGAAGTCAGAGTTCAGGAAGGGCTTCCTGACCGCACGGGATGTGAGAGAATGGCAATGTGCAACAAAGGAAGTTAAGGAACCTCTGCCCAGTGCATGAGGACAGAAAGAATCCCGTGAGGCCTGTGTTTGGGGACAGAAACTCCAGGGTCAACCAGAGGCCCCTTCAGACAGAAACTGGGTTGTCCTTGCCTCCTCTCTCAAGCTGTTCCCCACCCGCATCTACCTTGATGGCCTTTCTTCCCCACACCCAGGACCAGGCACTCTAAGCATACTCCCTGCTGTTCTAGTTCACAGGTGCTAGTTCATCCCAGTTTTGGTAGCCCTAGCATGACCCTGGGGACTGGGTTTCTTTTGCTGTTTTGACTTCTGTCTGGGAAGCAGGGAGGTGTGAGCAGTCGCTAAAGTAGAGCCTGGGGTGATGGTCAGGGTAGCCACTTGAGCGGCCAACCATCTCAGTTTGTTGGGAAACCGGCAGGGCTGGGACAAGGAGTTTTCAGTGCTTAAACTGGGAAAGTTCCAGGCCAACTGGGATGAGCTGGTCACCTTAGTGACCACAGATGTGTACTTGTGGATGTCCCCTGAAAAGAATCCCATTCTACATCCCCCAATCAAAGGGGTCAGGATCTAGAACCGTTTTTAGACCTAGATAAGGATTCCAAAAGGTGGGGGCAGAGAAGTATTGGGGAACGGGCTAGGAATAGCTAGCAGCATCTTAGAAGGAGCCCAGACTTGGCAAAGAGAAAAAGAATATGTGGCACTTCTCTGAAAAATTATTCCTGTCCTCTAAATATTCCTGCCATTCCTCATACCCCAATGGCCAACCTCCAAACTTCCCTGACTGAGTGCTTGCTCCTGGCTCCTTTTCACGTCAGGTGGCCTTTGCAGGGAGGATCAGATGGTCAGGGGGCAAGGTAAGTCTCAGACTCCCAGGGCCCCTACACCACTGTCCACTCCTTGTGTGCCTGTCTCATACTCACTGGACCAAATACAAGACAGGCAGGAAAACTTCCTTTTCAAACCCCACAGATTCATTTTCCCCTTCAGAGCCATTTCCTCCTCAGAGGCTTTTATAAGCCTCAGAGAATGGATCCCATTCCTACCCCTCATCCAAGCTCCCATACCTCTCCTTCCATTTTCTCCTTTATTTCCAGAGTGGTTCTATGGGTTGGCCTGTGGAACCAGGGCACCTGGGCTGAGGAGGGCAGGTCAAGATGCCACTGAAGGCTGGCACTGCCCAGCCTGGCTTGACCCAGCAGGGAACTAGGTGGCTTCAGTACAACTCAGGCATGAAGAACCACCAGGGGAAGCACACTTAAGTCATCATCTAATGGCTTCCCAGTGTATTTCACAATAACAGCTATTGGCAACAAGTAAGCAATGCTGGCACATGGGTACATGCCAACTTGCAAGCACACAATAGTCCTTAACAGGGACCATCACCACCCTCATAATCCCTCAGTTTGGAGGAGCCTGGGCCTGCCCCAAGTGTATAGTAATCCTACCCAGCCAGATCCAAACTCTAGTCAAAGAAGGGTCCCCAAATGTCCCAGAACACTGACCTCTGGAGGGTGGGTGGGGGGTGGAAAGGGACAGGGAAGGGCAGCAGGTTGTAGGGTCTGCTGTCAAAGGTCCCATTCCGGACCGTCCTTCTCCATCCCACCCCCCGGGTCTCCATTGCCGCGGCCCTGCCCCACCACTTTCAGCTGAGGGGTAGTTCGGAGCTCCATGGTCCCTTCCCTAGAGCGGCCGCCCCCTCGGGCCTCCCCAGAGCCTTCGAAGAGCCGCGTGAGGAAACGGGGACCTGCCCGGGGCAGCAGATCTCCAGCGGTGAAGACGTAGAGCACCGGGTTGACGCTAGAACTGAAGAAGGCCAAGGCCGTAGTTCCCGCTCGCGCCGCCTGGCCGGCTCCGCCCAGCTTCGCCAAGGCCCCTTCCGGTGGAGCCAGCGCTGCGACCGCCTGCAGAAGGTTGACTGCGTGGTAGGGGGCCCAGAGCAAGCCGAAGGCAAGCACGATGGCGCTCACCAGCCGGCCCACCCGCGCCCCGTGCCGCCCGGAGCCCCAGCGGGCGCCCCGCAGCCGTGCCAGCGTCACGCTGTAGCAGCCGAGCATCAGCCCGAAAGGAAGCACGAAAGCGGTCAGAGTCTCCAGGCTCAGGTGGGCGGCGGCGTGGACCGGCGACGGGTGGCACAGCTGGCATACGCGGTCCCTCCACAGGTGGCGGTAGACGGCGGCCGGGACGGCGAGCAACAGGGCGGCCAGCCAGACCGCCAGCAGCAGGCGGCGGGCCAGGGCCGGGCTGCGCAGCCGAGGCGCCAGGAAGGGGCGGGTGACTGCGAGGCAGCGCTGCAGGCTGAGCAGGCCGGTGAGCAGCACGCTGGCGTACATGCTGAGCGCGCACACGTAGTACACCGCCTTGCAGCCCGCCTGGCCCAGCGGCCAGGCCTGCCGGGTCAGGAAGGCCACAAAGAGCGGCGTGAGCAGCAGCACCGCGCCGTCGGCCAGCGCCAGGTGCAGCACAAGCGTGGCCGCCAGCGGTCGCCCCCGTGCAGGCCGCCAGCCCGCCAAGCTCCACACCACGAAGCCGTTGCCAGGCAGCCCCAGCAGCGCCGCCAGCAGCAGGAAGGCTGTGCCTGTGGCCCGCGAAGTCTTCCAGCTCAGCAGTGTCTCGTTCCCTGGGGGACGGTAGCAGACCGACATCCTTCTGGGCCTACAGGTGGGTGGAAGGCGCCACAGAGGGCGTTCAGGGGTGGGGCAAAACCCCACCTGTGATGCCCGATGAGAAGGTGCCATGCCTCCTCCTTACTTCCCTGCAGCCTGCCTCTTTTCTGCCTGGGAGTCCTGACTTCCACGAGGACCCAGACCCCACCTCAAACACAACTCCTTCTTGGAACCCAGATCCCCTGCTCCCAGTCAGTTGACCTGCCCCACTCCTGGCCTCCTTCCCAGAGCTCAGTGGTAAACAGGCATAAAGTCATCACCCCAGGCTGTCACTATCTCTACCACCACTCCTCTAGTCTGGCCCCTCCTTCTTTGTCCAGCCCCATTCTAGCACATCTGGGCAAAACTGGATGGTGGGGTGTAAAGGGACGTGCACAGATCTACTTACCAAGCTGGGAGCAAGCAGGATTGGGGGCCTGGAGAAGCTGAAAGGTTAAGCAGCAGTAGGCGAGGTGCCTACTCCTGTCCTGTGCCTATCACATTTGCAGAGGGTAAGACAAGAATGGGGAGGGACAAGATGAGGCTCATCCTGGGCCTCTCCTGGGGCCCCTCCCTCACCCTGCTCCTTCCCATCACCAACGCACCCAGGCGTCCAGGCATGTGAGAGCCTGCCTTGCCAGGAAACAGCACAAGCTGAAGTGGGGCAGTAAGATTCCCTGGTGGTGGAAGGAAATAGGAGGACTCTGCTGAATCCTGGTCCTGCTTCTGTTCTCATCCCTCCCCCAGCTCTGGCCCCAATCCTCCCAGCCCACCTTCTGCAGTGTGTATGTTGCCTGGTCTCTCTGGCCTGCAGAGGTGACCCAAACAACTCAGTCCCCCACCTGCCTTATCCTTGCCTGTTTCCAGTCTCCTGGTCCGGCTGAGCCCCTGGCCTCCTACCTCCTCCCACCTCTTGCCTCAGGCCCTGCCCCAGTCACTCCACCCTCAGGGCTCTCACCGGGCTGTCAATGACAGCTTTTCCATGTAAGGCATGGTGCTAGGTTCCAGGAGGAACAGGGGATGCATGGAGGCATAATGGTTAGGGAGTCATGACACACAACCATGAAGAGGCCCCATTACCAGGCTGCACCAGGATACAAGACAAGAAAGGAAAGGATGAGTAGGGACATACTAAGAAGCAGCCCTCTCCTCTTGGAAAAGTCAAGCAAAACTTGGAAATGAAGAGATTTGAGGGGGGCCTGGCAGATGGATAGAGCTGGGGGAAGGGAAAAGAAAGGCCTCTGCTCAAGTAACAGCCAGAACTTGAGGTTGCTTGGGGAGGGCACCAGGAGCACTGTCTTAGTTTGGGTTCTTCCAAAGCAGAGCTTGAGCTAAGGGCTTGGGTACAGGTGATCCTGTATTCTTGAGCTAAGGGCTTGGGTACAGGTGATCCTGTATTTGGGAGGTTAACTCAGGAAGTGAGGGCATAAGGTAAAACAAGAGAGAGGAAAGCCATTAAGAGTATGTTAAGTCCCTTCAGTAGGCCTTGGGAACCTCTGAGAAAAGTATAGATTGCCCAAGACAAAAGACTGGCAGGGTGATCAGTCCAAAGCATTTATTAGGAGAATGTACTTAATGAGTGGGCTACAGCGTATCCTCACAACAGACAGTGAGAGAGAGTTGTTCTACCTGGGTATATCCAAAACAAGGGGGTCAGGGTATGGAGTTTACGAGGGTTCAAGGTATTTGGTTCAGGGCCAGGGCCAGTTTTTTTCAGTGTTTTGGGCAACAACCTGAATACCTTTTCAAGGCTCTGGCTTGGGCTCAAGCCTGCAGGGGAAATGCAACTGGCCAGGTCACAGGGCAATCAAGTTACTCTGTGTTTCTTTGTCAGGACACAGAAAAAAAGTGGGGAAGCTGGGGGACCCTACAAGGATCCTTGGCAGGAAAGCAGGGATTGTGTTCATTTGAGGGTTTCACTGTCAGTGAGAGTCTCAGCTTCCATGCAACTGTCCATCACGGCTGCAACTGAAATCAGAGCTGGGACACAGCGCACCAGAAGCTAAAGTCTTGATGCCATCAAAGGACATCCCTGCCCCATTCACATCTCTGTCACGTCCACTAATCGGCAAAAGGAGAAAAGTGAGAGAAGATGACCTAAGTGTGACTGCAGCAGGCAGCTCTGGAAAATGAAGCCAGAGCAGTGAGCCAGCCCCTCCTCCGACCAAGGAGGAAGGAAAGAGCAGGTAAGCAGGAAGGCCAGTGTCCCAGACAGGACCCTAATGATCCTGAATCCATGTATCAGGATCCATCCTCTCCTTACACCCTTCCTGGACACAGTCTCACCTCTCATTTTCCAAAGCCCTGCCATGCTGCCATCCCACTTCCCCACACTCTGCCCCGGGTTCCCTTTTCCTAAAGCTGCAGCTTATGGCTTCTCCAGTAGGTGGCAGCACACACAGAGCCACTCATAAACTGCAGCTTCTCAGAGCCTGAGAGCCAGAAACCGTCCCCAGAAATTCCCTCCATAGAAATAAAAAAACACCAGAAGTCACATTTCATCCTTTTACATGGTTCCCATCTACCCTCACAACACATGTCATCACCAAAGACACACATACAAGCTCCAATGGCTTTTGCCAGGCAATTCTTCCTCCAGGACCCCATCTGGCCCCTCCCTCATCCCTCCCCTTGGACTTTGCCCTTCTTACTGGCCAGGCAGGGGGGCCAGAGTCCAGGCTTGACTCATTCCCACCTTGTCCTGGGCTGAGATCCCAGGTTTGTAACAGAAAACACCACTAAAGCCCCAGCACAGGAGAGAACCACCCAGCCCAGAAGTTCCAGGGAAGGAACTCTCCGGTCCACCATGGAGTACCTCTCAGCTCTGAACCCCAGTGACTTACTCAGGTGACTGCTAACCCTCCGCTCTACCCTCCACCTTTAGGGGATATAGGCAGGGCAACAATACTCCACTCAGCCCCTAGGAGACTAACCAGTACCCCTTCCTCTCCTGCTCCCCACTCCACAGTGGGCTTGTCAAGCTCCTGAGCCACCCGCCCCCACCTGCACTCCATGGTCTCTCCCTCATCCCTAATCGATAAACCTAGATCTCTCCCTCCCTAGCCCTCTAGCCACTCTACCCTCATCATGCCCTTTACACTCACCAAGCCCCTCCTCGCCCCTTCTTGACTTTTCTTCTCAACTACCAGGTCAGTATCTAATATAAGCTCGGAGTTTGGACGGAGGGTCTGGACCTCAGCTCCACCACCCCAGCGACCTTTCCGTGTCTGTGATCACAAGCGGACCATCCGGAAAGGCCTGACAGCTGCCACCCGCCAGGAGCTGCTAGCCAAAGTAAGTAGGCCAAGTTCCTCGGTTCCTATAGCAGGGGTAGCCAAGGGGCTCCACAACAGTGGCAACTTGTGATGATGGAGCAGAGGGCTGAAGTCACACAGCTGCCCCTCCCTCTGAGGGCTAAAAGCAGCGGAGTGGGCCTAATGAGCTCTGGTCAATTTGTTCATTTTCCACCGAGTGAGCTTTTCTATGGGAGCAGGGGTTAGCAGGAGATAGGGAGAGTTCGAGGGACAGAATTCAGAAGCTAGTATGGAAAGGTGATTTGTGTGACAAATCAAGTTCAAATTCTGATTCTGCCACTTCCTGCCTGTCAAACCTTGGGAAGTTGTTCAACCTACCAAAACCTCAGTTTCTTCAACTATAAAAAGGCAATAATAATACATCACCTCCTAGGGTTGTTGAAAGGAGTAAGAGGATAATGTAGGTAAAGTCCTCATACCTGGCACAGAGTAAGGACTCAAAAAGGTTAAACACTATTACTGAAAACACTTCTGGAGAACTCTTGAGGGTGTGGGAAGTGAGGTGCAGCATTGTAGATAAGACAGAAGGGTGGACTTCGTGAGAACCTGGCTTGCTTTCCAATTCCAAACCAGAAGTGACTTGGAGGGGAGCAAGGGGAGATGCCAATGACATGGTAGGAGCAAAGAGGAAAAAGGTCAGCCTCTAGCTAGGATCCCCCAAAAACTGAAGAACACGGAGAGCTGCAACCTTTAGGAGGTATCAAAGTGCCGGAAAGTCAAAGTGGGACATCGACCAATGTCTAGAGCCAACTGATGGATGTTGGGCAGCTAAAGAGGGAAGGGGCATGGGATAAGACCTGCCCTTCTTGCTTCTTGCCATTGGGCAGGCATTGGAGACCCTACTGCTGAATGGAGTGCTAACCCTGGTGCTAGAGGAGGATGGAACTGCAGTGGACAGTGAGGACTTCTTCCAGCTGCTGGAGGATGACACGTGCCTGATGGTGTTGCAGTCTGGTCAGAGCTGGAGCCCTACAAGGGTAAGAGGCCTATACTGGGGCTGCTTCCAATGCCTGTCCTTTAGAGCTTTCCCGGGCTTCCTCTCTAGCTTAACCCTGATCCTGGGGACCAGGTGCAGGAGGAGTTGTGGAATTGTCAAGGATGTCACACAGTGGACAGAAAGTCCAAGCGAGGGAGGGTCTGACCCAGTGCTGATGGAGATTAGTGGTGGGTGTCTGGTATGAGGATCTACTGCACTGACAAGGGTGTCCTACAGAGTGGAGTGCTGTCATATGGCCTGGGACGGGAGAGGCCCAAGCACAGCAAGGACATCGCCCGATTCACCTTTGACGTGTACAAGCAAAACCCTCGAGACCTCTTTGGCAGCCTGAATGTCAAAGCCACATTCTACGGGCTCTACTCTATGAGTTGTGACTTTCAAGGACTTGGCCCAAAGAAAGTACTCAGGTCAGAAATCAACATGTCATACTGCCCCATCCCCTACAGTTGGATAGTCCCCATAATTCGTCCTCTTGCACCCACCTACCCCTAGTTAGCTCTTGCTTGTGGAAAGTCCTCATCTCCCAGCTTGATGGCTTCCTCCCAAGTTTTCCAAATCATCTGATTTCCTCTTGTCTCTGCCATTCAGGGAGCTCCTTCGTTGGACCTCCACACTGCTGCAAGGCCTGGGCCATATGTTGCTGGGAATTTCCTCCACCCTTCGTCATGCAGTGGAGGGGGCTGAGCAGTGGCAGCAGAAGGGCCGCCTCCATTCCTACTAAGGGGCTCTGAGCTTCTGCCCCCAGAATCATTCCAACCGACCCACTGCAAAGACTATGACAGCATCAAATTTCAGGACCTGCAGACAGTACAGGCTAGATAACCCACCCAATTTCCCCACTGTCCTCTGATCCCCTCGTGACAGAACCTTTCAGCATAACGCCTCACATCCCAAGTCTATACCCTTACCTGAAGAATGCTGTTCTTTCCTAGCCACCTTTCTGGCCTCCCACTTGCCCTGAAAGGCCAAGATCAAGATGTCCCCCAGGCATCTTGATCCCAGCCTGACTGCTGCTACATCTAATCCCCTACCAATGCCTCCTGTCCCTAAACTCCCCAGCATACTGATGACAGCCCTCTCTGACTTTACCTTGAGATCTGTCTTCATACCCTTCCCCTCAAACTAACAAAAACATTTCCAATAAAAATATCAAATATTTACCACTAAGACTTCTGACTCCAATTTAAACCAGGAAAGGGATGGGGTGGATACCCCATTTTGCCCTCCCCCATCAACACCCAGTCCCAGATCCAAAGCCTCAGTCTTCAAGTATGGAGTTCAATGCCCGCCTCCGCTTGGCCACCGCACCCTGCTGCTGTTCCCAAGCCTCTCGCCGCTTTAGGAAGGTAGTCAAGGCCACATTTCGAGCCACATGGTGGCCGAAAGGGTCTCTTATCAGCTCCTGGTTCTGCTCCCCTGCAAAGGGAACCACTCATGTTTAGTACTACCATGCTCAAAGACAGACTCTACTTGACGTAAAGATCCCTCCATTTCCCCCAGACCCTGGGACTGCCACTGGGATAAAGTGAACACTTCACTTTCCAAAGAACAGAAGTCAGAGGGCAGGGTGAGGGCAGAGGACTACACAATCAGTCAGCGGGAGGGAAGGGGAAAGCAGACTGCTAAGAACCCATGAGCAAGACCACCCTTTGGAACTAAAGACTGTTGAATTTCAGTAGACTTCCCAGCTACCCAGTGATCTGGAGTAAGAGAGGGGAGAGTCTGGAAACATCAAAGAGAGGGGCTGGTACTCACCAAGCTCAGCAGCAATTTCCTTCCGGGCCCTCAAGGCTGCTCCACTCCAGATGGCATCTAGCACACGGCTGCCATGGCGACTACAGGCCAGAGCCACATATTGTCCCTGTATGGAGACAAGCAAAGTAGGTCTCCCTAGCAAAATCCACAAAAGTATTTTGGAGGCTTGTGGAGAGTGAATTTTCTGAAGAGTTTAAGGGCTGAATTAAAATAGTCTAGGAATTACATAGCCTTTTTGAGTCTGAAGGTACAGTCCAGGGAAAGCTCATATTCTCTAAATGGATGATGGTGGGGAATCAAGGCAAAAGCCAGAAATCTAACCTTTAGGTTCTGCAGCACACGGCGGCGCAGCTTGCGCGTCACAGAGGGGCTGGTCAGGATGGCATCGAGCACATGAGAGCCAGCGGGACTTTGGGCAAGGGACAGAAGCTGTGGTCCCGTCAAGGCACCCAGACTTCGAAGTACAAGACCAGGAGTGGAGAAGTGCAGCAGATGCTGGAGCAGTAGAGACCCAAGGACTGTCACATCCCCCAAGGCTCTGGCTGCGGCCATTGCCACCTGGCAGCGCAGAGATAAGAAATTAGGAGGCACCAACAAGCCAGGTGGATGAGCCCATCCCCAGAACACTGCCACCTCCACCTGGATGAAGTCACCACTCTCACCTCAGAAGTCAGACGCTTGCTAAACCCTGGGAGGCCTGACTCCCAATTAGTCACTGGCTTGGCCTCTCCCCTACCTCACCTGGTGCTCTGCAGGCACTGCCCCCTCCTCCTCCGTCAGTCCATAGTACACCTCATAAGCCATCAAAGTGGCAAAGAGAGGCACACAGGCCACTTGCCGGGATGAGGGCTCTGCACAGTGGAATGCCTAAAGGAGAAGACAGAATATGATGAACCTGAGAACTTCTCCGTCCCTTACCTCAACTTTAAGGGAACACCTTCAGGAAAGGAAAGAAGGCCCAACTCCACAAGAATGTTAGCTCCATGAAAGCAGATGTCATGCCTTGCTGTATCCCCAGCCTCTATCACATACAGGGGTTAATAAATGTTTATCCCTTAAATAAACTTCTCTCTTAGTTCTGGGAGACAATTTTTGTTCCAGGACTGTGAAATAACATTTGGCCTCAGCCGGGCACGGTGAGCTGAGATTGCGCCACTGCACTCCAGCCTGGGCAACAAGAGCAAAACTCCGTCTCAAAAAAAAAAAAAAAAATTAGCTGGGTATGGTGGCGGGCACCTATAGGCCTCATTTTCCCCCATTCCTGTGAACTCCTTGGGCATTAGACTTCCTGAGTCCAGAGGTACAAAAACTTAAGATTAGATAAGTCCTAAAAGGTAGAAGTTGAACTGAGGGCATAAACAGATTGTGGGTAATATCCACTCACCTCCAACAAGAGCTGTAGGACCTTGGCTTGGTAGGCCCCAACTCTGCGACAGGCCCCCACCAGGGCAATGACTACCCCTGGGTGGCCCTGGGCCAATACAGCTTCCAAGACAGGGCTCAGCTCCTCAAACACAGGGGACAGCTGATGGGAAACATGGAATGTAACTCTGGCATTCTGGTAATGGCGGACCACATTATTCAGAGAAATCTTCCCAACGAAAACAACTAAAAATGCTAGATAAAACATAAAAAGCATTGCCAGTATCAGGACTTTTGTTTGGCTAGATAAGGCCCAGGATAAGGGGGCAGTCTTAGAGGTGCCACCTCACAGGAAGGAACTTTAAGTGGCTCTTCCCTATGTGTAAGGGAGCACTAGGAGCAAGGGGAGACTAAAATTAAACTGCACTTCCACTCTAACACCCAATGCATGAGACCACAGGGAAGCCCACCTTAGTCCTAAGCAGCAAAGGAAAAGAGAAGCTATGGCAACAGCTCTAGCACTCATGTGGGCTTATAGCCAAGTACCAGAGTCTGGGTGGGCCATGGAACCTCAAGCTGTAAACCTGAATAAAGCCAGTTTCTTGCTGGTCCTCATACCTGAGAGAAGTCAAAACAAATCCTCACTAGAAGGTGGGCACCTTTATCCTAAGCTCTGGAAAACCTCAAAGAATAGCTTTTCAAGGGCAATGGCCAGCACAATGTCAAAGGTATATAGAGGCAGACAGACCATAAAATAAGGTCCAGTGATCAAGAATTAGCAGAAACAGATCCAGCTCAGGTTTCCAACTCACCAGCTCAGGGGTAGTGACTGCATCCAGTAAGCGCTGCAAAGGGAAGTTGGCAATGGGATGTGCAGCCAGGGTCTGCAGCTGCCCCTGCAAGTGCTCCTCAAAGAGGCTCTGGAGTCTTGGGGGCTCCAACACCAGCAGGACCTGCTCCAGGAGTCTGGAACTCGTCTGATCTCGGAGAAATAGCAGTAGGGGACTAGGGACAAGAAGGGCATCAGGCAGTCTTAACTCCATTTCATGCAAAATACAGTTGCACTACATCACCTCATTCATTTCACACAGCCCCGCCAACTTGGGTCGATCCTGAGGCCCTGACCATACCTGCCATCTACTGAGGAACCGCGAGTACTCAGGTAGCCAATCACAGCATTGCAGAGATGAGCGCAAAACTGGGGAAGTTTGCGGTGTAAAACCTGTAAAGCCACTTGAAGACAGAAGCTGGAGATCTTATCAGTGATAAACACTGTGGAGAGAGGGCAGAAATAAAGCGGCTTTCCCAAAATCCAGACAACCTGCGTAACCTCAAACTTTAGGCAACAAGATACAGGGCACTATGGACACAAAGGGACTATACAAAGTGCTCTGAACGTCAAACCAGACCAGGTTTGAAAAGAAGAGGAATAACCTGAGGTAAGGGCCTTGCTTGGTGGTAAGATGACCTCCAGACAAGTAGATACGAGACCATCCTCCTACTTCCCTCCTTACCTGCAATGTCCTTCAGAAAGGAGGAGCTCAGGTCCTGAAGGCGATTCAAAAAGGTTTCAGGGACTTCAAAATCAGCTGGCTTACATTCCTGAGCTGGGGTCTTCTGTGCTTCTGAAGGAAGATTAAGAACATGTGCAGTGGGGAGATCACAAACTGCCATCCAGGAGAGAAAAATTTCACAGATGAACAAGGATTCCGCTTGGAGATGCAGAACAGATGTAGTACAACTAAATGTCTCTTCTGGATGACTGAACTGAGACTACATTTCTGTCTTAATTTTTCTAAGAAACTTCAACCAGCTTCCCCATGGTCCACAGAAGACAGTTCAACCTCCTCAGCCAGGTATTCAAGCCATTCCAAAATAAAGCCTCATTTAAACTCGCTAACTTTATTTCCTAGTTTTTCAAAATGTGGATCACAGCTCAAGACTGTACCATGAAATCAAGTTAGTGGTCTCAACTAGCATTTTTTTTAAATGAAATAGAGCAGAATAGTTTTGAAAAGGAAAAAAAAATAACAGAGTGGGCTGCATGTAGTAAGGGTATAGTTTCCTGAACTTTTGCTTGAGTCCAGTGTGTATGTTACTTTTGCTTAAGTCCATTTGTATATTAAGTCATGCTTAAAAAAAATTCTCCTCCTGCGTCCATTCTAATAGCCTTCCCCAAACACAACTGTACATCCCTACCTCTGGGCCTCCGCACACACTAATCTTTGGCTTGCTAAGCCCTGTTCAGATTAGGACAGGTCAAGCTAATTCTTCCCGGTCAAGCTCCCCCATGAAGACTTACTCTTCTGTTTACTGTCTCATTCTGAACTTTCTAAATTCTTCTTCCCCCTAGGTCCACTTTCCTCTTGTAATACTTACCAGATGATTGGGAACCACGGGGCCTGGCTCTCTCAGACTCCAGAATAGTCCCTCCTAACACCTGAAGCAGAGTTCTGACCACGAAGCTGCCATGTGTGTCTCCACAGTAGACAAGAAAATCATCACACACCTCAGCGGCTAGTCCCAGGACCAGCTCCTCCAGGGTCTCCGTGGGACCATCCTTTCCATCCTCCTCCTCCTCCTCCTCCTCCTCTGCAGCACTCCCCAGCAATCGAGGGAGCTGTAGCAAAGCACTTTGTAATACATGGACCCCGCATCGGTGACAGGCCACAGTGCGCAAGTTAGAGCGCAGAGCAGCCCACACGCGACAAAGCGGTTTCAAGGGACTGAATCCCAACAGTTCCTGCAGCATCTCACTGCCAGTCCTGTTCGTGGACAAAGCTAGGGCCTGAGTCTCTACTTCCTTCATTATATTGTGCACCATCAGATCTGAAAAGGGAAGAAAGACACACTTTGAAGAGACTTAGTAGAGAATACAGTTATGTACCCTCGCTTAACCAAGGGTCGTGGGTCGGAGGCCGAGGAAGAGGACATGGGAAATGAAACTAAGTCCCCACGCCCTGCCGACCCTAGAAAGTTTCCTTGCCTGCCCTGGATTTGATGCTCTTGGTCTAAACCCCGAAGTTGCTGCCTACCTCGTTCTTCCCCAGTCTCGGGAGCCTCTTTCAATGCTGACAGCGCCCGGCGGAAATATCCCAGAGCTTCCGGGCTCAGGTGCGGGTGCGAATCTGGAGCCGGCTCCGAGCGCCCATCCGGAGGCGGCCAGGGTTGCCGCTTACGGCCTGGTAAGGGGCGCCCCGACCCCTTGGCCCCGCGCCCCCGTTTGCCACCAGCTGGGAACCGGCGCCCCACCTTGTGTGGAGAGCGCGGACCCTGCCCCATGTGTGCTTCGCGACCTGTCCGGCTGCAAAAGCTTCCTTAACTGCGGACGGACCTTCGACGTCGCCAAGCGTGCGCCTTATCCAGACAAAGTTTAGAAACGCGGGCGCGCTCCTGACGCAGCTACTACGTCATAGTTCCGCGCCGCCCCAGCCGGGCGGGGTGGGTGTGTCACCCAGATCGCTCCGCCCCCATCCGCAGGTTCTAACTTTGGCCTGGGACTCTGCCCCTCTACCTCAGCACAGAATCGCCCCGGGTCCTACTACAGAATCAATCCTTGAACACTGCCTCCACGTCGCCGGCTCAATCTGGGCGAGAACCCAGACTTCCACCGCAGCCCCGCAATCTGCAGACCTCAGCGGCAGCGCAGGTGGCAGGTAAGCGGCGCACGCTCGTCCCACTTAGGGCTTAGGATCTCCAGGCTTCGCGCTCATCCCCGGCCCGGAAGCTGCGCCTCTGGCTCAGCCGGACTGGGTCAGGCCAGGGACCGGAGCTTCAGATAGCCCAGGACTCTGCGTGGACGCGCCCCGAGGGGCTGCCGCGCCAGATTCCCATATCCAGGCAGCCACACTCAGAGGGTTGTAGTAGTTGTCCACCTCTGGACAGTCCCACTCAGCCCCTTCTTCACTCTCTGGGCCTCCCAAAAGACAGTCAGCCTTGTCCTCAGGCCCGCACCCAGTTGTCAGCCTCTGACTCCTCTCCCCTCAAAGGATTCTTACCTTGGCTCCTCCTCTTAGCCCTAGTGAGGTTCTCCCCTACCCCCCAACCTCGCCCCAACACACACACAGTCTCCAGGCTTCCCTCAGAGTAAGTCTTTGCTTCCACAGACCTGCCTCCTTTGCCTGTGAGTCATGGCAGCTCCCATGAATGGCCAAGTGTGTGTGGTGACTGGTGCCTCCAGGGGTATTGGCCGTGGCATTGCCTTGCAGCTCTGCAAAGCAGGCGCCACAGTTTACATCACTGGCCGCCATCTGGACACCCTTCGCGTTGTTGCTCAGGAGGTGAGTGCTTCCTCTGGGACCACAGTTGCAGAAACCACCCGAGAGAGCCCTTCCACTTAACAGCTCCTTTCCTAATCCCTTACCTGAAACTATAATACTACTCAACAAGATGTGAATATTTATTCAAAGTGGAAATTAAAAACCCCGTAAATAACTTCAGGTAAGGTAGAATTTTGCCGCCAAGTGAGTTTTATGAAAAAACTTTGTGTTTGAGCCAGGCATGGTGGCACGTTCCTGCAGTCCCAGCAGCTACTCCGGAGGCTGAGGCAGGAGGATCGCTTGAGCCTAGGAGTTGAGCCATGATCACACCACTGCACTCCAGTCTAGACGACACAGCGAGACACTGTATTAAAAAAAAGAAAAGAAAGAAAAGTAAAAAACTTTTTGTTTGAGAGCAGAGATTTTGGAATTGCAACTAAAGGGTTGTGGACCTGTGCTTTCCTCTATTTCAGGCAAGACTTTATTGAACTGCACATTTTTTACTTATTTACTAGACTTCAGTTAAATAAATATTTGAGTATCCATGATTTGCTAGGCATTGGTAAACCACTGAAGTTACCAAGACTAATAAAATCTAATTTCTGCTCTTCAAAGATTCAGTCCATGGTGGAGTACAGTGGCTCATGCCTGTAGTCCCAGCACTTTGGGTGGCCAAGGCAGCAAGATCACTTGAGGCCAGCAGTTGGAGACCAGTCTGGGCAACATAGCTAGACCCAGTCTCTACAAAAAATATTTTTTAAATAATTAGCTAGGCACAGTGGCCTGCACCTGTAGTACCATCTACTTGGGAGGCTGAGGCAGGAGGATCGTTTGAGCCCAGGAGTTCGAGGTTGCAGTGAGCTATGATTGCACCACTGCACTCCAGCCTGGTGACAGTGAGACCCTGTCTCTAAAAAAAAAAATTTTAATTAAAAATGAAGATAGATTCCAACAGGAAGTCAGGTACAGAAAGCAGTCACTTCAATGTAATGTGAATATGGTAAATTATAAGAGGGAGATATGCACAGAATACTCTAGGGGTGTTGGGGAGCATCCAGATGACATAGGAGAGTGGCTAGGGAAAGTGGTTTGGGAAAGCGTCCTGGAGGAGGTAGGTGGTTCTTGAACTGAGTTTTGAAAGGTAAGAATTAGGTAAAGGAAGTTAGGAAAAGCATTCCAGCAGAGGGAGCTCCATAAGCATAGGGACGCTGTGTGAAAGAGTAGATGTGTGAGATAATGCAAGGGAAGAGTAGTGAGTGAGAGGCTGGAGAGGAAAGAGTGGGTCTTGGAAGACCCTAATAGAGAACTCAGGCTTCATCCTCTAAGAGATGGAGATCCAGTTAGGAGATTTTGAACAGGGTTTGTGTTTTAGATAGGTCGTACTGGCTGGATTATGAAGAATTAATTTAAGGCAGACAGACTGGAGGTCAGGTGAGTCGTTGGGAGGCATTGCAGTAGTTCAGGCAAGGAGGGTAATAGGCGGGGACCCAGAGCATAAATTTGGAGAATAGGAGGATTGTTCTTAGATAAAGGACTCTTCTTCCTCTGAAGTTGGAGGTTTGTGGGCATTTGTAGAGAGTGAGACAGAACAGGAAGTAGAAATCATTCATGGCTGATAGCTTTGGTTTTTTCAATTACCAACCAGGAGCATTGGTGGAGTGAGGGTAAGACAACTGGGACTGAGTAGAGGTTTTAGGTGAGTAGTGTAGGGTGGGAGCTAAGGGCATGAGAGATGGAAATGACCACAACAAGGAAAAGGATGCTTACTCATTTCTCAAGAGCAGACTCCATGCCTCACTTGTTCTTACCCTCTACTTGCAAAGTACAATGCTGTGCACATGGTGGGCCTCAGTAAATGTTTGTAGATTATTAAAACTTACATTGCAATTCACCTTGCTCTGTGGTGGGGAGGCCTATCATTCCTGAAACTACTCAAACAGACACCAGAGGGCAGCGTTGCCTGCCATGTTGCCTCTGCAGCAGGCTCTCCTAGGATTGATTGTCTTCTCAGTTCTCAAGCCCACTTTGGTTGGGGAGTTTTGTCATGACTCACACCCATGTGTGAATGTGAGCTCATATCCCCTGTCCTACTCCAGGCACAATCCCTCGGGGGCCAATGTGTGCCTGTGGTGTGCGATTCAAGCCAGGAGAGTGAAGTGCGAAGCCTGTTTGAGCAAGTGGATCGGGAACAGCAAGGGCGTCTAGATGTGCTGGTCAACAATGCTTATGCAGGGGTCCAGGTACCCTTTGAACTTTGTTCCCAACTCCACATTTCTGACCTCCCCCTCAGACCCCTGCATCTTCATCCCCACTCATTGTCCCTTCCATTACCCAGCCCCTCACACCTCCCTACCTTCAGATCATTCATCACCCTCCCTGTGCCTTCCAGACGATCCTGAACACCAGGAATAAGGCATTCTGGGAAACCCCTGCCTCCATGTGGGATGATATCAACAACGTCGGACTCAGGTGGGTGCTCCACTGCCAGGACCCATGTTCCCTCACTCACTTAGCCAACTCGACGGCCAGGCCTTTCCTTACATGCCCTCTCCTTTTCCCTCCGGCCTCCCCCATCTCTTTCTTCTCCCTTCCATTCCATTTGTCCCACTTACCTCTGGAGAAGTTCCATCCAGGTGAGTCTGTACCTGAGAATGTCAACTCTGTCAGTAATTTTCATTGGAACAAGCCCTTGGCCTCTCTCCTGTCTCACTCTCTGCCCATCCAAATGCAAGACCCAGAAGGGAGGAAGCCTCCTCCTCTCAGTAATGCGCACAGCCTGTAGTCTATACTTTCAAAATGGTTAGAGGGAGAAATTGTTTTATTTTAGACTGGGAGAAGCTTAAGAAGAAGGAGCGAACACCAATGCTGTTTAGTCTCCACATCCTCACTCCACACCCACAGGCAAGGGCACTGCCGGGTCAGAGTTGGGAGAGCAGGTACATCACTGGGTCACACAGGGTCATTTAGCCCAGGAGTGAGATGAAACACAGCATTTAGAATTCGCCTAGCATAATGCACACCAGTTATGCCTCTGTTACTGTTGGAATGATGTTACACTCTCATATAATCAAGTCATGCCTGATGGATGTGATCAGTCACCTGTGGGAGTAACCACGAGATTATCGGCAAATCTGTGACTAAAGCATGTAAGAACACCCACCGCTCCAATTTTGGTACTCTGGTAACAATCCCAAGGAAGCAGGATTAGAATGCAATTGTGATTTCCAAAGTGGAAGGAAGATCATTAGGACAGAGGAGGATGGTGAGGCCAAAGGCAAGAAAGGGACACGTTAAGAGCTGGAAATTGGCCAGTGTTCATGACCATAGCCTCCAAAGAGAGGTGCCTTCCACACCCTCATCTCTTGCTGGCCAGGGTTTTGACCCTGAAGCAGAGATTCAAGGCAGAGGCCCAGACCCTCGACCTTGGGCCCTGATGAATTATCCAAGGTAAAGGCCCCTTGATGAGCCCCTGACAGCCCCCCAGCACCTCCTGCCCACCCATTCCCCATGCGCATTTACTGCCTTTCCTCTGTATTACCTTGGGCTGCACTTTCCTTTAAAACTATAACTCTACTTGTTTTCATTTGGAAGGTCCTAATTCTTTCCCTATGCAAAAGAAATTTATTCTGGTTACCAAGTTATGTGTGTGTTACTTTTTTTAAATATGGAAAAAATCTGAAGACCAGTATAATCTTATTCCCCTCAGTGCCATCCCTTGCTCTCTTGCCTGATATATAGCTACTATTAATAGCCTGGCATATATTCTTTCAGATTTTTCATGTAAATATCTCTCATTCTTTTTAATACTTGTACGTATTCTATTGGGAGGATGTATGATCATTTATTTCTCTAATCCCTTATTTGTTGCAGCAGTGGAATTCTTAGATCAAAGAATATGTACTTCCCTTAGGTTATAGAGACTGTGGGAAAAATAGAAAAAAAGAAAAGAAAACAAAGAATATGTACTTTTTAAAGATTTAATAAATATTATCAAGCTCTCCTACAAAAAGACCCTACCAATTTTTTATATCAAGACAATGAAGGGGAATATGTGTTTCCCCATGTCCTCTACCACACCAGGCAGCGTCAGCTCATGCACTCAGGCAAGCTTTGTTACTATAATAAGCCGAAAATATATAAAGGGGTTTTAATTCATACTTCTTCCACTATTTGTCAGGTTGAACTTTTTTTCCCCTTTGTTTATTGGCTCTTTGTTCTTTTGTAAATCATCTTTGACTTTCGCATTAATTTATAAGAGATCACTGTGAAACAAATGACTTTGGCATTTATTTTACAAATATTTTTCCCAATTTATCACTCATTTTTCACACGCATACTCCCCCCACTCGTCTGTTGTTGTTGTTGTTGTTGTTGTTGTTGTTGTTGTTTTGAGGTGGAATCTCGCTCTGTCACCCAGGCTAGAGTGCAGTGTGCAATCTCAGCTCACTGCAACCTCTGCCTCCTGGGTTCAAGCGATTCTCATACCTCAACCTCCCGAGTAGCTGGGATTACAGGCACCTGCCACCACGCCTGGCTAATTTTTGTATTTTTAGTAGAGAACGGGGTTTCACCGTGTTGGCTGGGCTGGTCTCGAACTCCTGATCTCAAGTGATCTACCCACCTCAGCCTCCCAAAGTGTTGGGATTATAGGCATGAGCCACCATACTCAGCCTCGCCCTGCTCTTTATATACACAGAAATATACATGTATCTTTGTATTTGTGTGTGTATGTGTGTGTATCTTAATTTTACGTCAAATCTGTCAGTCTTTTATAGTTTCTGTCTTGGTGTGACGCTAATAAAAGCCTTTTCCCTCAAGTTTATAAACACATTTGATCATGTTTTCTTTCAGTACTTCTGTGCTTTCGTTTTTTATATTTAAATATTTGATCCTTTTAGGCTTAATTTTAAAATAATAAACGAGGCAGAGACCCAATTCCCCTAACTCAAATAACTGGTCGGTTGTCCCAAATGATCCAACTTTCCCCCACTGATTTGACAGGTTCCTTTCGTAATACATTGCGTTCTCACATACACTTGTATCTAATTATTCTCTGTTTTGTTTCATTGACTTATCAGTCTACTGTTAACACCTGTATTGCATTCTTTTAACTATTATGTCTTGTACATTTTAATTTATTTTATTTTATTTTTTAGAGACGGGGTCTTGCTGTGTTGGCCAGGCTGGTCTCAAACTCCTGACCTCAAGCAATTCTCCCATCTCAGCCTCCCAAAATGCTGGGATTACAGGCATAAGCCACCATGCCTGGCCCCTGTGCATTTTAATATGGGTGACAGCAGGGGTAGGGAAAGCAATCCCCCTCACCCACAAGACATTAGTCTTTTTAGTCCTTTTTTCGGAATTTTCCTGGCTGTTCTCTTTCTTTTTATTTATTTATTTATTTTTGAGACAATCTCACTCTGTCAGCCAGGCTAGAGTGCAGTGGCACAATCTCAGCTTACTGCAACCTCCGCCTCCTGGGCTCAAGAGATCCTCCTGCCTCAGGCTCCCGAGTAGCTGGGACTATAGGCACGTACCACCACACCTGGCTAATTTTTGTATTTTTAGTACAGATGGGCTTTCACCACGTTGGCCAGGCTGGTCTCAAACTCCTGAGCTCAAGTGATCTGCCCCCCTCGCCTCCCAAAGTGCTGGGATTGCAGGCGTGAGCCACCGTGCCCAGCTTTTCTGGCTGTTCTCACGTTTATTCTTCTCATTGAGCTTTAGATTATTTTATCAATTCCTCCAAAAGGTCTTATTGAGCTATAATCCAATTTGACTGAATCTATGGATTGATTTACATAGAAATGATGATTTACATGTCAGTTCTTAGCTTTGAAAGATTTTGTCTGTACTTATTGTCATGGTTTTATAGTTTTTCTATGTAGACACTATACATTTCTTAAGTTTTCTCCCCCTGAACAATTTTGTTTGTAATTGTTATTGTGACAGGGCTCTTGCGTTCCATTTCTTCTTCCAAAGATTGCTGTTTCTCATCTGTCAGTGGTTATTTTGACCAGTTTTCCTCTCAGAATATGGCCTCAAGCCCCTAATTCCTCAGGTCGCTAACCCACCCTGTGTAGCCTTCCTAGTGGACAACAACCACCAGAAGGCAGGGGAAGCCGCCAGAGGCTGTGGCACCCAGGCCAGCACTAACACGGTTCATTCCTTCTTCCCTTGCCCCACCTTCTAGAGGCCACTACTTTTGCTCAGTGTATGGGGCACGGCTGATGGTACCAGCTGGCCAGGGGCTCATCGTGGTCATCTCCTCCCCAGGAAGCCTGCAGTATATGTTCAATGTCCCCTATGGTGTGGGCAAAGCTGCGGTGAGGACCCAGTGGCATAGGAGCTGAGGAGGTAAAAGACAGTGATGTTACCTATAGCTCAGGAGGTACAATCCCCAGTGGTCAGAATGGTAAGGCTGGCTCCTCTCAGCTCCTCCTCTGCCTCATCCATGGACAGTTCCTTTGCTTGTGCTCCTCTTGGTTGGCTAGAGTAGGCATCACACTGGGGAGCGTGGGCAGCTGAGACCTTGGGGCTCCTGGGAAGGACAGGGTGGGTGGAGCATTCACAGTAGAAGCAGAGAGGGCAGGGCAGGAAAGTGACATGGCTAGGTGGCTCTTACCCTGCCTTCCGCCTCTCCACAGTGTGACAAGCTGGCTGCTGACTGTGCCCACGAGCTGCGGCGCCATGGGGTCAGCTGTGTGTCTCTGTGGCCGGGGATTGTGCAGACAGAACTGCTGAAGGAGCATATGGCAAAGGAGGAGGTCCTGCAGGATCCTGTGTTGAAGCAGGTTGGCAAGGGGAGGGCGAAGGAAGCAGAGAACAGGGGAGTCGGCCTCTGCATCCTCAATAACAAGATCAGATACTCCCACTCACCAGGTGCTTACTGTGGCAGGTGCAGGGCTGAGCATGGGACACACATTATTTCCTTTAATCCTGTAAGGGAGATACCAGCTCCATTCTACAGATGGCAAAACTGAAACCCAGAGAGGTTTAGAAACTTGTTGAAGGTCACATATGTCCTAAGTGGAAAGGCTGTCTAGCTCCAAAGACCATGCACTTGACCCCCACACCAGCTAGCTTAGAAGGTCCAAACACTATTTGGCACTACCAGATCCTTCCACTTAGCAAAGACAGCAGATCCTGGTGCCAGGGCACAGGGCTCACCTGGATGTGGGGAGGAGTGGCTCTGGCACCTGCCAATACTTTGGGTCCTACAGGCCCTGCTTGAGGTCTTTGGCCTCTTTGGTCTTTGGTCTTTTTCTCCTGGAACAGAAGTTGAAATGGGGAGGAGACCTGGGCAGTGCTCTTGGAAATTAACCCTTCACTTCTCTGCCCCTGTGTTTCAGTTCAAATCAGCCTTCTCATCTGCGGAAACCACAGAATTGAGTGGCAAATGTGTGGTGGCTTTGGCAACAGGTGAAGTTTGGGGGCAGCTGGTAATAAGAAAGGGCATGGAGGATGTGTAGTGCGGTAGCATCCAGTGCCCAGATCTGGCTCGGGAGTTGGTTGAGGAACATGTCATTCTTTTCTCTGCTTTTTGAGGCCCAAGGGGTCAGCATTCCCAGTTTGAGGTCTGAGAGCCTTAGGAGCAGGCTCCTGGGAAGTGTGGAAAAAGTCCAAGGCCCAAGAGAAAGAGCTCTCCAGGGATCCTGAGCTCCAGGGCTCTCAGCAGTGCCCTGTCCAACTGGGCCCAAACCTTGTCACTCTGCATACTCCCCTGCCTGCCATCTCCACCTGTCTGTGTGCCCGCAGATCCCAATATCCTGAGCCTGAGTGGTAAGGTGCTGCCATCCTGTGACCTTGCTCGACGCTATGGCCTTCGGGATGTGGACGGTGAGGACCCTGGCACAGCAGTCAGCCTTGACTGCTGTTCCCTCTGTTCCCTGCCCACTCCTCCCTCGGTCTCTCCAGCCAAGGTGAGGGTATCTGAGGAGTGGGAAATGAGAATCTAATCCTCCTCCTCCTGTTGTTCCCAGGCCGCCCCGTCCAAGACTATTTGTCTTTGAGCTCTGTTCTCTCACACGTGTCCGGCCTGGGCTGGCTGGCCTCCTACCTGCCCTCCTTCCTCCGTGTGCCCAAGTGGATTATTGCCCTCTACACTAGCAAGTTCTAACCCTCCTGGTCTGACACTACGTCTCTGCTTGTCTTCTCATTTGGACTTGGTGGTTCGTCCTGTCTCAGTGAAACAGCAGCCTTTCTTGTTTACCCATACCCTTGATATGAAGAGAAGCCCTCTGCTGTGTGTCCGTGGTGAGTTCTGGGGTGCGCCTAGGTCCCTTCTTTGTGCCTTGGTTTTCCTTGTCCTTCTTTTTACTTTTTGCCTTAGTATTGAAAAATGCTCTTGGAGCTAATAAAAGTCTCATTTCTCTTTCAATGTGTTTTTGACTGCTGATTCTCTGCTCAGCAACATGTTAACAATTTGGGAGAAAGACTCAAAGATGTATAAATGTGAAGCTTCTCAAGGGGTTCTGCCCCAGGACAAGACCCCTTTCCTCCAGAACTGTTCCTGCTCTGCCCTGCAAGACCTGTTTCCCATGCCCCAGCTGAGGAGCAGAGTCGCTCCACAGCTAGAAGTGGGCACATCCAGTCTCACACTGGTTTTCCACCCCCATTCCACCATCTCTTCAGGGATGCCTGCTACCTTCTAGCTGGGCCTGATCTCTGGCTGAGGCCCAGTCCAGCAAAGGCAGATTCCTTGGTGTTCATGATTTCCTGGAACTTGGGGAGAAGGTACTGCCTGAATCCAAGTGAGGGACAGAGGAATAGCTGTGACACCGACAACTCTCATCCTTCCTCTCGGGATGGTTCTACCTGAATTGCTTTCTGCAGAACTAATTGCATGAGCCCTATAGAGCTGCCTTGCCTATGCAAGAGGCTGTCCTAGCCTGAGGCAAGGCAATGGGGTGTGTTCCTAAGAGGAGCCAAGGGCTATTCTGAGGGAACCTTCCACCGGACAGCCTAGATAACCATCCAAAGTGATGGGATGGCTGCCATAAATCAGAGAAACATAAATCATTTTACTTATTCAAAATCTTCAGAGTGAGAGCTGAGGCTTCCCCAGGCTGCCCACAAGATTGGCAGAAGTCTTCCTGTGGCTTTCTGGGGACCGTCCCCAGTTACTGTTCCAGTGGTAAGTGGAGTGGCTCACCAGCTTCTGAGAGCTTCTGATGCACATCTCTTCTAAGTCCTCATTCAGTGATTTCATGTGGTGTCTTGAATCAGCCATGGCGACAGTACATGTCCCATGAAAGTCCACAAATGCTACCAATCAAAGCTTTCTTTTAGAGAGAGGGCTGGCTTATCAGTACGTGACTGGTATAGAACCTTTGGAACTGTGTGCCTAAATGCCACCATTTGCTGTGGCAGCAGATCACAGTGATCAGATTCCCTCAGCACCTGCTCACCCTCTTCCACTTACCAGCCTAAATTCCTGTTATCTCCTGAGGTTGATGAGGAGCACAGGCAGTTGCCTATGTGGTATAAAAAGAAGATGGGCCTCAGGACCACCTCCAGCCTTCCACAGCCATCATTAAAATCCACCAATGGGGCTGGGCGTAGTAGTTTACACCTGTAATCTCAGTCCTTGGGAGGTTGAGGAAGGTGGATCGCTTGAGCCCAGAAGTTTGAGACCAACCTGGGCAACATAGGGAGACCCCATCTCTACAAAACAATTTTTTAAAGATTAGCTGGGGCCGGGCACAGTGGCTCACACCTGTAATCCCAGCACTTTGGGAGGCCGAGGCAGGTGGATCACGAGGTCAGGAGATCGAGACCATCCTGGCTAACATGATGAAACCTCGTCTCTACTAAAAATACAAAGAAAAAAAATTAGCTGGGCGTGGTGGCGGGCGTCTGTAGTCCTAGCTACTCGGGAGGCTGAGGCAGGAGAATGGCATGAACCCACCTCCCAGGAGGTTGCAGTGAGCCGAGATCGTGCCACTGCACTCCAGCCTGGGTGACTGAGCAAGACTCCATCTAAAAAAAAAAAAAATTAGCTGGGCGTGGTGGAATGCACCTGTGGTCCCACCTACTCAGGAGGCTAAGGTGGGAGGACTTGGTGAGCGTGATCACGCCACTACAGCCTGAGCAACAGAGTGAGACCCAGTCTCAAAAAAACAAAAAACAAACAAACAAAAACCACCATTGGAACAAAACTTTCCATGATGGCATTGTCTCCTAAATTCTCAAGATATTATGAGGGAAGCATGGACTTCAAACTCATATAAACTGTCATGCAAATCCTGACTCCACCACCTTGAGAATTAAATGAAATAATATATATACAGCATCAAGCAATACATAACCATCGAAATTGTCAATTCCTGGTCGGGCGCGGTGGCTCACGCCTATAATCCCAGCACTTTGGGAGGCTGACGCAGGCAGATCACGAGGCCAGGAGTTCGAGACCAGCCTGGCCAACATGGTGAAACCCCATCTCTAATAAAAATACAAAAACTAGCCAGGCATGGTGGAGCACGCCTCTAATCCCAGCTACTCGGGAGGCTGAGGCAGGAGAATCGCTTGAACCCGGAAGGCAGAGGTTGCAGTGAGCAGAGATTGCGCCACTGCACTCCAGCCTGGGTGACAGTGTGAGACTCCATCTCAAAAAAAAAAAAATTGTCAATTCCTTCTCTCAACAAATAAATCTAACAGCCTGCTCTGCACCAGGCACCATTCTTGGCTTCAGGATAGAACAGAGAGCAAGACAGACCAGGCCCCCGCCCACAAAAGACTTTCATTTCAGCCATGGGAGATTTTAGAAGTCATCTAGACCTTCCATTTATTGAAGGCAGTGAGTGAACTGGGACCCCAAGAGTCCATAAGATGTGGAGTAAGACCTCGGTCCTGGTATCCCAAGAAACCAGAAGGAATAGTGCTATTCACAGCAGACCACTGTGCTTCTCTCTGACAAGTTTCAGTCATCTTAGAAACATAAGCCACAGAGTACACCACCCAAGGGAATGGCACATGAACAGTCACTTTTGATTGAAGGTAGAAGAGATTCAGGATGTGGGAAGCCTGACACTAGAGAGCACTAGGACATTTTGGGGAATCAATACTCATTCAAAGACATTTGTTTTTTGAAACTCTCTGCCCAGCCCCATGCAAGACACCAGGGAAGACTAGTTGAATTTGGCTAGATGAGTGCTGCAGTAAACTACCCAGAGTGCCCTGAGGACACAGGAGGAAAGAAGCAGCATGCCTGGAGAACTGAGGAAGGGGGCGAGACTAACCAGACACATAAAGGATGGGCGAGGGGTGGAGGTGGGTTTTTTGTTTGTTTGTTTGTTTTTAAAGGCAGGTACTGAGACACAAAAGTAGCAGAACAGCTAGAAGTTTGATGTGGCTTAAATTTAGATTCAGTATGGAATACATTTCCAGAGAGAGAGTGGAGTAAAGATATATGACTGAGACTTAAATTGTGGGTGATAGGTTTCCACTGAGGATCCACCTTAGACCCTGAGTGATTTATGAAGTACTCCCAGGGAGACAAGTAAGCAGGGTTGGTGAAGCCAAGCACGAGCACCCTCTCAGCTGCAGAAAGCAGCTCTGGCATGATGCGAGGGAACAGCTTTGGTGTGTAAGGCCTCAGAATAGTTCCAGCCTGGGACAAGGTTTTTCTGGGCTTTTATTCCCACCAAAACTACCACCAGCAAATGGTGCTCAGTGACCACAGAGCAGTCACTGGGTACACTGCCACCCAGGGCAAAGCAGTCCAGGAGGCCAAAGGCAGTCCTCCAAGAAGGGCTGCAGGTGCCAGCCTTGAAAGCACAGAGTGGGGACCGGGCACGATGACTCACACCTGTAATCCCAGCACTTTTGGGAGGCAGAGGCGGGTGGGTCACTTGAGGTCAGGCATTCAAGACCAGCTTGGCCAACATGGTGAAACCCCATCTGCACTAAAAATACAAAAATTAGCCTGGTGTGGTGGCGTGCACCTGTAATCCCAGCTTCTCGGGAAGCTGAGGCAGGAGGATCGCTTGAACCCGGGAGGCAGAGGTTGCAGTGAGCTGAGATTGCGCCACTACACTCCAGCCTGGGCAACAGAGCAAGACTCTGTCTAAAAATAAAAATAGGCCGGGCGCGGTGGCTCACACACACCTGTAATCCCAGCACTTTGGGAGGCCGAGACGGGCGGATCACGAGGTCAGGAGATCGAGACCATCCTGGCTAACATGGTGAAACCCCGACTCTACTAAAAATACAAAAAAATAGCTGGGCATGGTGGCGGGCACCTGTAGTCCCAGCTACTCGGGAGGCTGAGGCAGGAGAATGGCGTGAACCTGGGAGGCAGAGCTTGCAGTGAGTCGAGATCGTGCCACTGCACTCCAGCCTGGGCGACAGAGCGAGACTCCGTCTCGAAAAAAATAAATAAATAAATAAAATAAAAATAAAAAATAATAAAAGAAAGGACAGAGTGAGGTGTCATGCACAAAAATGGAAAAAGAAAATTCAAGAGGGATCTGGGCCGAGCATTAACACTGTCAGCTGCAGGAGGATTTAAGCAGAAACGTAAAATCATCAGATTTGAATTTTGGAAGTTCACTGGGGCTGAGGTATGGGGAGGATGGACTAGAGGGAGGAGAGAGGCAGACACCAGAGGAGTAGCCAGAAGGCTGGCCCGCTATCAGTATCCCTGGGATGTGATGCAGTGAAGGTGTGAGCAGACGAGACATTGTAGGAGGCAGAGTCAACAGGGACCTGGGACTATTGTGGGACTGTGGTGGTGGTATCCCTGGCTTGAGGGATGCCATGAAACCAGCAACAGGCACAGAGAAAGAAAGAATGTGCCTGAGCAGTGAAGGAGAAGCCAGTGTGCCAGACGTAGCACTGATGGGGCACTGAGGGCCTGACCGAGATGCAGCCCCGCCCCAACTGAGGCAAGTCAAGGTTCTTGGCTGGTCCCTGAAGACGCTTAATTCCTCAAAGGAGCCCAGGGAAAGAAGAAGAGATTTTTGTTTTGCATTGTTAATTTTTTTTTTTTTTTGACAGTTTATCTTTGTTGCCCAGGCTGCATGCAGTGGCATGATCTTGGCTCACAGCCACCTCCACCTCCTGGGTTCAAGCAATTCTCATGCCTCAGCCTCCTGAGTAGCTGGGATTACAGGCGCCTGCCACCACGCCCAGCTAATTTTTTGTATTTTAGTAGAGACCGGGTTTCACCATCTTGCCCAGGCTGGTCTCGAACTTCTGAGCTCAGGCAATCTGCCTATCTCAGCCTCCCAAAGTACTAGGATTACAGGCACGTAATAAATTACCGTGCCCAGCCTGTTAATTTATATTTTTCAGAGGTAACACATTCACATGGCTCAGAATCCAAAAGGTATTGAAGGATGCACAGTGAAAAGTCTCCTCCTCATCCCTGCCCTCAGCCCGGAGGCAGCCAGTGCTACTGCATTCTTGGGTGGCCACAGAGACAGCCCATGCCTTACAAGCAAACATCTAAGATATTCAGAGAAGAGATTTGCTGCGTGCAAATCTGGGCCTCTCTCTCCAGCAGAGGAGTCATAATTTCCAGTCTCAGGCCCACTCTGGCCCTTGTGTCTAACACTTCTAAGTGCACCCAGAGCCCCCACCCCTTCCCAGGTCCTAATGCATCTGCTCCCACCACCAGAAACTTCCCTACCCCACCAACAGAGAGGGTAAGAGGAAAGTGTGACAGCTTAAATAGAGACTAATGACAGCAGAGAAGCAGTGTGAATGCCTAGAAGAGACCAGCCTGAGCGGCCTGGCCCAGCCCCAGTCTCCTCTAAGGATATGGACCCAAACATGGCTGTGAGATGCATGTCACATGGAGATGCCTCTTTCTAGAACAACTGCCCAAGGGTTGTGAGGTATCAAAATGAGGCTTTGGAGCCTCTATCCCCAGGTGTCCCCACTAATGTGAGCTTTGACTAACTGGCCTACATTAAACAGGAAGAGGATGGGTGCAGGGCTGGACCGAGGTATCAGTGACTCCAGGTTTACGGACAAGTCACTGAGGAGGAGTTTCCATCAGCTCCTGAAGTCCCCTTTGGGCCCATGAGTAGAAGGGGAGGTCAGGTCTCTGGCAGGCCAGGGAAGTGAGGAGACGATGTGAGTGACAGTGGGGTGCGATCCAGGCACAGAGAGTGAGGAGCACACACGAGGGCCCAGTGGACAAACCCAGGCAGGCGGCTGGGCCCAGGGCTGCCCTTTCCCTTTGTCACCCTGGCTCCTACCCACCCACGACCGCCAAAGGCCTTGGCCCTGTCTCTGAGGCATCTGTCTCCTACCACCCATGCCAAAGGCCTTGGCACTGTCGCTGAAGCATCTGGTCCCTTACACTTTTGGCCTCCCCATCCCTAGGGAGAGCCCCACCCATGACCTCAGAAGTCCTTTGCCGCAGCCCCTCCCCATCACCTCCAGTCCCTGGTCTTCCCCTCCTAGTTTGGCCCACCCTCCCCACCAAGCGCACTCCCCTGGGCCCTACTGCTCCCACCTTCTCAGGCTTCCCCTCCTTGCACTGCTCCTCCTGACCCCTCAGCCCTATCACCTGCCTGTGCTCACTGGCCCCTGTGCTCTAATCCCCTCTTTAACCCTCCATCTCCTGGTCAGCTGGTGTTTGTGCAGCCTCCTGTGTGCTCAGCACTGGGCAGGGCAGGGTGGACGGGTACAGGCAAGCCTTATGAGACAAAGGTCCAGCTCTCAAAGTGCTTCCAGTTGGCATCATGAAAACATTAGGCAACAATGGCAAGACCCAAGGTGGGGACTCAAAGGAGTGGGAGGGGTCGCCACAGCCAGGCACCTCCCTAGGCTGGACACAACTCTCGTTTCATCCAGGTTTCACCTTCCTGGGGGGTGACAGGACATTCTTATCCCTGCCTTTCTCTGTCAAGCCTCACCTCTGTCTCAGCTCCTGCCTGCAGGCAACCAAGAGCATCCTTGCCCCCTCAGTGTGTCCTGACTCCCTGCCTGACACTCCACTCAGTTCCCCCCAACACACATGCCCATGGGTGCCCTGGCCTAGGGGTCCTCCTCAGAGCCCCATGGCTGCTGGTTTAACTAGGCTGATGGGCCCCATGTTGAGCAGCAGAAGAGGCAGAAGTCACCTCAGGACTGAGCAGGGGCTAAGGAGGAGCACGGGCTGGGTCTTCTGCAGGTGGTATCGAAGAGAAATAGCAGATGTTAGTTAAAGCAGTGAAAGCAGGCTTTATTCAGTAACTACTGACAGTAGGGGAAAGAGCTGAGCTCCATTCTGATTTGTGCACAGGTGATCTGGGAGCTGTCAAGGGAGGAGGCAGGGGGTTAGCAAAGCCTCAGAGTGAATGGAATGAGGCCAGCTGTCTCTCTGTCTCTGGCTGGCATGTACCTAAGTTAGGGCTCTGTCCTTTATTTATTTATTTATTGAGGCAGGGTCTCACTCTGTAGCGTGAGCTGGAGTTCAGTGGGTGGTGCGATCTCAGCTCACTGCAACCTGTACCTCCCCAGCTCAAGGGATCCTCCCACCTCAGCCCCCTGAGTAGCTGGGACTATAGGAATGTACAACCATGCCTGGTTAAGTTTTTTTTTTTTTTTGTATTTTTAGTAGAGACAGAGTTTTGGCATGTTGCCCAAGCTGGTCTTGAACTCCTGGCCTCAAGTGATCTGCCCGCCTCAGCCTCCCAAAGTGCTGGGATTACAGCGTGAGCCACCATGCCTGGCCTTGATGACTAGATTTTAAAGGAAGACCTGATGCTTTTGAGTTGCAAGAGATACATATGTACAATGGCAAGCCATTTTGAGCCAAATGTTCTAAGAAAGTGAGGTCAGGGGCCTATCATCAGGTGTTGGCTGGAACAAATAATAAATTTTTCTGGCAGCACTGAGCTTTCTCAAGACAGCACTTTAAGAGGGGCTGGGGCCATCCTAGGGATACAGCCTTGTGCTGCTAAAAGCCAATCTAGAGTTGGTCAAGTCTCTTAGTTCAGAGGTTTGGACAGAGTTGTCATGTGCTGAGAGTTCTGCAGTTCTCAGTGGGATGCTGCTGCCCACTGCCCTCTGCTCCAAGCCTCCCGGGGAACTCAGCAGTGGGCCAGCTGTGGGGGCGAATAGTTTCCTCAGCCAGAGTCCAGGTGCAGGCTCAGGCTCAGCTTGAAGCAAGGCCAAGGGATCGCCAGCCACCTGGACTTAAATGCCAGCAGTGGAGAGGAACTGGAAGCTGCTTGTGCTTGATAGTGGTGAATCTGGAGGACATAAGGACCCTTCTGTAGACCCTTGAGAATGGAGGAGCCCATGAGGAATGCTGGGAAGTAGGCAAAGGGAGGAAGTGGGCCCGGCTTTGTGCAATTTCTATTAGCAAGTACCAACACATATGCCCCATATTGGTGAGTAAGGAGGTCTTGGCTACCTCCTCATTAGAGAGGCAGTTCCAGAAGAAACGCGCAAAGCCAGAACAGACACAGCCTGAGCATCCCTAGAGGGCCTCAAGCAAGAGGGAGCAAAGGTGCCTTGGCTTTGGCCCTTCACTGTCACATTAACACCCTATCATCAGAGACCTGTGTTATTGTAGGGGCTGAGAGAATTCAGGTTTATTGGGCACCTGCAACGCCCAAACACTCTACCTAGGCCCTACTCTTTTCATCTGCCACATGAGGTAAGTACTCTTTTACAGCTGAGGAAACTGAGGCTCAGAAATTCTAAGTAACTTATCCAGGATTGCAAGGCTTTACAGCGAGAGTCTGGATTCGACCAAATCTGTATAACTCTGCATAAAAGTGTGAGCTCTTTCCCCTGCATCATGCTGCTTCTGCTTTCTTGTGTCTGGTTTTGTTTGGTTTGGTTTTTGAGACAGAGTCTCACTCTGTTGCCCAGGCTGGAGTGCAGTGGCGCTATCTCGGCTCACTACAACCTCCGCCTCCTGGGTTCAGCAATTCTCCTGTCTCAGCCTCCCCAGTAGCATGGAATTACATCATGCCTGGCTAATTTTTGTATTTTTAGTAGAGACGGGGTTTCCCAGGCTGGTCTCAAGCTCCTGGCCTCAAGTGATCCGCCCGCCTTGGCCTCCCAAAATGCTGGGATTACAGGCGTGAGCCACTGTGCCGGCCTCTGGTTTGGTTTTGACTTTGGAGGCCTTCTACTTTGGGTAGAGGAAGGGTTGGGGACTGGGCAGAATGGTGAAAGCTTTCCCAAGCTCACCCAGCCTAAGTTCCTCTTGGCCACATTGAGCCTTACTCTTCCCTAAACTTGACCACACTCCCTTTCCTCTGCGCCTTTGCTCCAGCTGTTCTGATCTCTGGATTACTGCTCATTCTTTCACCCAGCCCCCAACCCCATTTTGCCTGCCAGAATTCATCCAGCCAGGCCCATCTCAACCTCCTAGAAGTTTCTCCTGGCGTCTTCTACCCTTGCTTTGCCCGCTTCCAGGGAACCTCTTACTATGAAATTCACTTGGCTCTTGACTAGTGTTAGAGCCATAGATGTCTTCATCCATTTCCTGGATAAGGATGACTCCTTCCCAAAGTTAGGGATTAGGTCTTGAACCCTTCATCCCCCATTCTCCTGCTGTCTCCTTCCCCATGCACAGAAACTTTGAAACCTTCAGCACAGAACTGCACAGTACCTGGGGCAAACCCAGAGTGTGGCTGAACTCACAGGCCCAGTGAGACCAATTGGTGAGAGCTCCACCCTTCCTCCCTGAGGGGAGGTATGCTGGGCCAGCCATGGCAGTGTCTGTATCCCAGGACTGACCCTCTAAGGACTCATTGATCCCTGCTATCCATCGGTCCTTGGCCTCGGCCCCACACACCACACCTCAGCCTCAAAACCCCCGCTCAGGGGCCTAAGAGAGAATTTCCCAACAGGGCTGCCAGCAGTGGGAGCCTTGGATGCCTCTGTAGGGCTACTCCAGGTCCTCCCTGCCCCTCTTCCCCTCAGTGTTCTTTGCCAGGCACAGAGCTCAAGCCTGAGTCATGATTGGGCCCACAGGGGACTCAGGAACACAGCATTGCTCCTGTCAGCAGTTCCAGGCATTCTCCTTTACACTGAATTCTGAGCTTCGGAACCACTCCCTGTCCACTCCCTCCCGGTGCTGCGAGGCCTGGCCCTACAGCCTGGAGTGCAGCCACCCCTGACCAAGCTCCCTGCCCTGGGCTCTAAGATCCCCAACTCCTCCTCCTCATCTCCCACCCCAGCCCAGTGGGTGGGTGCCTCCATGGCTCACCATTTATTCATTCATTCATTCTTTCCCAACTAGTCTCAATACCCTGTTTCATTTCCCTCAGGGGCACTTAGATTCCCTGAAATTGTCTTAGGTGTGTATTTGCTCCTACAGGGACTGTCTCCCCAACTATAATGTAAGCCCTATGACAGCAGGGACCTTGTCTGTCTTGGTCACCACTGTATATTGAGCTGTACTGGCGCTCAATAATTGTTGGTTGATAATTGACTGGCTAAATTATGTTAACGTTAGTTGAGCAACCACCATGGTGCAGGCACCTTGCTAGGTGAGAGGAAATGCAGTCAAATGAGTCCCCTTGGGTAGGTAGTTCACAGCAGGAGCAGAAGTGGGGCGCTGCACCCACAGGATGAGCTATAATGCAGGCACCACAGGACCTGGTGCTGAGAGGAACAGAAGAGGCACTTGACCGAGCCCCAAGCCAGGGCTTCTGCTCACCTACAGCCCCAGCTCCCACTCACTTCCTTTAGGAAGCCCACCCCCATTCTCAGACAGGGCAGCTCCCCATCAGGTGCTCACCCAGCACCATATGCCTCTCCATAAAGGCAGAGCAGTTGACAGAGTTGTCCTTCTACATTTGCTTATGTGATTATTTCCATCATCCAGAAAGTTCGATTAAACAGCCCAGGGCTAGCCTGTATGCTCAGTGAGGCAGGGACTTTGTCTGTGCTCTGCTCACTGTCGCAGCCCCCACCCTAGCGTGGATCAGGCACAGAGGGCCCTCAGTCAGTATTTGTTGGATGGATGAATGGGACAGGGAAAGGGCGAGGCCTGAGTGCTCCCCCAAAAGGAGCGGTTCCTCTTTCCTCCCCTAGAGGAGTATGTCCTTAGCCCCCTGTGTTCATCTACCAGCGACAGCATCCCATCCTTCCCCAGGACCCACAGTCTCACTTTGTTCCACAGCTTCTGCTTCTCACTTGACATAGAACGTCAGGGCTTCTGCCTCCTGGTACCACTCACATCATATATGCCCAAAACCGAATGTGATGGTGCCCCCTGCAGCTGGGCAGCAGCCTTGCCAGGCAGTGAGCTTCTTGGCTACATTCCCACCTCCACCAGTGCTCTGGGCAATTTTTAGCCAACATGTCATTATCATCACCAGTCACCATGCAGTGCCTGGCTCCTGTCACAGAGGCTTCAGTTCTGGCTGGCTCAAGAAGTTTTTCCAGCTTTTCAACACCATTTCTTGGTTGCTTTTCCCTCAACTCTTCCCCAAGAGACGCCAACCTGAGTCAGTACCCACCACACCCTGGGAGAGTTAGAATGCTCTTGTGGGGACTTTCCCTCTGGGGCCCTTCTGTCTTTTAGGGCAACCTTGGGGACCTGCCCTCCCTTCTCACTGGCTAACCTGTTTCGTCTTCTTCCCCAGCCAGGAAGTGTGCTACAGGCACGTGGCAACCCCCATGGGCCATCAAGCAATTTCCCCAGCCTGACTCAGAAGGAACTGGGGAGCAGGGAGAAGAGAAAGAATGCAAGCATTCAAACCAAGTGTCCAAGGAATGGTCAGTTGTGGGGAATGGGCAGTGGAGAGGATCTTCTTGGGCTCTGAGTTACTCTAGTCCCCTGCTCCATCCCAGGGATCAGCATCTTTCAGAACTTCAGAGTGGAGAGACTCTGGTCTCTGAATGTCCACTACTACGTTCTCACAAAGTGGTTGACCAACATATGCTTGAATGCCTCCCACCTCTCATTGAGGCCCATTCTACCTTTGGTAGAATAATTAGCTTTAATTATTAGAAAGTCCTTCCTCATAAAGGATCTACATCCACTCTCTGGTCTTTGGTCTTTGCTCTCAAGATATGCAGAATCAATTCGGTTTCTATTCCAGGAGTTGAAAGACCATTATCATCTGCCCCTTGAATCTTCTCTCCCAGTTCAGTATCTTCATGTCTTCCCTGTGGTCATGGGCTCTTCTCACCATCCTGATTTCTACCTCTGGACTCTACAGTTTGTCTCTGTCCCTCTCAAAATGGGCCACACACTCCTCACAGGGTTTGACTCTCACAGAGTCTGGGGCCTATGAGCCCCATTGTTCTGGGTACTAAAGCTCTCTTAGTGCATCCCAAAGTCATGTTAGTGCTTTTGGCAAGCAGATCACAGTCAATTCTTTCCAATCTCTTATCAGCCAGAGTCCTCCTGTCTTCATACACTATCGTTATTCCACCCCTCACGTATCTCACTCTTGTGCAGCTGATTATCTGAAGACCAAAGAACCAGAGTGTAATTCTGTCCCTATTCAATACCACATGACAAATCTGGCCCAACAATCTCACCAGACGCCATCATCCAGTATTCCTCCCAATTATGTGCAAGTGACCTTCGATTATGAGAGTGGCATCTGTGCTCATCCCACGTCACTGAAAAAGTGCCATCACTAGGGACCTCCCTCCAGGTTGACAAAGACACATTAATTCATATTATTTGGTGATGGATGTCCTATCCGTTACAACCATATCTACTATCCCACCAGCACCCCCACAGTTCACCATTTTGTTGCTCAACATATCCTAAGATAGAGCTGATGGGTGCAAAAGCACTAAGATAGTCATTTGAAAACCTGGTTTCCAAACCTGGCCCCACCTCCAGGTATGTGACTTCACTGGCCCCACCTCCGGGTATGTGACTTCACTGAGTATCTCTGGGCTGCTGGGGATCCATCATGCCCTGTCTCGCTATAACGCTGTGCTCTGCGATGGTCAGAGTTATAAAGAATCAGGAAGCTGGGGGCAGAGGAAGTCCCTGTTGCAAGAGATAAGAATTGGGCACTTCTGCTTGTGCCATGGGGAAGCTTCAACTCTGCTATCACTGACACGTGGCAGGCACCCAGCGCTGCTCTTCCCCTTTCATTTTCTTGACCCCAACTTGTGCTGGGACTCAGATTTCCCAATATTTGATTTCATCTGGGTCCCAAGATTAGATCCAGACCATCTGGCCTGAGTTGCCTCCCCTTGCTGGCCCCGCTTCCCCACAAGGCCAGCATCCAGCACCCCCACCCAAGATTCCCAGAGGTCTCTGGATGCCTCCTTCCACCCTCCTCCCACAGTCCTGGCCCTGGCCGGCTCCAGCAAAGCATGGTGGGCAAGGCTGGAGGGAAAGCCAGCAAGAAAGCGTCTTCTGGAATCAGCCTGAGCACAAGGCCAGGCTTTATTGCTTCTGGCTGTGCGGCCTCGGGCAGAGCTTCAGTTTCTTGCCATCATGGCTATAAAGTATTCAGTCATTATAATTTCTCATTAATTATGGCTTCGGGAGCACAGAAGTTCTCCTCTCTTCGTTGTCCATTTCTTCTTTTGCCCTCCACTGAGGCTTCTCCACCCCACACCCTCAGCCCTGCCCTCACCACGCTCTATCAAAGCTTGTTTGTGGGTTCCCTCACCTCCCCTCTCCCCAGAGCACCCATTCTCTGCTGGGTGTAATGACTACCTGCGCACACCTGACGCCCACGCTGACTTCTTCTGCCTTGACCTCTCAGCCTCTCTCCAGGCAAGGATTTCTTGTTGCCTCAGGACATCTCCACATCAAAACCAAACATGTGAGAAGTAGCCCTTCCTCTTCTCATGCAACCATCCCTCCCCACGCCCATGTTCTAGGACCTCTGTGGACACCACAAATTCTCAAGTCCTCAGCTTTACAACTGCAAGCCTTCCTCCCAGTTCCCTTCGTCCCTGCATCTTAGTCTCACCTGCTACCAAATCCTGCCTACTGGTCCTCAGAAATAGTCCTTCTCCATCCTCACTCTCCATGCCCACTGCCCCCCCACAGCCACAGGGACATTCATGTGGATTCTAGGTTCTGCCAGATCATCCCTGAAGAGGGGGTTTTCTAACCTCCTTCCCCACATTTACCTCCGTTCTGTGTCTCCCGTCCCCCACTAAACCTTTTACCCATACCTGTGTCTGGGAGAGTTTTAAAATAGGAGGATCAGAGCTGCACATCTGTGATTTGTGCACTTTCAGTATAATACATTATGCCTCAGTGACAAGTTTTATAGAAGAATAGAGTAAGCATCAAAAGTTAAACAGAAAAAAATGTAAACCGTTACAATCACCAGATCTAAAACAAGTTCTTCTTAACCTGAGTCTGGGTGAGGTGTCCCTTCTGTGGGCCCTCATGGGCCCCTGTCCTACTCCATCTTACGTGTCTCACCCAAGAGACCTGCTCTGTCCAATACTAGCCACTAGCCCCATGCAGTTATTTACATTTAAATTAGGCCAGGTGCGGTGGCTCATGCCTGCAGTCCCAGCACTTTGGGAGGCTGAGGCAGGATGATTGCTTGGAGGCCAGGAGTTGGAGACCAGCCTGGGCAATATAGAAAGATCCTGTCTCTAAAAATAATTTTTTTTTAAATTTGCCAGGCATGGGCTAATTTTTAAAAATTAGCTGGGTGTGTGCCTGTAGTCCCACCTATTTTTTTTTTTTTTTTGAGACCGAGTCTTGCTCTGTTTCCCAGGCTAGAGTGCAGTGGCATGACCTCAGCTCACTGCAACCTCCACCTCCTAGGCTCAAACGATTCTCCTGCCTCAGCCTCCCATGTAGCTGGGACTACAGGCACGTACCACCACGCCCAGCTAATTTTTGTATTTTTAGTAGAGATGGCATTTCACTGTGTTGGACAGGCTGGTCTCCAACTCCTGACCTCAAGTGATCCGCCTGCCTCGGCCTCCCAAAGTGCTGGGACTACAGCACTACAGCATTACAGCTGGCCCGTGGCCAAAAAAAAATTTTTAAGTTAATTAAAATGAAAAAAAATGAAAAATTCAGTTCCTCAATTGCACTAGGCACATTTCAAGCGCTTAGCAGTCACATGGGGCTACTGTCAACCGTGTTAGATGACACAGATACCAAACACTTCCATTGTCACAGAAAGTTCTATCGGACAGTGCTACACGCCACTGTAAGCTCTGGAAGACAGAGACTTGTCTTTCTGGTCCACTACTGGATCCCTGGCACCCAACATGCTGTGAGGCCCAGCACTGATGCTGAACATCAAGAGACTGAATAAATGCACACACTACCACACACTGCACATGGCCCGGAGACAGCTCCATTACCTGTCTCGCACTTGCTCCCCCTGCCGTCAGACCATGGCTTCTAGCCAAGCTTTGACCCAGGGCCCTGGCCCAGGGCCCTGACCCAGGGCTCGTGGCCCCCTTTCCTCCCTCCAGACTCTCTGGTCTGTGACGGGCTCAGGGTCCTGGAGCCATTGTAAGTGACTATGTGTGTGTGCTTCTGTGTATGTATGTTGGGAGCAGGAGTAGAGAAAGAATTGGCAGGGGTGGAAAGACGCCAGGGTTCCAGGTCTCAAGAAACTCAGGTTCAGGCCTCTGGCAATGGTCACTCTCACCTATACAGCCGACTCAATTCTGAATCTCGAAGATGTGTGACTTTGGACAAGAAACTAACCTCTGCAAACCCACTGTATTCCCTGTTGCTTCATTGTAAAATATGGATAATACCTATTTCATATAGGTAGTGAGTGCAGTAAATAAGATGTCTGGGGCTCTGTTGATACTCAATTACTGTTTGTTTCTTTCTATACATAGAGGGCAGTAAAAATCTCTTCTTCAAACATCATTTAGATTGTGGCTTTCAGGGCACGGTGGCTCACGCCTATAATCCCAGCACTTTGGGAGGCCGAGGCAGGCAGCTCACCTGAGGTCGGGAGTTCAAGACCAGCCTGACCAACAAGGAGAAACCCTGTCTCTACAAAAAATACAAAATTAGCTGGGCATGGTGGTGCATGCCTGTAATCCCAGCTACTCGGGAGACTGAGGCAGGAGAATCGCTTGAACCCGGGAGGCACAAGTTGCAGTGAGCCAAGATGGTGCCATTGCATCATTCCAGCCTGGGCAACAAAAGCAAAATTTGTCTCAAAAAAAAAAAAAAAAAAAAAGCCGGACATGGTGGCTCACGCCTGTAATCCTAGCACTTTGGGAGGCCGAGGCAGGCAGATCACGAGGTCAGGAGATCGAGACCATCCTGGCTAACAAGGTGAAACCCCGTCTCTACTAAAAATACAAAAAATTAGCTGGGCAGGGTGGCAGGCGCCTGTAGTCCCAGCTACTCAGGAGGCTGAGGCAGGAGAATGGCATGAACCTGGGAGGCAGAGCTGGCAGTGAGCAGACACCGCACCACTACTCCAGCGTGGGTGACAGAACGAGACTCCGTCTCAAAAAAAAAAAAAAAAGATTGTGGCTCTCAGACACCTGCATGGTTCCCACTTATCCCACATAGGAGGCCAAATATAACTCCTGACAACTCCTTTTGCCTTCAAGCAAGAGGCTTATTATCATCAGTTCCACTGCTCTTATCTCCAAAGGCACCTGGCTCAGCCTCTCTGTGCCAGCCAGCTAAGTTAGTTTGGCTTTCTCTCCCCCACCTTCACGTCATATTACATACCTGAAATACCCTTCCTGCCCGCTCTTTCCAAAACTCAAGCCCTGCCTTCTCTGATGCAGATTTTTTCATGAGACTCACTTCCTCTCTTAAGCCTGCTTGACTCAACCTTCCCAGTTTCAAGATTGCTAATCACAATGTGATTAGTGACTATGATGCAAGGCTGTACCTGGCAAATCTGCACTTGAGGGCATCTGTGTTCCCAAGTATCTGGTTGCGCCTATGAGTGTGCACAGAGCAGGAAGCTAGAGAAGGAGGTGACCACCAACAAAAGAAGGCTGGTGGTGAGGTGGGAGGGCTGGACCAGACTAGACACAGGTCCCATTTGGCCACTTATTACATGGGTGGCCCTCAACAAGTTACTTAATCTTTCTGAGCCTCAGCTTCCTATTACTATACTGAGCCCTTACTTAGTACAGACACTATTCTAAGCACTTTACATAGATTCTTTTATTTCAGCTTAACTTCAACAGATTAACTTCAACTGCAGCAGCTAGATAATATTTTTCCTATGTTACTGTTGAAGAAATTCAGACATAGAGGAAACGCAATACAGAAGTTAAGTAACTTGCCCCAGGTCACACTGGGACAAGCAAGTGGCAAAGCTAGGATTTGTAGCCAGGCAGTCTGGCTCCAGGATCCATGTTCTTAATCACTCTGCTTACTGCCTCCTACCTGTAATTCTGTGTGTGTGCACATCCCTCCTATGTATGCAAAACTCCCATCACAGTGGCTGGCACAAAGAGAACCAATAAATGGCTTAACTCTTTCCTCACTGGGACTACAAATACACAGGGATAGGAAAAATGTCTCTTTTCGAGAATTTGTTATAGGATCTAGGAAAGGACAAGTATATAATGGACACTTTACATACATTTCCAGGGGCTGAGAGAGGTGTGAAGGATATATAAAGATTTAAAGCACTGGCGGGGCATGGTGGCTCACACCTGTAATCCCAGCACTCTGGGAGGCCAAGGTGGGCAGATCACCTGAAGTCAGGAGTTTGAGACCAGCCTGGCCAACATGGTGAAACCCCGTCTCTTCTAAAACTACAAAAATCAGTCGGGTGTGGTGGTGCATGCCTGTAGTCCCAGCTACTCCAGAGGCTGAGGCAGGAGAATCGCTTGAACCCAGGAGGCAGAGGTTGCAGTAAGCAGAGATCGTGCCACTGCACTCCTGCCTGGGCAACAGAGTGAGACCCTGTCTCAAAAAAAAAAAAAAAAAAAATTTAAAGCACTACCTTCTTACCCAGGTGTGAGTTATAAACACACACATGCCACATGGACACACTATTCGCAAAGACATCACACACGTGTACGTGTGGTACACACACACTCACTAGCCACCCTGAACCTCATAAAGGCTCCACCAGAAAACCTTCTTTGCAGTAGGCACAGGGAAAAAAATCACAGTCTTTAAAAGTACATATGAAGGTCTATCAAATCAGACTGGGGCATTTTAGAGAACTTCCTCGAGGTGCCACTTGAGTTACATTTTTTTTTCTTTGTACTGTGGAGTTCAAAAAGTTAAATCTTAAAGATAAACAGGAATTACTGTGGCAAAGGAGGAGTGTGGAGAAAGGAGAGTCAAGAGGGAACAGGCTAACATATTTAGGAAACTGCAAGTATTTCTGTAGGCTGTCATGAAGAGTTTTTGGCAGGGTCAGGCAGGATATACAGCCAGAGAGTAGGCAGAGCCCAAATGCCAATAGGTCTGATGTGCTGAGCTGAGAGATTACAATTCTATCCTGAAAAGGAGCCACTCAGCACTTTTAGGCACAGATATGACGTCAAATCTGCATTTTAGAAAAATGGATTCAGTAGCACAGAGGATGGACTGATAACAAGGGATGAGGTGGAGAACACTGAAAAGACTTTCAACAATCTGGAGAAGAAATTCGGAGTTTGAACTCCTAGTGGCAGTGGGAAGAGAAAGAGTATTTAAGCGAGTTTAAGAAGTGAGGAGGAAATAGTGCCATTCACTACAATAGAAAACATAAAGGCCAATGTTTAGACAGGATGGATGAAAGATAATTTATACCTTTTGGCTTTTGGAGTTTGAGGTGTCTCTGGGACACCAGGTGATATCCAACAGGTGTTTGAATATGTATGTGCATGTATATTATTTATTGTTATTTAAGCTTGCAAGACATCTGGGCTGGAGATATAAATTTGGGTGTCATCAATTTACAGGTAGTAATTAAAACAATGAGTGTGGATGAACTCACCCAGAGAAAGTGTAATGCCAGATTTGTGGGCCAAAACAGCTCTGAGGAGCTCCAACTCGAAGCAGTTGAAGGCTTACATTTAAACATTCTCCCAGGAACAGTGGGTGAAGTGAAAAAGGGGTGAGGAAAGGGCCCTGGAGATCACCAACATTTAGGGGTGGAGGTGAACAGATGAGAAGAGAGAGGCAGAGGTGCAGGAGGAGAAGCCAGAATGGGGGTGTCAAGTATAAAGAAATGGGTAGCGTCAAATGCTTCAGAGGTTAGAGAAAATGACAGGAAACTCCCCCTGTTAGATTTGACATCTAGAAGGCTGTCGGTGTGGCCAGGGTGAGGTCAGTGGAGTAGTGAAGGTGCGGGTTTCCGGCTGTTGGAGAAACCTCTTCCACTAACTACATTGCACTCTGAGTTACCAACTGGCATGGTCCTCCCCCCATTTCACACGCACGCTACAGTCGCCCGTGCGCACTCGTACACACCAGGTGGCTAACAGGTACGAGGCGTTTCCGGACAGCGAGCGCAGAGCCCCCGCGCACGCGCCTCCGAGCCGGCCTCTTCCGCCGCAAGTCCCTCCCCAAGCCTGCAGAGTGCGCTGCGTTTCGATGAGCCGGGACGTGGCGCCGCTCTAGCCAGCGCCTGGGCTCTGTGGCGGGCGCCGCAGCTCCGCGTCCCCCGCGCCTCCTCCCAGCGCAGGTGGGTCCGCCCGCGGGGGGCGGGGGTGCCCGGGAGCCGTGGGACGGGCGGGTAGCGGCAACCTTTGGGGAGCAGAGTGGTCCCCAACGCCCAGGTGCCCCGGCTCGCGCTCTGGCCCGGGCGAATCGGGCTATAGGAAGGGCCACACGGATGGAAGTCCTAGTCCGGGTGCTCACCTCTTGTGGAACGTGCAAAGCCTGTCCCAGGACCTCTTTACACTCTGGGGGTCTCTGCCCAGGCACGCTTGCTGCTTCCGGACACAGCTGTGGGCGGAGCTAGTAGGGGCGGGGCTACGTGATTGACACTTCTCTCCTCAGACTTCAAGGGCTACCACTGGACCCTTCCCCTGTCTTGAACCCTGAGCCGGCACCATGGTGAGAACCCTGAGCCCAGCCCTTCACCTCCGCAGGCCCGCGCCCTCACCCCCAGTGGCAGTGCCATGGTTGCCCCGTATGAACCTAGGGCTCCACAGTGTGGGGTTTTTGCAGGTCAGCTTCTGCAAGGCAACCTGCACTCTTCCAACCCGTTCATCCTTGTAGCACGGACGCCTGAAGGTGAAGACGTCAGAAGAGCAGGCGGAGGCCAAAAGGCTAGAGCGAGAGCAGAAGCTGAAGCTATACCAGTCAGCCACCCAGGCCGTATTCCAGAAGGTGGGGCCCTCAGAGGTAGCCCCGACCCCAAGTAGCTCCCTTAGTATAGTGCAGAGGCCAAGAGCTGGTCCCTAGAGTCAGACTGCCTAGATCCAATTCTGGGTTATCTCACTTATAACTGTATGACTTTGGGCAAGTTGCTGAATCTCTTTGGGCCTCAGTTTGCTCATCTGTAAAATGGGGCTAATAATTGCACCTACTGCATAAGGCTGTTGTGAAGATTAAATGAGAGAATACCTGTAAGGCCATAAAGCATGGTTCATAGTACCTGTTGTATAATGTGGGATTCACAGAATATTGGATGGTTTTAAGTTTACGTTATTTAGTCCTGTAGTGGGAAAATTATATGATCTCTAACCCTGCCACCTATCTTCTTAGCGCCAGGCTGGTGAGCTGGATGAGTCCGTGCTGGAACTGACAAGCCAGATTCTGGGAGCCAACCCTGATTTTGCCACCCTCTGGAACTGCCGACGAGAGGTGCTCCAGCAGCTGGAGACTCAGAAGTGCGTAGGGATTCAGGATCTCAGAAGACTGCCCTGGCCCTGCGCCTGCACTGCCTGGGTCTAGGGGTGGAGGAGAAATGGGGCAGCCAGTGGCATAGATGGAGGATAGTAGGGGGCTGGGTGCAGAAAGTGAGGGGTGAGCTGAGGTTGACTGTAGGAGAGCCCTGACCCCCCCCTTCCCTTCTGGGTACAGGTCTCCTGAAGAGTTGGCTGCTCTGGTGAAGGCAGAACTGGGCTTCCTGGAGAGCTGCCTGCGGGTGAACCCCAAGTCTTATGGTACCTGGCACCACCGATGCTGGCTGCTAGGCCGCCTGCCTGAGCCCAACTGGACCCGAGAGCTGGAGCTCTGTGCCCGTTTCCTGGAGGTGGATGAGCGGAACTGTACGTGGCTGCAGATTCTGTCCCCACAGCCCTCACCTGCCCACATTCTGGTACTGGGGCCTCAGTAAGGCCCAGAATGGGGAGGGATATCCAGGATGGGTCCACTGAGCTGGTGCTGAAAGGGATGTTGGAGCCAAATGCATCCTCCGTGGAGTGCACTGAGGTGTTTCTAGGGGTTCCTGAGGGGACTCTAGGGGTCCCAGCCAGGTAGCTCCTCTTGCCCTGCCTCTAAGATATGCTGTCACCTCTCCCCTCCAGTTCACTGCTGGGACTATCGGCGGTTTGTGGCCACACAGGCAGCCGTGCCCCCTGCAGAAGAGCTAGCCTTCACTGACAGCCTCATCACCCGAAACTTCTCCAACTACTCTTCCTGGCATTACCGCTCCTGTCTCTTGCCCCAGCTGCACCCCCAGCCGGATTCTGGACCACAGGGGCGCCTCCCTGAGGATGTGCTGCTCAAAGGTAACCAGGGTCAGGGATGCTCAGGAGGACTCTGCAGTGCCACCCTTCCAGCCCCCATGCCTGACCCTGTTCCTGAACCTGTCACTCAGGTTTATTGAGCACCTACTTCATGCGTGGCTCCAGGGGTGCTTAAGAATCAGTCCCTGGCTGAAGGAAGCTTAAGTGTCTGATGGGGAAGATAAAACTGACATACGTAGCCCCTGTGCAAGGACAGCATATAAGTGAGACTGGGGGCTGGAAGTACTCCAAGGAGAGGGTAGGGTGTTGGAGTGGCCAGGAGCTCACCAGTGTCCTGACCACAGCCCCATGCCTCCTGGAACCCCACAGAGCTGGAGCTGGTGCAGAATGCCTTCTTCACTGACCCCAATGACCAGAGTGCCTGGTTTTATCACCGTTGGCTCCTAGGCCGAGGTGAGCAATGAGGAAAGGGGCTGGGTGTTTAGCGCTTAATAGGAATGGGAGAGGGTTTAAAGAAATCTGACACTGTCTCCCCGCAGCTGACCCCCAGGATGCACTGCGCTGCCTGCATGTGAGCCGGGACGAGGCCTGTCTGACTGTCTCCTTCTCTCGGCCCCTCTTAGTGAGTCCTGCAGCTTTTGTCAAGAGCACTGTGGGACTGTGGGCCTGGTGCTGATGGGGCTGAAGTCTTTGTCCTTTGTGCCAGGTGGGCTCCAGGATGGAGATCTTGCTGCTCATGGTTGATGATTCTCCCCTGATTGTGGAGTGGAGGACCCCAGATGGCAGGAACCGGCCCAGCCATGTCTGGGTATCCCAGGATTGGTGGGGCAGAAGTTGGGGTCTGGGGCAGGGCTGGGTGGGACAGTCAAAAAAGTGGTTAGGCTGGGGCATTTCCTTGACCCAGTACTCCCAGCTCTGTGACCTGCCTGCTGCCTCCCTCAACGACCAGTTGCCCCAACATACATTTCGCGTCATTTGGACAGCAGGCGATGTCCAGAAAGAATGCGTGCTTTTAAAAGGTGATGGAACCTGCAGCCTCCACCCCTTGCAGCAGCCCCCATCACTCTTTTCCTCTCAAGGGTGCACCCTCCAACCACCTACTCTTTCCCCAGGCCGCCAGGAGGGCTGGTGCCGGGACTCCACGACAGACGAGCAGCTATTCAGGTGGTGATAGGGAAGCACAAAACAAGGAGAGGGGCTCTGGACTCTGGGCATCAGGCAGCCAGGGCAGGAGGCTGGGGCCTCAAGGAGCTGTTTCAGTCTAGATACTGGGAATGTTGACCAGTGCTTCAGGGCTGTGGGCCTCAACTCCTCCCCACCCTGCCCACCCTCAGGTGTGAGCTGTCAGTGGAGAAGTCCACAGTGCTGCAGTCTGAGCTGGAATCCTGTAAGGAGCTGCAGGAGCTGGAGCCTGAGAATAAATGTGAGGCCCCATTCCGTGAGAGTCTGCTCCCAGAGCCCGCTGAGGAAACCCCTTTCCAGTGTGGCCCTGAGAGGACAGCAGGAAGGCCTCAGGAGGATGGGAGCAGAGGAGGTTCCAAGAGAAACCCTCCTTTTCCCTGCCCTCTCCTCAGGGTGCCTGCTTACCATCATCCTGCTGATGCGGGCACTGGACCCCCTGCTGTATGAGAAGGAGACCCTGCAGTACTTCCAGACCCTCAAGGCAAGTTCTGTCTGCAGAACAGACCAGGGGGAGGCCCAGCAGGCAGGAGGCAGGCAGCTGACATGCATACCCTGCCCACCTCATCCACTCCAGGCCGTGGACCCCATGCGGGCAACGTATCTGGATGACCTGCGCAGCAAGTTCTTGCTGGAGAATAGCGTGCTCAAGATGGAGTATGCCGAGGTGCGTGTGCTGCACCTGGCTCACAAGGTATGGGCTGCCATGCATGCCTTCCCCTGGCCCTCATCCCGCTGGCCTCCCCACGTCCCTGACTTTGCCCCCAGTCTCAGGTGCCTTTGTGGACTTCCAATCAAGATAGAGTTCATCCCTGCCTCCCAGCTTGCTCCTCTTCCAGGCCTTTCTGTCACTCAGCCCATTCTTCTTCTTGCCACTCACTTTCAAATCCCGAGTCACCAGGACCTCCTTGTGCTGTTTCTTCCCCAGGCTGGTCACAGCTTCATCTTCCTTCAGAGTGACCGCTAGCCCACTCCTCCCACACATTCCAGCACATCTCACCCTGGAGCAACCTCCAATACCTGAAGGCCAAATACTTTCCAGAGATTCCTGAGAAGTTGTCCAGGCTCCACTTTCCTAGTCCTTCCCAACACATTAGTTTTATCACATCACCACAGCCCACCTCCATTCCTGCCAAACTCATCTCTGCCTCATCAGGACCAGTCCCCATGGGGGACCAGTCTTTGTTTACCCAGCACCCTCCACTGGCCCCTGTACCTCCGAACTCCAGGCCTCCTCCTCCTCACCCACCCCACTGGTTACCCCACTCGCAGCACTGTCTGTCCCACGTCATGTACTGCTGTGGGCTGTAAGGTCAGCTTCCCACATGCTCCCATCCTCTTCTTGGCTGGGGTCCCCAAGGGCCTGTGGGGCACAGAGGGCATGTGCCTAATAAATGCTGGCCGAGGACCCTCTCCCAGGTCTCCTGGGAAGCCCATCACCTCCTTCCTCCCTTCACCCCCCAGGATCTGACAGTGCTCTGCCATCTGGAACAGCTGCTCTTGGTCACCCATCTTGACTTGTCACACAATCGCCTCCGAACCCTGCCACCTGCACTGGCTGCCCTGCGCTGCCTTGAGGTAAAGTACCCATGTCTCCGTCCCTGTCACGGGTGGTTCTTTTCCTCTTCCTCTCCCTCAGAAGTCTGCCCATCCTACAAGGAGATGTGCAGGACCCTCCACCCCGAACAGGTAACTGCGTGCCTTCCACCTCCATCACGCAGCCTGACCCTGTGAGCCCCTCTGTGCTCTGTGGACCCGTCACCCTGAGCTCCTCAGTTGCTGAACCATCCCTGGCTGACAGCGCCTGTCCTGCCTCCCTGCCCTCCCTGCCCCCAGGTGCTGCAGGCCAGTGATAATGCCATAGAGTCCCTGGACGGCGTCACCAACCTACCCCGGCTGCAGGAGCTGCTACTGTGCAACAACCGTATCCTTCCTTCTGGGTGCCTTTCAGACAGTGGGTAAAGTGAGGTGCCACCCTGGGAAGGGACAGACAGCAGGCAGGGTATGTGCCACCCTCTTGCAGGGCAGGAGAGAGGGGGCTCTGTAGTGTGAGTTGAAGGGGGAGAGCCTGGGGCTGTCGGGCTATCACTGACCTGCACTGGTGGAGTTGTGCGGAGTGGACTTCCTCAAGTCAGAGTTCACAAATGGGCAGCCCGCAGCTGTTCTTCAGGTCTATGTAGTTTTTTGAAAATCAGGAACTTTCATACTTTAAAAAACATCTAGAGTTCTAATTCCTCTCTTAAAAATTGGAAGTTAGAGCAACCTTACACTGGTATTTTCACTCAGCAGCCCTTGGTCATTGCTGAATAGTAAATGTCTCTTTGGACCAGGCTAGATTTCCACCTTATCATACCCTGCACCACTCCCCTGATACTACACCAGCTTGCGTGGGGTGTTGCGGCTCATTCTTTCCTGGCTGACCCTGTGGGTAGGCATTTGCAGTCCCTGCCTAGAGCCTGACTCCCTCCAGGGAGCATATGAGATGCCCATCAAACAGACTTCCAGGCAGCAGTCCCCAGCTCTTGAGGGTACACAGGAGCAAATAAATTGGGAGGAACCTGCCAAGCTTTCCTTGACTCTCCTGAACAAGGCCTCCAGCAGCCTGCAGTGCTCCAGCCTCTTGCCTCCTGCCCCAGGCTGGTCCTCCTCAACCTGCAGGGTAACCCGCTGTGCCAAGCGGTGGGCATCTTGGAGCAACTGGCTGAACTGCTGCCTTCAGTTAGCAGCGTCCTCACCTAAGAGGCCCTGCCCCCTACCCTTGCCCTTTAACTTATTGGGACTGAATAAAGAATGGAGAGGCCCTCTCAGGCTACCAAGCTGTTGTCGCTGCTATCACTACACCACCACCTTCATCACTTTTATTTTTTGAAAAGAAAGGGAAGAGACATGGGGTGTTGCCAGCTCCTTCTTTCTGCGCCATCCTATTGTTTCCTCTCAGAGAGAGCCAAGGCTTCAGTGTTTGGGGCAGAATTCAGGGTGAAGGCTGAGCTTTTGTTTACCTTCTGGTTTGGGGTGGGGGCTGGGACTGGGTCTAGATTCCAAGCAGGAATAGGGCTTGGGCTCAGGTTCTGGCTCTGGTAAGCTACAGAGCAGCTGTGAGTTTCTCCAGCTGGAAGCATCATACAATTTTTTCCCATGACCCCTGCACCTTCCACATGTTCCCCCTGCCCTGGCCCCCATTCACCATAGCTGGGGAGGCTCAAGGGCTCCACGTTCCCAGGAATGGGCCAGGGTGTCCTTGCTCCGTCCTGCCTGAACAACACTATCGGTCCCCATGAGTAGCATTCTACGGTTGAAGTACCTTTGAGAATACTTGATACCATTTGATCCTCACAGAGTCTCAGGGATGAGATTTTTAGGCCCAGTGTACTGATGAGGAAACTGCTGTTGAGACTTGCCCAAGGTTCTTGGCCGGAGCGCTTCAGCACTGAAACCAAAGTTGTCTCTACCCTTGGTCTAGGATTCTAGACTCATGTTCTTGCTTCTGTATTGCTAAGGAATGGTTGGGCAGCGGCCTGGCCTCAGCTCCTTGAGGTCCTGAGCTGAGTGTCTGCTCCCATGGTGTCCCCCCACACATACCATGTACACACCTTGTCCTGACCTAGAGAGTCCTGAGTGGTGGTGGGGGGAGGGGACTGGCTCAGGGGTTAGGGCACTGACTCAAACCTGGCTGGGTGGGGAGAGAAAGATTGATTAAAGCTAGGGAGAGAGTGTGACAAAGGCATCCTACTGGTTCTCTGGGATCTGCCTGGGCCCACATGTGCTCACACACGTCCGGACAGCCAGGGCCCTGCCCCTTCCCGTATCTGCAGTGATGCACAAATCCGCAGCCCCTGCACAAAGCCCTCTGGCTGACCTGCCTGGAAGTTTATATCCACTGGTGTGTCTACTGAGGGTGTTGGAGGTGGGGCACCTGCCCCCACCCCCGGGCAGGTTCTGGTGCTTGGAGCTGGACAAGAAAAGGCAGTGTGGGTGTGGAGGGCTCCCTGCCAGTTCCTGGGGCCTCTCTGTCCCCACTCCCCACGGCACCTCCCTGCCTGATGCATCACCAAACAGCCCCTCCTGGATTCTGTTTCCTTGTGTCTTCTTGTCGGCCTGTTTTTACTGTCTTCTGCTAGGCGGCCCATGGGCAGAGCTGGGACACTAGTGGGAAGGAAGGAAAGAAGGAAGAAGGCCCTGGCTGACGGGCCTGAGGACAAGACCCAAGGAGAGCCTCCCTGAAGATGCCTAGCCTCCTCCTCTCTACCTTGGGATCGCCTTGGTGCCATCCTCAGTGTTTCCCCAGTGACGGGGTGGAGTAAGGATGCACACAGCACAGGTGCCTGAGCCGGTTGGTCTGGATTCCCAGGAAGAATTCCAGGTTGGAGAAAAGGGAATCCTCTAGTCCAACTGAGCAGAGACTCCTCTCAGTGAGAGAAAGGTACTCTGTACCCCTGGAAGGGGGACTCAGTTCCCACCCAAGCCTGAGTGGAAAGGCCTAAACATCCCCTAACCCCCGAGGCTACAGCGGGGGTGGGGGACGTGAAATGAGATTGCTCCTACTCTGATCTCCCTAATCCCAAACTTGAGGGCAGCTCACTCATGCCTGGGGCTGTAGAGCAGCTGAGAAAGAAGGGACAGACTTGGGGGTGGAGGGAGTCAGAATATCTGGTAGAGCCAGCAGGTCAGGGGTTAGCTGGTGGAGCCAGTCTGAGGGCCTGGCTGCTGATGTCACCAGTCTGCAACCTGGGATCCCAGGACCTCCCTGGGCAGGATGAGTTCCAGGACCAGGCCCCTGGGCCAATTTCATAGGGCTGAGCCTGGCTTGGGCTGCACAGAACTCGGCAGCAGGAGCCTGTGAGAGCAGAGGTAGGCAGCCTAAGCTTGGGACCAGAAGGTCGGCCAGACAGGGCTGTGGGTGGAAGGGCCTGCCTGCCCCACTGCCCTTGCAGCTTCTTCATCCGGGAGAAGGGGCTCCTCACATGCCCAGTCTGGTAGGAATCAGCCTGGTGCCAGGGGCCATCACAGCGGTGGCTCCCACCAAAGCCCAGCCTAAGCCCCCAGACCTCACCCCTGCTCCCTCCCTAGCATCTTCTCCCCATTTCCCGCCCAGAGGCCTGGCCTCTTCTCTCCGCCCCCTACAGCAGTTTGGCCCCTCCCTCCCACATAAGTCACTTACCAGGTCTGTCCCTGCGGCATCCAGTCTGTGGGTCCTGTCCCATCCATCCTGACCTGTTCCATCTCAGCCCCAGGACTCAGTACTGCGGTTGCCAACACTGCTGCCAGGTGAGGGGCTCCCACGGGTACTGTGGTGCCGAGTCCAGGCGGCCCACACTATCAGAGGCCGTGCCTGGATCCAGCAAGGTGGGGTGTGGGCCAGCTGTGTACCTGTCAGCCCCAGCTAGGCTGTTCCCAACACCAAGACTCTGCTTTCCCTGTGCACAGGCTCCGGGCACCTGCCATGCCCTACCCCTCCTGGCAGCCCCAAGTGGGGTCTTCCCTGACTTGGGAATGCCAAGGACCACAGGCCCCGGGGTCACTTGTCTGTCTTGTGAGGAACCTTGAGTTGGGGGATTTCTGCTAAGAAATGAGTTCTAGAAGCTGTCAGTGTTGTGCACCTCTAGACTGCAGAGCTAGCAGGTGGACGGACCAGGCCCAGGGATGCTGGAGCACTCTGATGTGTGTGCAGCTGGGTCTTGAGGCTGGGACAAGTGTCCATGCAGGGAACTATGTGGATTTCCTGGGATGGATCGTTGAGTGGGTTTCTTCATTGGGCAGTTTTTCGGATGTTGTTTGGTGGGGGTGAGGGGAAGGCTTTTCTCTGCAGCATGAGAAGCTTCTCTGGGTGAGTCTGAATGGTCTTCGCGGAAGGTCTCTGGATGTGTCTGGAGAATCTCTGGGCCAAGGTGGGATTGTTTCGGTCATCGGGTGGGACTGAATCAGCTGTCTGGATGGAGGGTTTCTGGGTCAACTGGCTGGGACTACCTGGGTTAAGGAGCCACCCTGCCTCTTCCTAACAGGCATGATGGATGGGCCACGTTCCGATGTGGGCCGTTGGGGTGGCAACCCCTTGCAGCCCCCTACCACGCCATCTCCAGAGCCAGAGCCAGAGCCAGACGGACGCTCTCGCAGAGGAGGAGGCCGTTCCTTCTGGGCTCGCTGCTGTGGCTGCTGTTCATGCCGAAATGCGGCAGATGACGACTGGGGACCTGAACCCTCTGACTCCAGGGGTCGAGGGTCCAGCTCTGGCACTCGAAGACCTGGCTCCCGGGGCTCAGACTCCCGCCGGCCTGTATCCCGGGGCAGCGGTGTCAATGCAGCTGGAGATGGCACCATCCGAGGTGAGGCCGGTCTGTCCTCCTCAGCTGAGAGCTAAAAGGCTTTAATGGGACCAGAGACTCAGCCTGGCATTTCTGGGGGGGATAGGAAGCTAATGATAAGGGCCTGGGCTCCTCATGGGGCTTCACTGACACGGAGCTGTGTCCTTGCAGAGGGCATGCTAGTAGTGAACGGTGTGGACTTGCTGAGCTCGCGCTCGGACCAGAACCGCCGAGAGCACCACACAGACGAGTATGAGTACGACGAGCTGATAGTGCGCCGCGGGCAGCCTTTCCATATGCTCCTCCTCCTGTCCCGGACCTATGAATCCTCTGATCGCATCACCCTTGAGTTACTCATCGGTCAGTGGGGCTTGGATTGGGACGGGTGAAGGCCCTATGTTTGGTGGGGAGAGGCTGGCATTAGGGTCAGAGAGGTCTTTAGGCTCCTCCCTGCCCCACTCCTCACCTCTGCCAGATAAGGCAGGTGCAAGTGTGTGGGTGTGCCCCTGGGGTTGTGTCTCAGAGAGGGTCTTGGTGTTGCAGTTTTTCCCAAGCCCATCCTCCTCAAGCCTCCTGGGGCATCGGTCTCAGAGTACTCCTCTTCAGGGCCTGCCTCGGTGCCTCCTTCGGCATTGCTGCTCTGTCCTTTGTGCATCTGTTCTCATTCCCCAGGATGTGGCTGGTTCTCTCTTCTATCTCTCTCTCTCCCTCTTGCCTTCCATGTCCCCCATCTCTGCCAATTCTGTCTCTCTCTGTCTCTGTCCCTCTGTCCCCATGACCCAAGGCAGGTGCCTCCCTTACCGCGTTGCTTGGTGTAGCTTGACTTCTCAGGCTGGTGATTATGCTGCTGCCTGGGGCAGGTGACTCCTTTTACCCTTTGATTAGGGCCTAACCTTGCCCACCTCATCCTTTAATTTCCCAGGAACCCCTACCACCTCCACCAGGGATGCCCTGGGCTCTGGAAGCTGCAGCCCCAGGAAGCAGGCAGGGTTGGCCTTCAGGATCAGGACTGCCCTTTCATACGGGGCAGGTGGATCTGCCCCTCCAGCCCAGGCACTGTGATAGTCAGGCAGGCAGAAGGTGACAGGAGCCCTCGTCTCTCCTCCCCACCTCAGAGTTCAGTGTCAGGGGAACAGGTTTGGGATGTTGGACTGCGGCACTGCCCTAACATGTGGGCAAGCATTGGGTGGAGACAGAGCTGCTCTAAGGGAGACTGTCAGAGAATAAGGTGATGGCCCAACGTAGGGACATACACAGTGGCTCATACACATTGTGGGTGGGGCCGGGAGAAGTCCCAGGCTCCATCCCCTCTCCTCAGGGAGGCCTTGCCAGCTAATTGCTGATTTCCTACTCTAGGAAACAACCCCGAGGTGGGCAAGGGCACGCACGTGATCATCCCAGTGGGCAAGGGGGGCAGTGGAGGCTGGAAAGCCCAGGTGGTCAAGGCCAGTGGGCAGAATCTGAACCTGCGGGTCCACACTTCCCCCAACGCCATCATCGGCAAGTTTCAGTTCACAGTCCGCACACAATCAGACGCTGGGGAGTTCCAGTTGCCCTTTGACCCCCGCAATGAGATCTACATCCTCTTCAACCCCTGGTGCCCAGGTGAGCAGCTGGGGTCTGGAGCAGAGGGTAGATGGGAGGGAAAGACAGGGAAGGGCTTCCTGCCCTCGGATGTGGCGGGGTGCCTAGGTGCCTGACCCCAGGAGAAGCCAGCCTCCCATTGGGCAGATGAGAGGACCGAGGCCTGGTGCAGAAAGGTGGCCAGCCCAGGGTCACACAGCCAGCCACACCTCTCCTGGCAAAGGCCCCTGGCTACAGCCAATCTCCTCCACCATCTGTCATGCTCCCCGTGTCCTCCCACAGCAGTCCTGTCAGGCTAGGGGCATCCCCGCATTTTCTTCTGTGGACATGAGTCCTGCAGAACTGGCCAGAAGTAGGTGAGGCCCAGGGAGAGAACTGGAGGGAACCAGTTTTGTGTGTTCTGGGGACACAGAGGACATTGTGTACGTGGACCATGAGGATTGGCGGCAGGAGTATGTTCTTAATGAGTCTGGGAGAATTTACTACGGGACCGAAGCACAGATTGGTGAGCGGACCTGGAACTACGGCCAGGTATGGTGCGGCTGGCCAGGGTCACATACACCCAGAGGAGCTGGGGTGGGTGTGGGGGCTGGGGTATTGGAGCAGGGTGCTGGCCTAGGGTTCAGGCTGTCACCTCTGCCCTCCATCCCTCCTTCCAGTTTGACCACGGGGTGCTGGATGCCTGCTTATACATCCTGGACCGGCGGGGGATGCCATATGGAGGCCGTGGAGACCCAGTCAATGTCTCCCGGGTCATCTCTGCCATGGTGAGCACCCTCACATCTCTGAGTCCTACTGTGTGTGTGCCTGCTGCCTCGCCACACCCCCACCCTCCTCCTGCCCTTTCTGGATTCCTCAAGAACCCCCAGCCCTGTCCCTGCCCTCGTAAAGGATACTTCAGGAAGGGGTCTCCCTCCTCTTCTCTCCCTTGCCTGCCCCCCACCCCGCCTTTCCTGGCTCCTGTCCCAGCTCCTGTGGAATGTAGGGCCAAACCCAAAACTTGGCACACCCAGGATTCACATTCCTGTGTCAGAGCCCGGGTGGGAGGGGGGCAGATGGCTGAGGGAAGGGCTGGGTGGAGCTCAGGCTGGTGTCTGGATCCTGAGGCATTTAGGGGTAAGGGGTGGTTGCAGGATCGGGGCCCGGCTGGTCCCCATGGACCACATGGCAGGTCCTGAGCCCCTCCTCCACCTCCGCCCTATCTCATCCTGTCCTGGGCAGGTGAACTCCCTGGATGACAATGGAGTCCTGATTGGGAACTGGTCTGGTGATTACTCCCGAGGCACCAACCCATCAGCGTGGGTGGGCAGCGTGGAGATCCTGCTTAGCTACCTACGCACGGGATATTCCGTCCCCTATGGCCAGTGCTGGGTCTTTGCTGGCGTGACCACCACAGGTAGTGGAGGGACTGGGACAGGAGTGGCCCGGGCCCTACAGGGAGAAGGGAGGAAAGCCAGGCTTACCCAGCCCTGCCCAGATGTGGCTACAGTGCAGGGTGCAGGCGGGGGTGGGTAATAGGCTGGCCTTAATTATCATTAATTAGTGTTAACAACAGAGAGAGGCCTAAGGGAAAGGAGGGAGAAGGGACAGGCAAGGACTGAGCCAGGCAGGTGGCCTAGCTTCCCCTGACCCCAAGTGCTCTGTAGCCCAAAGGCCTTGTGGCCCCCGTGGCCCTGACCCTGGCAGTCTATGCCCAGCTTGGCAATCCTAGTTGCCCTTCTCCCCCTGATACTCCTGACACGATGCCTCACTTGCCCCCAACCCATGCCTTGAACCCCAACCTTCGCTCCTCCACAGTGCTGCGCTGCCTGGGTCTGGCCACCCGTACTGTCACCAACTTCAACTCCGCCCACGACACAGACACATCCCTTACCATGGACATCTACTTCGACGAGAACATGAAGCCCCTGGAGCACCTGAACCATGATTCTGTCTGGTGAGCTGGGGTGGACTGCCCATCTGTGCTGAAGAATGGTGACCTGAGCTTTGGAGGTGGAGGGTGGGCAGGGCTGGGGAGGCTGGGGAAACTGAGGACTCCTGACCCTGGGGCTCAGACCCAGCCCCTCCTCCATGTCCATCCAGGAACTTCCATGTGTGGAACGACTGCTGGATGAAGAGGCCGGATCTGCCCTCGGGCTTTGATGGGTGGCAGGTGGTGGATGCCACACCCCAAGAGACTAGCAGTGGTAAGCTGGGCCCCCCACTCCCCACCATGCCCCTGCTTATCTCCCCCACCTGATTAACACAGTCCAGAGTGTCAGTGCTGGGCCGGGCCGGAGAGCCAAGCCATGTAACCCCGCGGCTTCTTAAACGGGTTTGTCAGCTGAACCACCACGTGGATGTTAGTTTATTTTTACCATTCTATATAACTCTCTATTTGCCTACATTTTACTTATTTATAATGGTTTATTTTATTTATAATGGTTAATATACAAGGGAGGTTCAAAATTCAAAAGCTGGAAGAGTATTCAGAGAAAGAATTCATATTCACTATTCTTACTTGCTTTTTAACTTACATATCCTGGAGATAATTAACTGAAGGACCATTTTAAAGTCATTTTTATAAGTAATACATGCTTGGAAGGAAAAAAAAAGTATAGAATTGAACAACACAAAATGTAAAGCTTCCCTATTCTCTCTCAGGAGGTATTTGGGTTTTTTTTCAAAAATATTTTTAAAGTAAATTTCTAGGTTCTACTCCAAACCTGATACATTAGACTTTCCCAGGATAGATGCTAACAATGTATATTTTTGAAAGTTCTTCTGGTGATTCTGACGATCAGCCGGATTTTTTGACCCACTCCAAAGGGTGGCCAGAGAGATGGAGTGACCTCCTCTGGGGCACAGAGTGGTAGGTCAGTGACAGAGCAAGTCCAGTCCTTTTAAGCACATACTCTTGCTTTCAACGAGTTCCTTCCTGTCTGTTCCATTGCTCACTGTGAGTTATATATACAGCATAGAAAAAAATCAGGGCTCAGATAGGTTCAAAGAAGAAAATAGCCCTTATGACCCTGCCTTAATATATAATTACTGTTAATATAACCAACGGGTCTCTTTTCTGTGTCCACATACATGTGTTTCTGCAGAAATTAGAACTACCATACACTCTGTTCTCAAACAAACCCCCACCCCTTCTTACCGTGATACCCCAGCCCCAGGCCACCAGGCCTGCCCTGCCAGCTACCTTCTGTCCAGCCTCTCCCTTACCCCAGGTCAGAGAGTCCTCCCTAGCCTACATTCCTCCCCTGGCCTCTTCCCAGTGCCCTCCCTCTCACTCAGATATGTGAACACAGCCCCATGAGCTGTGCAACCCGGTGATGCCTGTGATGCTGAAACAGCCTGTCCCAGACGCTGGCAGATCTGAGCTCTGGCCCCCAACTCTGGGAAGTGGTGGGGTGGACATCAGGCAGGGGGCTCAGGGCCAGCCAGACTGGGGCTTGATCCCAGCCTGATCACTTCTCAGATGTATGCTCTTGGGCAAGCACCTCGAACTTTTAGGCTTTGGTGGTTTGGATGTAATTTGGGGTAATAGATACCATATATGGTGATTGGGAGGATTAAATGAGAAATTCTGTATCTGAAGGGACCAGCAGCATGCCGGGAGTGTAGCAGCTACTCAAAAAGTCTGAGCTCCTTTCATTCTCCCTGCACCACCTGTCTTGTGAGATCCTGGCATGAACTTCACCTTGCTGTTTCCCCGTCTGTAAAGGAGTGTGTAGTGTTATGTCTTGTCTAAGATTCTTTCCGGTTGGATGGTACTCACTTACCACTCTGTCCTCTCTTGCCAGGCCTCTTCCTGTCAGCCTATCTCTTCTAGACAGCCTCCTGAGTATGATAAGGGCAGACTCTATTTCCCACCAGCTCCCCCCAGTAGAAAGGGCAGCAGGCTGCAGAGCTGAGGGTTGTTCCGCATCTCTCTGGAATGGTGGTGGCGGTGGTGTCCTCGCTCTCCCAGCCAGCAGGCAGGGCCACTGTGGACTCTGGGTTGGTTATGATAAAGGATGGGGCGTCCTGTCCTCTGGGGGTCACAGATGGTGGACATCCAGTGTCAGCCAGCCATGAAAGAGTATGTCAGGGACTTGGTTATCAGGCAGGCTGGTCCGCACATCTGTACCCTGCCCCCATCCTCCAGCAGAGCAGCCTGGGCTGAGGAAAGCAGATTGAGAGCCAAATGGAGCCGCTCTCTCTTTGTTTTCCATACCTGTGTTGCACTGGCTGTCAACTGACCCCCAAGTGTTTGGGTCAGGGCTGATGACCTTGTTCCAGAGGCCACCAGGCAGTGGGACCGGGCCTGAGTGGGTGGGGCTGGGGCCCTGTGTGGACCTTACCCAGGGTCTGAAGAGCCCTCTCCGCCTTCTCAGATCTCTTGCCTCTGTCCCGCCTCACTCTCTAGGCATCTTCTGCTGCGGCCCCTGCTCTGTGGAGTCCATCAAGAATGGCCTGGTCTACATGAAGTACGACACGCCTTTCATTTTTGCTGAGGTGAGGGCTGGGCTCCAGGTGCCTTCTTGGGCTTCAGTCATGGGTTCTCTGGTCCCAACTTCACCGCTGACTGACCAGCTCTGCGACCCGGGGCAAGTCACTCATTATACAAGTCAGTTTCCTCACCTGTAAAAGGGGATAATCAAGGCTGCCTTGCTTCCTATACTCGGGATCAGAAGAGATAACGGGTATGAAACTGCTTCACTAGTCGTAAAGTCAGCCATTGAGTGTGAGGGATTACTGATATTGCCAAAGTGCTCTGCCAGGAGCCTCCCAGACCAGCTTCTTCCCTGCACTCTGGCCTCGTCTGGCTCGTCTTGGAAAGTCTCCCCTTGGGCTCTGCCAGGAAGCTCCCACCCTTGGGACCAAGCCCTGTCCCATAGCTCCTGGGATCAGGGGAAGGAGGCCGGGAGTCAGGCCACCCTCAGACCCTCTGGCTCACTCATTCCTGCTCACCCCCACCCCCCACAGGTGAATAGTGACAAGGTGTACTGGCAGCGGCAGGATGATGGCAGCTTCAAGATTGTTTATGTGGAGGAGAAGGCCATCGGCACACTCATTGTCACAAAGGCCATCAGCTCCAACATGCGGGAGGACATCACCTACCTCTATAAGCACCCAGAAGGTACCATTCCCCCAACCCAGCCAGCTCTGGGCCCCACAACAAGTGTTCCTGCCAAGTGCTTGGCCACCCACGTGGGAATTGGAACCTCACCCTTGACCCTCAACCCCCAGGCTCAGACGCAGAGCGGAAGGCAGTAGAGACAGCAGCAGCCCACGGCAGCAAACCCAATGTGTATGCCAACCGGGGCTCAGCGGAGGATGTGGCCATGCAGGTGGAGGCACAGGACGCGGTGATGGGGCAGGATCTGATGGTCTCTGTGATGCTGATCAATCACAGCAGCAGCCGCCGCACAGTGAAACTGCACCTCTACCTCTCAGTCACTTTCTATACTGGTGTCAGTGGTACCATCTTCAAGGAGACCAAGAAGGAAGTGGAGCTGGCACCAGGGGCCTGTAAGTGCTCCTTACCCAGCCCTGCCCCCTGGATGGCTGGGCACCTCAGGGCTGTGGACATGGAGACCCCAGGAGCAGTGGGGAGTCCCTGGGGGAAGCCTCATGTAGGGAAGCAGGCCTCAGTGACGCCATGCCTCTTCTCCACAGCGGACCGTGTGACCATGCCAGTGGCCTACAAGGAATACCGGCCCCATCTTGTGGACCAGGGGGCCATGCTGCTCAATGTCTCAGGCCACGTCAAGGAGAGCGGGCAGGTGCTGGCCAAGCAGCACACCTTCCGTCTGCGCACCCCAGACCTCTCCCTCACGGTGAATGCAGTTTGCTGGGGCATGAGGGGTGGTCAGAGAGTGAAGGCCAGGGGATAAGGACATCAGAGGTGGGCGCTAAGCCAGCAGCAGGCTGGCCTGATGAGCCTTTGTAGGAGAAGGTCAAGGACCGGCTCTGGGGCCTCAGTTTCCTCATCTGTAGCATGGGATCTTATGTCTCTGGTTCTGTGACAGCCTTTATTGAGGAATAGGTTGGAGTTTCTTCTCTGACTTCTGGGGAATCTTCTCTCAGGAGGATAAATGTGGGACTCGGGGAGGTTTTGCTTCTAAGCAGCTTCCCCTCTCTGGTGCAGTGTACGGTCCCCGTGTGTTTGGCCAGGGTCTCTGACGTGGGGGATGGGCCTCTTTTTCTCTCAGTTACTGGGAGCAGCAGTGGTTGGCCAGGAGTGTGAAGTACAGATTGTCTTCAAGAACCCCCTTCCCGTCACCCTCACCAATGTCGTCTTCCGGCTCGAAGGCTCTGGGTTACAGAGGCCCAAGATCCTCAACGTTGGGTGAGTCTGGCCTCTCCCCCTACCCCTGCTTCCACTCTGGCCTTCCCCACAGGCTGCCCTGGCTCCCAGCTTTGCTCCCTCTCTGTCTGGACAAGTATGTTCTGTCAGGACCCAACCAAGCAGGTTGGGGCCAGCTAGCAATACCTCCCGGCCCAGCTCAGTCCCACCAGCCTTTAGGGAGACCTCTTGGGCACCTGGTGCTATGCCATGTCCTTGCCCTGCCTCACTATCTAATTAGGGAGCAGAAGGCCCACATAGGAATCATTAGTAACTCATTGCTAATATTTGCCCAGCACTGAAGAATTGACCAGGCCCTTTCAGGAATATTATCTCCTTTGGACACAAAAACTCTAATTTAAGTACATTAGAAGGCCAGGTGTGGTGGCTCACACCTGTAATCCCAGCACTTTGGCAGGCCAAGGTGAGTGGATCACTTGAGCCCAGGAGTTGGAGACCAGCCTGGGCAACATGATGAAACCCTGTTTCTACAAAAAATTTTTAAAAAATTAACCAGGTTTGGTGCTGTGCGCCTGTTGTCCCAGCTACTTGGGAGTCTAAGGTGGGAGGATCACCTGAGCCTGGAGAGGTTGAGGCTGAAGTGAGCCATGTTTGTGCCACTGCACTCCAGCCTGGGCGACAGAGTGAGACCCCGTGTGTCTCTCTCTCTCTCTGTCACACACACACACAGACACACACACACACACAGAGACACACACACACAAGCGAAGTTTTGGAATCCTAATGATACGGGTTCAGCTCTAGCACTTACTGGCTATATGCCCTTGGGCAAGCGACTTCTCTCCTTCAAGCCTCAGTGTTCTCACCTGTAAAGCAGGGATAGCAATAGCCCCTGGACCTAGGGTTGTTTAGTGCACTGCTTGGCACAAAGTTAGTGCTCCATTGGTAGTTGTTATTTTTATTATTGCCATTATTACCCCCACTTACAGATGGGGAAGCTGGCGGTCACATCTCATATGGTCTCACAGCTCGTAGGGGGCAAACTCTGCTCTTCCCACTGTGGTGCATACCATGCACAGGCTCTCAAACTCATTGTTTGTTTTGTGCCATGAGGGCCAAGTAGCAGTTCCAGAGGAGAGAACTCCATCCCTCAGGCCCTTACCCAGCCCGTCTGGGCCTGATCCTGGGCTGGGCAAGCCCCTGGGTGTAGTGAGGGCACACACATGCTGTGTTCCTGGGCCTGCGGCTGTCATCTTTGATACAGACTTACACGTGCTGCCCCGTCCCCGCCTAGGAAAAGCACGGAGGGAAAGCAGAGCAGGCCAGAGCCTGGCCTTCTAGATCAGCCTTCTGGGACAGGGGCAGGCTTCATCTTCAGACAGCGAGTTCCTGAGAAAGAACAATGGCTTGGGGTGGGGAAACTGAGGGGAGGAAGCAGAGGACCCCCTGCCCACTTGCCCACCCCTCCCTCACACACAGCAGCTCTCCTGGTGGTGGCTGCCACCTTCGCCATTAGGCCAAAGCTGAGAAGGAAGCTATGTTGATCTTTGCCCCAGCCTGGGCCCCTGGGAATGCTATGATGTGTCACAAAGTAGGGCTTTCCTCATGTCACCATACCATGGTCTCTGGCAGCTCAGTGAACAGAGCCTGAACCCCCCGGGTAGCCTGCTCTGCTAGTCTTGCCCAGCAGGCATCTCTTACCCACACCCCCACCATGGTGGGGGGAGGTTCCTCGTCCTAAGGGATCCGCAGAGCTGGACTTGCCTCAGCAGCCCCACCAGGCCTTTGCCTCTTGGCCCTGCCTGGAAGTAAGGAAAGGGCCACTGTGCTGAGTGTTGGGGGACCTGTTTCCTGTCTTTAGCTGTAGGGTTTATGTGAGTCTCCCTACAGTAAAAGACAGGGTTGGATGATGGTTTCTTAAGGCAGATCCTCCCTGGACAGTCTGTGGCTCCTTAGCTGCTGTGAGCCCAGACCAGAGCCTCCAGTACAATTGGGAGCCTCCAGGGGGACATCTCTGAGCTGTTGGTTCAGGTACCTAAGATTCCAAGATGGGTGTACTTTGCCTCTCATTCGCACATCAGAGGCTGTGGCATGGAACCCCATTATAGCATAAGGTGTGCCACCCCCCTGTGGTGACTGGCCACTTAATAAACATTCCAGAACTCACTCCTCCAGATGGCTGTTGTCACCACCAAAAGCAGTCACCAGAGAGGCTGGAAGTCTGTTCCAAACCCTTCCTGGGAATTTCCCTCAGAGTCTGAATCATATTCTCTAGAATGTCCTCAGAGTGGTCAGTCTGCCTTCTTAGGGGTAGATTTGACTTTGCAGAGAAACCTGAAGTCATCAAGAGCTAAGACTAATTAATAAGATAAGTGAACAAGTGGGTAACTGCCCTTTTCCATCAGAACCGAGGCATGCTGTGGAAGGAAGGACAGGCTGACCGTGGCATCACTGAGCACACGCCTGTGTGTATGGTTTAAATGGCTCTGAAGAAGAGTCCAGGAGGAGTTTTAAACATGTTTCAAGCCCAGGCAATACGATTGAACAAGTACACAATTGGACAATGCTCGTTTCGACGTCTAAGTTCTGGTGTCCTTGTTGGGGAGTTGGTTTCATGACCCACACTCAGTTCCAGGAACATCCCAGCTTTAGCAGATGGCTTGTACTCAGCTTCAGCTCACAAAAGAGGTGTGGTAAAGTCCCCCACCTCACAATGAGACCAGGGGAGGGAGAGATCTTGACATTTCCACCTAGAAAACAGTTTCTCTTGAAAATAATCCGTTACTGCAATGTAAAGGTTACTTTCTGAAATATTATAGTTCAATTATGGTATAGAGTAAATAGACTTCTGAGGGCTGGTCTGAGCTTGAACAACCTTGAATCTTGTATCTATGAAAAGTTAGCAAAAATTAAGAGTGCAAATTTGTAAGCAGTCAGGACATAGCCTAGCCATTAAGTTATAGACTTAATTTATAGACTTCCTATCATACTACGTTCTATTATATATCCCTGCCTCCCTCCTTCAGAGAGCTCAGAAACACCTTCAAGATAATCAGATCCCACTCCTCCTTTTACTTTCACTTCCATTTTATGACCCAGAAAGTGAGGAACAGAGAAGTTAAATAGCTTCTCATAAGCCTCACAGCTAACAAGTGGTAGAAAAGGGAGTAGAGTGGTCCAGGGAAACCCCTCAGAACCAGGTTCCAAGCCAAATGCTTTGCCCTGAAAAAAACTCATCCTTGGAGTTAGGGATGTTGGCTCATTCTCTTAGAGGACAATAGTTAATGCACAGGTTCTATGTCTGGAAAGGGTCCCCAGCGGCAGGCTTGGGTTGAATAGGGCACCAGAGGTAAGGTTTAGGCAAAGGCAGGAAGGACAAATTCCCACAGGCACGAGCAAATGCAATATAAATGCAGTCATGTTCAGTGTATAAAATGAAACGTGCAGATTGCTGGAGGAGCTCAGAGAAGGGTGAGTTTCCTTTTCCTAGAGGCAGGAGGTGCTCAGGGGAGCCGTCACTGAGGAAGTGGTGTGCCAGGCCTTGGAGGAAAAGTAGGCCTTCACAAGGACACCCAGGGTGGGGAGGCAGAGCTGGGTGCTCATTCCACACAAGGCAAAGACTGCAAAGCATGACTGTGGAGGTGAGTCTGGGGAAGAAGGCATTCGGTAGGGCTGCTCAGCAGGAGGAATGATGGGGGGTGATGAGGCTGTGCAAGTAGCAGGGACTGGGTCAGAGTGAGCCTGTGTGTCAAGTTAGAGAGCCAGGATCGTGTGCCACAAGCACCAAAGGAGCACTAAATCCTTGAAGGATTTAGTTCACCTCTGAGTGGTTAGCAGAACAGAATACAAAAGTGGGATGCGAGGCAAGGAGTCCCGTTAGAGGACTAGTGAAATCATGATTCCCAGGGGAGGTCTGGGAATCAATTTTTCAGAGGCCCATGTGGAAAGGAGAAAATGAAAACACTGGTTGTGTGTGTGTGTGTGTGTTTGTCCACCCACCTCTCTGTCTCTCTCACACACACACACACACACACACACACACACAGAGACATAAGGGTTTATGTCCATTTAAAGATGTCTGTTGTCTGTTCTTGGGAAGGATTTTCCTTTTTTTTCAAAGATAACATCCTTCTAATGTTTTGGTGTGTGAAAATGCTCTTTTCTCTTTGGAACGACGATCATAGCAGAGAGTGATTACTTTTCTTCAACCTATGCTCTTGTCAAAACTGAAAGTATTTGAAAATATTGTGTTGGGCCCCCAAAGTCTCATTTTGAAGTTTTCTTGGTTTTGGAAACCCCAGGTGAGATGAGGATGTTCTGTCTGGGGCAGGAGCAGTGGTGATGGAGGGGATGGCATGAGAGGCCTCTGCGGTGGCATCAGCAGTCTTTGTCCAGGTGGATGTGGGAGCAGGGAGGGAGGAGTCCCAGACGATGGGGAGAGTTCCAGCACAGGCAGCTGGTGGGTGGCTGCTGAGCTGGCTATGCAGAGGCGCCCTGGGGATCCTGGTCTTGGGTGTGGAAATTTCAGGTAAGCCTGGAATTGTCTGAATGGGTCCACCTCCTGCTTCTTCCTCCTGACTGCCCTGGATCAGCTCTTACTCCCCACTCCACCCCCAATTACTCCAGGCCCATGACCTTGTCTCTGCCCACAGGGACATTGGAGGCAATGAAACAGTGACACTGCGCCAGTCGTTTGTGCCTGTGCGACCAGGCCCCCGCCAGCTCATTGCCAGCTTGGACAGCCCACAGCTCTCCCAGGTGCACGGTGTCATCCAGGTGGATGTGGCCCCAGCCCCTGGGGATGGGGGCTTCTTCTCAGACGCTGGAGGTGACAGTCACTTAGGAGAGACCATCCCTATGGCATCTCGAGGTGGAGCTTAGCCCCGTGCCAGGAGCAATGGGACTGGAGTCAGATGAGCAAGGACATTGCCCCAAGATAGGGGCACACTACAGAGCAGCTCCCCAGGAGCTCAGGTGGGGAGTCCAGGGCTCCCGGAGGGGGAGTCCAGGGCTCCCGGAGAGGGAGTCAGTCTTCACTTGCACTGGGGGAACAGATGCTAATAAACTGTTTTTTAATGAAGCTGCTGCTCTGTCCATCTTTCAGTCCATGCCACACCAAGACGGATGGAGCCATGGTTTGTCCCAGGGCTGCACATGGCCTTCCTGTATCATCCACTGATAGGGGCTGGTGTCCCTCACCAGAGAGAGGGAACCACAAGGGAAGTTGAGGCTCAGAGAGACAGAGTCGATACTCTTTGTATAACTCTCTTCTACCTGGAAATTTTCCTGTGGGTGAGTTTTGGAGGATTTTGGCTTTGGTTTGAATGAAACTGTTCCCTTACCTCAGGGTTTTTCAAGTGTAGTCTCTAGACCACTTCTATTACAATCACTGAAATGTTTATTAATAATCCAGATAGATGGGCCCTACCATAGACTTCATGTGTCAGAATCCCCGTGGAAGAGGCCCAGAACAAACTCACCAAGAGTTTGACTCCTGTGCACACTGAAGATCAAGAACGATGCCCTTTCATTTTTCTTCTCAGCTGTTCTTTTTTCTGCATTCCCACTGCCTGCATTCTTCTTGGGCTAGCAGTAGCCATGAGATCATGTACCTGATATTCTGGTCCTGAACGCATGTCTTCTTGAACCTTTAAGTTTAGAAGGCTTTCAAGACAAAGGGCTCATGGGGCAGGAAAAAGAGAGCTAAAATTGAGCTGTTCCTACTAGCTGTAAACACATGAACAAGGTGCACACCTTGAGGCATCAGTAGTGTAACATGCACAAGAAGAAACAAGCCCTTCCCTTAAGGTGCTCCTGTCCAGTGGGGGTGACAGACATGCAAACATTCTAAATACAGTAAATGCGTATGTCACACTTACCAGGAACCAGGCTCCAAGCACTTTATGAATTCATTTAATCCTTACAATAACCTTATGAGATAGGTTCTGCATGGTAGTAGAGGGATGTTCAGGATGCTGAGGGGCCCAGAGAACTGTGATTCTGCCTGGGCTGATACAGAAAGTCTTCATGAAGGTGATTACCAGATGACCCATGAAAGATGAGAAAAAGTCAAGTCCAAGAGGCAAAGGACAGAGGAATCACCCAACACGTGTAAAGCACAGACATGTGAGACAACACAGTATGTTTGGAAAATGCAGACAGCTGGATGAGGACTGGCATATGGGTGCATGATGAGTACAAAGTGGCAAAGGATGTGCATGAAGAGGTAAGCTTGGGCCAGTTCATTAAAAATCCTTTTGCCATATTTAGGAGTTTGGACTTTCTTCTGAAAGTAAGGGGGAGCTTTCAATTAGGGATGATATGATCAAGTTTTGCATTTCACATGATTCATAATGAAAGCAACATAGAAAAGAAATTAGAGGGGTTGGGCTGGAGGTAGGAAGATAGAGTCCTCTTGGGATGAGAGATAGGAGAACCTGAATTAGGGTAGAAGCAGTACGAATGAAAAAAAAAGGGTGGGTTTGAACGTTGTATAGGAAATAGAACTGATTAGACTTGATAACAGATTCAATTTGGAGAGGAGGGAGGGCAGAGATAAGGGTGGTGGCCTGAGTTTCTGACTCATGGGTGCCACGAAGAGAGGTGCCATGCACAGAAATTCGAAGCTCAGGAGGAAGACCATATTATAAAAGGGAAGGTAGACCAGGCACGGTGGTTCACGCCTATAATCCCAGCACTTTGGGAGGCCAAGGCAGGTGGATCACAAGGTCAGGAGTTCGAGAGCAGCCTGGCCAATATGGTGAAACCCAGTCTCTACTAAAAATACAAAAAAAAAAAAAAAATAGCCACGCATGGTGGCACATGCCTGTAATCCCAGCTACTCGAGAGGCTGAGACAGGAGAATTGCTTGAACCCGGGAGGTGGAGGTTGCACTCCAGCCTGGGCGACAGAGTGAGACTCCATCTAAAAAAAAAAAATGAAGATAACGACCTCTGGTTTTTAGTCTGGCCTGTAACAAGCTTAGGAGTCCTCACTCCTGTCCTCACAAAGAAAAATGCTGAACAAACTGAAAGTCAGCAACTCTTGTTGGATCTATCAGAGAATTGAGGGCACAGGGCAAACTGCTGCCCCTAAAACTGGAGAGACAAAAAGGCAGATACAGAGAATCACAACTTAACAGCAGAAGCCCAGAAACAGAAACAGAAACAGAAACTTCTGGGGAGCCAGTACCAGGGTAGGAAAACTTAAAGTGTAATTGACTCATAGCTGGAGGCTTAGGGTGGACAAATTTGAGAGCTAAAAAATCTATAGTGGCCAGGCATGGTGGCTCATGCCTGTAATCCCAGCACTTTGTGAGGCTGAGGCACGCAGATCACTGAGCTCAAGGGTTCGAGACCAGCTTGGGCACCATGGCAAAACCCCATCTCTACAAAAAAGACAAAAAGTAGCCGGGTGTGGTGGCACATGCCTGTAATGCCAGCTACTTGGGAGGCTGAGGTGGATCACCTGAGCCTGGGGAGGTTGAGGCTGCAGTAAGCCGAGATCACGACACTGCACTGCAGCCTGGGCGACAGTGAGACTGTCTCAAAAAAAAAAAAAAAAAACAAAACATCTAGGGGTCCCATTCTTAGGGGGGACCCTACCCTTTTTTTGGTTTTTGTTTTTTATTTTTTGTTTCTTGTTTTTGTTTTTCCCAGGCTGGAATGCAGTGGTGCAATCACAGCTTACTGCAGCCTCCAACTCCTGGGCTCAAGCAATCCTCCTGCCTCAGCCCAAATAGCTAGGACTGCAGGTGTGTACCACCATGGCTGGCTTTTTTTTTTTTTTCTTTTGAGATGGAGTCTCGCTCTGTCACCAGGCTGGAGTGCAGTGGTGCGATCTCAGCTCACTGCAACCTCCACCTCACCTCTCAGGTTCAAGTGATTCTCCTGCCTCAGCCTCCTGAGTAGCTGGGATTACAGGCACGCGCCACCATGCCCAGCTAATTTTTGTATTTTTAGTAGAGACGGGTTTCACCATGTTGGCCAGGATGGTCTTGATCTCTTGACCTTGTGATCCACCCACCTCAGCCTCCCGAAGTGCTGGGATTACAGGTGTGAGCTACTGCGCCCAGTCACCTGGTTAACTTTTAGATTTTTTTGTTTGTTTGTTTTGTTTTTGTACAGACATGGTCTCACTATGTTGCCCAGACTGGTCTTGAACTCCTAGCCTCAAGCAATCCTAGGTGTGAGCCATGGCACATGGCCACAAGTTTTACCAGGATCCCACAGTGAAAACTGGAGAACCCCCTGCCCCGTGATTCTGGCAAAGGGGAGGAGGAAAGTAGCCACTTTGAAATACATCCATTGCATTCTGTTCTCACTCTGTTGCCCAGGCTGGAGTGCAATTCATTGCAACCAGGCTGGATTACAGCTCACTGCAACCTCAACCTCCTGGGCTCAGGCAATCTTTCCACATCAGCCTCCTGAGTAACTGGGGCTACAGGTGTGCACATCTATGCCTGGCTAGTTTTTCAATTTTTTTTGTAGAGACGGGGGTCTCGCCATTTTGCCCAGGTTGGTCTCAAACTCCTGGGCTCAAGCAATCCACCTGCCTCGGACTCCCAAGAAGTCAGCTACACAGAGATAGCAGCTGAAAATGAGTAATTCAGCTGGGCACGGTGGCTCACGCCTGTAATCCTAGCACTTTGGGAGGCCAAGGCAGGTGGATCGCTTGAGGTCAGGAGTTCGAGACCAGCCTGGGCAACATGGCAAAACCCCATCTCTACTAAAACAAAAATTAGCCGGGCGTGGTGGTGTACGACCTGTAGTACCACCTACTTGGGAGGCTGAGGCACCAGAATCGCTTGAACTTGGGAGACACAGGTTGCAGTGAGCTGATATTGAGCCACTGCATTCCAGCCTGAGCAACAAAGCAAGACATTGTCTCAAAAAACAAAAAAAACCCACTGTAACAGAAATGATGAATGTCTGTGATGGGCTCATCAATAGACTGGACATGGCCAAAGAACATGGTGCGCTTGAAGAAATGTCAACAGAAATTTCCAAAGCTGAAATGCAATGAGAAAAAAAAATGAAAAAGAACAGAATATCCAAGAATTGTAGGACAATTATAGAAGCTGTAGCATACACATAATCAGAATGGCAGAGAAGAAAATAAAGGAACATAAGAAATGTGGCAATAATGACTGAGAATTTCCCCCAAATTAATGACAGACACAAAACACAGATCCAGGAAGCTCAGAGAGCAGCAAGCAGGATAAATACAAAAAACAAAAAATGAAGATAGACTGGGCTGGGCAACACAGAGAGACACCCCTTCTCTACAAAACATATTTTTCTTTTTTTTTTTTTTTGTAGAGTCAGGGTCTCACTGTATTGCCCAGGCTGGTCTCAAACTCCTGGCCTCAAGTGATCCTCCCACTTCAGCCTCCCAAAGTTCTGGGATTACAGGCATGAGCCACCACACCCACCAAAAAAGATTTTTTAAAAAATTAGCCAGGGACTGCGTGCAGTGGCTCACGCCTGCGATCCCAACACTTTCGGAAGCCGAGGTGGGAAGATCGCTTGAGTCCAGGAATTCGAGACCAGCCTGGGCAACAAAGACTTGTCTCTACAAAAAATAGAAAAAAATGAGCCAGGCATGGTGGTGCATGCCTGTAGCCCCAGTTACTTTGGAGGCTGAGGCAGGAGGATCACTTAAGCCCAGGAGGCAGAGGTTGCAGTGAGCCAAGATCACTGCACTCCACCCTGAGCAACAGAGCGAGACTGTCTCCCCACCTCAAAAAAAAAAAAAGAGCCGAGCGCGGTGGCTCACGCCTTGTAATCCCAGCACTTTGGGAGGCCGAGGCGAGCGGATCACGAGGTCAGGAGATCCAGACCACGGTGAAACCCCGTCTCTACTAAAAATACAAAAAAGCCGGGCGCGGTGGTGGGCGCCTGTAGTCCCAGCTACTCGGGAGGCTGAGGCAGGAGAATGGCGTGAACCCAGGAGGCGGAGCTTGCAGTGAGCTGAGATCGCGCCACTGCACTTCAGCCTGGGCGACAGAGCGAGACTCCGTCTCAAAAAAAAAAAAAAGTAAAACAACAGAAGTTCATATCTACATAAGAAAGAAAGAACATTAGAGAAGGAATAAATAAAGGGAAAAAGGAAGATAACTAGAATTTCACACATATCCAATTTGGGGTACTTTGGGACTGGGTGTTTCTTGGGCAGTCGAATGTGCGGATCAGCTGAGACTGATCCGGGGCGGAGACAAGGATGTGTGAACCATTATCTCTGGGAATGGAAGACATGGGCTAAAGACGGAGCAGTTTCACTAAATCCTTGTAAGGTGGTCAAGGCAGGCAACTAATCCAGCCAACAATTAAGGAGTGTAAGCTGTGTGTTAGGTTCTGTGCTTGCTGATGGAAATGAGAGGCACCAGGAAGCCTGTGGAAGAGACAGTCAAGGAGAGCAGTCAATTACATTAGGGGGCTGACAAGTTCAGTGCACAACAGAATCCTAAAACAAGAAACTAATTTGTGTGTGTGTGTGAGACCCCGTCTCACTCTATCACTCAGGCTGGAGTGCAGTCACTGAAGCCTCAACCTCCCTGGCTCAAACAATCCTCCCAACTCAGCCTCCTGAGTAGCTGGGACTACAGGCGTGCCACTACGCCCGGCTAGTTTTTTTGATTTTCAGTAGAGACAGGTTATCGCCATGTGATCCAGTCTGGTCTGGAACTCCTGGGCTCAAGCGGATCGATCCTCCCCTCTCGGCCTCTCAGAGTGCTGGGATTACAGGTGTGAGTCACCGTGCCCCCAGCCTGTATTCTATTTCTTCTTCTTCCTCTTTTTTTTTTTTTTTTTTTCTTTGAGAGAGATTCTCCCTCTGTCGCCCAGGCTGGAATGCAGAGGCAAGATCGCGGCTCACTGCCACCTCCCGTCTACTGGGTTCAAGCGATTCTCCTGCCTCGGCCTCCCGAGTAGCTGGGATTACAGGCGCCTGCCACCACGCCCAGCTAATTTTTGTACTTTTAGCAGAGAAGGGGTTTCACCATGTCGCCCAGGCTTGTCTGGAGCTCCTGGGCTCAAGTGACCCTCCTGCCTCGGCCTCTCAAAGCGCTGGGATTAGACACAAGCCACCACGCCCAGCCTGTATTTTATTTTTTAAGGGCGGGCGCCCTCTTCTGTTTTATAAAAGGAACAGTCGAATTCCTACTGGAAGCGACGCGCGCAGAGGGGAAGGCTTTGTAGACGCCGGCTCGGGTCTGGAATTTAAAGAACTAAATTTCGATGGGTGAAGACAGTGGGAAAGGGCGGTGGCATGATCCTCGTTTTACAGACTAGGAAGTCGAGCCTCACGGGAGTGACGGGGCTTCTCCGCAGGCTCCGCGAAGAAAGCAAGGCTGGGAGGACCCAGACGAACGGCCACAACAGCCTCAGCGGCCACGACAGCCTCAGCCGCCAACTCATGTCAGCCGGCAGAGAGTGCAGGAAGCGGGCAGCTACAGCTCCGCTGGGGCGTGGCCTTCTGACGCACCGTCACGGTTCCCTCTGTGGCCGCCCATTGGCTCCCTCTTACCGCCCTTTTCCGGGGCAAGGGAAGCTAGTAGCGGAGCCGGAAGTGAGGCACCCTCGGGCTCGAGACAGCGGCGACGTTTAAAGCTGAGCGACCCAGTGCCACTGGAGACGGTCAGCTTCTCCACTCAGGCTCCTCCAGCCCGAGCCAGAAGACCCCCTCCCCCAGAATTCTGGGGGCCGATGGAAGGGAGCCGAGTCAGATCGCGAGGTACCCAGAGCCGACAGACCGGAGCGACAGGGAGTTGCCAGAAGCCCCGCCCCTAGGAGTGATCGGAAAGCCTCACCCATCCGGGTGAGGAACCCGGAGGGACCGCCTCCGGGCGGAGCCCGCCGACCATGGCTACGCCCCTGGTGGCGGGTCCCGCAGCTCTACGCTTCGCCGCCGCGGCTAGCTGGCAGGTTGTGCGCGGACGCTGCGTGGAACATTTTCCGCGAGTACTGGAGTTTCTGCGATCTCTGCGCGCTGTTGCCCCTGGCTTGGTTCGCTACCGGCACCACGAACGCCTTTGTATGGGCCTAAAGGCCAAGGTATTGGAGCAAGTAGGACCTGGAAGGGGAAAGAAAGAAAGGGGCGGGATGCGAGCACCTGACAAGGGCCCACAGCTTGGGGATGAGACTAGTTGGAAAAGGTCAGCTTGCCCCGAAGTGGGGATTCTGAATTCAGTACCGTACAGGTGGTGGTGGAGCTGATCCTGCAGGGCCGGCCTTGGGCCCAAGTCCTGAAAGCCCTGAATCACCACTTTCCAGAATCTGGACCTATAGTGCGGGATCCCAAGGCTGTGAGTAATCCCCGGAACAAGCCCTGACCCCAGTTACACTTGGTGCAGCAAAGTTGCTCCTCCTGTCTACTGGATGTTGGTGCTAACTTCTCTGTCTTCTGTATCCTCAACAGACAAAGCAGGATCTGAGGAAGATTTTGGAGGCACAGGAAACTTTTTACCAGCAGGTGAAGCAGCTGTCAGAGGCTCCTGTGGATTTGGCCTCGAAGCTGCAGGTGAGACTGGTTTGAAGGCTATTATGTGGCTATTTTCTCTAACCCATTTTTTTTTTTTTTTGAGGAATCTTGCTCTGTCGCCCAGGCTGGAGTGCAGTGGCACAATCTCGGCTCACTGCAACCTCTGCCTCCCGGGTTCAAGCGATTCTCCTGCCTCAGCCTCCCGAGTAGCTGGGATTACAAATGCCCAGCTAATTTTTGTATTTTAGTAGAGATGGGGTTTCACCATGTTGGCCAGGCTGGTCTCGAACTCCTGACCTCAAGTGATCCGCCCACCTCGGCCTCCCAAATGGCCAGGATTACAGGCGTGAGCCACCGTGCCTGGCCACTAACCCACTTTTGACCTAATCTCCCCTGCTGTAGGAACTTGAACAAGAGTATGGGGAACCCTTTCTGGCTGCCATGGAAAAGCTGCTTTTTGAGTACTTGTGTCAGCTGGAGAAAGCACTGCCTACACCGCAGGCACAGCAGGTTTCGCTGGGGCAAAACATGTAAGGGCAGAGTGTGGGGTGGCTGTTTCAAGGATTGTGGTCTTCATACCTCTGTCCCTGCCCACAGCTTCAGGATGTGCTGAGTTGGATGCAGCCTGGAGTCTCTATCACCTCTTCTCTTGCCTGGAGACAATATGGTGTGGACATGGGGTGGCTGCTTCCAGGTACTAGGAATTTGGAGGTGTAGTGTTTAGCCTGAGACCTTTTGAGGCAGTCCACTGGAATAGTTCCATGGGCTCCGGGCATAAGAAACCAGTTATTCTGTTACTATCTGTTCTCTTTATAAGGGGCCTCATTTTCTTTTTCAGAGTGCTCTGTTACTGACTCAGTGAACCTGGCTGAGCCCATGGAACAGAATCCTCCTCAGCAACAAAGACTAGCACTCCACAATCCCCTGCCAAAAGCCAAGCCTGGCACACATCTTCCTCAGGGACCATCTTCAAGGACGCACCCAGAACCTCTAGCTGGCCGACACTTCAATCTGGCCCCTCTAGGCCGACGAAGAGTTCAGTCCCAATGGGCCTCCACTAGGGGAGGCCATAAGGAGCGCCCCACAGTCATGCTGTTTCCCTTTAGGAATCTCGGCTCACCAACCCAGGTCATATCTAAGCCTGAGAGCAAGGAAGAACATGCGATATACACAGCAGACCTAGCCATGGGCACAAGAGCAGCCTCCACTGGGAAGTCTAAGAGTCCATGCCAGACCCTGGGGGGAAGGGCTCTGAAGGAGAACCCAGTTGACTTGCCTGCCACAGAGCAAAAGGAGTGAGTGGAACAGAGTTGCTTCTTACTAGGAGCACATTCTTTGCCTGCCTTCCCTTCATCCTATCCTCTTTGCTTGCTCTCACCTCAGGAATTGCTTGGATTGCTACATGGACCCCCTGAGACTATCATTATTACCTCCTAGGGCCAGGAAGCCAGGTAGGTAGTCTGAGTCAGGATTGGATCAACAGCCTCCTCTCTTGGGGACTCTCAAGAGCCTGTGTTCATCTAGAAGTAGTAGTTTGATTCTGGTTTCCCTCCTACAGTGTGTCCTCCGTCTCTGTGCAGCTCCGTCATTACCATAGGGGACTTGGTTTTAGACTCTGATGAGGAAGAAAATGGCCAGGGGGAAGGAAAGGTGAGTGGGAAGGAGCAGAAAGCTGGGAAAGGGGATGGGTAGAACAAGACTGAGAAATCCACATGCTTCAGAATTCAGAGGGTTCAGGGAATGGTTTCGGATAGTAGGCTCTCCCTGCTCCCTTCTCTACAGGAATCTCTGGAAAACTATCAGAAGACAAAGTTTGACACCTTGATACCCACTCTCTGTGAATACCTACCCCCTTCTGGCCACGGTGCCATACCTGTTTCTTCCTGTGACTGTAGAGACAGTTCTAGACCTTTGTGATAGAACTAAAATGCTCTCTGTACTCTAGTCTCCTGCCTCCTCAGCTCTGCAAGTAGTTTAGTAGGAATGAAGTGGAAGTCCAGGCTTGGATTGCCTAACTACACTGCTAAAAATATTTGTAATCCTTAATAATTAAACTTTGGATTTGTTAAAATACTGCCTTGATGTGAAGGAGGGGAATTAAGGTTTCCATAAGGTCAGCATAAGTCATTCCTTAGAAACAGAACTGGCCCTTCCAAACTGAAAGGATCCCTTTGCCTTTTTTTACTTCCCTTGCTAAGTGTTGTTCAGCTGTGCCTAAAAGGGTTAGCAGGGTTGAAAGCCTGGAAGAGAAATGTCCTTTGGTATTCTGGAAATATGTGTCCTCAGGCCAGAATATACTTTGTAAATTCTCATGCTGCCAGATTATCTGGGTGTGGTGGCACTAGAATGGAGATACTTCATGGGAATAATACTCATTGTTCTTGACCCCACTGGGTCAGTGCTGACCCTACCACCACCCACTCTGCAGCAGCACCCAGATGCTAGCCTTGTACAGAAAGCCCCAGCATCTCTTTACAGTCAATGAGCTCTCTCTTTATTGAGGTATTTCAAATATACAAACACTTCAGAGCTTTTTAGATATGTGAAGGTCCAATTTAGTGAAGCGGATTAACAAAACATGATTCTAAAAGCCTGCCTCCTCTAGACCAAGGCCATGTAAAAGATTTATGTACCAATCAGCATCTTTTCCTTTTAATAATCTTCAGGATGTTGTGTTGGGTCCCCAGATTCCCATTTGATTTTCTTGCATCATTTTCTCAGACTGTTTGCTTCCTTGCTTCCTCCCCAGTGAGTGCCTTGGGCATTTTGTGTGTGCAGATAGAGAAGTACAGAGTTACTGCAGGAGCCCTCAGGAGTGAGACAACAGGAAATGACAAAGTAATACAGAGCTGCAGTAGCTGGGATGGGTGAGGACCCCACTTGGGATGCCCCATGGTAGAGTACTGGTGCCTTGGGAGGGTAGAACTGCTCAGGTCTAGCACGCCTCACTGAAGATTGGATTCACCTGCTGGGTGACTCGGATGAAGGTAGTTCTCCTGCTCAACTCTTTGAGCTTAGCTGCTCCCACATAGGTACACGTAGAGCGGATCCCTCCTAGGATGTCTCGGATGGTATGTTCCACATCTCCTTTAAAAGGAACTTCCACTGTCTTTCCCTCTGAGGCTCTTAAAGTAGGAAAAACTTTATTATCTTCTCCTTCTGGATTCCTTAAGCCCAGGGACTTTTCCACAGACCCTAGCATTGAGCCCCGGTTCACCATGCTTCTCTGAGAACTGTACCATCCCCCTCTCAGCAGCCATGAGTTCTGCCTCCATACTATTACTAAGCTCCTGGGCCTCCACACATACCTGTACTCAGCCACGCCCCCAGCATACTTCTTCATGGCCATTTCAGAACTCATTCCATAGAAGAGCTTGTACTTCTTGCCATCCCTCTCGATGAGCTCACCACCTGACTCACTGTGCCCAGCCAGCATGCCACCCAGCATCACGAAGTCAGCTCCTGCCCCTGCCACCATCATGGAGGGGGGAAAGAGATTAATCTGGCCAAGGTGCTCACATGGCCACCCTCAAAAGCAACTCACACCATATTCTCAGTCCTGACAATGATTCCAGCGTCTTCCTCCTTCTGCTTCCCTAGCTGACCCACAATCCACGCAGGCCTGATCTGCCCTGGCCTCTATTCCTCAGTGGGTATGATTTCCCCAAGATTTAAAAAAGAGCCTCTGGAGAGTCCCTGCCTGGCTTTTGCTTTCTCCTTTTGCTGTTTTTACCATCATCGTCTGGTCATTTGATTTTACTGTGCCCAGCTAAATAAGACTCATTTCATGTGTCCCAAGAGCAAAGATCCCCAACTTTAATGGGAGTAATGATCTCCTGGGAAGCTGTGCAAAATGAAAAATGCAGATGTGCTGTCCCATTCCTCAGAGCCTATTTTTAGGTATGGCTGGGGCTCAGGAGTCTGCACTGTGCAGCAATCTAGGAGATGGTCAGATGGCCCTGGCCCACACTTGGAGTCTCAGATGTCCCCTGCTGGCTGCCCCAGATGATACCATAGACTTCGGAGTCACTAATTCATATTATGAAAGAATCTGAATGACTTCCTGAGCCTCTCTTAGCCTGACCCTAGACCCTCAGAGGTGATTCATCCTCTTGTATAGAATCATCCTTCTGTGCCCTCAAGCTCCTTACCAAAAGCCTTGGCCACATCCCCAGGACAGCTGCAACCTCCATCCTGCAAAGTAAGGAGCACTATGAATACAACATGGATTTCCCAAGCCCTCAGCGATGTCCCAACAGCCCAACTCAAAGCCAACAAGAACCCAGGAATTCTAATCCATCTCTGCCACCTCCATACCCTGCAGAAACCCCGCTCATACCCTACCCTGCCCTTGAGCCTTACTGAAATGATGTGGCCTTTGAGGCCATGAGCAGCATCTGCACACTCCATCACTGCGCTGAGCTGTGGATACCCCACTCCAGTTTTCTTCCGAGTAGTACACACAGAGCCTAGGAAGAACATGATAAGGGTAAGAATGACGTGCTCCACAGGTGTTTGCCACTGAAGGGGGGTAGCCAGTGGCCCCAATGAACCAGCTTACCTGGCCCAATTCCCACTTTGATGATGTCAGCCCCAGAAAGGATGAGCTCTTCTACCATCTCTCCTGTTACCACATTCCCTGCCTGAGACAGAGCAATTGAAATACAGCATCCTTAGGGCCAGAAACAGGAGGTCATGTATTGTTACGGTATGCATGGACCATGACTTTCCAACATTATTACAAAGAAAGGATAACTAGGTCCCCTCTACTGGGCCCTCTGAGGGCTTTTACACTAGCCACTTTAGAGAACCCTGCTCCCTACCCATCCACCCAACACCAAGCCAAGGTAGGAGTGAGTGGCCAATGTCACCACTGAACCTAGGGTAAAGCCGAGGTCCATGATGCACTTTTCTAAGGCAACAAGGTGCTATGATCAACAGGGACACATGAAGTGGCATGGAGGAGCATTCAGTGAGGCAAAGGGAACTACTGGACCAGGCTCACATCTGATTTACAGTAGATTTAGCTCCCCTTCCTCAAGAGACCCAAACATATTCTGTCCTTAAGCCATTCTGTCATAGAACCTGTCTGGCTTCAGGGAAAGGGAGAAGGCATGGTAGTATAGGCTAAAGACCCATTTGACCAGTTGATTGGCTTTTGATGATCAGTAGACACACCCCTCAATGCTGCGAAGAAAATGAAGGCCACTCTTCTAAGGTTGTAAAAAGATAAATCATTATTCATGTGACCCCTTTTTATGTGACTAGTATGTGTCCATTTCAGTGGGCAGATGTCTATGTACCACAGGTATGTACAGTGCACAGATGTTCCATCATGGTTTGGTGAGTGACATCAGGGACATCAGATTTACAAAGACTATGAACCAAGGGTCAGAGATACTACACTGACCAAATAGACATTTTCAGCTTAGAACTATGGATAATCATCCAGTATCATGATTAAATGAACTAGGAATATCATAATGCAGCAGAGGAGAAATGGACTGATGTAGCAAAACGGAGTGGCAGGAAAGTGGAAAGATAAAAAGGTACCGACTGTAATAGAAACATACCATGATGGTGTGCTGGGGGAAGCGCTTCCGTACATCTTTTACAAATTCAACAAAGTGTTCAGAGTAGCCATTTGCCACATCCAGGCATATATACTTCACCTGGGGAATAGCTTCCAGGATCTGTTCCAGCTGCTCAAAGTCAGAAGAGCCTGTGCCTGAGCTGGCAGCCAGATGCTGTGGGAGAAACAGAGTCATTGGCATATCAGAGATGATCTGGTGGGCAGCCAGTGGGTCATTGGTGAGTGCTGGTCCCCAGAAAGCCAAAATATAATTGCTGGAAAACTGGGATAAGGAAGGGAGCAGGGTATGCCCAGTGTTACCTCAAGACAGTCAGGATTCTGGCCAGCAAACTCTTGCCACTGAACGAGGCTATAGTGCTTATGGACAGCAGTGAAGAGAGAGAACTGGGGAGAAGACAAAGAAGCATCAAAAGGGAGAAAACTTTATTAAGGTCTCTTTTCTAGAAACAGACCTATTCTATCTGAGGGAGGACATGATTGAAGTTGGGGAGGAAACAAGTCAAAGAACTCAGGTTGAGCTGGGATTTGAGTTCAACCTTTCTTCTCTCTACAAATACTAGTAGGGCTTTTTACCATAAGCTAGTACTTGTCAGATTTCCCACCAAAGTACTGAGTGATCTGGGTTGGATTTCATCTGCCAGCACATTCACTGCTTCTGACTTAAAAGGTGACAAGCTGCTGGTGCAGTGGGACAGGCAGCAGACATGAAAGAACCATGAAGAAGCTGGATGGAGCCTGTGTTTCTCTGCACTGACTCAGCCCCTCCTCCTAAGGTAACCTAGTACTAAACTATTTTTGGTTATGTTCTCGTTCATTTACCAGCAGTAATTCAGTAGATCTGGATGCTCACCAAAGGTAATGCCTTAAGGTTGATAAGAGCTGATAAGGGGCTACCCTACCCTGTCTCCATCTCTAGTGGAAAAAAGGACAAATTTCCTAGTTGGGGACATGGATCAAGCTAAAAAATCTGTTTCATTCAGTCCATTTTAATAAAGTTCAAGGACATAATGACTCATCAAACTCATATTCTCTAGCTCAACAGATTGCAAACAATATCCCAATACTTTGAGGAAGGCATTCAAAGGCCATTGTGTATGCTGGTGTTTGTGCCTTACATGTCTACATGCAAACAGACAAGAGACAGCAGTTGGCTGAAACAGCACAAATCTTGCAACTAACAAGAAACCCAAGGAAGTCATGTATTAGCTAGCAACAAGTGCTCTACATACGTACTCAGAGATCAACAATATCTAGCTAAAGCTGGTATTGAATTCTGCTTTCTCAACAACTCTATCATCAACATACTGATAAGCAAAGAAAAGTCACCATAGGATAGGAAGTCAGCAGATGTTGGAGATATACTGGCAGAGTGTGGCATGATGAGCACATCAGATTACATACCAAACTTAGAAAAAGATGTTTGCTTGCATCCAACCTTTTTATTACAGTAAGACTTGGCTCTTATCTCTAAAACCTGATTTCTTTACCTCTCGTCAGCAATACTGAAAGCCAGGCTCCACATAAAGCATCAAGACAGTCCCCAAAAAGGTTCATGTATTACAGCACGCCTGTTAACTCTGCAGTCAGAGTCACCAATTCTGAACTCTACTGGTCAGGGCAGATGGACAGTGGGCAACAGAAAGATTCCTAAGCAGTTACTGAATGGCAATAAAAATAAAGTAAAAATAAAACTGCATAACTATCAACCTTAAAGAAATGACAAGACATTCCACAAAGACACAGCAATCAAAAATAGAAAAAGGATATGAAGTCCTTAAGACTAATGGAGCCACAAACAATAGCAGAATTCATCAACCAGGGCTACATGGATCAACCAGCAGAGTGCATATGTTCTCAAAGTGCCCAGATAACTCTCTACCTTCTCAGCAACAAGTATAGAGGCAGGTAATAGTACTGACAGGAGCAGCATCTTCCATTTCAAAGTGAACAACTTGTATATAAGAAAAACACATCCCATTTGGGGCACATCCCAGAAACTCCCAGGAACCTAGGACTTAAAGAAGAGGAAGATTAAAAAAAGAATGGCAGAAGTATTCTTTTATTAATGAATTGTTCTTATTAAAGAAAATTAATAAGCTGCTTCTCCTAGGATCTTCTAGTTAGGATTTTTGAATGCTTAAACTGTAGTTTCTGGACTAAAACAGTGAATGCTTAATGTGGACAATCGCATAACTGAAGGGATGCATGTGACTGTGAGGGGGTGACCTGGGTGGTGGGAAAAGTTGGCAAGGTGTACAAACTGCTAAACAGGACAAAAGGGAAAATTCTGTTCATATATCAGAAATATCGGAGCAGAACTTAGCTTTGAATCTCACTAATTCAGATGGCCTTTTGAACTTATCAGATAAAGGGCTTCAGTAGTGGAAAAAACCGTAAATCAGAGCATCCTGACTGCTAACTGCCAGAGAACTGACTGGGCATGGGGGTGGGGATGCAAACACCTCTGCAGTCAGCTGGGCTAACTGGACACCAATAGGGATGGGGCATGAGGAAAGCCCTACCTTACAGAGAACCTTGGCCATCTCAAAGGTGCCCACAGTATCCATATTGGCAGCAATGATGGGAACCCCAGAGTATGTCTGCTTTGAGTTCCGAAATGAAAAGGATCTTGTGAGATCCACCTGCAGATATGAACAGGAAATTGACCATTTCATTAATCCAAAAAACGTACCATATTAGGACAAGGACAGGCATCTTTCTTGGTTGTGGCCCACCGGGAGCGTGGGGTCAAGAAACAGCAAGTAGAGAAGCTTGCTCACCTCACTTCGAGACTTAAGGGTACTGCGTTTGGGCCTCAAAAGGACATCCTTGAAGTCCAGTTTCACATCGTTGTCAATATGAGGCATGGCGCTTAGCCTCGGGGTAGCGATGAATCTGAGGGCTGGAAGGCAGGAAGTCATAAGGACCAATCTTCCCCTGGGCTTTAACGCCCTGTTACGGCTGGTGGCCTCTCTTCGCTTAAGTTGTGGAAGGTCGGGCAAAGGCCGAAGTGTGGTCCCTGAAGCCTGTCACCTCGACCCATCCCGTGGCTGCGATTACCCTAGGGCTCCATCCCAGGTACTGTTTGTTGGGGAGGAGAGCTGGGAAAGGGTTGTGAGAGACCCTGACGGTGCATTCCTTACCCCGCTACACTTCCTTCTTCTACCCCTGCAAAGAGCAATGGGGCAAGAGGCTGATTTAGGGGAACGAAGGAATGTTGGCGACGGGGGGCGGGGAGGGTTCATAACTAGTTTCCGGAATAGAGGTACTCACTTCCTGTTGCCTTGGTCCAGGCGGCAGTTGACCAAAGACCACCTTGCTTAGCAACTAACCTCGTGCAATCCCGCTAAGCCTTCTGGGCCACGCCAACAGGTTCCTCTAGTTGCCGGCGAGAACTACTAGCCGACGAATTCCAGCTTCGGCGGCGGCAGGGCGAGGCCTTCTGGATAACAGAGTTCACGCACTGAGGTTGCTGTTGGATCCGAGGGGGTTAGACTACAACTCCCAGGGGGAAACGGGCGGGACCGCCTCCTGGCACGATGGGAGATGTAGTTCGTTCTGCCCCCACTTTTCGCTAGCCCGGGCTCGCCAGGGACTCTCAGAATCGCAGAGTCGTCATCTCTGCTGTTGCTAAACTGGATGCCTCATTCCAATTTACGACGTCACTGAACCGAAACGCGGGAGCAACCCTGAGCCTTTCCGGAACCCAGTGGGGGGGGGGGGGGGGGTGGAGCCAGACAGTGACCCGGAAGTAGAAGTGGCCCTTGCAGGCAAGAGTGCTGGAGGGCGGCAGCGGCGACCGGAGCGGTAGGAGCAGCAATTTATCCGTGTGCAGCCCCAAACTGGAAAGAAGATGCTAATTAAAGTGAAGGTGGGAGCACCTCCAGCCTTGCCAAGACGCAGTAGTACTGGGCTGGCAGCAGTGCCTTACGGGAGACGTGGGGAAGGAAAACCACGCCTTTCCCTAGCCTGGAGGACGCTGACTGCCTCAGGGCTCCGCGCGAGGGGTGGTGGGAAATAGGGGGACCCAGAAGGGCTTTGAGAGCGGGGCCCAGGTCCCACCTGACGACCCTGGGGTATTTTGCCATGCCTGCTTTTTTGCCAGGACTGTGCTATCACCCAGAATGGGGTCGCTTTTGTCGGGTCTCACTGTATTCGAACCCCCGCAGTCATAGAGAAGGCCTAGCAGCGGCTTGACTCCCCCGTCTCTCAGATTCTTGGAGTAAGCGCTGCTCTCCATTCTTCATTCCCAGGGTACCTGCTTCTCCCAGTCCCTAACGTAGGTCGCCTCCGAGCACAGCCCTAAAATCGGGGCCTCCCAAGGGCTAGACTATGAGCCTTTACTGGTGGTTGCCAAGGTGTGGTATCTCACCCGTCCTACAGGAACCAAAGCGGGGAGTGTGTTCAGTCAGTACCTGCCTTTCTGAGCCTGGCATCCTGGACCAGCCTCACTTCCTTGGCTGAGGCAGGTTAGTTACCGCTGCCCTAGTTCTTGCTACTAGCCATGGTTTCCTTCATCTGCATCTCTCAACTCCCGTGGTGGTTCTTCACCAATTTCCAGCCCTCGTTAGTCCTATCTGCTGTTTCCTCTTTTGTGCCTTCAGACAGACAGAGACCCCCCCCCCCACGCCCCCCTCAAAAAAACAAAACTGCTGACAAGTGAAGTCTAATGCTAGTTTGGCCTTTTTGTAGCTAAGTAAATCTATCGTTATTTCATCAGCTTCTTAGCATATTTACCGTACATAATAGTCATTCTTAACCTTCTCTTCCCCAGTCCTTCCAAACTACTTCTTAGCTAAGATTTGAGGTCTAGTATTAAAATAGTATGTTAAAGATGATTTTTTTTAACGTTGAGTAGCGGCCTATATAAGAGTCGTAACATCAATTTAATAGGTGAATGGGTCACTGGCGCCATTAAAAAGAGAAAATAGGCTGGGCGCGGTGGCTCACGCCTGTAATCCCAGCACTTTGGAAGGCCGAGGCAGGCCGATCGCTTGAGCCCAGGAGTTGGAGACCATCCTGGGCAACATGGCGAAACCCTGCCTGTACAATAAATTCAAAAAATTAGCCAAGGGTCTGGGCGCATGCCTGTAGGCCCAGCTATTCGGGAGGCCGAGATGGGAGGATTGATTGATCCTGGGATGTCGAAGCCGCGGTGAGCAGTGATGGCACCACTGCACTCCAGACCCTGCCTGAAAAAAAAGGCCGGGCCCAGTGGCTCACGCCTGTAATCCCAGCACTTTGGGAGGCCGAGGTGGGTGGATCACCTAAGGTGAGGAGTTCAAGACCAGCCTGGCCAACATGGTGAAACCCCGCCTCTACTAACAATACAAAAACTAGCCGGGCGTGGTGGTGGGCGCCTATAATCCCAGCTACTCGGAGGCTAAGGCAGGAGAATCCCTTGAACCTGGGAGGCGGAGATTGCAGTGAGCTGAGATGGCGCCATTGCACTCCAGCCTGGGCGACAAGAGTGAAACTCCATCTCCCCCTGCAAAAAAAAAAAAGAAAGAGAGAGGGGGAGAAAATAGGAAATAATATAGTGCTAGGTAAGGATATTGTTTTATGATTTTTTTTTTTTTTTTTTTTGAGACAGAGTCTCGCTCTGTCGCCCAGGCTGGAGTGCAGTGGCGCCATCTCGGCTCACTGCAAGCTTCGCCTCCCGGGTTCATGCCATTCTCCTGCCTCAGCCTCCCGAGTAGCTGGGACTACAGGCGCCTGCCACCACGCCCAGCTAATTTTTTTGTATTTTTAGTAGAGACAGGGTTTCACCATGTTAGCCAGGATGGTCTCGATCTCCTGACCTCGTGATCCGCCCGCCTCTGCCTCCCAAAGTGCTGGGATTACAGGTGTGAGCCACCCTCCCCCGTGCCTGGCCTTTTTTTTTTTTTTTTTTTTTTTTTTTGAGACAGAGTCTCACTCTGTTGCCAGGCCTGAAATTTTTTATTTTATTTTATATGTATATTACACAGGGGGTGTTACTAGTTCATACTAATTTTTAGAATGGATCACTGTCAAAATCTTGAGAAACACTAACTGTTGAATATTTTTATTTGAGACGGAGTCTCCCTCTGTCACCAGGCTGGAGTGCAGTGGCGCAATGTCGGCTCACTGCAACCTCCGCCTCCCGGGTTCAAGCGATTCTCCTGCCTCAGCTTCCTGACTAGCTGGGACTACAGGGTGTGCCACCACGCCCAGCTAATTTTTGTATTTTTAGTAGAAACGGGGTTTCACCAGGTTGGCCAGGATGGTATCGATCTCTTGACCTAGTGATCCGCTCACCTCCGCCTAAAGTGTTGAGATTACAGTCATGAGCCACCGCGCCCGGCCTGTTGAATACTTCTGTTGGCTTTTCAATGCATATGGGTTCTCATGTCCACTAGGTCCAAAGAAGTTAAGTTACTAATGCTAAGTGTTTTGTACACTTTTTGAAAATTTCACTCCACATTAAGAAATTTTATGTCACAACCCATAAGGCACAAAAACTTTGCTATTTGTGATATGCTCTCAGACTTTCAATTCTAAGTTGATTTCATAACCCACTGATGGGTTGAGACCTGCCCACTGATGGGTTGAGACCTGCAGTTTAAAAAGTACTGTTTGAAAGGCCAGGCGTGGTGGCTCACGCCTGTAATCCCAGCACTTTGGGAGGCCAAGGCGGGCGGATCACGAGGTCAGGAGTTCAAGACCAGCCTGGCCAACATGGTGAAACCCCGTCTCTACTAAAAATACAAAAATTAGCCGAGTGTGGTGGCACACACCTGTAGTCCCAGCCACTTGACAGGGTGAGGCAGGAGAATTGCTTGAACCTGGGAGGCAGAGGTTGCAGTGAGCCAAGATCGTGCCATTGCACTCCAGCCTGGGCAACAGAGTGAGACTGTCTCAAAAAATAAATAAATAAAATAACTGTTTGAACAAAAAAATCAATGCTGTGTGTGGAAACTTGAAAATACAGTGTCCTATCACCTGTGGTCTTGCTAAAATGCTGATTATGATTCTGTGGGTCTAAGGTGGGGCACAGGTTTCTGCATTTCTCACAAACTCCCAGGTGATATTGAATGTCTGAGAGCTACACTTTGAATAGCAAGATTCTAGATTTTTTCTGTTTCTTTGAATCCATATTTATGTGGTACTTCTCTAAAATTGCCAGTCTTCTTTCCTGCAACACCCTTCTGCCTTCAAACAGGCCTCTGTGCCCCATCTCTCTCTATCTCCCCCTCTCGCCCCATCCCCTCTTGTTTGTTGCATTTCTTAATTAAATACATAGGAAAGTAGTTACACATGAGATAGCTGTTAATCTGATCTGAAGAAAATATTAATTTAAAAAAGAAAAAAAAGAGCTGTTAATTACCATATAAGTGACATTTTTTATTACAGTTCCTTTTTTTTTTTTTTTTTTTTTTTGAGACAGGTTCTCACTCTGTCGCCCAGGCTTAGGGTGCAGTGGTGCCATCACAGCTTACTGCAGCCTCGACCTCTCAGGCCCAAGCAATTCTCCCATCTGAGCCTCCTGAGTAGCTGGGACTACAGGCGTGTGCTACCACCATACCCAGCCAATTGTTTTATTTTTTTGTAGAGATGCGGTCTCATCGTGTTGCCCACGCTAGTCTAAAACTTCTGGGGTCAAGTGATCTTCCCACCTCATCTTCCTAAAGTGCTGGGATTACAGCCGTGAGCTACCATATCTGACCCCTTTTTGAATTATTATTATTTTTGTTTTGTTTTGCTTTTGAGATGGAGTCTCACTCTGTCGCCCAGGCTGGAGTACAGTGGCACGATCTTGGCTCATTGCAACCTCCGCCTCTTGGGTTCAAGCGATGCTCCTGCCTCAGCCTCCCAAGTAGCTGGGACTACAAGTGCCCACCACCATACCCGGCTAACTTTTGTATTTTAGTAGAGACGGGGTTTCGCCATGTTTGCCAGGCTGGTCTTGAACGCCTGACCTGAGGTGATCCACCCACCTCAGCCTCCCAAAGTGCTGGGATTACAGGCATGAGCCACCGCGCCTGGCCTCATTTTGTTTTTGTTTTGAGACATTCTTACTCTGTCACCCAGGCTGGAGTGCAGTGGTATGATCTCGGCTCACTGCAACCTCCACCTCCCAGGCTCAAGGGATCCTCCCAACTCAGCCTCCCAAGTAGCTGGGACTACAGGTACATGCCACCACACCTGGCTGATTTTCTGTATTTTTAGTAGAGGTGGGGTTTCACCATGTTGCCCAGGCTGGTCTTGAACTCCTGAGCTCAAGTGATCCACCTGCCTTGGCCTCCCGAAGTGCTGGGATTACAGGCGTGAGCCACCATGCCCAGCCGAATGATTCATTTTCAACTGCTGTCTCTGTGTAGCTGACTTCTTCCATATTTTTCTATAAGATTTTACAATTAAATTCTTCCTGATTTAAATCTTGTTACCTTGTCTCTATGGTTCTAAAATTAAATGCATCATCTTCTGTCATAAGCCATATCCCAATACCCATCTCGTGTATTAATCCCATCAATCATTCAGGTGTCTGGAATACAATTCTTTAGAGTCATTTAAAATTACGTGGTCCTTTTATAAGATCTAATTTTTCACTTAAAAGCTCTTTCTGTTTGATTTTTGTTTCCATCTCCATTACCCTCATTCTGGTCTCGGGTCTTACTCATTTATATGTTTATGTCTCTGTAATACATCCAACCAGGTTTTCCTACCGTCATATCCCCTCTAAAGTGTAGTCTAAACCAAGACATGACGTACAAAACCATAATGTGCAGGTCTTCCTTTAGCTTCTTTTTCATTATATTACTCCCTAACCCCAGATCCTTCATTGATTTCCTCATTGCAGATTACTTTGGCAACTGTCTTTACTGTGTGAATCAGTTTTCTCATTCATGTTTTTTAACATACAGTAAAATGCACAGTTCTTAAGGGTTTAGTTCAGTGAGTTTTTGACAATAGCATACGTTCATGTAATTACAAAATCTAAACATTTGTATTCCTACCCCCTCAAGAGTTTCATAGGTTAGTTTTGCTTGTTTTAGAACTTTATATAAATGGAATTATTGAATGTACAATTTTTGTATCTGGCTTCTTTCATTCTGCATAATGTCTACTGTAATCTGTGGTTTATTCCTTCTTATTACTGAATAGTATTCCATTGGATGAATTATATCATAATTTGTTTATCCATTCTCCTGTTGATGGGTGTTTGAGTTATCTCCAGTTTCTGGCTATTATGAAAAAGTCTTCTATGAACATTGTTATACGAGTGTTTTTGTAAACATATGTTTTTATTTCCTTTGGATAAATACCTAAGAATGAAATTACTAGGTCATGTGGTAGATATATGTAACTTTAAAAAGAAACTAAGGGTTTGTACCATTTTATATTCCCACCTGCAGTGTATGAGCATTCCAGTTGCTCTGTACCCTTACTAGACGGTACCCTTGTAGCACCATAAAAATGCTGATGTCAGTCATTTTTATTTTGGCTATTATAGTGTTATAATGTTATATAAATTAAAACACTATATCTAGTGTTATATAATGTTATCTCATTCAAGGCTTAAATTGATTAACATTGATTTTCATTCACCATAGCACTTAGTCATTGCCCCTTGTGTTTGGACAATATAGTACTTCCTTTTGTTTTGTTTTGTTTTGATTTGTTTTTAATTTTTAATTTTTTTTTTTTTTTTTTGAGATGGAGTCTCCCTCTGTCACCCAGGCTGGAGTGCGGTGGCACGATCTCGGCTCACTGCAACCTCCACCTTCGTTCAAGCGTCCACCATGCCTAGCTAATTTTTTTGTATTTTTGGTAGAGACAGGGTTTTGCCATGTTGGCCATGCTGGTCTCGAACTCCTGACCTCAAGTGATCCACCTGCCTCAGCCTCCCAAACTGCTGGGATTACAAGCGTGAGCCACTGTGCCCAGCCAGAACTTCCTTGTATACAGCCTTATTCTATTAATTTTATGTCTAATTGTTTCTTGGTTGTACATCTTCGCTTGATAAAGATTGTTGGCAGGGCTGGATCACATTTCTTTTGTATTTCCTCCAGTGCCTAGGGCAGTATGTTAGGTTTAGGTTCATCTTTTTTTTTTTTTTGGAGATGGAGTCTCACTCTGTCACCCAGGCTGGAGTGCAGTGGCGTGATCCCTGCTCACTGCAACCTCCACCTCCTGGGTTCAAGCATTTCTCCTCCTCAGCCTCCTGCATAGCTGGGATACAGGTGCGTGCCACCACACCCAGCTAATTTTTTTGTATTTTTAGTAGAGACAAGTTTTCATCATGTTATCCAGGCTGGCCTCGAACTCCTGACCTCAGGTGATCCGCCTGCCTTGGCCTCCCGAAGTGCTGGGATTACAGGCGTGAGCCACCGCGCCCTGTCTAGGTTCATCTTATACTTGTTTAAATAGCATTGAATGTATTGTCAGGTTACAGTGTGATATATCAAGAATATCTTCTAAAATTGTTCAACTGCTTTAAAACAACTTCATGGACAATTTCAAAGACATACATCAGGAAAGAGAAGGGTGTATGCACCCTTCATCCAGCTTCAAAAATTATCATCTCATAGCCAATCTTATTTAATTTAAACTCACCAACTCCTTTTACCTGATTTTTTTAAAGCAAATTCCAGCTAGCATAGCATATGTTATTCCTACATATTTCAGTGTTTTTCTGTGAAAGATAACCTTTTTTCTAACATAACCGTAATTTTTACATCCAAAAATTTAACTGATTGCTTACTATCATCAAATTACCCTATTGTCTCTCTCTCTTTTTTTATTAACAGTTTGAATCTGGATCCAATTAAGATCCATACATTGCCATTGGTTTATGTGTTTTCAATTTCTTTAAATCCGTAGATTCTCCTTTTTCCCATTTTTTTCTTGTTGAATAGAGTTTCCTGCAGTTTGAATTTTGCTGATTACATTCCCATGTTTTTCTTTTTTTCTTTTTTTTTTTTTTTGAGACAGAGTCTTGCTCTGTCACCCAGGCTGGAGTGCAGCAGTGTAATCTTGGCTCACTACTGCAACTTCTCTGCTTCCAGGGTTCAAGTGATTCTTGTATTCTCGTGCCTCAGCCTCTTGAGTAGCTGGGACTACAGGCATGCGCCACCATGCCTGACTAATTTTTGTATTTTTCATAGAGATGACATTTTGCCATGTTGGCCAGGCTGGTCTCAAATTCCTGGCCTCAAGCGACCCGCCCACCTCGGCCTCCCAAATTGCTGGGATTACAGGCATGAGACACCACAACGGGCTCCCATGTTGTCTTTTGACGTATTCCTCTTTTCCTCTGTATTTCCTGTCAGCTGGTAATTAGATCTAGAGGCTTGATTAATCTTTGTATGTTCATATGTGAGAAGAATTCATAGGTGGTGATGTGGTATGTACTTCCATCAGATTGTTTTGCTTTCTGTGATGTTAGTCATTTCCTAGATACATTGTTTCATTGGGGGTTACAAGCTGGAGGTACTCTAATATTCTTGTTGCTTCATATATTAGCTGGAATATTTGAACAGTGTCCAAAATGGTAGCCATTAGCCACATTTGGCTATTGAGCACTTGAAATGTAACTAGAGAGACTGAAGATTTGAAATTTTGATTGTACTTGATTTTAATTAAATTTAAAAACTGAAACTTAGCCGGGTACAGTGGCTCACACCTGTAATCCCAGTGAGTTAGGAGGCTGAGGTGGGAAGATCACTTGAGGCCAGAAGTTTGAGACCAGCCTGGACAACATTTCGAGACCCCATCTCTACAAAACAATTTTCAGGCCGGGCATGGTGGCTCATGCCTGTAATCCCAACACTTTGGGAGGCCGAGGCGGGTGGATCATTTGAGGTCAGGAGTTCGAGACCAGCATGGCCAACATGGTGAAACCCCATCTCTACTAAAAATACAAAAATTGGCTGGGCGCGGTGGCTCACGCCTGTAATCCCAGCACTCTGGGAGGCCGAGGCGGGCGGATCACAAGGTCAGGAGATCGAGACCATCCTGGCTAACACAGTGAAAACCCGTCTCTACTAAAAAATACAAAAAATTAGCCTGGGCGTAGTGGCGGGCGCCTGTAGTCCCAGCTACTCTGGAGGCTGAGGCAGGAGAATGGCGTGAACCCGGGAGGTGGAGCTTGCAGTGAGCCGAGATCGTGCTACTGCACTCCAGCCTGGGCGACAGAGCGAGACTCTGTCTCAAAAAAATAAAAATAAAAATAATAAAAAATACAAAATACAAAAATTAGCCAGGCGTAGTGACACGCGGCTGTAACCCCAGCTACTTGGGAGGCTGAGGCAGGAGAATTGCTTGAGCCTGGGAGGCGGAGGTTGTGGTGAGCCAGATGATGCCACAGCACTCCAGTCTGGGTGACAGACTGAGACCTTGCCTCAAAAAAAAAAAAAATTTTTTTTTTTTTCCAAAAAAGAATTAGCCAGGCATGGTGGTGTGTGCTTGTAGTCCCAGCTATTCAGAATGCTGAGGTGGGATGATACTTTCAGCCCAGGAGTTGGAGGCTGCAGTGAGCCATGATTACTCCACTGTGTTCCAGGCTGGGACACAGAGCAAGACTCCATCTCAAATAAATAAATAAATAAATAAATATAAAAAACTTTTAAGTATGTTTAGAACAAGTTGGGTGTATAAATCTACTTTTTCTATTGTAAATTATGAAACTTAAATATATGTCAAGTATTTCAGATGAAAATTTACCATTTGAATTTTTTTGTTTTTCTGGGTTTTTTTTGGAGATAGGGTCTCCCTCTGTCACCCAAGCTGGAGTGCAGTGGCACAATCAGCCCACTACGGCATTGAACTCCTGGGCTTGGGCAGTCTTGCCTCAGCCTTCTGAGTACCCAGTTGCTGGGACTACAGGCCTGTGCCACTATGCCTGGCTAATTTTATTGTAGAGATGGGGATCTCACTATGTTGCCCAGGCTGGTCTCAAAACTCCAAGCCTCAAGCAGTACTCCCACATCCCCTTCCCAAAGTGTTGAGATTACAGGCATATGCTACCATGCCCAGCCTACCATCTCTATTTTTTTTTTTTTTTTTTTTTTTGAAATGCAGTCTTGCTCTGTTGCCCAGGCTGGAGTGCAGTGGCATGATCTCAGCTCACCGTAACCTCCGCCTCCTGGGTTCAGGCGATTCTCCTGCCTCAGCCTCCCCAGTAGCTGGGACTACAGGCGCCCACCACCATGCCCAACTAATCTTTGTATTTTTAGTAGAGATGGGGTTTCACTGTGTTGGCCAGGCTGGTCTCAAACTCCTGACCTCGTGATCCGCCCCCTCGGCCTCCTAAAGTGCTAGGATTACAGGTGTGAGCCACCGCACCCAGCCCCATCTCTACATGTGATGTAAATATGAAATACAGGATTTTTAGGATTTGGTTAGAAAAAACATAAAATATATTAATTTTTATATTGATTACATGTGAATAATATTTTGGCTATGTTGGGTTTAAAAATATTAAAATTTTACCTCTTAAAGAACTTTTACAATATGGCTACTAGTAAATTTAAAAATTGCATGTATGGCTTGTATTATATTTCTACAAGGCAGTGCTGCTTTACAAAATCTTACCCTTATCAAGGACATTGTTTTTTAAATAATTTGTTCTCATTACAGCATATTCACATTTGTGGTATAAAAAATGGAAAATACAGAAAAGCATAATAATGTAATTAAAATCACCCATAATTCCACTGCTCAAGTTAAAGCATTAATATACTGTATATACCCTTCCAAGCTTTTTGGAGAGCATATAGATGCATGTGTTGTTTTTACAAAATTTTAATTATACTCTATATACTATAACTTTTTTGTTAAATTATCAGCATATTGTTAATATATTACAAATAGTTATCCTAAACATTGTTTGAGGGATTTGTAATTTTTTTTCTATGATTGTACCATAATTTATTTAACCCTCAACTGTTTGATATTTAGATTGTGTTTCTAATTTTACAGTATCAAAAGGTTGCAATAACCATTGTTGTAGGTATACTTTTGGACATAGTCATGAGTATTTTCCTGGAAGTATTGTTGCTGGGACACCATATTGCCAAATTGCTCTCTAGATATATTTATGGGCCTCTACAGTCGATTTCAGAAACAAAGGGCCAGCTCTAGACTTTTAGAATTTACAAACCAATAATCCTTTTTAAAAATATAAGGTCCAAGCATTTTGCTCTTGGGAGAGCAGCTCTAGGTCTTCTCTGAGAGTCTTTTTTCACTCTTTAAAAATTTGTGGTCGGGTGCGGTGGCCCACATCTATAATCCCAGCACTTTGGGAGGCCGAGGCAGGCAGATCACCTGAGGTCGGGAGTTCAAGACCAGCCTGACCAATATGGAGAAACCCTTCTCTACTAAAAATACAAAATTAGCCAGGTGTGGTGGTGCATGCCTGTAGTCCCAGCTACTTGGGAGGCTGAGATAGGAGAATTGCTTGAACCTGGGAGGCAGAGGTTGCAGGGTGAGCTGAGATTGTGCCGTTGCACTCCAGCCTGGGCAGCAAGAGTAAAACTCCATCTCAAAATAAATAAATAAATAAAAATTTGTATTATCGGCCAGGCACGGTGGCTCATGCCTATAATCCCAGCACTATGGGAGGCTGAGGCAGGTGGATCACTTGAGGTCAGGAGTTCGAGACCAGCCTGGGCAACATGGCAAAACCCCATCTCTACTAAAAATACAAAATGTAGTCAGGCGTGGTGGTGCCCGCCTGTGATGCCAGCTACTCAAGAGGCTGAGGTGGGGATCACCTGAGCCCAGTATGTCGAGGCTGCGGTGAGCCATGATTGCACCATTGCACTCCATCCGGGTGAGACTGAGACCCCGTCTCAAAAAAAAAAAAAAAGAAAGTGAAATAATTTGTGGACAACACAGAATTACAAACTTTTTATTTTGTCTTTTTAAAGTTACCACAAATTGTCACCACCATTCTCTGAAAGGACATTAACACCTGAATATATTTAGTTTCATGAAAATTTCACTTTTAACACTGCTTTTCTCATTTTACCATAGGCTGCTGAAAATTTTCACACAGACCAGCATAGGTTAGGGTAGAAGCTTGAGAATCACTGCTGTAATTTATTCTTTCATATCCAAACAGGTTAATCCAAAGGAATTGTTCTTGTATTTTTGGAAACATACTAGTACTAAATCATTCTCCTTGTTGGGAAATTTTCTGAGTTCTTGTTTCGTGCTGTTCTATGTGAATACCATAAGGAGAAACCATATGTTATTTTGTGAGCTACTATAGGAGTGTACATTGGGTCCCAATACTAGACCAGCCAGACTCAGGTAGGACGGAGTACAGAAATAAAAGCACAGGCTCTGGGACCAGGGAATCTGGATCCAATCTCTACTTTTGATTGCGTAGATGTGTTTTTAACCTAAGGCTTATTTTTCTCATCTATAAAATGGAAATAGTAATAGTCCATATCTCATAAATACTGGGAGGATTAAATGTGATGCATGTAAGATGCTGATCATAGTTACTGACCCTTAGAAAGTGTTCAATGGCTGGGCAAGGTGGCTCATGCCTGTAATCCCAGCTCTTTGGGAGGCCGAGGCAGGAGGATCACTTGAGCCCATGAGTTTGAAACCAGCCTGAGCAACACAGAACTCGTCTCTACAAAAAAATCTTAAAAATAGCTGAGTGTGGTGGTGCACACACCCTGTAGTCCTTGCTACTTAGGAGGCTGAGGTGGGAGGGTTGTTTGAACCCAGGAGGTCAAGGCTGCAGTGAGCCAGGATCACACCACTGAACTCCAGCCTGCTTGATACAGTGAGACCCTGTCTCTTAAAAAAATAAAAGGAAAAAAATAGTTTTCAGTAAATGTTAGCTGTGATTATAATATGATCATCAGTATATTTAGCCCTTCAAAAATATTCATTGACTGCTTGTGTGTCAAACACTAGGAAAGTTTAACACTTAAACAACTAGCTGTAATTGGTATATTAATATTGGAAGTATTAATAAAGTACACTGGGAACAGGTCTACACATCATACAGGAGGTTTTATACATTGCTGGAGTGCAATGGCACAATCTCAGCTCACCGCAACTTCTGCCTCCTGGGTTCAAGAGATTCTCCTGCCTCAGCCTCCTGAGTAGTTGGGATTACAGGCATGCGCCACCACGCCTGGCTAATTTTGTATTTTTTAATAGAGAAGGCTTTCTCCATGTTGGCCAGGCTGGTCTTGAACTCCCAACCTCAGGTAATCCACCCACCTCAGCTTCCCAAAGTGCTGGGATTACAGGCATGAGCCACTGTGCCCGGCCAGGAGGAGATCTTACATTTAAGGGGTCTTGAAGTTTGGAGAAGAAGGGGAGGATATTGCAACAAGGAAAATAACGGAAGCAAAGAAATGCCCATAAATTAGAATGAGCATGGTGTGTTTGTGGCCTGGATCACTGTAGACTAATACAGATAGAGCTATTAAGAGCAAGGACAGATGGGAGAAGACACAACATTTATGACTGCATAATCAGTATAATTATTGTATTTGGATATCACCAGCCCTTAACTTACGGAAGAAGACAAGAGCTGCAATTTAGGATTTAGGTAGAAGTCTGGAAAGATATGGGAGATGTAATGTTGACTTCTTGTCTTCTTTTCTCTTTTTTCTTTTACTTTCTTTTTTTTTTTTTTTTTTTTTTTTTTGCGAGGGTGTTGCCCAGGCTGGAGTACAGTGGCACAATCGTGGCTTACTGCTGCTGCCTCTAATTTCTGGACTCAAGTGATCCTCCCACCTCAGCCTCCCAAATAGCTGGTACTACAGGCATGCACCACTGTACTCAGCTAATTTTTGTTGTTGTTGTTGTTGTTGTTGTTGTTTTGGTTGAGACAGGGTTTCGCTGTGTTGTCCAGGCTGGTCTGGAACTCCTAGGCTCAAGTGATCCTCCCGCCTCAGTCTCCCAAGGTGTTGGGATTGCAGGTGTGAGCCACCATGCCCAGCCAATTCTAGCATTTTTTAAAAAACTGCTGAGATGATTTCTGGTGTCCTTGAGAATTCTTCAAATTATCTGAATATTAATTTCTAGCATTGATATTTAGAACAAGGTCCTTCTGACTTTTTTTAAGATATCTTTCAGGCTGGGTGCAGTGGCTTACCCCTGTAATCCCAGCACTTTGGGAGGCTGAGGCGGGTGGATCACCTGAGGTTGGGAGTTTGAGACCAGCCTGATCAACATGGAGAAATCCTGTCTCTACTAAAAATACAAAATTAGCCAGGCCTGGTAGCGCATGCCTGTAATCCCAGCTACGTGGGAGGCTGAGGCAGGAGAATTGGTTGAACCTGGGAGGCAGAAGTTGCAGTGAGCCGAGATTGTGCCATTGCACTCCAGCCTGGTCAACAAGAGCGAAACTCCATCTCAAAAATAAATAAATAAATCCTTTCATTGCCGTATCATCTAAAATAATGCCAATATTCTCACTGATTTTGGGGGACTGATGTTGGAAGATGACTCATGGAATTAAGAGGATCAGATGGTTCAAAGAATCTTGCCCTATCAAAGTTGTTTACAGCCTAAAAATATTTGATAAATGAAGGTATGTTCAAAGCCTTCTCATTCTCCAAAGCAGTGCTGCTGAGAATATGCATCTTTTAGAAGGCAGTAGATCCCAAAGACCAACATAGGATGTTTTACCTAGAAGACAAATTGTACATTGGGCTTTAAGGACTCATGAAACCATTGCCTGTTTCAGACGCTGACCGGAAAGGAGATTGAGATTGACATTGAACCTACAGACAAGGTGATGCATGCCCAACTCCTCTTCATGTACTTCTTGCCATGTGTATTTGTTTGCATATGCTTATGAACTTGGTCCTTTTGCTCTCATGCTGTCTGCATAGCCCTTGTTCTTTCCGTTTCCATGGTCCTACCCCTAAGCAGCAGCCCCTGACTACTTGTCTCTCTAAAGGTGGAGCGAATCAAGGAGCGTGTGGAGGAGAAAGAGGGAATCCCCCCACAACAGCAGAGGCTCATCTACAGTGGCAAGCAGATGTGAGTTTGGAGTGAGAATGACAGCATGGCGATCTTATGTGAAGATGAGAAGAGGAGAGGGGGCACGTACTGAGGTGGATCAGGGGTGCCTCTTGTTTTTGGTGCCTAAGACTCTTTGGCAATCTGGTGAAGCCTCTAAGCCCCTTCTCAGAATAAGATTTTTTCAGGCATAAAACAAAATATATAGAATTAAAGGAAAACTAATTATATTGAAATAGTTATTAAAATACTAAAACAAATTTGTGATATAGTAATATATGTACTTTTTTATTAATGCATAAGATCTAATGGTAGGTCTAATATGACCATAATTTTGAAATATTTTCAAGATACCTATAAATGATCATGATAGAAAATAGTTAATTGCTATTGTTAACAAGTTACCTATATTGCTAATACTACTGTGGTTTTTGGGCTATGTTTAAAGTTAGAAGAAATGTTAAATTTCAGTTGGGGGTTAGTAAAAATAAAGATGGGATTTTTTTTCTCATTCAAGTTCACAGACCCCCAAAGAGATCCAGGAAACTCAAGAACTCCTGTTCTGGCCGGGCGCAGTGGCTCACGCCTGTAATCCCAGCACTTTGGGAGGCTGAAGGGGGTGGATCACCTGAGGTCAGGAGTTCGAGACCAGCCTGGCCAACATGGTGAAACCCCATCTTTACTAAAAATACAAAAATTAGCTGGGCGTGGTGGTGGGCGCTTGTAATCCCAGCTACTCAGGAGGCTGAAGCAGGAGAATTGCTTGAACCCAGGAGGTGGAAGTTGCAGTGAGCTGAGATCGTGCCACTGTACTCCAGCCTAGATGACAGAGCGAGACTCTGTCAAAAACAACAACAACAACAACAACAACAACAACAAAAAACTCCTAAGTCTTCTTTTTCTTTTTTTTCTGGCTTCCTTTTCCTGCAGGAATGATGAGAAGACAGCAGCTGATTACAAGATTTTAGGTGGTTCAGTCCTTCACCTGGTGTTGGCTCTGAGAGGAGGAGGTGGTCTTAGGCAGTGATGGACCCTCCATTTTACCTCTTTACCCTGTCGCTCATAATGAGGCATCATATATCCTCTCACTCTCTGGGACACCATAGCCACTGCCCCCTCCCCTGGATGCCCAGTAATGTATGTCTACTGGTGGGAGACTGTGAGGATCCCAGGATTCAGTATTCCTGGCCCAGAGGGCCCTTGCTGGCTACTGGGTGTTAGTTTGCAGTCCTGTGTGCTTCCCTCTCTTATGACTGTGTCCCTGGTTGTCAATAAAATATTTCCTGGCCTCCTGGAATCTTTCTTCTGTTGCACAAGTTGACTGAAATAAAAATGGACCTAATGCTCACTCAGTTATAGCAGGCTGAAGGAATCGGACAGTGGAAGGAATGGTGCTCTTACGGGGATTATCAGACTCTAGGAAAACCTACTTAGTGGTGTGTTGGAACCAGTTCCTAGTGGCTAATGAGAGCCAATTATTGGCACCTTTTTCCAACTCTATTAAGTGACTTCATGTTGGTAGCTTGAAATTGGCCATGGTAGGATTATTTACAGAAACTAGCAAACACTACAGATCAGTTCCTCCCCACAAACTGGTTGTTATACATCTACCAGTGTAGTGCTGACATGGATGGTGAAACCTTCGGAGAGTGAATTCTCTCTTGACTGTGGCTGTACTGGACATTTAGGCCTGGTTGGAGAACGCCTTCAAGGGTTTGGCTGACACTGTACTCTATGGCTGGAATATTACTGAGGACTTTGGGTTCTACACTGTCAGGAGGTTGATAATGCAGAAAGATTGAGTGACAAGCTGTGATGTATCACTTGGGTCTCAAGAAGAGGCAGGTGCTAGAAGAAAAGGCTTTCCTTCTTCCCTGGCTTCTTAGTATAATAGAATCGGGCAAGGCTGGGTGGAGTGGAGAAGTAGGGAGGATGCCCGTGGCCAATGCCTTAGAAAGACTTGACTGCTGTGGTTGCATGTGTGGTCGTGTTGGTACCTCGCTGCAATCCTCTTCCCCGCCCAGCATCAGATGGCACTCTTGCGCCATCTCCAGGCTGATGACGCCCCGAGTGGCGACGCTCTAGTCGCCATTTGTCTATGGCAGGCAGGGTGGCTGCCTTAGCTGCCGGAGGTTCCGCACTCTCTAAGGCCCCGGGTGAAGCCCCACCTCTGCTGCGCGCAGCCTGCGGTGCGGGTCATGGCGCGGCTACCGAAGCTGGCAGTCTTTGATTTGGGTGAGGGACGGGAAGGGGAGAATTTCGTAAGGTGCTCTCCTTTTCCACATCCCTAACAGCAGCTCCCGAATCCCTGCATCTCCCGCCCCAGGCTGAACCTTCCCTCTCCTTCCTCTCGCAGATTACACTCTCTGGCCTTTCTGGGTCGACACGCACGTAGACCCTCCGTTCCATAAGAGCAGGTGAGGTAGGGACAGGGAAGACTGGGGGCGAGATAGGACCCAGCCAGGGCTGAGCGCACTCTTGCCCTCTCCAGTGATGGAACTGTACGAGATAGGCGGGGCCAAGACGTCCGACTGTACCCAGAGGTGCCTGAGGTCCTAAAACGATTGCAGAGCCTTGGGGTGCCCGGTGCGGCTGCTTCAAGGTAAGAAGAGCGACTGACAACTGACAGTGTAATGCTGAAGGGTGCATGCAAGAGACAGTGAAACCCCTGGTCTACAAAAATAGGGGCGGTGCAAGTTTCCAAGTATTTACATATTTTTTCCCTTGAACGCTCTCCTGTGCCTTTTAACTATTAAAAAGTGGGGCCAGCAGGCGGGCGCGGTGGCTCACGTCTGTAATCCCAGCACTTTGGGAGGCCGAGGCGGGTGGATCACGAGATCGGGAGTTCAAGACCAGCCTGATCAACATGGTGAAACCCCGTCTCTACTAAAAATACAAAAATTAGCAGGGCGTGGTGGCACGCACCTGTAATCCTAGCTACTCGGGAGGCTGAGGCAGGAGAATCGCTTGAACCCGGGAGGCGGAGGTTGCAGTGAGCTGAGATGGAGCCACTGCACTTCAGCCTGGGTGACAGAGTGAGACAATGTCTCAAAAAAAAAAAAAAAAAAAAAAGTGGGGCCAGACACAGTGACTCACACCTGTAATCTTAGCATTTTGGGAGGCCTAGGTGGGAGGATCACTTGAGCCCAGGAATTTGAGACCAGCCTAGGCAATAGAGGGAGACCCTATCTCTACCAAAAAAAAAAAAAAAATTGTAGTGGCGTGCACCTGTAGTCCCAGCTACTTGGGAGGCTGAGGTGGGAGGATCACTTGAGCCCAGGAGGTCGTGACCACAGTGAGCCGTGATTGGGTCGCTGCACTCCAGTCTGGGCAACAGAGCTAGACCCTGTCTCAAAACAAAAGCTAAAACATTGGCCCAGCACCAATTGTGTCAAATAGGAAGGCAATGGAGTTAAACAGAGGCTGAGGATGCCTGTCCATCCCGGAAAAACAGCAAGTTGATTTCCCTGGTTATACTTACTAACTTTGCTTAATAAGTTAACGTAGCCCTGGCCCTTCACTTTGCTAATCCCATCTTTTACACCGTTTTGCAGGACAAGTGAGATAGAAGGGGCCAACCAGCTACTGGAGCTCTTTGACCTCTTCAGGTACTTTGTTCATCGGGAAATCTATCCAGGCAGCAAGATCACACACTTTGAGAGGTATGCGGAGATAAGGGAGGAGCAGGGTGAGAAAGTATCAGAGAGGCCTGGGAAACCAAGATACTAGCTTGGTTACTCCTGCCCTGTCTTGAATAGGTTGCAGCAGAAGACTGGAATTCCTTTCTCCCAGATGATCTTCTTTGATGATGAGAGGCGGAATATTGTAGACGTCAGCAAACTGGGTACTGAGTGATGAGGAACAGCCATTTGGGGTCCCTAGGAGGGATTAGGTAGATACATACAGGTTGGATAGTTTGCCCTATAGGTGGCACTCACAAAGGTCAGAGTAATAATGGAGAACCCTGAAAGCTTAATGAAATGTGACTTCTTATCTTTCTAGGTGTTACCTGCATTCACATCCAGAATGGAATGAATCTTCAAACTCTAAGTCAAGGGTTAGAGACATTTGCGAAGGCCCAAACTGGGCCTTTGAGGTCCAGCCTTGAGGAGAGCCCATTTGAGGCCTAAACTGAAAGGAAATCAAGAAGGCATTTTCAGGTGCATTTGTAATTTATTAAAGTTCATCTGTGTGTGACAGAAGAGATTTTACCCACAGTGTGGGGAGTTTCTATTTTTCTAGCCTGTGAAATGGGGTTGGTTGTCCTGAGGTGCAGAGACCAGAATGTGAGACATTAGACTGCATCAGGTTTGCCATCTAAACTTAGGGCAACCCCAAGTGCTTGAACCTATACCACCCCACTTTCCTGAGCTCTGTAAAGAGCATGAAGTTTTCCCACTGACCCCATACACTGAGGTGCCATCACACTGCACATTTCCTTCCGGAGAACAAGCACGTACTCAGGTGGAGATAGAACTGTCTTTTTACTTAATAGAAAATGATGTGGCAGCTTTAAGAGGAGCGCGTCGGTCTGGGGCTGGTGGCTTGGGTCACGTGACACCGGTGGTCTCGTTTGCGCCTCTTGATGTCGCGGCGGCGCCCTGAGGACGGATTGGGCAAGGCTGGTCCCTGTGTGATGAGACATCACCCTCCCAGGAGCAAGGCGGAAGTCTGGAGGACGCTGAGGGGCGGAGGCGGGAGAGGCGAGCTCGCGATGAGTGGTCTCGGCAGGCTCTTCGGGAAGGGTGAGCCAGGGTGGGACTGGCCAGCCAGGAGGCGCTGGCTGGTGCAGGGGAAGAGGAGACCCCGGCGAGATTCGGCCGGACCGCTGCGCCGGGCAGGGGAAGAGAATCAGGAGACAGGCTGACTGGAAAACCCCGGCGGCCGATGGCGGAGCAAGGCTCATCGCCGGTGCCAAAAGGCACACCATGTCGGGGCGCCTTGTTCCCGTCCGCCGTCCTCCCCCACTCTCAGAGGGAAGAACTCAAGATCTGGGAGGGGACTTGAGTTGAGGGCGTGGCGATCGTGCTGACTCCCACTGTTCAGGCTTGAAGACGAGTTTCCTGCTGTCTTCAGCCATTTTCAAAACCTTGTTCTATAATACTTTGTGCTGGGCAAGAGGGATCTAAGGTGAAGAAGAAAGACTGCCTTCTTAGCCCGGCGCGGGGGCTCACGCCTGTACTCGCAACACTTTGGGAGGCCGACGTGGGTGGATCATGAGGTCAGGAGTTTGAGATCAGCCTGGCCAATATGGTGAAACCCCGTCTCTACTAAAAATATAAAAATTGGCCGGGCGCGGTGGCTCACGCCTGTAATCCCAGCACTTTGGGAGGCCGAGGTGGGTGGATCACCTGAGGTCAAGAGTTCGAGACCAGCCTGGACAACATGGTGAAACCTTGTCTCTACTAAAAATACAAAAAAAAAAAAAAAATTAGCTGGTTGTGGTGGCACGCGCCTGTAGTCCCAGCTACTGGGGGAGGCTGAGACAGGTGAATCGCTTGAACCCAGGAGGCGGAGGTTGTAGTGAGCCAAGATTGCACCAATGCACTCCAGCCTTGGTGACAGAGGGAGACTCCATTCTCAAAAAAAAAAAAAAAAATTAGGTGGGCATGATGGTGTGTGCCTGTAGTCCCAGCTACTCAGGGAGGCTGAGGCAGGAGAATCACTTGAACCCGGGAGACGGAGGTTGCAATGAGCTGAGATCATGCCACTGCACTCTGGCCTGGGCAACAGAGCGAGACTCTGTCTCAAAAAAAGAAGTCCTGGCGCGGTGGCTCATGCCTGTAATCAAAACACTTTGGGAGGCCGAGGCGGGCAGATCACCTGAGGTTGGGAGTTCGACACCAGCCTGACCAACATGGAGAAAGCCTGTCTGTACTAAAAACACAAAAAATTAGCCAGGCATGGTGGCACATGCCTGTGATCCCAGCTATTTGGGAGGCTGAGGCAGGAGAATTGCTTGAACCCAGGAGGCGGAGGTTGAGGTGAGCTGAGATCACGCCATTGCGTTCCAGCCTGGGCAACAAGACTGAAACTCTGCCTAAAGAAAAAAAAAGAAAGGCAGCTAGGAATAGTAAAAAGAATATTGGTTTTAGAACTCATACTGCCACATCTTGATTCCTGCACAATCTCTTATTAGTTGTGATTTTTAACATCTTTGTGGTTGTTTTCACATTTTTAAAGTGAAGAGATAGCACGTTCATTGTAGAGATTTGGGGATTAGCAATAACACAGTCAGGTCTCTAGCACATACTATGTATTCAATGATTGGTGGCTAATATTTTTCCTTCACAAAATTTGGGCCTACTCCACTGGACTCCTCAGGGAAGAAGGAGAAAGGGCCAACCCCTGAAGAAGCAATACAGAAACTGAAGGAGACAGAGAAGATACTGATCAAGAAACAGGAATTTTTGGAGCAGAAGATTCAACAGGAGCTACAAACAGCCAAGAAGTATGGGACCAAGAATAAGAGAGGTAATGAGGGAAACAAGCCTATGGGGAGGGCCCAGATGGGAAGCAGGTGCTTCTGACTCTTGATGTTCAGGGTATGGGCTGGGTCAGCTGCCCTACAGGCTTTGCGGAGGAAGAAAAGATTCGAACAGCAGCTGGCACAAACTGACGGGACATTATCCACCCTGGAGTTTCAGCGTGAGGCCATTGAGAATGCCACTACCAATGCAGAAGTCCTTCGTACCATGGAGCTTGCTGCCCAAAGCATGAAGAAGGCCTACCAGGACATGTGGGTACGGGGGGAGGGGTGGAGGGGACCCAGGCACTGGGAAGAGTGGCTTGCTATCACACTTTAAACTTTAAAGCCTCTCAGAATGTGAATTTGCAGTATAGATACTTGTGATGGCTAGACATCCATCTGCCCCTTGCTTCCTATAAAATTCTTTCGCTGCCTGGGGCATTCTAGGGAGGAAAGATGCCTTCTCTAATTCTTTTTTTGTTTTGTTTTGTTTTGTTTTTTGAGATGGAGTCTTGCTCTGTCGCCCAGGCTGGAGTGCAGTGGCACAATCTCGGCTCACTGCAACCTCCGCCTCCTGGGTTCAAGTGATTCTCCTGCCTCAGCCTCCTGAGTAGCTGGGATTACAGGTGTGCACTACTGTGCCCAGCTCATTTTTGTATTTTTAGTAGAGATGGAGTTTTGCCATTTTGGCCAGGCTGGTCTTGAACTCCTGACCTCAGGTGATCCACCTGCCTTGGCCTCCCAAAGTGCTGGGATCACAACTTGCATCTTTGCAATTTTCCAGGGATCTCTTCTGATTGATAGTTATGGGCTTATCAGTGTGACCCTGCAAGGCAGGAGGGGTTTCATTCATGTGAGATGAGAAAGTCAAGGGGGCATTGTTGCGTGATTTCTTAGCTATCTATCTCATTCTCAGGGACATTGACAAGGTAGATGAACTGATGACTGACATCACGGAACAACAGGAGGTGGCCCAGCAGATCTCAGATGCCATTTCTCGGCCTATGGGCTTTGGAGATGATGTGGATGAGGTGATTGGGGGTGAAGGGTCAGGGAATATTGCAGAAAGTATGGGACTGGCCAGAAGGAACACCCAAGAGAGGCTCTTGGGACAAGTTTGGGAGGGAACTTCAAAAGTGGTATGTTTTTGGAGGTAGAAGTTTTTTTCTTCATCTAAAGTGGTCTTGTCTTCCCTATCCAGGATGAACTGCTGGAGGAGCTAGAGGAGCTGGAGCAGGAGGAATTGGCCCAGGAGTTGTTAAATGTGGGCGACAAGGAAGAAGAACCCTCAGTCAAATTGCCTAGTGTACCTTCTACTCATCTGCCGGCAGGGCCAGGTATGCAGGGTTGTTCTGTTGTCTTGAGGACTTAAGAGGGTGGGAGAGATATGGGGAAAGATTATTCCTCATCCATCCTGCCTCAAAGGAGCCACACAGAAAGGGCTGCTGCTGCAGTTGTGCAGGTTGTTGACTGCATATAGGCACCCACCTAGCCTGTGCTTCACTCAACAAGCCGTGTACCCTGGTTTAGGGCTGCAAATGGCAGGAGCAAGAGGCACCATTTTTCTAATTTGCACAAAGGTGCTGTGGGATTGAACAGCAGCCTAGCAAGCAGAAGGACCATACCTTTAGGTTTTTTGCTGGGGAGACAGAATTCAGCAGGCTCTGAATGTCATAGCAGGGGATGGTTGGAGTTGCTGAGACCTTACTGCTTCTCCTTTCTTTTCTCTGGGTATCTTTGTCCTCAAAGCTCCCAAAGTGGATGAAGATGAAGAAGCACTAAAGCAGTTGGCTGAGTGGGTATCCTGATAAATCTGGGCTTGTCTTCCTAATGCTACCTTTGTTGGTCCTTTCTTCCTTAAGTGCCAAGTGCTGAGCTAAAGGAGGATAACTTTTTGGGGAAGTCATGCTGAGGGTGGTAGTGTGACCCTGCCTGAAAAAAGGGTCTCTTACCCTCCCAGCCCTGGCTCAACTCTGAAGAAGGATCTTGCTACAGAAGGAGCCCTTGGGCTCCCTTCTCTTTGATAGCAGTTATAATGCCCTTGTTCCCAATAAAACTGGGCAGATGGAATCCTAGTGTCTATACTGCCTTGTCTACCCCTGAAGCTGTTCCCCTGGCCCTTGGAGCCTTATTTCAAGCAATGAATAATTAGAGCAAAGAAGGGGGGTTGGAACATAGAACAAATGGGCATTCCTAGTATCTCAACCTATGTTCCAGGCAAACATTATTTCATCTTTCAAGCCGGTTTGTCCTAGAGTTGCCTAGTTGCTGAGGCTGAAGAAACTGCCATCTACCACTTAGAACCACGTGGAGGCATCTCTGAGTCTTCCCTCATTGCTTTCCCCTGGTCGTGCCTCTGCCAAGACAGCCCCAAATTTCTTTTACAAAGCCCATTTTCAAGGACAAGGAGGGAGAATACCATGGAAGGAGCAAGTAGCTTTGCTACTTGGAATGGAAGGAGCAAGTAGCTTTGCTACTTGGAATGGAAGGAGCAAGTAGCTTTGCTACTTGGAATGGAAGGAGCAAGTAGCTTTGCTACTTGGAATGGAAGGAGCAAGTAGCTTTGCTACTTGGAATGGAAGGAGCAAGTAGCTTTGCTACTTGGAATGGAAGGAGCAAGTAGCTTTCCTTTATCCAGAACCCATAGTTAGTAGCTTTCACTACTAGAAGGCTTGGTTTGAATTCTGTGTCTGGGAACAATTGTGTGAGAAGCCTTGTCTCCCTGCTATTGTGTCAGTAGTGGTTAAGGTGACACTGGAAGAGGGAAAAGGAACCAAGGTACTTCATACACCCGAATACCCATTTCTTTTCTTTTCTTTTTTTTTTTTTTTTGAGACAGAGTCTCACTTTGTCGCCCAGGCTGGAGTGCAGTGGCGCGATCTCGGCTCACTGCAACCCCTGCATCCCGGGTTCAAGTGATTCTCCTGCCTCAGCCAGGTGCCACTATGCCCGGCTAATTTTTGTATTTTTCATAGAGACAGGGTTTTGCCATGTTGGCCAGTCTGGTCTCGAACTCTTGACCTCAAGTGATCTGCCCGCCTCGGCCCCCCAAAGTGTTGGGATTACAGGCGTGAGCCACCGCACCCAGCTCGAATACCCATTTCTAAAAGAACTAACAGTGCCATTACTTTGGACTATAGACAGGCAGAGCCATAATCAAAGTGGAAGAACCAGGGCTTTTACCCCACTACTTGAGCATTTAAACAGCACAAAGATGTAAAATAATGAGCATATGTTGAGTTGAATAATAAAGCTTCCCAAAATAGAGCGTTAATCTGAGCACCCCATCCCCTAAGAGCCACATCATGAATTACACTATTGATTTAACACAGTGTCAAGATTATTGGTTACAGGCTCTGGGCAGAAATCTATCTCTTACTCCAGCAGTGTTCCCTGCTATAAGATTGCCTTGAGAAAAGAATGTCTTTGACCCTAGTTGATGAAACTAAATCAGACTTAGATTTATTTTTGGTAAAAAAGATTTTTAGCCCAAGACCTCCTGCTTTGCTCCTCTCTTAGCCCCCTCCCTCAGCCATTTTCAGGTCGTAATTTGCAAGGATTGGTGCTGTTTAGTGGTGTTGTGGAGCTGGCACATGGCCTCAAGCAGCCTGATCTCATGGGTGGGTTGCTCAGGCTGGAACTTGAGCACCCAGGAATCCTTGATGATGTCCAGAATGGTGGCACGCTTAGTGGCTTGGCGTAGCATCTGGAGGATCAGGTTCTAGAGCAGGGGAGAGAGAGGTCTTGCCTGAGTTTTTCTCCATTGTGCCACACAGGCAATGAGCAGTTGGACCTAAGAAAGAAGCAGGATAGCCCATCATACCACTCTGGTCAAAGTGGGTGTGGCTCTGATTTTATCTTGGAGACCCAGGCAGTTAACTCCCTGGAGGGGAAGGGAAGAGTTCCTTGGGAGGAATGCTTTCCATATTTCCCTTCTGGCCTAAAGAGAAAGAAGCTGGAACCTGTGTATCAGGCAAGGTTTGGAGCCTAGTGGTTGGCCCTTTATGCCTTCCATACTGTTTATTATAGGACAGGAGCTAGTGTGTGAGATGGCTCTGGTGTGGGAAGAGCCTTTCCCCAGGGTTGGGAGGCCTAGGTTGGGTGACCTAGGTTGGATATTCACCCCTCCCTGTGGGTCATCCCTGAAGGCTCAGCCCTCCTTAGGTAGCCAGTACCTTGCACTCCTGGGAGATGGTATGGTTAGCTGGGAAAGTGACCTCCTTCTGAGTCTCTCTTAGCAGCTTTTTGAGATTGGTGTCATCAAAGGGCAGATGGGCGACCACTAGAGTGTAAAGGATGACGCCCATGCTCCAGGTGTCAGACAGGAAAGGGTTGTAGGGCAAGCCTCGTAAGATCTCTGGGCAAGCGTAAGCAAAGCTGCCACAGTAAGTCTGGCTGAGGTGGGAAAAGCAGTTCACTTGGCGGTAAGAAGGGCTACAACCCACAGGCTGGTTAGAAGGCACCATCTTGGCAAAGCCAAAGTCTGATATCTTCACATTCTCCCACTTGTCCAGCAACAGGTTCTCCAACTTTAAGTCCCTACCAGCAGCAGAAAGGCTGGGCATCAGGCTGGGGAGAGGGCTTAGTTTTAGACTGGGAGCTGAAGGGCCAGGGGTCAGAGGGTAAAGATGAGGACAGAGGAAGTGGGAGGTAGAAACCATTATGAGGGCACAAGGTAGAGAGGAAGGAAAGCCATGGAGTTGTGAGCAGAGCCCAAAGTAGGGAGAGAGACAGAGGATGGTATCTGAGGACCACCGGGAGCTCACCATTGTATTTCATAAAATGCTTTGCATACAGTGAGTACTTTATCAGTATCCTTGACCATATGATTAAAATAGAGTGCATGAATAGGCTAGATATTGAGGAGGGAGTTCGAAAGAGGAAAAAAGGACAGGAAATGGGAGATGTGCATAAAACCCCCTTGAGGGCAAAGGCCCCAGTCTGGGTGGCAGCGCCCTCACCGGTGCACGATGCTCTTGCTGTGCAGGTAGGCAATGCCCAGGGTCAGCTGGGAGAACCACTTGCCAGCAAGGGGCTCAGAGCAGGCCCCGTAGCGCTGGATCCATTCAAGGACATCACCACCCTGAGCCAGTTCCAGAATGATGTATACTCGAGATGTGCTCTCAATGGCCCGATAGAAGTTGATGAGGTACTTGTGCCGCAAGACTTTCATTACCTGACCCCAGAAGAAGGACCCATCAAACCTGGGAAGGGAGAACCCTGACTGCACTCCCAGCCGTCTCCTACCCTCAGCTACTGACTTAGGACTTTGCAATAGGATCAGCCCCTCAACCCCAGAGAACTGGTGGCCTGTGGGCAAATGCTATGTTTTGTGCCTTTACTTTTTGGGGACTGAAGGTGAGTGGGTGGATGGGAAAGAGGTTTAACTTACATAAAGTTTCCTAGCTGCTTAGTGAGACATTTCAGTTCTGGTTTAGGGGTTTCTGGCCCCACCCCTCCTGGCCATACCCCTTCTGAGAAACCTCAAGCAGCTTAGTACCAAGCTCCAGTTCCCTCTTCCAGCCCCCTTTCCAACCTGTATTTCACGGGGCAGGAACTTGTTAAGATAGTCATCAGAGGCCTTCTTCTTTGAGATGATCTTGACTGCCACCATAACCTTCTGCTTTGTGTAGAAAGCCTCATATACCGACCCATAGGAGCCATGGCCAATGGCCTTGCCCACCTCATAACCATATTCATCCATGAGGGAATGGTAGGCTGTGGTGGTTGGTGCTGCCTCTAAGACATCTCCCTTCCCCATGGTGTTGGGCTTGCTGAGAGCAGGGAGCTTTACTACTTGGAAGCCTCCTATCCAAAGGCCAACACCTTGAGCTGCTGAAGGCTAGGGTATCAAAGTGAAGTAGGTCCCCAAATGCTTGCCTATATAGTCACACGAGTCTGGGATGCTGGACTCAGCCCTCCACTAGGAACTTGGAGGGGGAAAGAAAGAGAAGCAGTTCTTTTTGTCTCCACTGGCTGTTGTTACTTTCTCCTTTTGGTTACGGAACTCCTCAAGGTCCCATGTTCCGAATACATCACAATCCACCTCCTATCCATCGTTGGCCACAAAACTTGAGAATGAAGTGCGGCCGGGCGCGGTGGCTCACGCCTGTAATCCCAGCACTTTGGGAGGCCGAGGCGGGCGGATCACGAGGTCAGGAGATCGAGACCATCCCGGCTAAAACGGTGAAACCCCGTCTCTACTAAAAATACAAAAAATTAGCCGGGCGTAGTGGCGGGCGCCTGTAGTCCCAGCTACTTGGGAGGCTGAGGCAGGAGAATGGCGTGAACCTGGGAGGCAGAGCTTGCAGTGAGCCGAGATTGCGCCACTGCACTCCAGCCTGGGCGACAGAGCGAGACTCCGTCTCAAAAAAAAAAAAAAAAAAAAAGAGAATGAAGTGCAGTTGGAAACGTACTCATTCCCAGAGGCACCTTCCACAGTCTGGTGAAACTCCTAAAGATCAGACCTTTCATTGATATATGAGTACCTACTAAGTACCAGACACTGTGCTGAATACTTGGATAAAATGTCACCCAAATGTCATGCCAGACCCTTCCTCCTTCCTCAATCCCTACATACAATCTTTCATCAAATCCTGTCTCTGCTATCTCCTACTTATCTCTTTAATGATACACTCAAGGCTTTCCGAGCCCATTGCAGCCCCCTTAGTTCAATAAGGCCAATAGAGACACTATGATCCTAAAGCTTATAATGCAGCATGAGAAATACGAGTGTGAAAGTATTACCATTGTAAGGTATTGAACATGTTCTAGGAAAATCTAACCTTGAAATGCATCCTTATCTTCTATGAGCCAGAACTCTCTAGTTTTCCTCCACATCCTTCTGGTCACTCCTCAGCCTTCACTGAAGTTATATCTTTCTCTATCCATCCCTTAATCATATCCCAAGTGTTACATCACAAGCTTTATTTTCTCAAACCTTCACATCCTCCCTTAATCTTGTCCATACCCATGGTGTCAATACTACATTTATGCTGACTGCTCCTAATTTCATCTCCATCCCATATATCTGGAGTTTAGATAGAGCAGCCAGTATTACGTGGCCATGTCTGCCCCAGGCATGGAACTTACCATATCCATCTCAAACTTAACCATATCAATAATTGAACTTATTTTCTTCTCTCAGACTTTTCTGTGAGTTGTACACTAATCACCCTTAATTTAGACACTCATATGTCATCCCAGACCCTCCTGCCTCAGTCCCTACATTCAATCTATCACGAAATCCTATCTCTTATACCTCCTGATTCTCTCTTTGATAATATTCTCATGGTTTTCTGAGCCCACTGCTAATCCCTTAGTTCACGCCTCCATCATCGAACAGATGGCCCCCGCCAGCCTTCTGCTCCACTCCAGTCTGTCCATCCCAAGTCCAAAGCATAAATCTGATTTTATTTCCATTTGAAACAATTCAGTGTCTCCCCATTCTCTTTAGGATCAAGTCCATCCAAATTCTTTCACACAGCTTTAAGTCTGATCCTGCTTACCTCCCCAATTTTATTTTTTAACACACACGTAATGATCCACAACTGCTTTTCTGTATTTGTGGCAAACTCCAAATCTTCCTTGAGAACTTGGCATAGGACCTTTTTTCTCTTTTTTTTTTTTTGAGATGGAGTTTCGCTCTTGTTGCCCAGGCTGGAGTGCAATGGCACGATCTTGGCTCACTACAACCTCCAACTCCTGGGTTCAAGCGATTCTCCTGCCTCACCCTCCCTAGTAGCTAGGATTACAGACATGCACCACCATGCCTAGCTATTTTGTATGTTTAGTAGAGACAGGGTTTCTCCATGTTGGTCAGGCAGGTCTTGAACTCCCGACCTCAGGTGATCTGCCCACCTTGGCCTCCCAAAGTGCTGGGATTATAGGCATGAGCCACCGCGCCCCGTCTGTTTTTGTTTTGAGATGGAGTTTCGCTCTTGTTGCCCAGGCTGGAGTGCAATGGCACAATCTCGGCTCACCGCAACCTCCACCTCCCGGGTTCAAGCCATTCTCCCGCCTCAGCCTCCCGAGTAGCTGGGATTACAGGCATGCACCACCACGCCTGGCTAATTTTGTATTTTTTAGTAGAGACGGGGTTTCTCCATGTTGGTCAGGCTGGTCTCGAACTCCCAACCTCAGGTGATCTGCCTGCCTCAGCCTCCCAAAGTGCTGGGATTATAGCCGTGAGCCACCGCGCCCAGTGGAGCTGTTTTAAAGAAGGCTTAACTGACTGCTCAAGCTTCAGTTAGATATTCCTTCTTCCTGGGTGCTCCCACAGGCCCAATACTTTGTCTGTCACAGCACCTAACATAGTGTCTGTAATTGCTTCTGTTGCTTGCATCTCCCACTAAGCTATATAGGGAGGTCAAATGATGAGAAGACAGATGAAGTGTGGAGAATAGAAAAGAGCTGGTTTAGAAAATGAGCAGCATTGAGGGCCCAACTGAGGTTGGAGAACAACTTGTCCATAGACACATATAGTGTTGTGATTCTTTTAGCATCTTGGTTATAGGTACTTGAATGTTGATGGATGATTTAGGGTTTTGCTTGGCAGCTGCAATGAAACAATGGGAGAGGGGCATCAAGAACATACGCAAGAATGTGGCTGAAATGGAATGCGGAATCTAAGCTGCATGGATAAGGAAGATTATCGGGGAACCTGCCCCGATAGTCACGTAGGTTCTTTTCTATTTTCCCTAAGCGTCGGCCGGTTTGAGAAATAAAAGGACAGAGTACAAAAGAGAGAAATTTTAAAGCTGGGCATCCGGGGGAGACATCACATGTCGGTAGATTCTGTAATGCCCCACAAGCCGCAAAACCAGCAAGTTTTTATTAGGGACTTTCAAAAGGGGAGGGAGTGTACGAATAGGGTGTGGGTCACAAAGATCACGTACTTCACAAGGTAATAGAATATCAAAGGCAAAGGGAGGCAGGGCGAGATCACAGGACCGGGGCAAAATTAAAATTGCTAATGAAGTTTCGGGCACCATTGTCATTGATAACATCTTATCAGGAGACAGGGTTTTGAGAGCAACCTGTCTGACCACAATTTATTAGGTGGGAATTTCCTCTTCCTAATAAGCCTGGGAGTGCTATGGGAGACTGGGGTTTATTTCATCCCTACAGTTTCAACCATAGAAGACAGCCACACCCAAAGGGGCCATTTCAGAGACCCACCCTCAGGCACGTATTCTCTTTCCCAGGGATGTTCCTTGCTGAGAAAAAGAATTCAGCGATATTTCTCCCATTTGCTTTTGAAAGAAGAGAAATATGGCTCTGTTCCGCCTGGCTCACCGGAGGTCAGAGTTTAAGGTTATCTCTCTTGTTTCCTAAACATTGCTGTTATCCTGTTCTTTTTCAAGGTGCCCAGATTTCATATTGTTTAAACACACATGCTGTACAATTTGTGCAGTTAACGCAATTATCACAGGGTCCTGAGGCGATGTACATCCTCCTCGGTTTACGAGATGACAGGATTAAGAGATTAAAGTAAAGACAGGCATAGGAAATCACAAGGGTATTGACTGGGGAAGTGATAAGTGTCCATGAAATCTTCACAATTTATGTTTAGAGATTGCAGTAAAGACAGGCATAAGAAATTATAAAAGTATTAATTTGGGGAACTAATAAATGTCCATGAAATCTTCACAATCCACGTTCTTCTGTCATGGCTTCAGCCGGTCCCTCCGTTTGGGGTCCCTGACTTCCCGCAACAGAAGATTATATGGTTTGGATCTGTGTCCCCACCCAAATCTCATGGTCAGTTGTAATCTGCAATGTTGGAGGAGGGGCCTGGTGGGAGGTGACTGGATCATGGAGGTGGGTTTCTGATGAATGTGTAGCACCACCCTCTTGCCGTGAGTTATGAGATGTGGTCATTTTAAAAAGTGTGTAGCACCTCCCCCTTTGCCCTCTTGCTCCTGCTCCCACCATGTGAGATACTTGCTCCCCCTTCACCTTCTGCCATGATTGTAAGCTTCCTGAGGCCTCCCCAGAAGCAGATGCCAGCATTATGCTTCCTGTACAGCCTGCAGAACCACAGCCAATTAAAGCTCTTTTCTTATAAATTACCCAGTCTCAGGTATTTCTTTATAGCAAGGCAGCTGACACAGAAGACAAGCTAGAAACTGGCCAAAGGGGCAGAAGGAGGAGTTGCAGGTGTCACTGGAATGGAAAAACAAGTTTGGTAGGAATTGAGAGAATGAGAAGAACAGGAGGTTGTGGTCACAGAGGAGTTATTTAGATTTAAGATTTTGTAGCCGGGCGCAGTGGCTCACGCCTGTAATCCCAGCAATTTGGGAGGCCAAGGCTGGTGGACTGCTTGAGGTTAGGAGTTCAAGACCAGCCTGACCAACATGGTGAAACCCATCTCTACTAAAAATACAAAAATTAGGTGGGTGTGGTGGCAGGCGCCTGTAATCCCAGGTACTTGGGAGGCAGAGTCAGGAGAATCTCTTGAAGCCAGGAGGCAGAGTTTGCAGTGAGCCGAGATCATGCCACTGCACTCCAGCCTGGGCAACAGAGCAAGACTCTGTCTAAACGAACAAAAAAAAGGCCAGGCACGGTGGCTCAAGCTTGTAATCCCAGCACTTTGGGAGGCTGAGGTGGGCAGATCACGAGGTCAGGAGATCGAGACCATCCTGGCTAACATGGTGAAACCCCGTCTCTACTAAAAATACAAAACTAGCCAGGCATGGTGGCGGGCGCCTGTAGTCCCAGCTACTCGGGAGGCTGAGGCAGGAGAATGGTGTGAACCCAGGAGGTGGAGTTTGCAGTGAGCAGAGATTGCACCACTGCACTCCAGCCTGGGTGACAGAGCGAGACTCTGTCTCAAAAGCAAAAAACCGGCCGGGTGCGGTGGCTCACACTTGTAATCCCAGCACTTTGGGAGGCCGAGGAGGGCGGATCAGGAGGTCAGGAGATCAAGACCACGGTGAAACCCTGTCTCTACTAAAAATACAAAAAATTAGCCAGGTGTGGTGGCGGGTGCCTGTAGTCCCAGCCACTTGGAGAGGCTGAGGCAGGAGAATGGCATGAACCTGGGAGGCGGAGCTTGCAGTGAGCCGAGATCGCGCCACTGCGCTCCAGCCTGGGCGACAGAGACTCTGTCTCAAAAAAAAAAAAAAAAAAAAAAAAAAAAAAACCAAAAAAACAAAAAAGATTTTGTGTGGTGGGTATTAGGCCGTTCTTGCATTGCTATAAAGAAATACCAGGCCGGGCGTGGTGGCTCATGCCTGTAATCCCAGCATTTTGGGAGGCTGAAGCGGGCAGATCAGGAGGTCAGGAGATCGAGACCAGCCTGGCCAACATAGTGAAACCCGTCTCTACTAAAGACACAAAAATTAGCTGGGCGTGGTGGTGCATGCCTGTAATCCCAGGTACTCGGGAGGCTGAGGCAGGAGAATCACTTGAACCACGGAGTCGGAGGTTTCAGTGAGCCGAGATCGCACCACTGCACTCCAGCCTGGTGACAGAGCAACACTCTGTCTCAAAAAAAAAAAAGAAAGAAATACCTGAGGCCGTGTACAGTGGCTCATGCCTGTAATCCTGACAGTTTGGGAAGCCAAGGCAGGTGGATTACCTGAGCCCAGGAGTTCAAGACCAGCTTGGGCAACATAGCAAAAACCCATTTCTACGAAAAATACCAATATTAGCTAGGTGTGGTGGCATGTGCCTATAGTCTCAGCTACTCAGAAGGATCACTTGAGCCTGGGAGGTGAAGGCTGCAGTGAACCAAGATGGCACCACTGCACTCCAGCCTGGGTGACAAAGTGAGACCCTGTCTCAAAAACAAAAACAAACAAAAACATGAGACTGGGTAGTTTGTAAAGAAAAGAGGTTTAGGCCGGGTGCAGTGGCTCACGCCTGTAATCCCAACACTCTGGGAGGCCAAATTAGGCAGGCGGATCACAAGGTCAAGAGATCAAGACCATCCTGGCCAACATGGTGAAACCACATCTCTACTAAAAATACAAAAATTAGCTGGGCATGGTGGTGTGTGGCTGTAGTCCCAGCTACTCTGGAGGCTGAGGCAGGAGAATCACTTGAACCTGGGAGGGGGAGGTTGCAGTGAGCCAAGATCACACCACTGCACTCTAGCCTGGCGACAGAGCAAGACTCCGTCTCAAAAAAAAAAAAAAAAAAAAAGAAAAGAAAAGAAAAGAGGTTTAATTGGCTCACCGTTCTGCAGGCTGTATAGGAAGCATGGTGCTGGCTCAGCTTCTGGGGAGGCCTCAGGAAGCTTATAATCAAAACGGAAGGTGAAGGGGAAGCAGGGACATCACGTGGTGAGAATGGGAGTGAGAGAGAGAGAGTTGTGGTGGAGGTGCCACACGCTTTTAAACAACCAGATCTTGTGAGAACTCATAGGGTAAATACTACACCAAACCATGAGGGGTCCGCCCCCATGATCCAAAAACCTCCCACCAGGACCCACCTACAGCATTGGGGATTACATTTCAACATGAGATTTGGGCAGGGATAACTATCCAAACTATATCAGTGGGGGACAGAGGGGCAGAGAAAAGAACAAGGGAAGAATCCAAATTCTCATATCTTCCATCCTCCAAAACAGAATACTTCAAGAACAGATTATGCCACAGGCATGCAATAAATTCCCATTTATTGACAGTCTGACCTTGCTGGCAGGATGGTTCCAAAGTTCTGTTGGAAGCCAGCTCTATATCCTCAATCTAGCAAGATGAGCAGTTTTCCAGGGCACACCATGGTAAGGGGGCCCACCCAATCCTGCCCATCTGATCCCACAGGCTGGCCCCCGGATAGGTAACTTGGTGGCAACTCTAGTCTCTCATCATGTACAGGGGGTAAACCAGTTCATGCGAAGATCATGTATTAAGCTGCCTAACATATACAAAAACACTGCTAGGTCCTGAGGAAACAGAGATGAATAAATTACAGTCTTCCTCTGAGGAGTTTGAAATTAGCAAGGGAGACAGACACATAAGAAGTAAAATAACACTACAGTGAGATATGCTATAAACAAACCTGGGAGGAGATGTAAGGGAAGGCTTTATAGAGAAGGTGACATTTGCACTGTTCAAAAAAAAAGGATAAGGCCAGGTGCAGTGGCTCATGCCTGTAATCCCAGCACTTTGGGAGGTCAAGGCGGGCGGATCACGAAGTCAGGAGTTCGAGACCAGCCTGGCCAATATGGTGAAACCCCATCTCTACTAAAAAATACAAAAATTAGCCGGGCATGGTGGTGCGCACCTGTAGTCCCAGCTACTCGGGAGGCTGGGGCAGGAGAATCGCTTGAACTCGGAGGTGGAGGTTGCAGTGAACTGAGATCACACCACTACACTCCAGCCTGGTTGACAGTGAGACTGTCTCAAAAAAAAAAAAAAAAAAAAAAAAAGGCCAGGCACGGTGGCTCACACTTGTAATCCCAGCACTTTGGGAGGCCAAGGCGGGCAGATCATGAGGTTGGGAGATCGAGACCATCCTGGCTAACACTGTGAAACCCCGTCTCTACTGAAAATACAAAAACAAAAATTAGCCGGGCGTGGTGGCAGGCACCTGTAGTCCCAGCTACTCGGGAGGCTGAGGCGGGAGAATGGCGTGAACCTGGGAGGCGGAGCTTGCAGTGAGCAGAGATCACGCCACTGCACTCCGGCCTGGGCAACAGAGCGAGACTCTGTCTCAAAAAAAAAAAAAAAAAAGATAAGTAGGGAATAGGAGATTGGGTGGTTTAGGCAGGAGGAACAATATGAGGCTTGCCGGCTTGAGAGAATATGATATTCAGTATTTCTATTTGAATACAGAATAGGGTTCCAGAAGGGGAATGTACCTTGAGAAGTAATTAGGATCCAGGTCTGAGCAGTCTCATATGCCAGGCTATTTTGACTCTACCTTGTATGCTCATATAATCTGGGTATACATCAAAATCAGTGCTTATTTTTTTGAGACAGAGTTTGGTTCTTGTTGCCCAGGCTGGAGTGCAATGGTGCAGTCTCAGCTCACTGCAACCTCCGCCTCCTGGGTTCAAGCGATTACCCTGCCTCAGCCTCCCAAGTGGCTGGGGTTATAGCCATGAGCCACCATGCCCGGCTAATTTTTTTTGTATTTTTAGTAGAGACGGGGTTTCACCATGTTGGACAGGCTGGTCTTGAACTCCCGACCTCAGGTAATCCACCTCGGCCTCCCAAAGTGCTGGGATTACAGGAGTGAGCCACTACGCCCGGCCTCAGTGCTTGCTTTTTTTAAAAAAAAAAAAATGCTGATGACCAGGCACCCCCTCCCCTGAGAATCCTGATTTTAAAAAAGAAACTTTCCAGTAGCAGTGTGAAAAATGACCCAGGGGGAAGGTGACTAGGAGACTAGCAAGGTGGCTCTCATGGTAGTTTAGGTGAGAGAAGATGGAGCCTGAACCAAAGAGGTGGAGGCAAGCATCTGGAAGATATTCAGGAAATAAGTGGAGAGGGCTTGGTGACACTGATATCTGAGCGGGAAGATAGAGAGAAAGAGGCCCAAGTTTCTGGCTTTAGAGACCAGGTGGTTGTCAGTTAGAGATTATTTCTAAGCCACTCTCAGTTCTTGTTCTTTTTTCTTTTTCTTTTTCTTTTTTTTTTTTTTTTTGAGATGGAGTCCCGCTCTGTTGCCCAGGCTGGAGTGCAATGGCCTGATCTCGGTTCACTGCAACCTCCGCTTCCCAGGTTCAAGCTATTCTCCTGCCTCAGCCTCACAAGTGGCTGGGGTTACAGGCGCCCGCCACCAGGCCCAGCTAATTTTTTTGTATTTTTAGTAGAGACAGGGTTTCGCCATGTTAGGCTGGTCTCGAACTCCCGACCTCGGGTGATCTGCCCGCCTTGGCCTCCCAAAGTGCTGGTATTACAGGCGTGAGCCCACCGCGCCCGACCTCAGTTCTTTTTCTAATTAGAAAATTCACTGATTGTCTAACAAAACTCCACCATCTGCTTCTTTGAACCTCACCTATATCTGCAGGGAAAGAACTGGGTCAGAAAGGGCAGTAATTGTAGAAGCAGGTAAATTAAGGGCTTTTCAGGCCAGAAGTCACTTGTGATTTTTCCACTGTGCTTCTTCCCCTGGGGAGAGAGAAGCTTAAGTCCACTTCCTTACACGTTGCTCCCAGGTGGCAAAACAGAAGTCACTGCTCAAAGGTCCGATTTTCAAGGGGAACTCCCTAGACGGCAGATCCCCTTTAAAACAGCTGAGACAAACACAAGGGTAAACTTTTTCAAAATAATCTGCCATACAAAGTGAAGAGAAGCCCAAAGACATACACAGTGATAAATAAGAACAAAAACATAGACTAACGGACCTCGAGATACTTTACCGTCAATTAACAATAACCATGTTAGGCTGCCCAACTCACAGAGTCAAAGGACAGACCTCTCTCCTTGCGCGCCTCTGCGCCAAACCGGGTTTCGGCTTGCTTATCGTGGGCTCTGAACGGTCACTGTGCGGCCAGGGAAGTCTCCAGCACAGCCTCGGGAAGACATTCCTATTACATATTTATCACTTTGGCGCTGGCCATTCGTGACAGGTGGGAGACGAGTGAGGTGAGATTCAGATGTTGGGACCCTTGCATGGGACAGATGCCCAAAGCTTCGCCCCTTCCCCGGTTTGGGGGCCACGAACCGCCTCTCAGGGCTCAGCCTCAGCAGCAGGTGGTTCAGCCGGAAAGTGCTTCGAACCCAGACGCCGCCTGCGCTCCATCTCCCCGGCCCTCGCTAGTCCCGTCCCGCGGGGACAGCTCTCGGGCCTCGGCCAGCGCGAGCCTCCTGGCCAAGAGCTCTCAAACCCCAAATCTTTCCAGGAGCAAGCGAGCGGCCTAGCAGCCACTCCTCTCCCGAAGGGGTGTCAGGGTCCTCGCTGCCAGGCCTCAGCCCCCTCCCCGGGAAGCCGTCGCGAAGGAGTCCCCAGGGGCCGCAGCAGCGAAGGCCCTCTGCGTTCCAGGCAAGGAGCTTTCCGCCAGGCTGAGGTCGCCGCCGGTGAGGGCGGAAGTGGTAAGACTGACGTGTCCTGGGCCGCGCTGCCGATCGCCGGGAGGACCCCCGCCTCGCCGAAGACGGGCGGGGCAAGCCGAGCCTCACGGGGTCCCCGGAGCTGGGCCGGGCCTCCAGATGGAGAAGGCGCAACGGGGAGTTCTTGAGTAAGCCAGAGCGGTGTCCAGCGCGGTGTAGCCGCAGCCGCCGCTGTCAGGCGCAGCAACGGGCAACCCCGTAGAAGTCGGTCGGCAGGTCCTCTCCAACCCGCCGCTACCGCGCCGCTGTGGGAGAGACCCCAGCAGGAGCCCAAAGGCAGCTACGGGGGCGCGAAGGCCGCTGGCGCCGCCTCGGCCAGCCCTTCCCGCGCGGTGAGGACCCCGGGGCTGTGGCGGGAAGGGACCCGAGGTGCGAGACCGAGCGGCGTTGCCATGGAAACGGGCCAGGGCGCGTAGTAGAGGCCCCGGGCCAGACGGGCTGCGGGTGGGGTGAACCCCAGGTTGGGAGGATGAGAGAGCAGAGGTGGAGCGGGGTCTTTGGGATAGAGAGACGTGGGGTAGGGTGAGGCGGGGAGGGGGCCAATGGGAGCAAGTGGAGCCAGGGGACCTCAGTTCGAGGCACCTGACCTGGGGTTTCTGTAACCTCCCTGGTTTCTATAACCTCAGGATTCCCCCAAACAGGTTCCACTGCCTTAAGGATGACAGTCGTAGGGAACCCTCGAAGTTGGAGCTGCCAGTGGTTGCCAATCCTGATACTGTTGCTGGGCACAGGCCATGGGCCAGGGGTGGAAGGCGTGACACACTACAAGGCCGGCGACCCTGTTATTCTGTATGTCAACAAAGTGGGACCCTACCATAACCCTCAGGAAACTTACCACTACTATCAGCTTCCAGTCTGCTGCCCTGAGAAGATACGTCACAAAAGCCTTAGCCTGGGTGAAGTGCTGGATGGGGACCGAATGGCTGAGTCTTTGTATGAGATCCGCTTTCGGGAAAACGTGGAGAAGAGAATTCTGTGCCACATGCAGCTCAGTTCTGCACAGGTCAGCCTCTCCACATTGGCTATCACGTAGCCCTCCTTCCCAGAGACTAACAGTGCCTTACATTTATGGTTCAGGGTACCTTTATGGAAATTGTCTGATTTGATTCTAACTACAATACAACCCAGTGTGGCAGGCAGGTTAGGTGATGCTATTCTAATTCAGTTGACTAAGATACATACTTGCTCAGAAGTTACTTTTTTCAAGATTACATGGACAGTGATTTGCAGAACTGATATCAGAGCCCAGGGTTTCTTACTGCAAGCTTCTCTGTTGGTCATGAGGTCCCAACTATCAGTCCCACATAGTTCTGTTTCCTTCCATGCCTACCTCTTGGCTGTTTCTTAGCTGTTTCCTGTAGTCTCTACCTAAACTTCCCTGTCATGCTTTTTCTTTAGTGAATCCTGGTACTTCTCCTTAGTCCACTCCAGACCTCCTTATACCTCACCGCTCTCCTTTTTCTAGGCCTTAACCCTGTCAAGCCATACTTGCTCTTTTTTGGAGAATCTCAACATACTAGAGTCTAACCCAGTGATTGTCAACAGGGAACAGTTTTGTCCCCCAAGGGACATTTAGCAATGTCTGGAGACATTTTTTGTTGTTACAGCTGGGGGGGTACTACCAGCATAGAATGGGAAGAGGCCAGGAAAGCTACATCCTACAGTGCACGGGATAACCCCACTATGACAAAGAATTATCCAACCCAGGCTGGGTGTGGTGGCTCACTCCTGTAATCCCAGCACTTTTTTTTTTTTTTTGAGACAGAGTCTTGCTCTGTCGCCCAGGCTGGAGTGCCGTGGCGCAATCTCGGCTCACTGCAAGCTCCACCTCCCGGGTTCACGCCATTCTCCTGCCTCAGCCTCCCGAGTAGCTGGGACTACAGGCGCCCGCCACCACGCCCAGCTAATTTTTTGTATTTTTAGTAGAGACGGGGTTTCACCGTGTTAGCCAGGATGGTCTCGATCTCCTGACCTCGTGATCTGCCCGCCTCGGCCTCCCAAAGTGTTGGGATTACAGGCATGAGCCTCCGCACCCGACCAATCCCAGCACTTTGGGAGGCCGAGGCAGGCAGATCATGAGGTCAGGAATTTGAGACTAGCCTGGCCAACATGGTGAAACCCTGTCTCTACTAAAAATACAAAAATTAGCTGGGTGTGGTGGTGGGCGCCTGTAATCCCAGCTACTCGGGAGGCTGAGGCAGGAGAATTGCTTGAACCCAGGAGGCAGAAGTTGCAGTAAGCCGAGATCGCACCACTGCACTCCAGCCTGGGTGACAGAGCAAGACTCCATCTCGAAAAAAAAGAATTATCCACCCCAAAATATCAGTAGTGCTGAAGGTGAGAAACTTTGCTGTAACTCTGCGCCTGGGGAGATCTTGTGTGACCAACTCCTGACTTGCTCTTTATAGGTGGAGCAGCTGCGCCAGGCCATTGAAGAACTGTACTACTTTGAATTTGTGGTAGATGACTTGCCAATCCGGGGCTTTGTGGGCTACATGGAGGAGAGTGGTTTCCTGCCACACAGCCACAAGATAGGACTCTGGACCCATTTGGACTTCCACCTAGAATTCCATGGAGACCGAATTATATTTGCCAATGTTTCAGTGCGGGACGTCAAGCCCCACAGCTTGGATGGGTTACGACCTGACGAGTTCCTAGGCCTTACCCACACTTATAGCGTGCGCTGGTCTGAGACTTCAGTGGAGCGTCGGAGTGACAGGCGCCGTGGTGACGATGGTGGTTTCTTTCCTCGAACACTGGAAATCCATTGGTTGTCCATCATCAACTCCATGGTGCTTGTGTTTTTACTGGTGGGTTTTGTGGCTGTCATTCTAATGCGTGTGCTTCGGAATGACCTGGCTCGGTACAACTTAGATGAGGAGACCACCTCTGCAGGTTCTGGTGATGACTTTGACCAGGGTGACAATGGCTGGAAAATTATCCATACAGATGTCTTCCGCTTCCCCCCATACCGTGGTCTGCTCTGTGCTGTGCTTGGCGTGGGTGCCCAGTTCCTGGCCCTTGGCACTGGTGAGGTGATAAAAATGAATTGGGGATTTATCTCATGGGATAGAACTAGGTAGGGAGTTTGTTCAGAAAAGGTCTGTGGATCTTCTCTTCTATCCAGAGGGGCAGACCTAAGGGATAGGGTGGCTCTAGCAAGAATGCACGTATTCTATTGTAGATTTTCTGGATAGCAAAACTGGGGGAGATTGTTTTGCTGGAGGCCCTGGGTCTGGGAGAAGGGGGGCTGATTCCTCTGAAATTGCTAGAAGAGACACAGGTGAGGCCTAACTTGGGCTTTCCGCTACCGTCCTGCAGGCATTATTGTCATGGCACTGCTGGGCATGTTCAATGTGCACCGTCATGGGGCCATTAACTCAGCAGCCATCTTGTTGTATGCCCTGACCTGCTGCATCTCTGGCTACGTGTCCAGCCACTTCTACCGGCAGATTGGAGGCGAGCGTTGGGTGTGGAACATCATTCTCACCACCAGTCTCTTCTCTGGTGAGGACTTTCCTTTCCCTGGTGGGCCTTTCTGGACTTAGGAATGAAGAACACATTGTGGCTGGTCACAGTGGCTCACACCTGTAATCCTAGCACTTTGGGAGACCGAGGCCGGAGGATCACTTGAGCCCAAAAGTTTGAGACAAGCCTAGACAACATAGTGAGACCCTCTCTCTATAACAAAAAATTAGCCGGGCATGGTGGTTCACATCTGTAATCCCAGCTACTTGGGAGGCTGACCCAGGAGGATTGCTTGAGCCTGGGGAGCCAGGGAGGTTGAGGCTACAGTGAGCCATGATTGCACCACTGCACTCTAGCTGGGCTGACAGAGTGAGACTGTCTCAAAAAAAAAAAAAGAACACATCATAGAACTTGGGATAGAGTCAGGATGAGGCTTGAAGGGAAGGAATATTGTAAAAGAAAGAAGAAAACCAAAAAAAAACAAGAATGCATTTCTTTTGAATAGTTTAAAATTACTAAGCCCTCAAAATGTCCTAGGCAGTGTGGAAAGCACTCAGCAATAACTGTGTGAAGTAGGTAATATTTCCATTCCACAGATGAGGAAACTGAACTAAAGGCTGCTTAAGTAACTTGTCTGAGATTACACTCCTAAAAAGTAGTGAACTAGGTTTCAGCAGTCTGACTTGTATTCTCACCCATTACACTAAAATAACACCCTTGAATTTTTATTTTGAAGGTGGGCCCACTCTAGGCTTTCAAACCAGATTGCCCTTTCAAAGGCAGTAGTAGTCTCTGTTCTGAACCCTTCTTGTTCCCAATTCTGTGTGTCTGATTTTTATCCCATCACATTTATATTTGAACCAAGGCTTTCTGAAAACAGGGCCTTAATCCAAAGGAATGTCTCATGCTAGGAATTACCAACTCCAAGGCAAGACAGGCCCCTGGAGGCAGATGGATTTGTGCTACTCTCAGATTATGTAGTAGCTACCTGGATCCTTAATGACACCGGGTTGGGGGATGGTGTTGGTAAGATAAAGAGCAAAGAGTCCGGGTGTGGTGGCTCATGCCTGTAATCCCAGCACTTTGGGAGGCTGAGGCAGGCAGATCACCAGGTCAGGAGATCGAGACCATCCTGGCTAACACAGTGAAACCCCATCTCTACTAAAAATACAAAAAATTAGCCGGGCGTGGTGGCGGGCGCCTGTAGTCCTAGCTACTCACTCGGGAGGCTGAGGCAGGAGAATGGCATGAACCTGGGAGGCGGAGCTTGCAGTGAGCAGAGATCGCGCCACTGCACTCCAGCCTGGGCGACAGAGCGAGACTCTGTCTCAAAAAAAAAAAAAAAAAAAAAAAAAAAACACAGAACAAAGAATAATGGGACCTGAAAGGGTGGAGGTGAAGGCAGTCGACTCTGCAGGGACATCCAGGAGCATGAGTCTGCCGTTAGAGTGGCAGGCTGCTTCAGCCCCCTCCCCTTTTGGTCCTGGATGTAAGTGGGTGCCCTTAGAGATGTAGCTCCTAGTGTTGACCCTCCCTCCGGGGGCCCATCCCTGCAGTGCCTTTCTTCCTGACGTGGAGTGTGGTGAACTCAGTGCATTGGGCCAATGGTTCGACACAGGCTCTGCCAGCCACAACCATCCTGCTGCTTCTGACGGTTTGGCTGCTGGTGGGCTTTCCCCTCACTGTCATTGGAGGCATCTTTGGGAAGAACAACGCCAGCCCCTTTGATGCACCCTGTCGCACCAAGAACATCGCCCGGGAGATTCCACCCCAGCCCTGGTACAAGTCTACTGTCATCCACATGACTGTTGGAGGCTTCCTGCCTTTCAGGTATCCTCCCTTTATTCCATGGCTATTACTGTCAGGTTCCTGACCTCAATTTTTCCTGTCCCTACTCATCCAGTACCCTAACCCAACCCGTTGATCCCTGGTTCAGTGGTACCATTCAGAGATCATTAAATGGTTCCTCCTATCCCCAAGCAGGACTGAGCTTGAATGATATGAGAGTGTCTCACTTATAAAGCTCTCCGGAGACATTTCCCCCTTCACCTTCCTGGTTTCTGACTTTAATGCCTATGGACATCATGTGGGGTTTAAAGCCCATTTGATGACCCATTTACTTTGTTGAATACCTCTTTGTGCCAGGCAAAGAATAAAGTGGAATAAAATGGACAAGATCCCTGCCCTCAATCTATTAGGGAAGATATTCTTGAAGTGAGAGCGGCTAATCATAGGCAAAAAATCCCCATGAAGCCAGGAGATCTGGGGCAGAGAGTGGAGTGAACTCACTTTTCACAATGACCCAGCAACATGGGAGAGGGTGGGGGCTGGATTTCAGCCCAGCCACTGTGCTGATGGTGCACAGCCCTTTAATGCTGTGTATCATCTCTTTTCTTCACAGTGCCATCTCTGTGGAGCTGTACTACATCTTTGCCACAGTATGGGGTCGGGAGCAGTACACTTTGTACGGCATCCTCTTCTTTGTCTTCGCCATCCTGCTGAGTGTGGGGGCTTGCATCTCCATTGCACTCACCTACTTCCAGTTGTCTGGGGAGGATTACCGCTGGTGGTGGCGATCTGTGCTGAGTGTTGGCTCCACCGGCCTCTTCATCTTCCTCTACTCAGTTTTCTATTATGCCCGGCGCTCCAACATGTCTGGGGCAGTACAGACAGTAGAGTTCTTCGGCTACTCCTTACTCACTGGTTATGTCTTCTTCCTCATGCTGGGCACCATCTCCTTTTTTTCTTCCCTAAAGTTCATCCGGTATATCTATGTTAACCTCAAGATGGACTGAGTTCTGTATGGCAGAACTATTGCTGTTCTCTCCCTTTCTTCATGCCCTGTTGAACTCTCCTACCAGCTTCTCTTCTGATTGACTGAATTGTGTGATGGCATTGTTGCCTTCCCTTTTGCCCTTTGGGCATTCCTTCCCCAGAGAGGGCCTGGAAATTATAAATCTCTATCACATAAGGATTATATATTTGAACTTTTTAAGTTGCCTTTAGTTTTGGTCCTGATTTTTCTTTTTACAATTACCAAAATAAAATTTATTAAGAAAAAGGCTCATGCAGTTGGAGGTTTTGGTCTGGATATAGGAACTCGAGCCCTGCTGTTAAGGGCACGGTCCTTTATAAAGCCGAGCTGGCCACTGAATGCCCGAAGCTCGAGTTCTCCAACCCAGCTTGGGAACTCCCGGCGTGGGGAACCTACATTGCCAGAGTCGGGTTTCCGCGATTCAGCCGGTGCTCAGCCTAACGGAAGTGGAGGAGCCGGACCTCTTTGTGGGAAGCGAATTGAATCACCTTGGCAACCCGCGGGGCGTGCAGCAACGCCCTTTCCTCCGGAAGTGGGTGTCAGAACCTCCACGTGCTGTCCCTCCCCCTCCCCTTTTCGGCCCAGTAGCGGCGGCTCAGTTGCTGCCATGGAGTCAGCCGGGCTAGAGCAGCTCCTACGGGAGCTGCTGCTACCGGACACCGAGCGCATCCGTCGGGTACGGAGCAGGCGTAACCGGGCCAGGGCGAGCGGGAGGTTGCGGGAAAGGCCCAACTCTCACCCCTAGCTTCCCCCCAGGCCACGGAACAGCTCCAGATCGTTCTTCGGGCCCCCGCCGCTTTGCCGGCTCTCTGCGACCTGCTAGCCTCGGCGGCCGACCCCCAGGTGAGACCCCTGACTCTCCCCTCCGAGCTTCCCACTGTACGCCACCGGTCAAGCCCCAGTATTCGCCCACTGCGGTCCGCTCAGCACCTTCCTGCCCGGACCCCCACGTGCTTGCTTCCTCGTCCTAGATCCGCCAGTTTGCGGCCGTGCTGACCCGCAGACGACTGAACACCCGCTGGCGACGGCTGGCGGCGGAGCAACGGGAGAGGTGGGCTGGGCCTGGGGTGGGGCGGGGCCAGGCGGAGACTTTTCTTGGGCAGGCTGGGTACCAAACACCTGCCACCTGTGTTCCAGCCTCAAGTCCCTGATCCTGACGGCCCTGCAGAGAGAAACAGAGTAAGTACCTACCCACTTCTCTCGGGATCTTGACGACTTTGTCTAGGTTTCTGCCTTCCTTTTCGGCTCCAGGCTGGGACTTGTGGGGCAGGGACTTCAGTTCTAGACGCAAGGTGGAGTGAGGATTTTAAGGCTGTTTTGAAGACTAAAGTTCTTGAGGAAGGGTGATGATGATCTGCCAAACCCAAGTCAGAAGAATAAGACTGAAATTCAGGCTAAGTTAGACTGAACTTACCAGATTACATGCCCACAGTGCTGTTGGGCTCCCTCTGAGCTGCTGTCTCATGTGTCCCAACTTGGCAAAGACCCTGTGCCCACACCTCCTGAAAGTTTCTGTCCTGGCTGCCCCATTGAGCCTGGCCACTGTGTGCAGAGGAAGGTATTGAAGGGTGATTGGAGGAGATCTCTCCTGTTTGCAGGCACTGTGTGAGCCTCAGCCTGGCCCAGCTCTCAGCCACCATTTTTCGAAAGGAAGGCTTGGAGGCCTGGCCACAGCTTTTGCAGCTGCTTCAGCACAGTACCCACAGCCCCCACAGCCCAGAGAGAGAGGTACCATCACATGGTTGGCAGGAGGGAGGGCCTGAGAGGCTGGATAGACCTTGTAAGCTTGCTCTCCCATCCTCTATTCTTGGACAGATGGGGCTTTTGCTGCTAAGTGTGGTGGTGACCTCCCGGCCCGAGGCCTTCCAACCCCACCACCGGGAGCTTCTTCGGCTTCTGAATGAGACTCTTGGTGAGGTGGGCTCTCCTGGGCTGCTCTTCTACTCCCTGCGCACTCTGACCACCATGGCTCCCTACCTCAGCACTGAAGATGTGGTGAGATGTGGGCCCTCGTTATCTTTGACTCCCTTTCCTCATGCCTTCATGTCCTCACCCGTAAAAGTTACAAAGCTGCTTTGGATTCTTTACCTGCCTGTGGCCCTTCCTGACAATTGAGAGGGGATGCTGTAGGTGGGCCTGGCTGTTATGCCTGGGCTCCTCCTCGCAATTCAGGCTGTGAGGAAGCTGCCAGCTGCTGGGGTGTGAGATTGGGCTGCATCATGCTCTCTGTGATGTGTCCCTCAGCCTCTCGCTCGGATGTTGGTGCCCAAGCTGATCATGGCCATGCAGACTCTGATCCCCATAGATGAGGTGAGGACAGGTGGGCAGGAGCTCTGTTGGAAGGAGAGTGCAGAAGTGTCCAGTTTGGCCCACTGAAGAAGAGCATGGTAACCTTGTGCCTTGTTTGTCTGTCAGGCAAAGGCCTGTGAGGCCCTTGAGGCTTTGGATGAACTGTTGGAGTCAGAGGTGCCGGTCATCACCCCCTACCTCTCTGAAGTCCTCACATTCTGCCTGGAGGTGAGCCTGGAGTGGACATGGCCCCTGCTACATGCTCTGCTGGGACTCTCCTTCCCTGTCGCTGATTTTTATTATTCTGTGGACAGGTAGCTAGAAATGTGGCCCTGGGCAATGCGATACGCATACGTATTCTCTGCTGCCTCACTTTCTTGGTCAAAGTCAAGAGCAAGGTAAGTGAGTGCCCATTGACACACATCACCCCACCCCCATCTCCACCCTTAGTCTCACTCCTGGGGCTTTCGGTCCATCTCAGGGTATCTAAAGTACTGTGGGGGTTCAAGCCTTGGCCTGGCCTCACCCCAGCTCCTGCCTGGGAGGTTGGGAATTTTCTGTCAGACCCCTTATGGCCTGGAAGACTGGAATTTTTAATGTGAGCCCATCCTGGGAGCAGATTCTTAGGGACACTGTTCCACCTTCTCTGTCAAGGCCTTACTGAAGAATCGTCTCCTGCCACCCTTGCTGCACACCCTTTTCCCCATTGTGGCTGCTGAGCCCCCACCAGGCCAGTTGGATCCCGAGGACCAGGATTCAGAAGAGGAAGAGTTGGAGATTGAGCTGATGGGGGAGACTCCCAAGCATTTCGCTGTACAAGTGAGATGTGGGGCAGGACAGAGGGGGAAGGTGTTAGGTGGCTGTGGGACGTTGGGGAGGCAGAGATGGAGTCAAGCAAAGTAAGTCTCCCCATCCCATCTCAGGTTGTGGACATGCTGGCACTACACCTGCCCCCCGAGAAGCTCTGTCCCCAGCTGGTAAGTGTGGCTCTGTCCTTCTGGTGTCCCTACCTCCAAGTGTGCCTAGTCCCCCTGAGGCCAACGACGTTTAGACCCTGGGAGGTGTGAAGGCCTATTACCACAGGAATGGGCAGGCTCTTGCTGGGGTTTCAGAAGCGTGCCACATGCTTCCCTAGATGCCCATGTTGGAAGAGGCTTTGCGGAGCGAGAGCCCATACCAGCGCAAAGCTGGACTCCTGGTGCTGGCCGTGCTGTCTGACGGAGCTGGCGACCACATCAGGCAGAGGTATGTATTCCCCTGTCCCAGGGTGAGGGTTGCCCACAGGGAGGACCATGGCTGTCCTGGTTTACGCTTGTTGTTCAAGCTTATTTATCAACAGCGTTTCCCCCCATTATCAAAAGTGTCCTGGCTTGGAAGATAAATGACATGGCTTACCAGCTATAGGGACCAGGGGCTGCTGCCCACCCTCTGGTGACAGGAAAAGCCTTGGTTTTTCCAGGGAAAATGAAGAGAACAGGTCAGCCTAGGGCTCTCAGGTGTAGCTTCTCAGCCTATGTCCTCTTGTTTGCCCCATCCAGACTGCTGCCCCCACTGCTGCAGATTGTGTGCAAGGGCCTGGAGGACCCCTCGCAAGTTGTACGCAATGCTGCGCTGTTTGCCCTGGGCCAGTTCTCAGAAAACCTACAGGTGAACCAGGCTGAATGTGGGAGCCACCACTTGAATGTCCCCTTCCCCTCATCTTTCATCTCTTCAAGCATCCCTGCTGCCATCAGCACTCTTGTGTGTGCCCGGCAGGTGAACCTGACTCAGGCCCTGCTTGCTCCCTCCCCCAGCCCCATATCAGCAGCTATTCAAGGGAGGTAATGCCACTGCTCCTCGCCTACTTGAAGTCGGTGCCTCTTGGACACACACACCACCTAGCCAAGGCCTGCTATGCCCTGGAGAATTTTGTGGAGAACCTAGGTAGTGATGGCAGTGGGGAGCTTGGGGAAGGGGGATGAGGCGGCGGCTTTGGCTGAATGTACAGGATGTGCATCTCCCTGCATTGCTGCCTGTGGTAGGGGAAAGGGTGTGATGGTGCCAAAAAAAGGTTTCCGCCTGGAGGGAGGTGGGCGTGCAGGTAGCAGACCTGGGTTGGTTGGTAGAGGAGCATCCTTTCCCACAGGGCCCAAGGTGCAGCCCTACCTTCCGGAGCTTATGGAATGCATGCTGCAGCTTCTGAGGAACCCCAGCAGTCCCCGGGCCAAGGAGCTGGCTGTGAGCGCCCTGGGAGCCATTGGTGAGGAGAGAGGCAGGAGGCAGGGATGTGGGGTTCACCCAAAGGCCCTGTGGCTGGTGGTCCCTGCCCTCTCCAGCTCTGATTCTGTCCTTCCATCCTGCAGCTACGGCTGCCCAGGCCTCGCTGCTGCCCTACTTCCCTGCCATCATGGAGCACCTGCGGGAATTCCTGTTAACAGGCCGTGAGGACCTTCAGCCTGTGCAGATCCAGAGCCTGGGTGAGTGAGAGGTTCCCAGGTGGGGCTCCCAGTGCCAGCAAAGGGCTGGTGCTCACCTGGTGTTGACAGATTGCCCCCACAGGAGCACGGATGTCTTCCTTCTCATCAAAGGGGTGTGCTTCATGCTGTACCAAGGGGTGGGGCGGGATTTCTGAATCCCTCCCAGCCACCACCTTTGGTCCCGTAGCCCACCTCCACCTCCTGGTGCTAATGGAGCCCTTGCCCCCACAGAGACACTGGGGGTGCTGGCACGAGCAGTGGGGGAGCCCATGAGGCCGCTGGCTGAGGAATGCTGCCAGCTGGGTCTGGGCCTCTGCGACCAGGTAGACGACCCTGACTTGCGGCGCTGCACGTGAGTGACCCCTCACCCTGCCTCTGCCCTTGTCCCCTCCCCTCCTGTCTTCCCACTGGACCCACTGGAATCCCCACCCCAGACTCCAGTCGTCTGGTTTGGACCATAGCCAGGTGTTCCCGGGCTCCCCCATCCTGCCTGGTGGTAGCAGGCAGGACCTTACAGCTTCTTCTGCCTGCTTTGACCAGGTACAGCCTATTTGCAGCCTTATCGGGTCTGATGGGTGAGGGCCTGGCGCCCCACTTGGAACAGATCACCACGCTCATGCTGCTGTCACTGCGTTCCACCGAGGGCATTGTGGTGAGCAAAGGGTGGGTGGGCTGGGCCAGGCCTGCCCTGCAATGGGATTTATCTCCTGGGCCCAGCTGAGCCAAAGTCCTTGCCGTGCCTCCGCTCCAGCCTCAGTATGACGGGAGCAGCTCCTTCCTTCTGTTTGACGATGAGAGTGATGGGGAAGAAGAGGAGGAGCTCATGGATGAGGATGTGGAAGAAGAGGATGACTCAGAGATCTCAGGGTGCGGAGGGGTGCTCTTCTGATCAGGAATCTAGACTTTGGCTTTAGACAAGGGCCTAGTGCTGGATCTGCTCCTCTTGGTGCCTGATCACCACTGCCTCCCCTTCTTACTCTAGGTACAGCGTGGAGAATGCCTTCTTCGATGAGAAGGAAGACACCTGTGCTGCCGTGGGGGAGATCTCTGTGAACACCAGGTGAGCATTCGCCCTTCCCTGGCACTGAAAACCCTGCCTGGGGGCCCCTTACCCACGGCTGTGTCTCTCTCTGTAGTGTGGCCTTCCTTCCATACATGGAAAGTGTCTTTGAAGAAGTATTTAAACTGCTGGAGGTGAGCGGGCCGGCGGGTGGAGTGGGTGGGGTTCTCAGGCTGGGGGCCCTGTGTTCACGGTGCACATAGCAGACATATCCCGCCCCTCCTCATCCTGCAGTGCCCTCACCTGAATGTGCGGAAGGCAGCCCATGAGGCTCTGGGTCAGTTTTGCTGTGCACTGCACAAGGCCTGTCAAAGCTGCCCCTCGGAACCCAACACTGCTGGTGAGGAGAGGCTGGGCCAGGCTGGGGGTTCTTGGGGAGGGGCAGGGCCTGACTGGTGCTTCAGCCAATAATGTCCCCAGCTTTGCAGGCTGCCCTGGCCCGAGTCGTGCCATCCTACATGCAGGCAGTGAACAGGGAGCGGGAACGCCAGGTGGTGATGGCCGTGCTGGAGGCCCTGACAGGGGTGCTCCGCAGCTGTGGGACCCTCACACTGAAGCCCCCTGGGCGCCTCGCTGAGCTCTGTGGCGTGCTCAAGGCTGTGCTGCAGAGGAAGGTGAGCAGGGCAGGTGGGCTTCGGGAAGGAGAGGTGCTGGGCCTCGGTTGGGGACTGGCTACAAGTCCACCCCCTACCCCCATGAAAAGAGAAGGGGCGTGAAAGCTCCGCTAAGTTGAGCTACTTCTTGTAGACAGCCTGTCAGGATACTGACGAGGAGGAGGAAGAGGAAGATGATGATCAGGTGAGAGCCAGGGATAAAAACGGGGACCAGGCGGTCCAGGCAGTCTCCACAGGGACAGGGGTGGACAGTGTATTTGGGCTTGGCCTGGGGCAGCCAGGGCCACTAAAAGAGACTGGTAATGGCCAGAGGGATACAACCCTGATCCCACTAAGCCAGTGGGAGTTCAGGGAAGGAGAGCAGTGTGGACTGGGGTGTGCTTGGAGTGATAGGTAGGAGCAGAAGAGCCAGGGGAAGAAGCTGGGTCATGGAAACACCCAGCTTGAGAGGGGCCAGCCCTATCAACCAAGGGCAGCCCCAGGGACCCCTGCAGCTGGTGGCAGAGCGTGGGAGGGAGGTGTACAGTCACTGAGCTGGCCCTGGTGCTCCAGCCCCTGACCTGGCTCCACAGGCTGAATACGACGCCATGTTGCTGGAGCACGCTGGAGAGGCCATCCCTGCCCTGGCAGCCGCGGCTGGGGGAGACTCCTTTGCCCCATTCTTTGCCGGTTTCCTGCCATTATTGGTGTGCAAGACAGTGAGTGTCCATCTTCTGGCTTCAAGCCCTAGTCCCCTCGTGCACCCGGTGCCCACCACAGCCTTTATCCTTGGCCCAGGCTGATCTGTACTCCTTCCTGTTCTCCCCCATCAGAAACAGGGCTGCACAGTGGCAGAGAAGTCCTTTGCAGTGGGGACCTTGGCAGAGACTATTCAGGGCCTGGGTGCTGCCTCAGCCCAGTTTGTGTCTCGGCTGCTCCCTGTGCTGTTGAGCACCGCCCAAGAGGCAGACCCCGAGGTGCGAAGCAATGCCATCTTCGGGATGGGCGTGCTGGCAGAGCATGGGGGCCACCCTGCCCAGGAGTATCCTTGGCTCGCAGGACGGGAGGGACTGGAGGTTGGGGGAGTGTCCCCAGGGCTTGCAGGTGGGCAAGGTCTACCTGAGCGTGTGGCCATTCCTTGACTGTGGACCAGACACTTCCCCAAGCTGCTGGGGCTCCTTTTTCCCCTCCTGGCGCGGGAGCGACATGATCGTGTCCGTGACAACATCTGTGGGGCACTTGCCCGCCTGTTGATGGCCAGTCCCACCAGGAAACCAGAGCCCCAGGTGAGGGAGGGAGACATCAGGCAGGGCTTGGAAGCTGAGGAGGGAGGGTGGTGGAGGGCAGGGCAGGTTGGCCTGAGACATTTGTGTGCCCAGGTGCTGGCTGCCCTACTGCATGCCCTGCCACTGAAGGAGGACTTGGAGGAGTGGGTCACCATTGGGCGCCTCTTCAGCTTCCTGTACCAGAGCAGCCCTGACCAGGTAACCTTGCTGCTGGCAGCCCTCAGAGGGGAACGTGCCGCTCCACTCAGTGATAGGCACTGTCTGCTGATGAGGCTCGGGAGCTCCAGGCTGTCAGTTGCACCTGATGCAAGGTGACAGTTTCAGCTGTTCTTTTGGTACTCCCTGCACCATTTCTTATTTGTCTGCAAGGATTGGCAGCCAGTCCTGTGATGGGACAGGAGGGACTTCCTTTCTCCACGTAGCATTTTTCCTGAGGAAGCTCCATTTCTACCCTTTGGTCTGAGCCAGAAGTTGCAGTTTTCCTAGGCTGGTTTCCTAAACCGGGGCCCTTTCAAACTGTGCTCTGTGGAGCCCAGGGTACCTCTGGGCCACCACACCATACATTTCAATCAGATCAGCTCTGCTCTCTGAAGAGATTTTGCCTGTACCAAGTAGCTAGGTTTGGAGTCATGTCAGAGTGTTTGTGTCACCCTTGTCTTATACCTTTAGAGACTGTTGTGTAGGTGAAGCTCCTGAGTGTCTGGGTTTCTTTAGGTCTTGAGGCTATGACTTTAATCATCTTGTCCCACATCCCCCATTCCCTCCAAAAAAAATCATTAGCACCAAGTTTCATTGGTTCTTCTCATGTTCATAGTTGTCTTGGATGCCTGTGAATCAGTACCAGGTGCAACCACCCCCCTGATAAGAGATTCTGCCACTCCTTGGTCCTGACCACCCTCCTAGACCTGGGGTCTGGGGCTGCTGCCCTGAGTCAGCCACTCTTTCCTCACAGGTTATAGATGTGGCTCCCGAGCTTCTGCGTATCTGCAGCCTCATTCTGGCTGACAACAAGATCCCACCAGGTGAGGGTAGGAGTCATAGGCAGGGGCTTGCGGGAGGCTGGGAGTGGCAGGGCTCAGAGAGCCTGGGGCAGCGAGGCTTTAGGAGCCCCGACCTTTCTCCCTCCCTCTCCACCCAGACACCAAGGCCGCACTGTTGCTGCTCCTGACGTTCCTGGCCAAACAGCACACCGACAGCTTTCAAGCAGCTCTGGGCTCACTGCCTGTTGACAAGGCTCAGGAGCTCCAGGCTGTACTGGGCCTCTCCTAGACTGCAGGCTGCAGCCAGTCCAGAGAGAATAGAGCCTGCCCAGGCCTTAAGACCACCTCTCAGCCCAGTTCAGTTCTGCCTTACCAAAGATTCTGAGACTCATACCCATTTGGAGCCAGCCCCACTTGCTGCCTTACAGGGCTGTCCCTGAGGCTGGATCTGTTACAAATGAGTCATGACATCATACTGTAATAAAAGCAGCTTGTTTTCTGCTTGAACAATAGCTCTGAGAGCAAGAAGGCTGGAAATGCACATTCAGAAATGAGGTAAGCAGGACCCAGTGAGGCACGACGTGGTTTACTAGAAGTGGCCGGTTTCCTGGCAGCTTTGTAAATGGACTCTAACCTCAGTGGAATCTGGGCCCCGGCTGGATCAGGAGGCGACCATATGGCTTTTCTTGTTTCACGTGAAGAATCTGTTGCGCTGAGAGCACTGGTCAAGAGGCGAGGAGAGGGCAGGTCGGGGGAGTCCCTGTACGGGCCTCTGGTCTCTGTGTCCCTGCCCCACATACACACACACACATGCATACACTCACCCAGGAGCAGGTAGAAGACCCGGGCAGCCATCCTGCGGGGGCTGAGAGGTGACACCAGGCTGCTGAAGTCGGGCTCCCTGTTAGCCTGCAGCTCCAGTGCCACTGCCCTATAGGGATCAAGAACCATTAGCAGAGGCTTCAGCCCGGGTCCACCCCATCAAGGTGCCACCTCCCTGGTACCTGTGCACTGCTTCCAGTGAGAGCAGCTCGAGCTCTGGGGGCAGCACCAAAGGCATCTCCATGGGCACCTCAGGGAGTTCAGGCACCACGGGCAATGCAGGAGCTTCTGGCGCCTCCACCTCAGGCCAGGCCCTAGGAGGACATGAGAGAGTAGGGAAGGTGGCAGCTGTGACAGTGACAAGGGGCATACCCATCCCAGCAGCTGTTTCCACCACCTGGCCAAGGGCTGTGGGCCCTGGCTCCCACGGAGCCTGGCCGCTTACCACCGTTCTTCTGGTGGGATGAGGCTGATGCGGGACTTCTCCTCTTCAGCTGCCTCTAGGGAGATCTCTGTTGGGGGAGGAAAGGCGCTAGTGGGTGTCTGCTTGGGTGGCAGTTAGGGCCTTGTGGCCACCTGGTGTAAGTAGATGGCAGAGCCGTGCGGTGACTTGTTAAAAGCACATAGGTGGGAGAGCTGAGGAGGACCAGTCCGTGCTTCCTTATGTCACACACACACGCCTTCACTCATAAAACAGCTTCAGCAGTTGGGATACTAGTTTCCTGGGACAGTGGTTAGGGTGTGGTCCCACTGCGCCTCTTCTCTAGGTGCTTACCTAAAGACACCATAAGGGGAACACTGGGCTCCAGGGCCTCCCTCGGGACCTGGGGATGGGAGAAGTAGAACTAAGACCCCAAGCATCTGGGACTTGGGCCTCAGAAGGCACAAGGCCAGTGAGCCTGTGCTGTTGGCTCTCATAGCAGGAGAGGGCAGCCAGCTGGTCAGGCAGACCCTGGCACTGGGGCGATGCAGTAAACAGGTGGTGCAGTTACCTCAATCTCACTTGGAACTTCAATCTTTCTCCTTTCCTCCTCAGCGGCTGCCTCCTCAGGCAGCTCTCGCCTGAGGGCTTTTGGGGGTGGCTGGGCACAATGGGTCCAGAGACCCAGTAGTTCAGGGGGTAGCCAGCCAGCTGTGGACAAGAGGGTAGTAGGCACGGGGTTTGAGGCGTGAGGAGCACCAGGAATGAGGAATTGGTTTTGAGGATACTTCGTGCCCAACCCCCACCATTCTTACAGAGAGTTGGGGTTCTGAACAACTCCGCAGGGCCTCTGATGGTCCTCTCGGGCGGCTGCACCATAGGCTGTGTAGTGGGGGAAGGTCAGAAGCCCCATTATAAAGCAGCCACTCCTCAGGGCCCCTTTGCCTCTTTGCAATGCACTGTTCTGGGGCTTCTGGACTTCCCCAGCTTTTGCGCTCATGACCCTGCCTGCCCTGCTCATTGCTAAAAGAAGGACTTTTTAACCTGGTGCCCATGGGTATGACAGGTGGGTCACTAAAGGAGCATGAAGAGTTGTATATGTGCAAACCCACATCGCCTGCATTTTCTGGAGAATGGAGGAGATTTTTCATCAAGTTCCCAATCCTCCCCCCACCCACCTGAGGAGTTTGGAAGGCTCAGCCTGCATGTGCCCCTGGTCATCCCTGCCTCCCTCCCTTCCCCGGCAAAGCCTGGGCTGCACTCACACATTCCCAGCAGTGGGCTCTGGTTTGCAGTTGTTCCTGGAATTTCTCCGGGGAGATCTGAGTCTCCTTGTCCCAGAACAGTAACCGGCGACGACGGCGGCGGCGAGGAGGTGGGGGGACTGGGGGCCTCCTCTGTTGAGTGGGGAGGGCAGGTAGGGGCAAGGCTGCCCATTACTCCTTTTCCTGTCATTCTGGTGGACTGCTAACAGGACCCCACACCCGCCCCTAGAGGAACCTGGAGAGGGCTTGTGCGGGGTCTCCATGCACTTGAGCAGCTCATACCTTGCATAAGGGTACCCATCTGGGAAGCGTAGGCCAGATACGATGGGGCGTAGAAAGGGGCATCTTTTATCATCTGCATTAAGGACCCCTGTAAGCTAGCAGTGGCCCTGGGCTTGGGGAGGCAGTCCTTGTGGGGGAGGGCAAAGAGGAGGAGGAGGAGGATTAGAAGGGAGGCTACTCACCTCTGGGCTGGGTGGGGCTGGCAGACGCAGCTCCTCCGGGGGGGTCACCTCTGCAACAACACCCAAGGGGCTCTGTCCCATAAGCCCCTTACCCCTTGCAGATGCCAGGGCAAGAAACTGCAGGGTCCTCCCTTTAGCAAGTTGGGATATAAAGCCCTTGTCTGCAGCAGTATCCAGGTACTCCCAGAAAAGCCCCTGGGGCATGGTGGGCACTCACCCATGAGTAGGGCCCCAGGTTCCCAGCCTGTCAGCCTCAGCTCCTCAGGACCCAGTGCCTCTCCTATTCCTTCCACCCTGAGGGGAAATGGGCAAGAGAAATGAGGAGACCCTTCCCAGCACTGACACCCTACCTGGTCTAGGAGTTCTTGCCCTTACTCTGCAGGAGCTGGAGGTGGGAGCCGCGGGACTGTGGAGAGAGAATCAGAGTTCAGAGGACAGAAAAAGAGAAATGGGAGCATTGCCCAGTCCCAGAATGCCCACGCCAGGGGTCTGACTATCCAGCTCCAGGCGGGCCCTACGCTGCCGGAGACACCTACTTTCTAACAAGATAGCTTCTTCTTCCTCTGCGATCAGCAGGTCCAGTTCTCGGCGGCTGACCTCTGGGAGCTCCCGTTCACCCTGTCCAGAGAGGAAGAGCAAGGGGAGGGGATTCAATAATATTTCTGAAAAAGGCAAGTGGATCCAGGAGAGTGGATCCCAGAGGCATGCCACAGGGCCAGGTTCAAGGAAGCCACTGGGTGCTCAAGTGCCAGGGACAGAGAATAGGGAAATGGAGACAGAAAAGGCAGGACTCTGGGGACAGAGAGAAGTACATGCAAGGGGGCTGGACCTCAGGCCCTGTGTGCAGGGGAACTCACCTCAATCTCCAGCATCCGTATGGGCTCTGCCTCCAGGATCGTGATGGCCTCAGGTGGCAGCACAGTGACCGGAATCCTCTCTGGAGGGACAAGAGAGTCACTAGCCTCTCTGCTTCTTTCCAAATTCCCACAGCCATGCAGTTAAGGAAAAGCATGGACTCTGAAGTCAAGGTAACCTGGATTCTAATCAGACCCAGGCTAATCTCTGGCATCCTGACCCTGGGTACACTGCTTAACCACTGTGAGCCTCACTTTCCTCATCGGTAAAGTGGGGAGGCTGGGCGAAGTGGCTCACACCTGTAATCCCAACACTTTGGATCGCTTGAGCCCAGGAGTTTGAGGCCAGCCTGGGCAACATAGCGAGACCCTGTCTCTACAAAAAATTTAAAAACTAGCCAGGTGTGGTGGCTTATCCTTGTGGTCCCAGCTACTCTGGAGGCTGAGGTGGGAGGATTGCTTGAGCCCTGGAGGTCAAGGCTGCAGTGACCTATGATCATCATACCACTGCACTCCAGCCTGGGAAAAAAAGAAAAAAAAAAAAAAAAAGCCGAGTATGGTGGCTCACGCCTGTAATCCCAGCACTTTGGGAGGCTGAGGTGGGTGGATCAACTGAGGTCAGAAGTTTGAGACCAGCCTGGCCAACATGGCAAAAACCCATCTCTACTAAAAATACGAAAATTAGCTGGGCGTGGTGGTGCATGCCTGTAATCCCAGCTACTAGGAAGGAGAATTGCTTGAATCCGGGAGGCGGAGGTTGCAGTGAGCCTAAAGTGCACCACTGTACTCCAGCCTGGGCTAGAGAGTGATACCCCATCTCTCAAAAAAAAAAAAGGATAAGAAATCTGACCTCAGAGGACTCTTGTGAGGTACTGATGAGGTTATACACATAAAATGCCCCTCACCAGGCACGGTGGCTCACACCTGTAATCCTAGCACTTTGGGAGGCCGAGGCGGGTGGATCACCTGAGGTCAGGAGTTTGAGACCAGCCTGGCCAACATGGTGAAACCCCATCTCTACTAAAAATACAAAAATTCGCCGGGCATGGTAGTGCACATCTGTAATCCCAGCTACTAGGGAGGCTGAGGCGGGACAATTGCTTGCAGTGAGCCGAGATCGTGCCACTGCACTGTAGCCTGGGCAACAGAGTGAGACTCTGCCTCGAAAAAAAAAAAAAGCGCCCCTCACAAGGCCTGGCTCTTAAGCTCAAAAATGGTCATTTCTACAGCTCTTGGGCCTGCCTATGCCTCTCACCAGAAAGAAGGTTCTCTCTGCTGACCTGGCTCCCTGGGCTCTGTAGGAACTTCAGGAGGGATCTCTTCAACTCTCTCTGGGATTGCAGCCTCTAAGAGGTGTCGAATCTTTGGAGAGGGATTGGAAACAAAAGATAGGGTTCAGCTTCAGCCCCCTGCTTTCCCACTTTTCACAGCCTTCTTCAACAATGCACGGTAATCTCCTTTTATGCCTAATTCTTGTTGCATTGACATCAGCTTGCAGTAAACTCACCCGCCCTCTGGTCTTCTTTCCTCAGTTCCTGTTCTCACCTCCCTCCCCAACCCGCACCCCAGTTATCTAGCCCTCATCAATTTGTGCAAGAAGGCCGGGCTCGGTGGCTCATGTCTGTAATCCCAGCACTTTGGGAGGCTGAGGTGGGTGGATCACTTGATGTCAGGAGTTCCAGACCAGCCTGGCCAACATCGTGAAACCTGATTTCTACTAAAAATACAAAAATTAGCCGGGCTTGGTAGCAGTGCCTGTAATTCCAGCTACTTGAGAGGCGGAGACAGGAGAATTGCTTGAACCTGGGAAGCAGAGATTGCAGTGAGCTGAGATTGAGCCACTGCACTCCAGCCTGGGTGACAGAGCAAGACTCTGTCTCAAAAAAAAAAAAAAAAAATTTGTGCAAGCAGCAGTGCATCGTTATCCTTGGCAAGTGTTGTGGTTGACAGAGGTGAACAGAAAAGATTCTTGATCTTAAGGAAGTCTAGTGGGGAGACAAGGTTGTATGTAACCCCACAAGAGTCAAGGCAAAGGGTAAAACAAGGCCCTAGCAAAGTACTGAGTTCCCAAACTGCATTTGGTTCCGGCTAAGACTGGGATAAATATTTCATAGAGAAGGGCAGCATTTGAGCCAGGTCTGTAAGAATATGTAGAACCCGACTTGTAGAGGATGAGGGGTGACCATTATGGGCTAGGGAAACAGTACAAGCAAAGATGTGAATGTGGCATCATTGAGGCATAAGGGCCAAACTAGTGTTTAGGAGCCACAGATGCCCAGAGGACTGAGAGAGAAGTCTGGGGATGACTAGTTCTAAACTGGGGTATGTGCCAGGCACGGTGGTTCACACCTGTAATCCCAGCACTTTGGGAGGCCGAGGCGGGTGGAGTGCCTGAGATCAGGAGTTCAAGACCAGTCTGACCAACATGATGAAACTCCATCTCTACTAAAGATACAAAAATTAGCCGGGCATGGTGGCAGGCATCTGTAATCCCAGCTATTCGGGAGGCCGAGGCAGGAGAATCGCTTGACCAGAGGAAGCGGAGGTTGAAGTGAGCCAAGATCATGCCACTGCACTCCAGCCTGGGTGACAGAGACTCCATTTCAAAAAATAATAATAATAGGCCAGCGCGATGGCTCACGTCTGTAATCCTAGCACTTTGGAAAGCCAGGGTGGGTGGATCACCTGAGGTCTGGAGTTCGAGACCAGCCTGGCCGATAAGGCGAAACCCTAAAAAAATTGGGCCGGGCTCTGTGGCTCATGTCTGTAATCCCAGCACTTCAGGAGGAGGAGACAGGCAGATCATGAGGTCAGGGGTTCGAAACCAGCCTGGCCAGCATGGTGAAACCCTGTCTCAACTAAAAATACAAAATCAGTTGGGCATGGTGGCAAATGCCTGTAGTCCCAGCTACTCGGGAGGCTGAGGCAGGAGAATTGCTTGAACCGGGGAGGCAGAGGTTGCAGTAAGCTGAGATCGTGCCACTGCACTCCAGCCTGGGCCACAGAGCAAGATCCTGTCTCAAAAATAATAATAATAATAGTAATAAAATAAAAAAAGAAATAAATGGGGCATGGAGAGCCCCAAATGCTAGTAATCTGTTTGCAGCAGGAGCCACTGTTCAAATGGGGAACCAAGGAAGGGGGTGACATTAAGCTGTAGGAGTATTGGGAATAGATGGAGGAGGACAGGGGTAAGAAAGCCCAGTGCAGAGAGATGAGAGCCTGGATTAGGGCCTTGGCAGTGAAAACAGTGTGGAGACAAGTGGGGACAAGAGCTGCCTCCAGTGGGGAAACCGTCTGATCAGATTGGCCCTGAGTAGGTAAGTACAGGGGGCTTCGCCTGGATGGGTCCACCTTGGCAGTCCCCCTGCACCATCTCCTGTGGGAGAGAGCTGTGGTAAGCTTCCTTCCCCAACCCCAATGTCAGAGTGACACAGGGACAGCACTCCCCTTCTGCATTGCCAATTCACGAGTCTTGGGGAATGAGCCCTACCTGAGGGATATCGAAAGGACTAGGAAGTCTGGGATCCACAGACATCATCCCAAAAAAGGGATCTGGAGCATCTTCTAGGGTCTCCATCATGGCCAGGTGGTTAGGAAGCAGCAGGCTGGGTCTGGGAGAGAATGTAGGCCGTGAAGGACTGAGGCTGAGCCAGGCTGAGGCCAAGCTAGCAGGTGTTCCATCAAAGGCCCAGGGCACACTCACAGCTCAGTCTCCATATCTATTCGGATCTGCAGCTGGGCACGGTGGAGGCGCTCCAAGATGTGCTGGATGTCCTCTGTGGGCAGGGAGGACGAGGTAGACAGCCAGCTTAGCAGACAGCTGCTCAGCCCGCCCCACCTTTGAGGGTTCCCAGCCTTACCCACGAGGTACTGGCATTGTTGAGAATAGACGCGGATCACACCGATCTGAAGTTGGGCTGAGAGATAGAGGGAGAAGCGGGGCCGCGGCAGGCCGGGCTGCGGGGGTTGCACTCGTACCAGCACGTAATTGAGGATTTCCTCGCTGGGGAACAATGCGCCCTGATTACCGCTGCGTCCAGGAGTGGGCCCACAGTCTTGGCCACCCCATCCCCTAACTCACCCCCCGCACCAGGCCCTCCTTCCCTTTTCTGGGCCTTACCAGGTTTTCACCACATTCACCCTCAGGTATTCGCGCTTCACCAACCGGCTGCCGCGAGTCGCCGCCAGCCTGAAGTGGGTGGGGAAGGTGGGAGAATGGGGATGGAGGGGGAGCTGTCAGGCTGGGATCCCGGGCAGCGTCCGCCATCGCGCGCCAACGGGCCCCGCCCTTACCAGATGGTGGCAAAGCAGCCGGTGTGGCGCTGAAGCACGTTGGGATAGTAGAACATTGTCCCTCTGGTCTTTCACCCTCGATTCCACCAGATCCCCGTTCGGATCTGAGTCGGAATTCTTTAGGGCACAGAATTCCCAACACCTTGGAGAGAAGTCAGGATTTGGACTTCTCTGGTGGCAAGGTGGGTGCACCTAGAAAGCCAAGTTAATGAGGCAACGAACAATGGGCAGATACACAATTACCAGGATAACTGAGACGCAGGAGATGGGCGCCCCTCTCTGTGGACCCTCAGTGGATCCGCACGCCACGTGATGCGTCAAACTTGAGACTTCTGGGTTGGGTTCCAGGTTGGAGATGCAGAGCTCCAAGGGGACGTCCGGGCCGGAATCCAGAGCAGGTCCCGAGGGAGCACGGTGTCCTCCACAGCAGGCCTCGGTCCTCGAGCGCTGGGAGCGATGTCAGGCCCCTGGGCCTTGCACTGGCTTGGGCGGCCGCGGTGTGGCCCCGGGCCGCCTACTGCAGGACTAGATCGCACCGCGGGAAGCGAGCGCTTCGGGGCACCGCACCTCGCTCCTCATTAGATGGCGGCTTTTGCCCTGACAGCCAATGGGGAACGGGGGTCGGGTCGGGAACGCCAAGTATCCTGGCAACAGGGTCTCCCGAGGCAGCCAGCAAACCAATCATAAGGATTTTGCGCGCCGCTGGGGTCCATTGTGAGGTGTTCCGACCAATGGGCTCCGGTTCTCGCCTCTAGTAACAGGCGCCCCTTCCTTGACCAATGAGCGCATCCCCGTCGCTCCCCCGCCGCTCCCCCGCCGCAAGCCTGGCAACAAGGGCGCCTCAATTGGTAGGGGAGGTCGGGTCACCTCGGGGGCAACTGTACTGGGCCTCTTCCGGGTGCCAAGATGTACCTTGCACGGCGCCTGACCTGAGGTTAGACCCCGCCCTTCCCCCAATCCACAAACTCCGACTTTGTTTCCAACTAGGGCGTGTCGTGTGCTGCAGAGGAAGAAAGATGTGAGATGAGGCCGGGCGCAGTGGCTCACGCCTGTAATCCTAGCACTTTGGGAGGCCGAGGCGGGCGGATCATGAGGTTAGGAGTTCGAGTCCAGCCTGACCAATATGGTGAAACCCCGTCTCTATTAAAAATGCAAAAGTTAGCTGGGCGTGGTGGCACGCGCCTGTAATCCCAGCTACTCAGGAGGCTGAGGCAGGAGAATGCTTGAACCTGGGAGGCGGAGGTTGCAGTGAGCCGAGATCATGCAGCTCCACTCCAACCTGGGCAAGGGAGCAAGACTCCGTCTCAAAAAAAAAAAAAAAAAAAAAGGCTGTGAGATGATGGCCTTGGAGCCACCACAGGTCAATGAGGAAGAAGTCCATTTTTTTTTTTTTTGATGGCCTTGGAGCCACCACAGGTCAATGAGGAAGAAGTCCATTTTTTTTTTTTTTTTTTGAGATGGAGGCTCTCACTGTTGCCCAGGCTGGAATGCAGTGGCGCTATCTCGGCAATCTCGGCTCACTGCATCCTCTGCCCCCCATCCCCTCAGGTTCAAGCGATTCTCGTGTCTTGGCCTCCTGAGTAGCTGGGATTACAGGCGCCCTCCATCACACCCAACTAATTTTTGCATTTTTAGAAGAGACGGGATTTCACTATGTTGGCCAGGCTGGTTTCTTTTTTTTTTGAGATGGAGTTTCACTCTGTCACCCAGGCTGGAGTGCAGTGGCGCAGTCTCAGCTCATTGCAGCCTCCGCCTCCCCGGTGCAGGGGATTCTCCTGCCTCAGGCTCCCGAGTAGCTGGGATTACAGGCGCCCACCACCACACCTGGCTAAATTTTGTATTTTTTAGTAGAGACAGGGGTTTCACCATGTTGGCCAGGCTGGTCTCGAACTCCTGACCTCAGGTGATCCGCCCGCCTTGGCCTCCCAAAGTGCTGGGATTACAGGCGTGAGCCACTGCCCCCAGCTGAAGAAGTCAATCTTACACGAAACTCCGAAAGGACTTACTGGGGTCACTTCCTAAATCTGAACAACTTAGGTTATGGGCACGCCACGTGTGGTCCTTTCCCAGCTGTCAGTGTTCTCCCGGCTGAAATAGACTTTAGCATTTTTGGATGCAGCACAACTTCCTAGCCTGGAAAAGCCATATTCTCAACAATTATTGTGTAAATTTAAGAGGTACAGTTGTAATAATAACCCTTGTCCCTATGCCTCCTACCTTTGCACAGCCATTTCTTTGGCCTAGAATGTCCTTCTCTGCCTTGACTCCAGAGCATGCTTCTTCCTGAGACTTATATCTTACTGCAGCTGAGCTGACCCTATCTTCTTACAGTCCCCTTCAATTTGAGAGTTTTTTTTTTTTTTTTTTTTTTTTTTTTCTGAGATGGAATTTTGCTTGTCGCCCAGGCTGGAGTGCAATGGACCATCTTGGCTCAGTGCAACCTCCGCCTCCTGGGTTCAAGCAATTCTCCTACCTAAGCCTCCTGAGTAGCTGGGACTACAGGCATGTGCCACTATGCCTGGCTAATTTTTTTGTATTTTTAGTAGAGACAGGGTTTCAACCATGTTGGCCAGGCTGGTCTCAAACTCCTGACCTCAGGTGACACCCGCCTCGGCCTCTCAAATTACATGCCTATAGTCACAGCTACTCAGAAGGCTGAGACAGGAGGATCGATTGAGCCGAAGGTCGAGGCTGCAGTGAGCCATGATTGCACTGCTGTGCTCCAGCATGGGCGATTCTGTCAAAAAAAAAAAAAAAAAGAAAGAAAGAAAAAAAGAAATACATGAAGTGGCCGTAAGTGCTATGAAGAAAATGAGGCAGCATAGGAGGATAGAATAATGACGGCTGCTATTTAGGGAGGGTACTCAGGGAAGCCTTGCCCCCTCTCTTAAGAGATAAAATTTGAAGAATGTGGGTAAGTCATGTGCCTACCTGAAGGAAGAGTAATTTAGACAAAAGAACCAGCAAATGCAAAGACCCTGAGGTAGAAATGTGTTTGGTGGGTTCAAGGAGCCTGGAGCAAAGTGACAGGGGAAGAATGGCAAGGGGCGAGAGAGAGAGAGAGAGGAGGGTAGGGTCGCATCACAGGACCTCAGAGGTCCTTATGGGGATTTGGGCTTTTACCCTGGGTGATTTGGGACCCACTGGAAGGTTCTGAGCAGAGGAGTGACATGATCAGAATTACATGTGAAAAGAATCTCTACTGTGTTGAGAATAGCTTAAGGTAGACACGTGTGGAAACAGATGTGAAGGAAGCAGAGGAGGAGACATGAGAGATGGTGGTAGTTTGTTCCAAAGTGTTGCTGATGGGAACAGAGAGAAGTGGTCAGACCCTGGATACATATTGAAGGAATAGCGAGCGACAGGATTTGCTGATGAATTGGATGTGGGGTATGATAGAAAACGGAAGGAGGCCAGGTATAGTAGCTCACACCTGTAATCCCAGCACTTTAGGAGGTCAAGTAGTTGGGACTATAGGCACACACCACCACACCTGGCTTTTTTTTTTCCCCCACTTTTTTTTTTTGAGATGGAGTTTCGCTCTTGATGCCCAGGCTTGGAATGCAATGGCACGATCTTGGCTCACTGCAACCTCTGCCTCCTGGGTTCAAGTGATTCTCCTGCCTCAGCCTCCCAAGTAGCTGGGATTATAGGCATGTGCCACCATGCCCAGCTGATTTTTTTTATATTTTTAGTAGAGATGGGGTTTCACCATGTTGGTCAGGCTGGTCTCGAACTTCTGACCTCAAGTGATCCACCCACCTGGGCCTTCCAAAGTGCAAGGATTACAGGTGTGAGCCACCATGCCTGGCCTCACCTGGCTAATTTTTAAGAATTTTTGGGAGCCAGGTGCAGTGGCTCACGCCTGTAATCCCAGCACTTTGGGAAGCTGAGGTGGGCAGATCACCTGAAGTCAGGAGTTCGAGACCAGCCTAGCCAACATGGTGAAACCCTGTCTCTACTAAAAATACAAAAATTAGCCTGGCATAGCGGTGCGCACCTGTAATCCCAGATACTCAGAAGGCTGAGGCAGGAGGATCACTTGAACCCAGGAGGTGGAGGTTGCAGTGAGCCAAGATTGCACTACTGCACTCCAGCCTGGGCAACAGAGTGAGACTCTGTCTCAAAAAAAAAAAAAAGAATTTTTTGTAGAAGTAGGGTTTCACTATGTCACCCAGGCTAGTCTCAAACTCCTGGGCTAAGGCAGTCTTCTCACTTCGATCTCCCAAAGTGCCAGGATTACAGACATAAACCACCACGCCCAGCCGAAAAAAAAAATTTTTTTTTTTTGAGATGGAGTTTTGCTCTTTTTGCCCAGGCTCGAGTGCAGTGGTGCAATCTCGGCTCACTGCAACCTCCGCCTCCTGGGTTTAAGCGATTCTCCTGCCTCAGGCTCCCAAGTAGCTGGGATTACAGGTGTCCACCAACACGCCTGGCTAATTTTTTGCATTTTTAGTAGAGACGGGGTTTCACCATGTTGGCCAGGCTGGTCTCGAACTCCTGACGTCAGGTGATCCACCCACCTCGGCCTCTCAAATTACTGGGATTCCAGGTGTGAGCCACAATGCCCAGCCAAGTTTTTGTTTTTAATCAAAATAATTAAAATAAAATGGAAGTCAAGGAGATAATTTAGACCTTGTACAAAGAAGGTCCAGGAAGGATTTCATCACATTGCATCACATTGAGGGCACAACAGGGTTTGTACACCTCTGCATTCAGTACCTCATTTCTTCACTGCTAGTGCAGAGAATGTCTAGGTGCTTGGCTTCCCAGTGGGATGATGGACAAGACTGAAGGGAAGAAGGGAGGTCCATGGAGGCAGGGAGGCTCAAAGGCAGCACTGAAGCTTGTCAAATGAGGCAGCAAGAAGGTCCTAGGAAGACTTAGGCATCCAGATTTGATCATGTGTGTGAACCATTGAGGGCTGAAGGGTGAAATGACAGAAGGAAGTCTGGAAAGCTAAGCTGGTGTCATATGCAGGAAGAAGGAAGCTGAAGGCTGTGGCCTGGGTTGGAACTAGTTTGCTGGAAGTGAGTGTACAAAAAAGTAGGTGACAAGTGGCCTTGTGGTGAAGGAAAAACTTCCAGTTTCGTAGTAAAATGAACATGGGGGAAAGAAGAGTGTCAGCCAATTTGGAGCCCTCAAGTCTCATGAACAGCATGACATGGCAGTCTAGGCCGGAGTGCTTTTTTTTTTTTTCTTTTTTAATCTTGAGACAGAGTCTCGCTCTTGTTGCCCAGGCTGGAGTACAATAGCACGATCTTGGCTCACTGCAACCTCCGCCTCCCGGGTTCAAGCGATTCTCCTGCCTCAGCCTCCCAAGTAGCTGAGATTACAGGTGCCCGCCACCAGGCCTGGCTAATTTTTGTATTTTTAGAAGAGACGCTGTTTCACCGTGTTGGCCAGGCTGGTCTCGAACTCCTGATCTCAAGTGATCCACCCACCTTGGCCTCCCAAAGTGCTGGGATTATAGGTGTGAGCCACTGCGCCCAGCCGGCCAGAGTGTCTTTTATGGGGCTTAGATAGAGCAAGGAATCCAGTTTGGGAGTACCCTGCTGGGGTGACAGTGAAATTGTGCTGGAGGAAGAGGTGCCAGTAACAGCAGGTACAGTTTCAGCAACTCTTCTCTCTGACTCCTCTGTTCTCAGGTCCCAGGGCCTCTAGACCATAGTTTCAGGTCACCCTCAAGTGTCTCCTCTTCATTTAGACCTCCAATCTAACTAACCTCAGGCCCGATGTTGGGGCCTTCTAGCAAGAACTGTGGAGCCCAGACTTTACCATGTGAAGTTGGTGGCTATAGTGCCTGGCTGAAGGCTTGGTGCCCAACCCACACCCTAATCTTATCTGCCCAGAGGGTACCTCTGTAGAGTGCCAGGCCCAGGACCCACAGGGCCCAGGCAGCATCTTAGCCAGAACCTGTGGGCAGAGGAGAGGAAAGAGGCTGGAGATGTCAGCAGGAAGAGAACCCCAGTGCCCCACTCTTAAGTTTACATCTCTATCTGTGACCACTGCTACCTTCTTCTCCCAGAAAATCAGATACTGATTCCTCTTTCAATAAAATTTTATTTTAAGTCCTTAGTGAATATCTAAGAGGAAAATATAAAGTGCTTGGCTTTAGAGTTGGGAGGTCAGGGAAGAGGGAAAGGCCCCCTGGGTTCACACCATTTGGAATTTCCTAGTCCCTTACAGATGAAAGAGGGCGTATATCTCAAAATTAAAAAAAAAAAAGGATAAAAAATTAGCCTTGAGTTCTCCACCAGCCAGTGTGTGCGAGGATTTTCAGGACACGATTATCACGGACAACTACTGAGAATTATCACAAAGAGGACAGGTCAATCGTGTGAAGAATGAGTCTACTTCAAAGGAGACAGGAAGAACAAAGAGGTGAGGTGGAAGATGGGTCCCCCAGGCTCTACACCAGGGACAGAATGGCTGCCTGCTGCTCTGGAGTCTGCTCCAGCAAGTATCGGGCAAAGGCCTGCTCCATCTGTATTGGAAGAGATGGAGAAGAGCATCTCAGTGCGTGCATCAGGGACAGACACCACCCCCAGGAGCTCCTTCCCCACTGGGAGACCCCCTTTGCCTCCTGGAGCACCACTGTCTCTGCTCTCATTAGATGGGTACTCTACCCCTGCTCCGAGCTCACCTTCACTGTGATAAGATTCTGTGGAGTATGGCTGGAGCCATGGCTCTCTTCCCAGAAATTCAGTGTTACCTGGAACTTCGGTGGGGGGCCCAGGCCCTGAAAGTACCTGACCAAGTCTGAAAGAGAAAGGGTCAAGGGTTCGAAGAACAAAAAGAAGAGAGAGGGCCACAGGCAGGGAGGCAATAGTGAGGAACCCATGATGGAGAGAGGTAGGAGGGGGTCTTGCCAGAGCAGGAGCTGCAAGGTCAGAAGTACTTGGAACTAAGTGCTACTCACCCATGTGCAAATAGGAAAGGGTGCCCCTGCCTCATATAAGTGCTTAGAAGTAGCAGATCACAGCACAGCCCGACAAGCTCTCTGCTGGGAGAGTTTAGAGTCCTCCCAGGTAGCAGCCCTGGCTGCTAACTCAGATGTGCCCAGACCTTTGCTACTTGCTCACATCCTCCCAGTGCTAGGGCACCCATGGCCCTGGGAACACCCACACTCTGCACCCCCTGTACACCTGGTCCCACTCTTAAGGTCAGGTTTAGAATTGAGTAGGAGCTGGAATTGGATGGGAGAGAAGCGCAACCCTAAGGCATGCCTGGAGTGTGGTAAAGACGGTGCAGCCAGGGCCAGTGTGTGTGATGTGTGCCAGCTCTCCCAAATGTGTGTACGTAGGAGAAGGCCATGAGGCTCAAAATCTCTGTGCCAATTCTTCTGTGCACCTTCACATAGTGACTGCATGCTTCAGTGTGATGGTGTTCTCCAAGATATGACACTCTTGTGCTGGGCTCTACCTGAACCACCTCTTCCATTGTCTTGGCTGGAGGAGAGCTGCCAGGTAGCTGCCAGGCTGGGCATATGGCCACACAGGATATGCAACACACAAGCGCAGGAGTGCCATGCATAGGCTACATGGAGGATCTGCTGGCAGATAGGGAGGTAGCAGGACCCAACAAGTTGGGCCCAGGGGGTACTAAGAGGTAGGGGGTGGAAGCTCATGTGCCCAGAGAGAACAGCCTCACCTCTGCAGAAGTAGGCGGTTCTGAAGAGCTCCACGCACTCGTTGCTGGGCAGCAGATGCGGGCCTGGCCCAGGTGGAGCCTGGGGTGCATTCCAGGAGATGGGGATGGGGCAAAGGCGCTGCACGAAGAGGCCTCGGGGGTTGCTGGCCACTAGGATGCCCCTCTCAAGCTGGCTCAGCAGGCGCTGCGTGGGCTCCAGTGGGCCAGGCTTGGGGAACAGCACCTGCTCCATGCTGCTCTCAGAGCCTGAGGGCTCAGCCACAAGGCGGCAATCCAGGCTTTGCACCTGGGCCTCGCCCACCACGCGCCCGTTGTAGATGAAGGTGAGCAGCAGTGAGTAGTCTGGGGATAGAACAGCCCTACCTGGTGCTGGAGGAGCATGCAGGCTGGCAGCAGCCCCTCCCCAGGGGAACAACTCCACCTCCCCTCCCCACACCAGCCAGGGGGCTTCCTCTCAGGTTTTCCTATCACTGAGGCAAGTAGCTAGTATGTGATTCACCATGAGGCCTCAGGGCTCAATGCCCAGGGGCTTGTAGTTTACTAGAAGGTCCCTTGAGATTGGGCCTCTGTTTGGCCCAATGAAATCAATGTCTCAATGTAGATTTCCAGGAGAGTGTATAGGGTGGTATTTTTGGGAAGCAAGCTTTTTGGAGTCTGGCCAGGCATATGGAATTCTCGCCACCTAGAAACCACTGCCTAGGGCTATGGTAATGTGGGTACAGTTTGCTGTAAGCCCTGACTGACTAGATAATGCATGCATAGTCAAAGGTGGAAGACCTCAGGGGCACAGGGCACAGGAGAAAGTCAGAAATGCCACGTACCTGGCTCTGGAGGAAGCAGAAACTCCAGGGACCTCTGATCCCCTTGAAAGGGGGCCTCAGTTGTGTCTGTAACTGGAAGGGAAGCAAAGGCACTGGTCATTCAGAGTGGGACTGGGGAGTCTTGGGCCAGAGGGTGTGGCATGGGGGACGACACAAGAGGCAGGGCAGGTGGTACCTTCCTGTGGCTCAGGGCTGCTGCTGCTGCTGCTGCTCCCAATGTCTGAATGGACTGCTCCCCCACTGGCCCCCTCCTCCTCCTGCGGACACAGTGTCTTTTTATTTTTTTTCTCTTTTTTTGAGACAGAGTTTCACTCTTGTTGCCCAGGCTGGAGTGCAGTGGCGCGATCTCGGCTCACTGCTATCTCCGCCCCCCGGTTCAAGCGATTCTCCTGCCTCGGCCTCCTGAGTAGCTGGGATTACAGGCAGATGCCACAACGCACAGCTAATTTTTGTATTTTTAGTAGAGACGGGTTCTCACCATGTTGGTCGAGGCTGGTTTCGAACTTCTGACCTCACGTGATCTGCCAGCCTCGGCCTCCCAAGACACAGTGTCTTTCATTGGCCCACCTCTCCCTCTGGTTACTGTCCTGCCCTTAGGCCCACCCAGTTCCCTCTCCATCTCTTACATTATTGAGGGAGTCCTGGAGCACAGAGGGACTGAGTGTGCAGTTCTGCATGGCATCCTCTTCCTCCTTCCTCTCAGAGGACACAGAACTGTGCTGTCGCTTTGATGGTACTTTCTGAGTCCCTGGCTGGCCTGTGGAATTGTTGAGGGACAGAGAAAGGTCAGGGTCTTGAGCAAGGACAGAGGGTGAAGGAGAGGTCTGAGGCAGTGAAGGATGGGCAGGTCTAGGAAGGGAAACCTGGGTTGCAGCCCCCCAAGGGCATGGACAGGGCAGAGCTATAAGCCTGGGGGAAGCCTGCACATCTATCCTTCCTCCCCAGTCTGCTGAGTCTAGCAGTGGTTGGACAAGGGGAAACTCACCAGAGACGATTCCTGGTGGCAGCAACTGATACACCTTGTAGGGCTCAGCAACATCCATGCGGCCCCTCTCAGGAACCTCCTTAAATTCAGAACTCTTGTTGAGTGCACAGCGCAGGCGAGTCTTCCAGACAGCTGGACCTCCTGTGTCCCCCTCCTTATACTTTCCCTTAAATATTGCCCAGGCCTAGGAAAGAAAGCAAGGGAAGAAGAGGCAGTGTGTTACAGGCTCCACCTGCCCCTCCAATAGGACTGGCTTTACAGGCGTGCAGCTCTGAGCTCAGAAGGGATTATGCAGGGTCTGTGCTCTGCGTTGCCATCTTGAAATCCTTGGAAATTTTTTTTTTTTTTTTTTGAGACAGAGTCTCACTCTGTCACCAGGCTGGAGTGCAGTGGTGCGATCTCGACTCACTACAACTCCACCTCCCTGGTTCAAGCGATTCTCCTGCCTCAGTCTCCCGAGTAGCTGGGACTACAGGCATGCACCGCTAGGCCCAGCTAAGTTTTGTATTTTTAGTAGAGACAGGGTTTCACCATGTTGGCCAGGCTGGTCTTGATCTCTTGACCTCGTGATCCACCCACCTTGGCCTCCCGAAGTGCTGGGATTACAGGCGTGAGCCACCGTGCCTGGCCAATATCCCTAAAATTTTTGAACAAGGCCTCCACATTTTCATTTTGTACTGGACTCTGCAAATGATGCAGCTAGTTTTCCTCTCCAATCTGTCCCTTATCTGAAACCCAGGCAGACGCAAGTGCTCGAGGATGAGTGTACCAGTGTGTATACACCATCCCACACACAGAGGAACAGTGGTTTCCAGGCCCTTTCACCTTGAAGAAGGCAGCATCCTGGTCCTCCCGGAAGTCCTGCTTGCCTGCATGTTTCCAGGGAATCCGGAACATGGTCTTAGCTGTATCATCCCAGCACACTCCGGGAAACTGCCCACTCTCCACTTGCTCCACCACCCAGTTCCGGAGTTTTCGGGTGCAGCGTGCCCTGCCTGATGCCATCCTGGGGGATAATAGGAGCAGGATGCATCAGAACTGACACTTTGGGAGGGAACATCTCCTGAGACCCTGGCCATTGAGACTAGATTCTGGCAACAGGTCCCAGAGATCCCATCCATCTTCTTTTAGCTCCAAACACATTTCAACACTCTATGGGACAGAATTGTTTCCTTTCTGCCATCACTAGCAGTGACAAACAACAACAACAACAACAAAACCCCCCAAAACATTGTTTTTAGCACTCTAAGCTGTGATACCTGGAAGGAAACCTTGGGCACTGGTCTTAATTTTAGGACTTTTCAGAGATGTATTGTTTACAAAAGAATTCCTTTGGTGATCGTTCCTGGTGACAGGCCCTGTCTAGATTCCCGAGCATCAGCAGAGGTAGGTTCTGCTGAGATCCATCAGGCTCTTCACCCACCGCCCCACAGCCTACACAACCTAGCCTGACCCCCACCCCCTGCCGGCCCCAGGAGTAGGTGGGGCAGGAAGTAGGGGTGGGGTTGGAGCTGCAGCAGAAGTGGGCAGGGCCAGATGGCAAGGAAACAAATGGTCCACTGAGGCTGGGGCCAGGAGCCTTCTTCCTTGAACAATCCAGCAGTAGGTCCTCCTGACCTTTGCCTACAAGGGTCTGGGGAGCTGGCCCTTGTCAGTCTCACTCTCAGGCTGAATCTCCCACTTCCTGACTTAAGAGATCTTCTGTCTATCCCTCAGTCTAACAGAGCGACCCCTAGGACCCCCTGCCCTCAATCTGGCTGGACTTTCTAGCCCTAGATCCCAGGCTGACTCCCATCCTTGGCTGATCTTACCTGAGTTGCTGTCCAGGCTGTCGCAGGGCTCAGACGACCTCAGCTTAACTCCTGGCTGGGCGGCTGATCTCTCCGCCCCTTTCTACAGTCCCCACCCTAAGTTTCAGTTCTCCTCCAGGGAGGGCCTTTTCCCAGAAATCACGTGGTCTGAGTTGCAGGGAACTGGCGGCCACTAGAGGGCAGCAGCATCTGAGCATCTCACTATCAGGATGCCACTGTCGCAGCAGGGGGGCCCTGCCCTGCTGGCTCAGCTCCAGCCTGGCTCATTCCCCTGCCTCCCTCAGATACTCTTGCTTCTATCTGACCTCTGGGTGACACCGTGGCTTCCCCAGGGAGGCCAGTTTCCTGGAGTCAGGCCTGGGACCTCTGGACTGCTGTGTACACCTGTGCATCTGCATTCCCCCACAGTGCCCACCTGATACATATTGGGTGACTTCAAATACCAGTCAAATTCTATGAAAGGAAAAAAGGAGGCAGGGAGGGAGGAAGCCCAGGCCAGGCTGCTGGATGGGGAGGGCCTCCCTTGACCATCCAGGGTGTCAACTCCTTCCTGGTCCTGAGTCCAGGGAGGGTCAGGCACTAGGTTGCAGGGGGCCCTTTTCAGCAAAGCTCTGTTCACCCCGCTCTTTCCCTGGTGCCCCTAGATGGTGGCACCAGGAAGAAGGACCACCAAGAAGCCTGGGTGGTAAGATGCCTCTTTATTGGTGCTGGAGCTGTTCCTGAGGGAGCAGGCCATGGGACCCTCATCGGGACCCTTGCCCTCAGCTACTTCCGCCTGCGGGGGATACTCTGTCCCAAGGGTACCTCTTCTGTCAGCTTCTGCAGAAGGAGAGAGAAGGTAATGATATTGGAAGCCTGGAGCTCAGACACAGTCAGCACCAGGTGACTTCTGTAGGGTGGGTTAAGAGATGAGGCTGGGTGGAGGCTATACCTGTAACAAGCGGGCCTGGTAAGCAGGGGGATCCTCTCCAGCCAAAGGCTGGGGGCGTACGTGCAGGTAGCGCTCAGTGGCCGTCTCCAGCTCTTCCACCTCATACAAGGTGGCTGGGTCCAGCGAGTGGGCATTGATGAGGCTCACAAGATACTCTTTGTAGTGTGCCCTGGGGAGAAAAGGGAGCAGAATATTTGTTGTGTTGGCTAATATTAACTGAGTGTGTCTAACATAGCTGGACTCTGAGACACCTGGACGAACAAGATTAACAACCCACCTGTGCCCACACTGCCTGCTACTATCTACCCATGCCCTTGCCCAGAAAGCCTCCTCCCTCCCACCCACTGCAAGACCTACTGCTCCCAAGGACCCATTTTACTGCCTGGGCATGCCCTCACCACTTCTACCCACTGCCCAACACCATGCCCATGTCCTGCTGGCACTCACTGGCACAGGCCGGCATAGCCAGCTGGAGTTTCCTTGCCACAAGCTTCGTCCCTGAGCCCATTGGGAACCTCCTTCTGCTCTATCACTCGGCAGCCGCCTAAAGGTGAGGGAAGAAGGGAGCCTCTGTTGGGAGGCCAATGACCACAAAGCTCCAGAACTGGGATATCCACAAGGCAGGGAAGGCAGCCTCCAAGGAAGGGACCGAGCACAGCAACTCCTGCTTTCCCAGTGGTGCTGGTGGGTACTCAGAGGTGCCGTCAACGGCAGACCATCTGATACAGAGGCAGGGACCTTGTCCCTACTTTTATCCAAGCTGGCTTTTGGCTCATAAACACATACCCTCTTGAGATAGTGTTTTTTTTTTTTTTTTTTTTTTGGTTGTTATTTATCTCTTGACTAGTTAACTTATTATCGGAAGATCTTACCTCTTTTTTTTATTTTTATTTTTTAAATAGAGACAGGGTCTCACTATGTTGTTTGGGCTGGTCTCAAACTCCTGGGCTCAAGTAATCCTCTTGCCTTAGCCTCCCAAAGTGCTGGGATTATGGGTGTGAGCCACCACCACTCCTGGCTATTGGCTACCTCTGGTTTTTTTTTTTTTTTTTTTTGAGATGGAGTTTCACTCTTGTTGCCCAGGCTGGACTGGAGTGCAATGGCGCAATCTTGGCTCACTGCAATCTCCACCTCCCGGGTTCAAGTGATTCTCCTGCCTCAGCCACCCGAGTAGGTGGGATTACAGGTGCCTGCCACCACACCTTGCTAATTTTTTTGTATTTTTAGTAGAGACAGGGTTTCACCTTGTTGGCCAGGTTGGTCACGAACTCCTGACGTCAGGTGATCCACCTGCCTCGGCCTCCCAAAGTGCTGAGATTACAGGCATGAGCCACCGTGCCCAGCCACATTTTTTTTTTTTTTTTTTTTTTTTTTTGAGACGAAGTCTCGCTCTGTTGCCCAGGCTGGAGTGCGGTGGCGCCATCTCTGCTCACTGCAAGCTCCGCCTCCCGGGTTCATGCCATTCTCCTGCCTCAGCCTCCCGAGTAGCTGGGACTACAGGCGCCCGCCACCACGCCCGGCTAATTTTTTGTATTTTTAGTAGAGATGGGGTTTCACCGTGTTAGCCAGGATGGTCTCGATCTGACTTCGTGATTCACCCGCCTTGGCTTCCCAAAGTGCTGGGATTACAGGCATGAGCCAATGTGCCCGGCCGGCCACCTCTATTTTTTAAAAAATAAATTTAAAACCTATAGCACCTGGAATTCCCAGCCAATCTCTCATCCAAGTACTAACCAGGCCCGAACCTGCTTAGCCTCCAAGATCAGAAAAGATCAGTCACATTCAGGGTGGTATGGACTGTAGACTTACCTCTGTCTACACTGTAAGAAGTGACAGAGGTTAGAACCATATGTAACACCTTTCTGTTGCCCTCATGGAACCTAAAACAGTGCCCTGCAACTAGCACTTCTCATTAAACACTCATTGAACTAATTAATTAATTATGATCATTTGGGAATGGGAGAAGAAAATTAGTATTAATGCCTTCTTGGGTACCAGGTTCTTTAAAGATGTCTTATGTAAAATGGCTTAGCTGCAAGGTGGATACTACCTCCATTTTACAGCGGAAGAAACAAGGCCTTGGGTCTCAATTAACTTGCCAAAGGGCATGCAACAAGTGACCCCAGACCCAAGCCTCCCCTTTACCCATCACACGGTGGGAGCCCAGCACACCATCTCCTCTTCTCAAAGGCTTGTCCTAACACTCACCTCCAGGGACTGCCCGGGCCCCAGCTGGAGGCTCTGTATTAAACATGACGTTATTGTCCTGAGGAGGAGAGACAGATGGGTGTTACATTCCCCTTGATGCCAAGTCCCTGTTGCAATTCCTAGCACGGAGCCTTTTCCATTCTTGCCCACCCTGGGCCCTGTCTTCTTCTCTCCTGGCCACCTCTGACCTGTAGCAGCTTCTGAAGCCGGAGAGCAGTCCAGTCCCGCAGGTAGAAGAGGCAGTCTCGAGGGTGGTGGCCGTGCAGGGACTTTTTCACCCTGCAGTTAGGCTCTGGACATTTCTGGCAGAAACCCAGATGGGAGAGAGGAAGTTGGAGACTGTTGGGGTCCTGGCCTCTCAGGAACCCCTGCGTGAGGGGTGTAAGGGTGAGGGGAGATGGAGACATTGGAGGAGCAAGCAAAGGGTAAGGGGACAGAGAGTTGTGCTTTACATCCCGTTGACCTCTTCTCTTCCCCGGGGCCACTCCTCAATAGCCTCTGACTCTCAAAGCCAATGGCACCCCCCACCCTTCCACCCCTTCCCCAACTCTCTGGGCTTACATTCTTGGCGTAAAAGGCATTGTAGCAGCCGCTGCAGAACTGGTGGCGGCACTGGGTACAGTGAAAGTGCATGCAGCCTCCTCGGGCCAGGGCGTACGAGAACTTGCATTTGGGGCAGTCTGCAAAGGACAAGAGGTCAGGGCTGGAGCTGCCGCTGCAACTCAAGGCCCTCAGGAAGAGAGCTGCTGGCAATGACAGGCTTCTGAGCAAACAGGCCGAGTAGGGAGGCCTTACCAATGCCGTTTTCCTGAAGATACATTGCTAGGCCCTGGGCCTGGTATTCTGGGTCGTTCATGCGTTTCCAGTTCTGGAAGTCCTCACAGCTCCGACCTCGGTGCTGCTCCTCCCACTGCCAGAGGGAAAGTAGGCTTCACATGGGAGCTCTATCCCATCCCCTGGCCTTTCTTGCTGGCCCCTCCACTCACATCCAGTGGTTCCCCAGCTTGGTTTATGTCACTGCCACCTACCATTTGCTCAGATCTCAAAATGAGAGGCCATCCTTGGTCCTTTCATTTTCTCCTACCACCTCACACTACTTTTGCCTTGTTTCCACCCCACAGACCATCTCAACCATATCCCCTTTTCCTTCATCCCTACTGCTACCACTTTACTCCAGGCCACCATCAGACCTTGCCTCAATTGCTTGCCTCGGTTACTAGTCTCTCTGTTTCCCATTCCTGCTCCCCTAGGGTCAATTCTCCCCATGGCTGTCAAAAGTCCTTCAAAACTGTAAGTCAGGTAGCTTCCACAGGATTGGTGGTGTTTTGGTTCTGTGGTAGTCTCAGGTGTTCACTTTATTTCAGACATGATGCAGATGAAATTTTTTTCGTATCAAATATTACACTTCTTTTTTTTTTTTTGAGATGGAGTCTCGCTCTGTCACCCAGGCTGGAGTGCAATGGCGTGATCTTGGCTCACTGCAGCCTCCACCTCCTGGGTTCAAGCGATTCTCCTGCCTCAGCCTCCAGAGTAGTTGGGATTACAGGCACATGCCACCACACCCGGCTAATTTTTGTATTTTTAGTAGAGACGGGGTTTCACCATATTGGGAGGCTGGTCTTGAACTCCCAACCTCAAGTGATCCACCCACCATGGCCTCCCAAAGTGCTGGGATTACAGGCGGAAGCCACCATGCCTAGCCAAATATTACACTTCTTAAAAGATAAATGTGGCTGGGCATAGTGGCTCATGCCTGTAATCCCAGTACTTTGGAAGGCTGAGGCGAGGGATCACTTGAGACCAGGAGTTGGAGGCTGCAGTGAGCTGTGACTGCACCAGTGGACCCCAGCCTGGGTGACAGTGAGTTGTCTCTAAAAATAAATAAATAAATAAATAAACGAAAGATAAATGAGATAGTATCACCCTTGCTTTATCTCAGAATGAAGGCAGACGGACGCCTGCTTCACGTGGCCTCCAGGGCTCTACAGACCTGGCAGCTGGCTTCTCTCTGACCACCTGCCATTCCCGCCTTGCTTTCCAGGCTCCAGCCATACAACACTTTTTTCTGATTCTGGCCTTTCCATGTGTTGTTCTTTCTCTCCCAAATGCTCTTTGCATGGCTGGCTTCTTTTTAATGTTTAGGCCTGAGCTTAAACCATTTTAGAGAAGACTTGTCTGACCTCTCTACCCTAAGTAGGTCCACTCTGTTACCCTGATCTCAGGTTCCTGTTTGTTTTCTTCATAGAATTTATGCCTATGTATAATTAGTTCCTCTGGCTTACTTTCTTTCCTTCCTTCCTTCCTCCTCCCCTTTCCTTTCCCTCCCGATTTCCTCCCTCCCTCTGCTTCCCTTTCTCCTTGTGCCTAGTCTTTCTGAGTAGTCTGTAAGCTCTTTTGACCTCAGAGCTCATGTCTGTTTTGCTCTCCAGTACACAAACTCCCCTGAGTCTAACACAGTACCTGGCAGTAGCTCAGCAAGTATTTCTGAAAGGATGAATGTGCCTCACCTGGCGCTTGCAGCGCACACAGAAGGTCTGGTGACACTGGGGACAAGTTGCCTCCAGCTGCTCACGCTCATATATGAAGCCAAAGGAGCACTGGAAGTGCAAGAGCATAAAGTTATCAAAGGCCTGACCTGGAACCATCCCCTGCCCCTCCACAGTAGCTGCCCTGGGCAGGCCACTTACCTGGGCACACCACAAGAACTTGGGGTCCCGCATCAGCACACCCTCGGTCAGCTTCTTATGGAACAACGCATAGGCATCTGGCTCTAGGCTCTCGCGAAGCTGGGGACAGGATGCAGAGGTGGTGGGTGGGAGGGTCCCTGTTCAAAGCTCAGGGTACCTGAGTCCTAGAGGGGCTGCAGTACCTGGATGTCAAGGGTAGAGAAGTAGCTGAGCAACTGTGTGTCATCGGTGAGGTCGGGGCGGCCACAGGCAGGGCACACCATGTCTGTGATGTGCTTCTCCTTCAAGGCGATGGTGAAGTGCTGGCGGAAGCAGTCAGGACAGATGGTGCACTCACAGGAAGTCAGGGCCTGCATCTGGAGGGTGAGGGGTTGGAGGGGAGGGGGTCAGAAGCCACAGCTGCCAGGCTAGGGAAGAGGCAGTGGCCAGGTGTCCACTAAGAAATCAGGGTCTAATTAACAACTGGGCAGGGTTAACAACCTCAAGTGCCAGCAGGGGCCAGGCAGGCAACGTAAACATCTGAAGACAGTCGGGTGGAGGAAAATAGACAATGGTGACACCTAAGGTAAAGGCAAAAGTGCCTATAAAAACATTCATATTCCATTAAATATACAAATAACATGCTTGAAATGACAAAACTATAGAGGTGGAGAACAGCTTCATGGTTGCCAGGTGACTAGAAGTGGGGGCAGAAGGGTATAACTAAAGAGGTACATGAGAGAGTTCCTTTGTGGTGATGAAACAATCTGTATCTTGATTATGGTGGTGGTTATATGCATCCATACGTGGGACAGAACTGCATAGAACCACACATACACACAGCGGCATATCCATGAGAAAAATGAACAAGACCTGTAGTATAGCTAACATTGGAGCAATGTCTTATTTCTTGGTCTTGATATTGTACTATAACTATATAAGAAGTCACCACTGGGGGCCGGGCACGCTGGCTCACACCTGTAATCCCAGTACTTTGGGAAGCCAAGGCGGGCGCATCACTTGAGGCTAGGAGTTCGAGACCAGCCTGGCCAACATTGTGAAACCTTGTCTCTACTAAAAATACAAAAATTAGGCCAGGCACCATGGCTTATGCCTGTAATCCCAGCACTTTGGGAGGCTGAGGCAGGCGGATCACCTGAGATCTGGAGTTCCAGACCAGCCTGACCCGTCTCTACTAAAAATACAAAATTAGCCAAGTGTGGTGGCGCATGCCTGTAATCCCAGCTACTCGGGAGGCTGAGGCAGGAGAATCACTTGAACTCGGGAGGCGGAGGCTGCAGTGAGCCGAGATCGCACCATTGCACTCCAGGCTGGGCAACAAGAGCAAAACTCTGTCTCAAAAAAAAAAAAATTAGCCGGGCATGATTGCAGATGCCTGTAATCACAGCTACTTGGGAGGCTGGGACAGGAGAATCGCTTGAACCGGGAGGCAGAGGTTGCAGTGAGCCATGATTGCGCGACTGCGCTCCAGCCAGGGCGACAGAGCGAGACTCCGTCTCAAAAAAATGTCATCGCTGAGTGAAGGTTAGTGAAAAGTACACAGGACTCTATGCACTATTTTTGAAACTTCCTGTAGATTCTACATTTATTTATTTATTTAATTTATTTTGAGACAGAGTCTCACTCTGTCGCTCAGACTGGAGTGCTGTGGCGCAATCCTGGCTCACTGCAACCTCTGTCTCCCAGGTTCAAGAGATTTTCCTGCCTCAGCCTCCCAAGTAGCTGGGATTACAGGCACCCACTACCACACCCGGCTAATTTTTGTATTTTTTGTAGAGACAGGGTTTCACCATGTTGGTCAGGCTGGTCTCGAACTCCTGACCTCAGGTGATCCACCCACCTCAGCCTCCCAAAGTGCTAGGATTACAGGTATGAGCCACTGCGCCTGGCCAACTTTATGTATTTTATTATTTTTTTTAATTTAAGTTTTTTTTTTGAGACGGAATCTCATTCTGTCGCCCAGGCTGGAGTGCGGTGGCACGATCTTGGCTCACTGCAACCTCCACCTCCCAGGTTCAAGCGATTCTCCTGCCTTAGCCTCTCGAGTAGCTGGGATTACAGGTGCACGCCACCACGCCTGGCTAATTTTTGTATTTTTAGTAGAGACGGGGTTTCACCATGTCGACCAGGATGGTCTCAATCTCTTGACCTCGTGATCCACCCACGTTGGCCTCCCAAAGTGCAGGGATGACAGGCGTGAGCCACCATGCCCGGACCTTTATTTATTTTTTTAGAGATGGGAGTCTTGTTATGTTGCCCATGCTGGTCTCTAACTCCTGGCTTCAAGGTATTCTCCCACCTCAGCCTCCCAAAGCTCTAGGATTACAGGCATGAGGCATCATGCCCAGCAAAATTCTTTTTGAAAACATAGCCACAGTAGCACTGTCACACACACACACAAAAATGAACAGTAATTCTTTTTTTTTTTTTTTAAGACGGAGTCTTGCGCTGTTGCCCAGGCTGGAGTGCAGTGGCGCGATCTCGGCTCACTGCAAGCTCCGCCTCCTGAGTTCACGCCATTCTCCTGCCTCAGCCTCCTGAGTAGCTGGGACTACAGGCGCCTGCCACCACACCTGGCTAATTTTTTACATTTTTAGTACAGACAGGGTTTCACTGCGTCAGCCAGGATGGTCTCGATCTCCTGACCTCATGATCGGCCTGCCTTGGCCTCCCAAAGTGCTGGCATTAGAGGCGTGAGCCACCGCGCCCAGCCTGGTAATTCTTTAATATCAGCAAATATCCAGTTTATAGGAATAAGCCCTTCTTAGTTCCTGAGACTCCACGTACTCTAGGTCAGAGTAGTTAGACTGGCTCTGTATGTGTTTTATTTTGGTTTTACTCTGTATTTAAAATAATTGTAGAGGTCAAGAGCTCGAGACCAGCCTGGCCAATATGGCGAAACCCTGTCTCTACTAAAAATACAAAAATTAGCCGAGTGTGGTGGCGGGTGCCTGTAATCCCAGCTACTCAGGAGGCTGAGGCAGGAGAATTGCTTGGAGGAGGCAGAGGTTACAGTGAGCCGAGATCACGCCATTGCACTCCAGCCTGGGGGCAAGGGTGAAATTCCATCTAAAAAAAATAAATAAGTAAATAAATAAATAAAGTTTTACATTTTAGAGATATATACGGAAACATTTATAAACTATATTATGCCTGATATTTGATATCATAATAGCCATCTGTGTATATATGTGAAATAAAGACTGATCATGTTTGTTGACAATTGCTGAAGCTTGATGACAAATACACTGGAAGTGGAGGGGTTGCAGGGGGGTATGGGAATTTGTTATACAGTGTAGTACAATTTTTCTACTATTGCATGTTTGAAAATTTCCATAATAGAACATTGTTTTAAAAGGGAGGAGATAAGCCTGTTCCTGACTTCCCCCTCCCAGGAGCCTTCAGGGGTATATGGGCAACTGAAGAGCAGAAGACAGGATCAGAGATGGAGACTGGGGTAGGATGGGGGTCCAAAAGAATAGAGTAATTCTTGGACCAGGTATCGTGGGGAGGGACTTACCCGGTTGTGGGGCAGGGCCCAGCCACACACGGCACACTCCTGGGCAAGCAAGCGGCGCAGGAAGGCCCGGTCCTGGCTGTGCCTCACAGCTTCTACCACATCCCCCAACTCATAGTTCCTGGGTGTCTCCTGCAGCAGTGACAGTGCCAGCTCTGCCCGGCCCCAGCTGGGGAGTGCGTAGACTGCCAAAAGCCGCCTGACCAGGCTCTGCAATATGATTCAGGTGGAGGGGGGAAGTGCTGTCAGACTCCAGGGACCCTTCCCCTCAGCTCCCTCTTGCTCCTCTAGGTGGACCCTTGGGCTTCTTGCCTCCTCCCAGCACCTGCTTGTCTGGCCCATCCCAGGAAGGGGTGGGCTCAGGGCCACTGTCCCAGAGGCGCTGGCGGAAGGGCTCTAGGCGTTGGCGCTGTAGCTCAGTCAGGGCCCGTGACACATCACCTCCGTGCTGGAACAATGCCTGGAGAGACCCCTCCTCAGGCCCAAAGCCTAGAGACTGGAGCTCCTGCACCTGCAAGATGGGAGTGGCAAGGGGGAATGAAGTGGGAAAGCAAGCAAGGGAGAGTGTGAGAGATGCAGACTCTCGACCCTATCCCATATCCAGCACAGCTGATACCTTCCTTCGCCTGGTCCTCACACACTCCTCCACAGCTTCATCAAGGTTGCCATGACGATCCAGCCAGGCTCTCCGGGCCTCCTGACAGGAAAAGGCACCCAGCCCAGGGTCCTGCTGTCCAGCCAGCTCAGCCACCATCTCCAGGACGTAGGGCAGTTCTGAGCGCAACCACTGCAGAGGCACCTCAGTGCCCGAGTACTGCAGAGCCGAGAAGATCTCCTCTGGACAGGCACCTGCGGCTTCCCCTTCCTAAGGCACAGTCCCGCCCATCAGGAGGGGCACCCTTCACCCACCCTCAGCCTGAACTAAGATGGTGACAGTGGCTCAGCTCAGACATATGGATCATGTCATCAGTGTACAGCAATGGTAACTGCCTCAGTAACAGGCAGCTGCTGCTAACAATAACAAGATTCATAGAAACTATTAACCACCTGCAGCATCTCCTTTCCCAGACCAGCTCAGCCCTACCTCATCGCAGGCCCAGTCCTTACCCGGATCATGCTCACTAGCTGGAGGCCTTCTTCCCGCATCTTGTCTTGGCGCTGCTTCTCAGGATCTCCACAGGAACTGGGCAGGGGGGCACTAAGGCGTCGTGGGGGCCCAGGCTTGGGGGGTCCCTTTTCCAAAGAGCTGGCATAGGGCCGGGGGGCATGTTGTGCTGGAATGGGGCTACTAGTCCGGTTGCACATAACACACACCCAGCCAGGGCTCGAGTTGCAGAAGGTACAGTGAATACAGTACCAGACTTGACTCTGGGCAGAGGCCAGCAAAGCATCCCCCTGCTGGGAAGGCAGAGAGAATTATCCCTTTGACTGGCTGGCTGAAGTTCACAACAGAAATACAGGGAGTTGGGAGGAACTGAAGGAAAACATGGGATAGGGAAGAGAATGCCTGAGGTAACACACGATAAAGAGCTGGGAAGGCCAGTTACCTGAAGGGGTTGCAGGCAAATGCCAGCATCTCGGGAATCCACCACCAAGCTGGGAGGCTGGGCCAGCCGAGGTCGCTCACATATGGAACATAGCACAGCAGCTGCCTCATTCTCAAAGGTACAGCTCTGGCAGGCCCACCGACCCCGTGCAAGATCAGGTTCTAGGCCTCCAGTTCCTTGGGGACCCTCAGTTCCCAACCCCAACCCCTTACAGCCTCGGGGCCGATCACAGGCCACACAGAGCACTGCCCAAGGCTCATTTAGCATGGCACAGGCAGCACAGTGCCAGGGCAAATGAGCACTTGCAGGATTAGGGGAAGAAAGAGAGCTGTCTCCCAGGGCCAGCAGGGAGGTCGACTGGGGCCGTGGTTGGGCTGAGGCAGGTAAACTGTAATGGAAAAGCAGACATGGCCTGCTGAAGTGGCACCTGGTGCCTGGATCCCTCACCTCTAAGCATTCTCCATTTCCTGGGTAACAACTCATGTCACTGGCCTTTGCACACATTGTCTGTCTCGAATACTCCTATACCCATAGCTTATGCAACATTTAAATGACAGCTTAAAGCTCACTTCTTCCTAGTAGATACTGCTAACACATGGCCTGACCTACACTAGGTGTTTAAAATATTGCCACCTGATTCAGCTGACCCTTCAGACTAGGTTGCAAACCACCTATTACCATAACAACCTGGGTTACTGCAATTGCTACCTGCTTGATGTGTATGTCTATTATCTCTTTCAGGGTTCTGACTGGCTACTTGTCCTCTATTAAACAGTCTTTAGCACAGAAACTGGCAGGTAGTCCATAATCAAGTGATCTTAAGTTCTCTAAATTTCACTCCCACCCAGAAGAGAAGCCCTCTCACCTGGGGCTCAGGTGGGTACCCTGCAGGACCCCAGGCAGGGTCTGGCGGAGGTGATGAGCACGGGATGGGTGTCCATGGAACAGGTGGTCACAGGCTGGACACAGGGCCTGTTTACAGGATGGGCAGTGCAGTGTGCCTGGGGCAGAACCACAGAGGAAGCAGGGACCAGGAGTGGAGCCTGGAGGGCAGGAGAGATGGAACATCTTTCCAAAAAAGACCAGGCTACATCTGAATCTGCTGTGGATGGGGGCAAATCACAAGACTACTTTTTAAACATCTGGACCCAAGGAAACAATTTTAATCTCTTTTAAAAAACAAAGAGGCCGGGCGTGGTGGCTCATGCAGGTAATCTTAGCACTTTGGGAGGCTGAGGTGGGTGGATCACTTGAGGTCAGGAGTTCCAGACCAGCCTGACCAACATGGAGAAACCCCATCTCTACCAAAAATACAAAATTAGCCGAGCGCGGTGGCGCATGCCTGTAATCCCAGCTACTCGGGAGGCTGAGGCAGGAGAATCGCTTGAACCCGGGAGGTGGAGGTTGCGGTGAGCGGAGATCGCACCATTGCACTCCAGCCTGGGCAACAAGAGCAAAACTCCGTCTCAAAACAAACAAACACAAAGGAAGATAACCAAGAAGACAGAGGAGCATCCCAAATTTCCATCAATATAGCTTCCTACCTGGTCCCCAATTTAGGACCAATAATACCTGGGACAGAGGGTGTGGTGAGGGGGCCAGGAGCAATCTCTCTCAATAGGGGGTCAAATTCTGAAAGCTGCAGCATCTGAAAAAGAAAGGGCAGGGAATGAATAAGGGTTTAGGGACACAGAGTCTCACAATTCCTGTTTCCTTTGTACACCAGCCCCTTTCCTGCCTTCCTTACATCATCTTCAACCTTGTCTTCCAACAGCTGCTCCAGTGCCTGCTGTCTTGGATGAGTATTCTGCAATAATACAGATAAAAACGGTTTCCAGCTAGACCCCTAGAACAAAGCCCTCCCTCTAAGCCCTGGTCCCTTAACATTCACAGAAGGAAAATCAGTACCCGGAGCTCCCAGAATGCTGAACTATGCCCATAGTTCAGCAGCACGGGGGTCCTCAAACTTACTTGAGTTAGGCTGGGCTCCCCAGCCCTGGTGCATAAGTCCATCAAGACTAGAGGAGCATCTCACCTGCAATAGCAGGCTGAGCTCTGTCCGAAGCAGCAGTACTTCCAGTGTGACTGTAGCAACCTGGTGCTCATCTGGCTCCTCCTGCCCTTCGGGGAAGCTCAACCCATCTGGTTGCTCCTCTGTGTAGCCATATAATCGCAGCACATCTCGGCCCCCCTGCCACACATTCAAACGAGTCACCACCCAGGAGGTTTCCTGCCTAGTAGGGCTGGACCCCTTCCCATTCAGCACAACCTCAGGCCTTTTCTAGCCAAACCCCAGCCCCCTCTCCCATAAGGCCAGGGGATTCACCTGCACAGCATCCACCGTGCTGCGAAAGACAGGGTTATTAAACTTGACACCACGCCAGTACCGAGGCCGCTGAGGGCTGAGAAGGTTGCGGCCGTATTTCTCCAGGATGTTCAGAGCCGTGGACAGGGTGTTGAGGTAGTTTCGGGGCTGGGAGCAAGGAGAGCAGAGAGGTGTGAGCGTGGCCTGGGCCTCAGGCCCTGGTGTCCCCCTTCCAAGCGGGGCCGGGCCTCACCTCCCCATGAGCGTTGCAGCGGACAAGGCGTGCGGCGTCCAGCTGCAGGTAGCGGGCGGCTAGCGGCAGAGAGCTGGCTAGTAGCGGCCGGAGCTGCTCCAGGGAAAACGCCTGCCCGGAATCCCTCCTCAGGGCGCTCGCCAGCTCCTCGCGGGCCACCAGGAAGGCCCGCTCCTCTTCCTCCCCCGGCATCCTGAGGCAGGAGTCAGCCCCAGCCTCGCCGCCCGCCAGGACCCGGCGCGGGCAGCGCGCGGCCCGAGCGCCGCCCCTCCCGTCTGGTGCCCGGCTTTGAGGCCCACCCCGGCCCACGCAGCCGCCCCAGGTCACTCAGACCACGGTCACTCTCCAGCCCCCGGCCCAGCGCCAGGGTTAGCCGAGAACAGGAAGTACTAGGAGAGAGGGTGGGACTGCGACCCAATTTCGGAGGAACGGGCGGGGCTTAAGGTTAAGGTTGGAGCGGTGTCAGGAAACCAGGGGGCGCGGCCAAGAGGGAGGGCCAGGTCCCAACCAATGAGAAGGCAAATGGCTCCTGGCTCCTCCCTCAGAGCGCGCCAGCATCTTCCCTCAGTCAAGCGCTCTTCCCCGCCTTCCCCCAATCTGGTTCCACCCCTTCCGGATAGCCGCAGGCGCGGGGTTATCCTATTCAGCTCAAAACCTTTCTTTTTCTAGCTGGACCAGTCCGGTACGCTCCGGGCCTCACCGAGGAAGTCCCACCCTGCAGGGGAACCGACTCTGGCCGGCCCTAACCCCTCTCGAGCGAGTCCCGCCCCATCTCCGGTCTGTCCTGAAGGCAGAGGGAAGACCCTCACCCAACCCCTGCCCGCTCTCTTCTAAGAGCTGCTAGTCCTTCTCCACCCCAGGCGCTCCCTCTGGCTGCCCCTCCCACTCGCTCTGATCTCTCTCCGTCCGCTACTTGCGGTCGAGCCTTCTTGGGGGAGCCCCGCCACTGAATACCCCCTTTGCCATACTCCCACCTCTCTTACCCCAACCCTGGACTTCCAGTTGGCCCTAGCTATAAGCCCCGCCCCTCTCCGAGGGACAGCCCCCGCTCCAGTCTCCGCGGTCCCACTTACCCTAGCCCCTCCCTCGGGCAGCCCCTGGACTGTGACCCAGCCAGCACCGCCTCTCCTAGTGGCAACTGGCTGGGAATGGCTGAGGGGCTACCTACTGCTTGCGGCCTGCCAGCGGGAGGAGGGGGGCGGAAAGAAGAAAGGGGGCGGGGTTGAGGGGGGCGGGCCTGGACCTGGGGAGTGAAAGCGAAAGCCCGGGCGACTAGCCGGGAGACCAGAGATCTAGCGACTGAAGCAGCATGGCCAAGCCGTGTGGGGTGCGCCTGAGCGGGGAAGCCCGCAAACAGGTAATGGGGAATCGGAGGCCAGGAAGGGGTCATAGAACCCTCTTGGGTGGAGGCCAAGCTGGGTGGTTCAGGGGACCAAGCAGTGCCAGAGAACTCCCCCAATCTCGCTAGTGCCTTCACTTCTCGGGGATTCCCAGATTCCTGCCTTCTGACTGCAGTGAGCAGGAGCTTCCAGGGAAAGCTAGTTTGTGGTGAGAAAGGCCTGAGCCACAGTTCGAGGGCACCCTGTTGTGGGTGGAAGCTTTTGACAACCCAGACCCTTAACCAACATCCGGGTACTGCTCTCTGTGTAGGTGGAGGTCTTCAGACAGAATCTTTTCCAGGAGGTAAGTCTCTGGATTTGAGCGATTTGACCCAGAATCTTGGACCAATACTTGAGGATAACAGCCTCTCAGAATGACCCCCCCAAGTCACCCTAGACTTAACCCTACTTCCCTTACCAAGCCTTCACCCAAAGTAACCCCGGAATTATTGATAGCTACCTTTAATCTGACCTTTCTTATGACTCTCCCGACTTCTGGCACTTCTCCCGTCTTTTGATGTGGAGGAAAAAAACCATGGCTTCCAAAGCAGGAATATCACAGTCCTAACCTTCGTTCTGCCATTTACCAGCTTGGGCAAGTCCTTTCATTTTCAGGTCTTCAGTTTCCTCATTTGCAAGTCTTGGACCCAGTGATTTCCAAAGGCCCTTCCAGTTCCATTTGTCAGACATCTCATTGAGCATATTCTGTGATTCCCCTCCCTTGCAATGTAACCCACAGGCTGAGGAATTCCTCTACAGATTCTTGCCACAGAAAATCATATACCTGAATCAGCTCTTGCAAGTGAGTAGTGTGGGCCCCTTCTGCCCCATCCTATGTCCTCTATCCCCTTTGCCCACCCTCTCTAGCTAACAACTGGATTCAGCATGCAGAGAATAGTTTCAAATAGTGGATTAGGAACATTAGGATGGCGTGAGGCATGAGCCTAGGTTGGGAGGCAGAGTGCAAGTGGGATGTATGGAGGGAAGGCTGTGACCTAGGATGAAGGGAAGAGGTTGGGCAGCCCTTGACAGTGAGCTCTGTGCAGGAGGACTCCCTCAATGTGGCTGACTTGACTTCCCTCCGGGCCCCACTGGACATCCCCATCCCAGACCCTCCACCCAAGGATGATGAGGTGAGGCACTCAGGGTGCAGGACTTGGACTATAAACCCAATGGAGAAGATAGCCCTTCAACCTCTGTGACTTTTCTAAAGCTACTTTCCCCCCTTTTTGCCTTAGATGGAAACAGATAAGCAGGAGAAGAAAGAAGGTAAGAGAGATAAGAGGTGACTAGGGAAGGGGTGATGGCACACTGACTACTGGATGAGAAAGGGCCTGAATCCCCTCTTTCTCACAGTCCATAAGTGTGGATTTCTCCCTGGGAATGAGAAAGTCCTGTCCCTGCTTGCCCTGGTTAAGCCAGAAGTCTGGACTCTCAAAGAGAAATGCATTCTGGTAAGCCTGGGAAATGGGGGAAGCAGAAAGAGAAGACACACAAGGTGAGGCCCTGGACTCCTCCGTAGATACAAGTCCTTCATACAGAGACCTAGTCCTGAAAAAGAAAACTTCCTTCTGTGCCTTGGGCTTAGATCCCCTTTGTTCTCCTCGTTCTGTTAGACCTCTCTTATCACAACGGTACCCCCAAAATTAGAGACTGTGCAGTATCCACTCTGTAACCTCAGAACCTACTGCTGTATTGGGTTCATAGTAGAGGTGGTATGATATAGTGAGTGAATTGTTTTAAAAGATTGGACCCTAGAGAGAGACTGCTTAGGTTCAAATCGTGATTCTATCAGTTACCTAGCTGGTAGCCTTAAGTAAGTCACTTAGACATTCTGTGACTCAGTTTTTTCATCTGTTAAATGGGTACAATAAATACATATCTCTGAAGGTTGCTGTGATGATTACATGAAATAAATACATGGCACAGTACCTGGTATGTAATAAGTACCCAATTAAATATAACTTTTTTTAGGAAGTGACAGTAATAGGAAGAACTCAGTATGTTTGTTGAATGATTCTTACATGATACCTCTTAACACAGGTGATTACATGGATCCAACACCTGATCCCCAAGATTGAAGATGGAAATGATTTTGGGGTAGCAATCCAGGTAAGAAAAGGGTAACTGAAGATACTTAGAGTGGGGAGAGCCTCAGGGGGTGAGCTAGACATGAACCAGGAGGAGGAGGAAGATAGTGTATGAAATGGGGAGGACATGAAGTGTTGTCTTTGCCTCCCGTGTCACCACAGGAGAAGGTGCTGGAGAGGGTGAATGCCGTCAAGACCAAAGTGGAAGCTTTCCAGACAACCATTTCCAAGTGAGGGCAGCTGGAGGACCAGCATTGGGGGCAGTAGGAGCATTTCTTTGGGACCCCCAGAGCTGGGCAGCCCTATCAGGATGATGGGAGACTTTGGGAAGGGTCTGAGGGAGTACATCTCCCTGAACACTCATTCCTGTGGTATTCCCTTGCTTCTGGCAGGTACTTCTCAGAACGTGGGGATGCTGTGGCCAAGGCCTCCAAGGAGACTCATGTAGTGAGTGGATAGTCCACCAGCCTTTTAGCTGGGTGTGGGACGAGGAGGTGTGGAGGAAGAAGTCCTCCTTGTCTTGTTTGTGACTTTCCCAATGTGGAGAATATTAAGCTAAAAGCATTACCTAGAAAAACTGGTTTGGGCTTCAACAACCTTGACCCTTTTCTCTGCTCAGTCCTTTGGGATCCTATTTCTTGGTGCTAAGAAGGGGTTCATTCTCAAGTTAACCTATTTCCTATAAAAGGAAACCAGACTCATGTCCCAGCCTCCCATGGGACTGACTCAGCTTTGCCTCCCACATTGCAGATGGATTACCGGGCCTTGGTGCATGAGCGAGATGAGGCAGCCTATGGGGAGCTCAGGGCCATGGTGCTGGACCTGAGGGCCTTCTATGTGAGTGTGGAGTAAGGCTTTAGGGGAGGTGGATGAGTGGGGGCAGGCAGGGGATTGGCTAAGAACCTGACTCTTGCACTCTGGCCTTCTCCCAGGCTGAGCTTTATCATATCATCAGCAGCAACCTGGAGAAAATTGTCAACCCAAAGGGTGAAGAAAAGCCATCTATGTACTGAACCCGGGACTAGAAGGAAAATAAATGATCTATATGTTGTGTGGATTCCCTTCTGGCGTGTGTCATTCATTCAAAAAGCATTTATTGAGTGGCACCTATGTCCAGCCTGAAGATGAATGTGGTGGGAAGGGGTGGGTGTCACAAAGACAAAGATGACTTAGATGCCCACTGTAATCTTGACTGTGAGAAAGAGGGGATTCAGGCCCTTTCTCATCCAGTAGTCAATGTGCCATCTCCCCTTCCCTAGTCACCTCTTATCTCACTTACCTTCTTTCTTCTCCTGCTTATCTGTTTCCATCTAAGGCAAAAAGGGGGGAAAGTAGCTTTAGAAAAGTCACAGAGGTTGAAGGGCTATCTTCTCCATTGGGTTTATAGTCCAAGTCCTTCACCCTGAGTGCCTAGGGTGGGGATTGTTACATGCCATGGCAGCCATGCAGATAACCTGTATTTTGGAATGTAACAGTATTATTTTCATCCAGAGGTCTCAGGAATTATTGGAAGAGATGGCATTTGCACAGAGCCCTTATGGGAATAATCAGGCTTTGGATACACAAGGGGAAAGTTCTGTGGTCAACATCAGGAATGAAGAAAGAAAGAATCCTCATCAGTTCAGGAAAAGCCTAGAAGGAGAATAAGGTTTCACTGGGAGAACTATGGAGAACTACGGATGAATGATTGGACTCCCCCCACCCTTTTTTTTTTTTTTTTGAGATGGAGTCTTGCTCTGTTGCCCAGGCTGGAGTGCAATGGCACGATCTCAGCTTACTGCTACCTCCGTCTCCCGGGTTCAAGCAATTCTCCTGCCTCAGCCTCCCGAGTAGCTGGAATTACAGGCATGTGCCACCACACCTGGCTAATTTTTTTGTATTTTTAATAGAGACGGGGTTTCGCCATGTTGGCCAGGCTGGTCTCGAACTCCTGACCTCAGGCGATCCACCCACCTCGGCCTCCCAAAGTGCTGGGATTACAAGGCGTGAGCCACCGCGCCGGGCCTGGACTCCCTCCTTAAGGGCTAGGAGGGGAAAAAATAATGCTTCCAAGGCACTGTGGTGAAGGAAATACATCGCAGGACATTATGGGAAGGATGAATCTGTAAGTTTTTCTTACTGTCCTCCCCCATATCCCCTTCAGCCAATCACTGTCTTTATCTCTGCTTTTCAAGATTCAGCCCTGGGCTGGTGATAGAGACAAGGGTTCCTTTGCTGTGATCTTGCTGTAAACTCCATGGGATTGTTCTTTAATTCAGGGCCTTATCCTGTCATAAAATATGAGATAAGAATGTGCTGCGAAGCACTAGACTGGCTGGAAGCCTGCCCCCATACATATCTCATTAAATCCTTAAAGGAACACGGGCAAAAGATAAACCAAGGGCAAGAAAACCTGCAGTCGCGAAGGCAACACGGCCCATTAGTAAGTGACAGAGCCGATCTAGAGTACAGAGCCACTCAACCCATAATAGGCGCAAGGCGGTCTGCTTTGCCCGCAGCGCTCCGGAACACCCGGCTACGGGATAGCGATCCATCCTTGGGGCTCGGCGGAGCGAGTGGTAGTGGGCAACACAGGTAACAGGCAAAGCCAACCACCAACCGAGAGCGGAAGTCGGGGAACCTAGCCAATAAGAGTGCGGGCAATTTTCTGTGCTTCACAATGGTGGGTTCTTTCCAGTCCGCTGGAGACAAAGGCGGGGCAACGTTGGGGCGCGGCCGCTGATTGGACAAATTGAAAGCCTTTAGCCCTATCAAGGAGCACCACGTGGGCGGGACTCCAGGAGCCAGTTCTGCAGGGAGCTGCAGTTTGGTCTGTCTCCCAGGCAGGCGCAGAGTCGCGGCCGCCAGCTAGGGGCGCGGGAAGGCGGGGCTCGGATGCAATCGGGACCTCCTCCTGGACTGGGCCGGGGGCGGACTCCGGGACCCAGGGCGCCGGGAGCCGGCGGGCTACCTGCGAGTCGAGTTAGCGTTGTCGCCGAACCGAAGTGAGAGGGCACGGGGAAGGGTCAAAGAGCGTGCCGAAGCGCTGGAGGGAGCTTCACGGACGCGAGCTAGGCACCGGCTCGCCTAATCCGGTACTAATCCGGCTTGCTGCTTCCCGTCCAGGCCTCGCTCGCCATGGGGGAGGTGGAGATCTCGGCCCTGGCCTACGTGAAGATGTGCCTGCATGCTGCCCGGTACCCACACGCCGCAGTCAACGGGCTGTTTTTGGCGCCAGCGCCGCGGTCTGGAGAATGCCTGTGCCTCACCGACTGTGTGCCCCTCTTCCACAGCCACCTGGCCCTGTCCGTCATGTTGGAGGTCGCCCTCAACCAGGTGCCTCCGTTGGATGCCCATCCCCCACCGCGAACCCACCCAACACCCCAGCCCAAGTTCATCCCCGGTCCCTTGGCAGCAGTGCGCATCCACAAAGCCAGCGGCACAATTTAATTACTGATGGCCCCTTTCCTACGACAGGTGGATGTGTGGGGAGCACAGGCCGGTCTGGTGGTGGCTGGTTACTACCATGCCAATGCAGCTGTGAACGATCAGAGGTGAGTGGCGTAGCCAGAGGAAGAAGGAAAGGATTATGGCGGGTTGGGGATTGGAGGAATAGAGGGCGAGGATGCGTGGGGCGGTGGGCGGGGCGGGGGCGCACAAGATGAACCAAGGTCGTTCCTTTTATCTTTCCTTCATCAAACGCTTAGGAGCAGGGGCTTTACACCAGGCACTATGCTGGGTACTGGAGTGAGGGAATATAAAGATGAATAGGACAGAGCCCTGCCCTGGAGTGCCGTTGGGGCGGGGAGGACAACTGTGTATCAACAGACTGATTTTTTTTTTTTTTTTGAGACGGAGTCTCCCTCTGTCTCCCAGGCTGGAGTGCAGTGGCGCAATCTCGGCTCACTGGAACTTCCACCTCCTAGATTCAAGCGATTCTCCTGCCTCAGCCTCCCGAGTAGCTGGGATCACAGATGAGCGCCACCATGCCCGGCTAATTTTTTTTATTTTTTTAATTTATTATTATTTTTTATTTTTAGTAGAGATGGGGTTTCGCCATGTTGGCCAGGCTGGTCTAGAACTTGACCTCAGGTGATCCACGCGCCTCGGACTCCCAAAGTGCTGGGATTACAGGCGTGAGCCACCACTCTCGGCCAACAGACTGATCTTGCTTTAACTGAGGTGTCCCCCAGGGGCTGAAAGAACAGAGAAATCCCAACCAGCAACTTCAAAAATAAGGCAGTTTCCTTATATATATACATATAGGAAAAGACATATATATATATATATATATATTAATCATATACATGGAGCAATTAGAGGTACTGTTTTGTAATTTGCGTTTCTCCCTCACTTAATAAATACTTGACATCATCCCATTTCCACACCAAGATCTACCGTAACAGCTATATAGTCTGAATATGAATGTACTCTAATTTATTTAATACTTTAAACATTGAGGTTGTTTCCAGTGTTTTATTACAGACACTGTCCTATGATTACCATAAATTCTTTATAAGTAGAATTTCTGGGTCAGCATATGTATAGTATGTATACAGTTTCAATTTGGATGGTTATGCCAAATTACCTTCCAAAAAGACCACCTTTGGTTTCCACTCTCACCAGCAATATCTGAGCACCTGTCTCCCACAGCACTCAAGCATCAAGCAGTCGTGCATCAAGCATCCAGCAGGCCCGATCCCCGCAGGCCACCTACAGGGAAAGGCCACAGCTGCGCCCACACCTATGAGACCTGGGAGGCCCAGCTCAAATGGATGGGTTTTGCCCACAGTTGGCTCCTCACTCCTCTGATCTTCCCTCTACACAGCCCTGGGCCCCTGGCCTTGAAAATTGCTGGGCGAATTGCAGAATTCTTCCCTGATGCAGTACTTATTATGGTGAGGCTTGGGTTTCTGGGTGGGGAGGTGAAAAGCAAGTAGGGTGGGGGGACCCTTGAAACTCTCACTTGCCCATCTTTGTCCACTCAGTTGGATAATCAGAAACTGGTGCCTCAGCCTCGTGTGCCCCCGGTCATCGTCCTGGAGAACCAAGGTCTCCGCTGGGTCCCTAAGGATAAGAACTTGTGAGTACCCCACTCCCTCTACCTCTTCTTAGAAGCCCAAGGCTCCTGGGTCTCCTCTGTCCTTGGCCCTGCCCCAAGGGTCTTTCTCTAGACCCAATCTCTGTTAAGTCTGTGTCTGGACCCACTACTTGCTGTTTGACCTCCATGGGGGTTACTATTTCAGAGTGATGTGGAGGGACTGGGAAGAGTCACGGCAGATGGTGGGAGCTCTACTGGAAGATCGGGCCCACCAGCACCTTGTGGACTTTGACTGCCACCTTGATGACATCCGGCAGGACTGGACCAACCAGCGGCTCAACACTCAAATCACCCAGTGGGTTGGTCCCACTAATGGAAATGGAAATGCCTGAGCCAGGGCCAGCGGGGCCCGGTTCCAATAAAGAGACTTGGGCTGATGGGCAGTGGTATAACTATATTTATTGTGCCTGAGAGGCAAGGTGAGGGAAAAATCTCAACAGAAGCAAGTTTGGGGAAAATCTGGAGTCCCCAGTAAAAAGCAGGAAGGTCTCTGCTGTACTCATCACAGAATGGGAGAGAGGGCTCTCAATAGATCATTCCCTTTGTTTCTCCCCTGGGCTTCTTGAGCTTCTCGAAGTTCTTCAGGATGATGTCATATAACACAGCCTACAGGGCCAGGGAGTAGAGGTCAGTCAGAGGCCTCCAGTGGCTCTGTGCCCCATTTCTAGCCTTGTGGAGAAGCTGAGCTTTGTCACCCTTAACCCCTAGCCTGCAGGGTCAGGGAGTGGGTGGCCTGGGAAAGCTGCCTCTGCCCACCCCTGCCCTGCCCTTGCCTCCTCACATAAGCATTGCGGATCTCCATGACCATCAGCCGGATGTCCCGGTACTCTGCCTCATCCAGCTCGTGCACCAGCTGCCGATAATCACCCTGTGGGAAGCTCGGGTCAGGCCTGACCTTACATGTGTCCTTCCCCCATGCACCCTGACCTGGGCCTCACCTACCACATGGGGCTGCTTGGCTGCTTTAGTCACTGCATCACCACGCTCAGAGAAATACCTGTGGAAGGAGAAGTGTGTATGGAGTAGAAGAAGGAGGTCTCCCAAAACAAAAACAGTGTGCACATGGGTGGTCACTCACTTAGAGATTTGAGTGTGGAAGCCTTCTAGCTTGGTGTGGAGGCTGGTCATCAGCTCAAACACCTTCTCCTAGGGAAAAAAAGCAAGGGGGAAAGTGGAAGGAAGCATGGACTAGAAAAGAGCAGGGAAGTGGGGCAGCGCTCTCACCTGGACAGCCACTCCAAAATTGTTACCATCCTCAATCCGAGGTATCTGCAGCTGCAACCAGGTGGTGACCTGGGAAGAGGGAATGGCATAATGCCACATCAGCCCTCTACCCAATTCCCAGTTTCATATTCTCCCTTGCTTCCCTCCCCACACTGGGTGGAGGCGTGCCGGGTCTATCCTGAGCCCCAGGGCCTGGACTTCTGGTTTCACTTGCTGTGCCCTCTCTTGCTAAAACCTGGCAAGTGCCAGGCCCTAAATGGCAGGGACCAAGAGGACAATGGTTTGACTTGAAGCCTGAGAGTTTAAGGGGGAGGGCTTACCAGGTTGAGCTGCTCAATGACATCCTTGATCTCAGGCTTCAAGCGCTGCAGAAGGACCACGATCTTTTCATTGCAGTTCACTGGGCCACAGGGAGGACCTAGAGAGTGAGCAATGGGTCAGTCACATGATTGAGCCTGTGTGAGGGGCGAAGGGGAGACTGGAAAGAAATCCTTAGGAGGAGCTCCTGTGAGTGGGACTCAAGTCTCTTCCCACCATTGTGGTTTCAAGTACCTTTGTCTTCATCCTCCCCCTTCTTCTTTTCATCCTTGTCTTCCTTCTGCAGAAAGAGAGGAGCTCATGAGAGTCAGGACTAAGGTTGATTACCCCCATAGTTGGATCCCTTCTCCCAGGTCTTCCCAGCTTGCCTCCTGCTGTTTCTTCCGCTCCTCTTTCTCTTTCTCCTTGACTGGATCAGGCACTGGGATGTCCAATGGGGCCTTCAGATTGCTCAAGTTGGCTTCATTGAGAGCTGGCTCCTGGTGTAGGGTGGGAGGAGGGCTGGAGGTGAGGGAGTTCCTCTCACCTCACTCTCACAGCCTCCAGACTCTTCTCTTGGCCTTTACTCCCTAGCTCCCTGCCCAGCCGCGGTACCTTTAAAAATGCATCCAGCTCAGAAATCTTCTTGGGGAAATAGCTCCCGAGCAGGTTCTCTGTCTGTGTGTGAGGTGGGGGTGGAGGAGGATGGGAGTCAGCATCAAATGCCCGTCCTAGGTAGTGAGGCAGGGTTGAGCAGTAGGAGTTGGGCAGGGGTGGGGCCACGCTGATGGGGCATGTCTTACCTTGGTACAGAGGTCTTCACGAAACACATCCACCTGTGGGGCACACGCATCCCTTCAGAAACTTGGCTTTAAGGCCAGTTCATTTGAGGACAGTTCCCTTAGGGTTATGTAGGGCCTGACCTGGGGAAGGGTGGAGGGGATCCCTCTAAGGCCAGACCTGAAGAAAGCGAGATGGATGCCTGTAGGGTGGGTTGGGGTGGTGGAGAAGGTGGATCTCTGCAGACCTGGATCTACGGAAAGTGGAGTGGGTATCCCTGGGGCTGGATATGGGGGATGAGAACATTCCTGGCGGTGAAGGGCCAGTGTTCACGTGAGAACAGATCTCTGGGGTCGCCTGGCAGGTGTGAGGAGGGGTGCTGAGAGTCCTCTGCAAGTAGGACAGGGATGGGGTGGGCCCCGGGACCCTCCCTGAGGGAAAGGCCAGAAGGTAGCTGGGGCAGTCCCGCACCCAGTCTGTGTGTGGCCCCGGCCCCAGGCCAGCGGAGTTCCCCTCCACGCCAGCTCTCCGCTTCACCTCACCCCGCAGAACCACGGCCGCCTCGCCTCTCCCCGCAGGCAGCAGTCGCCGCCCTCCCCGGGGCGCAGGTGCTCCGGGCGCGCCAGCTCGGCCGACTGCCCCCGACTCGCGTGGGAGCCTGGGGGGCGGGTCGGGGATGCCCCCGGCCGCTCCAGCCACGCCTCCCCAGTGGGCCCTTTCTAGACCCCGCGGCGCTCACCTTGGCTTGGGCCTCGGGCTGGACCCTGAGCATGGCCATGACCGGGACGGGGGGCCTAGCGCCGCACAAGGAGTGGAGTGGGCACCGCGAAGGGAAAGCGAAAGCGGTAGGGCGCTCGCACCCAGCTCCGCCTTCCTGGGTAGTGGGGCGGGGAGGGCTGGAGGAGGCGGGGTCGGATGGAGGAGGCGGGGTCAGCCCTGCCATGGAAGGGGCGGTGCCGCAGAGGAGGGCGGCGGGTGAGGCTCCGCCTAGCGCGCACAGGCGCTCTTCACCCACCCTCCCCGCGCCGCCTCGCGAGGGCCAGCTTCCAGGCTCCCCACCTCCGCTGGCCCGGTCCCCGCCTCCCGCCTCCCGCCACCTGCCGCCCGCCGCCTGAGGACGGCGGGTCCGGGTCCTCCCATCGCCAAGCCCAAGCCAGTCTCTCCGCGTCCCAACCTCCACCTCCCGCCTCCCAACTGGCTCCCCACCTGCTCTCTTCTTCCCCTGCTCCGCCTGGGACAGATAAGCTTTACTTAGGGCTCTTCCGTCTTTCCCTAGAGATGGAATAAGACCTGGCCTGTCTTTCCTAGCCTTGCTAGCGTGGGCCTCTGGCTCTGCCGACATCCTGCGCACCTGTAGCAACACCGGCACCAGAGCTGGCAGCATCCCTATCCAAGCCCGGACCAACTCTCTCCTGGACCACGGCTGCAGATGCCATTCTATAACCCACTCTCACGGAGCAGCGGGTTCATGCCTCTCTCTGGCTTAAAACCCTTTCTCAGCTGCCTGTTGACCTTTGAATGAAATCCAAAAGGCTGTCGCACCTGTCTCCCCTTTAAGTCCACTTTCTACTGCTTGCCCCTTCATTCATTACACTTGCAAATATTTGGGCTATTTGTTTCTCAGATGTGTCATGTTCATTTCTGCCTCAGGGCCTTTGCCCTTGCTAATAATCCCTTTGCCTAAAACACCCTTACCCTGGGTGTTGTCATTCGGTTCTCAGTTTAGATGTCACCTCTTCAGAGAGAACTATTTTCATCATCCTTTATAAGGAACCTCCCTCCAAATCTATTACAAATCATCCTGTTTTAGTACATTCATAGCATTTATCTCTCTGATATTAGCCAGGTGTTTTTTTTTTTTTTTCCAGGATAATTTACTGATTTAAACCAGGTTTTGGCAAACGTGTGTGTGTGTGTGTGTGTGTGTGTGTGTGTTGGGGGACGGAGTCTCGCTCTGTCGCCCAGGGTGGAGTGCAGTGGCACCATCTAGGCTCACTGCAACCTCCACCTCCAGGGTTCAAGCGATTCTCCTGCTTCAGCCTACGGAGTAGCTAGGACTACAGGCGCGTCCCACCACGCCCGGCTAATTTTTTGTATTTTTAGTAGAGACGGGGTTTCACCATGTTAGCCAGGATGGACTCGATCTCCTGACCTCGTGATCCGCCCGCCTCGGCCTCCCAAAGTGCTGGGATTGCAGGCATGAGCCACCGCGTCTGGCCAACTTTTTCTATAAAGGGCCAGAGAGTAAATATTTTAGGCTTTATAGGCCTTACAGTGTCTGTCTACTCAACTCTGCCATTGTAGTAGGAAAGCTGCCATATGTAAATGAATTAGTTTGGTGAGATAACATTTTATAGACACTGGAATTTGAATTTCATGTAACTTTCTCCTGTAATAAAATATTCTTATTCTTTTGCTTTTTCAACCATTAAAAAATGTAAAAATGGCCGGGCACAGTGACTCACGCCTCTAATCCCAGCACTTTGGGAGGCCAAGGCAGGCAGATCACTTGAGGTCAGAAGTTCGAGACCAGCCTGGCCAACATGGTGAAACCCTGTGCCTACTAAAAATACAAACACTAGACGGGTGTGGTGGTGGGGGCCTGTAATCCCAGCTACTCGGGAGGCTGAGACAGGAGATCGCTTGAACCTGAGAGGTGGAGGTTGCAGTGAGCCAGAATTGCACTCCAGCCTGGGCAACAGAGTGAGACTCTGTCTCCAAAAAAATAATAAAAATAAAATAAAAATAAAAATGTAAAAAATGTTTTACCTTTTAAAAAAAATTTTTATACAGACAGGGTCTCACCATCTTGCCCAGGCTGGTCTCAAACTCCTGGGCTCAAGTGATCCTCTTGCCTCAGCCTCCCAAAGTGCTGGGATTACACTGCCATCACTGCCAGGTCTCTGTCTTTAAAAAAAAATTATATATATATTATATATGCAAATATTATATATAAAATATATAATAATATATATAATATATAAATATATATATTATACATATATAATTATTAGCTCGCAGGTCATACAAAACTGGCCACAGGAGGGCCAAAGTTTGCTAATTCCTGGTTTAGAGGATAGATGATATACCCATATTATCTAGCTTTGTAATCATGGCTCCTCTGTTTATTAGTTGTGAACAAGTTACTTAACCTCTGTGTCTCAGTGTTTGCAACTGTACAATGGGAACACTACTATCTCAATTTTTTTTTTTTTTTGCCAATCAAGATCAGTACAACCTACCTCATACTTTTATTGTTGTGAGGACCAAATGTGTTAACTTTTTTTTTTTTGAGATGGAATTTCACTCTTGTTGCCCAGGATGGAGTGCAGTGGTGCAACCTCAGCTCGTTGCAACCTCCGCCTCCCGGGTTCAAGGGATTCTCCTGACTCAGCCTCCCAAGTAGCTGGGATTACAGGCGCCCGCCACCACACCCAAGTAATTTTTTTTTTTTTTTTTTGTATTTTTAGTGGAGATGGAGTTTCACCATGTTGGCCAGGCTGGTTTTGAACTCCTGACCTCAAGTGATCTGCCCACCTCGGCCTCCCAAAGTGCTAGGATTATAGGCGTGAGCCACCGCGCCCGGCCATATGCGTTAACTTTTATAAAGAACTTACAGACACTTAGAACAGTGTCTGGCACAGAGTAAACGCAGTGCAAGTGTTTTGCTATTATTTGTGTGATCTATTATCTGCCTTCCCCAGTTAGCTCATATGCCTCCAAACAGCAGAAATCTTGTCTTATTTACATGGCATAGAACTATGCTCAGCTCAATAAACATTTGTTAAATAGATGAGCACATACAGACCCCCTACGGGGAAGACAGGGTAGGAAAAGTCCCTGCGAGGAGTGCCCAGATAGGTAGGCCCCTGAAGAGAGGGAGTGGAGATTCAGTGGAGAAGGCAGGAAAAACAATCAAACAGGCTGGAGATGGAGCAACTGCTCAGCAAGAATGATGCCCACACCTAAGGGCATTACCTTAGAAGCACCATTCCTGGATGTCTCAGTCCCCAGATAGCCTGAAGTCTGCAAAAACTAGGAGACTGAAAGGACAGCTGGAGGGATGGAGGTCAAGCATAAGGAAGGACATTCAAGGTTGATGAGAGCAAGGAATGGCTGGGGAACCCTAGTGACTACCAGACCCTCTTCCCACCCTTTCAAGGACCCAACCAAATGATGAGAGGAGCCACAGCCAGGCCCGATGGTTTTTATTTCTTTCAGTTATGCTTGCGGCTGGAGTGGGGACGGGGGAAGAGCCCATGGCCTGGGCTCCCTGGAGACCAGGGCTGATGATACCAGCTGCCATAGGTGAGGTACCAGGCAAAGGTGCCCACTGCGGCGCCCACCACCTTGTGAGTGTACTGGTGGAAATAGATGACGGTACAGAGCAGCAAGAAGTTCCAGAGGCCCAGCAGCAGCACGTTCAGCAGGAAGACAAGGCGCAGTGGGGCGCCGGCAGGAAGCCCATGGGCCAGGTACTTGGCGAACACAGCTGCTTCCTCTGCCATGAGCAGGCAGCAAAAGGTGAGCAGGAAGGTGTGGGAGGAGACGGTGTAGCCTCGCCACTGGTGGCCGGCTGCCAGGCAGCTGCGGCGGTCAGGCAGCTCGTGGAGCAGCAGACCCTGGGGCAGTGGCTCGAAGCAGGAGCCAGTCAGGTCCTCGATGAGCAGGAAGGCCCGGCCGGCTCCCCGCCACACGGCTGCCCCTACTACCAGTCGGCTCAGGTGTCTGGCAGTTACTGCCACGCGCCGTGTAGCCAGGAACACCACCAGCAACACAAAGCCCCCTAAGAAAGTGCATGTCCAGCCCCAGGCTGAATTCACAAATTTTCTGTGGGCAAAGAAGGGAGACTATTGAGACCCCAAGCTCCATCTCCCACCCTGGTCTGTGCTCCCATCACTGCACTCTCCCCAACCCTACACATCATCACTCGTTCTCTCCTTGCCGTGCCCTTTACAGCCCCCAGTCATTTAACCTTTGCTATCTCCTTGGAAGACAATTCAGCATTCCAGGGTCCATATTTCCTCTTTAGTCCTGTTCCCAACTTCCCCTGTACCCCAGGGCTCTGTTCCCTTCCCCCTCCCCCGACCTTTTCCTCAACCTCCTAGCCTATTTTTAGTGTTCAGACTGGCAGGAGGACAGAAGCCTGGAGAAGGGAGCTAGGATCCCAGAGTGCAGGGACCCGGCTCCCACAGCCTTGAGTGGACTCACATGTTGAAGAAGTTGCCGTGGCTGGCGAAGATAGTCCGAGGGTTGACATGGAACTGCAGAAGCGGCCCAAAGATGACCACTGCTGCCAGCCAGGCATGGTAGAGGCGCCGTAAGCAGGGGCTGCCCAGAAGGCGGGCGGCCTGTTCGCTTCCAAAGTACAGCAAGGCAGAGGCCACCCAGAGCAGCACCTTGAGCAGGCAGCCCAGCAGTGCCTGGATTCGGGCCCCGGCCCCCAGTCCTGCCCCCACCACCGGCCCCCGCTCCATGTTCCCTCCCCTCCCCACTAACTGCTTGCTTTGCTGGGCAGCTGAGGAGGGGCTGATGGGGCCCCCCCTGGACAAGGATAGGCAGTGACAGGTGTGGCAGACACAAGGCAGAGCCCTGTTGGCAGCTGGCAGGTGGGGGAGAGGGGCGGGGGGCAGTAAGGGGCCAGGGTGGAGGTCTGCCACGTCAGCAGGGTCCTGGCCTCGGGTGTGTGGTAGTATGTGTCCTGACAGCAGTCTGTGTCCTTTCCTGTTAGTCCTGTGTCCTTGGCTCCGACCATGTTCCAGTTCCTGTGACAGGGCCAGCTGTTCAGGGCTGTCCTTGTCCATAGTCTGCCAAAGTCCCTCTCCACCCACCCCTACTTTACCATTTGCTCCACAGGGAAATCAGAGGTCATGGAGATAAAAATAACCAAACCTTGAAAGTCGTTTTTTAAAAAAAGCTGCCAGTCTTATCAGTGTGATCTAGCCCTTCTCCTGGGGTTCTGAGCACAAGAGCCCACCAACAGCAGGATGCAGCAAGGTGGCTGTGCACAGCACTGTGGCCATCATAGGCCTTGGGAGGCAGATCAGCATGGGTATCCACTTCAGTGCCCTGTGACCCCAGCAGCTTGGCTCTGCCCTAGTTCCTGTCTGGATTGAGGGTCTCTAAGGGACTAGTTTGGCCCAGGGCTGCTGTATAAACTGGCGGTTTCATCTGTTGATCACGTTGACCCTCAGATCCCTAAAGATTAGGTTTACTCCCAGGTGACAGAGGTAGAGGAGACCCTAAAAGGGCAATTGCCAGACAGGAGTCAATTGAAACCTTAAGTTCCATCCTCCAACCAACTACCCTGGGCCTCAGGGCTCTCCATATAAGCCTGCCCTCCCAGTCTGACTGCTGAGGCGGCGACAGCAGGGCAGTCAGCTACCTATCCACGGAGAGTGCCTGTTAGTCAGTAACTGTTTCGAGATCACTTTTTCTTTCTTCCTCATTCCTCAAAACCAGTGGTGGGATTTCAGAGCACAGCGGAAGTAGTGAAAGGAATGAGCAAGCAAGGACACCTGAGTTCTGGGCCCAACTGTGTGACTTTAGGAAAATCAATGAACCCTCTTCAGTCCTCAGTAAATCAATTTCCTTTATAAACTGATCAAGACAGATTGGATAATCAATCAGATTCCTTCCAGATCCTAAAGCCCATACCTTGGAATAGTGACCTTCAATGAACCCTATAAAAGAATTTTGAACTAGGCTGGGCATGGTGGTTCACGCCTATAATCCCAGCAGTTTGGGAGGCTGAGGTGGATGGATCGCCTGAGGCCAGCCTGGCCAACATAGTGAAACCCCGTCTCTACTGAAAATAAAAAAATTAGCTGGGCACGGTGGCGGGCGCCTGTAATCCCAGCTATTCTGGAGGCTGAGGCAGGAGAATCGCTTGAACACGGGAGGCGGAGGTTGCAGTGAGCCGAGATTGTGCCATTGCACTCCAGCCTGAGCAACAACAGCAAGACTCCGTCTTAAAAAAAAAAATTCTTTCCACTCATTTTTATTTATTAAAGTTTTATGATTTATTTTTTTGAGACAGTGTCTCACGCTTGCCCAGGCTGGAATGCAGTGTGCTATCACGGCTCACTGCAGCCTCAAACTCCTGGGCTCAAGTGATCATCTGCCCTAGCCTCCTGAGTAGCTAGAACTACAGGAATGCATCACCATGGTTGGTTATTTTTTATTTTTTGGCCAGGTGTGGTAGCTCATGCCTGTAATCCCAGCACTTTGGGACCAGCCTGAGGAGCCACAGGAGTTCGGGACCACCTTGAGCTGGTCTCACACAGTGAGACGCCGTCCCTACAAAAATTAAAAAAATTAGCTGGGCATAGTGGCACGTGCCTGTAATTCCAGCTACTTGGGAGGCCGAAATGGGAGGATCACTTGGGCCCAGGAGGTTGACATTGCAGTGAGCCGTGATGGCACTATTGCACTCCAAGCCTAAGCAACAGAGTGAGACCTTGTTTCAATATTTATTTTGTAGAGACAAAGTCTCACTAAGTTGACCAGGCTGGTCTTGAACTCCTGGCCTCAGGTGATCTTCCTGCCTTGGCCTCCCAGAGTGGTGGGATTACAGGCATGAGCTACCATGCCTGGTCTCATTGTGGTTTTAAATAGTTGCAAAGGACATAATTTCTAGTGTATCATATACTGACATTTCAAAATAAATCCATTATATCACTGTTTCAAATGTATCCAATGAAATGTAAATACTACAGTGATTAGATACTTCACCTTTATCCATTAAAACATGACAAGATTTTACATCAGAAATTATATTTCCATTCTACTCCCTCACAGAATTTATCCTAATATGTTTTTATGCCTGAAAGTCTTTTATTGACCATTTATCACATTTCTCTGCAAGAAAAGTAACTCAAAAAATTTAATTTTTTGTTTGTTTGAGATGGAGTCTCACTCTGTCGCCCCGGCTGAAGTGCAGTGGCACGATCTTGGCTCACTGCAACCTCTGCTTCCTGGGTTCAAGCGATTCTCCTGCCTCAGCCTTCCAAGTAGCTGGGATTACAGGCGCCCGCCACCACCCAGCTACTTTTTTTTTTTTTTTTTTTTAGTAGACATGGGGTTTCACCATGTTGGCCAGGCTGGTCTCGAACTCCTGACCTAGTGATTCGCCTGCCTCGGCCTCCCAAAGTGCTGGGATTACAGGCGTGAGCCACCGTGCCCAGCCAAAAAATTTAATTTTTTATAGTTTCTGGGCCCAGTGTGGTGGCTCACACCTGCAATTCCAGTCCTTTGGGAGACCATGGCAGGAGGATCACTTGAGCCCAGGAGTTCTAGACCAGCCTGAGTAACATGGTGAAACCTTATCTATACAAAATATACACAAATTAGCCAAAGATGGTGGCACCCACCCAGCTACTCAGGAGGCTGAGATGGGAAGATCACTTGAGCCCAGGAATTTGAGGTTGCAGTGAGCAGTGATCACACCACTGCATTCCACACCACTGCACTCCAGCCTGGGCAACAGAGCAAGACTGTCTCAAAAAATAAAAATAAATAAAATAAATAAAATAGAAATGTCCTGTGACCATAAAGCCCTAAGAGTTAATTTTTTTCCTATGGATTCTATTTTCATTGTAACTGTTAGTAGTCTAAAATATATTATTAGTACATGAATACCTTAGTTTTTGGGGTTTTTGAGACAGGGTCACTTTCTGTCAGGAAAGTGAAACAGTCTTATTACTGACATGGAGAAAGTTTTAGTGGTCTGGGTAGAAGATTAAAGCAGCCACAACATTCTCTTAAATCAAAGCCTAATCCGGTGGCATGATTGCAGCTCACTGCAGCCTTGACCTCCCTGGTTCAAGTGATCCTCCTCTCGCTGAGCTGGGACTACAGGTGCAGGCCACGAAGTTTGGCTAATTTTTAAATTTTTTGTAGAGACAGGGGTCTCACTATGTTGCCCAGGCTGGTCTTAAACTCCTGGGCTCAAGTGATCCTTCTGTCTTTGCCTAAAGTGCTGGGATTACAGAAGTGAACCGCTGCACCTGTCCAGGAAAAGTTCTTAAAGGAAATTAAAAGGTACTACACTTCAGTGAACACATGAATGATACAAAAGTGAAATAGCCTTATTGCTGATATCAAGAAAGTGTTAGTGGTCTGGATAGAAGATCAAAGCAGCCACAACATTCCCTTAAACCAAAGCCTAATCTGGAGCAAGGCCCCAACTCTTTTTTTTTTTTTTTTTAAGAGACAGTGTCTTGCGTTGTTGCCCAGCCTGGAGTGCAGTGGCATGATCATGTCTTACTGCAGTCTCAAACTCCTGAGCTCAAGCAATCCTCCTGCTCTGCCTCCTAAGTAGCTGGGACTACATGTGCATGCCAACACTCACTATGTTGCCCACACTGGTCTCCAACCCTTGGCCTCAAGTGATCCTTCCATCTTGGCCTCCCAAAGTGCTGGGATTATAGGTGTGAGCTACTGAGCCCAGCCTATTCTCTTCAATACTATAAAGACTGAGAGTGGTGAGGAGGCTAGGAGAGGTTGGTTCATAATGCTCAAGGAAAGAAGCCACCTCCATAACATAAAAATGCAAGGTGAAGCAGCAAGTGCTGATATAGAATCTGCAGAAAGTTATCCAGAAGATCTAGCTAAGATCATTGATGAAGGTGGCTACACTAAATTACAGATTTTCAAAGCAAACAAAACAGCCTTCTATTGGAAGAAGATGCCACATAGAAGTTTCACAGCTAGAGAGAAGTCAAGGCCTGGCTACAGAGCTTCAAAGGACAGACTAACTCTTTTTATTAGGAGATAATGCACCTGGTAACTTTAAGTTGAAACCAATCCTCATTTACCATTCTGAAAATCCTAGGGCCTTAGGAATTATGCTAAATGTATTCTGCTGTGCTCTATAAATAAAACAACAAAACCTGCATGACAGCACATATGTTTGCAGCATGGGTTACAGAATATTTTAAGCTCACTGTTAAGATCTACTCCTCAGAAATAAAGATTCCTTTCAAAATATTACTGCTCATTGACAATGCACCTGGTCACCTACAAACTCTGGAGATGTACAGGGAGATTAATGTTTTCATGCCTGCTAACACAACATCCATTCTGTAGCCCATGGATCAAGGAGTAATTTTGACTTGCAAGTCTTACTTTTTTTTTTTTTTTTTTTTTTGAGACTGAGTCTTGCTCTGTCGCCCAGGCTGCAGTGCGGTGGCGCGATCTCGGCTCACTGCAACCTCCGCCTCCCAGGTTCATGCCATTCTCCTGCCTCAGCCTCCTGAGCAGCTGGGACTACAGGTGCCCACCACCACGCCCAGCTATTTTTTTGTATTTTTAGTGGAGACGGGGTTTCATTGTGTTAGCCAGGATGGTCTCGATCTCCTGACCTCGTGATCCACCCGCCTCGGCCTCCCAAAGTGCTGGGATTACAGGTGTCAGCCACTGCACCCGGCCAAGTCTTACTCTTTAAGAAATACATTTCGAACCCCGTCTCTACAAAAAATAACAAAAACGAGCTGGATGTGGGTGGTGTGTGCTGGTAGTCCCAGCTACTTGGGAGGCTGAAGTGGGAGGATCGCTTGAGTCCAGGGGGAGGCAGAGGTTTCAGTGAGCTGAGTGCACCACTGCGCCTGAGCGACAGAGCAAGACCCTATATCAAGCAAAAAAAAAAAAAAGAAAAAAAAAAACATTTCGTAAGACTGCAGCTGCCATAGTGATTCCTCTGATAGCTGTCGACAAAGTCAACTGAAAACCTTCTGGAAAGGATTCACCATTCCAGATGCCATTAAGAACATTCATGGCTAGGCACAGTGGCTTATGCCTATAATCCCAGCATTTTGGGGGGCTGAAGTGGGAGGATCGCTTGAGCCCAGGAGTTTGAGAACAGCTTGTGCAACAGGACGAAACCCCATCTCTACAGAAAACACAAAAATTAGCCAGGTGTAGTGGTGGGCATCTGTAGTCTCAGCTACTCAGGTGGCTGAGGTGGAGGACTGCTTGAGCCAGGAGAGGTCCAGGCTGCAGTGAGCTGAGATCATGCCACTGCACTCCAGCTTGGGTGACAGAGTGAGACCCCGTCTCAAAAAAAAAAAAACAAAACAAAACAAAATTTTTTTTTTCCCCAGAGTCTCACCCTGTGGCTCAGGCTGGAGTGCAGTGGTGCGATCTCAGCTCACTGCAACCTCCGCCTCCCAGGTTCAAGCGATACTCCTGCCTCAGCCTCCTGAGTAGCTGGGACTACAGGCGCCTGCCACCACACCTGGCTAATTTTTGTATTTTTAGTAGAGACGAGGTTTCACCATGTTGGCTAGGCTGGTCTTGAACTCCTGACCTCAGGTGATCCACTGCCTCGGCCTCCCAAAGTGCTGAGATTACGGGCATGAGCCACTGTGCCCAGCCTAAAAACAACATAACTTTTATATGCACTGGGAAACCAACAAAATTGACTCGCCTTATGCAATATTCACTTTATTACAGTGGTCTGGAAATGAACTCACAATATCTCCTAGGTATGCCTGTACAACAAACATTTTACATTACTTCGATAACATAAAATTATATTGTAAATGCATCTCTTACTGAGAATGGTCGGTCTGTGGGGCTTTGATCTAATGAAGCTATAAGGATACTAACAATTTGAATTTCTCTCTTAATTTGGTGCCCTGGAAGTAACACAGGTTCTGGGTGAGATGGGTAGCACCTTAGGTAACTTTATCACTTGGCAGACGGGGAATGAAAAGCGTGGATGGGAAAGGAGATCTGGCACGGGAGTTTCACACTAGGTAGATCAATTTGAGGAATGAGAACACAGAAGCCAAGGATCTGAACATTTATTTATTTATTATTTATTTTTGAGACAGGGTCTCACTCTGTCACCTAGGCTGGAGTACATTGGCACAATCACGGCTCACCGCAGCCTTGACCTCCTGGCCTTAGGTGATCCTCCCACCTCAGCCTCCTGAGTAGCTAGGACTACAGGCATGCGTCACCACATCTGGCTAATTTTTTTTTTGAGACAGAGTTTTGCTCTCGTTGCCCAAGCTTGAGTGTAATGGCATGGTCTTGGCTCACTGCACTCAGCTCACCTCTGCTCCCAAGTTCAAGCGATTCTCCTGCCTCAGCCTCTCAAGTAGCTGAGATTACAGGCACCCGCCACCATATCCGGCTAGTTTTTTTGTATTTTTAGTAGAGATTGGGTTCCACCATGTTGGCCAGGCTGGTCTCAAACACCTGACTTCAGGTGATCCACCTATCTCGGCCTCCCAAAATGCCGGGATTACAGGTGTGAACCACCGTGCCCGGCCTACTTTTTGTATTTTTTGTAGAGATGGGGTTTTGCCATGTTGCCCAGGCTGGTCTCAAACTCCTGGGCTCAAGCGATCCATCAGCTTTGGCTTCCCAAAGTGCTAGGATTACAGGCATGAGCCACCACACCTAGCTTGTTTATTCTTTTAAAACTGCCTATTTTGCCATGAAATAGGTACCCTTGCTGTGAAAGCCTGTGAACACCCCTGGATGTGTGTACCTTCATTTAAAAACTGCCTTAGAGGGCATGAAATGTCATCAGGGAAGATCTATTCCGAGCTGGGTGTGAGCTCTAGCCCTCTCCCTGACCATCGGTTTGCTCTGGGGTATGAGGTTCTGAGTGTGAGGCGCCCACTGGGGCCTGGCGTCAGGGCCGACTTGCTTCTCTTAGGCTCTGCGTTCAGGGGCTACCTCTTCCAAAGACTACACAGCTGCAGGCCCAGCCTCAGAGCAGAGGTGATATGGGTATTACCAGGCTCTAATGGAAAGTGTGCTCTCTCGATATCTACTTGCAGGGAAGCTTCTGAAATTGGTAAGGGAGCACCTATTGCAAGGCTCAGTGAACAAATGGTTTTGGTATTTCCCTTTTTCATGGGGCACCAGAAGGGTATTTTCTCCTACACAGGATCGCATCTGAAGACTTTGCTGAACTGTGTTTTCCTGAAGTGAGGAGATGAAAGACCTCAGATAGGAAAAACAGAGAGTGAGAGAGAGAGACAGACACTGAGCCAGGTTCCCACACAGTTTATTGAGGGAGCCAAAGCCAGTGAGAGGACGAAGGAGTCCTACTTCAACCTACTTCCTTAAAGCTGTGTGCCTCCAGCATGAAGGGACCTTCCCAGAGGGCAGGGCCTGCCCTATAAGGGGCCACATGAAGCCTTGTGGAGACTCCTGCCTCTCATACCACAGCCTGTCCTACCCTAAAGACCCAGACATGACAGCAGACATAATCCCCACCCCAGGAGGGTGCTGAGGAAACACCCTTACCCATGCCCCTCCCCTAGAGACCTCAGGAAGAAAGGCCAGGACACCTGTCCTGTGATTGGCCAGTTGAATCCTCAACGTGAAGACCTGGCAGGCCTGGCTGACAGGTCTGTTCAGATGTGGCCTCAGGCATCTACTCTAGGATCCAACCCCTAACATTCAAACATGATTAAAAACACCCAGGACACTTCTCTTGCTGGCAGAGGCCACACCCCAGATAATGGCAGTCCTGCCAAACTCTGGCCAGAGATAGGGACCCAAGCTGACTGGGTGTGAGCACGTAAGGAGACCACTCTGCCCCATGGGGAGAATCTTCCAGGGCTCAGCTGAGGCTCAGAGCCCAGGCTTATGTTATTCCCCATCAAATGCCAGTGATTCCTCCAAACATTCCCCACAAGGGAGAAAGGGAGGAGGAGGCAGAGAGCTTATCAAGAGGTTCACCCTATATGGGGCTGGAGGTTGGATCTACTGGGGTGAGGAAAAGGGTGTAGAGGATTGGGGCACTGGGGCAGGGGCGCTGGCACATTCCTCAGATTCTGGCATGTCATCCTGGAAGTACTCAGCCTGGCGGTACTGCCACAGACGCAGGTTCCCGTCCCACTGCAGGGCAGAGGGTGGCAAGCAGTCAGGATGTGCTGCCCCCACCCAAGTCCAAGCCCCAGACATGTGCCAGCACCCTCAACCCTTGCAACCTCACCGAACTGCTGACAATCTTCTCTTCAAAGGGGTGCCAACTGACGTCACGCACACAGGCCTTGTGGTTGGTCAGCTTCTTCACAATGTGGCCACTTAGAAGGTCGTACACTGTCCAGGACAGGCAAGAGTGGAGAGGGACCACCACAAGACATCTAAACTATCCCTCACCTCCCCATGAGTAGCACCACTGACCTGCCTCTCAGGCAACTTCCCATGTTCCCATGGGAGCAAAGCCCACACCAGAAGACTGTGTTATTTCTGCTTCTATCCCTGTTCCTTTCCATACCTTGGGTTGAGGGTATGGTTTAGTGGTGTGGGTATGTCTGGCCCTTAGCTAAATTTCATAGGGGCTACAGTTAAGGAAATGCACTGGCTTTGAAGATTTTAGTAAGATATGGAAGGCACCACAAAAGTGAACAATGAGCTGTCTGGGGGTGTGTGCACCTGCTGCACCTTATCTGGACAGGGTGCATCTTTCTTTTGTCATGGGACTGTGAGTGTCTCTCTAGGGACAGCACTGCCTTAGGCTCCTTGTATCTGCAGCTGTGCTTCTGGTTTTTTTTTTCTTTTTCTTTTTTTTTTTTTTTTGAGATGGAGTCTCGCTCTTGTTGCCCAGGCTAGAGTGCCGTGGCGCGATCTTGGCTCACTGCAACCTCTGCCTCCCGGGTTCAAGCGATTCTCCTGCCTCAGCCTCCTGGGCTCAAGCGATTCTCCTGCCTCAGCCTCCCAAGTAGCTTGTGATTACCAGCGCCTGCCACCATGCCTGGCTAATTTTTGTGTTTTTAATAGAGATGGGGCTTCACCATGTTGGCCAGGCTGGTCTCAAACCCCTGACATCAGGTGATCTGCCCGCCTCGGCCTCCCACGGTGCTGGGATTACAGGCATGAGCCACCGTGCCCGACCTTTTTTTTTTTTTTTTTGAGACAGTTTCTCACTCTGTCACCCAGGCTGAAGTGCGGTGGCACAATCATGGCTCACTGCAGTCTCGGGCTCAGGTGATTCTCCCACCCTAGCCTCCCAAGTAGCTGGGACTACAGGCCTGTGCCACCATGTCCAGCCATTTTTTGTAGAGACAAGGTTTCTCCATGTTGCCCTGGCTGGTCTCAAACTCCTGGGCTCAAGTGATCTGCCCTCATTGGCCTCCCAAAGCCCTGGGGTTACAGGCATGAGCCACTGCAGCCAGCTTATTTCTTTCTATGCTTTTCTGCTTTAGCGACTGCATGTCCCTTAACTACTTGCTACCATCTTCCTGTGTCATTTTGTCTCTGTTCCCTCCTACCTTTCATCTGCAACCTCTTTCTTGACTGGCTGAAAAACAGAACCAACTATATTTTTGGCAATCTATTATATTTACTGTCTAGAATTCTATGTTCCTTTTCTTAATTTAAAACACTGAAAAATAGAATGGTTTCTATTTCTCTGTTTAAGCCTCCAAGCTAAGTTTGATTTTACCTGTAGCTGTCACTGGGCTTTTTAAGGTGGTCACTAGTCGTTATAGGTGGAATGGCAAGGAGTCATTCCTGCCCTTCCTGAGGCCCCCTGTTCTGACACAATCCTTACCAACCACTTTGCCAGTGGAGCAGCCACTGTAGATGAACTGCTGGCCAGTGCTATGAATGGGGGAGAACCGGCAGCGGATGAGGGTGTGCAGCACTCCGTGGCCCCGGTAGGTCATCAAGGAGCTGTCCCCTGGGAGCTTCAGCTTCCGCCAGGCTGGGTAGGGATGCAGAGTAAACCCTAGGTTAGGAAATCTGCTTTGGGATTGTTTCGTACCACCAGTCCTGAGCAAGGTTCGATGCCCAGAGACAAATGCCTTTCCAATCTTCAAGTGGTGGCTCTTTCTCCACCTAATAGTCAGTGGACAGTCTCCAATATGGCCCTGCCGGTTAATCATTACACTCACATACTTTTATATTGGTTGATTCTGAGTGACCCCCACCCAGGCCCCAATCCTAGGAACCTCTGGCCATTCCATCCATGATTTAGCAAATAAAGAGTTAATGCCTGGCAAAGAGGGCTGAGGGGGAGGTCCTCCAGGGCTCCCAGGCTACAGACAAATCCACTGTGCCTGTACTTCCAGTCTCACCTTTTTTGGGCACTTGCTGCCACCGATAGTCCCAGTTTTGCTGTGTGGCAGCCTGGCGTGAAGCTTCCATGCCTTCCCGGCTGGAAAAGCGTCGGATATCCCAGAGTTTGATGGTCTGGTCTTTAGAGTTGGAGATCAGATACCGGGCATCACCCTATGAATCCAAAGGTGGATAGTGAAGCATCAGAGCTTGCAAATGTCGGCGCCTGTCAGTCTAGTTCCCGTTCTCTAGTTGAGCAGAAGAACTCTGGCCTCTGGCTTTACTTGCCTCTCTTCATCCAGGTGAACTCATTTCCAGCGTTCTGCCTCAGATCCTACCACCTGGCTAGGTTTTCCTTTCCTTGCCCAGGCTACTGGCCGGCTTTCCTATTCTAGCCTTAATCAGATTGTCTTCCATTTTTCTTTTTTTAATTTTTAATTAACTAATTTTTTTTTGAGATGGAGTCTTGCTCTGTCACCCAGGCTGGAGTGTAGTGGGGTGATCTCGGCTCACTGCAAGCTCCGCCTCCCGGGTTCACGCCATTCTCCTGCCTCAGCCTCTTGAGTAGATGGGACTACAGGCGACTGCCACCACACCCAGCTAATTTTTTTGTATGTTTAGTAGAGACGGGGTTTCACCATGTTAGCCAGGATGGTCTCGATCTCCTGACCTCGTGATCTGCCCGCCTCGGCCTCCCAAAGTGCTGGGATTACAGGCATGAGCCACGGCATCTGGCCTTAGTTTTTTTTTTTTGTTTTTTTTTTTAAATAAATAGAGATGAGGTCTCGCTAGGTTTCACAGGCTGGTCTGGAACGCCTGAGCTCAAGTGATCCTCCCACCTCAGCCTCCCAAAGTGCTAGGATTACAGGTGTGAGCCGCTGTACCTGACCGGTCTTCCATTTTTCTTGTACGGAAAGCCCTGCCCTGCTCCTTGAGGACTGGTGAGTACAGATGGAATTCATGTTCCCTGGCTTGAGCCCCTTCCCTAAACTCCAACTCTTACAAACCTTGGTTAATAAGGAGCTTGTCAAATTCCCACACCAGTCCGCTTTCATGCCCTCCTGGGCAACTAGAACCTTAGCGGCCTGGCTGTACAGTCCTGACTTCTGGCCCACCTTGCTGTCAATGAAGGTGATGCCATCCTGGTGTCCAGCCAGTGCACCCACAGGCTTGGGGTCATCCTCCCGCATGGTGCGTCGATCCCACACTTTGCAGATGGCATCATCTCCCCCAGAGAACAGGATTTGGGAGCTTATATCAGCAAAGGCCACTGCATTCACATCATCCTCATGGGACTCAATCTAGGCGAAAAGGAGGCCAGGATATAAGACCTCTTTCTAGGTCTTATAAAAAGCCAAAAACCAGGAGGCAGAGGCTCTATCTCAGGAGCCATACCTGAAGGGTGCGCCGGTTCTGTTCTCGGTCAAAGACATACAGGCAGCCATCATTGGCCCTGAAAGGGAAGGGATAAAGGAGGGTCCTGGAGCCATGATCGAGAGGACCAACGTGGTATATGCTCTAGAGAGTTCCACTGAGAAATCCTGCTCTGGGTCAAGCCCTTTGCTCTTTTTATACAGGAAGTGGGGGAAGAGTTAGCTGTGTTTCAAGGAGGCTTGACACCTCCAATCTCGTGCTGGGGAAATGGAGAGCAAGGGGTGAAGCAACTTGTAAATCCTGACCTTGGGAGAAGGTCTGGTTGTTCTCTGCAGCTGCCAGTGCCATCTGTGTAACAGCAGAACTCATCTCTGGCAGAACCCCCATCTTGTTATTGAGGGAAACATACCCCACAAGCACTTACCCTCCTAGTACTTCTCGTCCATCTGAGGAGACAGCAATGGAGAAGACAGCAAAGCGACGCTCATCTGGCCTAAAAGCAAGAAGGAGCTGGGTTAAGTGGACTTCCTTCAGCTTTTGTTAATCTACATAAAATCTGACAACGGTTGTAAGGCACATCCCCAGGGGAAAAAAGAAGTCTGGCTAACATGCACCATAATGCAGATGCTCAGTGAGAACCCAGAAATCATCCTGCAACCATCTATTTTACCCAGTCCTCTGGCTGACAAGATGGTGCTTCCCTCCCAGGAATGCACACAGACCCACCAGTATACTTTTTCCCCTAAACAGAACTTCCAACTCAAGAGGTTTGCTCCCAAAGAGCTTCCCTTGAGAAGTTTCTGATGAGTCTGACCAGAAAGGGAAGCCAGTACCTGAGATCCAGGGCAGTGTGTGTATCTCCCTCACCATAGATATTGCAGATATGAACTAAGAGAAGCAAGAAAAACAAGAATCTTTCAGGGATGGGGGAAGAAGAGTGGAAGTGAAGCTAGGGAAGAGATCAAACAGGGGACAAGGGTACTGGAGCACTTTGGGAGTGATTTTCCCAGGACAAAGTGAGGGATCCTGGCTCAGAGGGGACAGGCACATGGAAACCTCAGGTCCCAGGCTGGAGAGTCAGTGGAAGCCTGGTGCATACTCACTGTAATCAGACCAGCTAGAGTAGAGGAAGTGGTTCCCATCAGGGGTGAAGGCCACATCCAAGACGCTCCAGCCTACGTCGCGGGCCTTGATGCTCTTGAATTTACGGAAACGGCCATATCGGCAGTCATAGAGTCGGATTGTCTGGTCTGTGTAAGTAAAGATCAGGCAGAATTATGGGACAGTTTCCTTGTAACTTTTCTAGATTAGACATCTCCCACTCAGTGTACCTGTGGAGTCTTCCCTTTATCATGGGAAACATGGTCTGGCTAAGCATCCTTAAGCCAGGTCTGAGCTCCCCGTCTGTGGCTTTCTAGCCTCAGTCAGGGGGAATGTCCCATGTTCCAGGAAAAGATAGTTTATAGGACCAGGGTCTGGTACCTTGGCAAGCAGACATGAATATTTGACCATCTTTGCTGTAGATGCCACAGAAAGCCTTCTGAGAGTAGCTATCAGTGAAGCCCAGATCATTGGGCAAGAAGCTAGGGAAGGAGAGAGAAAGTGAGGGTGAGGGGTGCTCAGGATAAGGAGTGTCCCAATCAGCAGAATCCTAACAGAGCTGGAATATCAGAACAGTCATTCTTCCCTTTTGGCTGTGAGTGCAATCCCGTCTTTCAACCATTCCACCATCCTCTAAATTTCTACAATTTTCTACACTTTTCTACTTTGTTTACTCTCAAAGTTTCAACCCCATTTAACCTAACCTTTAATATCTCTGAGGCTCCTTTAACACCTACCCCTTCAAAGTTTAGGAGATAAGACCTATCTGGCCCTTAGAGTCTCTTCACCAAGCCCCATACTCACTGAGATATCACTCGAGACTGTTCTCCAAGGGAGAAGCTTCCCCGATGGCAGAGGCCCCGTTCTCTCTAAATGGAAGGGATTGGGGAATATTGCTAGCAGAAATAGAGGGCCACTTCAGCCATATCAAGCCCCCTCCTCCAAAGATATTGCTCTTGTTATAGAAATGGACACACACATCATAGTCTGTCCCACAGAACTCCGATGGAGGCTGGTTAACTCTCCAGCCCCAGCGCTTGAGGCTTCTACTTTGGAAAGTTGACTTCCTTTTTCTCTGGGGCTGGCAGAGCTTCTGGCTGCTTTGGCAGGCCTGCTGCCAGGCTGGGAGGTGGAGAGGCCTACCTGGTGCAACATTCGAGGAAAGCTGTGCTTCTGGGCGGCCCGCCTAAGCCCCAGCTGCCCTGTGGCCAGTTCCACTTGTGTCTTGATCTCATTGAATTCCAGCTCCCGGGTGTCAGGGGTAGCATCCACTGTGAGTACCAAGGAGAAGTTTCATCCTAGGTCTGCCAGCCTCAGAGGACAGTTAGCAGAACTGTACCCAAGCCCACCCCTGTGGCTGAATATACTGGGGCTGTAAGGACTCCTTATTCCTTAAATTATCGTACCTTCTTTCAATGTAACCTATCATTCAAAATATCACTAAAAGGTTTTCTAGTAAAAGTCTTCCAACATTAGGGGCTTTTCCTCTTACCAGGTGGGTTGTATCGATCCCCAAGACGACCATCCCAAGCTCTGTCATTCTCTTCCTCTGAGTCCAAGAGGGCCTGAATGAATTGTAAATTTGCTGCACCTCCTCCCTGCACCAACCTCACTTGGCCTCTGTGGAGAGACCCCCATTATAAAGGAGGGGACTTCTTCCCCCAAACCAACCAAATTCAGAGTCAATGGCTATCTAGCTCTTAGACCACTTGGTACTCATTTTGAGGTTTGAGGCTGACTAGACCTTGGCTGTTATTTTTGGTCTCCTATAAAACACAGTAGGAAAGAGAGTTTTACTCTTACAGCAAGAGCAAGACCAACATGCTGTGGACGTGACCTACTAAGTTGACCTCCCAGCGAGCTAAACATTCTAACATCATTTCCTTAGAACAAGAGCAAGACCAATACGCTGTGGACATGACCTACTAAGTTGACCTCCCAACAAGCTAAACATCCTCACAGCATTTCCTTCTGAGCCTCTGCCTGAGAAGTCCACCACAGAAGACAATATTCTAAGCTGGGTGCGGTGGTGTGTGCAACTGTAGTCTTAGCTACCTGGGAGGCAAGGATTGCTTGAGCCCAGGAGTTGCAGGCTGTGGTGTGCACTTGATCACACCTGTGAATAGCCCGTTCTCCAGACTGGGGAACACAGTGAGCCCTGTCTATGTCTACTAAAAACAACACAAAACACAAACAAAAAAGAATACAATATTCTGAAGGGACCCCCAAACCCATCTTCTCCTCAAAGAGCCATAAGCAAAGAAAGAAAGCCAGCTGCACCCTTTTCCAGTCAATTCCAGGTGGTCTCTCCCTTCAAGGCATTCTTTCCTCAAGAACAGGTTAGAGTCAGGGCAAATTAAACTTGTTTTTCAAGTAAATCGAAGTGGCCTCATATCATGTGTCAACTGCCTTACTAAAAAGTTCAACACTCCCTTCCCATCTCTTCACCCCTTACATCACTCCTTTCCCACTAGGACCCCCCCCTTTTTTTTTTCAAGCTTACTTGGAAAATAGACTATATTTGTGTAGTCACAGAGACAGGCTCCCTTGAATAGCCCCTCAAACACATGAGCAGGTCCTCTTGGTGACCCTCCCTAGGTAAGAACCACTCTTACTGGGTATGGAGCTGAGTGCCATGGGTGCCCAGCAGGGAAAGGCTGTTCAGCTCAAACAGAACAGCTGTCCTGAGCGAATCCCATTTCCTAACCTCTGTAATTTTCCTGCCTGGAGTTGGGATCAAGGCACTGTGGTAGCACCTGCTGGGGGTCACACCAGAGGGTAAGTTACCTGCGGAGGAGATAGGCCAGTACCTGGGCCAGATCCACATCTTCATCCTCTTCTTCCTCTTCCTCACTCCGACGCAGGCCAGCCCCTCTTCGGGGCAAGCCCTCGGAGGGGTCTCCGGACCCGGATCCTGCACTGCTGCTGTTCCGCGATCCCATCTTCTGGTCACAGCATTCTTAGGTCCTGTGCGGGGGCTCCTCCTGTCACCTCCTTGGGTTTGGTGAAAGCAAAGCGTGCTCTAGAAATACCAGGGTCTCCTGAGACGGGGTAGTAGCTATCTCTAGGAGGGTGACCCTTCCTCGGGGCTGAGATCCCTTTTCTTTAGCCTATGCCAACTACCAAGGCGTCGGGAACACAAACCTTCTCCAATCCTGTGAAGCAAAGAAAGCAAGAGTGAACCGTAGTGCGCTACCCTAGCTCACCAACTGAAGAAAGATTTGTTTTCTACACCAAACTCACCTATCGAAGTCCCCGGACTGGGGAGCGGGAGGGGTGTTGGGCGGTGTTGGATTTCCAGGTAACCTCTCTGACCGACCAATCGAAATCCCTCTCGGAAGAAAGCGCTTCACTAGCTTATCTCATCTAACCAATTAGAAGCCTTAGGACTCAAAGACCCTCGACGCCCCCACCTTATCGACCAATCAGAGCGCCCCCTTACAAAGGCCGGCAGCAGTGACAGCCAATGAAAATAGAATTTGGCCTAACACCCCTCCTTCCTCGCCTCACGCCCACGTGGTGCGCCGGGGGTGTGTACGCCATGAGGGGGAGGAAGCCGAGAAGCACCTCCCACTGAAGCCGGCGGTAACCGCCCCACGCGAGACCACCCACCAGCCAGGAGCGGTCGCAGGACCCGCAGCGGCGCGAGGCCTTGTTTACACCGACTGCCGCCACTGCGTTGGCCAACCGCTCCTCCGTCACGCGCTTCGCTCGTCACGCATCTCGCGGCTTCCTGGCCGGCGGGCTGCAAACGTCACACGACGGCCCCGCCCCCTTGGCCAGCCAACTGGACAGCGGAGCACGATGATTGATAGGTAGGCGGGAGAATGCGCGAGGTGCCTGAGGGGAGGAGAAAGTGCACACCCAAGGAGGGCTGTTAGCTCTTGCTGGGGAGGAGTAAGTGGGAACTGCCAGCTTCCTGAATCAGAGACAGCCGAACTAGGCGTAACGGCTGAGAGGCGGGGCTTAAAAAAGAAACGTTTGGTGGTTCGCTACCGAGAGGTATTTTAGCAAGGGATATAATTTACTGTCTGTCCCTAAAGATCATTTGGCATCGCACTTTTCAGACAGTGCCCAAGGGCCTCCTTTCTCCCCACTGCTTCCCCTGTCCAGCTGGAGCCGTTCTTCTGTCGCTGGCCGCAGCTCCAGTCGGTTCTGCCCTAAGGGGTGCCCAGCGTCCCAGTAGACCTCCATACCGTCCTTCCGGGCTTAGCTTTTGGAAGCCTTGCTCTTGGGACGGTCCCCTTTTAGACCTCCCTTTATCCGGTCTGACAATTTTTTAAGACAATCCCTGGCTTTCCGCCGCGGTCTTTGCAGACGTTCCCTAATACACGCGTCTTTCTGTCAAAGCTTTTCCGGTTCCGCTGTCCCCTTTGACGCTCCCTTGGCCCTCCGGGATTTGCAGACCTTCGCTAGTCCCTCTGTCCTCGCGGTGCCTCTCCGCCCCCGGCCGCGGGTCCAGGGTGCGCGCTCGCCGCCTCCTGCCCCCTCCTGCCCCCTCCTGCGGGTTTATGAGTAACAAGCCTGAGTCCAAGGCCGGGAGTTGCCACATCTCTGATCCTCGCCCTGGCTGGGTGGGGACGTGTGGGTTGAATGACCTTGCTGTCTCGGGCTCAGAGGCTCAGGGTCCGAGCTGAACTTCATTCCCTGCAGCCTGCACTTCCTTGGGAAAGCTGCGAGCTTCCCTCCGCCCGCTCCTGAGGGCAGGGATGGGAGCGAGGGCTCGTGGCCTTCTTGGGCCCTCCTGGGGCCTCTCCCAGTGAGGGCGAGGGTTTGGCCAGCTTTCGGGCGACGTCTCCTAGTCTCTAGATCCGGAGACCTGAGCTTGTCACCAGGGCTAGCTTTGATGGCCTCTGCGCTTAGAAGGGTCCTGAATGTTTGGTTTAATGTTCTAGTGTTAACGGTCTTGAAATTATTAGTAATTTTAAAGCAAGTGCCTGGTATTTTCATCTTGCACTCGGCTCCACTGATTATGTAGGCGGTCTGCTGGGCGCCCATCCTCTATTGCCAGATTACTTACTATCTGTGCTTTAACGTTTATTGAGACTTTAGGATTCCGTGGTTTCTGGGTTATCCAGCCTGGAAAATCGGGATCTTTATTTATTGATTGATTTTACCTGCGTTCTCCCAGAATGTGACGGAATCATTTTTTTTTTTTATTATACTCTAAGTTTTAGGGTACATGTGCACATTGTGCAGGTTAGTTACATATGTATACATGTGCCATGCTGGTGCGCTGCACCACTAACGTGTCATCTAGCATTAGGTATATCTCCCAATGCTATCCCTCCCCCCTCCCCCGACCCCACCACAGTCCCCAGAGTGTGATATTCCCCTTCCTGTGTCCATGTGATCTCATTGTTCAATTCCCACCTATGAGTGAGAATATGCGGTGTTTGGTTTTTTGTTCTTGCGATAGTTTACTGAGAATGATGGTTTCCAATTTCATCCATGTCCCTACAAAGGACATGAACTCATCATTTTTTATGGCTGCATAGTATTCCATGGTGTATATGTGCCACATTTTCTTAATCCAGTCTATCATTGTTGGACATTTGGGTTGGTTCCAAGTCTTTGCTATTGTGAATAGTGCCGCAATAAACATACGTGTGCATGTGTCTTTATAGCAGCATGATTTATAGTCCTTTGGGTATATACCCAGTAATGGGATGGCTGGGTCAAATGGTATTTCTAGTTCTAGATCCCTGAGGAATCGCCACACTGACTTCCACAATGGTTGAACTAGTTTACAGTCCCACCAACAGTGTAAAAGTGTTCCTATTTCTCCACATCCTCTCCAGCACCTGTTGTTTCCTGACTTTTTAATGATTGCCATTCTAACTGGTGTGAGATGATATCTCATAGTGGTTTTGATTTGCATTTCTCTGATGGCCAGTGATGATGAGCATTTCTTCATGTGTTTTTTGGCTGCATAAATGTCTGCTTTTGAGAAGTGTCTGTTCATGTCCTTCGCCCACTTTTTGATGGGGTTGTTTGTTTTTTTCTTGTAAATTTGTTTGAGTTCATTGTAGATTCTGGATATTAGCCCTTTGTCAGATGAGTAGGTTGCGAAAATTTTCTCCCATGTTGTAGGTTGCCTGTTCACTCTGATGGTAGTTTCTTTTGCTGTGCAGAAGCTCTTTAGTTTAATTAGATCCCATTTGTCATCCTCCCTAACTCATTTTATGAGGCCAGCATCATTCTGATACCAAAGCCGGGCAGAGACACAACCAAAAAAGAGAATTTTAGACCAATATCCTTGATGAACATTGATGCAAAAATCCTCAATAAAATACTGGCAAACCGAATCCAGCAGCACATCAAAAAGCTTATCGACCATGATCAAGTGGGCTTCATCCCTGGGATGCAAGGCTGGTTCAATATACGCAAATCAATAAATGTAATCCAGCATATAAACAGAGCCAAAGACAAAAACCACATGATTATCTCAATAGATGCAGAAAAAGCCTTTGACAAAATTCAACAACCCTTCATGCTAAAAACTCTCAATAAATTAGGTATTGATGGGACGTATTTCAAAATAATAAGAGCTATCTATGACAAACCCACAGCCAATATCATACTGAATGGGCAAAAACTGGAAGCATTCCCTTTGAAAACTGGCACAAGACAGGGATGCCCTCTCTCACCGCTCCTATTCAACATAGTGTTGGAAGTTCTGGCCAGGGCAATCAGGCAGGAGAAGGAAATAAAGGGTATTCAATTAGGAAAAGAGGAAGTCAAATTGTCCCTGTTTGCAGACGACATGATTGTTTATCTAGAAAACCCCATCGTCTCAGCCCAAAATCTCCTTAAGCTGATAAGCAACTTCAGCAAAGTCTCAGGACGGAATCATTTTTTAAAAAAATTGGCCGGGCGCGGTGGCTCACGCCTGTAATCCCAGCACTTTGGGAGGCCAAGGCGGGTGGATCACCTGAGGTCAGGAGTTCGAGACCAGCCTGGCCAACATGGTGAAACCCCGTCACTAAAAAAAAAAAAGCCGAGTGTGGTGGCATGCGCTTGTAATCCCAGCCACTCGAGAGGCTGAGGCAAGAGAATCGCTTGAACCCGGGAGGTGGAGGTTGCATTGAGCCGAGATCACGCCACTGCACTCCAGCCTGGGCTACAAAAGCGAAACTCCGTCACACACACACAAAAAACAATCAACCAACCAAACAAAAAACACCTATGCCTCTTCCGGTAGTTGATCTGCTGAAGAATCCTCCTCTAACAGCATTTAGTGCTTAACGCACAAGTGAGCTGGGCACGGTGGCTTACGACTGTAATTCCAGCACTGTGGGAGGCCGAGGAGGAGGATCATTTGTGGCCAGGAGTTCAAGGCCAGCCTGGGCAACATAGTGAGACCCAGTCTACAAAAAGAAAAAAAAAATAGCCGGCCATCGTGGCGCGTGCCTATGGTCCCAACTTACTTGGGAAGGATGAAGGAGGGAATCTTGAGCCTATGAGGTGGAGGCTGCAGTGAGCCATGATTGCTCCACTGTACTCCAGCCTGGGGATAGAGCTAAAGACTGTCTCTAAAAGAAAATCAACAAATGGCTCACTATTGTTCATTGTTTCAAATACAAACTTCCAAACCTGGATGTCTATTTTTAGTAACCTCATTTTTTGATATTTCTGCTAAGCAAATATGCCAATAAATAGCTTGTTTATTTTTACCTCTGCACCTTCCCAGGAGAATTTCTTATTAGAGGGAAGCTGTCTACAAAACTCCCTTCCTCACAGCCTTGCACTTTGACCCAGTAATACTGCTTCCAGAAATCTAGGCCGGACATGCATAAAAATTTATGTTCTACATAGCAATTATTGATAAAAGTGGAACACTGGAAACAAAGATCTAAATATCTTGCAATATGGGATTGTTAAATAAATTATGGTCCATGTAGTATAGACACAGAAATACCAGGTAGCTATTAAAATGGTGTTGTAGTCTTCAATTTTTTTTTAAGGTACCTATTCCTGGTATAGGTTTGTTGTAGCCTTCTATTTTTATACCATAGGAAATTGTGCAAACTACATTGTCAAGTTAAAAAAATAAAGATAATCATTTCTTCTGGTGACATGTAATAGATGCAAAAACGATGTGGTTTCATTTTTTCATTAGAAAGTATAATAGGCGTGGTAGCTCACACCTGTAATCCCAGTACTTTGAGAGGCTGAGGCGGGCAGCTCGCTTGACCACAGGAATTTGAGATCAGCCTGGGCAATGTGACGAAACCCCATCTCTACGAAAAATACAAAAACAAAATTGAGCTGGGCCTGTAGTCTTGGCTACCCAGGATGCTGAGGTGGAAGGATCACCTGAGTCTGGTCAAGGCTGCAGTGAGCCATGATTGCGCCACTGCACTTCATCCAGCCTGGGCGAGAATGAGACCCCGTCTCAAAGAAAAAAAAAAAAAGTATAATAATACCCAGCTCATTACATCATTAAACAAAGTGGGGAGGGCTTGCATGAACTGGTGACAAAGGTGTAGCTTCTACAAAGGATTATGATGAATACAGCTATAGCACCTGAGGTCCAGAAAAACGAACAAAAAACTTCTGTTAAACTTATCTCCTTAACAATTCATTTTTTGATTCTCTTTTCTCTTCTTCTTACAAATTAGTTTAAACCTGAATAAAATCTTTTAATTCAAGCTTTTGTAATATGGAACTTGTACATTATTGAGTAAAACATTTAAAAGTCATGGTAAATGTTAAAATAACTGAGGTTTTATGACAAAATTGAGTCCTTCACATCACATGGGAAAGAATATAAGATTAATCACTGGATTCATTGATTAATTTTTTTGCGTATAAAAGATTTTTTTTTTTTTTTTTTGAGATGGAGTCTTGCTCTGTCACCCAGGCTGGAGTGCAGTGGACCGATCTCGGCTCACTGCAAGCTCCGCCTCCCGGGTTCATGCTATTCTCCTGCCTCAGCCTCCCGAGTACCTGGGACTACAGGCGCCCGCCACCATGCCCGGCTAATTTTTTGTATTTTTCTTAGTAGAGACGGGGTTTCACCATGTTAGCCAGGATGGTCTCGATCTCCTGACCTCATGATCTGACCACCTAGGCCTCCCAAAGTGCTGGGATTACAGGTGTGAGCCACCACGCCTGGCAGCATATAAAAGATTTTTAAGCCTATGAACTTGATTATCTCACTATGACCTGTAATGTTTTTCAAAATGTGTAAGAGCATTTATATCTTAGGGTATACAGTGTGTCTATTGAAATAAATAAAATGGCATATCTTTAAAAATAATTATGGTGAAGTCATTTTGATAGACTAAATTTTGCCTATGCTGTCTTGATTTTGAAATTTGGTACGTTGCGTGGTTACAGTTTGTGAAGCACTTTTCATTTGGGTAACCTCTACTCTCTCCAGTTGCACTTAAAGTCACTTAAAGCCACAGAGAGGTTTTTCTACCTTCAGCACCCATTTTAGGACAATTTCTGGTAATTGCTAAGTAAATGTCAGCTAGTTGACTTCCTGCCTGACCTGTCTTGGCCTGTTTCCTGCTCATTAGCATCTCCACTAGAGGGCAGGCTGGGCTGCTGAGGAGAGAAGGAAAGGAGTGTTTTCATTCTCTAGCTAACCCTGTCCTCCTCTCCTCTACTGCAGCTCCCAGCTTGGTGACCACACAGAGCTCCTGGGACAGTTCCGTGTTTGGAGTGACTGATGCTCATACATGTGTTTGAACATTGCCTTATAGTATTCTCTGTGTCGATGGAAATGGAGAGTGTGCTAATAATTTACCTAGGGACTTAAAATGTGTTGACTAGAAAGCCACTAAGTAACTATGGGATGTTCTAATACTCTCATGTCTTGTGTCTGTAAGAATCAGATTTTTCTGTGTGTAGGGTAGGAGCTATAGATGTAATATAAGTAAATACCCTTTAGTGGCCCGGGGTAGTGGCTCACACCTGTAATCCCAGCACTTTGAGAGGCTGAGGCAGGTGGATTGCTTGAAACCAGGAGTTCAAGACCAGCCTGGGCAACATAGTGAGACCCCATCTCTAAAAAAAAAAAAAAAATTAGCCAGGTGTGGTGGCTTACACCTGTAGCTACTCGGGAGGCTGAGGCAAGAGGATCATTTGAGCCCAGGAATTCAAGGCTGCAGTGAGCTGTGATCACGCTACTGCATTACAGCCTGGGCAACAAAGCAAGACCATGTTTCCAGAAAACCCTTTAGCCCTGATTTTGAATAGAACATGTCAGTATGAGTTCATGAGGTTTTATCTTCTGTCGCTATCCACCAAAAAGATCTAGAAACAATGACCAATCCAGTATCAATGAACACTCCTAGCATCCAGATTGTGGTCTTAAAACGCCATTTCCCCCTGAAAGAAGCCAGAGCTTCTTAGAGAAAAAGCTGATTCCAGGTTTGGGGAAGGAAATGAACACAATGAGCATGGAGCAACTTATACCAGATAGCCGGGAAGCAAGGAGTATGTATCATGTCAAAAGGACTCAGCTCTTTTTGGCCTAGCTTCCATAGCCAAATGTGGGACAATTTGAACATTTAATAAGGTCAATTTAATAAACACTAAGTATGTTTAAATCCATGAGTTCATAATGTTTGTGTGTAACTAACTGGTTACCTTTTCAAAGGATAATAGGAAATCAAATCATTTTTTTGAAGATGATAAATAAAGATAAAGAATTAAGCAGTTATCCTGCTGTTTCTATATAAACAATACCATAGGGTAATGAAATAGAAGTGTCCATTTTATAAAATTATTGCAATGTTATGACAACTCAAATATGGCTGTTTTGCAATCCCTAGTGAGTTAATGCATTTAGACACTGAACATCTGAGTCTGGATTCGTCAATGGGTAAATTGAAGGAAAAGAAAGGAATGGAGGGGGAATCTGTAGACTGATAGAGACTTGAAAGACATATGAAAAAAATTTTAAATGGGAGCAAAGCTAAACTATAGTGTCTAAGGATCTACATTTAGGTGATCAAACTATAAAAAAATGCAAAGAAGTAATTATTACTCACCATAGTATCCACTATGGCAGGAAGGGGTGGCTATGATAGAGATGGGCAACAGGGTCGGGGCGGGGCGGGGCTGGGTTGGTGTCTGCAAAGTTCTGTTTCTTTCCCTGGGTAGTGTTCCAAAGGTGTTCACTTTATGATAGTTTATTCAGCCATAACTTTGTTTTAGATGGTCTTCTGTATCTGTGTTTTATTTTAAAATAAAAAGATTATAATGTGTTAACTATATTTTATCAGTTATCTGGAGCTGAAGGGCATGCAGCCCCATTTTATTCTAATTAATAAAAATAATTTTTAAGGCTAACACTTTCTTGTCCCTGTGCATTTAGAAGATACCAGAAAGGTGCCTGGAACCCCAGTTCCCTGCCTCTTAGCTGGAGGGATTTATTTTTAAATCTATTTTCTTTCTCTCCTAGATTTTATTTACATTGCTCATGTTCCTTTTAAACTGTAGAGTCAGCAATATGTAATATACGCTTACAGGGCCTACTCTAATCATTATAAAGTGGAAAGGTGATGATAGCTAACATGTATTAAATGGTTATTCGGTGCCAGGCATAGTTCTGAGTGCTTTATTCCACTGACTCTTTTAATCTTCCCAACAAGACTGTAAAGTGTAGGCATTTCCATTTTACAGATGAAGCAACTGAGAGGCACCTCTGGCTCAAGTCTACTATGTGTTTAATACCTGTGCTATGTTGCTTTTGACGGTATTCAGTTATCATATGCTATTTATGAAGCTAAGGATTTGGCTGTGTTTTATTATTATTTTTAAATTTTTAAATTTATTTATTTATTTATTTTTTTTTTGAGACAGAGTCTCACTCTGTCGCCTAGGCTGGAGTGCAGTGGTGTGATCTCAGCTCACTGCAACCTCAGCCTCCCAGTTTCAAGTGATTCTCCCGCCTCAGCTTCCTGAGTAGCTGGAATTACAGGCATGGGCCACCATGCCTGGCTAATTTTTGTATTTTTAGTAGAGATGGGGTTTCACCATGTTGGTCTAGCTGGTCTCAAACTGCTGACCTCAGGTGATCTGCCCACCTCGGCCTCCCAAAGTGTGAGCCACCGCGCCTGGCTGGCTGTGTTTTAAAGTACAATATACTCCACTGCTAACTTTGTTCTAACCTCTGTTCCACTCTGACCTTTAGATTTTTACACATTCTGGCTGGTCACTGGCATTTCCTATGAGAACACTTGGTGTTTCCTCTTCTAGTTTTTTCCTTTGAGGGAGTTCCCAATAATTCCATTTTATTTGTTGAAGTTTGTTCCCTTTTTCTGGGTAAAGACTACCACACTACCCACCTTAGGTTATACATTCTCTCAGCCTGATCCAGATTGCACAGAAGTTATCCTAAGCTGATGCCCCTGACTCATGTGAGATCATTGCACTGTTTTCCTGATTACTCTCCAAAGTTTATTTCAGATGAATTTAGGCTACTCTAAACTGTAGTTCGCAGACCGGCAGCATCAGCATTACCCAGGAGCTTGTAAGGAAAACAAAATCTTGAGGCTACTACAGACTTGCTGAGTGACAATCTGCATTTTAACAAGATCTCCAGGTGATTCAAAGGCACTTTTAAGTTTGAGAAACACGGAATAGGTGACTTTTTATTTTTTTATTTTTTTGAGACAGAGTCTTGCTCTGTCCCCCAGGCTGGAGTGCAATGGCATGATCTAGGCTTACTGCAACCTCTGCCTCCTGAGTTCAAGTGATTGTCCTAAATAGCTGGGATTACAGGCACCTGCCATCATGCCCAGCTAATTTTTGTATTTTTGTAGAGAAGGGGTTTCACCGTGTTGGCCACGCTGGTCTTGAACTCCCAACCTCAGGTGATCCGCCCTCCTTGGCCTCCCAAAGTGCTGGGATTATAGGCATGAGCCACTGCGCCCGGTGGAATAGGTGACTTCTAAGGTCCTTGCAGTTGTAGATGTCTATACTACTATGAAAGACATGTCTTTGCAGTTTTATCACTTTAACCCTTAGCTCTATTGTTTACTAACTGTGAAGCTTTGGACAAATTACTTGACCTCTCTGTGCCTTTGTTACTTCATCTGTAAAATGGTAATTCCCCCAAAGGGTTGTTAGGTATGTGCTTAGAACACTGCCTTGTTGGGAATAGGCCCCCAAAATCTGGCCATAAACTGGCCCCAAAACTGGCCATAAGCAAAATCTCTGCAGCACTGTGACATGTTTGTGATGGCCATGACACCCACACTGGAAGGTTGTGGGTTCACCGGAATGAGGGCAAGGAACACATGGCCCACCCTGGGCAGAAAACCGCTTAAAGGTATTCTTAAACCATAAACAATAGCATGAGCGATCTGTGCCTTAAGGACATGCTCCTGCTGCAGATAACCAGCCAGAGCCCATCTCTTCATTTTGGCCCATCCCTTTGTTTCCCGTAAGGAATACTTTTAGTTAATCTATAAAAACAATGCTTATCACTGACTTGCTGTCAATAAACACGTGGGTAAATCTCTGTTCGAGGCTGTCAGCTCTGAAGGCTGTGAGACCCCTGATTTCCCACTCCACACCTCTATATTTCTGTGTGCGTGTTTTTAATTCCTCTAGCACTGCTGGGTTAGGGTCTCCTTGACAGAGCTGGTCTCAGCAGTGCCTGGCATAAAGAAGGTGCCACAGAAGTGTTGTTAGCTGTCCTAATATTGAATATGCTTCCATGAATACTATGCAGCTCCCAGTGCCAGGTCAGGCAGGGGGAAGAACAAATTCGAGAACTGACAATGAAGCCACTTCACTGGAGAATGGAGTTGTAGAGGCTTCTGCAATCTAAGTGGGAGATCAGGAATTTTAGGCTTGGGGGCTGTACTGAGCAGCTTGCTGAGGCCCTCAGTTTTTTTTTTGTTTTGTTTTGTTTTGTTTTTTTTTTTTGTGACGGAGTTTCGCTCTGTTGCCCAGACTGGAGTGTGCAGTGGCACGACCTTGGTTTACTGCAACCTCTGCCTCCTGGGTTCACACCATTCTCCTGCCTCAGCTTCCCAAATAGCTAGGACTACAGGCGCCCGCCACCACTCCCGGTTAATTTTTTTTTTTTTTTTGTATTTTTAGTAGCGATAGGGTTTCACCGTGTTAGCCCGGATGGTCTCAATCCCCTGACCTCGTGATCTGTGCGCCTCAGCCTCCCAAAGTGCTGGGATTACAGGCGTGAACCACCACACCCAGCCTCACCATTTTTTTTTTTTTAAGAACTCAGGACATAGAGTGGATAGTGCCTTCTCCCAGCAATTCCTATGTCTGTGACCCAGTGCTAGAGCTACCTGTAAAACAGATCTTTGATTGTGCCAGGCTGTGCTTCTTCTAGGGGCTGGAAGAAGATGATTGTGAGACAGGTGTTAGAGGGAAGCCTGTGAAGATAGGTGGGAAATGAAAACAGCACAAATCTTGTGTAAAATAGATAAGCATCTCTTATTATTGGACAGTCTTTGTGGGAAGGTCTATGGCACATTGAAGATGTTAGTTAATATCAAATTGCTCATATTTTCTGCAAGGTGCCTTCCCTATTCCCAGATGAGGGTGCTATGTCCTCTTGCTAGACTAGGGCCTCAGGTCACATTTTGTGCACACGTCTCTCCAGGGCCTCAAGCTCAGCCAACACCTCTTTGGGCAGATCCTGGTTGACCTGCTCTGTCAGGTAGCTCCGAATGTCACGAACCTCCTGTTCCCAGAAGTCCTTGGGGAGGGAGAACAGCTGAGTGGTGTCTATAGCTCTGAGGCCGCTGAGATCCAAGGCTCCTTCCTTTGGCACCAGCCCAATGGGTGTCTCTCGGGCACTGTCCTCCCCCTCTAACCGCCGGCAGATCCAGTCTAGCACCCGAGCATTCTCCCCAAAGCCTGGCCACAGGAAGTGCCCTGCCTCGTCACGCCGGAACCAGTTGACATGGAAGATACGGGGCAGCTGGGCCCCCTTGCGCCCTTCCATGCTCAGCCAGTGTTCCAGGTAGTGCCCGAAGTTGTAGCCAAAAAAGGGCCGCATGGCAAATGGGTCGTGCATGATGATCTTCCCTGGGGGGGAAGCAAGATGGGTAAGGAATCTTCCTTCTCACTGGGGTAGGGAAGGGCACCCTGCATCCAGTTGGAGGAAGCTGTGAAAGGCTTATGGTTCTGAATATCTTCAGGGATGGGGAAAAGATAGAAGTGGGAAGAGGTGGGGCCATATCAGACTCCAGGGGTGGACAAAAGGAAGGTCTGGCTCAGGAAGGGAGAGAGGACGTGCTGTGTGCACACACAGGAGAGGGAGGAATGGTGAGGGTGCTCACCTTTGTGTTCTGCTGCAGCAGTGGACTCAGAGCGCATGGCGCTGCCCACAAACACCCCATGACGCCAGTTGAAGGCCTCGTATACCAGGGGTACCCCTAGATCACCAATGAACAGAGTCACAGGCAGCCCTTTTCTTTGGACCCTAACTCCAGCCCTTCTGGTGAGCTTGACTGGTACTCTCTCTCCTAAGACCTCGGCTATCCCATTTTCAGACCCTTTGCCTCCTCCCAAGTTTGCATTCACCAGGGGAGAACTCTGGAGAAAGGTGAGATCCAGGCTGAGGCTCTGGATCAGAGGGAGGGAGGTAGGCCCTAATACAGAGATAGCCCTTTTGCCAAGAACATGGAGCTCATATGTTGTTTACCTTTGGGTCTGCGGCCACCAAAGATGATGGCGTCAATGGGGACACCCTCTGGGGCCTCCCAGGCTGGGTCCATGATGGGGCACTGGCGAGCCGGGGCACAAAATCGAGAGTTGGGATGTGCACAGGGCTCCTTGTCACCTGGCAGAGGAAATACAAACACTATTATTTCCAAGGTCATGTCGACCCCCAACACACACATACATGGGCACACATTCTTGCAGGGTTCTTTTTTTTTTTTTGCCTCATCAGCTGCCTAGAACCTTGTGTGATAAGGAGCAGAGAGAGGGGAGCCAGGGCATCTCCAAGAGCTCAGGTTGTTTAGCCATGAAGGTGCGGCCAGCTGAGCTATGTGAGAAAAGAGTGGGAGAGGAATTGGGGTTTGGCAGGGCACTAATGTTTGTGCCAAGCTACTGGCACTTGGCACTGACCAGGGCTCAAGGGAATGGGGTTAGATATGGGCATAAGGTTATAATAATTTTTCCCCCAGAAACTATTTCATTATTTGTGAGATTATTATTTAAATGAATACCCAAACCTAAAGCAAAAACTGAGAATGTCAGCTTAGTACTTCAGACAATTGACTTTCCGTCAGCAAACCGGGGAAGACAGGTTCTCCTAAGTTATCCAAATGCAAATAGGAATTTATTTTATCTTTTTATTTTTGAGGCAGAGTCTTGCTCTGTTGCCCAGGCTGTAGTGCAGTGGTGCAATCTTGGCTTACTGCAACCTCCGCCTCCCAGGTTCAAACAATTCTCCTACCTCAGCCTCCCCAGTAGCTGGGATTACAGGCACCCACCACCATGCCTGGCTGATTTTTTTGTATTTTTAATAGAGATGGGGTTTCACCATGTTGGCCAGGCTGGTTTCAAACTCCTGACCTTAACTGATCTGCCCACCTTGGCCTCCCAAAGTAGTAGGATTACAGGCATGAGCCACTGCGCCTGGCCTGATTTTATTTACTTAATTAATTTAGTTATGAGACGGAGTCTCACTCTGTCACCAGGCTGGAGTGCAGTGGCATGATCTTGTCTCACTGCAACCTCTGCCTCCTGGGATCAAGCAATTTTCCTGCCTCCTGAGTAGCTGGGATTACAGGCATGAGCCACCATGCCTGGCTAATTTTTGTATTTTATTGGAGACGGGGTTTTGCCATGTTGCCAGGCTGGTCTCGAACTCCTGACCTCAGGTGATCCAACTGCCTCGGCCTCCCAAAGTGCTGGGATTACAGATGTGAGTCACTGTGCCCTGCAAGGAATTGATTTTAAAGCTAACAACATGTTGGTGATTTCCCTGCCCTGCTTAGACCCTGATGAAGTGATAGGGCTGGAAAAATAGAGATAGGGATATCACATGGGTAGGGATAACCTCAGGAGCCCAGGTCACACTTGGCACCTTCAGGTGTCCTGGAGGGGGGTTGGGACTAAGTCAGTGGCACATGTATGAAGCACCACTGTGTGGCCCCTGAGTGGACATGGTGCCTTCTCTGCTGGAGGTTGCTGGTCAGACCTGGGGAGTGGGGAAGCCACGGGGCCAAAATCCCCACCCTCTCCCATCCGCCAGCTTCTGCCCGCCATTGCAGATAAGAGCCATCCTTCTTCAGCACCCAGTGCAGAATCCTAACACAGGGTATTATTCTGGGAATTGAAGCTGGGGACAAGATGCCCTAGTTATGCCCCCAAATCTGGAGATGATGAAAGGGTTGGGGAACTAGCCTGTGGGGAAAGATGAAAGTTTCTTGGATTTCTCAGTTGGGTGGGAAGGCTGAGGGGGGCTTAATGATGGTGTTAGTAAAAATAAAGGGTGATTAGATGAAGCAAGGAGGGTGACTGCTAGGCCAGCCTGGCAAACCTGAATATAGGCTTCAGTGACTACAAGGCCAGCCTCCCCTCCCATGCTCTTCTTTGCCCCTGCCTCTTGGTGTCTGGACTGCCTGACTGCAGAAGGCCATGGAAAGAATACTGAAGGTCCAGAGTGCAGGGCTGAGGGAGAGGTGGGACTCCCAGGCGCCCAGGGTAATGACAGGATTCAGAAACTAGCTTCTGGGAAAGACTCAAGCACTGACCTGATTTTGTTTGTAGGAAGGATTGGGGTGAATGCTTTGGAGGGACAGGGGAAGGGTGACGGTAACAATACTGACCTTTAGACAGTGGTTATTATACAGGGGACAGTGGGAGCCAAGTGGCAGGAGGAGAGTTGGAGCAGAGGAGGCAGCTTTCCTCTTTTCCTAATGGGCCAAACTTTATGGATAGTGCTTGGAGCCCAATACCTTCTGTAAGAATGTTCAAAAGTCCTTCCTTTTCCTTTCATTAAAAAAAAATCCAGCCTGTATTTATTATTGAGAATTTACTGTGTATTTGTCAGTGTGATAAACCCTTTTTATGCACTATTTAATCCTCCAACAATCTCATGAGATAGGTACTATCACAACTACCCTCATTCAACTGATGTGGAAACTAAAGCTTAGGGAAGTTGAGCAACTTAGCCAGATCACAAAACCAGTGACTGGTGGAGTTGGGACATGAACTGAGATTTTGCCTGGGACTGGAAACTGCAAACGTTCATGACTTCTGTGCCTCCTGGCAGTCCTAGAAGATGGTTGGAGGTTGTGGAGAAAGCTTTTCCACCATTAAGGTGCTGAGGCCTGGAGGCTGTGCCACACCTTCCCCACCGCACATACCAGGTTTCCAGGGTTTGCCCAGCCAGGAGGTCACAGTAACACCAGGTGGAAGAGGCTGGTCAATGCCCTCCCAGTACACGCCACCATCACTGGTCTCAGCCACATTGGTAAAAATAGTGTTACTCTGGATTGTAGCCATGGCGTTGGGATTGGTGGTGGCAGAGGTACCAGGGGCAACCCCAAAGAAGCCGTTCTCAGGGTTGATGGCCCGGAGTCGACCTGTTAGGAGAAGTGAAAGAAAGGAAGGACCAAACAAGGAAAACTTGAGATGTAAGACCAAAGAAGGTCCTGCTCCACCCACCCCTGTCCTGAGATGGACCCAAGATCTGATGAGGAAAGGCTGTCTCTCGGGTGGCTGGGCTGCCAGAGGAATGGAGCAGGGTTGGGTGTTCAGGAAACTTTCTCACTGACAAAGTCATTGTGAACACTAGAGAGGAGACCCCGAGGCTCTGACAAGAGCCAGAACCAAGAGTATGATCTGAGAGTCCCTCACCTTCACTGTCAAACCTCATCCAAGCAATATCATCCCCCACACACTCCACTTTCCAGCCTGGCAGTGCAGGCCGCATCATAGCCAGGTTGGTCTTGCCACAGGCACTAGGGAAGGCGGCTGCCACATAGCGCTTCTTCCCTGCAGGGCTGGTGATGCCCAGGATCTGTGCATTGGGGAGAGAGGGAATAAGAAAGAGGTCACCAAAAGTCAGGGCATGGTCTGCATGGGGAAGGGCAGCTAGGGTCTAATAGGGAGGACCAATGTTTATTAACTATATAAGTGATTGCCCTGCCATCAGGCCTGGGTTAGTGGCAGGGGAAACCTCAACATTCAGCAGCCTGAGGCCAAAGCTTTGGGCCTTCAAGTAGAGTCCCCGCCCACCAGCCTGGCACCTGGCAGGAGGGAGGTGAGGCTGAGGCAGACTGGCCAGGCCCCACCCCTGCCCTGTCCCCGGCAGCTGCCCTGCTTCTCACCAGGCCCTCACCAGCATGTGCTCTGCCAGCCAGCCCTCATCCCGGGCCAGCCGAGAGGCGATGCGTAGGGCAAAGCACTTCTTGCCCAGCAGGGAGTTGCCACCATAGCCGCTGCCGAAGGAGATGATCTCCCGCTGGTCGGGCACGTGGCCAATCAGGGTTTTCTCTGGGTTGCACGGCCACTGGCTCACTGGCTCCCCTGGGGACAATGGGGTCATGGGGCTGCTGGCAGCAGCATCAGGAACTGGGGTGTCGGGGCCAGAGGGATCAGGGATTGGCAGGAGAGACACTTGGGAGCAGTAGCAGCACCAAGAGGTGGCTGAAGCCCCCCACCTCATAATAACCATCAGCTTCCATGCCCCTATTCTTGGACACGGATTTTTCTCAACCTAGTGCAAAGTGCTCTGCAAACACAGCCTTATCCCTCTGCTGGGACTGCTGCTCTGGATCTTGGGAATTAGGTTGCCAGAGAGGACAGGTTCTTAGGGTCTGTGGAGAGGTAGGATTTGGGATTTCCTCTGAGTACAAGAAGGCCTCTGTGTTCCCCTTGGGGCAGAGCAGGTGCTTACCTTGTCCTGTCAGGGGCTGGCCCACGGAGTGCAGACACTTGACAAAGTCACCATCTCCCAGGGCCTGAAGCACAGGTGTCCCCAGTCGGGTCATAATACGCATGCTTGCCACCACATAGGCTGAGTCAGTGAGCTGCACCCCGATGCGGGACAGCGGGGAGCCCACAGGACCCATGCTGAATGGAAGCACATACATGGTGCGGCCTGTGGAGGAAGGCATCCCCTGGATGAAGGGTTCCAAACCTGTTCACATCTTCCGTGCCCTTGCCACTGTGCCCCTGCCCTGGTTACCCTGCATGCAGCCTGGAAACCTCTCATCCACAGCTCGCTGGAAATCAGCTGGGGACATCCAGTTGCCCAGCTGCCCACGGGCCCCACCAGGCGGGAGTGGTACCGTGTCCCGCTGAGAAGGAGTTACAATCACCGTCTTGCTCTCTACTCGTGCCACATCCTTGGGGTCTGTGCGGGCCAGCCAGCTGGGGGAGAGGGGATTGTCAGGAAGATGGTGGCCAGCAGGTTTCCCTTGTCCCTAGACCCACTTTTTCAAGTCCAACTTTGACTCCAGGTCTTCTGTTGGCCTTATGTTTCCCCACCCAATCACATCTCAGTCCCTTCCTCCAGGCTTTGTCCCATCTAAGGGGTGTTCCCCAAGGTCCCAGCCCTCTGGGGGTCTCTGCCCCTGGCAAAAGCTCCCTGAACTGGTGAGGAAAAAAAAAAAAAGCAAAGGATCTTATTTATATCAGCTTCTTCATTTAACATTAAAATAAAATACAAACTACAAACTAGGCTGGGCGCAGTGGCTCATGCCTGTAATCCCAGCACTTTGGGAGGCTGAGGTGGGTGGATCACTTGAGGTTAGGAGTTTGAGACCAACCTGGCCAACATGGTGAAACCCTGTCTCTACTAAAAATACAAAAATCAGCTGGGTGTGGTGGCGCATGCTTGTAATCCCAGCTACTCCGGAGGCTGAGGCAGGAGAATTGCTTGAGACAATTCCCCGGAGGCAGAGGTTGTTGTGAGCTGAAATCATGCCACTGCACTCCAGCCTGGGTGATACAGTGAGACTCCATCTCAAAAAAAAAAAAAAATCCCAGTTTCTTTCTTTTTTTTTTTTGAGACAGAGTTTCGCTCTTATTGCCCAGGCTGGAGTGCAATGACGCGATCTTGGCTCACTGCAACCTCCGCCTCTTGGGTTTAAGTGATTCTCCTGCCTCACCCTCCCAAGTAGCTGGGATTACAGGCATGCGCTGCCATGCTGGGCTAATTTTTGTATTTTTTTTTTTTTTTTTCAGTAGAGACGGGGTTTCTCCATGTTGGTCAGGCTGGTCCCAAACTCCCGACACCTGGTGATCCACCCGCCTTGGCCTCTCAAAGTGCTGGGATTATAGGCGTAAGCAAATCCCAGTTTCTGGGTCTGTTTACCCCAAAGCTCTCATTCTTGTTCATTCCATTGGGATGTTCTAGTTAAGTTGATTTTGCCTTGGTGAACCCAAAGTGGCCTCAGTGCACCTATCCTGCAGGTTGTGGAGCCCAAGGCTTACCAGTTATTGTACTTGGGGAGCTTTCGGATGAGGCCCTGCTGCTCCAGCAGGGTCAGTGTGGCAGTATTCTCAGCCTCAGTTCCATCACAGATGTGGATGCCCTCTGGTTGGCACAGGCGGGCACTGTGCTCTACAAAATCTCGAATGCCAGTGGGAAGCTGGCCCAGATCTCCACTAAGCACTCGCAGGGTCTGGATGCTACGGCATGATGGCCAGCCCAAGGGGCTCAGCCCATGCCAGTTAAGCCTATAGGAGAAACAGAGGCAATGAGCTAGTTGCTGTCATCGAGAGTGGACAAGGCAGGTGGTGGAGAGACAGAAAGCTTGGGCTGCAGCCTGCTAAAACATGTCTGCATGCAGGGACCATGAAGAGCAGGTTGCAGTTGGTGTGTGGGATGTGTTCAGGACACATGTATCTTGTAGCCTTTATGAGGCTTGAGGAGGGTGTCTCCTGCTCAGCGAGGGACAGATATGGCCAAATGAGCAAAAAAGGCACATGCCTGGCTGTGTGGAAGTATACATGTAGGCATGCTGATGTTACTGCCTGTGTAGCCCATGCCCATGTTTAACTGTTTAATCAACGTTTAGAAATAAGTAGGGAGATGGCTGGGCACGGTGGCTCATGCCTGTAATCCCAGCACTTTGGGAGGCTGAGGCAGGTGGATCATGAGGTCAGGAGATCAAGACCATACTGGGCAACATGGTGAAACCCCATCTACTAAAAATATAAAAATTAGCCGGATGTGGTGGCGTGTGCCTCTAGTCCCAGCTACTCAGGAGGCTGAGGCAGGAGAATCGCTTGAACCCGGGAGGTGGAGGTTGCAGTGAGCCGAGATCGGGACACTGCACTCCAACCTGGGCGACAGAGCAAGACTCTGTCTCAAAAAAAAAAAAAAAAAAAAAAAAAAAAGAAATGAGTAGGGGCCTTTGGCCCAAGTGTCAAGACAAGAAGTTGGGCCCAGGTGACAATTTCATATGTCTGGTATTTGAAGCCTCATCCATTTTATTTCCATTTTCAAGTATAGTTTTTTATAAATTAAAATGGCAGCTGTGTTTATTCTTTCCTTCTGGTGTGTATGCTGTAAGACTATGAAAGCCCCAAGCAAAGGTCACAGTCTTTCCAGTGCCAGGTTTCTAGATGAGGGCTCTTGCACAGAGAATAGGTGACTGGATGCTGGGCTTCCAGGCCCTGATCTGCTGCTGCCCACTTGGACCAACAATGGTTGCATAAAATGTTGCCCTCGGGTAAGTATTTCTGAACTCTGCGGAAGGTTGACCACTGGGGAATGAGTGTCACTGGCTGGGGTTCATGGGCTTAATTCTCAGGAGGTCAGCGTCCTGTTGTCTGTCCTCTCATGGCCCTGGGAGACAGAGAAGCAACGTCTGCTCTGATTGGCCTGGACTCAAGGTGGAGTAAACCCGAGAGAGCAAAGACCATGAAGGGGATGTTACTCTCCTCCTCTATCAAGGCCTCGCCCATCAGAAACTGCCCCCACACCCAGGACCACGTGACCCCGTGCTTCCCCTGGCTCTTCTTCCTAGAGGCCACATGCCTAGAGAGCTTTGGTGTTGGTGGGAGGGTGGAACAGCAGCTTGCTGGCAGCTCAGACTCAGAGGGTGTTAGCCTGGGGAAGGAAGAAAGCTCAGAGCATGGATACGGGAGCTTGAGTCTGTCTGGGGTAGAAGCTGGGGTGGTTTCCGCTAAAGCAGGATAGATGATCAGTGTGGCCCCAGGGGCAGGGGAGGAGGGCTACTGGGACCTGGGTCTGTTCCTGCCTCAGAGGGAAGTTCTCCGTGAGCATCAGTTTTCAAGCACACAGTCTTGAGGACAGCCTCTCTCTCCCTGGAGCCTGGCTCACGTTATCTCTTGTGAAGCCCCCACACCCTCTTGCAGCCCTCTAAGTGGGACGTTTCCTTCAGAGACCACCCACAAGGGCTGCCCAAGTGGAACGGGCTGTGCGACAGATGTGGGTCACTTCCGACTCTGGGACAAAAGCTGAGAAGAGAGGCCTCAGAGAATAAATAGGAGACTAAGAGGACAGGCAGACAAACAGGACGAGCCTGGGGGCTCCAGGCCTGGACGGAGGAAGAAGCCAGCTATGTAAGAAACGAAGGCAACTTGGCGCCCTCCTCCCACCTTGCTTGCCTCCCTCCCCTGGGCCCAGGTCCCTCGGGCTGCTCTGGACTTCCCGCCAGGTTCCAGTCCTTCCAGTCCGGGAGAGGCCGGGAATGGATATTTAACCTTCCACCTTCTTTAGGGGGCTCTGAGCTTAGTCTCCCGGGGCTCACGTACCCTTGTCCCCAGGGCCCTGCTGCCTCTCGAAGTACCCTGGGGCGCTGGCTGAGAGCCCGTTAGAGGTCCGAGGGAGGTATCTGGGAAGGAAAGGAGGATATGCGGAGACCTGGCTCAGCAGAGAGGAGCGAGGAGAGAGAGGAAGTTCTGAGAGTGGCAGATAGAGATCGCGCGGTCAGAGGCGAGCGAGGCAGAGAAGGGGAGGTGCAGGCGGAAACGAGGAGCACCGGCCGGCTGCCCTCCCAAGAGACGCGCGGCGCGGGAGGCTGGACCCACAGCAGTCGCCCCTGCCCGCCTCCGCCTAGGATGGGAAACCTGGCGGAGGCTGAGAGCAGGAGAGCGCCACTGGCAGCCCCGAGGGGGCGAGCGCAGCGGAAGGTGCGGGTGGGCCCCGGGCCGGGGGTCACTCACCGCAGGCCAGGGCGGTACAATGCGGCCATGGCACCTGGGCAGGGGCTGCGGGGTGGCCAGGAACCGAGCGGAGCCGGGGAGGTATGGAAGGCGGGGAAGGAGGGAGCGCGGCGAAGCGAGCCACAGCAGAGGCTGGCGGGAGGCGCTTAAAAAGGAGGGGGGCAGGCGCGGGGGCGGAACCTGGTAGGGCTGGCACTAGCTTTCCTCCGCCCCGCTGGCAGGCCAGCTCCCTCGGCCCCGGGGCTCCAGGCTCCAGGTCAGCCCAGCCGCCGCCCCAACCCCTGCCTCCAAACCGCCAAACCCATCTCTCCCATTGGAGGACTGGGTCCACTCTTCGGCCCCCGACTTCGAGGCCCCGCCCCCCATCCGCCACCGCCCTCCCAGCCGCACATGATGTAACTTTGAGGACTCTTGCTCCCGGGAGAGACACTAGGTGGCAAACAAGCTAGGAACGAGGGGCGAGGCCAGGGGCGGGAGACTACAGGGGCCAGACGTCTAGAAGTTAGGGGGTTGGGCATTGCCTTTCCAGTTCCTCCTCCTGGGGACGCGACACCCTGAGTCCTGGGCCTTTCTGTAGTCCAAGTGCCCAATGCTAAGGTCCACTTAGTCCCCAACTCCTAAATCCCCGTTTCTCCTCCTGATCAAGGCTCCTTTCTGCCTTGCCATGAAATGGTGGAGTCTCTCTACCCCTGGGTCTCTTCCTTGGTCCTCTGATCTGGTCATTCTCCTCCCCCGGCACATCCCCTCTTCCCCTGACGGAGTCTTACTCTGTCACCCAGGCTGGAGTGCGTGCAGTGGCGCGATCTCGGCTCACTGCACACTCCGCCTCCCGGGTTCAAGCAATTCTCCTGTCTCAACCTGCAGAGTAGCTGGAATTACAGGCGCCTGCCACCACACTCGGCTGATTTTTTGTATTTTTTGTAAAGACGGGGTTTCTCCATGCTGGCCAAGCTGGTCTCCAACTCCTGACCTCGTGATCCGCCTGCCTTGGCCTCCCAAAGTGCTGGAATTTACAGGCGTGAGCCACCACGCCCGGCCTGGTCATTCTTTCTCTCCACAATCCAATGAGGAAACTCATCTGCCCACCCAACTACCATCATAAAGTCCTCAGGTGATTTCTCAAGCTATACCTCCATTGGGACATCTCTCTCCAACCTGAGACCACTGGATATCACCCACAATGCTATATAGCACCTCAAACTCAGCATATCTATGATGGGTGTCTGCTCAGCATCCACTCGCCTTTTCTGGTAATAGCACCCTGATTTTCTTTTGGGGAACCATCTCCTCAGTCTGTATTGTCATGTGGGTCTGATGTCACCCCTCTTGGGGGTAGGCTTGCAGCTTAGCCAACTTTTGTGTTCCTCACTCTGGCCACAGCAATCAAGGATGTTCAAGGATGGGCATGAGATCCCTCTCTGGGACTTTTTCTAAAACTTTGGAAGTTAGCTCTCTTTCTGCTGAGTTGCTGAGCTGGTAGAATATAAGCCTGGAGCTGCTGAGTGTTAGCTTGGCACTGCAAAGCAGGAACCTGGCTGAGACAGAAGCCAGCCTAGAGGAAGCAGAGCAGGGAGATGGCGAGCAATGGATTCCTGATTTCAGTTACAGGAATTGATGCATTTCTTCTCTTGCTCAAGCTAATTTTAATTGGAGTTCTGCCACTTGCAACAGAAACAGTCTTGATTCTCAGATTTCTTGGAGTTCTATGCTGGAACATAGTGGGATAAGGAGAGCTGGTCTCCAGCCACGGGCTTGCTACTGGTCCCCGTCTCTTCCCCCTCAGGCTCTAGCCTACACTCAACCTCAGGTATATGTATTTGGATCTCTTTCCCCCCAGTTCATAGATCCAAACTCTGTCCACACTTACCCAGCTGCAAACACATACCTCTTGGCCAACCTTTGGGCCTAAAGGTGTGCACACTGGTGGCAGCATGGTTGACCTGAAGGTCATCATCTTCTCCATAATCCTGCACCTGCTCTCATGGTTTCCTACCTCAGCAAATGGCACCATCATCTGGCCAGTTGCCCCAAAGGGAATCAGTCTAGACTATTCTTATCCTGCATAGCTAATCAGATGCCAGGACCTTTGGAATTGTACTTCTCAATTAGCCCTCAAGTCTGCAACTATCCCCATGGCCAGGGCCTTAGTTCAGGGCTTATCTCTCACCTGGCTTCAGGTGATAGCTTCTAAGGCACTTCTTGGACTCCTGCCTCTCCAAACACCAACCCCTCTCCCTACCAAGCCACTCCCCACACTGTGCATGCAAATCCACTTGGAAAGTTAAGAGAGAAGAATAATGTTTATGCTATGGACAGTAGGTGCCAGGCTCTGTGTCAGCAACTCTGCATGCATAATCTCATTCTGTTTCACAACTATATTTTACATATGTGGACACGGGCTTAAAGAGTCATTTGCTCGGTCACCCTAAGGGAAGAATCAAGGAAAAAGGGAGGCAGGACCCCAGAAGTATGCCAACATATAACACCCTAAATCAAAGGTCAAATGCCGCACTTGACCTCCAAGATGCCTGCTTGGGCCTCTTCCAAGTGTACTTTCCTTTCTTTCATTCCTGCTCTAAAGCTTTTTAATAAACTTCCATTCCTGTTCTGAAAAAAAATTATTCATGAATATTTTATACTTTTATCCTATTATGAATGAAATGTTCTAATTGTTTACCACAAGTACATACAAATAAAATTGCTTTGTGTATATTGAAAAAAAAAAGAGTCATTTGCTCAAAGTCACACAAATGGTTAGCAGGAGAAATGGAATCTGAATCCATATCTTTCTGACTCTAATTACCAAGTCCCCCTCTCCCTATAAATCCTATACTGTCCCCTTGATTTACCATTAAAAATTAGATCATATCACTCTTAAGCTTAAAATCTCTTCCAGGCTCTTTCCATCACATGATATCTTATGTCCTTCATAATCTGACTCCTATTTATCTAATGTTGTCACCCCCACATCCCCACTTGCCTCCTTTTCTCCTACGTACTGAACTCTGAAGTTTCCAGAGCACTTCTGTGAACTTTTTCTGGGCATCTGCACTCAAATTAAACACACACCATCCTGGCCAACATGGTGAAACCCCGTCTCTACTAAAAATACAAAAATTAGCTTGGTGTGGTGGCGCACGCCGGTAGTCCCAGCTACTCAGGAGGCTGAGGCAGGAGAATCGCTTGAACCCGGGAGGCGGAGGTTGCAGTGAGCCGAGATCGCACCACTGCACTCCAGCCTGGGCAACACAGTGAGACTCTGTCTCTAACACACACACACACACACACACACACACACACACACACACACACACAGGCCTTTTCTGTTCGTCCCTTAGAATGAACATCTATTTCATCTGTGTTGCTTCTATCCCATGTATATGCCTATATTTTTGTACTTTACTATACTGTAGTTACTTTTATATCTCTGTAATCCTCACTAGAGTGATGATTTCAGTCTTGTTTTTCTCCTAGTTCCCAGCAGTACCTGGCCTATAACAGGCACTTAATAAAAGTTGGTTGAATAAAAGAATGAATGAGTGCCACGTTTCTGAATTCTTCTTCCCCACCATTACTTTCTTCTCTAGCTTTAGGCAGATGGAGCAAGGGGCTCACGTGCAGATTTCCTTGCACTGCTCATTTCCCCTTATCTGCCACACACTTTTCTTTAGTTCCCTGCCGGGAGAGCCTGGCCCACCAGCTGGCCCTATGTCCAAGGAGTACCACCAGGGGGCAGAGTGTGATCTGCATTGTCCTCTCTGGGGCCTCTGGGTTCATCCCTGAAGTCTCACAGCCCGAGTAGTGATGCTGTGGTGTGTAGCCCAGATTCCCGCTTCAGGATCATGATGCTCATTGTTCCAGCTGCTGAGTGTTGGCTGCTGATAGCTCACAGCTGAGTACTTCCTTGAGCACTATCTGTGGCCAAAGGGAGCTGTCTCACCAAATGCAATGCCCGCTTCCTGGGGGCAGTATGTATCCAATGAATGGTTGTTATAAAGTACAGAGGCCTAGCCCTTTGTCTCAGTTTGGGACAACTCTGAAGGTCCATCCCAGCCCCAGAGCTCTTTAGGCTCAGCTGATTACAACTGCAGTGCCATTCAACTGTTCCCTCTCTTGGGTCCTGCTACTCTTTCTTTGAAAGTCCCCCCCCGTGCCCCCCCCCCCCCCCCGAGTAAACCACCTGCACACAAGTTTCTGTCTCAGAGTGTGCTTCCAGTTGCAAATATTCCTCAGGCTCAACTTGGTTACGGCATTAGTCCTCTAATCTGACTCTTATTTCATTGTTGCCTTCCTCCACAAACACAAAGTGCTGACATACGTGATCCTTCCGAACACAAATCTGATCACATCATGTCTCTACTGAAAACCCTTCAGTAGCTTCTCCCTGCTCTTAGAATAAAGCCCAAACCCTTAATGTGACCTCCCAGGCTCTGCATGATCTGGCCCCTGCTGACTTCTCCAGCCTCAGCTATCACTGTTCTTCCCACCTTCCAGGCTTTCTACTCTCTGGCTACGTGGATCTTTTCTCAGTTTTGTGAACATGTCTACATCTTTCCTGCCTCACAACCTTTGCATATGTTGTTTCTGCCGCCTGGAATTCCCACCCTGTCCACACCTCCAGGCAGGGTCACTTCTTATTCACCTGACCAGTCTTGGTTTAGCATGACTTTCTTAGGCAACCTGTCCCTGTGATGCATCCCCTCTGGCTTTGTATTAGAGTATGTCTTCGTGGAAGAAAATTTCATAGCACCCTGCCCTTCTTCTTCTTAGCACATTCATCTCTGTTTAAATGGTTTGTTTTTATGTAGACACATCTCTAACATATGTAGGACCTGCGGCAGGAGTACAAATAGAGGCCCTCAAACCTTGTGTTTAAATATTTAAAATGGGCTGGGTGTGGTGGCTCATGCCTTGTAATCCCAGCACTTTGGGAGGCAGAGGCTGGAGGATCACTTGAGCCCAGGAGTTTAAGACCAGCCTGAACAACATAGTGAGACTTCTTCTCTACAAAAAATAAAAAAGTAGCCAGGCATGGTGGTGTGCACCTGTAGTCCCAACTGCTTGGGAGACTAAAGTGGGAGATAGCTTGAGCCCAGGAGTTCAAGGCTGCAGTGAGCTATGATTGCACCACTGCACTCCAGCCTGGGTAACAGAGCGAGACCCTGTCTCAAAAAAAAAAGATTAAAATGTATAACTCAGGGTCGGCGCAGTGGCTCATGCCTATAACCCCAGCGCTTTGGGAGGCTGAGGCGGGTGGATCATTTGAGGTCAGGAGTTCAAGACCAGCCTGGCCAACATGAAACCCTGTCTCTACTAAAAATACAAAAATTAGGCCAGGCGCAGTGGCTCACGCCTGTAATCCCAGCACTTTGGGAGGCCGAGGCGGGCGGATCACGAGGTCAGGAGATCGAGACCATCTTGGCTAACCCAGTGAAACCCCATCTCTACTAAAAATACAAAAAAAAAATTAGCCAGGCATGGTGGCGGGTGCCTGTAGTTCCAGCCGGAGTCTGAGGCAGGAGAATGGCATGAACCTGGGAGGCGGAGCTTGCCGTCAGCCAAGATCGCGCCACTGCCCTCCAGCCTGGGGGACAGAGCAAGACTCTGTGAAAAAAAAAAAAAAAAAAAAAATTAGCCAGGCATGGTGGTGCATGTCTGCTACTTGATAGGCTGAGCCAGGAGAATCACTTGAACCCAGGAGACAGAGGTTGCAGTAAGCCGAGATCACACCACTGCACTCCAGCCAGGGCGACAGAGCTATCTCAAAAAAAAAAAAAAAAAAGTATAATTCAGGCTAACAAACTGTTACACAAAATATATTCTGTTCTTCTACCTTGACAAATATATTGACAAATACATACTTCACAATGGCCTGGAAGGCCAGGTTCAGATTTGTATTTTATTTGGAATCCTCAGGGTTCTGCACCAGAATGTGATGGTGTAGGGGGATGTAGTTTTGGCCACTGGCCCTCAGCTGGGCCCACTTTGCCTCCTACCCCTGACACCATCTTGGACTGCAAGGGGCCTTGTGTGGAACCATGTGGACCTCCCATCAGGCCATCCCAAGTCTGTCCACAGTCTCCTGCAAGCAGCTACCCCTTGTCTACCCTTTGACCTCAGAATGTGTGAACCAGTCATGTGGCCCAGCCGTGGGAGGGCAAACCCAGGGAAGAGGTTCACGTGGGCCCTAGGAGTGGGCTTGGGCCTTTTGGACAGGGAATGCTTAGCTATCTGGAGTGTGGTCCTGAGAGGATTAAGGTATGGGCAGAGGATAGTTGGACTCCTCACCCATGTGGTGGGACATAGCCAGAGGAGGCCAGAGTGGAGCCTTCTAAAGCACAGGGCCCAGGGCAGGGGCCACTCCTGCCTGGGCCTAAGGACAATAATTTATTTATTATTTTTTTTTTGAGACAGGGTTTCTTTCTGTCTCCAAAGCTAGAGTGCAGTGGCACCATCATGGCCCACTGCACCCTCATCCTCCCCAGGCTCCTGATCCTCCCACCTCAGTTTTTGTATTTTTAGTAGAGACAGGGTTTTGCCATGTTGCCCAGGCTGGTGTCGAACTTCTGGGCTCAAGCGATCCACCCATCTTGGCCTTCCAAAGTGCTAGGATTACAGGCATGAGCCTCTGCACCCAGCCAAAGGGCAATAATTTGATGTTTCTCTGTTTCATCAGTCTGTAAGTTTCTTGAAGTCAGGGCTGGTATTAGTGTAAGTTACTGAGGGGTCGCTAATGCCTTACTCAGGATGTGGTGCAGAATAGGTGTTTAATATGCATTTTTCAAAAGAATGTAGGAGGTACACCAAGAAGAGGTTGAGGATTTGGATCTATTACTGAAGATCTAGATACCATGAGCCAGAAGTAGGAATGAGAACCAGTCTTTCAGGGTTCCAAAAATGAGAGTGCAGGACAGAGGAGAGGAGGTAGCATCCTGGAATGCTGACTGTCTCATTTTCTCTCCTTCCTCTTCATTTTCTACCCCACTCCTGCAGGCCCTTTGCCTGCCTGCCCCTCTTTCCCCATGGTCCAATATCACTCCATCCATATCTTGCTACCTTTCTGTCCTTTGGCCACTGCTCTTCCTCTGTGGCCTATGTGTCTATTTCTTTGTATTGGTGTCTAGGTCTTGGTCCCCAATCTTATGTCCTGTCCCTTCCTTCTACCACTCTTACTGTTCTAGTCCTTGTTGTCCCCTACTCCCTTCTTGGTCCTCTCCTGGAAGACTTCCTTTCTTTATCCATCTCGTCCATGTGCCTACATCTTTCTGTCTCCTTTAATCCAAATCCCCATGGAGACCCTGACTTGTCCTGTCCTCTATCTCACATCTACACCTACTGCCTCCTTAGTCTCCTTCCTCTGTTCTATTATTCCTGGAGTCACACTGGCTTCATCTTTTTCATCCCTAGATGTCCTTGAGCCCATTAGTCTCAGTATTCATTTCTCAGTCTCCAGTGGATATGGGAGATGGGCTCTGCTTTCTGGGTCCCCACTGACTGCCACAGACTCTCCTCTCTGTGCCCTTGGTCCTTTCCTCTGGCCCAGACTGGGCCCAACCCTCACTCCCCCAGCTCCTTTCCCTGGTTTAGTGGTGCCTGGTCTGAGCCCCAAGCAGCTCAACTCGCCTGAGCTTGTTTAGTCTGACTCCCTTAGCCCGTTAGCAGCTTAGCCCTCCCACCTCTCCTTTGAGCCCTCCAGTAAACAAGAGGATCAGTGCAGACCTGACAGCTGCTGGTTGGGGGCAAGTGTCTGGCCAGGCCAGAGCAGGCATGAAAAAGGGGCTGCACTCAACACTTCCCATTCCTTCTTCAACCAGGGAAATTGTAGAGTCTCTTTCCTGGGTGTCCACTTTGGAGAGCTACATTCCATGGGCATGTGTGTGGGGTCCTGCCTCTCCATGATCCTCATTCCCATTTTGTGGTTGGTTCCTAGGCCTTAGGCTTTTTTATTCTTTTGAGAAAACAGCAGTAGATCCAGGCAGTCACACAGAGAAGCTTGAATGGTGACGATGGTTTCTGCTCCTTAAAACAGAAACCCAGGTGTGGGAAGAGAGTGATGTCATCTGATCTAGGTTTTCCAATATGTGTATGGAAAGCATGGTAGGAGAGACCACATACACATGCACAGACAGACATATATACATGCCTCCCCAGGGAAGCTGGGTAGACTGCAGGCATTCTGTGCAGTTCTCAAACTTTCTTTCTTTTCTCTTCTTTTTTTTTTGAGATGGAGTCTCTCTCTGTTGCCCAAGCTGGAGTGCAGGGGCACGATCTCGGCTCACTGCAACCTCCGCCTCCCAGGTTCAAGTGATTCTCCTGCCTCAGTAGGAGTAGCTGGCATTACAGGTGCCTGCCACTATGCCCAGCTAATTTTTGTATTTTTAGTAGAGATGGGGTTTCACCATGTTGGCCAGGCTGGTCTTGAACTCCTGACCTCAAGTGATCCGCCCACCTTGGCCTCCCAAAATGCTGGGATTACAGGCGTGCCTGGCCTTTAAACTTTCAAGCATGTCAGACTTGCTGGAAGGGCCTTAAAACACAGATTTCTGGGCCCCACCCCCGGAGTTTCTGACTCAGTAGATTTAAGGTGAGATCAGGTAACATGTATTTCTAGCAAGTTCCCAGGTGATATGGATGCTGCTGCTCTGGGGACCACACTTCAGAAACCACCTTCTTAGATAATCTGTATCTGCCAGCTTTTCCCCAACATATAAGGCTGGGACCAGGTTAAGTTTTATAAGTGATGACCTTTGGGGTCTGATGGACACCCAGGCCTCTGTGTTGAGAAAGAGGAACTATTAACCCCATGGGAGTATTTGGGTGGCCTCAGAAGGTAGGAAGTGGCCTTTAACTCCATAGACCCTATTTAAACAGCTTCGGACAGGTTTAAACATCTCCTTGGATAATTCCTAGTATCCCTGTTCCCACTCCTACTCAGGGATGATAGCTCTAAGAGGTGTTAGGGGATTAGGCTGAAAATGTAGGTCACCCCTCAGCCATCTGGGAACTAGAATGAGTGAGAGAGGAGAGAGGGGCAGAGACACACACAGGGAAAAGGTGAGAGAAAGCAGAGGGCATATGAGGCCAGTTACAAAAGTGTCTCCGACGGACTGGTGGTGATTAGATTTCAATGTCCCTTGAGGCCCAGAAGGAAGGAACAGAGTTCCCTGTTCTCTTTTTTCCTACTCTTTCTCCCAAGCTGGATTAGCAAGAATGGGAGAGACAAAATATGGTGGTCAAGTCCTGGAGATCCCCTGTGGGAAAAGTTGCTTTCCTTTCTGATGCGACGGCTATGAGGGGCATAAGACCAGTCAGCATGAAGATGGGGCAGAGGTAGAAATGTGAGGATTCTTGAAAATAGGAAACAGATCCAAAAGGCCCGGTGAGAGTGGGCGTGGGAGAGCTTATAGTCTCCAAAGACAGATGAGGGGCTGCAGGGCCTTGGAAGGTGGGGGTGCTGGGAGTTTGTCTGGTCCTCTTTTTCCAATCCCAGGCTATGCATGGCTAGGGCTGAGGGTTGTGTTCACATAGAGGGGTGGTGGTTCAGACCCATGTTTCTGTCCGAACTGGGAAACTGAGCACTTGGGAGTCGGATCATCAGTGAGGAGCTTTGTTGGGGAAGATGCTCCCTTTCCTTCTTTGAGAATAAGCACACTTGTACTCTCCTCTCTCTCCATTTCCCCCAACCCCAGGCCAATAAGATATGCAAATGATCTCCTTACCTTATTGGTTGGAGGCCTCAGGACCACAGATGACCTCAGAGAGCTGGCCCTTTAAGAATGCCCTTTGGGCTCTGTGCCCACAGCCCCCTGGAGCTGAGCAGAGGCACCAGGCCCTGCTCCATGGAGCCTTCAGTCTCCTGGGAAGCTGTGCCTGTCTGGCTCTGGCACTGACCACATCCTCTCGGCCATTTCTGAAGTGAGTATATCCAGGGCCTACCTGGGTGTCAGGCCGCTCACCTAGAACCCCCTCTTTAACACCTGCTCTCTGTTGTCTGTTTTCAAGAATCCTAACACCTTGGTACCCTACTCCACTCCCACCCTGACTGGCCTGTGTCCCTCACTGCTATCACGTCAGAAAGATAAACAACCTTCCCCACTACTCCTTCTGTACATCCAGTTCTTTCTGGATACCTCTCTCAGTGTCTCACCATCTCCTTTCTGCCAAGACCCAGTTCCTTTAATCTGTGTCTGTTTCCATCCCCTCTGTCCTCTCAAGGGTGACAGGTTCCATAGAGAGGGCAGCAACCCTGCCCTGGAACAGGAAGAGAGAGGCCTGGGTCTTCCTCTTTGCCTCTCTGGGTAGAGCCTGGGGGTCTGACATGTGGTTGGAAAGAAGGCTACCTAGGCTTGGGGCATCTAGAAGGAGCCGAAGTCTAAGCCCTGGGGATGAACACTCCATGCCGCGCACCTTCTGGGGGTGGGGTGGGAGTTACTGGAATTGGGAGCTGGACTAGAGCTTGGACTTCAAGGCTGGGAAGGGTATCTGAGGTCACCCAGCCAGAAGTTCCTCAGGTGAACATGTGCCCCATGATTGATAACAGACAGGAGAGTTCCTTGGTGACATAAGTTTAGGACACTTTTTGTTGAACTTGAACAGACGGTTTACTAAAGGATTGCTCAGGTTAATATGCTCTTGTGCTATGTGCATCTGTAAGAGGTAGGGATAGGAGGCAACATTTCTCAAAGTTATCTGAGCACAGACCTCTTCATAGGTATTGTTCAGAATCAGTGTTCTAGAGAACACTCTTTGGTATATGTTACAAAGTCTAACTGCCCTCATTGAACAGAAGGGAAAACGGGTCAGAAGGGTGAAGGTGATCTGCCAAGTTCACACAACGTAACAAGTTCTGAATAGAAGGAAAATCAATCTTGGTCTGTTCCCCTTGGAGAGACTGGCCTTGAGGAAAGATGGTGGCCAGTTGATTCTGATCTTTCTAGAACTAATTCTAGGACCTTTCTTTTTTCCATATAAAGCCTCTTGCCCCTACAAAAGGGATTCATTGATTGATTAATCCATAGAACAAATGTACACTGAGGGTCTTCTATAGGCAAGGCACTTCCCTGAGTGCTTTGAGAGACAGAGAGCTATAAGAACACATTATCCTTGGCTCTTAAAATTCACAGCATACATGCCTTCCCACTGTCCTAAAATATACACTCACTTTGTCACAGTTAATTAAGCAATTTAAAAAAATGGCTTGGAAATGGAATGATGCCTCTTGAGATGACAGACCTCTCGGCATGTCTCAGCACTAGGGTTGGGAGCACTGCCATACTGCTCTTGCTTTTCATAGATCCTGAGGCATCAGTGGGGCGAGAGGCTGTGCTGTCCTCTTCCTCCTTCAGGAATTCAGCTGCTTGTCCCCTGTCAGGAGCCCCTGCCCTCTGAAAGGTTACTCTTCAGCCTGGTGGGGACTCTGCAGTGAACAGAGCTGCACCATCCCTCTGGCTTTCCCAAACTCTTGCTCCAGGGCACTTGGGCTTTGAGGGAAGAGGGACTTGGTGAAGAGGGGATGGCAGGTGGCCTCCATGTGCTCCAGACCTCTCCTCCTCTTTGCAGGTGCACTCCTCCCAGCCCAGCTCCAGAATGGCCCTGCCCCCCAGCCCCCTGGCCATGGAATATGTCAATGACTTTGACTTGATGAAGTTTGAGGTAAAGCGGGAACCCTCTGAGGGCCGACCTGGCCCCCCTACAGCCTCACTGGGCTCCACACCTTACAGCTCAGTGCCTCCTTCACCCACCTTCAGTGAACCAGGCATGGTGGGGGCAACCGAGGGCACCCGGCCAGGCCTGGAGGAGCTGTACTGGCTGGCTACCCTGCAGCAGCAGCTGGGGGCTGGGGAGGCATTGGGGCTGAGTCCTGAAGAGGCCATGGAGCTGCTGCAGGGTCAGGGCCCAGTCCCTGTTGATGGGCCCCATGGCTACTACCCAGGGAGCCCAGAGGAGACAGGAGCCCAGCACGTCCAGGTGAGTGGTCAGCAAGCTGGCCTGAGGGGAGGCAGGGCAAGGAAGGAGGACTGCCCAAGAGAGGAAGGGGAGCTCCCAGAGGGGGTTATGGACTGGGACAGGGGACAGAGGGCAGGAGAAGGGGAGAAGGTCCCTTGAAAGCAATCAGATCGAGAAAACTACATTCTGCTTCTCCCCCTTTTCTTAAAATGGAGAGAAATGAGTAGGCTGAACCAGGAGGAGCAGGGAGAAGATAAGATTAGCAGAGAATCCAAAGGGAAGAATTGAGCTGGGGAGTGGGCGACTCCGGGGGGTAAACAGATACATGGTGTGTGGAAACCAGGGAAAGGGTTATGTGTGGAGTGGAGCTGGGTTAAGACTGGTTTAGATTGGCCTTTTCAAGACTTCGTGCTTCCCAGCCCCCAACCTTCTCAGGAAGGATTGGGACTCATCCTATTAATTACAGACACAGATGGGGGTGTTGCGGGCATTAGGATGTAATCCAAATCCTGTGAGGGTCACCGGGTTGCAGGCTTCAGGACAGGGAAACGCAGCGCGTTGGAGGGTTGGGGGCTGTCTGGGTGCGGGTCCACTGGACACACCCGGGCCTGGAGCTGGATGCCGGGGATCCCAGAGACGAGCCCGGGGTTTAGGTGCGCGACGGGCTCGCCTGACCGTGGCCGGCCCTGCACCGTGGGGCGCCCGCCTGACTGGAGCAACGGTCAGCTGGGGGGCCCGGGGAGCGTCGGGGCCTGGGGCGGGCTCTGGACCGAAACAGACTGCGTGGAAGGGCGAGCCTTCCGGTGAAGGTGGGAGCCGGGGCGGGGCTGTCCCGGGGCGGAGCCAGGTAGCGTCGGGCCCTCAGGGCAGAGCCGGGTGCGACCTGGCGCTGACCCGGTTTCTGCATTCTCCCTCCGCAGCTGGCAGAGCGGTTTTCCGACGCGGCGCTGGTCTCGATGTCTGTGCGGGAGCTAAACCGGCAGCTGCGGGGCTGCGGGCGCGACGAGGCGCTGCGGCTGAAGCAGAGGCGCCGCACGCTGAAGAACCGCGGCTACGCGCAGGCCTGTCGCTCCAAGCGGCTGCAGCAGCGGCGCGGGCTGGAGGCCGAGCGCGCCCGCCTGGCCGCCCAGCTGGACGCGCTGCGGGCCGAGGTGGCCCGCCTGGCCCGGGAGCGCGATCTCTACAAGGCTCGCTGTGACCGGCTAACCTCGAGCGGCCCCGGGTCCGGGGACCCCTCCCACCTCTTCCTCTGAGCCGTTCAGAGCACCTTGTGGTGTAGTGGGGGCTGGGTGGGGTGGCTCCGCCCAGGAGGCGGCTGCACGGTTCTCTGCATCGTTACCAGAGCGCCTTCTGGTCCTAGCCACGCCCTGTATGACCGCGCAAATATCCCCAAAGCTTTTGGGTCCTCAAGTCATGCCCGAATTTAGATGCTGGTCATTTTCTGGAGAGGGGTCCCCTCCCCTTACGAACACAGAAACCCAGCCCACATGACTAGCACGCTGAGCTCTGCAGGGACCAGTGCCAGGCACTGGGGGGTGGAAGTGTGGTGACACAGTGAATGGGAGGTGGAGGAGGGTTGCAGCTCCCACCTCAGTTTAGTTTTTAATTCAGGGTTTTCAACCTGTAACACATTAAAGCTGTAATTAGCAATGAGGCTGTATTTTCATTCTGAAGCTTGTAACCTCCCCATTTTAGCACTACAGAATTTTCAAGATTTCAATATCCAACAACTAGATAGATTAGGACCTCTATCCGAGATGCTTTTTCCCTGCCCAACCCTGTGGCCTTCAGGGCTCAGAGCAGCAAAGGCCTGAAGAGTGAGCTCTGGGGGTTGTTGGTGTGGGTTGGGAGAGAGCTGTGTGCAGAAGTCTGGAAACCTGGGTCCTAGTCCCAGCTCTTCCATGGGATCCCCCTGTCACCCTGAGCAAATCAGTTGCTTCCTGGACTTGTGTTACTTCATCTAATTCTCATGTGGATTGGACGACTTCTGCTCCCTTTCCAGTTCTGGCATCTCCCCAGTATGGAAGTCCCGGTGGTCTCCCCAAGAAGTCCCCAAGACAATCTCGCCAAAGGCACCTCCTATCCTGCTGCAGTTTCCCAGCTGCAGCCTAGGCAGGGGATGCACAGCCCAGGCGAGGAAGCCTGGCTTCTCTGTGAGCACATACGTGGGTCCTCGGCAGCTCCCTCCAGGCTGTCTGGGCCTCCAGACCTGCACAGGGTGCTCCTGCCACCTCCCACCTCTCTGAGGGCTGAGGTGAGACTTCTCCTGGGATGACAATTTGCTGAGAGAGTGCAGCTTTTGTGAATTAAACTTGAAGTCCAGGCAGAATTCTAATGCAATAAGCTAAATGTTCTTGCAATTTAAGAAGTGTTCATTCTTTATCCCTGCTTCAGGCTACTGTTTGTGTGTCTGTGTGTGGGAGAGGGAGAGAGAGGGAGAGAGAGAGAGAGCAAGAAAAAGGGAAGTCCCCACCTGGAGCTGGGTGGCACATCTGTTATGGAGAGCCAATGGAAATGGGGTGGAGGGGCAGGCATTGGAACAGATGGATCCTCCCCCTCTCACCACCACCACCACCAAACTCAGAAGCCTCAGTGGCCCAGCTCGGCCTGTCAGTGGCTATCCAGGTCTCACAGTTTCCATGGTAACCCAGTCCTCCAGTTCAGCAGGCTAAGGGGAGGGCAGATGGGGCCTCTGGGCAGAGCACAGGCGTTGTGCTGGGAGCAGCCGCCTCACGAGTTACTGTCATCTGTCCTCTACCGGACATAATAAATGGGAGAAGCTTTCGGGCATGGGGGAAGAGGCTCCCATATGTCCCTCTTCCTTTCTACCCCCTCTCTCCACCCCCTCCCCAGCTGTCTCTTCTCTTCCCATCACAGTTCTTGCTCCCTCTTTCCCCTCCTCTATCCCAGCTCATCCCTCCTCCGCTTAGGAGCCTGCAATGGGAGTCCTCTCCTCCATCGCTCTCAGAATTTCTCTCGTCTCCTCTCCCTTCCCCACCATTGGCCACTGGCCATCCTCTCTGGCTCTGGATTCTCTCTCTGAGGGGCTCACAGAACCTTTAGCTTCTCTTTCTTCATCCCCTTCCACACTCATTGTTGAAGGGAGAGGATGGGGCAGGGAGGGTCCTTCCGGGAGCCCAGCTCTTTTTCTCTCACTCTAAATTTCACCTGTGTCTATCCTTGCCTGCCCTGGAGCTGTAATTCAGACCCACTACTTTTCTTGTTCACTTTTCTCACCTGCATGGCACACAAAGACAGACAGAACCATCCATAGACACCTGAGCACACAACTAGGCCACATATACAGTACCATACCTGGGTCTCAAAATGATACTCCTGGGTTACCTGAGTATACTTAAAAAAACAAAGTTGCACACTGTGGTGATTAAGAGTAGTGCTTTAGGTGGGGCGCAGTGGTTCCTGCCTGTAATCCCAACACTTTGGGAGGCCAAGGAGGAAGTTTGAGACCAGCCTGGGCAACATAGCGAGAACCCTGTCACTACAAAAAAATAAAATAAAATAAATTCAGATGTAATGGCATGCACCTGGAGTCCCACCTACCCAGGAGGCTAAGGTGGAAGGATAACTTGAGCCCAGGAGTTCGGGGATGCAGTGAGCCATAATCGTGCCACTGCATTCCAGCCTGGGTGGCAGAGTGAGACCCTGTTTCAAGTTGCAGTTCTACCAGTTTTTTGACCATGGGTGGGTTAAAATCAAGCCTCACTTGATTGTCAGAAAAATGGTGAAAATAATGGTAACCACCTACTGAGAATAAATGCATTTAAATAAGCACTTAGCATAAAGTTGACACATGCTACGTAATGATATTTGCTGTTGTTGCTGATGTGATTGTTAAGTGTGTGAATCTGTGTGTTCATGCACTGCACATCCCTGAGTCCATGAGTGTGACCCATTAAGGCCATGAACAGACACACACATTGACACACCCGGGAAACCAGACTGTATAGGCCTTAGATGCTCCACTATGTTCCCAATTCACTAGCAGACCTGCTGCCCTCCTTCAGTATCCCCCAGCACCTGCTCTTGGCCCGCCCCACAGCTGTGTGGGGGCTGGGGTTCAGCTCCTGGGGGACTCAGCAGGGCCTCTCTGGAGACAGCTATAAGAAAGCTTCAGCCTGCCCTCCTGACAGCCCGTAATTATCCTCCTATCTCCTGTAATTATTCTCCATGGTGCCTAGACCCCCTGGGGTTGGGAGGTGAGGGAGGGGGCTCCTCAGATCCCACTGGCACATAGCTGGGGTAAGACTGCAGAGACAGCAGCCTGCCTGGGGAGCTCTGTCTCAGATTTTGAAAGGTGCTGGTCCTCATTTCTTATGGTGTGTGTGGGGGTGCTGCAGGCTGCCCAGTGGGCATCTGAGGCATGATGGTTAGAGGCTGAGGTGCTAGGAGCAGTTCTCTTTATTAATGGCTAGAAAGTCAGGATCACCCAAGGAAGTCACTGAGGGGCCACAGCATTGAAGGGTATGGGGTTTGGAGAGATAGGAGCAGGACCCACCACTCACGTCCAGAACCCAGGGGGCACACCTGGTCCAAGAGGTGGAGGCATTGGTCACTGGAGTCACGAGGGTCAGGACAGGCACCTGGGAGGGGGTGGGAGAGTCATAAGCACTCTCTTCTACACTACACCCAGCCTAGTTGGGCTCTACCAAGCCCCACTTTGCACCCCCTGTGTCCACTCCTTTGGAAGCCCCAGGACTCACTGAGAGGCTGAGGGAGTGTCGGTCCGGAGGGAGGCAGTCACGGGCTAGGGCTGGGAGTCGTAGCCAGTGTGCAGGGCCTGGGAGCCCCAGGGCTGATGCCCTGGCTGGCGTAGTACTCCACCACCTGCCGTGGCACCTCAGCCAGGACACACTTGGCGAGTGCAGAGGGGGCAGCCTAGGGTGGGGACAGTGATGTGGTTAGGGGTGAGAGGAAGAGTAGGGGAGGCAGGGTCATCTGAGGGAGAAGTGGGGCTTCAGGGTGGCCAGCTGGGCTCCCGCGTCCTTAGCAGGACATCAAATGGTGGAAGACGAAGGTCAGATTTGGGGGGATGAGAAGCTGAGGAGTCCTTCAGCCGGAAGGGGCCCGGGGGACTCACATCCTTGAAGTCTCGGAAGGGCACGAACTGGACAATGTCTCGGGCTGCAGGCACCCCTCGGGGGCAGCGCAAGGGGCCGTCGTCGCCATCCAGCAGCCGCATGTCAGAGAAGTCAGCATTGCCCACGCCTACGATGATGATGGACATGGGCAGGCGGGAGGCACGCACGATAGCAGTGCGAGTCTCAGCCATGTCGCTCACCACACCGTCAGTGAGCACCAGCAGCACCGAGTACTTCTGAGGGCAAGCAGAGAGGGTGGAAGGGTTGGCTTTGTGTGCAAGGGCGTTGACACCGTTTCCACCAAGGTGCAGACCCTGGCCCTGGCACCACTTAAAGACACATGGGACAGCTCCTGTTTGCCCGCCATGTCTTCCTACCGTGGCTTGGCCGGTGCTCTGCTCCCGCTGGGCCGGCTCAGCCACACGGTTGATGATGGGGGCCACATTGGTGGGGCCGTAGAGCTGGATCTGGGGCAGGCAACGACGGTAGGAGGCGATGACCCCTGAGATCTCTGTGAGTGAAGAGAAGTTGTGAAGCTGGCAGAAATGAGCAGGGCCCCCTCCTGACACTCCTTAAAGCAAGGAAATGCTTCCAGGTCTGAGGACTGCCCTCCCCTCGAGTTCCTTCATTAAGCAGTGGGAGAGTTGGATGGTCCCTTGGCAGGGAGAGTTGGGTGCAGATGCTGGGCCTCGGCCCTGGAAGCCTCACCTGATAAAGACAGGCCTGGGATGGGTGGAAGGGACAGGAAGCTGGGCCCTGGGGAGTGGAGTCTGTGCTCCTGTGTGGAGTGTGTCTGCGGGGAGGCGGGGCAGGTGAAAATCTCCCCTTTTACCTTCACATTCAGGATTTTCCGGGTCAAAGTTGATAGCAAAGTCATGGGACACCTGTGAGGGCAAGGCGGGAGCAGTGAGGGCCTGCCTTTTCTGCCTGACTGACACGCCCCCCATCTCCTTCTTTCCCTCGCATCTAGCCTACCTCGAAGTTGGGGGGGATTCGAGCCCCAAAGCCAAAAGCTGGGAACCGCTTATCACTGGGGAGAAGAAAAAGCTGTGGAATCCGTTGGGCAAGGCCTCCCTGCCTGTTCCCTCCCGCCCCACTCTCTCCTACCTGTCATAGTCCTGGCAGATGCCTCCCACTGCACGCAGGGCCTGCAGGTAGTGGTTGGGCTGTCGGGGACTGAGGCAGTGCAGGGACTGGCTGCTCCTCGGGTCCCCATTGGAGGCGGTGAAGTCAATGGCCACCTGGGTGGGGGTGGGAAGAAGGTCATGCTGCAACCATGAGAGCCACCAGATTGCCTAGGCCAGAGCTGGGATCTGTAGGGAGGACTAAGATGAGTGGTGGGGAGGCTACAGGTAGCCACATAATGATGTGGGGGTGCATAAGCTGACAATGCGAAGGCTCATGAGCAGCCCAAGTTGGGGCAGTGGAGATTCTGGGCTCCTTCCTTTCACTATGGACTCAGCCCCTCCCTCTTGCCTGTGTGCCCTCCCTCTGAGTCTTTACCGTGAAGCTGATCTGGCAGCCACCCATGATGTAATCCAGGAAGGTGTGCACCTTCTCCACCTGGAGGTAGGGAGAGGGGTAAGGCGAGGGGATGGGGTGGTCCTTTGAGGAGGGAGCTTGGGTAGGGCTTCTGTGGGGAACATGGGGGAGCCAGAGTTTTTTGGGTTGCAGTTGGGGGTGGTTTCCAGTTCCCAGAAGCAGAGAAACTGGTCTTTGAAACAAGGGAAGGGTTGAACCTGAGAGTGTGGTAGGGGCAGGGGCTGGGGCAAGGCTTGAAGCAGGAAGTGAAATTTACCGTGCACTGGGCCAGCACTACCGTCCCTGAGCTCTTGTAATTCTTCTTCTTGTCCCGATACTTGGGGTTGATACAGTCCCACTGCATCTAGACCCCACCCCACAAGCTCAGGGTCACAAGTCCATCAGGTGACCCCTCTTTCTCCCTTCCAGCAGAGCCTCCCAGAGCAAGACCCCCATGGTTCCGTCCTTCAGCTGAGCCCAGGTGCTTTCCACCCTCTCCACTTCCTATCACCTATGGTGGTCTCTTCAGCATCACCCTCAGGATTCTCCCAGGGATCTGGGTGGGATTCTGGGGGTGGGGTATTTGTGGCACCTCCTGCCCAGGGTTTGCCGTCCCTTCCTGCATCTCCTGGAAAGTGCTGGTGAACTCGCCGATGAAGTCATGCTTCCCACTGGAGTCATAGTCATACACCAGGAACTGAGAAGGCAGGGGGAGGGGTGGGGTCAGGTTGGAGATGCTCTGCGGTATTCACGGTGAGTAGGGGGACTCGGGGACTTGGAGTAGGGGGACTTGGGCCTTAGAGTCTCCATGCCCAAACAGACATCCTCAGCCTGCCCGGAGAGGCCACCTGCTGAACTTTGTTCTTTGGCTCAGTCTGCTAGGGACTTTGGCCACTGATAAAATGCACACATGTGGGAAGTTTAACATTGAGCTGTGACCTATTATTTATCCCACAGTGGGATGTGATTATCACTTGGGGGAGAGGAGGGAGGCTTGCCACATGCAGGGGAAAGGTCTTAGATAGCAGATTGGTTGCTCTAAGTAGGCTGTGCTGGCTTGGCTGGGACTTCACCTTGAGAGGTCGGTGAACATCACAGCTGCATAGGGAATGCAGGGACAGGCGGAACGGCTCCCAGCTGGGGTTCAGGTTGTTCTTCACCACCTTGGAGAGGCACCAGGTGGCTGGTCAGCTCCTGTCTGTGTCTTCTTACTTTACTCTCCCTCCCTTCATCCCCATAGCCCCAGGCACCAACCTCAGTTCTCCAGACCAGCTGATCACTTTGGTCCTCGTTGGTCTTATAGATTTCCATGAAAGGGTCAGACTTGCTGAACAGATCCTGAAGATACAGGAGAAAGGGCCCTTGAGGTTGGTGAGAGCTGCAAGGAGGGTGGGGGATGGGCTCCCACTGGGAAGAGAGCAGGCCTGGGCTCCTGGGATCTGTCTTGAGTGGGAGGCCTAGGAGTGACAGGGGAGTTGGGGGCCTGGACTCTGGGGTTCCAACCTTGTTGTCCAGCTTGTAGGCTCTGAAGGTGAGTTGCACATAGTCGTTTGTGCCTGATACCTCCTCGGCCACGATCTGCAAGGGGGATACAAGTGGCAGGACTCCCCTAACCTTACCACAAGGGCCACCCCATCCCCTTTCCCTTAGGTGGGGGTGGTCCTGGGCATGATGTCACCATAGGTGTCCATGCAGGGGCATTGAATACCTGGACCAAGGGTGAGTACAGGTGATCTTGCCTACCGTGATGGTGGACTTGCCCGCAGTCTTCCCATTCTTCAGCAATAATGGCTTAGTGACCTTGGTTTGTGACACAATCTGGGGATGGAGGTGGAGGGAGACCCAGCTGTGACATCCCCATCTGCCTTGGCCACGTACAAGGGATGGAATAATAAATGCTCTGAGTGTCTGCAAGGGTTGGCACTTTGAGTTGGGCTAGGGTTGGGCTCAATTTTTACAATAGTCTGAAGAGGGAAGCACTCTGACCACTCCTCCATTTTTTAGATAGGAAAACTAAGACTCAGAGAGGTTAAGTATCTTTCCTGAGGCTGCACAGCTAGTGAATGGCAGAGATGGGAGCCAAGGCTGGGTTGAACTAGCTCTAGAGCTCATGTTTTCTCTCTTTTTGGCTTCCAGAGGCAAAGCTGATGGAGGTAGGGTAGGGTAGCCGGGGAGGCCGGGAATGCAGACCTGGCCCAAGGTGCACTCCGTAGAGCCGAGGAAGGTATCATTTCGGGGGCTGGTGGCTCCGTCCTCGGCATCGAACACGTGGAACTGCAGGGGCTGCTTCTCCTCAAAAAAATACTCAAGGGCCAGCACCCGGGAGAAGACAGGGCTGGAACAGGAGCGAAGCACCTCTGTGCGCTCTACCTGTGGTAGTGGTTGAAGGGAGGCGAGGGCTGTCTGGGAACCGAGGATACTTTTCCCTGTCCTGGACTGCCCTAGTCATGCCAGCTCTTCTTGGGCCCCCACGTCCCCAGCAACCAGCTCTTCTCTTCCTAAGCTGATCCCTGAGCTTGGGGTGCTGCCTGCCCACTGGACTCTCAGTCCTCCGGGCTATCATGAGGCCTTTGGGAGCAACCCCACTGCCTCTGGGTCAATCTCAGGACCCTCTGGGACACCATCTCCAGGGTACCCAAGCGGCCTCGAGAAGGCGCCGCAGAGTCCACACATTTCCCTGCAAGGCTTTCACTGCTCCCACCCAGCCTCCCTCTTTCCCAAGCTTAACCCAGGTTAGTTAAGGAGAAACCTGAGCTGCTCTCACCTCCACCCACTGCTCATCAGAGTAGAGCTTGAGCAGCACGCAGGGGTGGGGTTTGGTGAGTGTGTCCCGGTCCAGGAGGCCATGGCAGGACACCCGCAGCTCCACCCGAGAGGCCCCCAGCGTCATGGTTGGGGGCTCAGGCACCCATCCCATCTCAGGGTCCGACATGTCACTGTGGGGACAGAGCAGGTGGCCTGGACTCTGGAAAGGGAACACCTGCCAGCAGAGGGGTCTATCCTCTAGGGTCCCTGGGCCCCACCCCTTAACCTCCTTCCCTAGACCCTGGGGCCTCACGGACCTCCTGCTTCCTCAGCTTCACCAGAGTTCTGAGCAGGGGAGGGCAGAGGACCTGAGCCTCCCACTCCTGCTCAGAAGCCCTGTGCTGCTGGCCTAGGTATGCGTGGATGGGGCTGGAGAGGGCTGAAGGATTGGGGTGGGGATGTTCCTGGCAGTCTTGGCTCCTAGGCCATCGATTGATCTACACTTTCTGCCGCCTCAGCACCTTCTGCTATTTCCCGACTGGTGTTGTGCCAGCGCTGCACTCAGTCTTGGCACGAGGGAGCTAAACTAGGGCAAGGGGGTGGGGCAGGGGGTGGAGAGGCCTCTGGAGTTCTGAAGAGGATGGGTCTCAGAAGTGGAGTCTGCAGTGGGCAGGAGACAGGTTGGAAAGTCCCCTGCTGGGCTATCCCTATCCACTCCCTACCCCCATTCCCCTTCTGGCTAGCTGATGGAAAAGGAGTGGTGGTGGGCTGGGAGGCAGGACCAGGGCTCTGCTGAAAGCTCCTTCAGGCTCCTGGCAGGAGCTCTAACTGTGACAAGCCTCACATCCCTCCCCACCTCCCCTGTTTTCACACTTCTTGGCAGCACTGGCACCGTCTCTTAGCGACAGGATTTTTGGGGAGTCGTGGCTCCCTCCATGCTGCCCGTGGGATGCACGCATGCCACCTTCCCCCAGCAGTGGTACCAAGCCTCGGGCTGAAGCAGGCAGGGGTATGCCGGCCAGAGTTCATGGCCGGTCAGTCCATCTATCTGTGTCTGTACAGATCTCAGGGTGAGGCTGTCTGATCCCATGTCATGCTTCCCCGAGTGAGTGTGCATTGGTGTGTCTGAGTGCCCCACCCTCCGTGTCTGTCCCCCCATGTCGTGTGTCCGTTTCCAGGAGGGTGTGACAGTTCCTGTACCTCCCTCAGAAGTGGGACCTTTCTCTGGCTGGGTATCTACCTCCCCACAGTGTGTGCCTTTCTGGATATGTGAGGGAGGGTCTGGGCTGGGGGAGGGGGGTCTCTGCCTTCCAGCCACAAGTCTCCCAGTTCTTGGGGGTCCCCGAGATAGGCAGGGGCTTGTGGTGGTGAAGGGATTGGGCAGGGCTGGGATCTCTCTGCGGGCTCCAGGAGATGTTGTTATGGAGACTGGGCCAAGCTGGGCTGGGCTGGGGCTGGGCTGGGGAGGAAGGGTGGGCTCACCTGGGCTCTCGGTCGGGGGCTCCTCTCTCCGGCTCTCTGGCCCTGGCCCTGACTCCCTTGCTGCTCCAGCCGCTGGCGCCGGCTCCAGCTCCGGCTCTGCTGCTATTTATGGGGCCTGGATGGGGAGGGGTGGGGGGGGGCGCAGCACCAGCTCCCCCCGCGTGGATGGATTGGGAGGGAGAAGAGGGAAGGGGCAGGGCCACAGCCTGGGAGGGAGCCACAGAACCGGGGGAGGAGGGCAGGCTGGGGGTGGCTTAGAGGCAGGACCCCCACAGACACAGTGACACACATCTTCCCCTTCACACTACACCCACACCCAGAATCGCAGAGATGCGCACATTGCAGTGGCATGCACATACACATTCAAACAGAGAAATGATGGCGACACATGCACCCACGACTCACAGGCTCACACATATCTTGACACACACAGGCGCCAGTACATAAACTCACTGTGACACCACGACAGTTACAGCCCCCGGCGGATACACATTGGGAAACATACCCCTTCTCACATCACTTTCAACATTGTTACACTAGCTAAGGATATCTGCAGTCACATATACAGGAACACTGGGCTGTCCTTGTCACACATGTACTCACTCAAACTAACCCGGAATACAGCAGGATGTGATCTTCCCGTGCTCCTTAAAAGCCATCACATACCTTGCTGAACGTCATAGCTTTGAGAATGATGTCCAGTTCCCTAGCCACCATTTTATAAGGAGACACAGGAAATGGACATAATTGCTTAAGGACACCCAACCTCATATCCTGGTCACATGAGGGCATCTGCTGAAGGACTGACTCCCAAGGCTTCTTCCCGGTGCCACAATGTACCCAACACCCCCCAAGATTCAACCCATATGGCCTTACCCTTGTGGGAGGGGCTGTGCCATGCACAGATCTTAAGGAAACAAAACAAGTAATTCCTGGTGAAATCAGTAAGTAAGGGAAGTAAGCAGTTGCCTGGGGAGCTGCAAACCACACATGAAGACATTTGGGCACATTGTGGTCTGCGATGAGTACGCAAGAGCATTTACCTTCGCCCTCCATCCCCTTAAGCTGCTCATGTATTAATATAGCAGCCATTTATTGAGCATCTCCTGGGTGTCAGGCACTGTGCCAGGTGCTGGGGCTACACAGGTGATTAAGACACAGCCTCTGCCCCTGGGGGAGGCAGATGTATATGGAACAGAAAGACAGGCAGACAGAGAGAGGATAAGCCAATACGCATACGCAATGAAGCGTGACAGGTGCAATGTTATGGACCTGCTCAGGATGCAGTGGGAGCACATTAAAGCAGGGTGCAATATGGATGAGTGGGGAAGGCATCAGGAAGGACTTCACAGAGGAAGGGGCTTTTGAGTGGGATCTTGAATGCCAAGATAGTATTTGCTAGAACACCATGGGAGACAGCTACTTTAGTTGCTGACCTCATGCCACAGAGACTTCTGTTCACCTGCAAGCCACTCTGCTATTGAGACTTCTGACTAGTGAGGGTGCCCCCAGGACGACACAACATCATGTAATTCCCCCATTAGTGTGCATGCATGCACACACACACACACACACACACTGCTCCCGTGTCCCTCTGGTACACTGGGGCTTCCAATCCCATTACACCCCCAAAAGCTGGACAGACTTTGTGTTGGTTTCTGTCCTTTTGGTTCTTTCTCCAGGAAGCTCAGCCCTGACCCTGGGCATAACACCCATCTTGGCTTGGGGACTTATCAGTCCCCTTCCCTCGGCAGTTCTCTGTTTTTTTCTCCTGCTCCTCTCAGAACCCCAAGTCTATCCCTGTGGAATGTTTCTCATTTTTCTCCACTGTGGCCAAGCTCTGAGGGTTTGTGGGAAGAGAGCAGATTGTGGAGGCAGTGAATGGGGAAGATAGCAGAGACTCGAGGCAGGCGATGATTTTGTTTTTTTATTCTATACAAGAGGGGAGAGAGTCCCTGGGGATAGAGGGACAGAGATCCACCCTCCTGGGGGAGGAGATAAGCCCCCACCCAGAAGCTCTCTGCAGAGAGAGGTATCGAGGCAGGCACTGACAGCCTCCGTCTCTCCAGGTGGCTCCCTCTGTTCTAGTCCCTGCCTCCAGCTCCCCCATGCCTGGTCCTGCCGTCTTGCCCCTGTAGGACAGGGGCTGGCAGGGGGCCCTGGGGACTGGGGGTGGATAGGGGTCTGAGTCCTTGCGAGGCACATGTCGAGGGCTGAGGAGGGTGTTGTGGCAGTTGTCAGTCTGTTCCTGGCTCACTGGTTCCTGCTGGGGACAAATCCAGGGAGCCCTGTTTCCTGGGCAGGGACAGCCAGCCACCTGGTGTTGGGGCTTCGGGGGGTGTCATGTTGGACAGATAGGTGGGAAGGGGGGACCTGCCCTCTCACCACCAGCACCTGTGGGGTCAGGAGGCCGTCTTCTATCAGGTTCCAGCTTGTCACAGGACTGTGCCCGCCGTGTCCTCTTGGGCTTCAGGGGGGCAGTCCGCCGGCCTGGATCAGGGGGCCCTGAAATAACAATCAAGGCAGGCCTAACACAGGAGTGGGGCTCATGCTGGGATGCTCATCCAGGCTGTGACTCCTGGTTGTCACTCATTCCATGCTCTGGAAGAGGACCTGATGTGGACAGCAAAGTCCTAGAGGTGCCCTGAGCCCCCCACTCAGCCAGGGTGGCAGACCTTGGACTTCGGGCTCCTCTTGGTCTTGCTGTGAGCTCAGCCTCAGCCGGGGTTTGTTGACTCCTGGAGCTGCATCTCCAGCCTCAGCCTCCTCCCTGACCCCTGGCTCCTGGGGAGGCTGGCGGCCCCTGGGCACAGCCACTGGCTTGGGAGGCCATGGAGCTAGAGCGGGGTCCTGTAGCTGGCAGAGGAAGGAAGATGCTGGGTCAGTTAGTCCCTTTGCCTCATCAAAGTGCCTCCCCCACCCATCTTGCCAGCTCTCACCTTGGCATTCCTAGCTGGAAGTGTCCTCTCTGGGAAGAGGGTCCCCTCCTTCTCCTCTTCCCCATCTTGGGAGGCTGGGCTGGGACTCTGGCAGCTGTGGTTGGGGGCACTCTCTTCAGCTGGGGATGAGAGAGAGGAGAAGCTGCAGGAAAAGGCATTCTTGCATAGCTCCTGTCCCTGTCTCCTCTCTCCACTGAAGCCCTGGAGGCCAGGACTTTCTCCCTCCAAGCCCACTTGCTCCTATGTCTCTGCCTTTCATGTGCCTTTTTTTTTTCTTTTCTTTCTTTCTTTCTTTTTTTTTTTTTGGAGATGGAGTTTTGCTCTGTCACCCAGGCTGGAGTACAGTGGTGCAATCTTGGCTCACTGCAACCTCCACCTCTCGGGTTTGAGCGATTCTCCTGTCTCAGCCTCCCGAACAACTGGGACTACAGGTGCGTGCCACCACGCCCAGCTAATTTTTGTATTTTTAGTAGAGACAGGGTTTCACCGTGTTGGCCAGGATTGTCTCGATCTCTTGACCTAGTGATCCACCTACCTCGGTCTCCCAAAGTGTTGGGATTACAGGCATGAGCCACCGCACCCGGTCTTTCATATGCCTTTCTACATCCACGCTCCTTAGCCCTTGTTTCCCAGGATCATCCTGAGGCCATCACCTCTGGAGGGGACTCTGGCCTAGCTGTCCCTCTTGCAGAGCAGTGCCCAACCCCTTTCCTGCTGGGGCAGGGCCCAGGGCCTGCTGGGTCCACAGGCATGCTGCCCATCCAGGCTGCAGTGCCCTGGGGGCTCTGCCAAGGCTGCAGCCTGGCATTCCCAGAACTCTGTCTGAAAGTCTGATTTAGATGGAGGGGTGCCCTGGCACACTCATCCTCCGCCCCAGTGGCCTTTAAGCAACATGAGCCTGTGGCTCTGACACTGGAAAGTGTTGTCTGCATGTGGATCTGTGAGGTGTGTGTGCAGTGGGGCAACTGACTATTGCGGTTTCCTAAATGAAAGATGGAGCCCTACTTTGGGGCGCTTTAATTAGCCTGTGTATGGGATGGAAAAAATCAGCAAAGATGCCCCCAGTGCTGGGTTGGCCTTGGAGGAGGAGGCAAGGACACAGGCACTCCAAGTCTCAGGCTAGCCTGATTCTGCACTACAGGGGAGAGAGGGGCAGATGCAGAATGGGTGGGATAGGACAGTGGGGAGCATGTGGCTCAAGCCAGACCAGCCCGCTCAGCTCTTAGCTCTTTCCAGCCCTTACGCCCTAGCCTGGTGGTGGGAGTGAAAGAGGCTGAGGGGGTGTCTCCATCTACAGAGAGATTTTGTCTATGTCAATATTGCTGGAGGGTCATGGTCCAGGCCTTTGGCAACTGCTGGACTGAGCGAATGCTGAGCTGACCAGCTTTTCTTTAGTGGCTCCCTAAGCGGAAGGTGCTCTGAAGCCAGCAGAAAGGAAGTGTCATGCCTGGGATAATCCCCTCCCTTTTACTCCTCCGGTCATGGGGCCAGAAAGTAAATGACTTGTTTAAGGTCGCGGGTGGCTGAGAAGGACTAATACTGCAGGTTTCTGACCTCCGAGGCGAGCTCTTGCCCATGTTTGGGGCACCTTTCTGCGTGAGCTGAGGGTGAGTTGATAAACGACTTCTGGAGGAGGCTGGAATCTGAGGTGGGCCTGGCACAGCTGGTACTTGCTGGCAGTTTGACTTGCCCACCCTCTTCCCAGCAAGGTGCAGAGAGGAGCCTTGTCTACAGAGGCTGCCACTGTGCCAATGGTGACCAGAGGCTGCACCTGCCCTGGAGAATTCGCCAGAGCCATCCACAAAGCATCGCTCCTGTTTGCCAACACTGGAGAAGCCGCTTTTGTTCTGTAGAAGCTTTCTTTGGATTGGGTTGTTTGTCTCTTTTGGATATAGCTTTGTAAATATCCTTAAACATTTTCACTGTGTTGACTTCTCACTGCCCCACCTTGGCCATAAATTCCCCAGCACAGGGGCCATGGGCTTCTGTTTCTTTGGACACACCCTGGGCTTTCAGTACTGCTGCCTGAAAAGAGGCTTTCCATACCTATGTGCCATGTGGCCTCTGCTCTGCGCATGGCGCTGAAGCTTGGTTTGGTGCTTTGGGGCGGTGGTGGGGGCTTCCAGGATCCAGGCCCTGGAGTAGAGAGAGGGGATGAGAAAGAGAGGAGAAAGGGAAAAGGTAAATTTGACCCCTGAGAGAGGGGTCCAAAAGGGCTTTGAATGTGACTGTTCTTACCTGCGTCGTCTGAAGAGCGCCGTTTCTGCCAGGCCTGGGTGCTGCCCTCCTGGTCTGGGCCTGGGCCCTGAAAGAACAGTGGGTCAGGTTGTAAGAAAGTCTCCTCTGTGGCAGGACTGCAGCTGACAAAGGGCTTCTGCTCTAGCATCTCCATGTCATTCTCATGTCATTAGTCCCTAGACACTTAAAACTGTTTCCCAAAGAGTGGCACCCATACCTCCCCAGGGGCACAAGAAATGGCTTACACAAATGAGTATACTTCCATCTTTATAGTTACATATGTATTTTACATGTAGTAGAAAAAAACACGACTCATTCAAAAAGCCTGCGATTTTAAAGATAATGTCTAGGTCTAGCCTAAGTTAAAAAAAGGTGAGTTAATTTAAATAAAAATACTATGTAAGTAATAATTCAGGTAAAAATCAGTCGCAAAGGTTATAATCAAGTCACCATTGTTTGGGAAACAGAGCTCTAGAGGTAAGTATTTTTATAACCCCTCATTTTACAGTAAAGAAGGAGAGGTTTCAGGAGGTGAAGTGACCAGTCCAGGGCTCCACGGCAAGTGTGTGGTGGGGGCTGAAGAGCAGCTAACATCTTCTAATGCCAAAGCATCTGCTTTCTCTACTGAACCACCAGGGATGAGGGAGTGGGAAGGAGAGGGTGGTGGACAGATACCCTCAGGACCCACAGTTTGTTGTCCCAGGCTCCACTCACCTCTCGTTTCCCATCGAAGCTCCAACCCTTGGCTCTTTCCAACCCGGGAAGGGCAACACCGTGAACCCTTGGCTGCTGTGCTGTCCCAGGGGCTGGGCCCCCCTCCCCTGGCTCTGACCCCTCAGTGCCCTAGAACAAGGTCTCTTATTTATTAGCAGTTCCCAGTCGAAGGGGGCTCCCCAGGCTGTGAGGGAGTTGTCAGGAGGACCCCTGCCTCACTGAGTCCCTAGCCACGGGGAAGCCCTGCAGAGACCCTCTGAAGAGTCCTTCCAACGCCTGCATTCGCATATAGCACTCCCAGCATGCTCTTGGCCACTGGGTCTTAGTCCACTCTCAAGGAGAGGAGAATTGAAATGACCAATGTTCCCAAGAACCCTGGGTCCTAGCATTCTCCCATTAAGCTTGGGGTGGGGTAGGAGACTGGGTTAAGTGTGGGGCAGGAAAAGGGGAAGACACAGCACCCCCTGCCTCACTTACCATCTTCCGGCGGAAGGAAGGTCCCCGGCCCCCACCAAATCCAGGGAGGAGGCTGCTCTCCTCCTCTGGGCTCCAGCAGGGAGAGGAGTTATTGCCGAGGCTTGGGGGGTCTGGGCTAGGGGGGCTCTCCTGAGTCGGGGGAGGGGGTGGGGGTGGAGGGAGGAGGAGTCCAGTGGTAGGGGACCCCGGCCCCCTGTCCCCCTTGAAGCTCCGGGGCCGGCGAAAGTGAAACAGGCCCCGGCGCCTCTTCTTCTGGAGTGGAGGCAGCGGTGCCTCCGAGAGTCCTGGCCGCACGGTCCTCAGAGTCCGGGGGTAGCTGGGGAGAATCGGGGTAAGTTAGCAACAAATGCCAGATGCAAGCTCAATCCTGGGTCTGATAAACCTGCTTTCCTCTCATCTGGTCTCCCCTGCTGCACTGCAGCCCTTTCCACTTAGTTCTCAGGGAGATGATGCCCTTGCCTTTCCTGTCCCGTTGTAATCCTCCAGCAGCCTTTCCCGCAGACTGATGTTTCTTCCCAGGCACCTCCCCTGCAACTCCTCTCAGCTTCTCCAAGTGACCTGGCTCCTCCTGGACAGACCCTGGGCAGTCTGCAGGACAGTGACAGGGAACACTACCCCCCGGGCCTCTCACCACTAATGGGTATCCTGTCCCAGGGCTGCCCCCCACCTCCCTCTCATCCACACCTGCTCTCCAACCCCACTGTGGTGGTTCACTCTGGCCCCATTCTTCCCAGCTGTCCTGGGAAGACGCAGAGGTCATGGGCCCTGAGGGCTGGGTGGGGAAGGATGAGAATGTGGGGAAATTTCTCACAGAGACTGGCTTTGGGCACTGCTGTTATGGAGACTCCCATGGGAGCTGGGAGGACACAGCAGCCCTTCTAGGGCCTTGGGGCCTGCTGAAAATGGGAGTGTGTTTAGGCATCACACCTAGAACTTTCCTCCAGGACCCTTCGGCTGAAGAAGTCCTCCAGCCCTTCATCCAGGCGGGTGGCCATCCCATTCTCCTGACGAGTCCCAGGTGCTGGCATCTGCTGGGAGGAAAGTCCCGTGGGACATCTCATCTAGGTCAGGAAGCCCCACCTCCCATCCACTCAGAGCATTCCCCTTTGGGCTTGGACATTTATGGAAATGTAGACTTCAGTTCACCCAGTGTTTCTTTTTCTTTTTTTTTTTTTTTTTTGAGACGGAGTCTTGCTCTGTCACCCAGGCTGGAGTGCAGTGGCATGATTTTGGCTCACTGCAACCTCCGCCTCCTGGGTTCACGCAGTTCTCCTGCCTCAGCCTCCCGAGTAGCTGGGATTACAGGCAGGCGCCACCACGCCCGGCTAATTTTTGTATTTTTAGTGGAGATGGGGTTTCACCATCTTGGCCAGGATGATCTCGATCTCTTGACCTCGTGATCTGCCCGCCTCAGCCTCCCAAAGTGCTGGGATTACAGGCCTGAGCCACCATGCCCAGCTCACCTAGTGTTTCCTAAGCTTGGTGGCTCTTGGTGTTCTTGGTGGCTCTATCCTTCACCAAAATAAGAATGACACTGCCCGGCAGACAGAGCTTTCTTATCTGTGACAAGGTCTAGCTCTCATAAAAACTGGGCAATCCCTCATCTGTTCATTGGCATGCCTGGACTCCTGCCCAATCCCTCAAGGCTACTGTCTCTGGCATTTGGGTCCTAAAGGTAAAACTCCTGGCTCTGGTGTCACTGAGTGAAGGGGATCCTCTTGTGAAGCCTTAGGGACTCACACTGGGTCGACCAGGTCCTGGAGGTGTGGTCCTGGGGGGGCGGGGCCTCCCTTGTGTTTGATGCCTTAGTTTGTAACCATGAGTGGGCAGCTCAGATAGACCTTCCCAGGAGCCACTAGCTGTGGGCTGGCTGCCCCCAAGTCCTGAGAACCAGCCAGGGGGGATCCCCAGATTCCCCAGTTGGCTTTCCATGTCCTGAGGGCTCCCGCCTGCAAAGACAGCAGCATTAGAGGGACTAGCAGAGGAATGGGGAGAAAGCAGGATGGGGAGACAGAGAAAAAATCAAGGGAAAGAGGGGCTACAGAGGGCGGGAGTCTGGAGTCCATGAGAACGGAGGCTGGGAGACTCACTGATGAAGGCAGACACCGGCCGAATCTTGCGGCAGCGTTTCTGCTTTTTGATGGCCATGGTGTCCTGCAGAAATGAAGACGAGTGGCAGGGCCAGGCACCTCACCCAGAGCCATCCATTCCTCATGAAACCTTATTTGAGCCCATCCTGCCCCTCGCTCCTCAGGGGGCTGAGGCACTGGGATGAGGGAAGAGGTTGGGCTGGATTGAGATTGGAGGCAGAAGGCCAGGCACAGTGAGGTGGCCAGGGGAGTACAGATCAGTGGAAGGGGACAGTGTTGTGCAGGTTTAAGGGCAGGGCCCAGGTTATTAAGGAGGAGCAGGGAGCGGGGGGCTCACAATGTTGGTCCCAAGTTCATCATCTGTGGTCTCCTCATGGTCATGGTTCCGGCCTCGGCCCCGGGAGGACAGATCCTGCCCTTGGCCTGGGCACCCTGGTGGATCTGACAGCGTCCTTAGCTGGGTCAGGTGCCGGGCCTGGGGAAGGGCAGGTGTGAACAGAATTCCATGGAAGCTGCCCACCTCCCAGGGCCTTGAAGGGGAGGGTGATTAGGGAGACAGGATAATGTGGGGTGGAGGGCGTGCCCGAGCCAGGCCAGGCTGCAGAAGAAGCCTTACCAGGCTCTTGTGGGAATGGTAGAGCTCTTGCAGGATCTCATCCACTATGGAGCTGGTTAGGTAGGTGACGACTGAGAGCTTCACTTCACTGTGGGCACAGGTGGGGCTACTCAGAACATTAGCACCTCAGTCCCCCGCATGGCCCCTGAGGCACTCCCTCTCCCAGAAGCCTGAGAGAACGGCCAGCTGGCCTGGTCTGTCTGCCCATGGAGCGCATGTGGCTGCTGAAGGAGGCAGCCTAGCCCTTGACACTCATTTCTCCACAAATACACGTCTAGTCCCACCCCAGAGCCCCCAGCCCAACTATGTGTGGGGAAAGAGGAATTCGAGGAGAAGGAGCAAGGGGGCCCTAGGTCAGGCCCCTGGAGCCCCAGTGGAACAGAGCTAGGTAATTGGGGTGCTGAGTAACTAAACCCTGCTAGTTGCTACTGTGAGGGTAGGAAAGACCCTTCCTTGGGCCTAGCTGTTTCATAGGTATGTGTACTAGTTTTCCTTTGGTTTGGTGAGTGGTGGCACCCAGACCCAGAATGAAAGAACTCTAGGGGCAATGAAAACTGGGAGGAAGACAGTGCTTCCATGCACCCAACTCAGGTACTTTTCTTTGTCCATGCCTCCGAGGAGGCCCTGCTATCCCATTCCTGGTGTATTTGTGTGGGTATGTGTGTGTACACCTGTGTGGGCACAAACTTGGCTCCTAAACCCCAGCTCAGCACTTAGATTTCTAGGGCAAAGACCAGCCAGACCCTAAATAGCAAGGTTGCACTTGGTTAAAGATTGATCCTTGTAATGGAGATTGTGCCATTCATTATTCATTGCTGATAGCTCTCCAGTCCTAAGTCCCTAAGTGATCTGGGCCAAATCCAGCTCAGCCCCAGCCCTGCCCTTTGCCTCTCACTCCAGCTTGTTCTGAATGTCCTGTCCTGCTTGCTCCAGCAGTGCCCCTCGGATGAAGTTCCGGGGCACAGTGACACGCTCCGCCACATTGCTCAGCATCTTGTTGTGTCCCTCGGCCACCCGCATGGCCACAGGGCATAACTCCTGTGTCAGGCTGACCATGGACTCCAGGATCACCTAGTATGGGGGAAAGGGAGGCCAGAGGCCCAAGGGGGACAGGATCAGGGCTGGCACCACAGCAGAAGAGACTTTATCTATTCCAGCCCCTCCTGCTGAGACTGAGGGACCTGCCTAAGTCACAAAACTGTTAGTGGCAGAGCCTTGGACACTAAGGCTTCCCCACTTTCTGGTCAGTGCTCCTTCCACCCTACCATACAGACAGGGGCAGTCAGTCCAAGGATCCAAATCCAGAGCAGGGAGGTCAGAGTTCAGGGACCAACATCAAAGCTAGCAGAAAAAAATCCAAGCCTGATATTGCAGCAATGCCTTGGTACAGTGGGAGCGTGGGTGGTCTCAACTCTGCATGTCCTCCTGGCCCTCCAGAAGTCTCCCAGCTCTGACTTTAGCTCTGGGCTTAGGGCCTCAGTCAACACTAGGTTCCCACCATGGATTCCTCCCTCCTCCAGGACTTGCCTGCAGCTCCTTGTCCACAGCTTTGGACACCTCACTTGCTACTGATTCCAGCCTCTGCCGCACAGGCCCATCATTGGCCAGCACGTGGCCCAGCTCATAGAGGCTGGGAAACAGCTGGAGAAGGAAGGGGTTATGATTAGCAGGCCAGAACCAGGACTTGCTAGGTCTCTGGGGTCCCTGGGCTAGGAAGGCAGATGCACAGGGCAGGGCTGTCATGGCTTAGCATGGTCGGCCTTCTTGGGTTCTCCAGACTTCAGGGGAAGGGTAGCCTGTGGAGGGCTCACCGCCCGGGAGTTCTTGGCATCTTTGATGAGGTCCCGAGCGTAGAGTAGCTCATCCTGCACAGGCTCCAGGGGGCATAGTCTCAGGGCCCGCACCTCCTCCTGCACTCGTCCACACAGCCGCTGCAGCATCTGGAGCACAGTGGCAGGGGTGTCAAGGGGACCCCTGCTTCCACATCTTCGCAGGTAGGACCCCTTAGACAGTGCTACTGGTGCTGGCACCGACAGTGGTGGAGGTGATGTCTCTGGCTGGCCTGGTCCCCATTGCTACAGCCTTCTTGAATGCCCAGCTGAGCTCCCAGAGTCCTGTGCACTCCTGCTGTTCGCCCACATATGTTTGAAGCCCATATCCTGCATGTCCTCTCTTTTTGCTTCCCCACATGCTCAGTCCAGTGATAGGCACCATGCAGTGCCTCTTCATGCTCCCCCACTCAATTTTCCATCACATCACACTGTGCCCTGCATGCCCCGGGTATGCCCCGTGTCCCAGAGGGAAACGTTTACTTGCTCGGCGCTGCTGGTCACCAGGCCCTGCTGCAACCTGAAGGCCTGCTCCTGGGGGCACGTCTGGGAGTGGTTGTTCCTCACTAAGCACCATTGGATCTGGAGATGATGGGGTTGGTGGGTCAGGGCCTGGGGATGGGGGCTGCCCCCTGCCCCTTGCTGTGCCACCCTGCTTAGGACAGCACCCTGCACCTTCTGCCAGACGTCCTCGGTGCGCTCAGGCGCGCTGCGATAGGCTTGGGAGATGTCGCTCACGGGGAAGGACATGAAGCGCAGCGTGTGGTTGCTGTGGGACACAGGGGCACAGCTGGGTGGGAACAGGTGAGGATGGGAGGCCCCTGCCTCCTCTGTTGGTGAGCAGCCCTCCAGCCCCCTTGCTCATCATTTCTGTCTTCCATGGCCCTTCCTAAAATTTCTGTGCAAATAGGTCAAAGGGGCTAGGGTGGGGCAAGAGTAGTTCAGGCCTGATCCAGGCACAGGGAGGCTGGGGACTTGGATCAGGGCAGGACCATGGTCTACTCACCTCTCCAGGGCCCTTGCGATGTCCAGGAAGCCCAGGGCAGATGTATTGTTCCGATCCCATAGGATAGTTCTGGGGGGAGGGTAAGCACCAGTTTGGCACCTCTCCTCCTGGGTCCCTACTAGGGGCCAGGGACACAAACCTCTTGGGGCAATAAGGCTGACTCAGAGATGGTTCTGGGGCTGGGGGTCTTCTGGAAGCTGGGGTCCAGAGCATCAAGGAAAGCAGGGAGATTATGTACATATGGGGAGGGGCTGGGGCTCCAGGTCAGGGGGTCCCGGTGTGGGCCCCACCTGAGGGAGGAGTTTATCTGCAGGGCCTTAGACAGCATCTTGGCCCCGATGTCCTCCATGCCATTGCCGCTCAGATCCACCTTGGCCAGGCAGGTGTTGCTGCCCAGGGCATTGATGAGGATGCTGGTGCGAAGCTTCAGCCGGGAGTCTGCCACCGACAGTGACTGCAGGGACTGTGTGGGCAAGGGGCGGTTGGACCCAGTCCCCACAGCCTCCTCCGACTGCAGGTCCCCTCCCAGGCCCAGGCACTCACACAGTCCTCTTCCTGGATCAGCTGCACCAGCTTGTGGAGGATCTCCTCCAGGGTCCTGCAGGGAGGCGGGGCTCAGAGTAGGAGGGGAAGGGCTGGGGTCATGCTATTGGAGGAGGAGAGAGGTGGCCAGAGGTAATACGGTGAGCCAAGAGGATGGGTGAATGATGGGATGAGGGTCTGTGGGCATGGAAAGGGGGCCTCACTTGGCCTTGACATTGAAGTTCTTGCCCAAAAACAGGTGCTTGAGGGACTTGTTCTTGCCAAGTGCAGGCACCAGTGTCAGGAGGTCCGAGTCGAACCCTGGTGAGCAGATGGGAGAGGCCTGGCCTGGAGGCCTGAGGCTGACTGGTGTCCCATCAGGGCTGCTTCTGCATGCTCCAGGCCCCTGTTCTCCCCTGGCCCCAGGGAAGGGAGGAACCACTACTCACCATTGTCTGACAGATCCAGGCTGCCTACACAGGTGACAGCTCCCAGCTGCTCCTGCAAGGCTTGGGCTCCCGCTGAACGGAGCTGCAGGGACAAGGTGAGGTAGGGAAGGCAGGGGTTGGGGTGGGGGTAGGGCACCTTTAATGCTTAGGATATAGTAGTCACACCAGAACTCAAAGTCATGCCAGGATCTGGGTGTAAAATCAGGGAGACTCTTTCCCCACACCAGATCCTTCCCTAGAGCTGGCTTCCCTCCCTTCGGCCAGGAAGGCTGCTATTCCTAAGACAGCTTGCTCCTGCCCTCTGGTGGAAAAGTCTGGTATCTCCCACCCCAAAGCTTTAAGGGCAGAGATACTAGAGACTGAGAATGAATGGCCTCTGGAAAAGAGGCCAGACTGAGAGGGGAAAGTGGTGGTGTGGCCAGGTCAGGGGGTCGCAGAGGGTCAGCACAGAGGCTAGATGGAGCCAGGGTTTGACTTAGGTCTGAGAAATGCACATGGATCGGAGGCGGGCAGAGGGGTTGGGGACTGAGGGCTCACCTCGCAGCTGCTGAGATCCAGGTGCAGGTCACTGAGGTGACTGTTGAGGGAGAGGCCCTGAAGCAGCGCCCTGTGGGAGGGAGGTCAGCAGGCCCTCCTTTACCTCTTCCCGCTCCCCGTGGTTCCCTTGGATGCGCCCCCAACCCTGCACCCACCCGACCTGAGGGCCTCCAGGGGCAGCTTTGTGGCCGACAGATTGACGTGGCTCAGTGTGTAGGCGCTGCTGAAGAACTGCTTGAAGGCCGGCGGGGCCTCTCGACCCTTCCTGTGGAGAGACCCCTGGGGTCAGCGAGGGAGGGGGTTGGCCATGTCTTGCCCTGTCCTCCCTTCCCCCTCCTCTCCCACCTGTGGGAGCAGCTGTTGCGAGCCAGGTTGAGGTAGGTGAGGTGGGAGCAGCAGCCGTGGAGCAGGGCACCGAGAAGCTGTGGGGGGAGATATGGTGGGTCTCAGGGGAGCTGGAAGGGGGTAGGGGGTGGCAGGAAAGGACTCCCCCTCCCTCCCCATCGAGGTTCCTGGCTCTTCATTCTCTGTGGTCAGCCTGTGTGAGCTCCACTGGAGATGCCCACTCAGATTCTTGAAGTCTCTGTTTTCTCCCCTGTGGAACATGGGTCTACTCCCTGCCTGGCTTCCAGGGGCATGAAGCTGCTCACAGGCAGTGGATGTGTAAAGCCAGGGCCACCACTGACTCCTAAGGTGCCTTGTTCAAGTTAGGAAAAGCATCCATTCCCCTGGTGGAGCCAGGGTGCACAGCTGGGGAAGGGAGCAAGGGCTGGCTTTTAAGCACAGCAAGCACAAGCTTGTGACCTGGATAAAGTGCCACACAGGTATGAACTATGGACATTGCTTTATACTTCAGCTGAACCTGAAGTCATCTAGACAGCTCTGCCCGCCTGTGTACTCAGGGATAGGGGGTGAGACCGAGGCCCACTGTGGTCTTCCCCAAATCACCTCAGACTGGCTTCCCATCACCAACTCCTCACCAAGTCGATGACGCAGTCAGTTCCTGACAGGTCCAGGTGCACCAGGGCGTTGGGTTGGGCCAGGAAACTGTAGAGGGCCTGGAGTAGGAAGGAAGAGGGGTTGCAGGGGAAGGGATGATGGAGTCTCGCCACCCCCAGAGGCCATGGGGCAGAAGGCCTCCCAGCTCCTGAAGCTTAAGCATGCTTTCTGCAGGGGGCTGAGGCTGTTCTGAGGACTCACATTGGCCTCATCCGTGGCGAGGAGCCCAGGATTCTTGCTCAGGTCCAGGTATCGAAGGGAGCTGGCAAATGCTGGGTTTGCCCCGAAGGTCTGGCCGAGTGCCTGGAGCCCTGAGCACAGCGGGCACTGGGCTGGGTTGGCCCCTAGCCCCACCTCTTCCCCTCAGCACATAACTCTTCCCCTCTCCCCAAACGTGGCTCCTTTTCACTCTTCCATCCCTGAGGTGGTGTGTGAATGTGTGGGTGTACCTCTGGAGCTCAACACCCCAGGCAGCACCAGGGTAGGGTCAGAGGTCAGGGGTCCTTGGTGCGAGTACCTCGAGGGGAAATGGCAGTCTTGGCCAGGCACAGTTTGGTGAGGCCAGAGGGGAAGCAGAGGAGCTGCTGGCTCAGACTGAGAAAACCTGGGGAGTGGAGAGAGAAACGGGCCCAGTGAGGGGCAGGGCAGTGGGTGCAGGTGGCACAGAGTCAGGTTGGGGGCTCGAGTAGGGTACAGGCCTTGGGTCAAGGATGGAGGTGTCAGGGCAGGGGCTGGAATCAGGCTGGAGAGCTGCTGTTCAGACCTGGTTGGGCTCTGGGCTAGGACAGGGGTCTGCATTGGGATGGGGACAGGATTCAGGGCTGGGGCTCACCCTTGTCCTCGATGGGGTTGTGGGACAGAGTGAGGGCATGCAGCACACAGCTCCCGTTCTCCCCAAACACCCCGGCCAGCTTCTGGACAAAGTCCCTTCAGGGAAGGGGAGGAAGGATTTGTCCTGAGCTGAGCCCCAGGTCCCAGCCTCTGGGCTTCCCCTCCTCCTCTACCTGACTGCCTGGCTGGGGCTGCATGGTCAGAGGCCCCCACAACAGGGGAACAGCTCAGGGCCTGCCAGGGAGCTTGTCACCACTCCGGAGTACCTGGGGGCATTCCACACCTTAGGAAGTTGTGCTGAGACAAAGGTCAGCTTTGGGTCCTCAAGACTGGAGCAGCCCACCCTGCTTGGTAGTTAATGGAAAAAGAGGACGGGGCATGGAACATCCTGGGGAAAGGCCATGGAGCTGGGCGTCAGGAGGCTTGGGTCTGAGTTCTAGCTTGACCTCCGACTTGCTTTGTGCCCTCTTTTGGCCTTGGTCTCCTCTTCTGTAGAGAGAGGCACTGGATAAGATAGTCCAGAGGCCTGCATCATGCTCTGAGGTTCTGGGACCCTAAAACTACATCAAGGGTGCACTACTGCCCAAGGAGGAGACTGGCCTCACGTCTTAAGCCCGGCGTTGTCCAGCACCAGCTCTTCGAGGCTCCCCGACTTGCTTAGGGTATGTAGCACCTGTTCTAGCACTTCAGAGCCCTGAGGACAGAGGGGGGTCTTGTGATCAGGGGCCAAGGGGGGCACTACTTCTCCCACCTCACCAGCCCCTCCCAGTTCCTACCAGCCGCAAGTCCTTGCAGTAGAGTTTGGTGAACCACTGGTTGTAGGCCAGGGCTGCTACCATTAGGGCCAAGTCTCTGTGGGGATATGGAAGGGGGCAGGAAAGTGGTGAGCAGGTGGTTGGGTCAGAAAAGAAGAGACCAAGGATAGGGTGGTTGGGCTGGGGAAGGCCTAAATGGGTAGATGGGGATGGGATGGAGTTGGGGAGATAGAGCTGGGGCTGTGGGACCAGAAGGGCACTCCTGGGAAGGGCTGGGGTTGGGCTGAATTTGGGAATTTGAGGGTGGAGTCTCTGCCCCATCTGCTTACCGGCTCTCCAAGTGGCTGAAATCCAAAAGATTGAACTCCCGGTTATCTTCAGCATGGTAGATGGTGTCCACATCCTTGGAGAGGTGGAACTGGCTCACACCTGCTCCCCACTTCCTTCTTAGCCCCTTCCCTCCAGGTCCCACCTGTTCCCTATGGGGTCCCTGCCCAACATACCCATTGAACCTCCTCACGGCAGTGTAGCCCATTGTAGTCACACAGAGCAGCGTAGGTCTCAGAGAAGCCACCTGTGGGGCAGGAGATAGGCTGATTCCATGAGGGTAAGGAGATGGGGAATAGGCTTGGGGTTCAAGAACAGTCAAGGTCACTTTATGTGCCAGTGCTCTTGGTTCTTGCTATGCCATGAACTTCCTGAGGTCTGGGAGCTGGGAGTCCTTCAGGCAGGCAAAGCCCGCCCGCCCAGGCAACACCCTGTGCACAAAGGGCTCTGATCATGGGGCAAGATGGTGGAGCGCCTACTTTCCTCACATCTGCCCCTGCTCACCGCAGACACTGTGGGTGGTAGATGTGGAAGTCTCAGAGTTGGGGGATGTATCTCGGGGCCCCTCTGGGGTGTCTGCGTTTCCACGCCGGATCAAACACCTGGAAAAGAAACAAGTCATTCCAGAGAGGGCTGGAAAGAGGCTCTCAGTTCTTCCCACGTTATAGCTCCTGCATCCCAGGAAAAACCAGGAGTGGGGACATGAGAGCTCTCCTTCTCAGCCCTGGCCCAGGGGAAGGAGGAAGGGATGAACTCTCCCTCTCATCTAATGCCTTAAGAGACCCCTTATTTGCCACTCACCCAGGGCCAGGGCAGACCTTGGACAGGGCAGAGCTCACATGTCGTGTCACCTGGTCCACACTTTCAGCTGATGGCAGTCGCATGCTCACCATGCCACGCTCCGTCTCCACCAGGATCTGGGGGAGACGAAGCGTCAGAGCCTCAGACTCCCTCCTCTCTGCTCCCTCCTCCAGCTGGCCCAGTAGTGGGGCCCAAAGCCCTGGTACTCACCTGATTCTGACTGAGCGTGTTGAAGGCACGGATCTCCAGGACATTGAAGGAGCTCTCCACCTAGGAGGGATGGAGATGCTCAGCTCCTGGTAAGGACCTGGGTTGCCAGGCTTGGGAGGTAGGGAGCATGCCAGGTGCTCTCCTGCTCCTCAGCCCAACTCACCTTGGCCGGGACTTTAAGGAGGAAGAGGTGGAGGCGCCAGGAGGTCAGGGCCTACAGAGAGAGGAAAAAATCGGCAGCTCATGGCAGCTGCTGGGCCTTGGTGGCCCTGCCCTCCTTAAGCCCTTCAGCTCTGCTCTTGGAGTGTCTCCCCAACCCGATGCCCTACCCTAGACTTCTGGACATCAACACAGTCCAGCCCTGCCTCCTCCCCCCAGGTTTTGTCTCCTCAGTGTCCACCCACTTCTGTCTCTTCTGTCCTCCCGGCTCCCTGCCCTCTACTGGCCAGCTGCCCTTGCCAGCCACCTCCTCCCTCCCCACATGCCCAGTGCCCTCACCAGCACTCGGTCCTCAAACTTCTTGGGCTTTGTCTCCAACTTCACATGATGTTGTTGGAGCACGGCCCCTTGGCTCAGGCACCTCCGGATGCTGTCTGAGGGGGGGTGGGAGCCTGCTCAGAGCTTCACCTTACCCTGGCCACCCCCACCTCCCAGAGCTCTCCAGATAGAGGCAGGGTCAGGGTCAAATGGGATAAGAGAGAAACAGAGAGACAAAGAAGGGAGGACAGGGACAGAGGGCATTCCTTCTTGGGTGACTTTTCACACTGTCTCTTTTTTGACTTTTCTCTTCCTATTAGAGAGGGAGTAGGGTGTGGAGAAAACTCCGGCTCCTGATGTCCCTGAGTCAGGGGACGGTTGCTGACTGTCTGTGGGAGGGTGTGTCTCACACTTCTGAGGGTGTGAAGAATTTTTCCAACCCATGCACTACAACAGCCATTGACACATACAAAGTGAGTCACTGTGTGGGGGTGTGGGGTGTCCCTTTGACTATATTCTAGGTGGTCCGGGTGTGAGTGTCTGCCTTTACTATGAGAGTGTGCATGCCTCCTGGAGATGTCAGGGAGCCTGAGTGTGGCATTGGTGGGGACAGGTAAGTGTGAATGAGTATGCTGTGGAAGGGGCACAGAGCCAGACACTTCCTCTGTGTGTGTTGGGCGGGGAGAAGAATTAATGTTTAAATGAGCCCCATACCCATCTGCTGGCAGAACCACCCAGATATAGTGTGTGTGTGTGTGTGTGCACGCGCGTGTGCTGGGGTGCCATCTCTGTGAAGATGTGTTTACACACGTCTAATGATTGTGCTGTGTGTGTGTGCAGGTGTGGGAGATTGCCACGGCGCAGCATGCCTCTGAGTATCCACGAGCATCCTGCGCTTTGCGTGGGCTAGCCTGTGCTCCCGTCTCTGGGGGTCAGGGTTGTGGCAGTGCTGGGTGGCCGGGCCTGGGTTTGGGCTAGGTCTGAGAACCATGCAAACGGGAGAAGCCTTGATGTGTGGGTGGTGGGTAGCGAGAAGGAAGCAGGCTGGGACGGGGCTGTGGGAGGCGAGCCTCAGAGACCCTCCTGCTCTTGGTTTTAGCTCCAATCCAGGGCCTCTTCCCTGACTCCTTTCTTTGCCCCACTGGCCTGGGCGCTGCCCAGCTCCTAAGGGGCTCTTCAGGGCCAGTTCCGGGGCGGGGCCGGGAGGAGGGAGGGTGTTAAGCCACGCAGCGGTCAGGACCAGGGGCAGCTCCCATCGCAGGGAGGGGCGGGCTTGGCCCCGCCCGGCGGGGAAGCGGGGACTCTCCGGATGGGAGACTGGACGCTTCGCCGAGGGTGGGCTAGGAACGCCGAGAGTCAGCCCCAGGGAGCGCCAGGGAACTGCACCTGTCACCGAAGGGCGGGACGGGCGGCTCCGGGACAGGAAGGTCCCGACCGGGTGAGGCGAGGCAGGCAGCGGAGGATGCTCCGGGGACAGCGATGCCCGGACTGGAATGCAGGGGCTGCCTTGGAGCCAGGATGCATGGGGTGAGGGGTGTGAGACACCGGGCTGGGATGCACCACGGGGAGGAACGCGCTGGGTCTGGGATGCTCCCGGACGGGGCGTCCCAGAGACCGAGGCAGCCTCGTACCTTGCAACTCGCGGGTGAGCTCCACGCTGGGCTTGGCCATGGCGGCCGCTGCTGCTGAGGCTGCTGCAGAGGAGCCGCCGCCGCCGCCGGGGAGCCGCGGCACATGCTAGACCCGGCTTCAGCAGGGCCCGGGCGCTGAGCGCTGCAGCAGCGGCCGAGCCCGCTCCGGTCAGGGGCGGCTGCTTGAGCGCTCCTCCCCCCGCCTCGGAGCGCCGGCTCCCCCGCCCAGCAGGGAGAGCTGCCGGACTGAGCATGCGCTCCGCGCTGCCGAGCCGCGTGAGACCCCGCGCGCGCTCGCGCCGACCCTTCTCGCTGGCTCCCGCGTGAGCTGGCCGGTGTGCGTCGCCCGGTGTCCGGGCCTTCGGGGCGGGGGGCAGCGTCCCCGCTTTCCATCTACTCAATCCTCGGGCCCGTGGGCAGAAGCCATTTCTTTTGTTTGTGGGCCCGGGCACCTTGCAGGGCCTTTCTCTATTCCCCACCGGCTCAGGACCCCTCCAGCTTGTCCTTGCTGACTCGGGACCTAGGGCCATGCTGGGAGAGGGCATGGCTGGATCTGGGAGGCGAGGGGCGGGGAGGTGTTAGAGAGTTCCTCCTTCCCCACCCTCGCCCGACTCGCCCTGCCTCGGGGATCCCCGTGGCGTCCTGGGAGTTCCTGTCCCACCTTCCTTCCAGTTGGCAGCTCTGCAGACACCTCCACCCCTGAACATCACGCTCAGGTCCTGGAGACAGGGAGGAGGGCTGGGGGATCCAGAGATCCAGCCTGGCCAGACTTCTGCTCTCTGCTCAGCTAAGCACCCCGCACTGAGAAAACGTCGATTCGATTCAAAGCCGCGCAATCATCTGCATTTTATTTGCACCTCATTTGCAAGTTGTTAATTTGCAACTCTGCTCCTTCCACTCCAGCTTCCTTCTCTCTCATCTCCCCTCAAATTCCCCAGTGGCCTGGGCAAAAAATATCTTGGTCTTTGCCAAGGTAGACTCAGCCTTGTCAGCAGGCCTGTCCTGTGTTCTCAGGGGAGGCCTTTACCCAAGGCCACAACAACAGCAGGAATCCCGAGTAAGACACCACCTTGACGGCAGGGAAGGCTGGATCTTTTCACAGGGCAGAACTGATTTGATGAGGTGAACAGTAAGGTGAGCAGAGGTGGGAAAGGCCAGTGGGTGAATGCAGGAACAGCACCAGGAGCTAGAGCCCAACTCTGGCCTGTGGGCTGTCTCCGGGTCCTCAGAGGCGGGACGGGGTTCCTCCACCCACCATCACTGTTTCCCCAGTGAGGTAGCTGGCATCTTCAGAGCACAGGAAAGACACGATGCCAAGAGAATCCTCTGGCTCGCCTAACCTGGGGAATAGGGGAAGCAAGGAAGGGAGTAAAAATCAAACAGGTCTGCCTCCCTCACCTGGGACACGGGGAATGAAATTTGCTTAATCAAGAATTATCAGATAACTTTTCAGGATCAGTGTACAAACTTTCCGCCTATCAAATAGGGTTACCATGAGGATATGCTGTTATAATTTAGTATAAGCATACTGTACTCTGCAAAAACCATTACCCATAATATTCAAATACTATAGAGACACTGTTTTTTAGAGAGCTCAGGACACCAAAATCCAAAGTTATACAGGTAAAATAGTAATTATTTCATACTTCAAAAAAATGGTTTCACATGTGCACACACTAAAGTATCAGGGAGTCTGTGTGACAGTAAATGGTGTGTTTAAAATGATTCCATTTGTACAGGTTCAACTTAGAGACAATTTTTTCAGGAATCTATACTTGTCCCTTAAAGTCAGGATCATTTGGTGAGAATGTGCTAATTCTTATTTTATCAGTGACTGCATAGTTAGGAGACACTTTAATCTGCCTGCCATAGAATGCTCTAGAGGTGGGCAGAGTAACTCAAACCTAGAAGGGCTGAATTAATGCTTCTCCATTCTAGCTGTACCTTGCAATCATTTGAGAGGCTTAAACAAAAAAAGAAAAGAAAAGACAAAGAAAAACAAAACCCTAGATGGTCAAGTCCTACCTTGGACCAATTAAAAAAGAATCTTTGGGAGTGGGTGGGGCCTGAGCACCTGCAGTTTAAAAAGCTCCCCAGGTGATTCTAATGTGCATCCAGTATTGAGCTACATGGGCTAGATCATTCACTGGAGCTCTAGGTTGACAATCCCCTGACTTATTAATGAGTTATGAACTAGGCCTGTAGCTCATGCCTGACATCAGAATGGCTTTGGGAAGATTTGGGATGTCTGGACCAGTACGGAATTAGGCATTGCTGGCATTTGTCCTTGAGGGACAAGATGGAGAAACTAGATAGTGCCCAGAAGCCAGAAGGTAGAGAGAGGCAGGGAACTTAGAGGAAAGGGAGCCCGACAAAGGTGCTTGAACAGTTCACCCAGCTCACTGGGGAAGAAAGTAACTCCTTAGGCAAGGGGAGTTTGGGGCTTAGTAAAACTCTTCATTCTTTTCATTTGGATTGTAGATCATCAACCTGAGTTTTGTAAACATGTGTCATTATTCAAGGGGACTAAAAAAGCATGGTTTTGGTTATAGTCCCTGGTCTCCATGGATGCTCAGAGGTGGAGGCAATCCCCCAGGTGGAGAGAGGACTCAGGGCTTCTCCGAGAGCTCTGCACTGCTGAAACCCCGATGTCTCTGTGTTTACCTTTGGAAAGGGAAGCTGACTTCTTGCTCAGGTCACTGTAGTGATAGTGTTTATGAATTCGTGGTCTGTGAGGCAGAGGAGAGCCTGCCTGTGTTATCTGTGGGACTGAGACAGCGGGCTGTGGGCTGCTAGGGACCAGACCTTCCCATCTTCATGTCTCTTAGTGCCCTTGCCCGTATGACAGTTTACCTTCTTATCCGCAGGGTTTCTTTCATGCTTTCCTCTTTTTCCTTGTCCATCCAGAGCTGCAGGAAGAAGGGAAATCTCTTTATGTTTAAGAAGAGGAAAGTGAGGAACAGAAAGGGAAGAAACTGCCCATCCTCATGGCAACTGAGAGGAGGGATGGGGAGAGAGACTTCCCTCTTTCACTTCCTATTTTTTTCTAGCTCCCAGCTCTCCCCACTGCCCTCATCTGTTTCATTTGTTTCAGGTTCTAGTGATGCATTTTGCTGTGTCTCTCCAATTCTCATCCATGTAAGGAGAGAGGAAACAGTGTGAGTAGAGTGTGAATATCTCAGTCTCCACTCTGCACCTCAGGAAAGGTGTGATAGGAGTGTGGCTTGTATAGGGCAGCTGGTACAGAGAGTGAATATGGAAAAGACCAGGGAAGGAGAATGGAGTGGTTGAGAGCTCAGGACTCAGGTACTGGGTTTCCCTGTCCAAGAAGATGGATGCCTTTCAAGGGGTCCCAGTGGGATGCAAAGCTCCCCTTCCTCACCATCCTGCTGAAGCTAGTCTTGATAAGTCCAGGTGCTAGGCAGTTCACCCTAATGTTCCTTGGGGCCAGCTCTATGGCCAAGGTCTTGTTGAGGCCCAGCAAGGCTGTTTTACTGACATTGTAAGGACTGAAGCCCTGGAGAAAGAAGAGAATGTGTTAGACTCATAGTTTCCAGGTCATTCTTGGTTCTAATAACTAGACATAGAGGGCAGTGCTCAATAGGGATCTCCTGTAAGGGAGGGGCAGAGTTAGGGAACTGTCTTGTGGCTAAATCTCCCCTAGGTTATGGTTTGTGGAGGCAAGGCATCTATTTTGTGGGCAGGGACTTGGTGGTGTGATTCTACAAGGGGACACAAACTTCCTTGGGTAATAGGAGGGGTGGAAAGATGTGGAGTGGAGGATGGGATGGAAAGGGCAATCAAAAGGGTTCTTACAGGAAGTGGCCTGAAGGCTGCTACAGAGGCCAGGAACCCCACTGAACCACCCCTGGAAAAAGAAGAGAGCTGACCGTCTTCCCAGTGTGGACCACTGCCCTCAGCCTGTGTGGGGTCCCATCTCACCCAGGCTCTCTCTCACTCTCTGTACCCTCGTTTCTCCATTTCTGGCACCACTGCCTTTATCATTAGGGCTAGGGCCTTCCCATTAATGTCCAGATTCTGAAGCCAAAAGAAGAAGGGGAAACAACATGAGTGTAGAGCACTGGAGGAGACATGGCAATGAGGAGTTAGAATGGGTTCCTAGGATGTTTGTCAAAGCTGACGAAGATCTTAGGATGATATACCTGTATCTTACACATGAAGCAACTGAGGTTCAGGGAGAAGTAGCTCTCACCAGCTGCTCAGCTAGATAATGATACATTAGGTTCAGGTGAGCAAAAATGGAGCCTGGTTCATCTAGTTTCATAACCAGCCAAGTATGATTTGGCCCAGAAGGAGCCTAAATCCTCAGGGCTCCTTCGGATTTGAGCTGTGTTTTCTCTGTTTTTTCAAAGTAGGGAAAGTCTGGAATTGTCAGCCTTCTGGACCTGCCCTAGAGTAGGCCATGCTTCTCAGGGAAAATGTGGCCTGACCTTGGATACCTGGGGTTGTTCTAGCACTTCTCTGGCTTCTGCATTTAGGGAATGAGATGCTATTGGTCCTCTAGGGTGGACTGTCTGGCTAGGCATGGTTAGAAAGTGGGAGCACGAGGAGGCACCTTCTGGGGAAGCTGGGGGATGGCTACAATCAGAATCCCCACATCCATAATCTAAAACAAATGTATGACCCTGTTTACATTGTTCTAGACAACTGCTTATATTAAAATATTTCAATCTTACAGAAAAATTGGAAATAGAAGTACAAGGAGAATCTAGAGATCCTTCACTTAGATTCACCAATTTTTCTCTACTAAAAATACAAAAATTAGCCAGACGTGGTGGCATGTTTCTGTAATCCCAGCTACTCAGGAGGATGGGACAGGAGAATAGCTTGAACCCGGGAGGTGGAGGTTGCAGTGAGCCAAGATCGCAACACTGCACTCCAGCCTGGGCAATAAAGCGAGACTCCATTTCAAAAAATAAATAAAAAAAATTAAAATAAATAAACTTAGTTGCAGATATTAGAATGCTCTATCCCTAAATACTTAGCATACATTCCCAAAGAGTAAGGATGTTCTTTTACACAACCATAATCCATTATCACACCCAAGAAGTTTGACATTGATGATAATTTTATCTAATATATTGGCCTCAATTGTCCCCGAAATGTGGTTTTTTTTTTTTAAAGTCCAGAGTTCAATCAAGGATCAGCTATTATGTTTGGATTTGATGTACTGTGATATTTAAAATAATATATAAACTAAAAGAAAAGTTACAGGCACACTTTATTTTATTACTCTTTGCAGATATTGCGTCTTTTACAAATTGAAGGTTCATGGCAACCCTGTGCTAATTGGAGCCATTTTTCCAATGGCATGTGCTCAGTTTGTCTCTGGGTCACATTTTGGTAATTCTTGGAATATTTCAGACTTTTCCATTATTATTACGTCTGTTACGGTGATCTGTGATCTTTTGTGTTTTTATTATAATTGTTTTGGGGTACCACAAACCACACCCAGAAAAGAAGGTCAACTTAATGGAAAAATGTTGTGTGTTCTGACTGCTCCGCCCTTCTCCCATCTCTCTCCCTCTCTGTTGGCCTCCATATTCCCTGAGACACATTTACATTGAAATTAGGCCAATTATTAACCCTACAATGGCCTCTAGGTGTTCAAGTGAAAGGAAGAGTAACACATCTTACACTTTAAATCAAAAGCTGGAAATAATTGAGCTTAGTGAGGAAGGCATATTGAAAGCTGAGGCAGGCTGAAAGCTAGGCCGTGTGCACCAGTAGCCAAATCATGAGTGCAAAGGAAAAATCTCTGAAGGATATTAAAAGTGCTACTTCTGTGAACACATAAATGATAAGAAAGCAAAACAGCTTTATTGTTAATATGGCTTCAAAACTTCAAAGGACAGGCTTATTCTCTTGTTAGGGGCTAATGCAGCCAGTGACTTTAAGTTGAAGCCAATGCTCATTTACCATTCTGAAAATTCTAGGGCTCTCAAGATTTATGCTAAATCTACTCTGCCTGTGCTCTATAAATGGAACAACAAAGCCTGGATAACAGCACATCTGTTTATAGCATGGTTAACTGAATATTTTAAGCTCACCGTTGATAGCTACTGCTCAGAAAAAGATTCCTTTCAAACTGTTACTGCTCATTGACAATGCACCTGGTCACTCAAAAGCTCTGATGGAGATGTACAAGGAGATTAATGTTGTTTTCATGCCTGCTAACACAACATCCATTCTGCAGCCCATGGATCAGGGGGTAATTCTGACTTGCAAGACTTGTTATTTAAGAAATACATTTTGTAAGGCTGTAGCTGCCATAGATAATGATTCCTCTGATTTATCTGGGCAAAGTCAACTGAAAACCTTCTAAAAAGGATCCACCATTCTAGATGCCATTAAGAATATTTGTGATTCATGGGAGGAGGTCAAAATATCTACATTAACAGGAGTCTGGAAGAAGTTGATTCCAACCCTCATGGATGACGTGGAAGGGTTCAACACTGCATCAGAGGAAGGAACTGCAGATGTGGTGGAAATAGCAAGAGAACTAGAAGTGGAGCTGGAAGATGGGACTGAATTGCTGCAATCTCACGACAAAATGTAGATGGCTGAGGAGCTGGTTCTTACGGATAAGCAAATAAAGTGGTTTCTTGGGATGGAATCTATTTCCGGTGAAGATGCCATGAACATTGTTGAAATCACAACACGGGATTCAGAATATGATATGTACTTAGTTGAGTAAGCAGTGGTAGAGTTTGTAGGATTGACTCCAATTTTGAAAGAAGTTCTACTGTGGGTAAATGCTATCAAACAGGCTTGCATGCTACAGAGAAATCTTTTGTGAAAGGAAGAGTCAACTGATGTGGCAAACTTCACTGCTGTCTTATTTGAAGAAATTGCCACAGCCACCCCAGCCTTCAGCAACACCACCCTAAGTCAGCCACCATCAATGTTGAGGCAAGACCCTCTAAGGCCGGATGTGGTGGCTCACGCCTGTAATCCTAGCACTTTGGGAAACCGAGGCGGGTGAATCACGAGGTCAGGAGATTGAGACCATCCTGGCTAACACGGTGAAACCCCGTCTCTACTAAAAATACAAAAAATTAGCTGGGTGTGGTGGCGGGTGCCTATAGTCCCAGCTACTCAGGAGGCTGAGGCAGGAGAATCGCTTGAACCTGGGAGGCGGAGGTTGCAGTGAGCCGAGATGGTGCCATTGCACTCCAGCCTGGGCTACACAGTGAGACTCCATCTAAAAAAAAAAAAAAAAAAAGACCCTCCACCAGCAAAAAGATTACAACTTCTAAAGGCTCAGATCATTGTTAGCACTTTTTAGCAATAAAGTATTTTAAAATTAAGATATGTATATATTTTTAAAGACATAATGCTATTGCTCATTTAATAGACAACCATTAGATGACCATTATAGTGTAAACGTAACTTTTATATGCACTGGGAAACCAAAAAATTCGTGTGTCTCACTTTATTATAATATTCACTTTATTGTGCGGTGGCCTGGAACCAGACCCACAATATCTCCGAGGTGTGCCTGTACTTAGTTTAAAACTGACTTTCATAGGGTCTCTATTCAGACTGTTCATGAAAGATGTTCCTCCATTGTAAAGACTATCAGAATCTGTCTGGGTGCAGTGGCTCACGCCTATAATCCCAGCACTTTGAGAGGCCGAGGTGGGTGGATCAGTTGAGGCCAGGAATTTGAGACCAGCCTGGGCAACACAGTGAAACCCTGTCTCTACTGAAAATATCAAAAATTAGCCGGGCATGGTGGCACATGCCTGTAGTCCCAGGTACTTGGCAGGCTGAGGCACAAGAATCGCTTGAACCTGGGAGGCGGGGGTTGCAGTGAGCTAGATCGCAGCACTGCACTCCAGCCTCGATGACACAGCGAGGAAAAAAAAAAAAAGAGGGACAAAGCTTAACAATAAAAAACTAGCTCACTGAAGAACATTTTGGCACTTTGGTCTTTATGTGTATGAAACACTGGTAAATAAATCATAGTGTTTTCACATCCTGATACTTTAGTGTTGAGAAATGTTTGATGACATCTGATATAGTTGGTATGTTTGTCCCCTCTAAGTCCCATGTTGAAATGTGATCACCAGTGTTCAAGGTGGAACCTGGTGTGAGGTGTTTGGGTCATGGGGTGGATCCCTTATGAATGGCTTGGTGCTCTCCTGGTGGCAATTAGTGAGCTCTCACTCTATTAGTTCATGCCAGAGCTAGTTGTTTAAAAGCCTGGTATCTCACTTCCTCTCTTGCCATGTAACGCGCCTGCTCCCTTTTGCCTTCTGCTATGATTGTAAGCTTCCTGAGGCCTCATCAGAAGCAGATACTGGCACCATGCTTCTTCTGCAGTCTGCAGAAGTGTAAACCAAAACAACCCTCTTTTCTTTTCTTTTTTTTTTTTTTTTGAGACGGAGTCTCGCTCTGTCACCCAGGCTGGAGTGCAGTGGCGCAATCTCGGCTCACTGCAAGCTCCGCCTCCCGGGTTCACACCATTCTCCTGCCTCAGCCTCCCAAGTAGCTGAGACTACAGGTGCCCGCCACCACACCCGGCTGATTTTTTGTATTTTTAGTAGAGACGGGCTTTCACCATGTTAGCCAAGATGGTCTCGATCTCCTGACCTCGTGATCTGCCCGCCTCGACCTCCCAAAGTGTTGGGATTACAGGCGTTAGCCACCGCGCCCGGCCACAACCCTCTTTTTCTTTATAAATTGCCCAGCTCAGGTATTCCTTTATAGCAACGCAAAACAGACTAATACAACATCAGAGTAAAAAGCAAAACCATGGGAGATCATAAAAAATTAGCATTTCCAAATCGTGGGACTATTAACCTTAGTATACAAAGACAAATATTTTAATTAAAGCTTTGTAATTAAAGAATGTGTGTGAAATATATTACGAATGTAATGTAATTATATACTTACACATAAAACCCAATATTGTACCACTTGAATATAGACATCTGGATCTCAGATTTTCTTGACATTGCAGTTAGGAAGAAAATAATATAGGTTTTTATTTTTACTTTTTTAAAGGATGTATATTATAAAGTGGCAACTGGTTATTTCACCAGAATTAGTATTTTACTTAACTAGCAGCTTTTAATATTTCCCAGCTAATGAAAAATGATTCCTTTTTGGCAGCTGAAAGGGGGACAGTTGGGTGTGTAAGTTTAAGTGTCATAGTTGTTGGCATATTAGCTGCCACGTCTCTGTTGGAAATCAACCAGGTAGCAGAGCATGCCGGGAAGAAGGCTGGGGAGGGGAGCAGACGGTGGATAGTGAAGGGCAGATGGAAGCAGACAGAAGTAGGAGCAGCAGAAACGAATGAGAAGGGCAGGGACAGAGGAAGCTGCCCCCACCCGCCCTTTACCAGGTGTGCTCCAGGTGTGTGGCATGTGGCAAAGACTCCTCACATTTACACTGCACTTGATAAACACATTCTAAAAGCAGACGGAGTTTGTTATCGATAGTGATAGGATATCAATAACTCCATGAAGCTTCATAGCCTAGGGAGAGGGGTAAGGTCTGGACCAGGGCTGCAGTAAGTAAGGGAGGTGCATTTATTCACGTTGATAAAAACTTCCTTCTGGGCGGGGCGTGGTGGCTCACGCCGGGAATCATGGCACTTTGGGAGGTCACGGTGGGAGGACCACTTGAACTGAGCAGTTTGAGAGAAGCCTGGGCAACATAGGGAGACCTTATCCCTATATTTAAAAAAACAACAACAATGACAACAACAACAACAACAAATCTTCCTTCTTAGGAACTATCGTCAAAATAACTTCTATTTCTTAAAACATCTTTTTTGAAAACTACCCTAAGATCTGCTGCTAACCATTTAAGGTTGGCTTCTTTCTTTTTTTAGATGGAGTCTTCCTCTGTCACCCAGGCTGGAGTTCAGTGGCATGATCCCAGCTCACTGCAGCCTTGACCTACTGGGTTCAAGCCATCCTCCTGCCTCAGCCCCCCAAGTAGCTGAGAATACAGGTGCGTGCCATCACACCTGGGCAATTTTTGTACTTTTTGTAGAGACAGGGTCTTGCCATGTTGCCCAGGCTGGTCTGGAACTCCTGAGCTAAAGCCATCCGCCTGCCTCGGCCTCTCAAAGTGTTACAGGTGTGAGCCACCAGGAAGTTGGCCTTATTTCTTTTGCAGTGTTTTCTTCCCACCTCCTATTCTTCTAAGGCTGTCTCTGACCCTATGCTCTTTTCTTTACATTTTCCCATTTGGGAGCTCCTTCATTCTCGTGATTTCAAATCTCACCCCAAAATCTATTTCCAGACCCCTCCTCTTCCTTTCACACTGAGTTCCACCCACATTTCTCCAAGTGCTTACTGTCCAGTTCTTCTTGAATAAGTTACCATTATTTCAAAGTCAATCTGGCCACACTTACCTGAATGGAAAAACTGGCTTAAATAGAGCTGTAGAAAGTTACCCTGGAGGGGCCTTTGAGATCATCTATTCCAATGTCCTTAAGGTGGAGATGATGAAACAGGTTCAGGGAATTTTCTCAAGATCATATAGTTCAGTAGTAACACACTGGGGCTAGCTAAGAACAGGAGGCCTGCTTATTCCGTGTTGGGGAAAGTGATTTGTTCAGGGCATAAAGCTAGTTAGTGGTGGAAGAACTGAGGTCAGTCTCCCACTTTGTAGCACAGAGCTAATTCGTAAGAGCCCTCTGAAAGTGAGCTGGGGTCATTAGGAAACCGGCTGCCCAGGAGAGCCATGATGGGAGAAGATACCAGCCTGAATTTAAAGCAATTCCATATTTGGTTATGATGTCATTTTCCCTGTCTCTGTCTCTCTCTTTTGACCTGGAGGCATGAAAGATTCAAGGCAGAAAGGGAAATTTAAACTGAGAAAGCCAAGAAAGGCAACATCTCACCTCCTTAATAAGTTATAAGTAGGTAGTGAGGCATGTGCTAGAGTAATGAATGGCCAAGCAGAATCTGCCAACAAGGGTTTTCAGTACAAAGCCACCCTGAAACCAGACTTTGCATTTGCCTGGAACTGGCAATTTTGATGCCTTGGGCAAGTAGCAGTACATGGGCCCTTGGTCAATTTTGTGCTCCGGATTTGGCCCACGGAGGGGTGTTATTAACAATGTACACCATCTGCTAGCTTCCCATTTTAACTAATTATTCTTGTTAACTAGGTGCTAACCTTCAACACAGTTGAAGAAATGCCTGGGCTGTCAACGTGTAAATCTAACAAAATTTAAAGTCAAGTACTCTTTTAAAACCAGTATGAATACTTTCTTGCACCCTTTAAATTTTGGTATCCTGGCACAAAGCCAAGTCACCTGCCTTGGCTCTGTGTAAGTCTCACCAATGTACTTGTTACTAGGGAGGTGCAGAATAAGTTAATAAGTGATGTGTGCTGTGCTCAGTGCACGTGTGTTTGGGCTGGGAGAAGACAGTGGATTGCTCCAGAATCACCTGGAGACATTTTCTACTCTGCTGCATACCCCATGCCCCTCTACTTCCAGGTCTGTCAGCACAGAGATGGGAGGAGGCTGGGTTTTGAATGAACAGAGACAGCAAACCATAAAAGATGAATGAGGCTGGGTGTGGTGGCTCACACCTATAATCCTAGCACTTTGGTACGGCCAGTAGGGAGGACCGCTTGAGGCCAGGAGTTCAAAACCAGCCTGGGCAATAAAGCCCCAACTCTACAACAAATTTAAAAGATGAACTGGCGTGGTGGTGCATGCCTATAATCTTAGCCACTTGGGAGGCTGACGGGGGAGGACTGCTTGAGCTCAAGAGTTGGAGGTTACAGTGAGCTATGATCATGCCACTGCACTCCAGCCTGGGCAACAGAGTGAGGCCCTGTCTCTGGGGGGAAAAGAAAAAGATGTCTTCTAAGTGTTCTAAATTGTGTGATCACTACACTAAAGTGGTTAGGAGCTGTTTGTTCTGTGTTCTGATAGTTATACATTTTTAAGAAAAAATATAATCAAGCAGATAGGCAGCTACTCTGGTTTCCACTTACAACACCAGTGAGAAGCTTCGTGGTGTGCAGATGAGGAGGCCACTGGGTAGTATCCATTCTCAGGGCAGTGGCTTTTCTCATTGCAGGGTAACATGTGACAACTGGCAGAAGACATTTCAAATTGCTGACAAGTATTCTATCATTCTCCTCTCTGACAATGGTCATACAAACTACCTGAGAGTCATTTTTGACTTCTCTATTTCCCACTTTTTGACATGGGGTTGGAAAATCTTGGTTCGTTTCCACTGAATGTCTCTTGGGCACATCTATTCCAGTCCCACCGCCACTGCTCTAAACCTGGACGACAGCAACAGCTTCCTCACTGATGCCCTGGATTTGGTGTCTCCTCTGTATATCCTTCCTACCAGAGCCAGATTAGCTTTCCTAATAACCATCTTTCTCTTGCTCAAAACCTCACATGGCTTCTTATTTGCTACAAGAGTGTGTAAACATATCCTTTTAAGAGGCTATATCCTTTTAAGGTCCTTAACGTATCCTTTTAAGAAGCTATGGCCGGGCGCAGTGGCTCACGCCTGTAATCCCAGCACTTTGGGAGGCTGAGTGGGTGGATCACCTGAGGTCAGGAGTTCAAGACCAGCCTGGCCAACATGGTGAAACCCCGTCTCTACTAAAAATACAAAAATTAGCTGGGCATGGTGGTGGGCACCTGTAATCCCAGCTACTCAGGAGGCTGAGGCAGGAGAATTGCTTGAACCTGGGAGGCAGAGGTTGCAGTAAGCCGAGATGGTGCCACTGTACTCCAGCCTAGGCGACAAGAGTGAAACTCCGTCACAAAAAAAAAAAAAAAAAAAAAAAAAAAAAAAAAAAAAAGATATGGAGGCCCATGGCCTCTATCTTTCCAATGCAGCCCCTTCCCCAGCAGTACTCCTGAGCCTGTGCTCTCCATTGTGGCCTGACAGTGCTCCTCTCTTTCCTTCAGTTCCTCCTTGGCTGTCTGCTCATTTTGCAGAGTTATCTGGAACCTCGTCACTATTCCATCTGTCCATTCCCATCCATTCCTTAAGGTTTAGCTCAAGTACCACCTCTGGGCCAGGCCTGTAGGCCATGTTAAGTGAACCTGGTGGGGGCCACAGGATGTTTTCCCAACAGGGTTTTCACATTACATTGCTACTTACATGTGATATGGTTAGTCACTAATTGACCCAGACTCCCAAACGGCTCCTTCCACCATCAGGATCAAGGCCCCAATCTTGGGCTCTGTCCACCAGCCTAGGCCAGGCAAGGTGACTTTCTAGGACTCACATTTGGCTCTTTCCAATGCACATTTGAGCATTTGCCAGACAGTTCCTTAAAAACGGAATTACCCTATACTGTCTACCATGCTACTGTCTACTATTGCTTAAGATCCTCCTCTTCTAAGATTATGCAAATTATTTCTGCCAACCTTCCAATCTGTTAGCACAACCCTGTACTTTCCATTTTTGGGTAGATTCTCCCTTCCACTCTGGAAAATAAAGTGTGTATCCTGAGCCTCAAGGGAAGAGGAGCTTGCTTTGCTGGATGGTTCATATTTCCTTCGGCAGCTGGAAGGCTGGTATCCACTACTAACTGTGACACTGACTTATATACTTTCTTTGAGACTAAAGTCCAGTACCTGGTAGTCCACAGGCAGCCAATAAAGGAAGGGAGCTTGGGAGGTCTGGGTCTTTCCTTACTGGCTGTGGGACCTTGGGAAGTTGCTCCAGCTATCTGAGCCAGCGTCTGCAGACCGAGAGAATAGTCCTTGCCTTGCTTGGGTTGTTGTCAGGTCTAGAGATAACCTGTGTAAGGCTCTGAACACAGGAAATGGCACATAGTAAGTGGTTGAAACATGGTGGGCTGCTTCCTGAAGTTCCCAGGGACTTGACTCTGTAAGCTGAAGAAGAGGGGAATGTTTATTAGCTCATGGGTGGGAACATCTATTTTGTGATTGTATTTACCCTTCTCATCTGTCCAGTTAGGTTGAAAATTACTGGAGAACCAGTACCAGCGGTTTCTTTGGGGTATGCAAGGGATGATGCAGGGTTGAAGCATTAGAATGTTTTAACATTCTCTGATTGGGATGGGATTATTCTCCAACTTTAATATATGGACATAATAGAAAGGCACACAATAAAAACGTGCTGGTGGGCTGGTTGGGTATGCAGAACACACTGTTATGTTTTAGTTAACATCACTGCGTTGGATCTCACCAATGCTGTCCAGGAAAGCAGGGAAGGAGGCTCAGGCTGGCTCCCTTTTCCACCTCCTGGCTCTGTGCCCATTTCCCTGCAGCTCACTGTGGCCACCAGCCGCTCCCAGTCCTTCATCTTCCCCACATGGCACACAGTGCCCGTCATGCTCAGCCCCTCCCCCTGCAGCGTGGCCACTGCCTGGTCCACATTCTGCTGCTTCCGGCGGCTGACTACCACGTGGGCCCCGTCTTGGGCCAGACGCTGGGCGACGGCGAAGCCGATCCTGTGAGCAGAGACAAAGACTGCTAAGGCTTGTGCAGGGGAAGAGATGGACAGCATGGGCTCTGAAGTTAGACTGCCCGGTTTTGAATTCTGGCTCTTTCTCTATATGACCTCCATGTGTCTCTACTACGTGTAAAACAGGCTTAATGGCACAGCCATTTTTGGCGTTCCTTTACTTATTTTTATTATCATCTTGGACTGCAGCCTCAGTTCCCAAGAACTGACATCACTTTCTACAGTTCCCACCATGGGTGACAGGCTTCATCCCCTCTTGGGACTGAGAGGTGAGAAATGAGCTGGGTTTGCAGCAGCAGCCACTTCCGTGATTTGAGGGTCTCACTCAGAACAGCCCTGCCTCCAGGTTTCTTTCTTACTAGTCTACATCATTCTGAAAATTCTATCCTTAATTATTTTTTGGGGTGCATGTGAAAAGATGGTCTCCGGTCAAAAATGTAAATATTGCCTTGGGAGGAAGAGTTACACATTTTGCACTTGTCAGCCATTAGCATTTTACCTACATTTGTATTTTAGTTTTGTGAAGAGTTGGCATCTAGCAAAGTCCTGTAGAAATGAGAACCAGGACTGAGAAGAGAGGTGGGTGAGAAACAGGCTGGCGAAGGTCGGCCCAGATGTACCGACCTAAACAAAAATCTCGACACTTGGCTCTGGTGTCCCATCTAGGTAAGGGGGAGGGGTTCCGGGAGACTTTCCGGTGCCCAAATAGAATGTCTGGTACATTTTCAAAGTGCTGGAGGCCTTGGGATATGATTTTGAAATCCAGATTCCCTTGGATTTCTAGTTTCTGGTCTTCCCGGACGCTAGGTGGTGCTGGTTGACGGGGGCAGCCCAGAACACTGGGGGGACTAGATCGATGGGACTTCACAGAGGAGGCACAGTTGTGCCAGAGGCAGCAGGGACACGAAGGCAGGCAAGGGAGGGTCCAGGGCCAGGGGATTCGGAGGGGCTTCGGGCGGACCACGTGGCTACTTCTTTTCCATGGCCAGACTTTGGCGGTATGTGAGGTCTGAGGACAGGGGCACTGGAGGCAAAGGACGAGACACCAGTGCCTGTTTCCAGGCAGCCAGGGCCTCAGAAACTCCGGCACCAACACTCACCAGTCGGTGGAGGCCGTTACCAGGGCCACCTTATTTGTGAGCGGGTCCCGGCGGGTCATCCCGGAGCTGGCCAACCGCACCGACTTCCCTGCCCGGGCACAGTGGCCTCGTAGCCGCGCCTTGTGCATGGATCAGACCAGCAAGTCTGGGTTCCACTCCTTCCAGCGAGGTGACAGAGTAGGGCGAAGGGGCAGGACGAAGGGCGGGCCGCTTCCCTGCCTGCTCCCTCCCCGCCCTCAGCCAGCTGGGAGTCGTCTGTGGCGGTTGGCGCCTCCCGCCGCCCGCCGCCCGCCAGTCGCCGCGCCCCGCAGCCAGCTACCTTCCGCCTGACTGGGGCTTGCCTTCCCGGGCTGGCGGGTGATCAAAGCGCTCTCCGTTCAAGTTGCCTGTAGGGCTCGCCCCTCCCCTGGCCCCCGCAGGAACCCGCAGCCTTTGGCTGCTGCCTTTCTGCATCTGCTTGCCCACCTTTTCTTCTTGGGGAAGTGGGGGTTTTGAGTTGGTTGCTTTTGCTTCTTCAGAATTCCTTCTCCAAGAAAGTCTGGGTCTATGTATGTGACAGCCCACAGGAGGGCAAATGTTTTGAGACTGCCCATGGAGGTGAGGCCTGTGGTCCCCATGGAGTCCACCAGGTGAGGCTGGAGCAGCCTGGGAGAGAGACGTGATAGGGAGTAGCTGCACCAGGCCTGGCACTGCCCTTCCCTCTGCCCAAGGTCTCCATGTTGCAGACAATGATCATTGGCCAAACAGGATCTCATATCCCTCGCCAAAGGGACTTCCTCCTTTACAGGGGCTAAGTGGTAGCGAGGAGGCTGGACAGTCCCTCAAGCAGTGGTGGAAATGCAAAGAACTCGGGGCACTCAAGTTCTCCCTAACCACTCTGTCCCCAGGTCTTAGCCTCCATCCTAGTTCAATAAATATTTGTTGAATGCAAAATCTCTTTATGAACTGTAAGCTACTAAGCACATAGTAGTTACTGCCACCATGTAGTGATTATTATTGGTGCCCTGGGCCAGACTCTTCATCTGTAAATTACTGAGGGTATGGAGTAGATGATGAATAAAGTCCTTGCCAGCTATAAATTCTGTGTCCAAGACTTCAGTCTCCACTTCTGCCAAGTGGGCTGAAATGATCTCCCTCCTGGGTTTCCGGGAGAATGAATAAATATGGATGGCTTATGGTACACTGTAGAAAGGCCCCAACAGACCCAAATGTAAGCATCTGAATTAGTTTAACCCACTGGCCTCCTAAGCCAGACTGAGAAGCAGTGCTGGTTCATGGCAGCGTTTTCATTAGTTCAAAGCAAAATGAGAAAAGGAAACAATTACAGTGAGTTTCATAAAGCTAAGCTTATTTAACAGTCCTTTATTGTGGAGTATACGTTTGCTTCTTTTTTTGTGTGTTAGTGTTTTCTTTTAGAAAAGATGATGAAAGCAGATGGGTAGGTTTGGAGATGTGTTGTTGGTGAAATCACCAGTTTTGCAGCCTTATGCCAGTCCCTACAATTAGAGGGGAAAGAATCCTGGTTTGTAAAATCCAGTTCTAGGCATGACTTTTGAATAGAATTCATGTTTGCTCAAGATTCATTTAGTGTATGTGCAGGTCAGCTGAGCAGCTGAAAAAGGATTTCAACATTCAGCAGGGCGTGGTGGCTCACCCTGTAATCCCAGCACTTTGGGAGGCCGAGGCAGGTGGATCACAAGGTCAGGAGATCAAGTCCATCCTGGCTAACACGATGAAACCGGTCTCTACTAAAAATACAAAAAATTATCCGGGCGTGGTGGCATGTGCATGTAGTCGCAGCTACTCGGGAGGCTGAGGCAGGAGAATGGCATGAACCCGGGATGCGGAGCTTGCAGTGAGCCGAGATCATGCCACTGCACTCCAGCCTGACCGACAGATGGAGACTCTGTCTCAAAAAAAAAAAAAAAAAAGGGTTTCGACATTCAAACGGTGGCGTATAGTGAGCAAGTAATAGGACGGCCTGCACTGTATTGATAGTGTTTTCCTCAGCCAAGAAGTTACAGCTGCAGTACTCTGCTTTGCTACTCAGCACATCCCGATGAGACAGGAGAGCTTAAGTATCATTTTCCCCATGTCCAGGGAAAACTGACTCTGACTGGTGCTCCTTAGTTTGAGCCTCATGAACTATTGACAGAGGCTGGAAGCACCACACTCCTTGTCCTCTTGCACTGTTTGGAGCTAATGCACTGTGGGAACCTTTACCAGGGCTCTCCATCTGTGTGTGGCGCTGGGGTGGGGGTACACAGGAGGACGGCTGTGGGGGTTCTCAAGGCTTGGTTCAAACGGACAGGCCTGCAGGGGGCGTTTGATCTCTCTTCCCCTTCTCTTCAGAGGTAGACACGGCCACTGAGGGGCTGAGGGTTGCAGGAAGGTGAGCAAGACTATACTTCAAAGAGCAAAGGATTCTGGGAAAAGAGAATTGTGGCTTGGGAGCTTGGTGAACATCACATGGCCCTCCCTTGTGTGGGCAGGGTTGCTATTGGGCCTCCAGCCTATTTCTTTTGCGGAGAGCACAGGGGACATTAGGGAGGGGGCCTGTGAGCAGAAAAGGATAGAAGGAAGTCAAGAAGTGTGGGAATCTCTAGCACTACTCCTCATCAAGCTGGCTTATTGGAGATAAGAGCAGGAAATCTTGGTCCGGGCATGGTGGCTCATGCCTGTAATCCCAGCACTTTAGGAGGCTGAGGTGGGCAGATCACTTGAGGTCAGGAGTTTGAGACCAGCTGGCCAATATGCTGAAACCTAGTCTCTACTGAAAATACAAAAATTAGCCGGGTGTGGTCAGGAGCTCAAGACCAGCCTGGCCAACATGGTGAAAACCTGTCTTTACTAACAATACAAAAATTAGCTGGGCATGGTCAGGAGTTCGAGACTAGGCTGACCAACATGGTGAAACTCCATCTCTACTAAAAGTACAATAACTAGCCAGGCCTGGTGGCACGTGCCTGTAATCCCAGCTACTCAGAAGGCTGAGGCAGGAGTATTGCTTGAACCTGGGAGGCAGAGGTTGCAGTGAGCCTAGATCACACCACTGCACTCCAGCCTGGGCAATAGAATGAGAGACTCCATCTCAAAAAAAAAAAAAAAAAAAAAAAGAACAAGATATCCTTCAGGGAAATACATGCATATGTGGGAGTATCTCTTTGAAATGGGAACTGTAATAGGCAATGGGATTGTTCTTGTATGGAGGTGGTAACATCTGCCTATCTTGAGGGACAAATGCCTCCATGATTGAGGGCTCTACTCCCATCCTTTTCAAGGCCTGCCTGTGGTCCAGAAGAGAATTCACCTGGGGTGGAATTTAAGTCTTGCATTTTGCAATAGCTGTCCCAGATTCACTGCTGAGTCATGCATCACTGACACAAGTCAGGATTAGGCAATGTGGGAGGTCTGGTGTGGGGTTAGGACAACTGCCAGGCAGAGAAATAATAGTAACAGTGTTAACAGTATTTATTGAGCACTTCCTTACTAAGTGCTGGCAAGTGTTAAGTCCTTTTCAGAAATTTTACTGAATATTTTCAATCTGGTGAAATGGGTGTTTTAATGTAGGGAGCCAAAGGCCTGAGGGTTGTGACCAACTCAGCATTCCACTGAAGGCTGCATGATCAAACAGCAAACTGTTTATCATGAATGCAGAACGTGTACAAACTCACTTCTGCACCTGCTGCCAGAAGGTTTGCTGAGGGCAATCACTCCCTGGTGCTGTGCTCCTTGAGGTTATCTGCTGGAACATCTGGAGACTACTGTTCAAAGAATGCAGTCATGCAAGCCTGCACTAAGCCAAGCAGCTGACTGACAACCACCACCTTCTCCCTATCTCCTTTACTCAATAAATACGAAGGGCTGTAGAAGCTCAGCACCCTTGTTCACTAGAAGCAAGGAGCCTCCTGATCCTTTCTTCCAAATATACTCTTTTGCCTTTGTCTTTATTCCCACATTCATCTTGTTTTGTTCAGTCCATGAAGGACTGCGGCATTTTAAATTTTTTTTTTTTGAGACGGCATCTTGCTCTGTCACCAGGCTGGAGTGCAGTGGCACAATCTTGGCTCACTGCAACCTCTGCCTCCCAGGTTCAAGCAATTCTCCTGACTCAGCCTCCTGAGTAGCTAGGACTACAGTACCTGGTGAGCTAGCACAACACCTCACCCAACTAATTTTTGTATTTTTAGTAGAGACGAGGTTTCACCATTTTGGCCAGGATGGTCTCCATCTCGACCTAGTGATCTTCCTGCCTTGGCCTCCCAACGTGCTGGGATTACAGGTGTGAGCCACTGTGCCCAGTCGGGTGTTTTAAATTCTATATGTGAAATCAGAGTGAATGATGACAACCTCAATTACTGTTTGTGTTGTATAGTTACACTTCATTTTTCTCGCATTGTTGGGGAATTGATACTTTTCATAGAAATCAATTTTCTCTGAATTGGAATTTTAACTTTCAGGATCAGTGTGTTTTTCAAATCAACACATCTACTCATTAAATTATAACATGCTTATTATTTTAAAAAGGGATAGAAAGTTATGTGAAAACTGAAAGGTAACTCTTCCTTATGGTTCCTTTACCTTCTTCATATAGCTCTTGGCTTTGTGTATCCTTCCAGCAGTTTCTTATACATTTACATGCATTTTTCTTTTAAAAATTGTTTCACAAATGAGATGACACTATACATACTGTCCTTCAAATTGCTTTTCTTTTCTTTCTCCCATGCTCCAACCCCTCCTTTTTTATTTCTTTTAAATTTTTTTCTTTTTTTTAAATTATTATACTTTAAGTTCTGAGATACATGTGCAGAACTTGCAGGTTTGTTATATAGGTATAAATGAGCCATGGTGGTTTGCCACACCCATCAACCCATCCTCTACATTAAGTATTTTTTCTCATGCTATCTCTCCCCTAGCCCTCCACGCTCCAGACAGGCCCTGGTGTGTGATGTTCCCCTCCCTGTGTCCATGTGTTCTCATTGTTCTACTCCTACTTATTAGTGAAAACATGCAGTGTTTGGTTTTCTGTTTTTGTGTTAGTTTGTTGAGAATGATGGTTTCCAGTTTCATCCATGTCCATGCAAAGGACATGAACGCATCCTTTTTTATGGCTGCATAGTATTCCATGGTATGTATGTGCCACATTTTCTTTATCCAGTCTATCATTGATGGGCATTTGGGTTGGTTCCAAGTCTGTGTATTGTGAACAGTGCTGCAATAAACATATGTGTGCATGTATCTTTATGGTAGAATGATTTATAATCCTTTGGGTATATACCCAGTAATGGGATTGCTGGGTCAAATGGTATTTCTGGTTCTAGATCCTTGAGGAATGGCCACACTGTCTTCCACAGTGGTTGAACTAATTTACACTCTCACCAACAGTCTAAAAGCCTTCCTACTTCTCCACATCCTCTCCAGCATCTGTTGTTTCCTAACATTTTAATGATTGCCATTCTAACTGGTGTGAGATGGTATCTCACTGTGGTTTTGATTTGCATTTCTCTAATGAGCAGTGAGGGTGAGCTTTTTTCATTTTTGTTGGCTGCAGAAATGTTTTCTTTTCAGAAGGGTCTGTTGACATCCTTAGCTCACTTTTTGATGGGGTTGTTTGTTTTTTTCTTGTAAATTTGTTTAAGTATTTTTAGTCTGGATATTAGCCCATTGTCAGATGGATAGATTGCAAAAATTTTCTCCCATCTGTAGATGGCCTGTTCACTCTGATGAGATTCTTTTGCTGCACCGAAGCTCTTTAATTAGGTCCCATTTATCTATTTTGGCTTTTGTTGCCATTGCTTTTGGTGTTTTTGTCATGAAATCTTTGCCCATATTTATGTCCTGAATGGTATGGCCTCAGTTTTCTTTTAGGGTTTTTATGGTTTTAGGTCTTACGTTTAAGTCTTTTTTTTTTAATTATACTTTAAGTTTTAGGGTACATGTGCACAACGTGCACGTTAGTTACATAGGTATACATATGCCATGTTGGTGTGCTGCACCCATCAACTCGTCATTTAACATTAGGTGTATCTCCTAATGCTATCCTTCCCCCCTCCCCCCACCCCACAAGAGGCCCGGGTGTGTGATGTTCCTATTCCTGTGTCCTTGTGTTCTCATTGTTCAATTCCCACCCATGAGTGAGAACATGTGGTGTTTGGTTTTTTGTCCTTGTGACAGTTTGCTGAGAATGATGGTTTCTGGCTTCATCCATGTCCCTACAAAGGACATGAACTCATCATTTTTTATGGCTGCATAGTATTCCATGGTGTATATGTGCCACATTTTCTTAATCCAGTCTATCATTGTTGGACATTTGGCTTGGTTCCAAGTCTTTGCTATTGTGAATGGTGCCACAATAAACATACATGTGCATGTGTCTTTATAGCAGCATGATTTATAATCCCTTGGGTATATACCCAGTAATGGGATGGCTGGGTCAAATGGTATTTCTAGTTCTAGATCCCTGAGGAATCGCCACACTGACTTCCACAATGGTTGAACTAGTTTACAGTCCCACCAACAGTGTAAAAGTGTTCCTATTTCTCCACATCCTCTCCAGCACCTGTTGTTTCCTGACTTTTTAATGATCGCCATTCTAACTGGTGTGAGATGGTATCTCATTGTGGTTTTGATTTGCATTTCTCTGATGGCCAGTGATGATGAGCATTTTTTCATGTGTTTTTTGGGTGCATAAATGTCTTCTTTTGAGAAGTGTCTATTCATATCATTTGCCCACTTGTTGATGGTGTTGTTTGTTTTTTTCTTGTAAATTTGTTTGAGTTCATTGTAGATTCTGGATATTAGCCCTTTTGTCAGATGAGTAGATTGCAAAAATTTTCTCCCATTCTGTAGGTTGCCTGTTCACTCTGATGGTAGTTTCCCTTGCTGTGCGGAAGCTCTTTAGTTTAATTAGATCCCATTTGTCAATTTCGGCTTTTGTTGCCATTGCTTTCGGTGTTTTAGACATGAAGTCCTTGCCCATGCCTATGTCCTGAATGGTATTTCCTAGGTTTTCTTCTAGGGTTTTTATGGTTTTAGGTCTAACATTTAAGTCTCGAATCCATCTTGAATTAATTTTTGTATAAGGTGTAAGGAAGGGATCCACTTTCAGCTTTCTACGTATGGCTAGCCAGTTTTCCCAGCACCATTTATTAAATAGGGAATCCTTTCCCCATTTCTTGTTTTTGTCAGGTTTGTCAAAGATCAGATGGTTGTAGATATGCAGCATTATTTCTGAGGGCTCTGTTCTGTTCCATTGGTCTATATTTCTGTTTTGGTACCAGTACCATGCTGTTTTTGTTACTGTAGCCTTGTAGTATAGTTTGAAGTCAGGTAGTGTGATGCCTCCAGCTTTGTTCTTTTGGCTTAGGGTTGACTTGGCAATGTGGGCTCTTTTTTGGTTCCATATGAACTTTAAAGTAGTTTTTTCCAATTCTGCGAAGAAAGTCATTGGTAGCTTGATGGGGATGGCATTGAATCTATAAATTACCTTGGGCAGTATGGCCATTTTCAAGATATTGATTCTTCCTACCCATGAGCATGGAGTGTTCTTCCATTTGTTTGTATCCTCTTTTATTTCATTGAGCAGTGGTCTGTAGTTCTCCTTGAAGAGGTCCTTCACGTCCCTTGTAAGTTGGATTCCCAGGTATTTTATTCTCTTTGAAGCAATTGTGAATTGGAGTTCACTCATGATTTGGCTGTCTGTCTGTTATTTGTGTGTAAGAATGCTTGTGATTTTTGCACATTGATTTGGTATCCTGAGACTTTGCTGAAGTTGCTTATCAGCTTGAGGAGATTTTGGGCTGAGACGATGGGGTTTTCTAGATATACAACCATGTCATCTGCAAACAGGGACAATTTGAATTCCTCTTTTCCTAATTGAATACCCTTTATTTCCTTCTCCTGCCTGATTGCCCTGGCCAGAACTTCCAACACTATGTTGAATAGGAGTGGTGAGAGAGGGCATCCCTGTCTTGTGCCAGTTTTCAAAGGGAATGCTTCCAGTTTTTGCACATTCAGTATGATATTGGCTGTGGGTTTGTCATAGATAGCTCTTATTATTTTGAGATACATCCCATCAATACCTAATTTATGGAGAGTTTTTAGCATGAAGGGCTGTTGAATTTTGTCAAAGGCCTTTTCTGCATCTATTGAGATAATCACATGGTTTTTGTTGTTGGTTCTGTTTATATGCTGGATTATGTTTATTGATTTGCGTATGTTGAACCAGCGTTGCATCCCAGGAATGAAGCCCACTTGATCATGGTGGATAAGCTTTTTGATGTGCTGCTGGATTCGGTTTGCCAGTATTTTATTGAGGATTTTTGCATCGATGTTCATCAGGGATATTGGTCTAAAATTCTCTTTTTCTGTTGTTTCTCTGCCAGGCTTTGGTATCAGGATGATGCTGGCTTCATAAAATGAGTTGGGGAGGATTCCCTCTTTTTTATTGATTGGAATAGTTTCGGAAGGAATGGTGCCAGTTCCTCCTTGTACCTCTGGTAGAATTCGGTTGTGAATCCATCTGGTCCTGGCCTTTTTTTGGTTGGTAAGTTATTAACTATTGCCTCAATTTCAGAGCCTGTTATTGGTCTATTCAGAGAATCAACTTCTTCCTGGTTTAGTTTTGGGAGGGTGTATGTGTCGAGGAATGTATCCATTTCTTCTAGATTTTCTAGTTTATTTGCGTAGAGGTGTTTATAGCATTCCCTGATGGTAGTTTGTATTTCTGTGGGATCGGTGGTGATATCCCCTTTATCATTTTTTATTGCATCTATTTGATTCTTCTCTCTTTTCTTCTTTATTAGTCTTGCTAGTGGTCTATCAATTTTGTTGATCTTTTCAAAACACCAGCTCCTGGATTCACTGATTTTTTGAAGGGTTTTTTGTGTCTCTATTTCCTTCAGTTCTGCTCTGATCTTACTTATTTCTTGCCTTCTGCTAACTTTTGATTGTGTTTGCTCTTGCTTCTCTAGTTCCTTTAATTGTGATGTTAAGGTGTGAATTTTAGATCTTTCCTGCTTTCTCTTGTGGGCATTTAGTGCTATAAATTTCCCTCTACACACTGCTTTGAATGTGTCCCAGAGATTCTGGTATGTTGTGTCTTTGTTCTCATTGGTTTCAAAGAACAACTTTATTCTGCCTTCATTTTGTTATGTACCCAGTAGTCATTCAGGAGCAAGTTGTTCATTTTCCATGTAGTTGAGTGGTTTTGAGGGAGTTTCTTAATCCTTAGTGCTAGTTTGATTGCACTGTGGTCTGAGAGACAGTTTGTTGTGATTTCTGTTCTTTTACATTTGCTGAGGAGTGCTTTACTTCCAACTATGTGGTCAATTTTGCAATAAGTGCAGTGTGGTGCTGAGAAGAATGTATATTCTGTTGATTTGGGGTGGAGAGTTCTGTAGATGTCTATTAGGTCCACTTGGTGCAGAGCTGAGTTCAATTCCTGGATATCCTTGTTAATTTTCTGTCTCATTGATCTGTCTAATATTGACAGTGGGATATTAAAGTCTCCCATTATTATTGTGTGGGGAGTCTAAGTCTCTTTGTAGGTCTCTAAGGACTTGCTTTATGAATCTGGGTGCTCCTGTATTGGGTGCATATATATTTAGGATAGTTAGCTCTTCTTATTGAATTGATCCCTTTACCATTATGTAATGGCCTACTTTGTCTCTTTTGATCTTTGTTGGTTTAAAGTCTGTTTTATCAGAGACTAGGAATGCAACCCCTGCCTTTTTTTCTTTTCCATTTGCTTGGTAGATCTTCCTCCAGCCCTTTATTTTGACCCAATGTGTGTCTCTGCACGTGAGATGGGTTTCCTGAATACAGCACACTGATGGGTCTTGACTCTTTATCCAATTTGCCAGTCTGTGTCTTTTAATTGGAGCATTTAGCCCATTTACATTTAAGGTTAATATTGTTATGTGTGAATTTGATCTTGTCATTATGATGTTAGCTGGTTATTTTGCTCCTTAGTTGATGCAGCTTCTCCCTAGCATTGATGATCTTTACAATTTGGCATGTTTTTGCAGTGGCTGGTACCGGTTGTTCCTTTCCATTTTTAGTGCTTCCTTCAGGGGCTCTTTTAGGGCAGGCCTGGTGGTGACAAAATCTCTCGGCATTTGCTTGTCTGTAAAGTATTTTATTTCTCCTTCACTTATGAAGCTTGGTTTGGCTGGATATGAAATTCTGGGTTGAAAATTATTTTCTTTAAGAATGTTGAATATTGGCCCCCACTCTCTTCTGGCTTGTAGAGTTCCTGCTGAGAGATCAGCTGTTAGTCTGATGGGCTTCCCCTTGTGGGTAACCTGACTTTTCTCTCTGGCTGCCCTTAACATTTTTTCCTTCATTTCAACTTTGGTGAATCTGACAATTATGTGTCTAGGTCTTTGAGGAATGGCCACACTGTCTTCCACAACGGTTGAACTAATTTACACTCCCACCAACAGTGTAAAAGTGTTCCTATTTCTCCACATCCTCTCCAGCATCTGTTGTTTCCTGACATTTTAATGATTGCCATTCTAACTGGTGTGAGATGGTATCTCATTGTGGTTTTGATTTGCATGTCTCTAATGAGCAGTGATGATGAGCTTTTTTTCATGTTTGTTGGCTGCATTAATGTTTTCTTTTGAGAAGTGTCTGTTCACATCCTTACCCCACTTTTTGATGGGGTTGTTTGTGTTTTTTCTTGTAAATTTGTTTAAGTTCTTTGTAGATTTTGGATATTAGCCCTTTGTCAGATGGATAGATTGCAATAATTTTCTTCCATTCTGTAGGTTGCCTGTTCACTCTGACGATAGTCTTTTTTGCTGTGCTGAAGCTCTTTAGTTTAATCAGGTCCAATTTGTCTATTTGGACTTCGTTGCCATTGCTTTTGGTGTTTTAGTTATGAAGTCTTTGCCCATACCCGTGTCCTGAATGGTATGGCCTAGGTTTTCTTCTAGGGTTTTTATGGTTTTAGGTCTTATAATTAAGTCTTTAATCCATCTTAATTAAATCCAACTTAATTTAATACAACATAATAAAATTGAGTTAATTTTTGTATAAGGTGTAAGGAAGGGGTCCAGTTTCAGTTTTCTGCCTATGGCTAGCCAGCTTTCCCAACATCATTTATTAAATAGGGAATCCTTTCCCCATTGCTTGTTTTTGTCAGGTTTGTCAAAAATCTGATGGTTGTAGGTGTGCGGTGTTATTTCTGCAGCCTCTGTTCCATTCCATTGGTCTAGATATCTGTTTGGTACTAGTACCATGCTGTCTTGGTTACTGTAGCCTTGCAGTATAGTTTGAAGTCAGGTAGCGTGATGCCTCCAGCTGTGTTCTTTTTGCTTTGGATTGTCTTGGCTATATGTAGGGAAAAGGAAGAGAGATCAGACTGTTACTGTGTCTATGCAGAAAAGGAAGACATAAGAAACTCCATTTTGACCTGTACCCTGAACTATTGCTTTGCCCTGAGATGCTGTTAATCTGTAACTTTAGCCCCAACCTTGAGCTCACAGAAACATGTGTTGTATGAAATCAAGGTTTAAGGGATCTAGGGCTGTGCAGGATGTGCCTTGTTAACAAAATGTTTACAGGCAGTATGCTTGGTAAAAGTCACCATCATTCTCCAGTCTCAATAAATCAGGGGCACAATGCACTGTGGAAAGCCGCAGGGACCTCTGCCCTGCAACGCTGGGTATTGTCCAAGGTTTCTCCCCATGTGATAGTCTGAAATATGGCCTCGTGGGATGGGAAAGACCTGACCGTCCCCCAGCCCAACATCCATGAAGGGTCTGTGCTGAGGAGGATTAATAAAAGAGGGAGGCCTCTTGCAGTTGAGATAGAGGAAGGCCACTGTCTCCTGCCTGCCCCTGGGAACTGAGTGTCTTGGTATAAAACACGATTGTACATTTGTTCAATTCTGAGTTAGGAGAACAACCGCCCTGTGGCGGGAGGCGAGACATGTTGGCAGCAATGCTGCCTTGTTATTCTTTACTCCACTGAGATGTTTGGGTGGAGAGAAGCATAAATCTGGCCTACATGCACATCCAGGCATAGTACCTTCCCTTGAACTTATTTGTGACACAGATTCCTTTGCCACGTTTTCTTGCTGACCTTCTCCCCACTATCACCCTGCTCTTCTGCCGCATTCCTCTTGCTGAGATAGTAAAAATAGTAATTAACAAAGGCTGAGGGAACTCAGAGACTGGTGCCAGTGTGGGTCCTCTGTATGCTGAGTGCCAGTCCCCTGGGCCCACTTTTCTTTCTCTATACTTTGTGTCTTATTTCTTTCCTCAGTCTCTCATCCTGCCTGACAAGAAATACCCACAGGTGTGGAGGGGCTGGCCCCCTTCAGCTATATGGGCTCTTTTTTTGGTTCCATATGAAATTTAAAGTACTTTTTTTCCAATTTTGTGAAGAAAGTAATTGGCAGCTTGATGGGGATAGCATTGAATCCGTAAATTACCTTGGGCAGTATGGCCATTTTCATGATATTGATTCTTCCTATCCATGAGCATGGACTGTTTTTCTGTTTGTTTGTGTCCTCACTTATTTCCTTGAGCAGTGGTTTGTAGTTCTCCTTGAAGAGGTCCTTCATGTCCCTTGCAAATTGGATTCCTAGGTATTTTATTCTCTTTGTAGCAGTTGCAAATGGGAGTTCACTCATGATTTGGCTCTCTGTCTATTATTGGCATATAGGAATGCTTCTGATTTTTGCACATTGATTTTGTATCCTGAGACTTTGCTGAAGTTGCTTATCAGCTTAAGGAGACTTTGGGCTGAGATGATGGCATTTTCTAAATACACAATCATGTCATCTGCAAACAGAGACAATTTGACTTCCTCTTTTCCTAATTGAATACCCTTTATTTTTTCCTCTTGCCTGAGTGCCCTGGCTAGAAAACTTCCAATACTATGTTGAATAGGAGTGGTGAGATAATGCATCCTTGTCTTGTGCCGATTTTCAAAGGGAATGCATCCAGCCGATTTTCAAAGGGAATGCATCCAGCTTTTGCCCATTCAGTATGATATTGGCTGTGGGTCTGTCATAAATAACTCTTACTATTTTGAGATACGTTCCATCAGTACCTAGTTTATTGAGAGTTTTTAGCATGAAAGGCTGTTGAATTTTGTCAAAGGTCTTTTCTGCATCTATTGAGATAATCATGTGGTTTTTTTCATTGGTTCTGTTTATGTGATGGACTATGTTTATTGATTTGCTTATGTTGAACCAGCCTTGTATCCCAGGAATAAAGCTAACTTGATCATGGTGGATAAGCTTTTTGATGTGTTGCTGGATTCAGTTTGCCAGTATTTTATTGAGGATTTTCTCAATGATGTTCATCAGGGATACTGGCCTGAAATTTTCTTTCTTTTGTTGTGTCTCTGCCAGCTTTTGGTATCAGGATGATGCTGGCCTCATAAAATGAGTTAGGGAGGAGTTCCTGTTTTTCTGGTGTTTGGAATAATTTCAGAAGGAATGGTACCAGCTCCTCTTTGTACCTCTGGTAGAATTCAGCTGTGAATCCGTCTGGTCCTGAGCTTTTTTTTGTTTGATAGGCCATGCATTACTGCTTCAATTTCAGAACTTGTTATTGGTCTATTTAGGGATTTGAATTCTTCCTGATTTAGTCTTGGGAGGGTGTATTCGTCCAGGAATTTATCTATTTCTTCCAGATTTTCTAGTTTATTTGCATAGAGTAGTTTATAGTATTCTCTGATGGTAGCTTGTATTTCTGTGGGATCAGTGGTGATATCCCCTCCATCATTTTTTATTGCACCTATTTGATTCTTCTCTCTTTTCTTCTTTATTGGTCTAGCTAGCAGTCTATCTATTTTGTTGATCTTATCAAAAAACCAGCTCCTGGATTCACTGGTTTTTTTGAAGGTTCTTTCCTGTCTCTGTCTCCTTCAGTTCTGCTCTGATCTTAGTTATTTCTTGTCTTCTCCTGGCTTTTGAATATGTTTGCTCTTGCTTTTCTAGTTCTTTTAATTGTGATGTTAGGGTGTTGGTTTTATATCTTTCCTGCTTTCTCCTGTGGGCATTTAGTGCTATAAATTTCACTCTAAACACTGCTTTGGCTGTGTCCCAGGGATTCTGGTACATAGTGTCTTTGTTCTCCCTGGTTTCAAAGAAGTTATTTATTTCTACTATAATTTCATTATATACCCAATAGTCATTCAGGAGCAGGTTGTTCAGTTTCCATGTAGTTGTGTGGTTTTGAGTGAGTTTCTTAATCTGAGTTCTAATCTGATTGCACTGCAGCCCGAGAGACTGTTTGTTATGATTTCCATTCTTTTGCATTTGCTGAGGAGGGTTTTACTTCCAATTATGTGATCAATTTTAGAATAAGTGCGATGTGGTGCTGAGAAGAATGTATATTCTGTTGACTTGGGGTGGAGAGTTCTGTAGATGTCTATTAGGTCTGCCTAGTCTAGAGCTGAGTTCAAGTCCTGGATATCCTTGTTAATTTTCTGTCTCATTGATCTGTCTAATACTGACAGTGGGGTGTTGGGGTGTTAACGTCTCCCATTGCTATTGTGTGGGAGTCTAAGTCTCTTTGTAGGTCTCTAAGCACTTGCTTTATGAATCTGGGTGCTCCTGTATTGGGTACATATATATTTAGGATAGTTAGCTCTTCTTGTTGAATTGATCCCTTTACCATTATGTGATGGCCTACTTTGTCTCTTTTGATCTTTGTTGGTTTAAAGTCTGTTTTATCGGAGACCAGGATTGCAACCCCTGCTTTTTTTTGCTTTGCATTTGCTTGGTAAATATTCCTCCATCCCTTTATTTTGAGCCTATGTGTGTCTTGGCACATGAGACGGGTCTCTTGAATACAGCACAATGATGGGTCTTGACTCTTTATCCAATTTGCCAGTCTGTGTCTTTTACTTGGGGCACTTAGCCTGTTTACATTTAAGGTTAATATTGTTATGTGTGAATTTGATCCTGTCATTATGATGCTAGCTGATTATTTTGCCCATTAGTTGACGCAGTTTCTTCATAGTGTCAATAGTCTTGACAATTTGGTATGGTTTTGCAGTGGCTGGTACTGGTTGATCCTTTCCATGTTTAGTGCTTCCTTCAGGAGCTCTTGTACATCAGGCCTGGTGGTGACAAAATCTCTCAGCATTTGCTTGTCTGTAAAGGATTTTATTTCTCCTTCACTTGTGAAGCTTAGTTTGGCTTCATAACCATTCCTCATGGCGCAGTCCTTCACAGCTTCCCTTGGCTAGGGGAGGGGGTCCTCTGACCCCTTGTGCTTCCTGAGTGAGGTGATGGCCACCCTGATTCAGCTGGCTCTTCATGGGCTGCACCCACTGTCTCACCAGTCCCAGTGAGTTGAGCCAGGTACCTCAGTTGGAAATGCAGAAATCACCTGCCTTCTGCGTTGATCTCGCTGGGAGCTGCAGACTGGAGCTGTTCCTATTTGGTCATCTTGTCAGCCACCCTTTTTATTTTTTAAAATACATTCTTGGCTAATGAGTGGTACATAATAGACCTACTTTATTCTCTCTCTTCTTTTATAAAATAGCTGTACAGTATTCTATTGTGTGGCTATTCCATAATTTATTTAGCTAGTCTCCTACTGATGGATATTTAAGTAGCTTCCAGTGTTTTGCTATTTCAAACAATGCTATGGTGAACAACATTGGATGAATATGTATTTTTGTGTGTTTGGTACAAATACATTTGTACGCTGGGCCAAAGTTTTAAATTGATGGCTATGACGGTCAAATTACCTTAAAAAAGATTTGTCAACCTAAAATAATAAAAGGGTGAGAATTGAATTTAAGGAGTGTTTATTGAAGTGCAAAGTGTGAGGATGGACCATCTGGAAACATCAAATCCAAAGGAATGCAGTCAGCATTCTGCAGTAGAGAAGTTATGGTTTCAATTATATATGCAGAGAGAGAAGAGTGTTTAGCAAAATTATAACATTATTCGTACAAGGTTGGCACATAGTTACAGCCATTTGATAGGTTAAACGCAGTGTTTCTTTTTGGGAAGGATACATTTAACATGTTTTTTAGAGGGTGTAGTAATTGTGGGTTTTTGTCATCTGGTCTAAGCAAAGCAGGACAACAATAGGAAATTAATATACAATAAGGGTCATTAATTAAGAAGGCCAGAGGTTTTTTTCCATGATGTCATTTAATTCTCTCTAGTCATTGTACAGAAGAAGAAAAATAAGAAAGCTAGTTAATCTATAATTTGAGAACAGAAGTTATAACCACATACGACTCAGATCACAGTCACGTCTCAAGGCTTAAAGTGATTTTGGGGGTTCCCACAGCTTTTAAATTTTATTTATTTTCACAGATTTAAGCAGTTTTGATGAATTTTTCCCCCTAAAGTGAATTTACCTGCTGCTGTACTCCCTTATGCATAGTATATAGAATGGCTTAAACTTTGGTGGTGGCTTAAGCTCAGTGGTAAAATGGTACCACACTTTAGGTCGCAGTGGCCAACTTGCAGAACTGCAACTTGCAGATCTGAGGCACACCCAGTTCCACTCATGTTTGTCATTGAGAATGCTGGCTCAGCACTGCCAGCCCTTGGGATATTTAAACAGAAGCTAGAAATCCGGATGGTAATAGGAAATATTTAAATTTTAAATGTTGGCCAATTATTTACTTAAAAAAGAACCCAGAAAAGAAAACAGTGAATGGATCTGTAGGTGCCAGAGGCTGACTGATATAGCCTATTTAAATGGAATGAATTATTAATTTTGTGAGATATTGCTCTATCTAGAATTTCATTTTTTATTATTATACTTTAAGTTCTAGGGCACATGTGCACAACGTGCAGGTTTTTTACATAGGTATACGTGTATCAGGTTGGTTTGCTGGATCCATCAACTCGTCATTTACATTAGGTATTTCTCCTAATGCTATCCCTCCCCCAGCCCCCCAGCCTCTAACAGACCCTGGTGTATGATGATCCCCTCTCTGTTTCCATGTGGTCTGCTTGTTCCACTTCCACCTATGAGTGAGAACATGCGGTGTTTGGTTTTCTGTCCTTGTGATATTTTGCTGAAAGTGATGATTTCCAGCTTCATCCATGTTCCTGCAAAGGACATGAACTCATCCTTTTTTATGGCTGCATAGTATTCCATGGTATACATGTGCCACATTTTCTTTATCCAGTCTATCATTGATGGGCATTTGGGTTGGTTCCAAGTTTTTGCTATTGTGAACAGTGCTGCAATAAACATATGTGTATATGTGTCTTTATAGTAGAATGATTTATGATCCTTTGGGTAGATATCCAGTAATGGGGTTGCTGGATCAATTGGTATTTCTGGTTCTAGATCCTTGAGGAATGGCCACAGTGTCTTCCACAATGGTTGAACTAATTTACACTCCCACCAACAGTCTAAAAGCCTTCCTATTTCTCCACATCCTCTCCAGCTTCTGTTATTTCCTGACTTCTTAATGTTGCCATTCCAAGTGTCATGAGATGGTATCTCATTGTGGTTTTTCTTTGCATTTCTCTGATGACCAGTGATGATGAGCATTTATTCATATGTCTGTTGGCTGTGTAAATGTCTTCTTTTGAGAAGTTTCTGTTCATACTTTTTACTCACTTTTTGATGGGGTTATTTGTTTTTTTTTTTCTTGTAATTTGTTTAAGTTCTTTGTATTCTGGATATTAGCCCTTTGTCAGATGGATAGATTGCAAGAATTTTCTCCTATTCTGTAAGTTGCCTTCTCACTCTGATGATAGTTTCTTTTGCTGTGCAGAAGCTCTTTAGTTTAGGTAGATCCCATTAGTCTATTTTGGCTTTTGTTGCCATTACTTTTGGTGTTTTTATCATGAAGTCTTTGCCCATGCCTATGTCCTGAATGGTACTGTCTAGGTTTTCTTCTAGGGTTTTTATGGTTTTAGGTCTTACATTTAAGGCTTTAATCCATCTTGAGTTAATTTTAGTATAAGGTGTAAGGAACGCATGCAGTTTCAGCTTTCTACATATGGCTAGCTAGTTTTCCCAGCACCATTTATTAAATAGGGAATCCTTTCCCCATTGCTTGTTTCTGTCAGATTTGTCAAAGATCAGATGGTTGAAGATGTGTGGTGTTATTTCTGAGGCCTCTGTTCTGTTCCATTGGTCTAGATATCTGTTTTGGTACCAGTACCATGCTGTTTTGGTTACTGTAGCCTTGCAGTATAGTTTGAAGTCAGGTAGTGTGATGCCTCCAGCTTTGTTCTTTTTGCTTATGATTGTCTTGGCTATACCAGCTCTTTTTTGGTTCCATATGAAATTTAAAGTAGTTTTTTCCAATTCTGTGAGGAAAGTCAGTGGTAGCTTGATGGGGATAGCATTGAGTCTATAATTTACTTTGGGCAATATGGCCATTTTCATGATATTGAGTCTTCCTATCCATGAGCATGGAATACTCTTCCATTTGTTTGTGTCCTCACTTATTTCCTTGAGCAGTGGTTTGTAGTTTTCCTTGAAGAGGTCCTTCACATCCCTTGTAAGTTGGATTTCTAGGTATTTTATTCTCTTTGTAGCAATTGTGAATGGGACTTCACTCATGATTTGGCTCTCTGTCTATTATTGGCATACAGGAATGCTTGTGATTTTTGCACATTGATTTTGTATCCTGAGACTTTGCTGAAGTTGCTTATCAGCTTAAGGAGATTTTGGGCTGAGATCATGGGGTTTCTAAATATACGGTGAAATCATCTGCAAACAGAGACAATTTGACTTCCTCTTTTCCTAATTGAATACCCTTTATTTCTTCCTCTTGCCTGATTGCCTTGGCCAGAACTTCCAATACTATGTTGAATAGGAGTGGTGAGATAGGGCATCCTTGTCTTGTACCAGTTTTCAAAGGGAATGCTTCCAGTTTTTGCACATTCAGTATGATATTGGCTATGGGTTTGTCATAAATAGCTCTTATTATTTTGAGTTACATTCCATGAATACCAAGTTTATGGAGAGTTTTTAGCATGAAGGGGTGTTTAATTTTGTTCGAAGGCCTTTCTGCATCTATTGAGATAATCATGTGGTGTTTGTCGGTTCTGTTTGTGTGATGGATTATGTTTGTTGATTTGCTTATGCTGAACCAGGTTTGCATCCCAGGGATGAAGCCACCTTGATCGTGGTGGATAAGCTTTTTGATGTGCCGCTGGATTCGGTTTGCCAGTATTTTATTGAGCATTTTTGCATTGATGTTCATCAGGGATACTGGCCTAAAATTTTCTTTGTTTTGTTGTGTCTCTGCCAAGCTTTGATATCCGGATGATTCTGGCATTATAAAATGAGTTAGGGAGGATTCTTTCTTTTTCTATTGATCGGTATAGTTTCAGAAGGAATGGTACCAACTCCTCTTTGTACCTCTGGTAGAATTCGGCTATGAATCCATCTGGTCCTGGACTTTTTTTGGTTTAGTAGGCTATTAATTATTGCCTCAATTTCAGAAGCTGTTATTGGTCTATTCAGCAATTCAGCTTCTTCCTGATTTAGTCTGGGGAAGGTATATGTGTCCAATAATTTATCCAATTCTTCTAGGTTTTCTAGTTTATTTGCATAGAGGTGTTTATAGTATTCTCTGATGGTAGTGTGTATTTCTGCGGGATCACTGGTGATATCACCTTTATCATTTTTTATTGTGTCTATTTGACTCTTCTCTCTTTTCTTCCTTATTAGTCTTGCTAGCAGTCCATTTTGTTGATCTTTTCAAAAATCCAGCTCCTGGATTCATTGATCCTTTGAAGGTTTTTTTTTTAATGCCTCTATTTCCTTCAGTTCTGCTCTGATCATCGTTATTTGCTGTCTTCTGCTAGCTTTTGAATTTGTTTGCTCTTGCTTCTCTAGTTCTTTTAATTTTGAGGTTAGGGTGTTGATTTTAGATCTTTCCTCCTTTCTCTTGTGGGTATTCAGTGCTGTAAATATCCATTTACACACTGTTTTAAATGTGTCCCAGAAATTCTGGTACACTGTGTCTTTGTTCTCATTGGTTTCAATGACCATGTTTATTTCTGCCTTCATTTTGTTATTTACCCAGTAGTCATTCAGGAGCAGGTTGTTCAGTTTCCATGTAGTTGTGCAGTTTTGAGTGAGTTTCTCAGTCCTGAGTTCTAATTTGATTGCACTGTGGTCTGGGAGACAGTTTGTTGTGATTGCTGTTCTTTGGCATTTGCTGAGGAGTGTTTTACTTCCAATTATGTGGTCAATTTTAGAATAAGTGTGATGTGGTGCTGAGAAGAATGTATATTGTGTTGACTTGGGGTGGAGAGTTCTGTAGATGTGTATTAGGCCTACTTGGTCTAGAGCTGAGTTCAAGTCCTGGACATCCTTATTAATTTTGTCATGTTTTCTGTCTAATATTAACAGTGGGGTGTTACTGTCTCCCATTACTATTGTATGGGAGTCTAAGCCTCTTTGTAGGTCTCTAAGAACTTGCTTTATGAATCTGGGTTCTCCTGTATTGGGTGCATATATATTTAGGATAGTTAGCTCTTCCTGTTGAACTGATTCCTTTACCATTATGTGATGGCCTTCTTTGTCTCCTTTTATCTTTGTTGGTTTAATGTCTGTTTTATCAGAGACCAGGATTGCAATCCCTGCTTTTCTTTGCTTTCCATTTGTTTGGTAGATCTTCCTCCATCCCTTTGAGAGGTGGCAGCGTGCTGGCAGCCCTCGCTCGCTCTCGGCGCCTCCTTGGCCTTGGCACCCACTCTGGCCATGCTTGAGGAGCCCTTCAGCCCATGCTGCACTGTGGGAGCCCCTTTCTGGGCTGGCCAAGACCAGAGCTGGCTCCCTCAGCTTGCAGGGAGGTGTGGAGGGAGAAGCATGGGCAGGAACTGGGGCTGTGCACAGTGCTTGCAGGCCAGCGCTAGTTCTGGGTGGGTGTGGGCTCAGTGGCACAGTGTACTGTGGAAAGCTACAGGGACCTCTGCCCTTGAAAGCGGGGTATTGTCCAAGGTTTCTCCCCATGTGATAGTCTGAAATATGGCCTCATGGGATGAGAAAGACCTGACCGTCCCCCAGCCTGACACCCATAAAGGGTCTGTGCTGAGGTGGATTAGTAAAAGAGGAAAGCATCTTGCAGTTGAGATAGAGGAAGGCCACTGTCTCCTGCCTGTCCCTGGGAACTAAATGTCTCAGTATAAATCCCGATTGTACATTTGTTCAGTTCTGAGATGAGAGAAAAACCGCCCTATGGTGGGAGGCGAGACATGTTTGCAGCAATGCTGCCTTGTTATTCTTTACTCCACTGAGATGTTTGGGTGGAGAGAAACATAAATCTGGCTTACATGCACGTCCAGTCATAGTACCTTCCCTTGAACTTAATTATGACGTAGATTCTATTCCTCACATGATTGTTGCTGACCTTCTCCTTATAATCACCCTGCCCTCCTACTACATTCCTTTTTACTGAAATGATGACAATAATAATCAATAAAAACTGAGGGAACTCAGAGACCGGTGCTGGTGCAGGTCCTTGGTATGCTGAGCGCCGGTCCCCTCGGCCCACTGTTGTTTCTCTATACTTTGTCTCTGTGTCTTATTTCTCTTTCTCAGTCTCTCATCCCACCTGACTAGAAATACCCACAGGTGTGGAGGGGCAGGCCACCCCTTCATCTGGCATCCAACATGGGGCCTTTCTCTAGGGTGAAAGTACGCTAAGTGAGTATTGAGGACAGCCAACAAGAGATTCCCGAGTACATCCACGGTCAGCCTTGCGGTAAGCTTGTGCACTTGGAGGAATCCAGGGTAACAATGGGGCAAACTGGAAGTAAATATGCCTCTTATCTCAGCTTCATTAAAATTCTCTTAAGACAGGGAGTTTAAGCTTCTACAGAGAATCTAATTATGCTATTTCAAACAATAGAACAATTCTGCCCATGGTTTCCAGAACAGGGAACTTTAGATTTAAAAGACTGGGGAAAAATTAGCAAAGAATTAAAACAAGCAAGTAGGGAAGGTAAAATCATCCCACTTACAGCATGGAATGATTGGGCTATTATTAAAGCAACTTGAGAACTATTTCAAATAGAAGAAGATAGCATTTCAGTTTCTGATGCCCCTGAAAGCTGTGTAATAGTTTGTGAAGAAGAGGTAGGAAGACAGTTCAAGAATGGAACAGAAAGTTCACATTGTAAAAATGTAGTAGAGTCTGCAATGGTTCGGTCAACACAAAATGTTGACTATAATCAATTACAGGAGGTAATATATCCTAAATCATCAAAATTGGAGGAAGGAGGTCCAGAATTATTTGGTCCATCAGAGTTTAGACCACGATGGCCAACAACTCCTTCTCCCACGGTTCAGATGCCTGTGACATTACAACCTCAAATGCCAATCCAGACACAGTATCCACAATATCAGCCGGTAGAAAATAAAACCCAACCATCAGTAGTTTATGAACACCAGCCATCAGCCGAATTTCAGTATCGGCCGTCTCCAGTGGTTCAGTATAGATCCCAGGTGTTGTGTCCTGTGCCAAATAGCAGGGCAGTATAGCAACAACCCATGGCGATGGTGTTTGATCCTACACTACCACCTAGTGGACAAGATAGTGCACTGCAAAAAATCATTGATAAAGCCAGAAAACAGGGAGATCTTGAGGCAGGGCAGTTCCTGGTAATTTTACAACCAATACCGGCTGGAAAACGGAGTCAAGCAGGAGCGTCTGTCCAAACTGAGGCTAGATATGAATCTTTCACCATGAAAATGTTAAAAGATATGAAGGAGGCAGTTAAACAATATGGACCCAACTCTCCTTATATGAGAACATTATTAGATTCCATTGCTAATGGGAATAGACTTATTCCTTATGATTGGGAAATTTTGGCTAAATCTTCTCTTTCACCCTCTCAGTATCTACAATTTAAAACCTGGTGGATTGACGGAGTACAAGAACAGGTATGGAAAAATCAGGCTACTAATCCTGTTGTTAATATAGATGCAGACCAATTGCCAGAAACAGGTCCAAATTGGAGCACTATTAACCAACAATCAGTAATGCAGAATGAGGCTATTGAACAATTAAGGGCTATTTGCCTCAGGGTCTGGGAAAAGATTCAGGACCCAGGAACCTCCTGCCCTTCTTTTAGTTCAATCAGACAAGGCTCTAAAGAGCCATATCCAGACTTTGTGGCAAGGTTGCAAGATGCAGCTCAAAAATCGATTGCAGATGATAACGCCCAAAAAGTTGTTGTAGAAATAATGGGTTATCAAAATGCAAATCCAGGATGTCAATTGGCCATAAAGCCATTAAGAGGAAAGGTTTCAGCAGGAGTTGATGTAATTACAGAATATGTGAAGGCTTGTGATGGGATTGGAGGAACTATGCATAAGGCAATGCTACTGGCTCAAGCAATTACGGGGGTTGCTTTAGGAGGACAAGTTAAAACATTTGGGGGAAAATGTTATAATTGTGGTCAAATCGGTCATCTAAAAAAGAATTGCCCAGTCTTAAATAAACAGAACAAAAATAAACAGCCACCTGGCCTGTGTCCAAAATGTGAAAGAGGAAAACACTGGGCTAAGGAATGTTGTTCTAAATTTGATAAAAATGGGCAACCATTGTCAGGAAACGAGAAGAGGGACCAGCCCCAGGCCCCGCAACAAAGTGGGGCATTCTTGATTCAGCCATTTGTTCCTCAGGGTTTTCAGGGACAACAACCCCCACAGTAAATACCACCATTCCAGGGAATCAGCCAATTACAACAATACAACAGTTATCCCCCACCACAGCAGGCAGCGCAGCAGTAGATTTATGTTCTACTCAAATGGTTTCTTCACTCCCTGGAGTGCTCCCTCAAAAGATTCCTACTGGGGTGTATGGCCTGCTGCCAGAAGGGATGGTAGGCCTTATTTTAGGAAGATCAAGTCTAAATTTAAAGGGAGTCCAAATTCATACTGGGGTAATTGATTCAGATTATAAAGGGGAAATTCAGTTAGTGATCAGCTCTGCTGTTCCCTGGAGTGCCAATCCAGGTGATAGAATTGCTCAATTATTGCTTTTGCCTTATATTAAAATTGGGAATAGCAAAACAGAAAGAACAGGAGGGTTTGGAAGTACCAACCCTGCTGGAAAAGTTGTTTATTGGGCTAGTCAGCTCTCAGAGAATAGACCTGTGTGTACAGTCACTATTCAGGGAAAGCAGTTTGAAGGATTAGTGGCTACTGGGGCTGATGTTTCTATTATTGTCTTAAATCAATGGCCAAAAAATTGTCCTAAACAAAAGCCTGTTACAGGATTTGTTGGTGTGGGCACCGCCTCAGAAGTGTATCAAAGTGCCATGATTTTACATTGTCTAGGCCCTAATAATCAAGAGAGTACAGTTCAGCCTATGATTATTTCTATTCCAATTAACTTATGGGGCCGAGACTTGTTAGAACAGTGGCATGCAGAGATTACTATTCCAGTCTCCCTATACAGCCCCACGAGTCAAAAAATCATGACTAAAATGGGATATCTCTCTGGTAAAGGACTAGGGAAAAATGGAGAAGGCATTAAAGTCCCAATTGAGGCTAAAAAAATCCAAAAAAAAAAAAAAAAAAGAAATAGGGTATCCTTTTTAGGAGTGGCCACTGTAGAGCCTCCAAAACCCATTCCATTAACTGGGAAAACAGAAAAGCCTGTATGGGTAAATCAGTGGCCACTACCAAAGCAAAAACTGGAGGCCTTACACTTAGTGGCAAAGGAACAATTAGAAAAGGGAAACATTGAGCCTTCATTTTCACCTTGGCATTCTCCTGCGTTTGTAATTCAGAAAAAATCAGGCAGATGGTGCATCCTAACTGATTTGAGAGCCATCAATGCAGTAATTCAACCCATGGGGACTCTCCAACTTGGGCTGCTTTCTCCGGCCATGATCCCCAAAGATTGGCCTTTAATTATAATTGAGCTAAAGGATTGCGTTTTTACCATTCCTCTGGCAAAATAGGATTTAAAAAAATTTGCTTTTACTATACCAGCCATAAATAATAAAAAACCAGCCACCAGATTTCAGCGGAAAGTGTTGCCTCAGGGAATGCTTAATAGTCCAACTATTTGTCAGACTTTTGTAGCTCAAGTTCTTCAACCAGTTAGAGACAAGTTTTCAGACTGTTATATTATTCATTATGTTGATGATATTTTGAGTGCTGCAGAAACGAGAGACAAATTAATTGACTGTTACACATTTCTGCAGACAGAGGTTGCAAACGCAGGCCTGACAATAGCATCTGATAACATTCAGACCTCCACTCCTTTTCATTATTTGGGAAAGACCAACAGAGAAAAAAGAGAAACTGGGAAAGAAAGGAAGAGAGAAAGTGAGAAGAGAAATCAGAAAGAGAAAGGAGAGAAAACGGCAGATGTGGAGAGCCAGGGAGAAAAAGAAAAAGAAAAAGAGACTGAGTGTGAAGGAGAGAGGACACGGGATGACAGACAGAGAGAGAGAGAGAGAGAGAGAAAGAGAGGGAGAAAATGAGTAAGAGAGAGACTGGAAAAGACAGAGATCAGAGAAAGACACAGAAGGTGAGACTGGGGAAAAAAATAATGTAAAAGAGAAAGACAGAGATCAGAGAGAGACACAGAAAGTGAGACTGGGAAAAGAAATAGTGTAAAAGGAAGAAAAAGAGAAAAAGAGAGAGAGACCATAAGAGAAGGGAGACAATGAAACAAAAAGTGCGAGTGAGCAGGTGAGGAGAAAGATTGAAAACTATGAGAAACAACAACTAAGAGACAAAGGAGAAGGGAGACTGCCTGGGTGCCGGAGCACCCACACTGTCCTCTTGCCCCCATCACTTGGGTTAAAACCATTGGAAATTCCACTATTGCAAATTTTGTATTAATCCTTGTATGTCTGCCCTCTCTATTGTTAGTCTACAGGTGTATCCAGCAGTTCCAGAAAGACAGTGACCAGCAAAAACAGGCCATGGTGACAATGACAGTTTTGTCAAAAAGAAAAGGGGGATATGTAGGGAAAAGAAAGAGAGATCAGACTGTTACCGTGTCTATGTAGAAAGGGAAGACATAAGAGACTACATTTTGAAAAAGACCTGTACTTTAAATAATTGCTTTTCTGAGATGTTGTTAATTTTTAGCTTTGCCCCAGCCACTTTGACCCAACCACTTTGACCCAACCTGGAGCTCACAAGAACATGTGTTGTATGAAATCAAGGTTTAAGGGATCTAGGACTGTGTAGGACGTGCCTTGTTAACAAAATGTTTACAAGCAGTATACTTGGTAAAAGTCATCGCCATTCTCTAGTCTCAATAAACCAGGGGCACAGTGCACTGCAGAAAGCCGCAGGGACCTCTGCCCTTGAAAGCAGGGTATTGTCCAAGGTTTCTCCCCATGTGATAGTCTGAAATATGGCCTCCTGGGATGAGAAAGACCTGACTGTCCCCCAGCCCGACACCCATAAAGGGTCTGTGCTGCGGTGGGTTAGTAAAAAAGGAAGGCCTCTTGCAGTTGAGATAGAGGAAGGCCACTGTCTCCTGCCTGCTCCTGGGAACTAAAAGTCTCGGTATAAATCCCGATTGTACATTTGTTCAGTTCTGAGATGAGAGAAAAACCGCCCTATGGTGGGAGGCGAGACATGTTTGCAGCAATGCTGCCTCGTTATTCTTTACTCCACCGAGATGTTTGGGTGGAGAGAAACATAAATCTGGCTTACGTGCATGTCCAGTCATAGTACCTTCCCTTGAACTGAATTATTAGATTCTATTGCTCACGTTTGTTGCTGACCTTCTCCTTATTATCACCCTGCCCTCCTACTACATTCCTTTTTACTGAAATAATGACGATAATAATCAATAAAAACTGAGGGAACTCAGAGACCGGTGCCGGTGCAAGTCCTTGGTATGCTGAGCGCCGGTCCCCTGGGCTCACTGTTGTTTCTCTATACTTTGTCTCTGTGTCTTATTTCTCTTTCTCAGTCTCTCGTCCCACCTGACTAGAAATACCCACAGGTGTGGAGGGGCAAGCCACCCCTTCAAACAGTAGCAACCTGCTTGGGTCCCCTTCCACACTGTGGAAGCTTTGTTCTTTCGCTCTTTGCAATAAATCTTGCTGCCCCTCACTCTTTGGGTCCACACGGCCTTTATGAGCTGTAACACTCATCGTGAAGGTCTGCAGCTTCACTCCTGAGGCCAGTGAGGCCACGAACCCAGTGGGAGGAATGAACAACTCCGGATGGGAGGAACGAACAACTCCAGACATGCCGCCTTAAGAGCTGTAACACTCACTGTGAAGGTCCGCAGCTTCACTCCTGAAGCCAGCGAGACCACGAACCCACCAGAAGGAAAAAACTCTGAACGTGTCTGAACATCAGAAGGAACAAACTCCGGACACGCTGCCTTTAAGGACTGTAACACTCACTGCGAGGGTCCGTGGCTTCATTCTTGAAGTCAGTGAGACCAAGAACCCACCAATTCCAGACACACCTTCATTTTGAGCCTATGTGTGTCTTTGCACGTGAGATTGGGTCTCCTGAATACAGCACACCATATGGGTCTTGATTCTTTATCCAATTTGCCAGTCAGTGTCTTTTAATTGGGGCATTTATCCCATTTACATTGAAGGTTAGTATTGTTATATGTGAATTTGATCCTGTCATGACGTTAGCTGGTTATTTTGCCCATTAATTGATGCAGTTTCTTCATAGCATCAATGGTCTTTACAATTTCGTATGTTTTTGCAGTGGCTGGTACTGGTTGTTCCTTTCCATGTTTAGTGCTTCCTTCAGGAGCTCTTATTGTAAGGCAGGCCTGGTGGTGACAAACTCTCTCAGCATCTGCTTGTCTGTAAAGGATTTTATTTCTCCTTCACTTACGAAGCTTAGTTTGGCTGGATATGAAATTCTAGTTCCAAAAATCTTTTCTTTCAGAATGTTGAATATTGGTCCCGACTCTCTTCTGGTTTGTATGGTTTCTGCTGAGAGATCTGCTGTTAGTCTGATGGGCTTCCCTTTGTTGGTAACCCAACCTTTCTCTCTGGCTGCCCTTAACCTTGCTGAATCTGACAATTATGTGTCTTGGGGTTGCTCTTCTCAAGGAGTGTCTTTGTGATGTTCTCTGTATTTCCTGAATTTGAATGTTTCTTTTTTCTTTTCTTGTCTCTAATCTTGTGTTCTCACTTTATTTCATTAATTTTATATTCAATCACTGATATCCTTTCTTCCACTTGATTGAATCAGCTATTGAAGCTTGTGTATCCTTCATGAAGTTCTTGTACTGTGGTTATCAGCTCCATCAGGTCATTTAAGCTCTTCTCTAGATTCTTCATTCTAGTTAGCCATTCGTTTAACATTTTGTCAAGGTTTTTAGCTTCCTTGCAATGGGTTAGAACATGCTCCTTTAGCTGGGTGTAGTTTGTTATTACTGACCTTCTGAAGCTTACGTCTGTCAAGTCATCAAACTTATTCTCCATCCAGTTTTGTTCCCTTGCTGGTGAGGACTTGTATTCCTTTGGAAGAGAAGAGACGTTCTGATTTCTGGAAGTTTCAGCCTTTTTGCTCTGGTTTCTCTCCATCTTTGTGGTTTTATCTACCTTTGGTCTTTGATGTTGGTGACCTATGGATGGGGTTTTAGTGTGGATGTCCTTTCCTGTTCTGATGTTGATGCTGTCCTTTGCTGATGTTGATGCTATTCCTTTCTGTTTGTTAGTTTTCCTTCTAACAGGCCCCTCAGCTGCAGGTCTTTGGGGGTTTGCTGGAAGTCCATTCCAGACCTTATTTTCTTGGGTATCAGTAGAGGAGGCTGCAGAACAGCAAATATTGCTGCCTGATCCTTCTTCTGGAAGCTTTGTTCCACAGGGGCACCCACCTGTATGAGGTGTCTCTCTGCCCCTACTGGGCGGTGTTTTTCAGTCAAGCTACATGGGGGTCAGGGACCCACTTGGGGAGGCAGTCTGTCCGTTATCGGAGCACGAACTCCGTGCTGGGAGAACCACTGCTGTCTTTAGAGATGTCAGGCAAGGACACTGAAGTCTGCAGAAGCTGTCTGCTGCCTTTTGCTCAGATATGCCCTGGCCCCTGAGGTGGAATCTGGAGAGGCAGTAGGCCTTGCTGAGCTGCGGTGGGTTCCGCCCAGTTAGAGCTTCCCTGCAGCTTTGTTTACACTGTGATCATAGAACGCCTACTGAAGCCTTAGCAATGGAGGACTTCCCTCCCCCACGGCCCCGTTAATTGATGCAGTTTCCGCACCCCCCCCACGGCCCTCTCCACCCTACCTGTCAAGCTCCAGCTCCAGCGGAGGATGCTCCAGGGACAGCGATGTCAGGACTGAGATGCAGGGGCTGCCTTAGAGTCTGGATGCATGGGGTAGCGGGGTGTGAGGCACCGGGCCGGGGTGCAGGGCCGGAAGGAACGTGCTGGATCTGGGATGCTACCAGACGGGGCGTCCCAAAGACCGAGGCAGTCCCGTACCTTACAACTCTCAGATGAGCTCCACGGTGGGCTTGGCCACCGTGACCCCTACTGCCGAGGCTGCTGCAGAGGAGCCGCCGCCACCCACACCGCTGTGGAGCAGCCGCACATGCTAGACTCCGCTTCAGTAAAGCCCGGGCGGTGAGTGCCGCCGCAGAGGCGAGCCCGCTCCAGACAGTGGCGGTTGCGTGAGCGCCCCTCCCCCCACCGGGCTTTGGAGCGCGGGCTCCCACGCCGGCCCGGAGAGCTGCCCGACTGAGCATGCGCGTCGCGCTGCCGAGCCTCCTGAGAGCCCGCGGGCTGGCGCCGACCTTTCTTGCCGGCTCCGGCGTGAGAGGCCCGTCGGTGTGAGAGGCTCAGCGTGTGTCGCCCAGTGTCAGTGCCTTTGGGGCGGGGGACAGCGTCCCCACTTTCCTTCTACTGAATCCTCGGGCCCGTGGGCAGAACCCATTTCTTTTGTTTGTGGGCCTGGGTACCTTGCAGGGCCTTTCTCTATTCCCCACCGGCTCAGGACCCATCCAGCTTGTACTTGCTGACTCGGGAGGGAACTCGGGACGTAGGGCCATGCGGGGAGAGGACCTGGCCTGATCTGGGAGGCAAGGGGCGGGGAGGTGTTAGAGAGTTCATCCTTCCCCACTCTCTCCGGGCTCGCGCTGCCTCGGGGATTCCCGTGGCGTCCTGGGAGTTCCCGTGCCACCTTCCTTCCAGCTGGCAGCTCTGCAGACACCTCCACCCGTGAACATCACGCTCAAGTTCTGGAGACAGGGAGGAGGGCTGGGGGATCCAGAGATCCAGCCTGAATAGACTTCTGCTCTCTGCTCAGCTAAGCACCCAACACTGAGAAATGAACAGGTCAATTGGATTCAAAGCCGCGCAATCATCTGCATTTTATTTGCACCTCATTTGCAAGTTGTTAATTTGCAACTCTGCTCCTTCCACTCCAGGTTCCTTCTCTCCCATCACCCCTCAGATTCCCCAGTGGCCCAGGAAAAAATATCTTGGTCTTTGCCAAGGTAGACTCAGCCTTGTCAGCAGGCCTGTCCTGTGTTCTCAGGGGAGGCCTTTACCCAAGGCCACAACAACAGCAGGAATCCCGAGTAAGACGCCACCTTGACGGCAGGGAAGGCTGGATCTTTTCACAGGGCAGAACTGATTTGATGAGGTGAACAGTAAGGTGAGCAGAGGTGGGAAAGGCCAGTGGGTGAATGCAGGAACAGCACCAGGAGCTAGAGCCCAACTCTGGCCTGTGGGCTGTCTCCCGGTCCTCAGAGGCGGGACGGGGTTCCTCCACCCACCACCACTGTTTCCCCAGTGATGTAGCTGGCATCTTCAGAGCACAGGAAAGACACGATGCCAGCACAATCCTCTGGCTCGCCTAACCTGGGGAATAAGGGAAGCAAGGAAGGAGGTAAAAATCAAACGGGTCTGCCTCCCTCACCTGGGACACGGGGAGTTAAATTTGCTTAATCAAGAATTATCAGATGACTTTTCAGGATCAGTGTACAAGCTTTCTGCCTATCAAATAGGGTTACCACGAGGATATGCTGTTATAATTTAGTATAAGCATACTGTACTCTGCAAAACTATTACCCATAATATTCAAATACTATAGAAACACACCGGTTTTTAGAGAGCTCAGGACACCAAAATCCAAAGTTATATAGATAAAATGGTGAGCAATTAATTATTTCATACTTCAAAAAAATGGTTTCACATGTGCACACACTAAAGTATCAGGGAGTCTGTGTGACAGTAAATGGTGTGTTTAAAATGATTCCATTTGTACAGGTTCAGCTTAGAACTTTTTCAGGAATCTATACTTGTGCCTTAAAGTCATGTTCATTTAGTGAGAATGTGCTAATTCTTATTTTATCAGTGACTGCATAGTTAGGAGACACTTTAATCTCCCTGCCATAGAATGCTCTAGAGGTGGGCAGAGTGAGTAACTCAAACCTAGAAGGGCTGAATTAATGCTTCTCCATTCTACTTGTATCTTGCAATCATTTGAGAGGCTTAAACCAAAAAAGAAAAGAAAAGAAAAGACAAAGAAAAACAAAAGCCCAGATGGTCAAGTCCTACCTTGGACCAATTAAAAAGAATCTCTGGGAGTGGGTGGGGCCTGAGCACCTGCAGTTTAAAAAGCTCCCCAGGTGATTCTAATGTGAATCCAGTATTGAGCTACATGGGCTAGATCATTCATTGGTGCTCTAGGTTGACAATCCCCTCACTTATTAATGAGTTATGAACCAGGCCTGCAGCTCATGTCTCACATCAGAATGGCTTTGGGAAGATTTGGGATGTCTGGACGAGTACAGAGTTAGGCATTACTGGCATTTGTCCTTGAAGCCAGAAGGTAGAGAGAGGCAGGGAACTTAGAGGAAAGGGAGCCCGACAAAGGTGCTTGAACAGTTCACCCAGCTCACTGGGGAAGAAAGTAACTCCTTAGGCAAGGGGAGTTTGGGGCTTAGTAAAACTCTTCATTCTTTTCATTTGGATTGTAGATCATCAACCTGAGTTTTGTAAACATGTGTCATTATTCAAGGGGACTAACAAAGCATGGTTTTGGTTATGGTCCCTGGTCTCCATGGATGCTCAGAGGTGGAGGCAATCCCCCAGGTGGAGAGAGGACTCAGGGCTTCTCCGAGACCTCTGCACTGCTGAAACCCCGATGTCTCTGTGTTTACCTTTGGAAAGGGAAGCTGACTTCTTGCTCAGGTCACTGTAGTGATAGTGTTTATGAATTCGTGGTCTGTGAGGCAGAAGAGAGCCTGCCTGTGTTATCTGTGGGACTGAGACAGCGGGCTGTGGGCTGCTAGGGACCAGACCTTCCCATCTTCATGTCTCTTAGTGCCCTTGCCCTCATGACAGTTTACCTTCTTATCCGCAGGGTTTCTTTCATGCTTTCCTCTTTTTCCTTGTCCATCCAGAGCTGTAGGAAGAAGGGAAATCTCTTTATGTTTTTTTTTCTTTTCCTTTCTTTTTTTTTTTTTTTTTTTAGAGACGGAGTCTTGCTCTTTTGCCCAGGCCGGACTGTAGTGGCGCTATCTTGGCTCACTGCAAACTCCGCCTCCCGGGTTATGCCATTCTCCTGCCTCAGCCTCCCGAGTAGCTGGGATTACAGGCGCCCGCCACTGCGCCCGGCTAATTTTTTGTATTTTTAGTAGAGACGGGGTTTCACCGTGTTAGCCAAGATGGTCTCGACCTCCTGACCTCGTGATCTGCCCGCCTCGGCCTCCCAATGTGCTGGGATTACAGGCATGAGCCACCCCACCCAGAAATCTCTTTATGTTTAAGAAGAGGAATCAATTAGGAAAAGAGGAAGTCAAATTGTCCCTGTTTGCAGACGACATGATTGTTTATCTAGAAAACCCCATCGTCTCAGCCCAAAATCTCCTTAAGCTGATAAGCAACTTCAGCAAAGTCTCAGGATACAAAATCAATGTACAAAAATCACAAGCATTCTTATACACCAACAACAGACAAACAGAGAGCCAAATCATGAGTGAACTCCCATTCACAATTGCTTCAAAGAGAATAAAATACCTAGGAATCCAACTTACAAGGGATGTGAAGGACCTCTTCAAGGAGAACTACAAACCACTGCTCAAGGAAATAAAAGAGGACACAAACAAATGGAAGAACATTCCATGCTCATGGGTAGGAAGAATCAATATCGTGAAAATGGCCATACTGCCCAAGGTAATTTACAGATTCAATGCCATCCCCATCAAGCTACCAATGACTTTCTTCACAGAATTGGAAAAAACTACTTTAAAGTTCATATGGAACCAAAAAAGAGCCCGCATCGCCAAGTCAATCCTAAGCCAAAAGAACAAAGCTGGAGGCATCACACTACCTGACTTCAAACTATACTACAAGGCTACAGTAACCAAAACAGCATGGTACTGGTACCAAAACAGAGATATAGATCAATGGAACAGAACAGAACCCTCAGAAATAATGCCGCATATCCACAACTATCTGATCTTTGACAAACCTGAGAAAAACAAGCAATGGGGAAAGGATTCCCTATTTAATAAATGGTGCTGGGAAAACTGGCTAGCCATATGTAGAAAGCTGAAACTGGATCCCTTCCTTACACCTTATACAAAAATCAATTCAAGATGGATTAAAGATTTAAACGTTAGACCTAAAACCATAAAAACCCTAGAAGAAAACCTAGGCATTACCATTCAGGACATAGGCGTGGGCAAGGACTTCATGTCCAAAACACCAAAAGCAATGGCAACAAAAGCCAAAATTGACAAATGGGATCTAATTAAACTAAAGAGCTTCTGCACCGCAAAAGAAACTACCATCAGAGTGAACAGGCAACCTACAACATGGGAGAAAATTTTCGCAACCTACTCATCTGACAAAGGGCTAATATCCAGAATCTACAATGAACTCAAACAAATTTACAAGAAAAAAACAAACAACCCCATCAAAAAGTGGGCGAAGGACATGAACAGACACTTCTCAAAAGAAGACATTTATGCAGCCAAAAAATACATGAAAAAATGCTCATCATCACTGGCCATCAGAGAAATGCAAATCAAAACCACTATGAGATATCATCTCACACCAGTTAGAATGGCGATCATTAAAAAGTCAGGAAACAACAGGTGCTGGAGAGGATGTGGAGAAATAGGAACACTTTTACACTGTTGGTGGGACTGTAAACTAGTTCAACCATTGTGGAAGTCAGTGTGGCGATTCCTCAGGGATCTAGAACTAGAAATACCATTTGACCCAGCCATCCCATTACTGGGTATATACCCAAATGACTATAAATCATGCTGCTATAAAGACACATGCACACGTATGTTTATTGCGGCATTATTCACAATAGCAAAGACTTGGAACCAACCCAAATGTCCAACAATGATAGACTGGATTAAGAAAATGTGGCACATATACACCATGGAATACTATGCAGCCATAAAAAATGATGAGTTCATGTCCTTTGTAGGGACATGGATGAAATTGGAAACCATCATTCTCAGTAAACTATCGCAAGAACAAAAAACCAAACACCACATATTCTCACTCATAGGTGGGAATTGAACAATGAGATCACATGGACACAGGAAGGGGAATATCACACTCTGGGGACTGTGGTGGGGTCGGGGGAGTGGGGAGGGATAGCATTGGGAGATATATCTAATGCTAGATGACACGTTAGTGGGTGCAGCGCACCAGCATGGCACATGTATACATATGTAACTAACCTGCACAATGTGCACATGTACCCTAAAACTTAAAGTATAATAATAATAATAATTAAAAAAGAAAAAAAAAAAAAAAAGAAGAGGAAAGTGAAGAATGGAAAGGGAAGAAACTGCCCATCCTCATGGTAACTGAGAGGAGGGATGGGGTGAGAGACTTCCCTCTTTCACTTCCTATTTTTTTCTAGCTCCCAGCTCTCCCCACTGCCCTCATCTGTTTCATTTGTTTCAGGTTCTAGTGATGCATTTTGCTGCGTCTCTCCAATTCTCATCCATGTAAGGAGGGAGGAAACAGTGTGAGTACAGTCTGAATACCTCAGTCTCCAGCCTATACCTCAGAAAAGGTGTGATAAGAGTGTGGCTTGTATAGGGCAGGTGGTACAGAGAGGGAATATGGGAAAGTCCAGGGAAGGAGAATGGAGTGGCTGAGAGCTCAGGACTCAGGTAGTGGGCTTCCCTGTCCAAGAAGATGGATGCCTTTCAAGGGGTCCCAGTCAAATGCAAAGCTCCCCTTCCTCACCATCCTGCTGAAGCTAGTCTTGATAAGTCCAGGTGCAGGCAGTTCACCCTAATGTTCCTTGGGGCCAGCTCTATGGCCAGGGTATTGTTGAGGCCCAGCAAGGCTGTTTTACTGACATTGTAAGGACTGAAGCCCTGGAGAAAGAAGAGAATGTGTTAGACTCATAGTTTCCAGGTCATTCTTGGTTCTAATAACTAGACATAGAGGGCAGTGCTCAGTAGGGATCTCCTGTAAGGGAGGGGCAGAGTTAGGAAACTGTCTTGTGGCTAAACCTCCCCTAGGTTATGGTTTGTGGAGGCAAGGCATCTATTTTGTGGGCAGGGACTTGGTGGTGTGATTCTACAAGGGGACACAAACTTCTTTGGGTAATAGGAGGGGTGGAAAGATGTGGAGTGGAGGGTGGGATGGAAGAGGTAGACAAAAGGGTTCTTACAGGAGATGGACTGAAGGCTGCTATGGAAGACACGATCACCACTGAGCCGCCTCTGGAAAAAGAAGAGAGCTGACCGTCTTCCCAGTGTGGACCACTGCCCTCAGCCTGTGTGGGGTCCCCTCTCACCCAGGCTCTCTCTCACTCTCTGTACCCTCGTTTCTCCATTTCTGGCACCACTGCCTTTGTCATCAGGGCTGGGGCCTTCACATTAATGTCCAGAGTCTGAAGCCAAGAGAAGAAGGGGAAACAGCATGAGTGAAGAGCACTGGAGGAGGCATGAAAAAATGAGGAGTTAGAGTGGGTTCCTAGGATGTTTGTCAGAGCTGACGAAGATCTTAGGATGATATACCTGCATCTTACACATGAAGGAACTGAGGTTCAGGGAGAAGTAGCTCTCACCAGCTGCTCAGCTAGATAATGATACATTAGGTTCAGGTGAGCAAAAATGGAGCCTGGTTCATCTTGTTTCATAATCAGCCAAGTATGATTTGGGCCAGAAGGGGCCTTTGGATTTGAGCTGTGTTTTCTCTGTTTCTTCCAAGTAGGTAGAGCCTGGAATTGTCAGCCTCCTGGACCTGCCCTAGAGTAGGCCATGCTTCTCAGGGAAAATGTGGCCTGACCTTGGATATGTGGGGTTGTTCTAGCACTTCTCTGGCTTCTGGGCTTAGGGAGTGAGATGTTCTTGGCCCTCTAGGAAGGACTGTCTGGCTAGGCATGGTTAGAAAGTGGGATCATGAGGAGTCACCTTCTGGGGAAGCTGGGGGACAGGCTACAATCAGAATCCCCACATCCATAATCTAAAACAAATGTATGACCCTGTTTACACTGTTCTAGACAACTGCTTATATTAAAATATTTCAATCTTACAGAAAAATTGGAGATAGAAGTACAATGAATGTCTAGATATCCTTCACTTAGAGTCACCAATTGTTCACATTTTGTCCTATTTGTCCTCTCTGTAGATCTGTACAGTTTTTTAAATGAACCATTGAAACTCAGTTGCAAGTTTTCTGAAAGATTTTATATAATAAAATCAAAAATTACAAAGAACAAAAATAAAAAAATGTAAATTAAAAAAAAAAAAACTCAGGGCTGGGCATGGTGGCTCATGCCTGCAATCCCTGCACTTCGGGAGGCCAAGATGGGTGGATCACTTTTAGGTCAGGAGTTCGAGAACAGCCTGGGCAACATGGCAAACCTCGTCTGTACTAAAAATACAAAAATTAGCCAGACGTGGTGGCATGTGTTTGTAATCCAAGCTACTCAGGAGGATGAGACAGCAGAATAGCTTGAACCCGGGAGGTGGAGGTTGCAGTGAGCTGAGATAGCACCACTGCACTCCAGCCTGGGTAACAGAGTGAGGCTCCATCACAAAAATAAATAAATAACCTAAAATAAAATAAGTAAACTCAGTTGCAGATAGTACAATGTTCTATCCCCAAATACTTAGCATACATTTCCAAAGAGTAAGGATTTTCTTTTACACAACCATAATCTGTTATCACAACCAAGAGTTTGACAATGATGATAATTTTATCTAACATATTGGCCTCAATTATCCCCCAAATGTGTGTGTGTGTTTTTTAAAGTCCAGAGTTCAATCAAGGATCAGCCATTATGTTTGGATTTGACATACTGTGATAGTTTAAAAAATATACAAATTAAAAGAAAAGTTATAGACACATATTTTCTTATGCTTTGCAGATATTGTTTTTTTTTTTTTTTTTTTTTTTTTTTTTTACAAATTGGAGTTTCGTGGCAACCCTGCATTAATTCGAGCCATTTTTCCAATTGCATGTGCTCACTTTGTCTCTGGGTCACATTTTGGTAATTCTTGGAATATTTCAGACCTTTCCATTATTATTATATCTGTTACGGTGATCTGTGATGAGTGATCTTTCATGGTTTTATTATAATTGTTTTGGGGTACCACAAACCACACCCAGAAAAGAAGGTCAACTTAATTGAAAAATGTTGTGTGTTCTGACTGCTCTGCCCTTCTCTCATCTCTCTCCCTCTCTGTGGACCTCCATATTCCCTGAGACACATTTACATTGAAATTAGGCCAACTATTAACCCTACAATGGCTTGTAAGTGTTTAAGCAAAAGGAAGAGTCACACATCTTTCACTTTAAATCAAAAGCTAGAAACAATTAAGCTTAGTGAGGAAGGCATGTTGAAAGCTGAGGCAGGCTGAAAGTTAGACCATGTGCACCAGTTAGCCAAATTGTGAATGCAAAGGAAAAATTCTTGAAGGAAATTAAAAGTGCTACTTCTCTGAACATATAAATGATAAGAAAGCAAAAGAGGTTTATTGTTAATATGGAGAGAAAGTTCTTATGTTCTGGACAGAAGATCAAACTAGCCACAACATTCCCTTAAGCCAAAGCCTAATCAGAAAAAGGCCCTAACTTTTTAATTCTTTGAAGGCTGAGAGAAGTGAAGAAGCTCCGGAAAAGTTGGAAGCTAGCAGTGGTTGGTTCATGAGGTTTAAGAAGCCACCTCTGTAACATAAAAGTGCAAGATGAAGCAGCGAGTGCTGATGTAGAAGCTGCAGCCAGTTATCCAGAAGATCTAGCTAAGATCATTGATGAAGGTGGCTACAGCAAACAACAGATTTTCAATGTAGATGAAACAACCTTCTAGTGGAAGAAGATGCCATGTAGGGCTTTAATAGCTAGAGAGGAGAAGTCAATGCCTGGCTTCAAAACTTCAAAGGACAGGCTTATTCTCTTGTTAGGGGCTAATGCAGCCAGTGACTTTAAGTTGAAGCCAATGCTCATTTACCATTCTGAAAATTCTAGGGCTCTCAAGATTTACGCTAAATCTACTCTGCCTGTGCTCTGTAAATGGAACAACAAAGCCTGAATAACAGCACATCTGTTTATAGCATGGTTTACTGAATATTTTAAGCTCACCGTTGATGGCTACTGCTCAGAAAAAGATTCCTTTAAAACTGTTACTGCTCATTGACAATGCACCTGGTCACTCAAAAGCTCTGATGGAGATGTACAAGGAGATTAATGTTGTTTTCATGCCTGCTAACACAACATCCATTCTGCAGCCCATGGATCGGGGGTAATTCTGACTTCCAAGACTTATTATTTAAGAAATACATTTTGTAAGGCTATAGCTGCCATGGATAGTGATTCCTCTGATGGATGTTGGCAAAGTTAACTGAAAACCTTCTGTAAAGGATGCACCATTTTAGATGCCATTAAGAATATTTGTGATTCATGGGAGGAGGTCAAAATATCTAGATTTACAGGAGTCTGGAAGAAGTTGATTCCAACCCTCATGGATGACGTGGAAGGGTTCAAGACTGCATCAGAGGAAGGAACTGCAGATGTGGTGGAAATAGCAAGAGAACTAGAAGCGGAGCTGGAAGATAGGACTGAATTGCTACAATCTCACGATAAAATGTAGATGGCTGAGGAGCTGGTTCGTACGGATAAGCAAAGAAAGTGGTTTCTTGGGATGGAATCTATTTCTGGTGAAGATGCCATGAATATTGTTGAAATCACAACACGGGATTCAGAATATTATAGGTACTTAGTAGAGTAAGCAGTGGTAGAGTTTGATAGGATTGACTCCAATTTTGAAAGAAGTTCTACTGTGGGTAAATGCTATCAAACAGGATTGCATGCTACAGAGAAATCTCTTGTGAAAGGAAGAGTCAACTGATGTGGCAAACTTCACTGCTGTCTTATTTGAAAAAACTGCCACAGCCACCCCAGCCTTCAGCAACACCACCCTAAGTCAGCCACCATCAATGTTGAGGCAAGATCCTCCACCAGCAAAAAGATTACAAGTTGTAAAGGCTCAGATGATTGTCAGCATTTTTTTAGCAATAAAGTATTTTAAAATTAAGATACGTATATATATTTTAAAACATAATGCTATTGCTCAGTTAATAGACTTCCATTAGATGATCATTATAATGTAAACCTAACTTTTATATGCACTGGGAAACCAAAAAATTCATGTGACTCACTTTATTATAATATTCACTTTATTGTGTGGTGGCCTGGAACCAGACCCACAATATCTCTGAGGCGTGCCTGTACTTAGTTTAAAACTGACTTTCATATGGTCTGTATTCAGACTGTTCATGAATGATGCTCCTTTATTTTAAAGACTATCAGAATCTGGCTGTGTGTGGTGGCTCATGCCTGTAATCCCAATATTTTGGGGGGCTGAGGTGTGGGGATCAGTTGAGGCCAGGAATTTGAGACCAGCCTGAGCAACACAGTGAAACCCCATCTCAATACAAAAAATTAGCCAGGCATGATGGCACATGCCTGTAGTCCCAGGTACTTGGGAGGCTGAGGCACAAGAATCGCTTGAACCTGGGAGGCTGAGGTTGCAGTGAGCTGAGATCACACCACAGCCCTCTAGCCTCAATGACACAGCGAGGGGGAAAAAAAAAAAAAAGGAAAAAAGACAGAGCAAGAGTCTGTCTAAAAAAAGAAAGAAAGAAGCCAAACTTAAATGGTTAGCAGCAAATCTCTGGGTAGTTTTGAAGAAAAGATGGTTTAAGAAAGAGAAGTTATTTTGATGATAGTTCCTAAGAAGGAAGGTTTTGTTGTCATTGTTGTTGTTGTTGTTTTTAATATAGAGAAAAGGTCTCGCTGTGTTGCCCAGCCTTCTCTCAAACTAGCTCAAACTAGAATCAAAAACTAGCTCACTGAAGAACATTTTGGCAGTTTGGTCTTTATGTGTATGAAACACTGGTAAATAAATCATAGTATTTTGGCAACCTGATACTTTAGTGTTGAGAAATTTTGATGACACCTGATATAGTTGGTAAGTTTGTCCCCTCTAAGTCCCATGTTGAAATGTGATCACCAGTGTTCCAGGTGGGGCCTGGTGTGAGGTGTTTGGGTCATGAGGGTGGATCCCTTATGAATGGCTTGGTGCCCTCCCTGTGGCAATGAGTGAGTTCTCACTCTATTATTTCATGCCAGAACTAGTTGTTTAAAAGAGACTGGTATCTCTCTCTTGCTTCCTGTCTTGCCATGTGACACACTTGCTCCCTTTTTCCTTCTGCCATGATTGTAAGCTTCCTGAGGCCTCATCAGAAGCAGATACTGGCACCATGCTTCTTGTACAGTCTGCAGTATCGTAAGCCAAAACACACTTCTTTTCTTTATAAATTGCCCAGCTCAGGTATTCCTTTATAGCAATGCAAAACAGACTAATACAACATCAGTGTAAAACGCAGAACCATGGGAGATCATAAAAATTAGCATTTCCCAATCATGTGGGAATATTAACCTTAATAAACAAAGACAAATATTTTAATTAAAGCTTTGTAATTAAAGGGTGTGTGTGAAATATATTATGAATATAATGTAATTATACACTTTCACATAAAACCCAATATTCTACCACTTGAATTTAGACATCTGGATCTCAGATTTTCTTGACATTGCAGTTAAGAAGAAAATAACATAGGTTTTTATTTTATTTTTTTAAAGGATGTATGTTATAAAGTGGCAACTGGTCATTTCACCAGAATTAGTATTTTAAATAACTAGCAGCATTTAATATTTCCCAACTAATAAAAAATGATTAGTTTTTGTCAGCTGAAAAGAGGACAGGTGGGTGTGTAAATTAAGTGTTGTAGTTGTTGGCATATTAGCTGCCTACGTCTCTGTTGGAAATCAACAAGGCAGAAGAGCATGCCAGGGAAGAAGCCTGGGGAGGGGAGCAGTGGCTAATGAAGAGCAGATAGAAGCAGAGAGAACTAGGAGCAGCAGAAACGAATGAGAAGGGCAGAGAAAGAGCCACCCCCACCTGCCCTTTGCAAGGTGTGCTCCAGGTGTGTGGCACGTGGCAAAGAGTCCTCACATTTACACTGCCCTTGAGAAATGCATTCTAAAAGCAGATGGAGTTTGTGCTGAATGTGTCCCGAGGCCCCCTTCCGCGCTTCTTTAATCCCCTCTCACCTTGTCCCACACCTCCTCGGTGACATCCATTAGGCTTCCAAAGAAAGGGTTGACAGCAGCATTGGAGACTAGGATATCGATACCTCCATGAAGCTTCACAGCCTAGAGAGAGGGGTAAGGTCTGGACCAGGGCTGCAGTAAGTAAGGGAGGTGCATTTACCCATGTTGATAAAAACTTCCTTCTGGGCAAGGAGCTGTGGCTCATGCCTGTAATCATAGCACTTTGGGAGGCCAAGGTGGGAGGCTCACTTGAGCTGAGGAATTTGAGAGAAGCCTGGGCCATGCAGCGAGACCTTATCTTTATATTAAAAACAACAACAACAATGACAACAAAAGCTTCATTCTTAAGAACTATTGTCAAAATAACTTCTATTTCTTAAAACATCTTTTTTGAAAACTACCCTAAGATCTGCCGCTAACCATTTAAGGTTGGCTTCTTTCTTTTTTAGATGGAGTCTTGCTCTGTCATCCAGACTGGAGCACAGTGGCATGTTCTCAGCTCACTGCAGCCTTGACCTACTGGGTTCAAGCCATCCTCTTGGCTCAGCCCCCCAAGTAGTTGAGAGTAGAAGTGCGTGCCACCACACCCGGGCAATTTTTGTATTTTTTGTAGAGACAGGGTCTTGCCATGTTGCCCAGGCTGGTCTGGAACTCCTGGGCTCAAGCCATCCACCTGCCTTGGTATCCTAAAGTGTTATAGGCACAAGCCACCAGGAAGTTGGCCCTATTTCTTTTGCAGTCTTTTCTTCCCACCTCCTATTCTTCCAAGGCTGTCTCTGACGCTCTTTTCTTTACACTTTCCCTTTGGAAAGCTCCTTCATTCTCATGATTTCAAGTCTCACCCCAAAATCTATTTCCAGACCCCTCCTCTTCCTTTCACACTGAGTTCCACCCACATTTCTCCAAGTGCTTACTGTCCAGTTCTCCCTGAATAAGTTACCATTATCTCAAAGTCAATCTGTCCACACTTACCTGAATGGAAAAACTGGCTTAAATAGAGCTGAAGAAAGTTACCCTGGAGGGGCCTTTGAGATCATCTATTCCAGTGTCCTTAAGGTGGAGATGATGAAACAGGTTCAGAGAATTTTCTCAAGATCTTATACTTCAGTAGTGGCACACTGGGGCTAGCTAAGAACAGGAGGCCTGCTTATTCTGTGTTTGGGAGGGGTGAAGTGATTTTTTCAGGGCACAAAGCTAGTCAGTAGTGGAAGAAGTGAGGTCAGTCTCCCACTTTGTAGCACAGAGCTAATTCATAAGAGACCTCTGAAAGTGAGTTGGGGTCATTAGTAAACCAGCTGCCCAGGAGAGCCATGATGGGAGAAGATACCAGCCTGAATTTAAAGCAATTCCATATTTGGTTATGATGTCATTTTCCCTGTCTCTGTCTCTCTCTTTTGACCTGGAGGCATGAAAGATTCAAGGCAGAAACTGAAATTTAAATTGAGAAAGCGAAGAAAGGCAACATCTCACCTCCTTAATAAGTTATAAGTAGATAGTGAGGCGTGTGCTAGAGTAATGAATGGCCAAGCAGAATCTGCCAACAAGGGTTTTCAGTACAAAGCCACCCTGAAACTAGACTTTGCATTTGCCCGGAACTGGCAATTTTGATGCCTTGGGCAAGTTGCAGTATGTGGGCCCTTGGTCAACTTTGTGCTCTGGATTTGGCACAGAGAGGGGTGTTACTAACAATGTACACCATCTGCTAGCTTCCCGTTTTAACTAATTATTCTTGTTAACTAGGTGCTAAGCTCAGTTGTTTCTAGACAGTGGAAGGAATGCTGGGTTTGTCAACGTGTTAATCTAACAAAATTTACAGTCACATAATCTTTTAAAATCGGTATTAATACTTTCTTGCACCCTTTAAATTTTGGCATCCTGGCACAAAGCCAAGTCACCTGGGTTGGCTCTGTGTAAGTCTCACCAATGGACTTGTTACTAGGGAGGTGCAGAGTAAGTTAATAAGTGATGTGCACTGTGCTCAGTACACATGTGTTTGGGCTGGGAGGAGACAATGGATTGCTCTAGAATCACCTGGAGACATTTTCTACTCTGCTGTATACCCCATACTCCTCTCCTTCCAGGTCTGTCAGCACAGAGATGGGAGGAGGCTGGGTTTTGATTGAACAGAGACAGCAAACCATAAAAGATGAATGAGGCTGGGTGTGGTGGCTCACACCTATAATCCTAGCACTTTGGTAGGCCCAGTGGGGAGGACCACTTGAGGCCAGGAGTTCAAAACAGCCTGGGAAATACAGCCCCAACTCTACAAAAAATTTAAAAAATGAACTGGTGTGGTGGTGCATGCCTATAGTTTTAGCCACTTGGGAGGCTGAGGTGGGAGGATTGCTTGAGTTCAGGACTTCGAGGTTACAGTGAGCTATGATCATGTCACTGCACTGCAGCCTGGGCAACAGAATGAGGCACTGTCTCTGGAAAAAAATAAAAGAAAGTCTTCTAAGTCTTATTCTAAATTGTGTGATCACTACACTAAAGCGGTTAGGAGCTGTTTGTTCTGTGTTCTGATAGTTATACATTTTTAAGAAAAAATATAATCAAGCAGATAGGCAGCTACTCTGGTTTCCACTTACAACACCAGTGAGAAGCTTCGTGGTGTGCAGATGAGGAGGCCACTGGGTAGTATCCATTCTCAGGGCAGTGGCTTTTCTTATTGCAGGGTAACATGTGGCAACTGGCAGAAGACATTTCAAATTGCTGACAAGTATTCTATCATTCTCTTCTCTGACAATGGTCATACAAACTACCTGAGAGTCATTTTTGACTTCTCTATTTCCCACTTTTTGACATGGGGTTGGAAAATCTTGGTTCGTTTCCACTAAATGTCTCTTGGGCACATCTATTCCAGTCCCGCCGCCACTGCTCTAAACCTGGACGACAGCAACAGCTTCCTCACTGATGCCCTGGATTCGGTGTCTCCTCTGTATATCCTTCCTACCAGAGCCAGATTAGCTTTCCTAATAACCATCTTTCTCTTGCTCAAAACCTCACATGGCTTCTTATTTGCTGCAAGAATGTGTAAACATATCCTTTTAAGAGGCCATATCCTTTTAAGGTCCTTAACGTATCCTTTTAAGAAGCTATGGCCGGGCACAGTGGCTCACGCCTGTAATCCCAGCACTTTGAGAGGCCGAGGGGGTGGATCACCTGAGGTCAGGAGTTCAAGACCAGCCTGGCCAACATGGTGAAACCCCGTCTCTACTAAAAATACAAAAATTAGCTGGACGTGGTGGTGGATGCCTGTAATCCTAGCTACTCGGGAGGCTGAGGCATGAGAATTGCTTGAACCTGGAGGCGTAGGTTGCAGTGAGCTGAGATTGTGCCATATCACTTCAGCCTGGGCAACAAGAATGAAACTCTGTCTCAAAAAAAAAAAAAAAAGATATGGAGGCCCATGGCCTCTATCTTTCCAATGCAGCCCCTTCCCCAGCAGTACTCCTGAGCCTGTGCTCTCCACTGTGGACTGACAGTGCTCCTCTCTTTCCTTCAGTTCCTCCTTGGCTGTCTGCTCATTTTGCAGAGTTATCTGGAACCTCGTCACTATTCCATCTGTCCATTCCCATCCATTCCTTAAGGTTTAGCTCAAGTACCACTTCTGGGCCAGGCCTGTAGGCCATGTTAAGTGAACCTGGTGGGGGGCACAGGTTGTTTTTCTAGGAGGATTTTCACATTACATTGCTACTTACATGTCGTATGGTTAGTGCTAATTGATCCAGACTCCCAAACGGCTCCTTCCACCATCAGGATCAAGGCCCCAATCTTGGGCTTTGTCGACCAGTCTAAGCCAAGCTTTTTTGGACTCACATTTGTGACTTTCTTGGACTCATATTTGGCTCTTTCCAATGCACATTTGAGTGTCTGCCAGACTGTTCCTTAAAAATGGAATTACCCTATTCTGTCTACTATTGCTTAAGATCCTCCTCTTCTAAGAAGATTATGCAAATTATTTCTGCCAACCTTCCAATCTGTTAGCAGAATCCTGTACTTTCCATTTTTGGGTAGATTCTCCCTTCCACTCTGGGAAATAAAGTGTGTGCCCTGAGCCTCAAGGGAAGAGGAGCTTCCTTTGTGAATGCTTCATAGTTGCTTCAGCAGCTGCAAGGCTGTTGTCCACTACTAATTATGACATTGACTTATGTACTTTCTTTGAGACTGAAGTCCAGTACCTGGTAGTCCACAGGCAGCCAATAAAGGAAGGGAGCTTGGGAGGTCTGGGTCTTTCCTTACTGGCTGTGGGACCTTGGGAAGTTGCTCCAGCTATCTGAGCCAGGGTCTGCAGACTGAGAGAATAGTCCTTGCCTTGCTTGGGTTGTTGTCAGGTCTAGAGATAACCTGTGTAAGGCTCTGAACACAGGAAATGGCACATAGTAAGTGGCTGAAACATGGTGGGCTGCTTCCTGAGGTTCCCAGGGACTTGACTCTATAAGCTGAAGAAGAGGGGAATGTTTATTAGCTCATGGGTGGGAACATCTATTTTGTGATTGTATTTACCCTTCACATCTGTTCAATTAGATTGAAAATTACTGCAGAACCAGTACCAGCTGTTTCTTTGGGGTACTCAAGGGATGATGCAGGGTTGAAGCATTAGAATGTTTTAAAATTCTCTGACTGAGATGGGATGATTCTCTGACGTTAGTATATGGACATAATAGAAAGGCACACAGTAAAAATGTGCTGCTGTCTAGGAAAGCAGGGAAGGAGGCTCAGGCTGGCTTCCTTTTCCACCTCCTGGCTCTGTGCCCATTTCCCTGCAGCTCACCATGGCCACCAGCCGCTCCCGGTCCTCCGCCTTCCCCACATGGCACACAGTGCCCGTCACGCTCAGCCCCTCCCCCTGCAGCGTGGCCACCGCCTGGTCCACATTCTGCTGCTTCCGGCTGCTGACGACCACGTGGGCCCTGTCCTGGGCCAAACGCCGGGCGATGGCGAAGCCGATCCTGTGAGCAGAAAGAGACAAAGACTGCTAAGGCCTGTGCAGGGGAAGAGGTCGACAGCATGGGCTCTGAAGTTAAGACTGCCCGGGTTTGAATTCTGGCTCTTTCTCTATATAACTCCTACGTGTGCCTACTATGTGTAAAACAGGCTTAATGGCATGGCCATTTTTAGCACTGCTTTACTTATTTTTATTATGACCTGGATCACAGCCTTAGTTCCCAAGAACTGACATCACTTTCTACAGTTCCCACCACGGGTGACAGGCTTCATCTCCTGTTGGGACTGAGAGGTGAGAAATGAGCTGGGTGTGCAGCAGCAGCCACTTCCGTGATTTGAAGGTCTCACTCAGAACAGTCCTGCCGCCAGGTTTCTTTCTTACTAGTCTACATCATTCTCAAAATTCTTTCCATAATTATTTTTTGGGGTGCATGTGAAAAGATGGTCTCTGGTCAAAAACGTAAATATTGCCTTGGGAAGAAGAGTTACACATTCTGCAGTTGTCAGCCATTAGCATTTTATCTACATTTGTATTTTAGTTTTGTGAAGAGCTGGCATCTAGCAAAGTCCTGTAGAAATGAGAACCAGGACTGACAAGAGAGGTGGGTGAGAAACAGGCTGGGCAAGGTAGGCCCAGATGTACCGACCTAAAAAAAAGTCTCGACACATGGCTCTGGTGTCCCATCTAGGTAAGGGGGAGGGGTTCCGGGACACTTTCTGGAGCCCAAATAGAATGGTACATTTTCAAAAAGCTGGAGGCCTTGTTATAAGATTTTGAATCCAGATTCCCTTGCATTTCCAGTTTCTGGTCTTCCCAGAGGCTAGGTAAGGCTGGTTGACTGGGGCAGCCCAGAACACTGGGGGGACTAGATCGATGGGGCTGCACAGAGGTGGCACAGTTGTGCCAGAGGCAGCAGGGACAGAAGGGCTGGCAAGGGAGGGCCAGGGTATTCGGAGGGGCTTCAGGCGGACCACGTGGCTACTTTTTTTCCATGGCCAGACTTTGGCGGTATGTGAGGTCTGAGGACAGGGGCACTGGAGGCAAAGGACGAGACACCAGTGCATGTTTCCAGGCAGCCAGGGCCTCAGAAACTCCGGCACCAACACTCACCCGTCGGTGGAGGCCGTTACCAGGGCCACCTTATTTGTGAGCGGGTCCCGGCGGGTCATCCTGGAGCTGGCCATCCGCACCGACTTCCGTGCCCAGGCACAGAGGCCTAGCAGCCTGGCCATCTGCATGGATCAGACCAGCAAGTCTGGGTTCCACTCCTTCCAGCGGAGGTGACAGAGTAGGGCGAAGGGGCAGGACGAAGGGCGGGCCGCTTCCCTGCCTGCCCCCTTCCCGCCCTCGGCCAGCTGGGAGTCGTCTGTGGCGGTTGGCGCCTCCCGCCGCCCGCCAGTCGCCCCGCCCCGCAGCCAGCTACCTTCCGCCTGACTGGGGCTTGCCTTCCCGGGCTGGTGAGTGATCAAAGCGCTCTCCGTTCAAGTTGCCTGTAGGGCTCGCCCCTCCCCTGGCCCCCGCAGGAACCCGCAGACTTTGGCTGCTGCCCTTCTGCATCTGCTTGTCCACGTTTTCTTCTTGGGGAAGTGGGGGTTTTGAGTTGGTTGCTTTTGCTTCTTCAGAATTCCTTCTCCAAGAAAGTCTGGGTCTATGTATGTGACAGCCCACAGGAGGGCAAATGTTTTGAGACTGCCCATGGAGGTGAGGCCTGTGGTCCCCATGGAGTCCACCAGGTGAGGCTGGAGCAGCCTGGGAGAGAGACGTGATAGGCAGTAGCTGCGCCAGGCCTGGCACTGCCCTTCACTCTGCCCAAGGTCTCTTCCATCTTCACGGGCCCTTGGAGGGCAGACTACGGTCATTGGCAAAACAGGATCTCATATCCCTCGCCAAAGGGACTTCCTCCTTTACAGGGGCTAAGTGGTAGCGAGGAGGCTGGACAGTCCCTCAAGCAGTGGTGGAAATGCAAAGAACTCGGGGCACTCAAGTTCTCCCTAACCACTCTGTCCCCAGGTCTTAGCCTCCATCCTAGTTCAATAAATATTTGTTGAATGCAAAATCTCTTTATGAACTGTAAGCTACTAAGCACATAGTAGTTACTGCCACCATGTAGTGATTATTATTGGTGCCCTGGGCCAGACTCTTCATCTGTAAATTACTGAGGGTATGGATGATGAATAAAGTCCTTGCCAGCTATAAATTCTGTGTCCAAGACTTCAGTCTCCACTTCTGCCAAGTGGGCTGAAATGATCTCCCTCCTGGGTTTCCGGGAGAATGAATAAATATGGATGGCTTATGGTACAGTGTAGAAAGGCCGCAACAGACCCAAAGGTAAGTATCTGAATTAGTTTAACCCACTGGCCTCCAAAGCCAGACTGAGAAGCAGTGCTGGTTCATGGCAGCGTTTTCACTAGTTCAAAGCAAAATGAGAAAAGGAAACAATTACAGTGAGTTTCATAAAGCTAAGCTTATTTAACAGTCCTTTATTGTGGAGTATACCTTTCCTTCTTTTTGTGTGTGTGTGTGTTAGTGTTTTGTTTCAGAAAAGATGATGAAAGCAGATGGGTAGGTTTAGAGATGTGTTATTGGTGAAATCACCAGTTTGGCAGCCTTATGCCAGTCCCTACAATTAGAGGGGAAAGAATCCTGGTTTGTGAAATCCAGTTCTAGGCATGACTTTTGAATAGAATTCATGTTTGCTCAAGATTCATTTAGTATATGTGCAGGTCAGCTGAGCAGCTGAAAAAGGATTTGGACATTCAGCTGGGCGTGGTGGCTCACCCTGTAATCCCAGCACTTTGGGAGGCCGAGGCGGGCGGATCACGGGGTCAGGAGATCAAGTCCATCCTGGCTAACACGGTGAAACTCGTCCCTACTAAAAATACAAAAAATTAGCCGGGCGTGGTGGTACTTGCCTGTAGTCCCAGCTACTCGGGAGGCTGAGGCAGGGGAATGGCATGAACACGGGATGCGGAGCTTGCAGTGAGCCAAGATCACGCCACTGCACTCCAACCTGAGCGACAGATGGAGACTCTGTCTCAACAAAAAGAAAAAAAACAAGGATTTCAACATTCAAAAGGGGGTGTATGGCGAGCAAGTAATAGAACAGGCCTGCACTGGATTTCTAGTGTTTTCCTCAGCCAAGAAGTTACAGCTGCAGCACTCTGCTTTGCTACTCAGCACATCCCGATGAGACAGGAGAGCTGCAGTATAATTTTCCCCATGTCCAGGCAAAGCTGACTCTGACTGGTGCTCCTCAGTCTGAGCCTCATGAATTATTGACAGAGGCTGGAAGCGCCACACTCCTTGTGCTCTTGCACTGTTTGGAGCTCATGCACTGTGGGAACCCTTCCCAGGGCTCTCCATCTGTGTGGGGCTGGGGGGAGGGTACACAGGAGGACTGCTGCGGGGGTTCTCAGGGCTTGGTTCAAAGGGACAAGCCTCCAGGGGGGTATTTGATCTCTCTTCCTCTTCTCTTCAGAGGTAGACGGGCCCACTGAGGGGCTGAGGGTTCCAGGAAAGTGAGGAAGACCACACTTCAAAGAGCAAAGGATTCTGGGAAAAGAGAATTGTGGCTTGGGAGCTTGGTGAACAACACATGGCCCTTCCTTGTGTGGGCAGGGTTGCTATTTGGCCTCCAGCACTATTTCTTTTTCTTTCTTTCTTTCTTTTTTTTTTTTTATTATACTTTAAGTTCTAGGGTGCACGTGTACAACGTGCAGGTTTTTTACATATGTACACATGTGCCATGTTGGTGTGCTGCACCCGTTAACTCATCATTTACATTCGGTATTCCTCCTAATGCTATCCCTTCCCCATGCCTGCACCCCACGACAGGCCCCAGTGTGTGATGTTCCCCACCCTGTGTCCAAGTGTTCTCATTGTTCAATTCCCACCTATGAGTGAGAACATGCAGTGTTCTCACAGGGGGCCTGTGAGCAGAAAAGGATAGAAGGAAGTCAAGAAGTATGGGAATCTCTAGCGCTACTCCTCATCAAGCTGGCTTATTGGAGATAAGAACAGGAAATCTTGGGGTGGGCATGGTGGCTCATGCCTGTAATCCCAGCACTTTAGGAGGCTGAGGTGGGCAGATCACTTGAGGTCAGGAGTTTGAGACCAGCTGGCTGAGATGATGAAACCTCGTCTCTACTGAAAATAAAAAAATGAGCCGGGTGTGGTCTGGAGTTTGAGACAAGCCTGGCTAACATGGTGAAATCCTGTCTTTACTAAAAATACAAAAATTAGCTGGGCATGGTCAAGAGTTCAAGACCAGCCTGACCAACATGGTGAAACCCTGTCTCTACTAAAAATACATGCCTGGTGGCATGTGCCTGTAATCCCAGCTACTCAGGAGGCTGAGGCAGGAGAATTGCTTGAACCTGGGAGGCAGAGGTTGCAGTGAGCTGAGATCATGCCACTGCACTCCAGCCTGGGCAACAGAAGGAGCGACTCCATCTCAAAAAAATAAAAAAAGAAGAGGAACAAGAAACCTTTCAGGGAAATACATACATATGTGGGAGTATCTCTCTGAAATGGGAACTGTAATAGGCAATGGGATTGTTCTTGTATGGAGGTGGTAACATCTGCCTATCTTGAGGGACAAATGCCTCCATGATTGAGGGCTCTACTCTCATCCTTTTCAAGGGCTGCCTGCGGTCCAGAAGAGAATTCATCTGGGATGGATTTTAAGTCTTGCATTTTGCAATAGCTGTCCCAGATTCACTGTTGAGTCATGCATCACTGACACAAGTCAGGATTAGGCTATGTGGAAGGGCTGGTGTGGGATTAGGACAACTGCCAAGCAGAGAAATAATAGTAAGAGTGTTAACAGCATTTATTGAGCACTTCCTTAGTAAGTGCTGGCAAGTGTTAAGTGCTTTTTAGAAATTTTATTGAATATTTTTAATCTGGTGAAATGGGTGTTTTAATGTAGGGAGCCAAAGGCCTGAGGGTCGTGACCAACTCAGCATTCCACTGAAGGCTATATGATCAAACAGCCAACTGTTTATCATGATTGCAAAATGTGGGCAAACTCGCTTCTGCACCTGCCACCAGGAGGTTTGCTGAGGGCAATTACTCCCTGGTGCTGTGCTCCTTGAGGTTATCTACTGGAACCTCTGGAGACTACTGTTCAAAGAATGCAGTCATACAAGCCTACACTAAGTCAAGCAGCTTACTGACAACCACCCCTTTCTCCCTATCTCCTTTACTCAGTAAATACGAAGGGGTATAGAAGCTCAGGGCCCTTGTTCCCTAGAAGAAATGAGCCCCCTGACCCCTTCTTCCATATGTACTCATTTGTCTTTATTACCATGTTAATCTTCTTTTGTTCAGTCCACCAAGGACTGTGGCATTTTAAATTCTTTTTTTTTTTTTTTTTTTTGAGATGGCATCTTGCTCTGTCATCAGGCTGGAGTGCAGTGGCACAATCTTGGCTCACTGCAACCTCTGCCTCCCGGGTTCAAGCGATTCTCCTGCCTCAGCCTCCCGAGTAGCTGGGACTACAGTACCTGGTGAGCTAGCACAACACCTCGCTCAGCTAATTTTTGTATTTTTAGTAGAGATGGGGTTTCACCATGTTGGCCAGGATGGTTTCCATCTCTTGACCTAGTGATCTTCCTGCCTTGGCCTCCAAAAGTGCTGGGATTACAGGCATGAGCCACTGCGCCCGGTCGGGTGTTTTAAATTCTATATGTGAAAGTCGAGTGAGTGATGACAACCTCAACCACTGTCTGTGTTGTATAGCTACACTTCATTTTGATGACATTGTTGGGGGATTGATACTTTTCATAGAAATCAATTTTCTCTGAATTGGAATTTTAACTTTCAGGATCAGTGTGTTTTTCAAATCAACACATCTGTTCATTAAATTATAAAAATAAAACATGCTTATTATTTTAAAAAGGGAAAGAAAGTTATGTGAAAAGTAAAAGGTAACTCTTCCCTATGGTTCTTTTACCTTCTTCCCATACAGCTCTTGGCTTTGTGTATCTTTCCAGAAGTTTCCTATACATTTACATGCATTTTTCTTTTAAAAATTGTTTCCACAAATGAGATTACACTGCACATACTGCCCTTCAAATTGCATTTCTTTTCTTTCTTCTATGCTCCAACTCTTTTTAATTTCTTTTTTTTACATTTTTTCTTTTTTTAAATTATTATACTTTAAGTTCTGAGATACATGTGCAGAACTTGCAGGTTTGTTATATAGGTATAAACGTGCCATGGTGGTTTACCGCACCCATCAACACGTCATCTATATTAAGTATTTCTCCTAATGCTATCCCTTCCCCAGCCCCCTATAAACCCAACAGGCCCTGGTGTGTGATGTTCCCCTCCCTGTGTCCATGTGTTCTCATTGTTCCACTCCCACTTATGAGTGAGAACATGTGGTGTTTGGTTTTCTGTTTTTGTGTTAGTTTGCTGAGAATGATGGTTTCCAGCTTCATCCATGTCCCTGCAAAGGACATGAACTCATCTTTTTTTATGGCTGCATAGTATTCCATGGTGTATATGTGCCCCATTTTCTTTATGCAGTCTATCATTGATGGGCATTTGGGTTGGTTCCAAGTCTTTGCTACTGTGAACAGTGCTGCAATAAGCATATGTGTGCATGTGTCTTTATAGTAGAATGATTTATAATCCTTTGGATATATACCCAGTAATGGGATTGCTGGGTCAAATGGTGTTTCAGGTTATAGGTCTTTGAGGAATGGTCACACTGTCTTCCACAACGGTTGAACTAATTTACACTACCACCAACAGTGTAAAAGTGTTCCTATTTCTCCACATCCTCTCCAGCATCTGTTGTTTCCTGACATTTTAATGATTGCCATTCTAACTGGTGTGGGATGGTATCTCATTGTGGTTTTGATTTGCATGTCTCTAATGAGCAGTGATGATGAACTTTTTTTCATGTTTGTTGGCTGCATAAATGTTTTCTTTTGAGAAGTGTCTGTTCACATCCTTAGCCCACTTTTTGATGGGGTTGTTTGTGTTTTTCCTTGTAAATTTGTTTAAGTTCTTTGTAGATTTTGGATATTAGCCCCTTGTCAGATGGATAGATTGCAAGAATTTTCTTCCATTCTGTGGGTTGCCTGTTCACTCTGACGATAGTCTCTTCTGCTGTGCTGAAGCTCTTTAGTTTAATCAGGTCCAATTTGTCTATTTGGACTTCGTTGCCATTGCTTTTGGTGTTTTAGTTATGAAGTCTTTGCCCATACCCGTGTCCTGAATGGTATGGCCTAGGTTTTCTTCTAGGGTTTTTATGGTTTTAGGTCTTATAATTAAGTCTTTAATCCATCTTAATTAAACCCAACTTAATTTAATACAACATAATAAAATTGAGTTAATTTTTGTATAAGGTGTAAGGAAGGGGTCCAGTTTCAGTTTTTTTGTATAAGGTGTAAGGAAGGGGTCCAGTTTCAGTTTTCTGCCTACGGCTAGCCAGCTTTCCCAACATCATTTATAAAATAGGGAATCCTTTCCCCATTGCTTGTTTTTGTCAGGTTTGTCAAAAATCTGATGGTTGTAGGTGTGTGGTGTTATTTATGCAGCCTCTGTTCCATTCCATTGGTCTAGATATCTGTTTGGTACTATTACCATGCTGTCTTGGTTACTGTAGCCTTGCAGTAGTTTGAAGTCAGGTAGCGTGATGCCTCCAGCTGTGTTCTTTTTGCTTTGGATTGTCTTGGCTATATGTAGGGAAAAGAAAGAGAGATCAGACTGTTACTGTGTCTATGTAGAAAAGGAAGACATAAGAAACTCCATTTTGACCTGTACCCTGAACAATTGCTTTGCCCTGAGATGCTGTTAATCTGTAACTTTAGCCCCGACCTTGAGCTCACAGAAACATGTGTTTTATGGAACCAAGGTTTAAGGGATCTAGGGCTGTGCAGGATGTGCCTTGTTAACAAAATGTTTACAGGCAGTATGCTTGGTAAAAGTCATCACCATTCTTCAGTCTCAATAAATCAGGGGCACAATGCACTGCGGAAAGCCGCAGGGACCTCTGCCCTGCAACGCTGGTTACTGTCCAAGGTTTCTCCCCATGTGATAGTCTGAAATATGGCCACGTGGGATGGGAGAGCCCTGACCGTCCCCCAGCCCGACACCCATGAAGGGTCTGTGCTGAGGAGGATTAATAAAAGAGGAAGGCCTCTTGCAGTTGAGATAGAGGAAGGCCACTGTCTCCTGCCTGCCCCTGGGAACTGAGTGTCTTGGTATAAAACACGATTGTACATTTGTTCAATTCTGAGTTAGGAGAACAACCACCCTGTGGCAGGAGGTGAGACAAGTTTGCAGCAATGCTGCCTTGTTATTCTTTACTCCACTGAGATGTTTGGGTGGAGAGAAGCATAAATCTGGCCTACATGCACATCCAGGCATAGTACCTTCCCTTGAACTTATTTGTGACACAGATTCCTTTGCCACATGTTTTCTTGCTGACTTTCTCCCCACTATCACCCTGCTCTTCTGCTGCATTCCTCTTGCTGAGATAGTAAAAATAGTAATTAATAAATGCTGAGGGAACTCAGAGACTGGTGCCAGTGTGGGTCCTCTGTATGCTGAGTGCCAGTCCCCTGGGCCCACTTTTCTTTCTCTATACTTTGTCTCTGTGTCTTATTTCTTTCCTCAGTCTCTCATCCTGCCTGACAAGAAATACCCACAGGTGTGGAGGGGCTGGCCCCCTTCAGCTATATGGGCTCTTTTTTTGGTTCCATATGAAATTTAAAGTAGTTTTTTCCAATTTTGTGAAGAAAGTCATTAGTAGCTTGATGGGGATAGCACTGAATCTATAAATTACCTTGGGCAGTATGGCCATTTTCACGATATTGATTCTTCCTATCCATGAGCATGGACTGTTTTTCCATTTGTTTGTGTCCTCACTTATTTCCTTGAGCAGTGGTTTGTAGTTCTCCTTGAAGAGGTCCTTCACATCCCTTGTAAATTGGATTCCTAGGTATTTTATTCTCTTTGTAGCAGTCGCGAATGGGAGTTCACTCATGATTTGGCTCTCTGTCTATTATTGGCATATAGGAATGCTTCTGATTTTTGCACATTGATTTTGTATCCTGAGACTTTGCTGAAGTTGCTTATCAGCTTAAGGAGATTTTGAGCTGAGATGATGGCGTTTTCTAAATATACAATCATGTCATCTGCAAACAGAGACAATTTGACTTCCTCTTTTCCTAATTGAATACCCTTTATTTCTTCCTCTTGCCTGAGTGCCCTGGCTAGAAAACTTCCAATAGTATGTTGAATAGGAGTGGTGAGAGAATGCATCCTTGTCTTGTGCCGATTTTCAAAGGGAATGCATCCAGCTTTTGCCCACTCAGTATGATGTTGGCTGTGGGTCTGTCATAAATAACTCTTACTATTTTGAGATACGTTCTATCAATACCTAGTTTATTGAGAGTTTTTAGCATGAAAGGCTGTTGAATTTTGTCAAAGGTCTTTTCTGCATCTATTGAGATAATCATGTGGTTTTTGTCATTGGTTCTGTTTATGTGATGGACTATGTTTATTGATTTGCTTATGTTGAACCAGCCTTGTATCCCAGGAATAAAGCTAACTTGATCATGGTGGATAAGCTTTTTGATGTGTTGCTGGATTCAGTTTGCCAGTATTTTATTGAGGATGTTCTCAATGATGTTCATCAGGGATACTGGCCTGAAATTTTCTTTCTTTTGTTGTGTCTCTGCCAGCTTTTGGTATCAGGATGATGCTGGCCTCATAAAATGAGTTAGGGAGGAGTTCCTGTTTTTCTGGTGTTTGGAATAATTTCAGAAGGAATGGTACCAGCTCCTCTTTGTACCTCTGGTAGAATTCAGCTGTGAATCCGTCTGGTCCTGAGCTTTTTTTTGTTTGATAGGCCATGCATTACTGCTTCAATTTCAGAACTTGTTATTGGTCTATTTAGGGATTTGAATTCTTCCTGATTTAGTCTTGGGAGGGTGTATTCGTCCAGGAATTTATCTATTTCTTCCAGATTTTCTAGTTTATTTGCATAGAGTAGTTTATAGTATTCTCTGATGGTAGCTTGTATTTCTGTGGGATCAGTGGTGATATCCCCTCCATCATTTTTTATTGCACCTATTTGATTCTTCTCTCTTTTCTTCTTTATTGGTCTAGCTAGCAGTCTATCTATTTTGTTGATCTTATCAAAAAACCAGCTCCTGGATTCACTGGTTTTTTTGAAGGTTCTTTCCTGTCTCTGTCTCCTTCAGTTCTGCTCTGATCTTAGTTATTTCTTGTCTTCTCCTGGCTTTTGAATATGTTTGCTCTTGCTTTTCTAGTTCTTTTAATTGTGATGTTAGGGTGTTGGTTTTATATCTTTCCTGCTTTCTCCTGTGGGCATTTAGTGCTATAAATTTCACTCTAAACACTGCTTTGGCTGTGTCCCAGGGATTCTGGTACATAGTGTCTTTGTTCTCCCTGGTTTCAAAGAAGTTATTTATTTCTACTATAATTTCATTATATACCCAATAGTCATTCAGGAGCAGGTTGTTCAGTTTCCATGTAGTTGTGTGGTTTTGAGTGAGTTTCTTAATCTGAGTTCTAATCTGATTGCACCGCAGCCCGAGAGACTGTTTGTTATGATTTCCATTCTTTTGCATTTGCTGAGGAGGGTTTTACTTCCAATTATGTGATCAATTTTAGAATAAGTGCGATGTGGTGCTGAGAAGAATGTATATTCTGTTGACTTGGGGTGGAGAGTTCTGTAGATGTCTATTAGGTCTGCCTAGTCTAGAGCTGAGTTCAAGTCCTGGATATCCTTGTTAATTTTCTGTCTCATTGATCTGTCTAATACTGACAGTGGGGTGTTGGGGTGTTAACGTCTCCCATTGCTATTGTGTGGGAGTCTAAGTCTCTTTGTAGGTCTCTAAGCACTTGCTTTATGAATCTGGGTGCTCCTGTATTGGGTACATATATATTTAGGATAGTTAGCTCTTCTTGTTGAATTGATCCCTTTACCATTATGTAATGGCCTTGTCTCTTTTGATCTTTGTTGGTTTAAAGTCTGTTTTATCGGAGACCAGGATTGCAACCCCTGCTTTTTTTTGCTTTGCATTTGCTTGGTAAATATTCCTCCATCCCTTTATTTTGAGCCTATGTGTGTCTTGGCACATGAGATGGGTCTCTTGAATACAGCACAATGATGGGTCTTGACTCTTTATCCAATTTGCCAGTCTGTGTCTTTTACTTGGGGCACTTAGCCTGTTTACATTTAAGGTTAATATTGTTATGTGTGAATTTGATCCTGTCATTATGATGCTAGCTGGTTATTTTGCCCATTAGTTGACGCAGTTTCTTCATAGTGTCAATAGTCTTGACAATTTGGTATGGTTTTGCAGTGGCTGGTACTGGTTGATCCTTTCCATGTTTAGTGCTTCCTTCAGGAGCTCTTGTACATCAGGCCTGGTGGTGACAAAATCTCTCAGCATTTGCTTGTCTGTAAAGGATTTTATTTCTCCTTCACTTGTGAAGCTTAGTTTGGCTTCATAACCATTCCTCATGGCGCAGTCCTTCACAGCTTCCCTTGGCTAGGGGAGGGGGTCCTCTGACCCCTTGTGCTTCCTGAGTGAGGTGATGGCCACCCTGATTCAGCTGGCTCTTCATGGGCTGCACCCACTGTCTCACCAGTCCCAGTGAGTTGAGCCAGGTACCTCAGTTGGAAATGCAGAAATCACCTGCCTTCTGCATTGATCTCGCTGGGAGCTGCAGACTGGAGCTGTTCCTATTTGGTCATCTTGTCAGCCACCCTTTTTATTTTTTAAAATACATTCTTGGCTAATGAGTGGTACATAATAGACCTACTTTATTCTCTCTCTTCTTTTATAAAATAGCTGTACAGTATTCTATTGTGTGGCTATTCCATAATTTATTTAGCTAGTCTCCTACTGATGGATATTTAAGTAGCTTCCAGTGTTTTGCTATTTCAAACAATGCTATGGTGAACAACACTGGATGAATATGTATTTTTGTGTGTTTGGTACAAATACATTTGTACGCTGGGCCAAAGTTTTAAATTGATGGCTATGATGGTCAAATTACCTTAAAAAAGATTTGTCAACCTAAAATAATAAAAGGGTGAGAATTGAATTTAAGGAGTGTTTATTGAAGTGCAAAGTGTGAGGATGGACCATCTGGAAACATCAAATCCAAAGGAATGCAGTCAGCATTCTGAAGTGGAGAAGTTAAGGTTTCAATTTTATATCCAGAGAGAGAGGAGTGTTTAGCAAAATTATAACATTATTTGTACAAGGTTGGCACATAGTTACAGCCATTTGATCAGTTATACGCAGTGTTTATTTTTGGGAAGGATACAATTAACATGTTTTTTAGAGGGTGCAATAATTGTGGGTTTTTGTCATCTGGTCTAAGCAAAGCAGGACAACAATGGGAAATTAATATACAACAAGGGTCATTAATTAAGAAGGCCAGAGGTTTTTTTCCATGATGTCATTTAATTCTCTCTAGTCATTGTACAGAAGAAGAAAAATAAGAAAGCTAGTTCATCTATAATTTGAGAACAGAAGTTATAACCACATACGACTCAGATCACAGTCACGTCTCAAGGCTTAAAGTGATTTTGGGGGTTCCCACAGCTTTTAAATTTTATTTATTTTCACAGATTTAAGCAGTTTTGATGAATTTTTCCCCGTAAAGTGAATTTACCTGCTGCTCTACTCCCTTATGCATAGTATATAGAATGGCTTAAACTTTGGTGGTGGCTTAAGCTCAGTGATAAAATGGTAACACACTTTAGGTCGCAGTGGCCAACTTGCAGAACTGCAACTTGCAGATCTGAGGCACACCCAGTTCCACTCATGTTTGTCATTGAGAATGCTGGCTCAGCACTGCCAGCCCTTGGGGTATTTAAACAGAAGCTAGAAATCCAGATGGCAATAGGAAATATTTAAATTTTAAATGTAAGCCAATTATTTACTTAAAAAAGAACCCAGAAAAGAAAACAGTGAATGGATTTGTAGGTGCCAGAGGCTGACTGATATAGTCTATTTAAATGGAATGGATTATTAATTTTGTGAGATATTGCTCTATCTAGAATTTCTTTTTTTATTATTATACTTTGAGTTCTAGGGCACATGTGCACAACGTGCAGGTTTTTTACATAGGTATACATGTATCAGGTTGGTTTGCTGGATCCATCAACTCGTCATTTACATTAGGTATTTCTCCTAATGCTATCCCTCTCCCAGCCCCCCAGCCCCCAACAGACCCTGGTGTGTGATGATCCCCTCTCTGTTTCCATGTGTTCTCCTTGTTCCACTTCCACTTATGAGTGAGAAGATGCAGCGTTTGGTTTTCTGTCCTTGTGATATTTTGCTGAAAGTGATGATTTCCAGCTTCATCCATGTCCCTGCAAAGGACACGAACTCATCCTTTTTTATGGCTGCATAGTATTCCATGGTATACATGTGCCACATTTCCTTTATCCAGTCTATCATTGATGGGCATTTGGGTTGGTTCCAAGTTTTTGCTATTGTGAACAGTGCTGCAATAAACATATGTGTGTATGTGTCTTTATAGTAGAATGATTTATGATCCTTTGGGTAGATATCCAGTAATGGGGTTGCTGGATCAATTGGTATTTCTGGTTCTAGATCCTTGAGGAATGGCCACAGTGTCTTCCACAATGGTTGAACTAATTTACACTCCCACCAACAGTCTAAAAGCCTTCCTATTTCTCCACATCCTCTCCAGCTTCTATTGTTTCCTGACTTTTTAATGTTGCCATTCTAAGTGTTGTGAGATGGTATCTCATTGTGGTTTTGCTTTGCATTTCTCTGATGACCAGTGATGATGAGCATTTATTCATATGTCTGTTGGCTGTGTAAATGTCTTCTTTTGAGAAGTTTCTGTTCATACTTTTTACCCACTTTTTGATGGGGTTATTTTTTTTCTTGTAAATTTATTTAAGTTCTTTGTAGATTCTGAATATTAGACCTTTGTCAGATGGATAGATTGCAAGAATTTTCTCCTATTCTGTAGGTTGCCTTTTCACTCTGATGATAGTTTCTTTTGCTGTGCAGAAGCTCTTTAGTTTAGGTAGATCCCATTAGTCTATTTTGGCTTTTGTTGCCATTACTTTTGGTGTTTTTATCATGAAGTCTTTGCCCATGCCTATGTCCTGAATGGTACTGTCTAGGTTTTCTTCTAGGGTTTTTATGGTTTTAGGTCTTACATTTAAGGCTTTAATCCATCTTGAGTTAATTTTAGTATAAGGTGTAAGGAACGCATGCAGTTTCAGCTTTCTACATATGGCTAGCTAGTTTTCCCAGCACCATTTATTAAATAGGGAATCCTTTCCCCATTGCTTGTTTCTGTCAGGTTTGTCAAAGAGCAGATGGTTGAAGATGTGTGGTGTTATTTCTGAGGCTTCTGTTCTGTTCCATTATTTCTGAGGCCTCTGTTCTGTTCCATTGGTCTAGATATGTTTTGGTACCGGTACCATGCTGTTTTGGTTACTGTAGCCTTGCAGTATAGTTTGAAGTCAGGTAGTGTGACGCCTCCAGCTTTGTTCTTTTTGCTTATGATTTCCTTGGCTATACTGGCTCTTTTTTGGTTCCATATGAAATTTAAAGTAGTTTTTTCCAATTCTGTGAGGAAAGTCAGTGGTAGCTTGATGGGGATAGCATTGAGTCTATAATTTACTTTGGGCAATATGGCCATTTTCATGATATTGAGTCTTCCTATCGATGAGCATGCAATATTCTTCCATTTGTTTGTGTCCTCACTTATTTCCTTGAGCAGTGGTTTGTAGTTTTCCTTGAAGAGGTCCTTCACATCCCTTGTAAGTTGGATTTCTAGGTATTTTATTCTCTTTGTAGCAATTGTGAATGGGACTTCACTCATGATTTGGCTCTCTGTCTATTATTTGCATATAGGAATGCTTGTGATTTTTGCACATTGATTTTGTATCCTGAGACTTTGCTGAAGTTGCTTATCAGCTTAAGGAGATTTTGGGCTGAGATCATGGGGTTTCTAAATATACGGTGAAATCATCTGCAAACAGAGACAATTTGACTTCCTCTTTTCCTAATTGAATACCCTTTATTTCTTCCTCTTGCCTGATTGCCCTGGCCAGAACTTCCAATACTATGTTGAATAAGAGTGGTGAGAGAATGCATCCTTATGCTGGATTCGGTTTGCCAGTATTTTATTGAGGATTTTTGCATTGATGTTCATCAGGGATACTGGCCTAAAATTTTCTTTGTTTTGTTGTGTCTCTGCCAAGCTTTGATATCCGGATGATTCTGGCATTATAAAATGAGTTAGGGAGGATTCTTTCTTTTTCTATTGATCGGTATAGTTTCAGAAGGAATAGTACCAGCTCCTCTTTGTACCTCTGGTAGAATTCGGCTATGAATCCATCTGGTCCTGGACTTTTTTGGTTTGGTAGGCTATTAATTATTGCCTCAATTTCAGAAGCTGTTATTGGTCTATTCAGCAATTCAACTTCGTCCTGATTTAGTCTGCAGAAGGTGTATGTGTCCAAGAATTTATCCAATTCTTCTAGGTTTTCTAGTTTATTTGCATAGAGGTGTTTATAGTATTCTCTGATGGTAGTGTGTATTTCTGTGGGATCACTGGTGATATCCCCTTTATGATTTTTTATTGTGTCTATTTGACTCTTCTCTCTTTTCTTCCTTATTAGTCTTGCTAGCAGTCCATTTTGTTGATCTTTTCAAAAATCCAGCTCCTGGATTCATTGATCCTTTGAAGGTTTTTTTTTTAATGTCTCTATCACCTTCAGTTCTGCTCTGATCATCATTATTTGTTGTCTTCTGCTAGCTTTTGAATTTGTTTGCTCTTGCTTCTCTAGTTCTTTTAATTTTGAGGTTAGGGTGTTGATTTTAGATCTTTCCTGCTTTCTCTTGTGGGTATTCAGTGCTGTAAATATCCCTCTACACACTGTTTTAAATGTGTCCCAGAGATTCTGCTACACTGTGTCTTTGTTCTCATTGGTTTCAAAGACCATGTTTATTTCTGCCTTCAGTTTGTTATTTACCTAGTAGTCATTCAGGAGCAGGTTGTTCAGTTTCCATGTAGTTGTGCAGTTTTGAGTGAGTTTTTCAGTCCTGAGTTCTAATTTGATTGCACTGTGGTCTGGGAGACAGTTTGTTGTGATTGCTGTTCTTTGGCATTTGCTGAGGAGTGTTTTACTTCCAATTATGTGGTCAATTTTAGAATAAGTGTGATGTGGTGCTGAGAAGAATGTATATTGTGTTGACTTGGGGTGGAGAGTTCTGTAGATGTGTATTAGGCCTACTTGGTCTAGAGCTGAGTTCAAGTCCTGGACATCCTTATTAATTTTGTCATGTTTTCTGTCTAATATTAACAGTGGGGTGTTACTGTCTCCCATTACTATTGTATGGGAGTCTAAGCCTCTTTGTAGGTCTCTAAGAACTTGCTTTATGAATCTGGGTTCTCCTGTATTGGGTGCATATATATTTAGGATAGTTAGCTCTTCTTGTTGAACTGATCCCCTTACCATTATGTGATGGCCTTCTTTGTCTCCTTTCATCTTTGTTGGTTTAATGTCTGTTTTATCAGAGACCAGGATTGCAATCCCTGCTTTTTTTTGCTTTCCATTTGTTTTGTAGATCTTCCTCCATCCCTTTGAGAGGTGGCAGTGTGCTGGCAGCCCTCGCTCACTCTTGGCACCTCCTCAGCCTCAGCACCCACTCTGGCCACGCTTGAGGAGCCCTTCAGCCCGCCGCTGCACTGTGGGAGCCCCTTTCTGGGCTGGCTGAGACTGGAGCTGGCTTCCTCAGATTGCAGGGAGGTGTGGAGGGAGAGGCATGGGCGGGAACTGGGGCTGTGCGCAGCACTTGCAGGCCAGCACGAGTTCTGGGTGGGTGTGGCCTTGGCGGCACAATGCACTGCAGAAAGCCACAGGGACCTCTGCCCTTGAAAGCAGGGTATTGTCCAAGGTTTCTCCCCATGTGATAGTCTGAAATATGGCCTCATGGGATGAGAAAGACCTGACTGTCCCCCAGCCTGACACCCATAAAGGGTCTGTGCTCTGGTGGATTAGTAAAAGAGGAAAGCCTCTTGCAGTCGAGATAGAGGAAGGCCACTGTCTCCTGCCTGCCCATGGGAACTAAATGTCTCGGTATAAATCCCGATTGTACATTTGTTCAATTCTGAAATGAGAGAAAAACTGCCCTATGGTGGGAGGCGAGACATGTTTGCAGCAATGCTGCCTTGTTATTCTTTACTCCACCGACATGTTTGGGTGGAGAGAAACATAAATCTGGCTTACGTGCACGTCCAGTCATAGTACCTTCCCTTGAACTGAATTATGATGTAGATTCTATTGCTCACGTTTGTTGCTGACCTTCTCCTTATTATCACCCTGCCCTCCTACTACATTCCTTTTTACTGAAATAATGACGATAATAATCAATAAAAACTGAGGGAATTCAGAGACCGGTGCCGGTGCAGGTCCTTGGTATGCTGAGCGCCGGTCCCCTGGACTCACTGTTGTTTCTCTATACTTTGTCTCTGTGTCTTATTTCTCTTTCTCAGTCTCTTGTCCCACCTGACTAGAAATACCCACAGGTGTGGAGGGGCAAGCCACCCCTTCAAGCAGTAGCAACCCGCTTGGGTCCCCTTCCACACTGTGGAAGCTTTGTTCTTTCACTCTTTGCAATAAATCTTGCTGCTGCTCACTCTTTGGGTCCACACTGCCTTTATGAGCTGTAACACTCACCGTGAAGGTCTGCAGCTTCACTCCTGAGGCCAGTGAGGCCACGAACCCACCAGGAGGAATGAACAACTCCAGACAGGAGGAACGAACAACTCCAGACATGCTGCCTTAAGAGCTGTAACACTCACTGCGAAGGTCCGCAGCTTCACTCCTGAAGCCAGCAAGACCACGAACCCACCAGAAGGAAGAAACTCTGAACATGTCTGAACATCAGAAGGAACAAACTCCAGACACGCTGCCTTTAAGAACTGTAACACTCACCGCGAGGGTCCGCAGCTTCATTCTTGAAGTCAGTGAGACCAAGAACCCACCAATTCCAGACATACCTTCATTTTGGGCCTATGTGTGTCTTTGCATGTGAGATGGGTCTCCTGAATACAGCACACCATATGGGTCTTGATTCTTTATCCAATTTGCCAGTCTGTGTCTTTTAATTGGGGCATTTATCCCATTTACATTGAAGGTTAGTATTGTTATATGTGAATTTGATCCTGTCATGACGTTAGCTGGTTATTTTGCCCATTAATTGATGCAGTTTCTTCATAGCATCAATGGTCTTTACAATTTCGTATGTTTTTGCAGTGGCTGGTACCCGTTGTTCCTTTCCATGTTTAGTGCTTCCTTCAGGAGCTCTTATTGTAAGGCAGGCCTGGTGGTGACAAAATCTCTCAGCATCTCCTTGTCTGCAAAGGATTTTATTTCTCATTCACATACGAAGCTTAGTTTGGCTGGATATGAAATTCTAGTTTCAAAAATCTTTTCTTTCAGAATGTTGAATATTGGTCCCAACTCTTTTCTGGTTTGTATGGTTTCTGCTGAGAGATCTGCTGTTAGTCTGATGGGCTTCCCTTTGTTGGTCACCCAACCTTTCTCTCTGGCTGCCCTTAACCTTGCTGAGTCTGACAATTATGTGTCTTGGGGTTGCTCTTCTCAAGGAGTATCTTTGTGATGTTCTCTGTATTTCCTGAATTTGAATGTTTCTTTTTTATTTTTTTGTCTCTAATCTTGTCTTCTCACTTTATTTCATTAATTTTATCTTCAATCACTGATATCCTTTCTTCCACTTGATTGAATCAGCTATTGAAGCTTGTGTATCCTTCATGAAGTTCTTGTACTGTGGTTATCAGCTCCATCAGGTCATTTAAGCTCTTCTCTACATTCTTCATTCTAGTTAGCCATTCGTTTAACCTTTTTTTGAAGGTTTTTAGCTTCCTTGTAATGGGTTAGAACATGTTCCTTTAGCTGGGAGTAGTTTGTTATTACTGACCTTCTGAAGCTTAACTTCTGTCAAGTTATCAAACTTATTCTCCATCCAGTTTTGTTCCCTTGCTGGTGAGGACTTGTATTCCTTTGGAAGAGAAGAGACGTTCTGGTTTCTGGAAGTTTCAGCATTTCTGCTCTGGTTTCTCTCCATCTTTGTGGTTTTATCTACCTTTGGTCTTTGATGTTGGTGACCTATGGATGGGGTTTTAGTGTGGATGTCCTTTGCTATTCTGATGTTGATGCTGTCCTTTGCTGATGTTGATGCTATTCCTTTCTGTTTGTTAGTTTTCCTTCTAACAGGCCCCTCAGCTGCAGGTCTTTGGGGGTTTGCTGGAAGTCCATTCCAGACCTTATTTTCTTGGGTATCAGTAGAGGAGGCTGCAGAACAGCAAATATTGCTGCCTGATCCTTCTTCTGGAAGCTTTGTTCCACAGGGGCACCCACCTGTATGAGGTGTCTCTCCGCCCCTACTGGTCGGTGTTTTTCAGTCAAGCTACATGGGGGTCAGGGACCCACTCGGGGAGGCAGTCTGTCCGTTATCGGAGCACGAACTCCGTGCTGGGAGAACCACTGCTGTCTTTAGAGATGTCAGGCAAGGACACTGAAGTCTGCAGAAGCTGTCCGCTGCCTTTTGTTCAGATATGCCCTGGCCCCTGAGGTGGAATCTGGAGAGGCAGTAGGCCTTGCTGAGCTGCGGTGGGTTCCGCCCAGTTAGAGCTTCCCTGCAGCTTTGTTTACACTGTGATCATAGAACGCCTACTGAAGCCTTAGCAATGGAGGACTTCCCTCCCCCACGGCCCCGTTAACTGATGCAGTTTCGGCCCCCCGCCCCCCACCGCCCTCTCCACCCTACCTGTCAAGCTCCAGCTCCAGCGGAGGATGCTCCAGGGACAGCGATGTCAGGACTGAGATGCAGGGGCTGCCTTAGAGTCTGGATGCTTGGGGTAGCGGGGTGTGAGGCACCGGGCCGGGGTGCAGGGCCGGAAGGAACGTGCTGGATCTGGGATGCTACCAGACGGGGCGTCCCAAAGACCGAGGCAGTCCCGTACCTTACAACTCTCAGATGAGCTCCACGGTGGGCTTGGCCACCCTGACCCCTACTGCCGAGGCTGCTGCAGAGGAGCCGCCGCCACCCACACCGCTGTGGAGCAGCCGCACATGCTAGACTCCGCTTCAGTAAAGCCCGGGCGGTGAGGGCTGCCGCAGAGGCGAGCCCGCTCCAGACAGTGGCGGTTGCGTGAGCGCCCCTCCCCCCACCGGGCCTTGGAGCGCGGGCTCCCACGCCGGCCCGGAGAGCTGCCCGACTGAGCATGCGCGTCGCGCTGCCGAGCCTCCTGAGAGCCCGCGGGCTGGCGCCGACCTTTCTTGCCGGCTCCGGCGTGAGAGGCCCGTCGGCGTGAGAGGCTCAGCGTGTGTCGCCCAGTGTCAGTGCCTTTGGGGCGGGGGACAGCGTCCCCACTTTCCTTCTACTGAATCCTCGGGCCCGTGGGCAGAACCCATTGCTTTTGTTTGTGGGCCTGGGTACCTTGCAGGGCCTTTCTCTATTCCCCACCGGCTCAGGACCCATCCAGCTTGTACTTGCTGACTCGGGAGGGAACTCGGGTCGTAGGGCCATGCGGGGAGAGGACCTGGCCTGATCTGGGAGGCAAGGGGCGGGGAGGTGTTAGAGAGTTCATCCTTCCCCACTCTCTCCGGGCTCGCGCTGCCTCGGGGATTCCCGTGGCGTCCTGGGAGTTCCCGTGCCACCTTCCTTCCAGCTGGCAGCTCTGCAGACACCTCCACCCGTGAACATCACGCTCAAGTTCTGGAGACAGGGAGGAGGGCTGGGGGATCCAGAGATCCAGCCTGAATAGACTTCTGCTCTCTGCTCAGCTAAGCACCCAACACTGAGAAATGAACAGGTCAATTGGATTCAAAGCCGCGCAATCATCTGCATTTTATTTGCACCTCATTTGCAAGTTGTTAATTTGCAACTCTGCTCCTTCCACTCCAGGTTCCTTCTCTCCCATCACCCCTCAGATTCCCCAGTGGCCCGGGAAAAAATATCTTGGTCTTTGCCAAGGTAGACTCAGCCTTGTCAGCAGGCCTGTCCTGTGTTCTCAGGGGAGGCCTTTACCCAAGGCCACAACAACAGCAGAAATCCCGAGTAAGACGCCACCTTGACGGCAGGGAAGGCTGGATCTTTTCACAGGGCAGAACTGATTTGATGAGGTGAACAGTAAGGTGAGCAGAGGTGGGAAAGGCCAGTGGGTGAATGCGGGAACAGCACCAGGAGCTAGAGCCCAACTCTGGCCTGTGGGCTGTCTCCCGGTCCTCAGAGGCGGGACGGGGTTCCTCCACCCACCACCACTGTTTCCCCAGTGATGTAGCTGGCATCTTCAGAGCACAGGAAAGACACGATGCCAGCACAATCCTCTGGCTCGCCTAACCTGGGGAATAAGGGAAGCAAGGAAGGAGGTAAAAATCAAACAGTTCTGCCTCCCTCACCTGGGACACAGGGAGTTAAATTTGCTTAATCAAGAATTATCAGATGGCTTTTTCAGGGTCAGTGTACAAGCTTTCTGCCTATCAAATAGGGTTACCACGAGGATATGCTGTTATAATTTAGTATAAGCATACTGTACTCTGCAAAACTATTACCCATAATATTCAAATACTATAGAAACACACCGGTTTTTAGAGAGCTCAGGACACCAAAATCCAAAGTTATATAGATAAAATGGTGAGCAATTATTTCATACTTCAAAAAAATGGTTTCACATGTGCACACACTAAAGTATCAGGGAGTCTGTGTGACAGTAAATGGTGTGTTTAAAATGATTCCATTTGTACAGGTTCAGCTTAGAACTTTTTCAGGAATCTATACTTGTGCCTTAAAGTCAGGTTCATTTAGTGAGAATGTGCTAATTCTTATTTTATCAGTGACTGCATAGTTAGGAGACACTTTAATCTCCCTGCCATAGAATGCTCTAGAGGTGGGCAGAGTGAGTAACTCAAACCTAGAAGGGCTGAATTAATGCTTCTCCATTCTACTTGTATCTTGCAATCATTTGAGAGGCTTAAACCAAAAAAGAAAAGAAAAGAAAAGACAAAGAAAAACAAAAGCCCAGATGGTCAAGTCCTACCTTGGACCAATTAAAAAGAATCTCTGGGAGTGGGTGGGGCCTGAGCACCTGCAGTTTAAAAAGCTCCCCAGGTGATTCTAATGTGAATCCAGTATTGAGCTACATGGGCTAGATCATTCATTGGTGCTCTAGGTTGACAATCCCCTCACTTATTAATGAGTTATGAACCAGGCCTGCAGCTCATGTCTCACATCAGAATGGCTTTGGGAAGATTTGGGATGTCTGGACGAGTACAGAGTTAGGCATTACTGGCATTTGTCCTTGAAGCCAGAAGGTAGAGAGAGGCAGGGAACTTAGAGGAAAGGGAGCCCGACAAAGGTGCTTGAACAGTTCACCCAGCTCACTGGGGAAGAAAGTAACTCCTTAGGCAAGGGGAGTTTGGGGCTTAGTAAAACTCTTCATTCTTTTCATTTGGATTGTAGATCATCAACCTGAGTTTTGTAAACATGTGTCATTATTCAAGGGGACTAACAAAGCATGGTTTTGGTTATGGTCCCTGGTCTCCATGGATGCTCAGAGGTGGAGGCAATCCCCCAGGTGGAGAGAGGACTCAGGGCTTCTCCCAGAGCTCTGCACTGCTGAAACCCCGATGTCTCTGTGTTTACCTTTTGAAAGGGAAGCTGACTTCTTGCTCAGGTCACTGTAGTGATAGTGTTTATGAATTCGTGGTCTGTGAGGCAGAAGAGAGCCTGCCTGTGTTATCTGTGGGACTGAGACAGCGGGCTGTGGGCTGCTAGGGACCAGACCTTCCCATCTTCATGTCTCTTAGTGCCCTTGCCCTCATGACAGTTTACCTTCTTATCCGCAGGGTTTCTTTCATGCTTTCCTCTTTTTCCTTGTCCATCCAGAGCTGCAGGAAGAAGGGAAATCTCTTTATGTTTTTTTTTTCTTTTTCTTTTTCTTTTTAGAGACGGAGTCTTGCTCTTTTGCCCAGGCCGGACTGTAGTGGCGCTATCTTGGCTCACTGCAAACTCCGCCTCCCGGGTTATGCCATTCTCCTGCCTCAGCCTCCCGAGTAGCTGGGATTACAGGCGCTCGCCACTGCGCCCGGCTAATTTTTTGTATTTTTAGTAGAGACGGGGTTTCACCGTGTTAGCCAAGATGGTCTCGACCTCCTGACCTCGTGATCTGCCCGCCTCGGCCTCCCAATGTGCTGGGATTACAGGCATGAGCCACCCCACCCAGAAATCTCTTTATGTTTAAGAAGAGGAAAGTGAAGAACGGAAAGGGAAGAAACTGCCCATCCTCATGGTAACTGAGAGGAGGGATGGGGAGAGAGACTTCCCTCTTTCACTTCCTATTTTTTTCTAGCTCCCAGCTCTCCCCACTGCCCTCATCTGTTTCATTTGTTTCAGGTTCTAGTGATGCATTTTGCTGCGTCTCTCCAATTCTCATCCATGTAAGGAGGGAGGAAACAGTGTGAGTACAGTCTGAATACCTCAGTCTCCAGCCTATACCTCAGAAAAGGTGTGATAAGAGTGTGGCTTGTATAGGGCAGGTGGTACAGAGAGGGAATATGGGAAAGTCCAGGGAAGGAGAATGGAGTGGCTGAGAGCTCAGGACTCAGGTAGTGGGCTTCCCTGTCCAAGAAGATGGATGCCTTTCAAGGGGTCCCAGTCAAATGCAAAGCTCCCCTTCCTCACCATCCTGCTGAAGCTAGTCTTGATAAGTCCAGGTGCTAGGCAGTTCACCCTAATGTTCCTTGGGGCCAGCTCTATGGCCAGGGTCTTGGTCAGGCCCAGCAAGGCTGTTTTACTGACATTGTAAGGACTGAAGCCCTGGAGAAAGAAGAGAATGTGTTAGACTCATAGTTTCCAGGTCATTCTTGGTTCTAATAACTAGACATAGAGGGCAGTGCTCAATAGGGATCTCCTGTAAGGGAGGGGCAGAGTTAGGGAACTGTCTTGTGGCTAAACCTCCCCTAGGTTGTGGTTTGTGGAGGCAAGGCATCTATTTTGTGGGCAGGGACTTGGTGGTGTGATTCTACAAGGGGACACAAACTTCCTTGGGTAATAGGAGGGGTGGAAAGATGTGGAGTGGAGGGTGGGATGGAAGAGGTAGACAAAAGGGTTCTTACAGGAGATGGACTGAAGGCTGCTATGGAAGACACGATCACCACTGAGCCGCCTCTGGAAAAAGAAGAGAGCTGACCATCTTCCCATTGTGGACCAGTGCCCTCAGCCCGTGTGGTGTCCCCTCTCACCCAGGCTCTCTCTCACTCTCTGTACCCTCGTTTCTCCATTTCTGGCACCACTGCCTTTGTCATCAGGGCTGGGGCCTTCACATTAATGTCCAGAGTCTGAAGCCAAGAGAAGAAGGGGAAACAGCATGAGTGAAGAGCACTGGAGGAGGCATGAAAAAATGAGGAGTTAGAGTGGGTTCCTAGGATGTTTGTCAGAGCTGACGAAGATCTTAGGATGATATACCTGCATCTTACACATGAAGGAACTGAGGTTCAGGGAGAAGTAGCTCTCACCAGCTGCTCAGCTAGATATTGATACATTAGGTTCAGGTGAGCAAAAATGGAGCCTGGTTCATCTTGTTTCATAATCAGCCAAGTATGATTTGGGCCAGAAGGGGCCTTTGGATTTGAGCTGTGTTTTCTCTGTTTCTTCCAAGTAGGTAGAGCCTGGAATTGTCAGCCTCCTGGACCTGCCCTAGACTACCTGCCCTAGAGTAGGCCATGCTTCTCAGGGAAAATGTGGCCTGACCTTGGATATGTGGGGTTGTTCTAGCACTTCTCTGGCTTCTGGGCTTAGGGAGTGAGATGTTCTTGGCCCTCTAGGAAGGACTGTCTGGCTAGGCATGGTTAGAAAGTGGGATCATGAGGAGTCACCTTCTGGGGAAGCTGGGGGACAGGCTACAATCAGAATCCCCACATCCATAATCTAAAACAAATGTATGACCCTGTTTACACTGTTCTAGACAACTGCTTATATTAAAATATTTCAATCTTACAGAAAAATTGGAGATAGAAGTACAATGAATGTCTAGATATCCTTCACTTAGATTCACCAATTGTTCACATTTTGTCCTATTTGTCCTCTCTGTAGATCTGTACAGTTTTTTAAATGAACCATTGAAACTCAGTTGCAAGTTTTCTGAAAGATTTTATATAATAAAATCAAAAATTACAAAGAACAAAAATAAAAAAATGTAAATTAAAAAAAAAAAACAAACTCAGGGCTGGGCATGGTGGCTCATGCCTGCAATCCCTGCACTTCGGGAGGCCAAGATGGGTGGATCACTTTTAGGTCAGGAGTTCGAGAACAGCCTGGGCAACATGGCAAACCTCGTCTGTACTAAAAATACAAAAATTAGCCAGACGTGGTGGCATGTGTTTGTAATCCAAGCTACTCAGGAGGATGAGACAGCAGAATAGCTTGAACCCGGGAGGTGGAGGTTGCAGTGAGCTGAGATAGCACCACTGCACTCCAGCCTGGGTAACAGAGTGAGGCTCCATCACAAAAATAAATAAATAACCTAAAATAAAATAAGTAAACTCAGTTGCAGATAGTACAATGTTCTATCCCCAAATACTTAGCATACATTTCCAAAGAGTAAGGATTTTCTTTTACACAACCATAATCTGTTATCACAACCAAGAGTTTGACAATGATGATAATTTTATCTAACATATTGGCCTCAATTATCCCCCAAATGTGTGTGTGTGTTTTTTAAAGTCCAGAGTTCAATCAAGGATCAGCCATTATGTTTGGATTTGTCATACTGTGATAGTTTAAAAAATATACAAATTAAAAGAAAAGTTATAGACACATATTTTCTTATGCTTTGCAGATATTGTGTTTTTTTTTTTTTTTTTTTTTTTTTTTTTTTTTTACAAATTGCAGTTTCGTGGCAACCCTGCATTAATTCGAGCCATTTTTCCAATTGCATGTGCTCACTTTGTCTCTGGGTCACATTTTGGTAATTCTTGGAATATTTCAGACCTTTCCATTATTATTGTATCTGTTACGGTGATCTGTGATGAGTGATCTTTCATGGTTTTATTATAATTGTTTTGGGGTACCACAAACCACACCCAGAAAAGAAGGTCAACTTAATCGAAAAATGTTGTGTGTTCTGACTGCTCTGCCCTTCTCTCATCTCTCTCCCTCTCTGTGGGCCTCCATATTCCCTGAGACACATTTACATTGAAATTAGGCCAACTATTAACCCTACAATGGCTTGTAAGTGTTTAAGCAAAAGGAAGAGTCACACATCTTTCACTTTAAATCAAAAGCTAGAAACAATTAAGCTTAGTGAGGAAGGCATGTTGAAAGCTGAGGCAGGCTGAAAGTTAGACCATGTGCACCAGTTAGCCAAATTGTGAATGCAAAGGAAAAATTCTTGAAGGAAATTAAAAGTGCTACTTCTCTGAACATATAAATGATAAGAAAGCAAAAGAGGTTTATTGTTAATATGGAGAGAAAGTTCTTATGTTCTGGACAGAAGATCAAACTAGCCACAACATTCCCTTAAGCCAAAGCCTAATCAGTAAAAGGCCCTAATTTTTAATTCTTTGAAGGCTGAGAGAGGTGAAGAAGCTCCGGAAAAGTTGGAAGCTAGCAGTGGTTGGTTCATGAGGTTTAAGAAGCCACCTCTGTAACATAAAAGTGCAAGATGAAGCAGCGAGTGCTGATGTAGAAGCTGCAGCCAGTTATCCAGAAGATCTAGCTAAGATCATTGATGAAGGTGGCTACAGCAAACAACAGATTTTCAATGTAGATGAAACAACCTTCTAGTGGAAGAAGATGCCATGTAGGGCTTTAATAGCTAGAGAGGAGAAGTCAATGCCTGGCTTCAAAACTTCAAAGGACAGGCTTATTCTCTTGTTAGGGGCTAATGCAGCCAGTGACTTTAAGTTGAAGCCAATGCTCATTTACCATTCTGAAAATTCTAGGGCCCTCAGATTTACGCTAAATCTACTCTGCCTGTGCTCTGCAAATGGAACAACAAAGCCTGAATAACAGCACATCTGTTTATAGCATGGTTTACTGAATATTTTAAGCTCACCGTTGATAGCTACTGCTCAGAAAAAGATTCCTTTCAAACTGTTACTGCTCATTGACAATGCACCTGGTCACTCAAAAGCTCTGATGGAGATGTACAAGGAGATTAATGTTGTTTTCATGCCTGCTAACACAACATCCATTCTGCAGCCCATGGATCGGGGGTAATTCTGACTTCCAAGACTTATTATTTAAGAAATACATTTTGTAAGGCTATAGCTGCCATGGATAGTGATTCCTCTGATGGATCTCGGCAAAGTTAACTGAAAACCTTCTGTAAAGGATGCACCATTTTAGATGCCATTAAGAATATTTGTGATTCATGGGAGGAGGTCAAAATATCTACATTAACAGGAGTCTGGAAGAAGTTGATTCCAACCCTCATGGATGACGTGGAAGGGTTCAAGACTGCATCAGAGGAAGGAACTGCAGATGTGGTGGAAATAGCAAGAGAACTAGAAGCGGAGCTGGAAGATGGGACTGAATTGCTACAATCTCACGATAAAATGTAGATGGCTGAGGAGCTGGTTCTTACGGATAAGCAAAGAAAGTGGTTTCTTGGGATGGAATCTATTTCTGGTGAAGATGCCATGAATATTGTTGAAATCACAACACGGGATTCAGAATATTATAGGTACTTAGTAGAGTAAGCAGTGGTAGAGTTTGATAGGATTGACTCCAATTTTGAAAGAAGTTCTACTGTGGGTAAATGCTATCAAACAGGATTGCATGCTACAGAGAAATCTCTTGTGAAAGGAAGAGTCAACTGATGTGGCAAACTTCACTGCTGTCTTATTTGAAAAAACTGCCACAGCCACCCCAGCCTTCAGCAACACCACCCTAAGTCAGCCACCATCAATGTTGAGGCAAGATCCTCCACCAGCAAAAAGATTACAAGTTGTAAAGGCTCAGATGATTGTCAGCATTTTTTTAGCAATAAAGTATTTTAAAATTAAGATACGTATATATATTTTAAAACATAATGCTATTGCTCAGTTAATAGACTTCCATTAGATGATCATTATAATGTAAACCTAACTTTTATATGCACTGGGAAACCAAAAAATTCATGTGACTCACTTTATTATAATATTCACTTTATTGTGTGGTGGCCTGGAACCAGACCCACAATATCTCTGAGGCGTGCCTGTACTTAGTTTAAAACTGACTTTCATATGGTCTCTATTCAGACTGTTCATGAATGATGCTCCTCTATTTTAAAGACTATCAGAATCTGGCTGTGTGTGGTGGCTCATGCCTGCAATCCCAATATTTTGGGGGGCTGAGGTGTGGGGATCAGTTGAGGCCAGGAATTTGAGACCAGCCTGAGCAACACAGTGAAACCGCATCTCAATACAAAAAATTAGCCAGGCATGATGGCACATGCCTGTAGTCCCAGGTACTTGGGAGGCTGAGGCACAAGAATCGCTTGAACCTGGGAGGCTGAGGTTGCAGTGAGCTGAGATCACACCACAGCCCTCTAGCCTCAATGACACAGCGAGGGAAAAAAAAAAAAAAAGGAAAAAAGACAGAGCAAGAGTCTGTCTAAAAAAAGAAAGAAAGAAGCCAAACTTAAATGGTTAGCAGCAAATCTCTGGGTAGTTTTGAAGAAAAGACGGTTTAAGAAAGAGAAGTTATTTTGATGATAGTTCCTAAGAAGGAAGGTTTTGTTGTCATTGTTGTTGTTGTTGTTTTTAATATAGAGAAAAGGTCTCGCTGTGTTGCCCAGCCTTCTCTCAAACTAGCTCAAACTAGAATCAAAAACTAGCTCACTGAAGAACATTTTGGCAGTTTGGTCTTTATGTGTATGAAACACTGGTAAATAAATCATAGTATTTTGGCAACCTGATACTTTAGTGTTGAGAAATTTTGATGACATCTGATATAGTTGGTAAGTTTGTCCCCTCTAAGTCCCATGTTGAAATGTGATCACCAGTGTTCCAGGTGGGGCCTGGTGTGAGGTGTTTGGGTCATGAGGGTGGATCCCTTATGAATGGCTTGGTGCCCTCCCTGTGGCAGTGAGTGAGTTCTCACTCTATTACTTCATGCCAGAACTAGTTGTTTAAAAGAGACTGGTATCTCTCTCTTGCTTCCTGTCTTGCCATGTGACACACTTGCTCCCTTTTTCCTTCTGCCATGATTGTAAGCTTCCTGAGGCCTCATCAGAAGCAGATACTGGCACCATGCTTCTTGTACAGTCTGCAGTATCGTAAGCCAAAACAAACTTCTTTTCTTTATAAATTGCCCAGCTCAGATATTCCTTTATAGCAATGCAAAACAGACTAATACAACATCAGTGTAAAACGCAGAACCATGGGAGATCATAAAAATTAGCATTTCCCAATCATGTGGGAATATTAACCTTAATAAACAAAGACAAATATTTTAATTAAAGCTTTGTAATTAAAGAGTGTGTGTGAAATATATTACGAATATAATGTAATTATACACTTTCACATAAAACCCAATATTCTACCACTTGAATTTAGACATCTGGATCTCAGATTTTCTTGACATTGCAGTTAAGAAGAAAATAATATAGGTTTTTATTTTATTTTTTTAAAGGATGTATGTTATAAAGTGGCAACTGGTCATTTCACCAGAATTAGTATTTTAAATAAGGAGCAGCATTTAATATTTCCCAACTCGTAAAAAATAATTACTTTTTGTCAGCTGAAAAGGGGACAGGTGGGTGTGTAAATTAAGTGTTGTAGTTGTTGGCATATTAGCTGCCTACGTCTCTGTTGGAAATCAACAAGGCAGAAGAGCATGCCAGGGAAAAAGCCTGGGGAGAGGAGCAGACTGTGGCTAGTGAAGAGCAGATAGAAGCAGAGAGAACTAGGAGTAGCAGAAACGAATGAGAAGGGCAGGGATAGAGCCACCCCCACCCGCCCTTTGCAAGGTGTGCTCCAGGTGTGTGGCACGTGGCAAAGAGTCCTCACATTTACACTGCCCTTGAGAAATGCATTCTAAAAGCAGATGGAGTTTGTGCTGAATGTGTTCCAAGGCGCCCCCCCCGGCCCCCCTGCTTTAATCCCCTCTCACCTTGTCCCACACCTCCTCAGTGACATCCATTATGCTTCCAAAGAAAGGGTTGACAGCAGCATTGGAGACTAGGATATCGATACCTCCATGAAGCTTCACAGCCTAGAGAGAGGGGTAAGTTCTGGACCAGGGCTGCAGTAAGTAAGGGAGGTGCATTTACCCATGTTGATAAAAACTTCCTTCTGGGCAAGGAGCTGTGGCTCATGCCTGTAATCATGGCACTTTGGGAGGCCAAGGTGGGAGGCTCACTTGAGCTGAGGAGTTTGAGAGAAGCCTGGGCCATGCAGCGAGACCTTATCTTTATATTAAAAACAACAACAACAATGACAACAAAATCTTCCTACTTAGGAACTATCGTCAAAATAACTTCTATTTCTTAAAACATCTTTTTTGAAAACTACCCTAAGATCTGCCGCTAACCATTTAAGGTTGGCTTCTTTCTTTTTTAGACGGAGTCTTGCTCTGTCATCCAGACTGGAGCACAGTGGCATGTTCTCAGCTCACTGCAGCCTTGACCTACTGGGTTCAAGCCATCCTCTTGGCTCAGCCCCCCAAGTAGTTGGGACTACAAGTGCGTGCCACCACACCCGGGCAATTTTTGTATTTTTTATAGAGACAGGGTCTTGCCATGTTGCCCAGGCTGGTCTGGAACTCCTGGGCTCAAGCCATCCACCTGCCTCAGTATCCTAAAGTGTTACAGGCGCGACCCACCAGGAAGTTGGCCCTATTTCTTTTGCAGTGTTTTCTTCCCACCTCCTATTCTTCCAAGGCTGTCTCTGACGCTCTTTTCTTTACACTTCCCCTTTGGGAAGCTCCTTCATTCTCATGATTTCAAGTCTCACCCCAAAATCTATTTCCAGACCCCTCCTCTTCCTTTCACACTGAGTTCCACCCACATTTCTCCAAGTGCTTACTGTCCAGTTCTCCTTGAATAAGTTACCATTATCTCAAAGTCAATCTGTCCACACTTACCTGAATGGAAAAACTGGCTTAAATAGAGCTGTAGAAAGTTACCCTGGAGGGGCCTTTGAGATCATCTATTCCAGTGTCCTTAAGGTGGAGATGATGAAATAGGTTCAGAGAATTTTCTCAAGATCTTATAGTTCAGTAGTGGCACACTGGGGCTAGGTAAGAACAGGAGGCCTGCTTATTCTGTGTTTGGGAGGGGTGAAGTGATGTTTTCAGGGCACAAAGCTAGTTAGTGGTGGAAGAACTGAGGTCAGTCTCCCACTTTGTAGCACAGAGCTAATTCATAAGAGCCCTCTGAAAGTGAGTTGGGGTCATCAGGAAACTGGTTGCCCAGGAGAGCCGTGATGGGAGAAGATACCAGCCTGAATTTAAAGCAATTCCATATTTGGTTATGATGTCATTTTCCCTGTCTCTGTCTCTCTCTTTTGACCTGGAGGCATGAAAGATTCAAGGCAGAAACTGAAATTTAAATTGAGAAGGCGAAGAAAGGCAACATCTCACCTCCTTAATAAGTTATAAGTAGATAGTGAGGCCTGTGCTAGAGTAATGAATGGCCAAGCAGAATCTGCCAACAAGGGTTTTCAGTACAAAGCCACCCTGAAACCAGACTTTCCGTTTGCCCGGAACTGGCAATTTTGATGCCTTGGGCAAGTTGCAGTACACGGGCCCTCGGTCAACTTTGTGCTCCGGATTTGGCACACAGAGGGGTGTTACTAACAATGTACACCATCTGCTAGCTTCCCGTTTTAACTAATTATTCTTGTTAACTAGGTGCTAAGCTCAGTTGTTTCTAGACAGTTGAAGGAATGCTGGGCTGTCAATGTGTAAATCTAACAAAATTTACAGTCACATAATCTTTTAAAACCAGTATTAATACTTTCTTGCACCCTTTAAATTTTGGTATCCTGGCACAAAGCCAAGTCACCTGCCTTGGCTCTGTGTAAGTCTCACCAATGGACTTGTTACTAGGGAGGTGCAGAGTAAGTTAATAAGTGATGTGCGCCGTGCTCAGTACACATGTGTTTGGGCTGGGAGGAGACAATGGATTGCTCTAGAATCACCTGGAGACATTTTCTACTCTGCTGTATACCCCATACTCCTCTCCTTCCAGGTCTGTCAGCACAGAGATGGGAGGAGGCTGGGTTTTGATTGAACAGAGACAGCAAACCATAAAAGATGAATGAGGCTGGGTGTGGTGGCTCACACCTATAATCCTAGCACTTTGGTAGGCCCAGTGGGGAGGACCACTTGAGGCCAGGAGTTCAAAACAGCCTGGGAAATACAGCCCCAACTCTACAAAAAATTTAAAAAATGAACTGGTGTGGTGGTGCATGCCTATAGTTTTAGCCACTTGGGAGGCTGAGGTGGGAGGATTGCTTGAGTTCAGGACTTCGAGGTTACAGTGAGCTATGATCATGTCACTGCACTGCAGCCTGGGCAACAGAAGGAGGCCCTGTCTCTGGAAAAAAAAAAAAAAGGAAAGTCTTCTAAGTCTTATTCTAAATTGTGTGATCACTACACCAAAGCGGTTAGGAGCTGTTTGTTCTGTGTTCTGATAGTTATACATTTTTAAGAAAAAATATAATCAAGGAGATAGGCAGCTACTCTGGTTTCCACTTACAACACCAGTGAGAAGCTTCGTGGTGTCCAGATGAGGAGGCCACTGGGTAGTATCCATTCTCAGGAAAGTGGCTTTTCTCATTGCAGGGTAACATGTGGCAACTGGCAGAAGACATTTCAAATTGCTGACAAGTATTCTATCATTCTCCTCTCTGACAATGGTCATACAAACTACTTGAGAGTCATTTTTGACTTCTCTATTTCCCACTTTTTGACATGGGGTTGGAAAATCTTGGTTCGTTTCCACTGAATGTCTCTTGGGCACATCTATTCCAGTCCCACCGCCACTGCTCTAAACCTGGAGGACAGCAACAGCTTCCTCACTGATGCCCTGGATTCGGTGTCTCCTCTGTATATCCTTCCTACCAGAGCCAGATTAGCTTTCCTAATAACCATCTTTCTCTTGCTCAAAACCTCACATGGCTTCTTATTTGCTACAAGGGTGTGTAAACATATCCTTTTAAGAGGCCATATCCTTTTAAGGTCCTTAACGTATCCTTTTAAGAAGCTATGGCCGGGCACAGTGGCTCACGCCTGTAATCCCAGCACATTGGGAGGCCGAGGGGGTGGATCACCTGAGGTCAGGAGTTCAAGACCAGCCTGGCCAACATGGTGAAACCCTGTCTCTACCAAAAATACAAAAATTAGCTGGACGTGGTGGTGGATGCCTGTAATCCTAGCTGCTCGGGAGGCTGAGGCATGAGAATTGCTTGAACCTGGAGGCGGAGGTTGCAGTGAGCTGAGATTGTGCCATATCACTTCAGCCTGGGCAACAAGAATGAAACTCTGTCTCAAAAAAAAAAAAAAAAAAAAAAGGATATGGAGGCCCATGGCCTCTATCTTTCCAATGCAGCCCCTTCCCCAGCAGTACTCCTGAGCCTGTGCTCTCCACTGTGGCCTGACAGTGCTCCTCTGTTTCCTTCAGTTCCTCCTTGGCTGTCTGCTCATTTTGCAGAGTTATCTGGAACCTCATCACTATTCCATCTGTCCATTCCCATCCATTCCTTAAGGTTTAGCTCAAGTACCACCTCTGGGCCAGGCCTGTAGGCCATGTTAAGTGAACCTGGTGGGGGCCACAGGATGTTTTTCCGGGAGGATTTTCACATTACATTGCTACATGTCATATGGTTAGTGCTAATTGATCCAGACTCCCAAACGGCTCCTTCCACCATCAGGATCAAGGCCCCAATCTTGGGGTCTGTCCATCAGCCTAAGCCAAGCTTTTTTGGACTCACATTTGTGACTTTCTTGGACTCATATTTGGCTCTTTCCAATGCACATTTGAGCATTTGCCAGACAGTTCCTTAAAAATGGAATTACCCTATTCTGTCTACCATACTACTGTCTACTATTGCTTAAGATCCTCCTCTTCTAAGATTATGCAAATTATTTCTGCCAACCTTCCAATCTGTTAGCAGAATCCTGTACTTTCCATTTTTGGGTAGATTCTCCCTTCCACTCTGGGAAATAAAGTGTATGCCGTGAGCCTCAAGGGAAGAGGAGCTTCCTTTGTGAATGCTTCATATTTGCTTCAGCAGCTGCAAGGCTGGTGTCCACTACTAATTCTGACATCGACTTATATACTTTCTTTGAGACTAAAGTCCAGTACCCGGTAGTCCACAGGCAGCCAATAAAGGAAGGGAGCCTGGGAGGTCTGGGTCTTTCCTTACTGGCTGTGGGACCTTGGGAAGTTGCTCCAGCTATCTGAGCCAGGGTCTGCAGACTGAGAGAATAGTCCTTGCCTTGCTTGGGTTGTTGTCAGGTCTAGAGATAACCTGTGTAAGGCTCTGAACACAGGAAATGGCACATAGTAAGTGGCTGAAACATGGTGGGCTGCTTCCTGAGGTTCCCAGGGACTTGACTCTATAAGCTGAAGAAGAGGGGAATGTTTATTAACTCATGGGTGGGAACATGTATTTTGTGATTGTATTTACCCTTCACATCTGTTCAATTAGATTGAAAATTACTGCAGAACCAGTACCAGCTGTTTCTTTGGGGTACTCAAGGGATGATGCAGGGTTGAAGCATTAGAATGTTTTAAAATTCTCTGACTGAGATGGGATGATTCTCTGACGTTAGTATATGGACATAATAGAAAGGCACACAGTAAAAATGTGCTGCTGTCTAGGAAAGCAGGGAAGGAGGCTCAGGCTGGCTCCGTTTTCCACCTCCTGGCTCTGTGCCCATTTCCCTGCAGCTCACCGTGGCCACCAGCCGCTCCCGGTCCTCCGCCTTCCCCACATGGCACACGGTGCCCGTCACGCTCAGCCCCTCCCCCTGCAGCGTGGCCACCGCCTGGTCCACATTCTGCTGCTTCCGGCTGCTGACGACCACATGGGCCCCGTCCTGGGCCAAACGCCGGGCGATGGCGAAGCCGATCCTGTGAGCAGAAAGAGACAAAGACTGCTAAGGCCTGTGCAGGGGAAGAGGTCGACAGTATGAGCTCTGAAGTTAAGACTGCCCGGGTTTGAATTCTGGCTCTTTCTCTATATAACCCCTACGTGTGCCTACTATGTGTAAAACAGGCTTAATGGCATGGCCATTTTTGGCATTCCTTTACTTGTTTTTATTATGACCTGGACCACAGCCTCAGTTCCCAAGAACTGACATCACTTTCTACAGTTCCCACCATGGGTGACAGGCTTCATCCCCTCTTGGGACTGAGAGGTGAGAAATGAGCTGGGTTTGCAGCAGCAGCCACTTCCGTGATTTGAGGGTCTCACTCAGAACAGCCCTGCCCCCAGGTTTCTTTCTTACTCGTCTACATCATTCTCAAAATTCTATCCTTAGTTATTTTTTGGGGTGCATGTGAAAAGATGGTCTCCGGTCAAAAATGTAAATATTGCCTTGGGAGGAAGAGTTACACATTTTGCATTTGTCAGCTATTAGCATTTTACCTACATTTGTATTTTAGTTTTGTGAAGAGCTGGCATCTAGCAAAGTCCTGTAGAAATGAGGACCAGGATAGACAAGAATGGTGGGTGAGAAACAGGCTGGGCAAGGTCGGCCCAGATGTACCGACCTAAACAAAAATCTCGACATATGGCTCTGGTGTCCCATCTAGGTAAGGGGGAGGGGTTCCGGGGGACTTTCCGGTGCCCAAATAGAATGTCTGGTACATTTTCAAAGTGCTGGAGGCCGTGGGATAGTATTTTGAAATCCAGATTTCCTTGGATTTCCAGTTTCTGGTCTTCCCAGACGCTAGGTGGCGCTGGTTGACTGGGGCAGCCCAGAACACTGGGGAGACTAGATCGATAGGGCTGCACAGAGGTGGCACAGTTGTGCCAGAGGTAGCAGGGACAGGAGGGCTGGCAAGGGAGGGTCCAGGGCTAGGGGATTCGGAGTGGCTTCAGGCGGACCACGTGGCTACCTTTTTTCCAGGGCCAGACTTTGGCAGCGTGTAAGGTCTGAGGACAGGGGCACCGGAGGCCGAGGATGAGAGGCCAGTGCCTGTTTCCAGGCAGCCAGGGCCTCAGAAACTCCGGCCGGAGCACTCACCCGTCGGTGGAGGCCGTTACCAGGGCCACCTTATTTGCGAGCGGGTCCCGGCGGGTCATCCCGGAGCTGGCCATCCGCACCGAATTCCAAGCCCGGGCACAGAGGCCTAGCAGCCCCGCCTTGTGCATGGATCAGACCAGCAAGTATGGGTTCCACTCTTCCCAGGGGCGGTGACAGAGTAGGGCGAGGGGCAGGACGAAGGGCGGGCCGATTCCCTGCCCGCCCTGCTCCCCGCCCCGGTACCGCTGTGAGCGGTCTGTGGCCCTGGGCACCTCCATCCGCCGCGGCGCCCCTCCACCATCTACCTTCCGCCTGACTGGGGCTTGCCTTTCCGGGCTGGCGGGTGAGCTCTCCGTTCAAGTTGCCTGTAGGGCTCGCCCCTCCCCTGGCCCTTGCAGGAACCCGCAGGCTTTGGCTGCTGCCTTTCTGCATCTGCTTGCCCACCTTTTCTTCTCTGGGAAGTGGGGGTTTTGAGTTGGTTGCTTTTGCTTCTTCAGAATTCCTTCTCCAAGAAAGTCTGGGTCTATGTGTGTGACAGCCCACAGGAGGGCAAATGTTTTGAGACTGCCCATGGAGGTGAGGCCTGTGGTCGCCATGGAGTCCACCAGGTGAGGCTGGAAGAGCCTGGGAGAGAGACGTGATAGGGAGTAGCTGCGCCAGGCCTGGCACTGCCCTTCACTCTGCCCAAGGTCTCTTCCATCTTCACGGGCCCTGGAGGGCAGACTATGGTCATTGGCCAAACAGCATTCTCATGTCCGTTGACAAAGGGACTTCCTCCTTTACAGGGGCTAAGTGGTAGCGAGGAGGCTGGACAGTCCCTCAAGCAGTGGTGGAAATGCAAAGAACTCGGGGCACTCAAGTTCTCCCTAACCACTCTGTCCCCAGGTCTTAGCCGCCATCTTAGTTCAATAAATATTTGTTGAATGCAAAATCTCTTTATGAACTGTAAGCTACTAAGCACATAGTAGTTACTGCCACCATGTAGTGATTATTATTGGTGCCCTGGGCCAGACTCTTCATCTGTAAATTACTGAGGGTATGGATGATGAATAAAGTCCTTGCCAGCTATAAATTCTGTGTCCAAGACTTCAGTCTGCACTTCTGCCAAGTGGGCTGAAATGATCTCCCTCCTGGGTTTCCGGGAGAATGAAGAAATCTGGATGGCTTATGGTACAGTGTAGAAAGGCCCCAACAGACCCAAATGCAAGCATCTGAATTGGTTTAACCCACTGGCCTCCAAAGCCAGACTGAGAAGCAGTGCTGGTTCATGGCAGCGTTTTCACTAGTTCAAGGCAAAATGAGAAAAGGAAACAATTACAGTGAGTTTCATAAAGCTAAGCTTATTTAACAGTCCTTTATTGTGGAGTATACGTTTGCTTCTTTTTGTGTGTGTGTGTGTGTGTTAGTGTTTTCTTTTAGAAAAGATGATGAAAGCAGATGGGTAGGTTTAGAGATGTGTTATTGGTGAAATCACCAGTTTGGCAGCCTTATGCCAGTCCCTACAATTAAAGGGGAAAGAATCCTGGTTTGTGAAATCCAGTTCTAGGCATGACTTTTGAATAGAATTCATGTTTGCTCAAGATTCATTTAGTATATGTGCAGGTAAGCTGAGCAGCTGAAAAAGGGTTTCAACATTCAAAAGGGGGTGTATGGTGAGCAAGTAATAGAACGGCCTGCACTGGAATTCTAGTGTTTTCCTCAGCCAAGAAGTTACAGCTGCAATACTCTGCTTTGCTACTCAGCAGATCCCGATGAGACAGGAGAGCTTCAGTATAATTTTCCCCATGTCCAGGGAAGGCTGACTCTGACTGGTGCTCCTCAGTCTGAGCCTCATGAATTATTGACAGAGGCTGGAAGCGCCACACTGCTTGTCCTCTTGCACTGTTTGGAGCTAACGCACTGTGGGAACCCTTCCCAGGGCTCTCCATCTGTGTGTGCGGCTGGGGGAGGGTACACAGGAGGACGGCTGCGGGGGTTCTCAGGGCTTGGTTCAAAGGGACAGGCCTGCAGGGGGCGTTTGATCTCTCTTTCCCTTCTCTTCAGAGGTAGACAGGTGGACTCAGGGGCTGAGGTTGGCAGGAAGGTGAGGAAGACTACACTTCAAAGAGCAAAGGATTCTGGGAAGAGAGAATTGTGGCTTGGGTGCTTGGTGAACATTACATGGCCCTTCCTTGTGTGGGCAGGGTTGCTATTTGGCCTCTAGCACTATTTCTTTTGTGGAGAGCACAGGGGACATTAGGGAGGGGGCCTGTGAGCAGAAAAGGATGGAAGGAAGTCAAGAAGTATGGGACTCTCTAGCACTACTCCTCATCAAGCTCGCTTATTGGAGATAAGAACAGGAAATCTTGGGCTGGGCATGGTGGCTCACACCTGTAATCCTCTTTACTAACAATACGAAAATTAGCTGGGCGTGGTCAGAAGTTCGAGATCAGCCTGGCCAACATGGTGAAACCTCATCTCTACTAAAAATACAAAAACCAGCCGGGCCTGGTGGCATGTGCCTGTAATCCCAGCTACTCAGGAGGCTGTGGCAGGAGAATTGCTTGAACGTGGGAGGCAGAGGTTGCAGTGAGCCAAAATCATGCCATTGCACTCCAGCCTGGGCAGCAGAATGAAAGACTCCATCTAAATAAATAAATAAATAAATAAATAAATAAATAAATAAATAACGGGAAATCTTTCAGGGAAATACATGCATATGTGGGAGTATCTCTTTGAAATGGGAACTGTAACAGGCAATGGGATTGTTCTTACATGGAGGTGGTAACATCTGCCTATCTTGAGGGACAAATGCCTTCATGAGTGAGGGCACTACTCCCATCCTTTTCAAGGGCTGCCTGCGGTCCAGAAGAGATTTCACCTGGGGTGGAATTTAAGTCTTGCGTTTTGCAATAGCTGTCCTAGATTGAGTCGAGTCCTGCATCACTGACACAAGTCAGAATTAGGCAATGTGGGAGGGCTGGTGTGGGGTTAGGACAACTACCAAGCAGAGAAAGTAATAGTAAGAGTGTTAACAGTATTTATTGAGCACTTCCTTACTAAATGCTGGCAAGCGTTAAGTGCTTTTTATAAATTTTATTGAATATTTTTAGTCTGGTGAAATGGGTGTTTTAATGTAGGGAGCCAAAGGCCTGAGGGTCGTGACCAACTCAGCATTCCACTGAAGGCTGTATGATCTAACAGCAAACTGTTTATCATGAATGCAGAATGTGGGCAAACTCACTTCTGCGCCTGCTACCAGAAGGTTTGCTGAGGGCAATGACTCCCTGGTGCTGTGCTCCTTGAGGTTATCTACAGGAACATCTGGAGACTACTGTTCAAAGAATGCAGTCATGCAAGCCTGCACTAAGCCAAGCAGCTGACTGACAACTACCCCCTTCTCCCTATCTCCTTTACTCAATAAATACAAAGGGCTATAGAAGCTCAGGGCCCTTCTTCACTAGAAGCAAGGAGCCTCCTGACCCCTTCTTCCAAAATACTCTTTTGTCTTTGTCTTTATTCCCACATTCATCTTCTTTTGTTAAGTCCACCAAGGACTGTGGCATTTTAACTTCTTCTTCTTTTTTTTTTTTTACTTTGTGACAGAGTTTTGCTCTGTCGCCAGGCTGGAGTGCAGTGGCACAATCTCAGCTCACTGCAACCTCTGCCTCCTGGGTTCAAGTGATTCTCCTGCCTCAGCCTCCCAAGTAGCTGGGACCACAGGTGCATACCACCTCACCCAGCTAATTTTTGTATTTTTAGTAGAGACGGGGTGTCACCATGTTGGCCAGGATGATCTCGATCCCTTGACCTAGTGATCTTCCTGCCTTGGCCTCCAAAAGTGCTGGGATAGCAGGCGTGAGCCACTGCACCCAATTAGGTGTTTTAAATTCTCTATGTGAAATCAGAGTGACTGATGACAACCTTGACCACTGTGTGTGTTGCATAGTTACACTTCAGTTTTCTGGCATTGTTGGGCAATCCATAGTTTTCATAGAAATCAATTTTCTCTCAACTGGAATTTAAACTTTCAGGATCAGTGTGTTTTTCAAATCAACACATCTACTCATTAAATTATATAAATAACACATTATTTTAAAAAGGGACAGAAAATTATTTGAAAAGTAAAAGGTAACTCTTCCCTATGGTTCTTTTACCTTCTTCCCATATAGCTCTTGGCTTTGTGTATCCTTCCAGAAGTTTCCTGTACATTTACATGCATTTTTCTTTTAAAAATTTTTTCCACAATTGAAATGACACTATACATACTGTCCTTCAAATTTCTTTTCTTTTCTTTCTTCTATGCTCCAATCCCCACTTTTTAATTTCTTTTTTTAAATAATTATACTTTAAGTTCTGAGATACACTTGCAGAATGTGCAGGTTTGTTACACAAGTGTACATGTGCCATGGTGGTTTTCTGCACCCATCAACCCATCATCTACATTAAGTATTTCTCCTAATGCTATCCCTCCCCTAGCCCCCCACCCCCCTGAAAAGGCCATGGTGTGTGATATTGCCCTCCCTGTGTCCATGTGTTCTCATTGTTCAACTTCCACTTATGAGTGAGAACGTGCAGTGTTTGGTTTTCTGTTCTTTCATTAGTTTGCTGAGAATGACGGTTTCCAGCTTCATCCAGGTCTTTGCAAAGGACATGAACTCATCATTTTTTATGGCTGCATAATATTCCATGGTGTATATGTGCCACATTTTCTTTTTCCAGTCTATCATTGATGGGCATTTGGGTTGGTCCAAGGTTTTTCTATTGTGAACAGTGCTGCAATAAACATATATATGCATGTGTCTTTATAGTAGAATGATTTATAATCCTTTGGATATATACCCTGTAATGGGATTGCTGGGTCAAATGGTATTTGTAGTTCTAGATCCTTGTGGAATGGCCACACTGTCTTCCACAATGGTTGAACTAATTTACACTCCCACCAACAGTATAAAAGCGTTCCTATTTCTCCACATCCTCTCCAGCATCTGTTGTTTCCTGACATTTTAATGATTGCCATTCTAACTGGTGTGAGATGGTATCTCATTGTGGTTTTGATTTGCATTTTTCTAATGAGCAGTGATGATGAGCATTTTTTCATGTTTCTTGGCTGCATAAATGTTTTCTTTTGAGAAGTATCTGTTCACATTCTTAGCCCACTTTTTGATGGTTTTTTTTTCTTGTAAATTTAAGTTTTTTGTACATTCTGGATATTAGCCCTTTGTCAGATAGATAGATTGCAAAAATTTTCTCACATTCTGTAGGTTCTCTGTTCACTCTAATTATAGTTTCTTTTGGTGTACAGAAGCTCTTTAGTTTAATTAAGTCCCATTTGTCTATTCTGGCTTTTTTTGCTGTTGCTTTGGGTATTTTAGTCGTGAAGTCTTTGCTCATGCCTATGTCCTGAATGGTATGTCCTAGGTTTTCCTCTAGGGTTTTTATGGTTTTAGGTCTTATGTTTAAGTCTTTAATCCATCTTGAGTTAATTTTTTTATAAGGTGTAAGGAAGGGGTCCAGTTTCAGTTTTCTGCATATGGCTAGCCAGTTTTCCCAACACCATTTATTAAATAGGAAATCTTTTCCTTATTGCTTGTTTTTGTTAGGTTTGTCAAAGATCAGATGGTTGTAGATGTGTGGTGTTGTTTCTGAGGCCTCTGTTCTGTTCCATTGGTCTAGATATCTGTTTTGGTACCAGTACCATGCTGTTTTGGTTACTGTAGCCTTGCCGTATAGTTTGAAGTGAGGTAGCATCATGCGTCCAGCTTTGTTCTTTTTGCTTAGGATTGTCTTCATTATATTGGCTCTTTTTTGGTTCCATATAAAATTCAAAGTAGTTTTTTCCAATTCTGTGAAGAAAGTCAATGGTAGCTTGATGGGGATAGCATTGAATCTATAAATTACTTTGGGCAGTATGGCCATTTTCACGATATTGATTCTTCCTATCCATGGGCATGGAATGTTTTTCCATTTGTTTGTGTCCTCACTTATTTCCTCGAGCAGTGTCTGTATTTCTCCTTGAAGAGGTCCTTCACATCCCTTGTAAGTTGGATTCCTAGGTATTTTATTCTCTTTGTAGCAATTGTGAATGGGAGTTCACTCATGATTTGGCTCTCTATTGTCTGTTATTGGCGTATAGGAATGCTTGTCATTTTTGCACATTGATTTTGTATCCTGAGACTTTGCTGAAGTTGCTTATCAGCTTAAGGAGATTTTGGGCTGAGACGATAAGGTTTTCTAAATATACAATCATGTCATCTGCAAACAGAGACAATTTTACTTCCTCTCTTCCTGTTTGAATACCTTTTATTTCTTTCTCTTTCCTGATTGCCCTAGCCAGAACTTCCAATACTATGTTGAATAGGAGTTGTAGTTGTGAGAGGGCATCCTTGTCTCGTGCCTTTTTTCAAAGGGAATGCTTCCAGTTTTTGCCCATGCAGTATGATACTGGCTGTGGCTTTGTCATAAATAGCTCTTATTATTTAGAGATACATCCCATCAATACCTAGTTTATTGAGAGTTTTTAGCATGAAGGGGTGTTCAATTTTATCGAAGGCCTTTCTGTATCTAAATAATTAATCATGTGGTTTTTATCATTGGTTCTGTTTATGTGATTGATTACGTTTATTGATTTGCATATGTTGAACAAGCCTTGCATCTCAGGGATGAAGTCGGCTTGATCATGGTGGATAACCTTTTTGATGTGCTGCTGGATTCGTTTTGCCAGTATTTTATTGAGGGTTTTTGCATTGATTTTCATCTGGGATATTGGCCTAAAATTCTCTTTTTTTTGTTGTGTCTCTGCCAGGCTTTGTTTTCAGGATGATACTGACCTAATAAAATGAGTTAGGGAGGACTCCCTCTTTATCTATTGATTGGAATAGTTTTAGAAGGAATGGTACCAGCTCCTCTTTGTACCTCTGGTAGAATTCAGCTGTGAATCCATCTGGTCCTGGACTTTTTTTGGTTGGTAGGCTATTAATTATTATCTCAATTTTAGAACCTGATATTGGTCTATTCAAAGATTCAACTTCTTCCTGATTTTCTCTTGGAAGGGTCTATGTGTCCAGGAATTTATCCATTTCTTCTAGATTTTCTCGATTATTTGTGTAGAGGTGTTCTCTGATGGTAGTTTGTATTTCTGTGGGATGGGAGGTGATATCCCCTTTTTCATTTTTTATTGTGTCCATTTCATTTTTCTCTCTTTTCTGCCTTATTAGTCTTGCCAGCGGTCTATCTATTTTGTTGATATTTTCAAATAACCAGCTCCTGGATTCATTGGTTTTTTGAAGGTTTCTTTTGTGTCTCTATCTCCTTCAGTTCTGCCGTGATCTTAGTTATTTCTTGTCTTCTGCTAGCTTTTGAATTTGTTTGCTCTTGCTTCTCTAGTTCTTTTAGTTGTGATGTTATGGAGTTCATTTTAGATCTTTTCTGCTTTCTCTTGTGGGCATTTAGTGCTATAAATTTCCCTCTATACACTGTTTTAAATGTGTCCCAGAGATTCTGGTACATTGTGTCTTTGTTTTCATTGATTTCAAGGAACATCTTTATTTCTGCTTTAATTTTGTTATTTACCCAGTAGTCATTCAGGAGCAGGTTGTTCAGTTTCCATGCAGTTGTGCAGTTTTGAGTGAGTTTCTTAATCCTGAGTTCTAATTTGATTGCACTGTGGTCTGAGAGACATTTTGTTGTGATTTCTGTTCTTTGACATTTGCTAAGGAGTGTTTTACTTCCAATTGTGTGGTCAATTTTAGAATAAGCATGATGAGGTGCTGAGAAGAATGTATATTCTGTTGATTTGTAATGGAAAGTTCTGTAGATGTGTGTTAGGTCTGCTTGGTCTAGAGCTGAGTTCAAATCCTGGATATCCTTGTTAATTTTCTGTCTTTTTGTCTGTCTAATATTAAAAGTGGGGTTTATAGTTTCCCATTATTATTGTGTGGGAGTGTAAGCCTCTTTGTAGGTCTGTTTGAACTTTCTTTATGAACCTGGGTGCTCCTGTATTGGGTGCATATATATATTTAGGATAGTTAGCTCTTCTTGTTGAATTGATTCTTTTACCATTATGTGATGGCCTTCTTTGTGTCTTTTGATCTTTGTTGGTTTAAATTCTGTTTTATCCGAGACTAGGATTGCAACCCCTGCTTTTTTTCACTTTTTATTTGTTTGGTAGATCTTCCTTCATCCCTTCATTTTGAGCCTATGTGTGTCTTTGCATGTGTGATGGGCCTCCTGAATACAGCACACTGATGGGTCTTGACTCTTTTTTTTTCCTTTTTTTTTTTTTTTTTTGAGACAGAGTCTCGCTCTGTCACCCAGGCTGGAGCGTAGTGGCACAATGTCGGCTCACTACATGCTCCACCTACTGGGTTCATGCCATTCTCCTGCCTCAGCCTCCCAAGTAGCTGGGACTACAGGCTGGTGCCACTATGCCTGGCTAAGTTTTTGTATTTTTAGTAGAGACGGGGTTTCACCATGTTAGCCAGGATGGTCTCAATCTCCTGACCTCATGATCCGCCCGCCTTGGCCTCCCAAAGTGCTGGGATTACAGGCATGTGCCACTGCACCCGGCCGAGTCTTGACTCTTTATCCAATTTGCCAGTCTATGTCTTTTAATTGGGGCATTTATCCCATTTACATTTAAAGTTGATATTGCTATATGTGAATTGGATCCTGTCATTATGATGTTAGCTGGTTATTTCACCCATTAATTGATACAGTGTCTTCATAGCATCAATGGTCTTTACAATTTGGTATGTTTTTTGCAGTGGCAAAACAAAAAGGTTCTTCCTTTCCATGTAAAGTGCTACCTTCAGGAGCTCTTCTAAGTCAGGCCTGGTGACAACAAAGTCTCTCAGCATCTGCTTGTCTGTAAAGGATTTTATTTCTCCTTCACTTATGAAGCTTAGTTTGGCTGGATATGAAATTCTGTTTTGAAAATTCTTTTATTTAAGAATGTTGAATATTGGTCCTGACTCTCTTCTGGCTTGTAGGGTGTAGGAAGACCCCCTGAAACTATTGCTATGGAATAAAAGATGAAATGCTCCTGATTATTGTAAATACAAAATTGCATGCAGGATTGTCTAAAGACAATGCCAGGTTGGACTGCCAGAATGAACCAACAGCACGTGATGTGCTTCCCTCTGCAGAGAGCCTATGAATGGACATGCAGTCAGGGAGGTTTCACATCACCAAGATTCCTATCCCAGAAAAGCAGATGTTCATAGCTCTGGGAATGGAATGCGGCCCTTGTGGAGAGCCTATAAATGGATGCATGGGGGGCACCTGTCCATATAGATAAGATAGGGCTATAAATGCCCTCATCTTGCCATGGCTCTTCTAGGCCTCTTTAGGGTTAAGGCATACTCCCTTCTGAAAATTTCTGGTCTAACCGGTTGTCTAGCTTCAGGTCCTGTTTCTATGGATTGTTCGTAACCATCTTTTGCTGCAACTGTTACTGCTGATTAATATCTTGCTAATCATGGGTTATGAAAAGACTGTGTTTCTGTTTTAAGGCTCTGTTAGAAATTACTGATGTACACACTATATTGTAAATCCTTATCCCTGTATACTGTACTTCTGCATACAGATGTTATGTTAAAGAATTACTTCATCACCATGTGACCATCTCACATCATAATCAAATGACCCTAAATCCCTCACTAACCTACCCCCATCCTCACTAAACTTAATAATAGATGCTGGTATATCCAGTGCGTTGTTGGCACCACGGGACCAAAAGGCGGTGACCCCCTGGACCCAGCTTTCACTGTCTTGTGTGTGTCTATTATTTCTCAACCTGCTGATCCACCTGGGAACTAAGAGAGAGCCCTGTTGCATTGCGGGCTGCTGGCCAGATCCCGCAATAGTAGGGTTTCTGCTGAAATGTCCCCTGTTAGTCTGATGGGCTTCCCTTTGTCAGTAACCCAACCTTTCTCTCTGGCTTCCCTTTACCTTGGTGAATTTGACAATTATGTGTCTTGGGGTTGCTCTTTTTGAGGAGTATGTTTGTGGTGTTCTCTGTATTTCCTGAATGAATGTTCCTTTTTACTCTTTTTGTCTCTAATCTTGTCTTCTCACTTAACTTCATTAATTTGATCTTCAATCACTGATATCCTTTCTTCTGCTTGATCAAATCAGCTATTGAAGCTTGTGTATCCTTCATGAAGTTCTCCTACTGTGGTTTTCAGCCCCATCAGGTCATTTAAGCTCTTCTCTACACTGGTTATTCTAGTTAGCCATTTGTCTAACCTTTTTTCAAGGTTTTTAGCTTCCTTACGATGGGTTAGAACATGCTCCTTTAGCTCGGAGAAGTTTGTTATTACTGACTTTCTGAAGCCTACTTCTGTCAACTCTCTGTCTAATTTTGTTCCCTGTATGGCCAGGACTTGTATTCCTTTGGAGGAGAAGAGTTGTTCTGGTTTTTGGATGTTTTGGCTGTTCTGCTCTGGTTTCTCCCATCTTTGTGGTTTTATCTACCTTTGGTCTTTGGTGTTGGTGACATACAGATGGGGTTTTGGCGTGGATGTCCTTTTTGTTGATGTTGATGCTATTCCTTTCTGTTTGTTAGTTTTCCTTCTAACAGACAGGCCTCTCAGCTGCAGGTCTTTTGGAGTTTGCTGGAGGTCCACTCCAGACTCTGTTTGCCTGGGTATCACTAGCGGAGGCTGCAGAACAGCAAATATTGCTGCCTGATCCTTCTTCTGGAAGCTTTGTCCCAGAGGGGCACCCACCTGTAGGAGGTGTCTGTCGGCCCCTACTGGGAGGTGTCTCCCAATCAGGTTACACAGGGGTCAGGGACCCACTTGAGGAGGAAGTCTGTCCATTATCAGAGCTCAAATGCCATGCTGGGAGAACCACTGGTCTCTTCTGAGGTGTCAGGCAATGATGTTGAAGTCTGCAGAAGCTGTCTACTTCCTTTTATTCAGGTACGCCCTGCCCCCTGAGGTGGAATCTAGAGAGGCAGTAGGCCTTACTGAGCTGTGGTGGGCTCTGCCCAGTTTGAGCTTTTTTGCCGCTTTGTTTACACTGTGATCATAGAACCACCTACTCAAGCCTTAGCAATGGTGGACGCCCCTCCCCCACCAAGTTCCACCATCCCAGGTTAATCTCAAACTGCTGCACTTGCAGTGAGTAAGCCTCTGTGGGCATGGGACCTGCTGAGCCAGGCACGGGAGGGAATCTCCCGGTCTGCTGATTGCGAAGACCATGGGAAAAGTGCGGTATTTGTGCAGGAGTGTACCATTTCTCCAGGTACAGTCACTCATGGCTTCCCTTGGCTGGGAAGGGGAAATCCCCTGAATCCTTGCTCTTCCCAGGTGAGGTGACGCCCTGCCCTGCTTCAGCTCACCCTTTTTGGGCTGCACCCACTGTTCAAACAATCTCAGTGACATGAACCACGCACCTCAGTTGGAAATGCAGAAATCACCTGTCTTCTGTGTCAATCATGCTGGGAGCTGTAGACCAGAGCTGTTCCTATTCAGCCATCTTGGAAGCGACTCCTAGAATTTTGTAACTCTGTTGTGTAGCTTACTCAAATTTTTGGTTTTTCAGTTTTTTTCACTGAGTGCCAAGTATTTAAGCAGTTGTTTGTGAATACTGGTTGGAAATATCCCAGTATTTGCATGGTCCTAGCAGGCAGAATATTCTTATAAAACAAGTATGGGCTTCTCTTTCCCCTCATGCCTAGGATTGCTTTCTTCTGCTGTATTTGGGAAGGGGTGGTATGGGAAGGGGGTTTGTCTGTGCAGTTCCACAGTCTATTTTCAAATAGCAGGTGGCTCCATCTTGGGCCTCAGCACTCTCTGGGGCTGGCCACTTCTGGGAACTCCAAGATTATGGCCCTTACATTATTTCTACATGGATGCTGAGATGCAGGCTTTGGGGCAGGGATGAGATGGGGAATACCATACTTCCTGATACAGTTTGGATGTTTGTCCCCTCCAAATCTCATGCTGAAATGTGATTCCCAATATTGGAGGTGAGCTTGGTGGGAGGTGTTTGGTTCATGGGGGTGGATCCCTCATGAATGGCTTGGTGCCCTCCCCTTGGTGATGAGTGAGTTCTCTCTCTTTTAGTGCATGTGGGAGTTGGTTGTTAAAAGGAGCCTGGGACCTCCTCCATGCTGGTACTGTGCTTGTACAGCCTGCAGAACTGTGAGCCAAATAAACCCTGTTTCAATATGAATTACCCAGTCTCAGGTATTCCTTTATAGCAATGTAACATGGACTCACACACTTCCCCAGCTGCCTATTCTTTATTCCTCACAATGCCGTGGCACTAAGAAATTCACTGAAGATTTGGGGGCAGAATGAATCACAATACAGAGGGACAAATCCACCAGGCATAGCATGCCTAATATAAGTTCCCATTGGGTCTTTTATTGGCACCAGCAAATTCCTAGCCCTGCTTTCAAAACTGAGGTTTCCTCTGTCCTCCAGAGATAGTCCCTGTGGCAGATGTGGAGACGCAGGTCAAAGCTCAGGTTTTCCTTCTAGACAGGACTCATGGCCCAGCTGCTGAGAGCCTGATTAGCTGTGAGTGTCCAGCTGTTAACTCCTTCTGGTCTACTTCAGCTTCTGGAAGGAGGTTACGTTCTTCTCAGGGCGGCTCTGGCCATTTACTGAGCAGGACAGTGTGGTCAAGGACCTCACTATTTCTGCCCAACATGTGGCTTCTCTAAAGGTCCTCTTTGCTTTGGAGCTCTCAGGCATTTGTCAGACCTGCATCTCATGGTCTAACACTTTCTTCTCAATCCTGCTTCCTTCCTTTTCCTTTCACAGGTGCCACTTCGGATAAACCCTTTGGACTCCTAACTCCAATCAGGTGTCTGCTTTGTTGAGGACTCACAGACACAGTCTCCTTTCTTCAAGATCTTTACAATGCAAGACCTCACTAACACACAGGGATGGTCTCCCAGAGGGTCTGTGCTGTTCCTTCACTCAGAACATCAAGATGCACTGAAGTAAGGATCCTCTATTCTACAGTTCCTGCTAGCTGAGCTATTCCATGGGGGCTTCAGCAGGAAATTCCAAGGTTGGCTTTGACAAGCTAAGGCCGGCTGGTGGAGCACATCGAGTTCTGGAGGTTCATGTGTGTTTTCATGAAGATCTGTCTGCCCGTAGCAGATAAAGAGTTGTTGCCCCACTCCTCCTGGGGTCTTCTATTTTCCTGGGAGGAATTTCTGGATTAACTGAACACACACACACACACACACACCCTTTTGAAGCATCAACAGTAATTCTGAGTTCTTAGGGACAATGCAGATTAAATCCACAATAAGAAAGACAACTATGGCCAGGTGTGGTGGCTCACGCCTGTAATCCCAGAACTTTGGGAGGCTGAGGCGGATGGATCACCTGAGGTCAGGAGTTAGAGACCAACCTGACCAACATGGAGAAACCCCGTTTCTACTAAAAATGCAAAATTAGCCGGGCATGGTGGCAGGCGCCTGTAATCCCAAATACTCGGGAGGCTGAGGCAGGAGAATCACTTAAACCCGGGAGGCAGAGGTTGCAGTGAGCCAAGATCGCGCCATTGCACTCCAGCCTGGGCAAGAAGAGCAAAACTCCATCTCAAAAAAAAAAAAAGAGTACTATTGATCCAGAGGTGACCAGACTAGCCTCACTGGAGATAATAGGTGACATTATTATGCAAAGTGGTTTCAGTTCCCTTGTCTTGTTTTTGGAATAGTATAAGAGGCCTACAATACGAATAAATAAGGCCCATCACAAGCCTCACCAAAGGACAAAACTAATCCACTTCTGAAGAAGGCTCTTTGTTGGGCCAGATCAAATCCTTGGACAGAACTGTACTCTTAATCTCTGTAGTGAAAGTGGGGGGTAGTTTAAGAATTTATTAACCTTCTACCTTGAGCAATCCCTCAGAAGTAAGAGGTGTCAGGCCTCTGAGCCGAAGCTCAGCCATTGTAACCCCTGTGACCTGCACATATATGTCCAGATGGCCTGCAGGAGCCAAGAAGTCTGGGGCAGCTGAAAAACCACACAAGAAGTAAAACAGCCAGTTCCTGCCTTAACTGATTAACCAACATTACAACATTCCACCATTGTGACCTGTCCCTGTCCTACCTTAACTGATCAATCGACCTTGTGACAGTCTTCTTCTGGACAATGGGTCTTATCATCTCCCCACCATGTACCTTGTGACCCCCTCCTCTGCTAACAATAGATAACCACTTTTTACTGTAATTTTCCATTACCTACCCAACTCCTATAAAGCAACCCCTTCCCCATCTCCCTTCACTGACTCTGTTTTCAGACTCAGCCCACTTGCACTCAAGTGAATAAACAGCCTTGTTGCTCACACAAAGCCTGTTGGTGGTCTCTTCACACAGATGTGCTTGACAAAAGGGAAGGGTGGATTTGTCCTTCTGGTTACATATGTTCTGCTCACTCATTTTGAATTTAATTAAACAAGGATTGCCCTTACCTTTTCATACTTTGTAAGAAACCATAAATACTTATGCACCATGATTTTTTTAAAGAAACACTTTTTATTTTGAAGTAATTATAGTCTCATAGGAAGTTGCAAAAGTAGTACATAGAGTCCCTGAGTACTCTTCCCCCAGTGGTGACAACTGTAGTATAATATCAATTCTGGGAAATTGACATTGGTACAATACCAAATATACTATGCCTTTTTCTCTAAGGCATGATGTTGCAGTAGCATCCTTGTACATGTAGCTAGGAGAACTTGTACTAAGCCCAGATAAATAGTTGAAGTACAAGGGCAAGGAGTGTGTCTTTGATATTTTAATAGAAATCACCTATTGCCCTCTAGAAAAGCTGTACCCTTTTCCAGTGGCAGAGAACCTTCCTGAAAGGCAGTCCTGTGTAATGGTGTCCATTTCATCACACCCTTAAAACACTCAGCTTTAACAAACATGCAGATTTTTGCTGATGTGGGAGAAAATATTAATTATTAATGATATTAAGGTGATTATCTTTTCGTATGTTTATAGATATTTGTATTTCTTTTTAAATGAACTGCTCATGACCTTTGTCTACTTTTATTTGGGTTTACTTCTTTCTCATTTATTCCTATAAACTCTTTATAAAAGGAAATTAACCATTTGATTGTCATATGTTGTGAATATTTTTACCATTTTGACTTTTGAATTTATGTCTTTTTAATGAATTGTAGAAGTTTAAAATCTTTATGGAATAAATTTATTTAGTTTTTTGTTTATGGCTTCTGAGTTTTGTGTCATGATTAGAAAGGCCTTTCTTACTCCAAAAGTATAAGATATTCAATTATAAGATTTCCTGTAGTTATTCAATGTGTGTGTATGTATGTTTAAATCTTTTGGCCATCTGATATTTGTGCTTGTGTGGGAAGTGAGATAGAAATCCGGGTTAGTTTTTTTCCCAAATGGTTAACCAGTTGTCTCAGCACTGTCTGAGTAACTCTTCCATGCCTTGGTTTCTTTATCATTACCATATGTATTTGAGCCTATTTCTGGACTCTAGTTCATTTTATTGATTTGTCTGTCTGTTCCCAAGTCAGGATTTTAATAGATATTGCAAAGAGGAAAAAGAAAGTGCTAAAATTGCCATAAAATAACTTCAAATAGAAGAGTATGGCAGTTCAGAGGTGGGAGAGAGTATTTTTAGTTGGGGTCTGAAAAAGCTTCATGAAAGAGGGACATTTAAGGTGAAGCTTGAATGACGAGCACTACGTTGGGCAAAGGGAATAAAGAACAAAGTCATGGAGGTGGTAAATATTTGTGCACATTTGCATCGTGTCTCTGCGAAGGAACTCATGCTCCACCACTGGTGTTTTTATGCATGCGTGTCTTGAGCACAGTTAAGAGGATAAAGAAATTTTCATGTTACTCTTTTGAGGCATTTTGAGGACACATTTATTAATCATAATGGCTACACGTTGAATACCTACTGTTATCCCATAGACATAGGGGTATCTATGTCATTTTTAATTTTCACCACAATGAGCAAAGTTGATATTCCCATTTTAGAAATGAGGAAAATGCCTCAGGCAGTTTAAATAACACCTAAAAGTGGCTGGATTGAGATTAAAATGGATGACCAGCAATTTAAAAAATCAGAATAGAAAATACCACAATTCATCACCTATGGTTAGGGTGTTTGTAGCAGAAGCTGTTCCTGCTCCACCTACGTCACCTGGGATCCCTCTGCTATCTCTGTGTAGACCAGTTGAATCCCAGTGTGCATTCTTTCCCAAAAGCCAGCATACTGTTGGAAGGTACAAGAGAGCCAGAAGTGCCTGGGAATTTATGTCCCTTCCCTCCCCTCATGCCTTTAACCAATGACTGATGGGGGTGGGGATAGACATACTCTAGCTCTTTTGCCCTCTCACTGGATGACTGAGGTGTGACCTATGATGTTCCCCAAGCCCTCTGAGGGAATGTATCAAAATTGCCTTCCATGGGACTTGGCTTGATGTTGTACCCTTACTTGGCCCCTTTCTACTCCTACTTTCTCCCATATGTCTTTTCTCTGGGAATAGTTCCTAATAAATCACTTTCATGTTCATCTTCCTCTAGGGCAGCACTGCTTTAAGAAGCTTCTGTTGTAGTGATGTAGGAGAGAGAGAGAGAGAGAGAGAGAGAGAGTGTGTGTGTGTGTGTGTGTGTGTGTGTGCGCATGCATTCCGTTATCATTTAACATGTATTTCTTAGTGTGGAGCCAGTTTGAAAGCTCTATACTGGCTGTTCTATACTACATTAAACTGCCTGTTTGGGTATAGTTCACTGAGCTGGAAATTCTTCTTGATGCCCCCAAATAAGCACTGCAGATCAGATTCCAAATCTTATTGCTTATTTGAGTACAGTGACTTAAAATACGTTAATAAAAATCTAGGCTGGACACGGTGGCTTACATCTGTAATCCCAGGACTTTGGGAGGCCAAGGTGGGTGGGTCACTTGAGGTCAGGAGTTTGAGACTAGGTTGACCAATGTGGCAAAACCCCATCTCTACCAAAAAAAAAAAAATACAAAAAAATTAGCTGGGTCTGCTGGCATGTGCTTGTAGTCCCAGCTACTCAGGAGGCTGAGGCAGGAGAATAGCTTGGACCTGGGAGGCAGAGGTTGCCGTGAGCTGAGATCGGGCCGCTACAGTCCAGCCTGGGTGACAGAGCAAGGCTCCATCTCAAAAACAACAACAACAACAACAAACAACAACAACAACAACAAGTGTTAGTTATGGCTGTAAAGAACACAGTCAATTTTGATACTATTGGCTAGGCTGGTCTTTGACTTCTTGGGCAGCCAACCCTACTAAACAGTTTCCAAAGTTCAGGCTTCCCTTTGCCAAAGTTGATAAGTGTGGTGTAAAGGTCATGTTAGTTGAGTGTTAATTTTTTTGCAGACTAGCAGAAACGAGAAGACCAGGTTTGCCTTGTAGCAGAGCCAGAAGGTGTGCCTGACCACAGGGCAGGATAGTCATGCCAGGACTCTGACCCTCAGCTTGGCTTAGATGGAGAGAGGCAAGGTGTACAGAATTGCTTTGCATTTACCCCCAAAGACAAGGTAGTTAAAAGAAGGGAAGATAACACACCACATACTCACTACCAACCAATGAGACCTAGCAAAGGCGTCACACAAATCCTTGTCAGATTTGTGGGGATCCTGGGGCAGTCCTGACTGCCAGAATCCACCGGAGGCCATGAGTGGAGGGCTGAGGACATCATTTCTAAGTACAGTGGAAATGAAATCTGGAAGGTAGTGCAAAGGAAAGGGCAGGAGACTCATCTTCTCAGGGAAGTCGTGGGATCCCTGCCATCACATATGTCCGCTGATGACCCTTATTTGTCAGTGCATGACGTAACATTGTCTACACGTTTAGAAAAGAGCAAAAATATGTTCAAAAATCTGATGGAATGATTAAGACACAAGGAGGGAGATCTAAACTCATCAAATTTAGGATGAAGATGGCTGTGAGTTAAGAATTTATAGGGAGTTGGGCACAGTGGTTCACGCCTGGAATCCCAGCACTTTGGGAAGCAGAGATGGGAGGATCACTTGAGGCAAGGAGTTTGAGACCAGTCTGGGCCATATAGTGAGACTCTTATCTCTACAAGAAATAAAAAATTAGCTGATCATGGTTGCGTGCACCTGTATTACCAGCTACTCAGCGGGCTGAGGAGGCAGGATGACTTGAGTTCAGGAGTTGGAGGCTGTAGTGAGCTATGATTGTGCCACTGCATTCCAGCCTGGGTGACAGGGTGAGATCCTGTCTCTAAAAAAAGTGGAATTTTTAGAGTTTAATATTGTCCCAAAGAAGATCCATATGTTCTGGTAGGCATGAATATTCTGGACATCCCGAAGGTGTGATGCAGCGTGGAGAGTGGGTGCACATCAGCATCACCAGCACCTCTGTTAAGCAGAATACTGTGCATGGGTATTAATCCCTGGTGGGGAATTCTGTGCGACTATTAAGAATCCCAGAGGAGAACTCTAAACACCTTGCCAGCTTCTACTAAGGTTCCTAGATCTGGCAGGTTTCTAGATCTGGCAGGAGGTTTTGCCCAAACCCAGCTGCCAGTGTATGAGTTTGGTGAGACAGAGCACTTGTGCAACATGTCAGGCAAAGCAAGTTTAGTACTCCCAGGCAGGGAGCAAGGGCCAACAGAAGTCTAGGATCCATGATGTGCTGGTCCCCCAAGGCTTAGGGAGGCTGCCCAGGGTGGATGCAGTCTTATCTGTATGTGCTCCACTATACATCTGATATAGTTTGGATATTTGTCCCCTCCAAATCTCATGTTGAAATGTGATCCCCAGTGTGGAGGTGGGGCCTGGAGGGAGGTGTTTGGGTCAGAGGGGTTGATCCCCCATGAATGGCTTCGTGTCCTCCCCGTGGTAATGAGCGAGCTCTCAGCTATTACTTCATGTGAGATCTGGTTGTTTTAAAGAACCTGGCACCTTCTCCTTTCTCTTTTGCCCCCTCTCATGCCATGTGACATGCTGCCTCCCTCTTTGCCTTCCACCATGAGTGGGAGCTTCCTGAGGACCTCACCAGAAGCTGAGGAGATGCTGGTGCTAGGCTTCTTGTAGAGACTGCAAAGCCGTAAGACAAATGAACTTCTTTTTTGTATAAATTGCCCAGATATTCCTTTACAGCAAAACAAAATGGACTGATATAGCACCACTACTGAGGGACCCTGAAAGCATTCTGCTCTGGTTTTATACCTCAGAGGCCACTTGGATTGGTGAGCCAAGCATTGCAGGCTGTTCTAGGAATGACGGAGACAAAGCCTGGGCTATTCTGGGCATTTCCTCCTATCTCAGAATGTTGCATTCTCTGTACATTCTGCCCAAGAATTGCAAGCAAAGGAGGGTCAGCCAAGGCTATTTGCAGGCTTGTCCTCCTGTCTGGTTGAAAGATCCTTCAGTACCAGCCAACTCTCTCTCCTGGTTCCATGTTCACTCTGCTACTTTCTAATTATTACTCCAGGTTGGAGGGATGGATGATGGACAACAACTTTTCTCATCACTGGAAGGGCATGTTCCCCACTGAAACTGAATCCACTGTTTTTTGTTTGTTTGTTTATTTGTTTATTTTTGTTTTTGAGACAGCGTCTGGCTTTGTTGCCCAGACTGGAGTGCACTGGTGCAATCTCGGCTCACTGCAACCTCTGCCTCCGGGGTTCAAGAGATTCTCCTGCCTCAGCCTCCCAAGTAGCTTGGACTACAGGCACGCACCACCATGCCTGGCTAATTTTTATATTTTTAGTGGAGACAGGGTTTCACCATGTTGGCCAGACTGGTCTTGAGCTCCTGACTTCAAGTGATCCACCTGCCTTGGCCTCCCAAAGTGCTGGGATTACAGGCATCAGGCCACTCCACTGGGTTTTGAGAATCAGTCAATTTTATGTGTGTTTAGGTTACTTAGCTGCATTCCTAAAGTCTCTGAACCAGTCAGCCAGGAGCTTGGATATCAAGACCTTGGAGGGAGTTTGGTGTCAGTTTTCAGCATCAAACTCCCTCCAAGGTCTTGATATCCAAGCTCCTGGCTGATCTGGGAGCCACAGCAGGGGTCAGGGCCCTGTGATCCCCAGCCTGAAACTGGCAGTCAGATTTCACAGGCTTCAGACCACAGAGGAGCACTAGGACCCCACCAGAGGTGGTCCGGAGGCTGACCTGAAGGCCCTGGGGATGGGCTATGCAAGCTGATTGCTCACTGCGAGTAGCAAGAGGTGAGTGTTGCTGGGACTCTAGAGTTCAGCAGCAAAGCGTTGCTTTCACATGGGGGTAGCATGAGACAAACCTCTGACTGGAGGGGGCAGCAGGGGTGGAAAGGAGATGGGCGGTCAGTTTCTGGTTTGCCTGCTGTTCCCGAAGAGTTAGATGAGAAAGAGACTTTTGGGCTGTTTCCAGGAGGAGCTCTGCTAAATTCCAGCAGTGAGGAGGCCCCCTCCCCACTCAGTATTCTGTTTCTGTCCAATTTTCAAGGTGGGTGGTTCCCATGAAGCATAGCAGGGCAGGATGTGGGGGAGAGCTTTGGCTCATAGTGCACAAGTATTAAATATTTTAAGCTACATGATATTCATACAGTACTTCAACATAAACCTTAACTGTAATTGTTGCAAGGATACACCATTTTCCTCCCAAGCAGATTCTAATTAATCAACAATATGCTGATCAAGCATCTGCAGGAGAAGCAGTGTGCTAAACACTGTAGAAAATTAAAGATTTACAGCATAAACTTCATCTTTGCACTGAAGGAATTTACAAGCTAGCTGAGGAAATAGGACGCATCAGTGAAACACCTAGAAAACAACTGCCAAAAAAAGCACTAAACTAAGTGGGATTCATCAGCACCTCTTTTCCACCCTTCCACTGCATCTCTCCCACAGAGTGGCTCAACCTTGCCCCAGTCGGCAGAACTCTGGGACCACGAGGCAGATCATATGAATCTTCCCTCCAGTGTCCCACTCTTTCTTTATCCCATGGAACATAGTCACTGTTGGTAACTAGTTCCTCTGCACCCCTTCACTCCTTCCCACAGGGCTCAGTGGACTGAGGGTGGGAGAGTGTGAGGGTGATGAGGGGAGAAGCTGGTTTTGTGTGGATATATCCAGAAAATGGACACTGCAAAGGCGATCATGCTAGATAAAAATAGGTTTAATTTCTTCGGTTGTCTTCTGCTAAAATGGAATGGGTCTGGTTAGTTGGAGGGGTCAGATATCTCTTGTTAAATTGATAAGCATCTGCTGTATCTCATTTGTGCAGAAGGAAGATAAAAGGCCATCGGGAGACCTGGGTGTGGCCTTCTTGGGGCTCTTCTGGTTGCCTAGTAGCTTTTCCATGTTTTCTCGCTATGTCTTTATACCCATGTCCTTTCAATATACATTTCTCCCTCGTTGTGCTGATGCTTGTGTGACTGTCATCATTTGTGTACGGTCCTCTGAATTAGACAGGTTCAAGAGAGTGACAAAAGTATTACTGGAACCTACTTTTGCTATTAGGCCAGCCTTTCTCAACAGGATTTCCAGGAAAGAATTAAGGTCTACAGAACATTATTTGAGTGACTGTCTTCTCAGTTTCTCTAGGATGTGACATAATTAGTTCCATTCTAGAAGAACGAGAAATATAAGTTAATTCATTACATAAAATAGATGCCTTTGGGCATTAGGGCTTAGTTTGCTCATGTAGCCCAGATTGAGAAGGGCTGCTCTGGGCCCTCATCCAAGGGTCTCAAGCAACATCAGAGCTCCCTCCTTTTCTTGGCCTGCCTCAGTTGCTGCAACTAACCCATAATGACTTCTTGAGTCATGAGTTTGACAGTGTACACTAAATGTAATTGGAGTTCAAAGGACAGACCAAGGCCCTGTGGGGGGTAATATGTGGAGTTATAATTGTTTAGGCATTCTAAGGTCATCTAATATTAACTTAGAATAGGCAGTGAACTTGGAGAGAGAAGACTTGAAACTTTGCTCTCTCCCTCATTCCTTATCGGGGACTCTGTAAGGCAGGACGGCGAGTAATGACTTCCCTCTGTGGTAAGGGAGTAGAAGTTCTCTGTTCAAAAAACTTTAGATCTTGTAAACAGTGATCTAAATCAGCAGTCCCCAATCTTTTGGCACCAGGGACTGGTTTCGTAGAAGAGTTTTTCCATGGACTGTGGGGTTTGCGGGTGGATAATTTTGGGATGATTCAAGCTCATTACATTTATCGTGCACTTTATTTCTATTATTATTACATTATATATTATATACATATATATATATATGTATATATATATATATATATATATATATATATGTAATTGTACAACTCACCATGATGTAGAATCAGTGGGACCCCTGAGCTTGTTTTCCTGCAACTAGATGGCCCCATCGGGGTGATGGGAGACAGTGACAGATCATCAGGCATTAGATTCTCATAAGGAGTGTGAAACCTAGATCCTTTGCATATGAAGTTCACAATAGGGTTCATGCACCTATGAGAATCTAATGCCTCTGCTGATCTGATAGGAGGTAGGGCTCAGGCGGTAATGCGAGTGATGGGGAGTGGCTGTAAATACAGATGAAGCTTCCCTTGGTCGCCCACCACTCACCTCCTGCTGTGCAGCCTGGTTCCTAACAGGTCATGGACTTGTCTGGTCTGTAGCCCAGGGATTGGGGACCCCTGATCTAAATAGCAAAGCTGAATAAAGTATGCCTATCCCATCTGATATAAATTGAGAGTTGTTAGGATTTGGCATGGCGCATCAGGGTGTTGAGTAATCTGGTGTTCATCAGTATTGACAGGTAGAGAAGATAAGGATGTTTTGAGCTCATCAAGACAGGAGCAGACACCTGTTGGGACAAGAGAGCACAGCAGCAGGCTGGTTCTCCCATCCTCGTACCCTATCATATGATGCTGGTCAGGAGGAGACTGGGGAAATATTGTGATATTATAGGTTAAATCTTTGGGAAAGCATTTTTTGAGTCAGGCTTGGTCTGGACATTGTCTGACTCCCGTGGCTTGGAGGTTGCCAGGGCGATGACACATTCCTTCAAGATTTTGGTTTCTTTCCTGGCCAGATCTAGCAGAGCCAAGTTTTCTTGGGTGCCTGCAGGCTGTCAGAAGAACTCCATCCTTGCTTCTCTGTCACTACTGTGCACTGAATCCTGCCTGAAATCCTCCACTTCCGCCTTTGGCTAGGAACCCTTCCTTTCTTCCCTGCTGGACCCAGGGAGGAGGAGAGGCAACATCACAACTTTCTGTGCTTCCATCATAGCTGTGGGACTGTCTCTGTGTAAAGTCCTGCTGGCCTAGAGTTTCTAGCTTCTAGTGTCACCTGTGGAACTACAAAATTTATCCTTATTCCAGGTTAAGTTCCTCTGCTATGCATTCTCATGTACTTCCTTTTTGAAATAATTATTAACTGAATGAGTGCTTATTTAATATTTATTTTCCTGAGCTAGACTATGAGCTCCATAAGATCTGGAACGAAGTCTGTCTTGGTCACTGCCATATTCCTATTGCCAAGCACAACAAAATCATTGTAGGCATTTCAAAGAGGGAATTTAAAACAGGAAATTGGTTACACGTTGGACTGGGCTGAGAAGCCAAATGGGCTGGTGAAACAACCACATATTAGTGGCAGCGGAAGCTGCTACCATCCTGAGGGCTGGAAGGACACAAGAAAGGAGTGGGGAACAACTTCATTCTGATTAACTTCATTCTGAATTATATGGAATTAAAAAATTTTTCTTCTGGTAGGAGTGCCCACAATACTAGTAAAAATGTAGGCCATTTAACATTACCCTATTTGAAATCCACCATAGCCTTCTTGAGTTTCAAATCTGAAATCTGCAGGGATAATGTTTCTCAAAATGACAAAAGCACCATTTCTGAGGCAAAGATCCAGCCTGTCCTGGGCAGGTTGGCCCTTGGTTAGGATTTCAGGTCACGCTTGCAGATAGATCCATCACGCTTCCATCTCAGATGGGCTGTGACCTTTTGGATGCAGAGAAGGCTGTAATGCCACTTTTGTCCACCAGAGGGCTGCAGGGTCTCCCCTCACAGTCCAAACGGCTGAGATTTGGTGACTCAACCATGCCTTGGCAGGGTGCTGCCTTGAGGGGTCTCCTCTTAAGTACCTCATGTGTTGGAGGAGATCTGGGGGTGCAGAGGCTGCCCTGATTCCAGAAGGGAGGAATTTTGTATTCGGTTCCCTCATTTTCTCTCTCCCGGCTTCATTTTATGTTTCATAACAATTGATTTGAACAATTTAAAAATCGGGAAATCAAAGTGGGGGTGTGTGTGTGTGCATTTTGTGGGCAGGGTAGCAAGAAGTGGGAATAATTCTGGTTACATTAATTCATGCCTGAACTCGCAGCTTAAACATTATTTAATGTTGTAGAAATTCAGAGATGGAAAAGTGACCTTGGAAATAATTTAGCATCCCTTCATTTATAGCCAAAGAAATGAATGCGGCCCTTGCCGCTTGCGAGATGCCTGGAAGGTTCAGAGCCTTTAGGAATGCAGCTAATATGTAAGGTTATTAAAGCGTTTTTGGTAAGATTTTATTTCAGTATTCCAATCTTTCTTCCCTTTTCTTAGACTCAGCCTGAGCCTTAACAGCAGCAACAAAGCACAAAAAGGCATTTTTCAGTTTTCCATTGAAAGTACTTGGCTTTCTTGTTCTAATCCCATAATTAGACTTTGGATTCTTTCCAGACTCCATTGAATCAGAAGATAGAAAGGCCTGACATGGTAGAAAAAAATTATCCGGGAAAATATTGGAGTGAGTAGAAAACCAGTCAAACTCCTAATTGCAAATTCTCTTAAAATTAATTGAAAAATGTTACTAAAGAATTTTCAGCAGTACAGCAAAGACCAGTCACTGAAGTAACTTAAGGGAGAATGCACTAAACTGAAAAAAAATCAATGTGGGTTTTCTAAAAAAGTTTCAAAAAACACCCAATGAGCCCACACAAAAAACTTTATTTTAATTAATCCCAAAGAAAGAAACAACCACAGGGAACCATACACAGAATTCAGAAAATGGCTGGAGCCTCTTTTCAAAGAAATCAAGTGGACATTACATCCTCCCTAGTGAAAGTCAGAATAAAAAAGAATGAAAGTAATGATTATTGCAAAAGACACATTGAAAATCATGTTTAAACTGCACAAAGCAGAAATGGCACTTAAATCAGTAAAGAAACCTGAGCAATAGATCCAGAATTTAAAGAAACTAAATTAAGAAATGAAACACTTCAGGAGGGCAGATCTGGGGAATAGATCTGAGTATTGCAATTTCTGAATAGTTAGACTTCCTGAGTAAGCCAAAGAAAGAAAAGGTCCTAAATCAATAACTAAAGATGCAGGAATACTTTATTCCAGAATCAATAAGAGATTAGACTTGAAATAGAGAAGAGTTACATGGTCTAACAGAATAGTTACGAACATTTAGGAAACAGTTCTCACACTTATACATCTTTTCATTTGATTTTTACAACAATGTGAGGTAGACAGATATTATTAATCTCCCATCTTACAGATAGAAATTAACCTCCAAGAAACTGAGTGATTTGCCCAAGGGATATAACTAGTAAGTGAAGAGTCCAAGTTCAAGTCCAGGTCCTGCTCTCCAAAGTGGGAGGGGTCTTATATATATTTTAAATAATAAGGGAAATACATCTTTGATGACATGCAAAAAGAGAAGATCTCTTAAAAGAATATACATTGGAAACACGATTGGATTTTCTAGTAACATAAAAAGAGCTCAGTGGATATGAAACAATGTTACCAAGGATGAGAGAGAGAGAGAGAGAGAGAGAGAGAGAGAGAGAGAGAGAGAGAGAGAGAATGCATCCCCACCATACTTGACCTTGCCAAACTGCCTTTCATGTGGGGCGCGACAAAGAACTAAAAGCTCTTTGAGGTCCTAGAAATCCAACCAGTCACTCACTCACATTATTCCAACAGGCTCTGAGGACTGCTTCTAACAGAAGTCTGCATTAAACACAGAAACCTAAAGAGAAGACATTGACCTGAGTTATTTATTTATTACAGAAATATATAAACAGAACATCATGAGGAAGCATTTTTTGTTGATAAGTATAATTATTGTATTTGATGGAACAAAAGTAAGATGTGTCCTTATACCTGTATGAGGAATTACAACTGCTCTGACCTTTCTAAGAGAGTTATTTGGCTAAATGTGACATGAAACATTCCTTAGATTCAATACTACCACTCCGGGAACTTGTCCTAAAGCAATAATTCAAAGAAGAAAAAATTATAGATTGTTATACTGATATTTACAATTGTGAAAACTTGGAATAAAAACTGAAGAACTGAGTTTTACCCCAAATGAATATTATGTAGCTGTTAAAAATAATGAAGATGAAATATGTGTAAGAAATTAGCAATGGAAGTAGAACTAAACTTTTAACCATACTATGATTAAAACAATGAAAAATGTGTGTATGTAGATAAAAATTGGGATGCAATGTAGAGAAATGACATGAGTTAATTTAGGGTGGTGGAATCGAAGCTGAATTTTAAAAAATCTTTATATACTATTACATTTACAAATGGTTAGAAAGTTGCCAATGCTGCTGCTGAAACACTGGCAATCCCGCCCAAGTCAGAGGTTCACGGACTATGTCTGGAAGCATAAGAAACTGCTTACAGTTGCTGCCCCTGAGTAGGGGAAGCGGGGGCTTGTGGGCCTGGGGAAGAGGGCTAGGAAGTGACTTAATTTTACTATATGTGCTATATTCGTTGGTGCCTTTTGGATTTTGTATTCTTTGCGTGTGGTGCCAATGAAAACATGATGTCTAGGCACAATAAATCTACATATTTCTGACCTGTAAAATTTCCCCAACGGTCTGATGGTGGGACAGAAGAGTTGAAGTCAGTGTGGTGTTGGAAAATGCAAAACATTTAGTTACTGTGCCATATAAATGGAAAGGCAGAGAGTGGAGACAATGCCAAGGCTAAAAAGAGAACAATAGGTGGGAGTGAGCCTGCCTAGGAGTCCAGATGGAGCAGTGGAGACCAGGTAGAATCTTGGAGCTGTGGCCAAGGGAGCAGAAAACTGCAAAGATGGTGGCACAGACGGCAGAGGAAGAGTGTGAGTGGATGGCAAGGAGAGGAGCCGCAGGGTGGCGCCAAGGCAGGCCAGGACCGCTCACTGTGGTGTAGTGTGGACAGACACTGAGGTATGGTGCATGCAGTGGGTGGCTGCTGTGGCCAGACATGCTGGGTGCATAAAGTTGAGGCACCAGGGAAGCGTGGAGCCGGGGCGCCTCCTGGGATGGCTGCTGAGACCAGTGCGAGTTGGGGAGGAAGCAGACGCACAGGCTGGGCCCAGGGTTGCGGAGCCAGTGGGGTTGGGTTAGCTGCAGATCTTGAAGGCTTCTTCTCTTAAACAACGAGTAGCATGGAAAGAACAGGATTGGCAGTCAGAAGGCCGAGGTTCAAGTCCCGCTTTGAGGACCAGCTCTGTGACCTTCCTCACTATTTTGTCATCCTCAAAATGGGTAATATTAGCCGCCTCGTGGAGGCAAGAGTGAAAACATCTGCAAGAAATAGCAGACATAAGCGCTCTCTGAGCTGTAAACTGTAAAACCAGCATAACTCATCAGAGCAGAGAGGGGCCCAGTCACATTAAGGAGGTGGAGTGACTCCCAGGCCTGAATGAAGGTATTTTGTTAATTAGAACAAGAGCTAAAGACCCACAGACCCCAGGAGGAGGAGAGGCAGGCATACATGCTAGTCTATGCCCCGCTCAGGTGAAGTGCCCAGCCCAAGGCCATGGTGTCTCTGGGTCCAGAAACAGGCATTGTGTTTTTGTGGAAAAGGATGTTTTATGCTACCCTGACCCCCATCAAACACTTGAGTTACAGTAACGCTTTTCCGATTGCATGGTTACCACGTAACCTCTCATAGCGTTATTTGGCTTCCCTTGTAGCCTGCCCCTCAGGGATAGAACTTTCTGTCCTCCAGAAATTCTCATTGTTTACCAAAGTAGTTAAAAGCACTGATTTTGGAACCAGGTTGAGATTCTGGCTCTGCCACTTCCTATCGGTGACCTTGGGCAAATTATATGATGTTCTTTGTATCAGTTTCCTCATCTGTAAAATGGGATACTAAGAGTAGCTTCCTGTTCCTTGTGAGGAATAATGATAAATCATGTAAGGGCCCTCAGTGCCTGGCCTGGTAGGTGCCGTACACACGTTTGTGGGGTTTATGGAAAATCGCTGACTTGGCATTCTGATTCATCCACGGTAGACTCTGTGAACCTGCTCAGGGTGCTGCTGCCTAGAAGTTTGCTAGAGGAAGGGCATTCCAGGTAGAGGGTGTGGTTTGCTTGAGTCTTGGAAGGGTGAACAGGCTATAGGTAGCTGGGGTGGCTGCAACCTGGGCACATGGGGCAGAATGGTGGGAGATGAGACAGAGCAGATTGGGGCCAGATCCCTTGAGTATGGGCAATAACAGTTTGTGCTGTGCTAATACATTCTGATTTCATCCTATAGGCCATGGTGGTCCCCTGGAGAATTTTAGGCAGGTGAGCGACAAAATGGAATTTGTGTTTTAGATTTCAAGGTCCTTGACAGCGGGGCGGGGGCGGGGATGGAATTTGTGTTTTAGATTTCGAGGTCCTTGACAGCGGGGCGGGGGCGGGGGTCTTGTTCATCCTTGTGTCATCAGTAAGTCACCCATCTTTTGACTCATAGTAAGAAATCAATGAGCATTTGTGAAATGAGTGAAAGACAACGCCGGAGACTATGGAGGCCAGAGGGGCATCAGGGAGACAACCCAGGGCCTGTTGCACTAGCCTAGGTGGGAGCAATGAGAGTGTGGACAGAGGCAGCAGGAGGTGCTGGGGGAAGGTCACACTCCCCTCCAACTTGGGAAGGAGGGTCACAGTATTTGGTGACTGATGGGGGAGATGGATGAAGTTAAAGCAAAGATGACTTTATATTTTTAGCTAGGGTGATGGCAAAACTACTAAAAATGAAAGGAAAAGAGGAGGAAGACCAGTGTGCTTAAGTTTAGGACAACAATGCAATGTGAAGTACCCAGTGGATGTCAATGAGTTTTTTCTCTTAATAATTTGCCTGTAAGCAAGGCTGTCATTGCTAACACTTCTGATGAGCTCTCTTGAATCTTTGAGGGGACCAATAATTGCAGTTTCAAGGTGGGATCTGTAAAAAAAATCATGTGAACAGTTTTCACCCATATATGTTAGGTTACATATGTTATGAGACATGTTTGAAAAGGCACGTATAAGCAAATTTGTCTAAATTCAAATGTTACAAACACACAGCTATATACTTGTATACGTTGTGTGTGTATACCCAACTCTATACTGCTGGAAGTTGTGGAGACAAGCAGCACTATCTGACCCTTTCCCTGGGGCCTCTAAGTTGCCTGACAGTGAGCCAGCTCTCAGACTCAATGTCCCTTGGGATGGAGGGCTCCCAAGGTCTCCAAGTTCTGGATGCAGTGACATCTGAGAGACTTTTCCTACACAGTAGACATGTCAGGTTGAAACTGCTTGGTGTGTTATCTAACATGTTTATTCCCCCACGCAAGACTACCTTTATACATACCTCATTAAATGGAAGAATATCAAGGGGTGGAGTTTCCGTGCTGGCATCCCCATGGCACATTTATCCATTTGGCCCAAGCACACTTTTCAACAGGAGGCTGGGAGGGCAGGGACCTAGCTGGGCTGATCCTGCTCTCATGAGTTCCAGCTGCACCAGATGATGCTGGTTGGTGTCTACCCTGAGCCCTTTACACAAATACCAGTGCAGTCTTGTTTTAGATCCTGGGGAATAACAACTGATTTCTGTGGATGAGAAGTTCCACAGAACTTTCCTCTGCTAACTTATCACTTAGCAGAGGAAAATTTATTGTTTCATTTCTTAACGCATGTGTTTTAATTATTTCTGCCATCAGATTTAACAAAGCCCTAAAATGAAATTTGAAGTAGCATGAGGATTTTATGAAGATCTTGTATAATAAATTTCAGCTATATTGCCTTATTCACAGAATCTAAAAGACTGTTATTTGCTTTTCTTATTATTTTCAAGGGGAAAAAATTTCAAACCTTTTTCCCCAGGTCTCTTGAATAATAGTGGTGTATTTTTCTCTGTCATGGCATGGAGAAAGGCTCTCTTCTGCTGAGTTTATGGATTTTTTAAAGTTAATGATAATGGTTTGTTTGAAGTAGATTTTTGTATGTGTGTGTTTGAGGTGAAATTCATGCAAAGAGAGGTGAAATAGTTGTCCGGGTTCTTGCTGTGACCAAGAATGTTTTATCTCTTAATGGGAATGAAAATAACACTTAAAAATCTTAGCTGGCTCTGTCATGTAGTCAAGGATTAAAAAATAACAAAAACCTCATCAATGACATTACCAGATTTTTTGTTGTTGTTTTATTATTATTTTTTTGAGCACCCAGGCTGGGGTGCTGTGGCATGATCTTGGCTCACTGCAACCTCCCCTTTCCAGGACTCAAGCCATCCCCCGACCTCGGACACTTGAGTAGCTGAGACTACAGGTGTGTGCCACCACACCCAGCTAATTTTTATATTTTTTGTGGAGATGGCAGGGGAGGGGTGTCACTATGTTGCCCAAGCTGGTCTCGAGCCCCTGAGCTCAAAGCCATCTGCCCACCTTGGCCTCCCAAAATGCTGGGATTACAGGTGTGGACTACTGTGCCCAGCCTACAGCACTTTGACTTTCTAATTAGTCAGGATACACTCGATACTGGTAACTGCTACCTGCATCAGAGATACCTGAAAGTATCTCTGAATATAGTCTCTTAGGGAAAATGTTTTGAAAAAAGTGAAAAGCTGGGTGAAGAAGTACAGAATCACAAGTCGCATAGAAACAAAACAGAGCCAAAATATAAATAAAGAGTGTGTGTTCATACACACACACACACACACACACACATTTTTATATGCCTTATACTTTCTTTCTTCTACTCTGAAATAGAGAATATTATAATTCTCTTCTTTATATTCAGGAACGCAATAGGTAATTACATATTTTTAGTGATCCCCTAGAAATCTTGATAAAGTCGACCCAAAGTAAGAAACTGTAGTTAAGTTTTGTGTTAGTTTTGGTGGCATAAAATAAGGGAGGACTAGCCCAGGAAACTGTGGGTAGAGTCCACTAGCTACTTCTCTGCCCTGTGGTTCTATGTGGTCCTTGTAAAACCAGTAGATAACAGCAGTAACTAAGGGTGTAGACTCTGGAGATGAATCAGAAGGAAGCCTGGAGACTGTGAAGTGAGTTAGTTAAGAGCTCTACACCCAATAAGACAAGGAAGACAATACTAGCTAGCTCATTTCCTTCTATCTCCAACTTCTAAACATTAAAAAACATTTTTTCAGTATGTGTTTTTCTGGAAGGAATGATTGGAATATCCAAGGACATGAGGGGAGAAGAAAGCGGTAAAATGGCATTTGCTGTAAAAGAGTGGGAAAAAAATTGAATTACTCCAAGGTTCGTTGTGTTCTTCCAGCTCCATCTATGATAAAGAGAATGAACAACTAGGTGTTTTCCTTCTGGACAATGATTATGACACAGATTACTGCTGGGACCAGAAGTATTGCCACTTTGGACAACATGGAATAGAAGGATTATTGAGAATCACTTATAATGAGATGTTACTTCAAATTAGGAAAAATTTGATAAACAAATTTATAATACAAATGATTATAAAAACCTAAAGACCACTCGTGACAGAATTTTTAAAATGATGTGTTAATTATAAATACCAGTATCTTGCTAATTAATGTGCCTTGTTTGGGGCATATCAAGTGTATAGCCTATTAATATAATCTATCTGGACTGAAATGCCTTATTAAGACCCCATTCTGTAAGAGGTATTTTATTCCCTGGTTTTGGTACTTCCTGCCCACTACTAATTTGAATTTTTACTATAGTCATTCCTAGGAAATGTTCAATAAAAATTTTTAGATGAATTGCTCTCAAGCCCAATTCAATGCTTGTTAATTTGTTAAGAAGATAACTAATGAGTCTGCTCATCCAGAAAGGGTATGAAAATGAGGAATTGTGGAGTTGACAAATGATGCTTATGTAGGCAGCTAGTTTTTTTTTTTTTTTTATATCGTCATTCTTTTAGAGGGTCAGTTCAGTTTCTTTTTCTTTTATTTATTATACTTTAAGTTTTAGGGTACATGTGCACATTGTGCAGGTTAGATACATATGTATACATGTGCCATGCTGGTGCACTGCACCCACTAACTCGTCATCTAGCATTACGTATATCTCCCAATGCTATCCCTCCCCCCTCCCCCACCCCACAACAGTCCCCAGAGTGTGATATTCCCCTTCCTGTGTCCATGTGATCTCATTGTTCTATTCCCACCTATGAGTGAGAATATGCGGTGTTTGGTTTTTTGTTCTTGCGATAGTTTACTGAGAATGATGATTTCCAATTTCATCCATGTCCCTACAAAGGACATGAACTCATCATTTTTTATGGCTGCATAGTATTCCATGGTGTATATGTGCCACATTTTCTTAATCCAGTCTATCATTGTTGGACATTTGGGTTGGTTCCAAGTCTTTGCTATTGTGAATAATGCCGCAATAAACATACGTGTGCATGTGTCTTTATAGCAGCACGATTTATAGTCATTTGGGTATATACCCAGTAATGGGATGGCTGGGTCAAATGGTATTTCTAGTTCTAGATCCCTGAGGAATCGCCACACTGACTTCCACAATGGTTGAACTAGTTTACAGTCCCACCAACAGTGTAAAAGTGTTCCTATTTCTCCACATCCTCTCCAGCACCTGTTGTTTCCTGACTTTTTAATGATTGCCATTCTAACTGGTGTGAGATGGTATCTCATAGTGGTTTTGATTTGCATTTCTCTGATGGCCAGTGATGATGAGCATTTTTTCATGTGTTTTTTGGCTGCATAAATGTCTTCTTTTGAGAAGTGTCTGTTCATGTCCTTCGCCCACTTTTTGATGGGGTTGTTTGTTTTTTTCTTGTAAATTTGTTTGAGTTCATCGTAGATTCTGGATATTAGCCCTTTGTCAGATGAGTAGGTTGCGAAAATTTTCTCCCATTTTGTAGGTTGCCTGTTCACTCTGATGGTAATTTCTTTTGCTGTGCAGAAGCTCTTTAGTTTAATTAGATCCCATTTGTCAATTTTGGCTTTTGTTGCCATTGCTTTTGGTGTTTTGGACATGAAGTCCTTGCCCATGCCTATGTCCTGAATGGTAATGCCTAGGTTTTCTTCTAGGGTTTTTATGGTTTTAGGTCTAACGTTTAAATCTTTAATCCATCTTGAATTGATTTTTGTATAAGGTGTAAGGAAGGGATCCAGTTTCAGCTTCCTACATATGGCTATCCAGTTTTCCCAGCACCATTTATTAAATAGGGAATCCTTTCCCCATTGCTTGTTTTTCTCAGGTTTGTCAAAGATCAGATAGTTGTAGGTATGCGGCATTATTTCTGAGGGCTCTGTTCTGTTCCATTGATCTATATCTCTGTTTTGGTACCAGTACCATGCTGTTTTGGTTACTGTAGCCTTGTAGTATAGTTTGAAGTCAGGTAGTGTGATGCCTCCAGCTTTGCTCTTTTGGCTTAGGATTGACTTGGCAATGCGGGCTCTTTTTTGGTTCCATATGAACTTTAAAGTAGTTTTTTCCAATTCTGTGAAGAAAGTCATTGGTAGCTTGATGGGGATGGCATTGAATCTGTAAATTACCTTGGGCAGTATGGCCATTTTCACGATATTGATTCTTCCTACCCATGAGCATGGAATGTTCTTCCATTTGTTTGTATCCTCTTTTATTTCCTTGAGCAGTGGTTTGTAGATCTCCTTGAAGAGGTCCTTCACATCCCTTGTAAGTTGGATTCCTAGGTGTTTTATTCTCTTTGAAGCAATTGTGAATGGGAGTTCACTCATGATTTGGCTCTCTGTTTGTCTGTTGTTGGTGTATAAGAATGCTTGTGATTTTTGTACATCGATTTTGTATCCTGAGACTTTGCTGAAGTTGCTTATCAGCTTAAGGAGATTTTGGGCTGAGACAATGGGGTTTTCTAGATATACAATCATGTCATCTGCAAACAGGGACAATTTGACTTCCTCTTTTCCTAATTGAATACCCTTTATTTCCTTCTCCTGCCTAATTGCCCTGGCCAGAACTTCTAACACTATGTTGAATAGGAGTGGTGAGAGAGGGCACCCCTGTCTTGTGCCAGTTTTCAAAGGGAATGCTTCCAGTTTTTGCCCATTCAGTATGATATTGGCTGTGGGTTTGTCATAGATAGCTCTTATTATTTTGAGATACGTCCCATCAATACCTAATTTATTGAGAGTTTTTAGCATGAAGGGTTGTTGAATTTTGTCAAAGGCTTTTTCTGCATCTATTGAGATAATCATGTGGTTTTTGTCTTTGGCTCTGTTTATATGCTGGATTACATTTATTGATCTGCGTATATTGAACCAGCCTTGCATCCCAGGAAAGATCCAAAATTGACACCCTAACATCACAATTAAAAGAACTAGAAAAGCAAGAGCAAACACATTCAAAAGCTAGCAGAAGGCAAGAAATAACTAAAATCAGAGCAGAACTGAAGGAAATAGAGACACAAAAAACCCTTCAAAAAATCAGTGAATCCAGGGGCTGGTTTTTTGAAAGGATCAACAAAATTGATAGACCGCTAGCAAGACTAATAAAGAAAAAAAGAGAGAAGAATCAAATAGACACAATAAAAAATGATAAAGGGGATATCACCACCGATCCCACAGAAATACAAGCTACCATGAGAGAATACTACAAACACCTCTACGCAAATAAACTAGAAAATCTAGAAGACATGGATAAATTCCTCGATACATACACTCTCCCAAGACTAAACCAGGAAGAAGTTGAATCTCTGAATAGACCAATAACAGGAGCTGAAATTGTGGCAATAATCAATAGTTTAACAACCAAAAAGAGTCCAGGACCAGATGGATTCACAGCCGAATTCTACCAGAGGTACAAGGAGGAACTGGTACCATTCCTTCTGAAACTATTCCAATCAATAGAAAAAGAGGGAATCCTCCCTAACTCATTTTGTGAGGCCAGCATCATTCTGATACCAAAGCCGGGCAGAGACACAACCAAAAAAGAGAATTTTAGACCAATATCCTTGATGAACATTGATGCAAAAATCCTCAATAAAATACTGGCAGACCGAATCCAGCAGCACATCAAAAAGCTTATCCACCATGATCAAGTGGGCAGCTAGTTTTTTAAAGGTATGAAAGTTTAGAGTTCCATTTCAAAGGTTACCAAAACATGGAGTCCACATCAGCTGTTGGGAGGGGAGCCCACGGCAGGACCGTCTGAGGTGGCAGGGGTGCACACTCAGGCCATGGGAAAACACTTCTCAAAAACAAATGAGAAGAGGCTGAAGTGTGGGAATAACAAGATTTTACCCCCCAAGTTATTTTAGGGCTAGTAACAAGAAAGCATCAATCGTATTGAACCCACTGGGGGCTCACTGCTTGGTGCTAGGCAACAAGGTCTGAGTTTTGAGCTGTCCAAAGCCAGTGTTTTTTCTCCAATTTAGACAAATCTTCCCATTTCTTAGTTTTGGGACGAGAATTTTGTTTGTTTCTTCCTTAAACAAAGGATTCTTGGATTTGAAATTAAGAATGACTAAAATAAAATTTAGCATGCATTCTGTTTCAACCCCAGCTGGTCTGACACCACCTGGCATACTACAATTCAGTTCTGGTGGTAACCCCCTGGAGCTAGTGCAGACCCCATCAGTTACAGGCTCAGTCCTCCATAAGACTTCCTTCACTTTAGCTGCCAGCTGCAATTCAGAGGCCCCTAAGCCACCTGCACTTTTGACCAAGTGGCTACAAATTTGGGAGTTCTCACAACCCCATCAGGTTAAAAAATTCACTAGTATGTCTCACAGAGCTTGAGAAAACACTTTTAAAAAAATAATTACAATTTTATTATAAAGGATACAGATCAGGAGCAGCCAAAGGAAGGGATACACAGGGTGAGTTCTGGGAGAGTCCAGAGTGTGGAGCTTCTGTGCCCTCTCCTGTGGAATCAGGATGCTGTCACCCTTCTGACACATCAATGTGTTCACCATCCAGGAAGCTACACTAATATTTGGTGTCCAGAGTTTTTATTGGGGTTTCATTATGTAGGCATAGTTCATTAAATCAGTGGCCAACTGATTGAAGTCAATCTCCACCCTCCTTTCCTCTCCAGAGGTCAGGCTGAGCTAACATCACATTGCTCAGAGTCCCAACCCTCTAATCATGTGGTTGGTCTTTCTGCTGAGTCTTTCTGGTGAACAGCCCCATCCTGAAGCTATCTAGGGGGCTACCATGGGTTTTCTCATTAGCATGAACTCAGCTGGCTCATGAATAATGAAGACACTTCTGTCGCTTGGGAAATTCCAAGGGTTCTAGAAGCTCCATGCCAGGAACCCTGGACTAAGACCAGACAAATTCTTTATTAAACAACACCACAGGAATACAGGTAATGTGGTCATGCTTTCAGAGAATGAACTTTAAATGATGTACAGGGGGTTCTGATTTGTTTTCCAAATGGGCCAGGGTGGTCTTACCAAAACACATGTGTGCTTGAAACCTTTCAGTGGCCTCCCCCTATTCTCAGGGCAAAGAGTAAAATCCCTAACCAGGCCTTCTGGGTCCTGCATGGCCCAGCTCCTCTCCTGTCTGGCCTCATCTGACACAGCCCTTGCTCCTTGCTCTCATGGGCTAGCCCTTCAGTTTCTTGAATGCACTTGCTGTCTTGTCTGGGCCTCTCCCCTTGCTGTTCTGTGCTTGGATCTGTCGTCTCCCTAGCCTTTTGGTCTATGTGTTCCTACAGCACTTTGGCTGCTTTCCTTCATGGTCCTTGCTCTGTCTTCCCTATTAGCTGTAAGCTCCAAGGTCAGCTGTTTGTGCTCATGGTTGTATCCCTGCCCCCAAACTGGTAAGTTCCTAGTACAGAGAGGATGCTCCACATACTTTTGTTGAATGAATTAATGAAGTGGATTCACCCTCACAGGATTGGCAAAAACCCTTACCCAGGGCTGAGAGAATACTGTTTGCTCTGCCGGGACTTCCCTTGTTCTTGTGTTTTCATGTTCTGCTTATTTTTATTCTTGGTGTCTCTTATTATTTTTGCCCCATGTCATTCTGTACAGGGCTCCATCTGATGTCAGGGCCTTTGCTTATGCACTTGCTCAAAGTTTGCCTCTCCAGAGTCGTAATCGGTTGTAATCCCGAGGAGACTCTAATATGTTTTACAAAATCCCTGCTACTAAGTTACTCATCTGGGGAAGGCTTCTGGCTCTCCGTGGTGTGGGGATTCTGCCTGTGCTGCTGCTCTGCTTCAAGCCTTTTTAAAAAGCCTGCTTTCTTTGTACCACATCCTAGCCTGGTCTTTTAACTGCTGTGCTGTTCTAGGTCATTCCTTACCTTCGTTTTTCCTGTTTAACACCATTAAGCCTCTCCTGGGCAGTACCCGCCTGTAAGGTTGTTTCTGTTGAATGGCTTGATGCCCACTTTCAGGTATATTAGTCTTGGTAAGTATAATAATTCTGCTAGAAGGATATAGGAAACAGACACAGAGGAATTAAGTTAACGTTACTTGAGAACATACAGCTAGTTAGCAGAATAACTGGAATTAGAATGCCAAACTCCTGACCTCATATCTAGCTGTTCTTTCCACTCCACCCTGAATTGGCTTACATTTGTGAATTGGCTCACATTTGTGAATTGGCTCACATTTGTGAATAGGAAATTTTGTTGACTATCTTTCCACTTATCAAAATGTTTGGAACCATACCAAGCTACTTGGAATCCATATCGTATCACCTCATGTGATTCTTGGACTGCAGAAACTGGGAGAAGCAATTAATAGCAGTAAGCTCGACTTTTCTCAACTTTCCCCTTCAGATGTTCTGAACAAAGAGAACAAGGAACTCAGATCACAAAAAGCTCCAATTAAAGGGAACTTGACTGCATATCCATTTGTTAAAATTACTACCAACCCTCCAGGTTTCCCTTCAGTGTCTATGTTGTAAAAAATGGATGGAAAATGTATTAATATTAGCCACTGATATGTTCATAGAATAGATGAGAAGAAAACACCTCGGTATTCCCACCTGAGATAAGAAAGTGTTCTAAAAATATCTTGTTGGCTGGGCATGGTGACTCATGCCTATAATCCCAGCACTTTGGGAGGTCAAGGCAGTAGGATTACTTGAGCCCAGGAGTTTGAGACCTGCCTAGCCAACACAGGGAGACCCTGTCTTTATAGAAGTATTAAATTTTAAAAAAAATTTGGCGGGGCACAGTGGCTCACACCTGTAGTCCCAGCACTTTGGGAGGCCGAAGCGGGTGGATCACGAAGTTGGGAGATCGAGACCATCCTGGCTAACACAGTGAAACCCTGTCTCTACTAAAAATACAAAAAATTAGCCAGGCGTGGTGGTGGGTGCCTGTGGTCCCAGCTACTTGGGAGGCTGAGGCAGGAGAATGGCATGAGCCCCAGAGGCAGAGCTTGCAGTGAGCCGAGATCATGCCACGGCACTCCAGCCTGGGTGACAGAGCGAGACTCCATCTCAAAATAAATAAATAAATAAATAAATAAATAAATAAATAAATAAATAAAATAAAATAAAAAATGTATAAAACAATAAAATTTTAAAAATCTGATTATGAATGGCTTGTTTATGGTCATCACAAAGATTCATAAAAGATGAAATGTAGATATAATTTAAAGGAGATAAATTTTAGAGTTTTATGAGATTAAAAAATAAAAAAGGGCCGGGCGCAGTGGCTCACGCCTGTAATCCCAACACTTTGGGAGGTTGAGGTGGGCGGATCCCTTGAGCCTAGAAGTTAGAGACCAGCCTGGGCAACATGGAAAAACCTCATCTCTACAAAGAATACAAAAATTAGCTGGGAGTGTTGGCGTGCACCTGTAGGCCCAGTTACTCAGGAGGCTGAGGTGGGAGGATCACTTGAGCTCGGGAGGTGGAGGGTGCAGTGAGCTGAGATTGCACCACTGCACCCCAGCCTGAGTGACAGAGCCAGACCCTGCCTCATAAACGAATAAATAAATAAAGTAAAACATAAAAGATAAAAAGGTTGCAGAGAAAGAAAGTTTTCAGCTCTTCCAGTGGATCTGACAGGTGCTTGAATTCTGCTTTTGATCATCTTGTTTTTTGCCTGCAGTCCTTGTGTTAAAATGGATAAAATGGAGATGATTAACCCCGGACAGGCAGGTCATCTGATAAATTGGAAGAATAAACACCCGATGAGATGACCTGTCCTTCTAAAATGTGTGCATCTATCTCCTCCAAGGTTTAAGGACATTTTTTGTCTTCCCCATAAAGCGTCTCCAGTGTTATGAGTCCCGGGCCTTCCTGCTGTAGACCCTGCTTCCATAGTCCACACTTCACACAAAGCCACGACACTGTTTCATGATTTAGAAGAGGGTTTCCCTTTCTAAGGAGGATACGATTAGACTTGTTTGTTTGTAAAGCCCAAGTTAATAACCTTTCAAAACGGATCTCAAAATGGAATGGCCCATGCTGACAACTGTAGTCAGAATTCTGGTGCACAGAGTAAGCAGCCCTGTGCATCACAAGGCACTGCACCCCCAGGCATGTTTCTCAATACTTACATGTTGTTTTGTCAACCTTTTCCTGTCACAAATGGAGGAAGATGTTAAAGCAGTTCAGCTCCTTGTCCCTTTCCTCTGTTGGCTCCTGTACTAGGTGTCTTCTCTTTCCTTTCTAGATCCACATTTTACCTGTCCACTCCAGGCCAGGGAGAGAGGCTGGCCCAAATGAACATCATCAACAGACTTATGCTTTCTGGCTTCTAGCTGGGTTTGGCTAAAGGAAGTCATCAGCAGGCACTGGGAGGTGGCGTGCAGAGTGAGTTGGGGAGTTTATTACTGCAGCTCACTCCCTTCCAGTTCAAGAGGGTTAGCTCATCCCACTTCTGGTGGGTGGTCCTTTTCAGTAGCTGCTCTCTCAGGGTGCCCAAAATCTCTCTTCCCTGACAGCCTTCATGCTTAGAGATGGTAACCAAGGAACTACATGACACGTTGTTGGTTTCAGAAGTTCTTCCTACATATTTGTCATAGTCCCTTTATTAAAAATTCCTCAACTAGTCTGTGCACAAGCCATCAGTTTCTTGTGGGGACTCTAATTGATAGTACTTTGTTGTGTTTCTCTCTCACTTTTTCTCCCTCTTTCTTTTTTGTTCTCTTATTCTCCTTTGTCTCACTCCTCTCCTCCAATTTCCTCTCCGTGTCTACCATTTTTTCTTTCTATCCCTGTCTCCTCCATCTGATACTCAATTTTTTCTCTGTTGTTTTAAAGTATTACTATTAAAGTAATACAGCTGGGTGCGGTGGCTCACGCCTGTAATCCCAGCACTTTGGGAGGCCAAGGCAGGCAGATCATGAGGTCAGGAGATTGAGACCATCCTGGCTAACATGGTGAAACCCCGTCTCTACTAAAAATACAAAAAAAAAATTAGCCAGGCATGGTGGCGGGCGCCTGTAGTCCCAGCTACTGGGGAGGCTGAGGCAGGAGAATGGTGTGAACCCAGGAGGCAGAGCTTGCAGTGAGCAGAGATCATGCCACTGCACTCCAGGCTGGGCAACAGAGCAAGACTTCATCTCCAAACAAACAAACAAACAAAAACAAAAACCAAAAACCAAAACCAAAACCAAACAGACAAACAAAAAGTAATACTGCATTTATTTACCTTATTTAGGGATGGAGATGAGCTTCAATTAACGAAAAAAAAATAATTTGAATAACATAAAAACAAGATATGGTGGCTGCTGGGACTGTAAAATGGTACAACCATTTTGGAAAACAGTTTGACAGTTTCTTAAAAAGTAAAATACACATCGACCATGCAATCCAACCATTCCATTCATAGGTATTTATCAAAGAAAATTGAAAGCATATGAGGACTTTTACATGAATGTTCGTAGCAGCTTTATTTTAAAGAGCCAAAAAATGGAAATAATCCAAAAGTCTACTAACAGGTGAGTGCTTAAAATATATCTAAGCAATGGAATACTACTTAGCAACAAAATGGAATGAAATATTGATATACGCAACAGCACGGTTGGGTCTTGATAACTAGGCTGCGCAAAAGAAGCCAGACAAAAAAGAGTACATACTATATGACTCTATTTATACATAAAAGCAACTAATTTATAGTGACAGAAAACAGATCAGCTGTTACCTGGAAGGCAAGGGCTCAGGGAGGACCAAGAGTTACAGATTACGAGGTGTGTAAGTTAACTTTTGAAGATAATGAATATGTTCACTATCTTGACTATGATGATTGTTTCACGCATGTATACATATGTCAAAACTTATCAAATTGTGCAGTTTAAATATGTGCAGCTCATTTAAATATGTCAGTTACACCTCAATAAAGCTGTTAAAAATACACAAAATGGTGGGTTTAAAGATGGTATATTACTTTCCTGTTGCTGCTGTAACAAATTACCACACACTTAGTGGCTTAAAACAATGCAAGTGTATTCTCTCACAGTTCTGCAGGTCAAAGGTCCAACCAAGATCGTCTCACTGGACTCAAGTCAAGGTGTGGGAAGGGCCAATCTCTTCTGCAGCATCTTAGGGGAGAATCTATTGTATTGTTCAACATCTGCTTGCCACCTCTTTTCCTTCTCTGTGGCCTCTTCCTCATCTTCAAACTGAGTTACTTCAATCTCTGCATCACATCACCTTCTTTCCTCTGTGGTAAGATCACCTCCTCTTCTCTTCTCCCTCTTGCAAGTACATTTATTATAACTACATTGTGATTACATTTAGTGCCCACTCAGCCCAGGATAATCTCCCCATCTCCAGATCCTCAACTTAATCACACCTGCAAAGTCCTTTCCGCCACATAAGAAAACATTTGCAAGCTCTGGGGATTAATGTGGATATATTTGGGGCCATTATTCGGTCTACTGTAGATGGTATATTGTTCGCTCTGTGAAAATGCATATTGCTTAGTATCTAGGAAAGGCTTATCTCCTTCTGCTTTGCCCTGAGGTATTTATACGTAGTGTTGGCTCTTGAAGAGAGCGGAACAACTTCCAGGTTGGATACTATATGAAAAAGCTCACTGGGCAGAAGTCATCCACTTCCTGTATGGGATTATAAGGCATCCCCAGTATAGCAGCCTAAACATGTTAAGCCCTTTCTCACATGGGCCATGCTTTTTCTTGAATAAAGGGCTTAGGCAGCTGGGGGAAGGATGACCCTTTAGATGATTGTTACGATTTTGTGCAAAGCTAATCCTTAGCTCGAAGGCGTCAGTCTGCCCTTTGTTAACTCATCTTTAATCATATCTGTGGTCTGACCAGGGAGATGCTGGGAAAATCCTCACCACCTGATTGCTGAAAGCAAACATCAGGGCCTATGTGTGGAGCTACTTCTACGGAAGCCGCTGAGGTGATACTCTCATTCCTAAAGTAGGGTAGACCCTTGAGCTTTGTTGACCCCAGACCTTGACCCTGGTGAACATTCTCAGAAAAGCAGGGTGTCTAGAGATAGGGTGTATTATGATAGGGAACGGGGTCAGAGGGAGATTTTCCTCTTAAGTCCTGCAGGGGTAGCAGATGGAATTGGAGTGACACTGTGACTGCCTACACTCTCTAGAGTGGCTGCCTCTTGTCTGCAGTCTGGCCCACACCGACAGTAGGCCCAATTTGTGGAAGCAGCCTTGCCCAATCCAGAAATGTCTCCAAGACCGGGAATTCTTCAGTGTGATCTCCTTCAAAAGGGAGAGAGTCATAAACAAATGACAAATGCAAGACAAATAGAGACTGGGGATAGCTAGTGGTTGAGCTTTGGGTATCTCTCGCAATGCCTTCGAGGCTCACAGGATGGTTCTTGATCTGTAAATTGACAGGGATAGCCCACATTTACAGAGTACTTTCCTATAGGCAGGGGAGAAGGTCTTATTTGTTCCTATTGTTGCTCTGACAGGCCAGGTTTCCTCCATATAGTTTAGCATCTGGGGACTCTGTCTTTCTAATGCAAAGGACCAGGTGAAGGAGGTGTGGGAGCCTGGGGAGATGGGAATGAGCTCTGTGATTGCGGACAAAGCTGAAGTTCCTTCCCTTGCCTGAAGGGGCCAGCAAAGGCCCAGATAGGGTGGAGACATCTTGACTCCCAGGAGGGAAAAAAAATCCCAGGAGACAGACAGCTCCTATCCAGCAACTGTGTGATTTCTCTGCCTGGACATTGACAGATCCTCCCACAGCGTTCCCTACCTGCCTGGAGATACTTGGGCTGGCCCTAGATGTCGGAGAATGGCAGTCTATGTGGGATTCAGGAGAGGGAGTGCACCCAAGGGCCTGGATGGAAGGGGCCACGAGGGTGTAGAATCTCCCACCGAGTAGCTCTGCCCTCTTGGATATTCCTGGGATGTCTGTGCCCCAGCCAGAGCCTGTGATCAAGCCATCAAAGCTAATAAGATAATTTCTGCATTAAATGAAATTGTGGATGAAGGATAGGGATGCAGGAACAGACTAATGGCTCTAATGTTTTTCCCCAACCTTTCACATCTCAATATAGTGCAGTCATCAGACTCCTTGTTCACGTGCTAGGAAAATGATGACTCCTCGGAGAAGCTGCTGGTAATGATCATTTAGTTTCTCATTCTTTTGTGTTTAGTTGGATGGGGTCAGGCAGGATAAACCATGGTAGAGGAGAACAGTAAATCACAATCTGCTCCATAGATAAGCATCTCTTTTCCCACCCAGTTTCACTGGTTGCCATGTTTTCAACAATCAAGAATATTCTTATTTTTTATTTACAAAAGTAAATTCTTCTTATAAAAAACAGAGAAAAAACAAAAGCCTCCTTTTACTTTACTCCTCCCATCTACACCCTGCCTCAGAAGTATCTATCACTGTTGATTTGGAGAATATCTTTCTCTCTATAGATAGTGTTTTAAAAATATGTCCACAACTATTTGATATGACTTCTTTCAAAAGGTGGAACCCACTCCCCTCACCTTAAGTGCAGGACGGACTTAGTGACTCACATTTAAAGCATAGAATGTGGCAGGAGTGATGATTTATGATGTCTGAGACTAGGATGTAAGTGGTGTTGAGGCTTCCTGTCTTGTTCTCTCCAACCCCTTGTCCTGGGGGAAGCCAGCTACCATGTTGTGAGGACACTCAAGCCAACCCAAGGAGAGTGCTGTGTGTTGAGGAACTGAGGCCTCCCGCCAACAGCCACATGAGTGATCCATAAAGAGATTATTGTAATGGATTCTGCCACCTGTGAGGGCATAGGCTCCCAGATGTCAGAGATACTCTGAAATTCGGGATTCCCAGGTACAGGAAAATGAGCAGAGGACAGAGCACACAATCCCCAGGCACATTTTTATATTGACACACAGTACCTAAGGGTGTATATAACAGGTATGTCTATTTTCAGTAACTTGGGTTTTGTGGTGGTTGCTGATATTTGCTACCCAATCGCCCTTCAGGGTTAGAGGATTTATTATCCCAGCTGCTGGCAGTGCTGCTGGCAGAGAGCCCTCACCCATCAACCTCCTCTGTGATTTCCTAAACTGAAGAGAGCCATCATGCCCAGGGTCATGCCCCTTCCCAGTAGCCCACATCCAGGATTGACTAATGAGTGGTATAGAGCCCAGCTCTTACACCCCAACTCAGGAGAGCTCTGATGGCCACCCCATCTTCGGAACTCTCTGCAGGATTGGCTGAGGCATTCATTGAGACTGCATTGCAGCTGAACTTCATCATCTGCCCATTCCCACGTCCCTCCCTTCCCTTTCACAGGTGTTGATACTCAAAGCACTCCCCAGTGAGCCTCCTGCATGCTAACCTCCATCTCAGAGTCTGCTTCCTGGAAACCTAAACAGGGACAGTGTGTTGTTCCAGGGATGTTCTTGGAAAGCAGATGAGGAGACAGTGTCTTAGAGTGGGATTACCAGCCACCCAGCTGGCATCACTGGTGGTAGATGGGGCATCGATAGCTAGTAGCAGAAGGTGGTGGTGCAGTCGCTCACTGGTGATGAGCTGCGATGGTATACTTGTGGAAGGGAGTGCATTAACTGGAACAAGGTATTAGGCATTTGAGAAATATGGGGGGTGTGGTAACTATACTGACACTCAGGAAAAGGATAATAAAAAGCTGAAAGTAATTAATCAGGTATTACAAGCTAAGTGTTGGCTGGGCATGGTGGCTCACACCTGTAATCCTAGCACTTTGGGAAGCTGAGGCGTTGGGGGGTGGTGTGGATCACTTGCGGTTAGGAGTTCGAGACCAGCCTGGGCAACATGAAGAAACCCTGTATCTACTAAAAACAAAAATTAGCCCGGCATGGTGGCAGGCACCTGTAATCCCAGCTACTGGGGAGGCTGAGGCAGAAGAATTGCTTGAACCCAGGAGGTGGAGGTTGCAGTGAGCTGAGATTGCACCACTGCACTCAAGCCTGGGTGACAGAGCGAGACATCGCTAAAGAAAAAAAAAAAAACTGTCAAAGCTGGAGGACCTTTTAAAAAAGAGTAGAGGAGCTCCAAAGGAGGTTAAACTCCCACATAAGGTGGGTCTGCTATGCCAAGGACAGGGGATCTGGGTGGGAAGAAGTGGGACCCTGACACATATCAGAGTTGATGCCCCCAGATCTTGACTTTCCAGTTTCCCTGGGAACCAAGGGGTAGAAGCAGAAGTGGCTCTGTTTACCATCATGCCCAGTGGCCAACTTGGGGACATCCCCCACCCCGTACCCTGCTGCATTCCTACATCTGTGGACTCTGTTAATTTAGAGGTCTTAGATCTCAAAGGGGAATGCTTTTATTTGGGAATAAGCAAAAGCCTTATTCAGCTATAATCTATGGCTGCCATTTGGTTATTTTGAGCTTCTTGTGACAAAGAACAGCAGGGAAATAGAGAATTCTCATCCTCACAGGACTGAATGACCCTTGTCATTAAGTGGGGTCAGGAAGGAACACATTGAGAAGGCAATATGGGGAATCTCTTCAGGTATACATTGATATAAGTCCTTGACACAGAAATCTACTTTATGGATGTACAGCTAGTCATCTGTATCCATGGGTTCTGCACCCCATGGATTTGACCAATGGCAGGTTGAAAATGTTTTGTTAAAACTTGCATCTGTACTTAATATGTACAGACTTTTTTTCTTGTCATGATTCCCTAAACAATACAGTACAACAACCATTTACATAGCACTTACATTGTATTAGGTATTGTAAGTAATACATAGATGATTTAAAGTATATGGGAGATTGTGCTTAGGTTATATGAGATTTTGGCATTTGCAGGAGGTTAATAACATTTGGAGGTGGAGCCTTTGGGAGGTAATTAAGATTAGAAAAGATCATCAGGGTGGGGCCCCCATGATAAGACTGGTGGTTTCATAAGAAGCAGAAGAGAGACCTGAGCTGGCATACACACTTCCCTCTCACCATGTGATGTCCTCTGCCATGTTATGACATAGTGAGAAGGCCCTCACCACCAGCAGCCTCTCAACCTTGGAACCCCCCGAGAAATGTAAGAAATAAATTTCTCTTCTTTATAGATTACCTAATTTTTGATGTTCTGTTATAGCAAAGAAAATGGACTAAGATAGTGAGTCTGGAGCACTTGGTTATCTGTTAGGAGGAAATGCTCCCACCAGAAAACACAATAAAGGTTACCCTGAATCTAAAGGTATGATTACCCTTTGATTATTTTGGAAATCTCATACTAGTAGAACAACAGAGATATAATTGCCTCTGATCACCATAAAGAAGTTGGATACCTGATACTAAACGGTGACACAGAACAATATATCTGAAATTCAAGGGATCCATTTGGGCATCTGTTGGTGGTCCCATGCCTTGTATTAACCATGAACAGACAATTGCAGGGATGGTGGCCTGACAAAGGAAAGCAAGGGCTCTGATTCATCCAGGTTAAAGGTCTGGTCACCTCCTAGGGCAAGCAAGCCTTGTTACATTAAATTTGAGGTGCTAAGAGACTATACAAGTGGAGATGTAGAGTAAGCAATTGGATACACAATTCTGGAGTTGGGAGAGGTCCAGGTTAGAAGCATATATTTAGGAGTCATCATCATATAGAATAGATGAGTCTACCTAGTAGGTGAGTATAAGTTACAAAAAGAAGACTTGAGGTCTGGGTCACACCAATGTTTAGAGAACATGACCTTTCAGTATTTGTTTGCAGAGGTGAGAGGTGGGAGGAAAATCAGGCATTTGGCATTCTCAAAGCCAAGTGAAGATAGTTTCCAAGGAGGAGAGTTATCAGCTGTGTCAGATGCTGCTGATAGTTGAAGTAAAATGAGGATTGAGTATTGACTCTTGGTTTTTGTGGTGTGAAATTTATTGGCGACCTTGACAAGATAGGTTTCAGTGGAGTGGGAGGGGCACAAAACTTGACTGAACTTGAAAATGGGGAGGAAACAAATAAGAGACAGTAGATGTAGACAACCCTTTCAAAGAGTTGTGTTGTTTTAAAAAATGTGGGAGTTGGGGGAGAATAGGCCAATGAGGAGGATCCCAGTGATCCAGGATAGAGGGTGAGCTGGTCAATGCAGGGGTGCAAGGGTAGACCAGTGAGGAGCTTCCTGGGATAGGCAGAAGGAGATAGGACCAGAATACAGGGTGGGGGTACTTTTAGCCAGGAGCACCTAGAATCTACCTAGAGTCAGTGGAGAGAAGAGAGAGTGAATGGGAAGAGATGTGTTTGGGTGGAGAGATATGTGGTGAGAGCTTGGAAGTTCTCTTCTAATTGCCCAATTTTCTCAGAGAAATAGGAGGAGAGGTCATCAGCGGAGAGTGAGGAGCTAGAGGCTTGAGGAGACATGGGAGGATGCACATAGGCTATATGCAAATAACATACCATTTTATACAGGGGACTTCAGCATCCATGGATGAATCACACAGTTGTCAAGGGAATGGGAGTATGAATGCAGATAAAGTGTGAAGCTGGGCAGCATCAATGGGCCACCCAAAGTTAGGGATTGTGGAGTTGGATTATGGATTTCATGATGTGAATGGGTAAAATATACTTTCACTACCTTGCTGACTGGTCTATATTGGCTCTGAAGAAGTCAGGTAAAAGTTTTATTCTTGGCCTTTATCCAACATATCTTGAAAACTGTGAAAGTGTCACTAAGCAGTTGAGCTTCATCTGTCCAAAGGTGATTTTTCCCCCGGTTAATAACATAACTTATCAGTGAGCGTTGAGAAGAGCTGAAAAGGATTGCACACATTTAAATACCTGGAAAAGCTAGTTGCAGCACTAAATGTTGTGTATCCATGCTATCATTGCTCATCTCTTGTAGAACTTTCCCCATCTGTGTTCCTTGATAAGAGTTGAGGTGTGGAAAGGTGAGGTCCTTAAAGGATAATTGTCAACACATCCACTGCCACATTCCACCATATATCCAAATTCAGAACATCTCAACACAGATTAAAACACTTAATTTCTAATACCAAGCTACACTCTTAACCAAATTAAGATAGGGAAAGATAAGAAGCCCTAAGGCATTAATCATTAAAAAAGGCATCCCAGTAACCAATATTTATAATGGCCTTTCCGTTGGCAACTTGGAGGTTTCTTCACTCGAGTTCACACACCATAGTAAAATAAGGATAGGAGCAGAATAAGACTCTCCTCCTTTTTGAGCTTGGCCAATTAAAAGGGGAGGTAGTAAAGTGAATTTTACATCACCTTGAACACAGGTGCTTTCTCAGGCAGGTTATTAGGAAAGACCACACGTGGAAATTGAAGATCTGAAAACTGATTTCTTGTTTTAAGAAACAACTTTATTGAAGCGTATCATAAAATTTAAGTCTACAATTCAATGATTTTTGTAACTTTACCAAGAGGTGCAACCATCACATTTGGTGAGTTGTAGAGCATTTTCATTGCTCAAATGAGACCCCTCATGCCCTTTACAGTTGATCTCTGTTTCAAGCCCCAGACCCAGGCAACCTTTATCTATTTTGTCTCTATAAATTTTATAAATTTGCTTTTCTGAATCTTTCATACCAATGAAGAAATTGAGTTTTAAAACATATATATGCCTACTTACCTCTCGGAAAGTCGTTGCATATATACTGTTCTATAGCATTCTCTTGCCCAAGGGATGGGACCCCTGTCTCAGGTCTATGGTATTTTTGGAAGAATATCTATTCATATCTCTGTATCTCTATAGATCTATTTATATAAAATATTCAATATACAATCTTCTTACCTTTATGATGAGTCCCAGTTGCTTTGTCTAGGGCACAGAGGGAATCCCAGCAACAGGAGTAGCTCAAGATTGGGCAGGTCCTGGGGTGTCTGGGCAGCTACTGTTCTCTCTCCTCTCTAAGTCAGGGCATCCTTTCCTTTCTCCTCCCCCTAGGACACACCAGGAGGTCTCCCTGCCCTCTTTCCAGACTTCACTTTGTTGAGTCCTCAAAGCCCCAAACCAGGATGGAGGCTTATACTGAAAGACACCAAATCACATTCTGTCCATCATGCAGGGCCTCTTTCACAGATTTGCTTACCGCCACAGTGCACAGGGACCCGTCTGAATCTCTATGGACTGTGCACATCAGCTCCCAGGAACTCTGGTCCTTTCCTTGCATTTTCTATGTTAACATATGGGCCCACTATCCATTCAGTTGTCTAAGCCAGAAACCGCAGTCAGCCAAGATCCTTCTCACTTCTTCCATATGCAATTGTCACCAAGGCCTGCTAATATGATATCTGCTAGCTTTTAGTTGATCTTCTCCTGATTCCTCAGTCACTGCATTTTGTTGGAGTGGTCATCTGTCTTTCCTGGAGTGTAGCTGTAGCTCCTGTTCTGCTCTTACTTCCAAACTAAGCTGGAGGAGTCTTTCCAAGGTGAAAAGCTGATCAAGTTCATCTCATTGTGGAGATTCAATGGCTTTGATGATAAAATGTACATTTCTTGGCTTCCTACACTGGGATTTTGTTGATTTGTCCCTGACTCCTCTCCCTTGCCTTCACAAGCTCCTTCTACTATAAACATAACAATGTTCTTGCATTTCATGCTTGCATCTTCTCATTCCCTGGATTGTTCCTACTCTTCCCTCAGACTCAGCAAAGGCATCCCTACTTCAGGGAAGCCTTATAAATACATCTACTTGGTTTTACATGGCTGTCTCTCCAACCCAACTTTCAGTGTTTCCCCTGCCCCTCCTCCCACTGCCACCAGGCTGACAATATCTTAAGGGCAGAGTTCGTATTTTATACTTCTCCAGAGTCATTGCACGTGATAGACGTCATTCAATATTTGGAGTTTCTTAGTCTCTTAAAAAAACACACCTTTTTTTGGAGAAAGGGAAACATGTACACTGCTGCTTGGAATATAAATTAATTTGGCCAATGTGGAAAGTGGTTTGGTGATTTCTGAAAGAACTTAAAAAACAGAATCACGATTCAACTCAGCAACCTTATTACTAGGTATATACCCAAAGGAATATAAATCATTCTACTATAAAGACACATGCACACGTATGTTTATCACAGGACAATTTATGATAGCAAGGACATGGAATCAACCTAAATGCCTATCAATGGTAGGCTGGAGAGAGCAGCCTGGCCAACATGGTGAAACCCTGTCTCTACAAAAAATACAAAAAAAATTACTGGGCATAGTGGTGGCCGCCTGCAATCCCAGCTACTTGGGAGGCTGAGGCAGGAGAATCGTTTGAACCCTGGAGGCGGAGGTTGCAGTGAGCCAAGATCACGCCATTGCACTTCAGCCTGGGCAACAGGGTGAGATTCTGTCTCAAAAAAAAAAAAAAAAAGGTAGCCTGGATAAAGAAAATGTGGTATGTATACATCATGGAATACTATGCCGCAGTAAAAAGAACAAAATCGTGTCCTTTGCAGCAACATGCATGGAGCTAGAGACAATTATCCTAAGAAAACTAATGCAGGAGTAGAAAACCAAATACTTAATGTTTTCCCTTATAAGTGGGAGCTAAACATTGAGTACATATGGATACAAAGAAGGGAACAACAGACATCAGAGTCTACTTGAGGGCGGAGGATGGGAAGAGGGTGAGGCTGGAAAAACTACTCCTGTGACATGCAATGTACCTACATAACAAACCTGCACATGTACTCCTGAACCTAGAAAAAAAGTCACATCTCTGTCTTAATGTCTGTCCTCTGTAGATGCCTTGAGCCTCTTATGGGATCATGAGGATTGTGTGCTGGGATCCCGGCAGACAAAGCTGAGATTCAGCTGGATAAAGCAGGCTGTAGCACAGCTGATGTTTGTTCTCTGTGGAAATCAGGCTCTTTTCTCCTAAGGTGAGTTCTAGAGCAGTTATTTCTACTATTAGTCCATTTTTTTGGCGTATATTCTATGTGCCTAACTGAGGTTCATTTGGTGTTTTCATCTTCATGCAAGCCCACTGAAGTGGGTGGTACTATCCCTGCTTGACACATAGGAAACTGAGTCATATACAAGTTAAATAACTTGCCCAACAAATATAATCATTATTCATTAACACATAGATTTGTCTTTAAACCCCATGCTCTTAACTTTTTTTTTTTTTTTTTGAGACAGGATCTCACTCTGTTGCCCAGGCTGGAGTGCAGTGATGCCATCTTGGCTCATTGCAGCCTCCGCCTCCCGGGTTCAAGCGATTCTCCCACCTCAGCCTCCTGAGTAGCTGGGACTACAGGCATGCACCACCATGCCAGGCTAATTTTTATAGTTTTTTTTTTTTTTAGAGACAGGGTTTCACCATGATGGCCAGGCTCCCATGCTCTTAACTTCTAAGCCATAATGTTTTATGAATTCAGTTATGAATTGGATACGTGTTGTGAACTAAAATTCAAGCAATTTTGTATTCTAACCCAACATGAACATTGAAGTTAGTGGGGTGCCTAAATGCTGGCTGAGGGTGGGAAACCAAGTTAACTACAGAGCCTCTTGCCTGGTCCTGCCTTCAAGTGCACCTTCCCAGTCTCAGCCTGGGCTGCTCTGAACAGGTTTTCTTGGACTTGTCAGCAAGATACAGGCTTCCATTGACAGTTTTGGAGTCAGGCTTAAATATGTGGAAAATGCCTCTATGTCAGGCAATTTCTTTCCAAAGTATGCTTAACTTCTTCTGGCTTTCATAGTTGTGAATCTATAAATTCTTTTGAGTAGAAAAGTGGTTTGCATCCTTGACAAAGTAGTTGGCATTAGAACCTAGTCTCGTCAGTGTTTGTTTGGCTTTTTGATTTTTAAAATTCAGAACAAATTGTAATGTGACTCAGGTCTTGAACGTATAACTCAGTGTTCCTGCACCAGGAGGGAAGAAGTGTGCTCCTCTTTAGGTAGAGAAGTTCTAGGAATACCACATAAAATTATATATATACACATATACATGAATATACACATACATGTATGTATACATGAATATATATGTGAAAATGTTTTGGCAACTGTAAATTGCTATACAGATGCTGGGTATGTAACTTTGTTAATTTTGTCATTTTGTATATAGCAGCTCTCATACTATTTGCTGTATTTAGCGGTTTTATTTTTCTTAAAATTCCTTGCCTTTTCAAAGCTCTTAATGAGGCATTTTTTCCCTTCTGTTCTTTCCCTGACATGCCCCATCCCCACAATTTGCCCTAAAGAGGAAAACAAAAAATTTTCTTTATGACAATCAGCACTTTCAACACTTCCGTGACCAAACGAGTGGCTTCCCCCAACACTCCCCCACACCAACCAATTCTCCCATTCTTTGGATGCCAGCTGGGCATCCTATAGTTCAATTGTGACACCAACTACCTGGAGTTAGTGTTAGTATAGGTTAAGGGCTCAGTCCCACAAGACTGTCCCTGCTCCAGAAGCCAGTTGCAAGTGCTGAATCCCCAAGTTACCCGCACTTCTGTCAGCCTTCGCTACAAAACCCAGGACCTCCTCTTCAAGTTTGACAATTTGTTGTGTTGGCTCTCAGGACTCAGGGAAACACTTTTGCTGGTTTATTATTAAGGATATGATAGAGGATACATATGAATAGCCAAATGAAAACATATATAGAGCAAGGTCAGCAAGGGTCCTGAATGCAGGGGCTCAGTCCCCGTGGAGTTGGGGTGCACTGCCCTCTGGGCACATGGGTGTGTTCACCAACACAGGAGGTCTCTGAACTCTGTCTTTTAGGGATTTTTATGGAGGCTTCATGTAGGCGTGATCAATTATTAACTCAAACTCTATCTCTTCTCCCCTCCCTAAGGATGGGAGTGGAGCTGAAAGTTCCAAGCTTCTAACCACGGCTTGGTCTTCCTGGAGACCAGCCCTCATTAAGGAGCCCAGCAAGAGTCACCTCATTAGAAGAAAAGATGCTCCTATTACACAGGAAATTCCAAGGCATTTAGGATCTCTGTGTCTGAAACTGGGGTCAAAAATCAAATATTAGAACAAAAGACACTCCTAGCACCTTTATGGCTTAGACAATTACAAAGGTTTTAGGAGCTATGGCCAATAGCTGGGAAAGAAGATCAAAATGTAAATTTCTTATGTCATAATATCACAACTTTTAGTTTCCCCTCTGTGTCTCTGAACATACAATCAGACAGGAACTCATATAATTACATCATTTGGTACGTTTACATAAATGTATTTACATGCTACACATCATTTGTTAACTTGTCTTTTTCATGTTAATGTGTCTCAGATATATTTTTGAATCAGCACATGGTATATTTACCTCATTGAAGAGCAATTCTGCACTTTTTGACGGAAGGCACTCATAAGAATACGGGGAGACTAGCAGCCATGTTTCAATCCTGCAGTGGAGCTGACGCCCGACTGGGCACTAGTGCTCTACTTGTGCAAAACGATGTCATAACAGATCCTGCCTTTTGAGTGGCCTGGGGTCAGTGGTCAGTAGACCTTTGCTCTTCAGAGTCCTCGGGAATCAGAACATGAGCAAACGAGAAGGCACAGAAACCCAAGTCACACTGACACAGTGGTAGTAGGTTCTAGTCCATTCTCAATCTTTCTACTTTGAAGAAATGCTTGAGTTAATTTTCAGGTCTCCGGGAATCCCTGCATAAATATAATTACATCTAAAGCTATGGGTCATTGTTATGAGAGTGAGCTATGGATGTAATAACCTACTATTATTTGTCAGTGTTATTTTTTATAGGGACTGATATTTTTCAGTGGATCTATTTACTGTAGCCAATCTATCAGCCTCCTCTTTTTGTGTGTTCCCCCTCCCCTCTGCCCCACAAAGGATATCCCTTCTACTGCAAGTCAGTAATGTAGGTGAGGAGACTTCAGTTTCTTCTTTTAATAAATTCCTACCTGATTTTTGAAAAATTTTATCCAAGTAGGCTTCAAAGTTTTATCACACATTCATAGTATAAGACACACTAATGAGGTATGGGACATGGTATATGATATATGCAAGAGTAATTATTTCTCCTATTTAAAGCTAACTTTTTTTTAACCAACCTGTGTTGAATAAAATCAGGTAGCTAACGACTGGATAACTTTGAAAAATCCATCTCTTTCTTTTTCATAAATTTTAAAAACCCTTAAGATAAACATAATATATTTCTTCTAAATAACTGGCTTAGCTCTCAAAAAAAAAAAAAAAAAAAAAAAGAAAAACATCCCTCTCCCTCTCCCTCGTCTCCATCTCCCGGTTTCCATGGTCTCCCCCTCTTGCTCTTCTCCGTCTCCCGCTTTCCACGGTCTCCCTCTGTTGCCGAGGCTGGACTGTACTGCCACGATCTCGGCTCACTGCAACCTCCCTGCCTGATTCTCCTGCCTCAGCCTGCCGAGTGCCTGGGATTGCAGGCACGCGCTGCCACGCCTGACTGGTTTTTGTATTTTTTGGTGGAGACGGGGTTTCGCCCTGTTGGCCGGGCGGGTCTCCAGCTCCTGACCTCGAGTGATCTGCCCGCCTCGGCCTCCCGAGGTGCCAGGATTGCAGATGGAGTCTCGCTCACTCAGTGCTCAATGTTGCCCAGGCTGGAGTGCAGTGGCGTGATCTTGGCTCGCTACAACCTCCACCTCCCAGCCGCCTGCCTTGGCCTCCCAAAGTGCTGAGATTGCAGCCTCTGCCCGGCCGCCACCCCCTCTAGGAAGTGAGGAGCGTCTCTGCCTGGCCACCCATCGTCTGGGATGTGAGGAGCCCCTCTGACCGGCCACCCAGTTTGGGAAGTGAGGAGCACCTCTTCCCGGCCGTCATCCTGTCTAGGAAGTGAGGATCGTCTCTGCCTGGCCGCCCATTGTCTGGGATGTGGGGAGCACCTCTGCCCGGCCGCCACCCAGTCTGGGAGGTGAGGAGCGCCTCTGCCCGGCCGCCACCCCATCTGGGAAGTGAGGAGCCCCTCCGACCGGCAGCCACCCCATCTGAGAAGTGAGGAGCCCCTCCGCCCGGCAGCTGCCCCATCTGGGAAGTGAGGAGCCCCTCCGCCCAGCAGCCGCCCCGTCTGAGAAGTGAGGAGTGTCTCCGCCTGGCAGCTGCCCAGTCTGGGAAGTGAGGAGTGCCTCCGACCGGCTGCCCCATCTGGGAGGTGGGGGGCGCCCCCGCCCGGCAGCCACCCCGTCTGGGAGGTGGGGGGGCGCCACGTCTGGGGGGTGGGGGGGGCCCCTCTGCCCTGCCACCACGTCTGGGAAGTGAGGAGCCCCTCTGCCTGGCTGCCACCCCGTCTGGGAGGTGTACCCAACAGCTCATTGAGAACAGGCCGTGATGACCATGGCGGTTTTGTCGAATAGAAAAGCGGGAAATGTGGGGAAAAGAAAGAGAGATCGGATTGTTCCTGTGTCTGTGTAGAGGGAAGTAGACATAGGAGACTCCATTTTGTTCTGTACTAAGAAAAATTCTTCTGCCTTGGGATGCTGTTAATCTATAACCTTACCCCCAACCCCGTGCTCTCTGAAACATATGCTGTGTCAACTCAGGGTTAAATGGATTAAGGGCGGTGCAAGATGTGCTTTGTTAAACAGATGCTTGAAGGCAGCATGCTCGTTAAGAGTCATCACCACTCCCTAATCTCAAGTACCCAGGGACACAAACACTGAGGAAGGCCGCAGGGTCCTCTGCCTGGGAAAACCAGAGACCTTTTTTCACATGTTTATCTGCTGACCTTCTCTCCACTATTGTCCTATGACCCTACCAAATCCCGCTCTCCGAGAAACACCGAAGAATGATCAATAAATACTAAAAAAATTAAAAAAAAAACTACCAGAAAAAAAAAGAAAAACAACAATGCTCTATACATTATATGAATTACATTTCTCTCTTTTTATAATTAATTTTTTATACAACAAATGTACATTTATTGTCTAAAAATTCTAACAGATTCTAACAGTACAGAGGTATACAGGGTACAAAAGTCAAAATCTCAGTTCATCTCTCCTCAGGCCCGATAGGGTTGAGACTCACCACAACATACTTTTTTTTTTCTGAAAACATGTCACGTTCATAAGCACATCATACTTTCTATGGGAAGCAATGATTAGCTGTTCACAGTGGACCCTTCCAGACTTTTTCTATATATCTGTATCTATTTACACATATAGGTGCTATGAATCTTTTATGTTTTTATTACATATGTTGGATTGTATTAAACATATTGTTCTGAAAAAAAAAATAGCTGGCTTAAACCAAAAAGCAAATGAATTTTGAAAAGTCAGCTTGGTAGACTTCTTTAAATAAGGATTATAAATTTATTTTAATTACTGTTATTTACTATATAAAAATTTTTGCAAGTATTGAATAGTAAAGCAATTAATCACAAGCCAAAGCAAAATGAGTAAGAATATAGTTTAAGACATTATTTTATTAAAGATTTGAAGTTTTTTTCACTGAGTGACATGATAAAGGTCAAATAAAGGTCTAGCAGATGCAAAATTATTATGCACATATATTAGTTTCTTGATTTCCTTTATAGGCTTATATGTGCATACAAAGTGTTTTTCTGAGGTTAAAAATATAGAATGAAATTCACATCTTTTATCTAAAACATATCCTTACTTTTTACTGCATAAATACATACTGAATTCTGGGCCAAACTCGTGATAAGCACACATGGATATCATTTTCACCTGAAACGAGGCGACATCTGTCCCAGTTCTTGATGGTTGTTAAACAAAAGAAAGCTTGCTTACACGTGTAAGAAATTAAAAACTTCAGCAGATTGTTCATTGTTTTCTTATGAGTGGTAGGATCCTCTTACAGAAATACAAAACTTTTCTAGGGCAGATCAGGAAATCTCACGTGGTTTACTTCACAAAGTTCTTCCTCTTTCTCAAAGTCAAATTCTTGGGATGAGCAGAATACATAGATTCGGAGACAGGATCCTTATCCTGCAATATGCTTGTGTGGAAAGGAAGGAAAATACTGTTAAATTTTGTTCTGCAGTTTTCCTGATGGTTTTCAATAAGGCTTGAGACTTTCTGTATAATAAATAATTTAACTTTATCCAAAAAGATGTCTGACCACCTTTTTTTTTTCCCCTTTGCTCTCAGCTTCTGGGAGGTGGTCTCTAAGCCCTTAGAATGTCCTGTCTGGTAGGAGTGGCTTTTTAATTGATCTTACAAATGCTTTTTCTGTCTCAATCCTAAAAGGAATAAATTGGAGTTTGCCTTTCTGTGAGAATGATTCCAATTTACATTTACCGAATTGCTATAGGTACTGTCATAAACTGGTGAGAGGAGGTTTGGATTGATGCAGGTTCTGAGTGTAATATTACACTATGTTGATGATATCATGATAATGTCTGAAACTGAAGACCAGGATGGACTGACCTAAATGGGGGATGACACACTTGACCAGCACAGGATTGTTGATAACTCCTGCAAAAGTCAAAGAGCCTGCTCAATTGGTGAAATTCTTAGGAATAACCTGGGTAGGAGCCACCCATGACATTATACAGGTGACTACAAACTGCTGTCAATATCTATTCCTAGATCTAACTAAGAATGTTAGTTATAATCTAGTCCAACTTTTGTGTGGTAGCTTTGAGTTTTGAAGGATGCATATTCTACATTGGGTATATTGCTAGCTTTTGTCCATACAACTACCCCCAAAGAGGGCCATACTTGAATGGGGACCCAAACAAAATCAGGCCATGTCAGAAGTGTGAAAAGTATTTTCTCTCCAGATGCTTTTGGGCCCTTATGTTCCACACTCATACATGATTTTGGAAGTCTCTGTAACATACTTACGTGGACTGGAGGTTACTGTAAAAGCTTATGAGTGCCACCCAGAGGGGGCCAATGGAATTTTGTACTAGAACATTCTTGGATGGCGTGGTAAGATATATGCCAGGAGGGAAACAACTTCTAGTTTGCTATTGGGAATTAATGGAGACTGCCTCTATGACTGAAGGATGTAAAATACTCCTGAAACCTGAAATATCCGTAATGTCTTGGGTGATGTCAGAGAAACACTCTAATAAAGAAGGCAGTGTCTGGAAGTGTTCCATGATAAAATGGAAATGGGTTCTATAGGAACATGTTACTGGGGGAATGCAGAGGGACTCATTGTATCTACAAGCAGGTAGGCTCTTTCCCTCTACCACTGACTTTGGAACTGTTGTCAGTGGGCTGGTTCAGGTTCTTGACTTTGCCACACAAAAGAATTTCAGAATGAGTCCAAAGTAAGTAGGCAAATAAGTTTATTGCAAAGTGAAAGTACACCATGAGTATTCATAAAGTACTGGTGAGGGCAAATATGCAAAGGTGGACCTGCGATTGGCATGTGTGCTCAGTATCTACATGCTCTAACATGGATCACATGTATCATTAGCATATAAAATCTCCACCTAGGGGTGTGTTTTTTACTATCAAAATGAGGAAAAAGCCATTATAAACTAAACCTGAGCCTAGCTGCTCATGCAGGACCCTTGAGAAGTGCCTATTTCCCCTAAGGCAGAAATTTGATTGGCTGGAGATTGGGGAAGCTACATCAGGAATAAGGGGCTTTTGTTCTCTTTCCCAGGCTGTACTGGATATCAGGAACTTGTAACTATCTGGCAGCTGCTGGTATCCTGGAGGACTGCTTATCTTGCACAATATATTAGGTGCTGATGCACGAGTTTGCAAGGGATGCAGAGTCTGCTGTGAAAAAAGCCCACAGGGCTTCACACAGGAGGACAAGTCAGTATGGCCTTCTAACCTTACTTATCCTGCCTCAGAACCACCTGAGAGGCTGCTGGATCCGATCACCACCTGGACAGTGCCCTGTTAACAGATCTGCGTTAACCAACAAATACAGATCTGTATTAACCAAAGAGCTGCTTGGTTTGCAGATGACAGTTCCAAGATGGATGAATGGCATCCTGTCTGGAAGGCCACCACACTAAGACTGGCAGATTGAAAGGCTCTGTTTGAAGAAGGTAACAAATTAACTCAACAGACTTAATTACATGCTGTTTTCCTGGCAGTGATGGGAGAATTGAACAACAATAAAAAAGCCTTTAGGTTTGGGTTTTTACTGACTCATGGGCAGTGGCCAGTGGCGTGGCTATATGGTCAAGTAGATGGGCAATGGAACACTGGTCTATTAAATGGATGCTCACATAGGGCATGACCTTATGGAAATTAGGCAAGTCTCCTCTAAGAAAGACTTGGTCAGAGACCAGGGGGTGGCCAGTATATTAAAATATACCCCTGAGTATTTAAGGAGTGCATTAAAATAGGACATGTTGATGCCCACAAGAAGAGCTCCTTTCTAGGGTCAGAAGGTAATTAGAATTGACAAAAATATATCCTGGTTTGCTGCTTGATGTGGCTACTTGGGTCCCTGAAATGAAAGGATGTGGAAGTATTACAGCAATGCAGAGATGGACTGAATCCAGCCATTTTCCTCTTGCAGAAATTGCCAACAAGATCTGGTCTGGTCTGTGTGCCAATAAAAGAGACAAAGACTGCAGATGGCTATGGGACAGATTTCCTGGGAGAGGGTCCTCCCATAGCTGACAAGTTGATTACAATTCTTCTCCAGATCACCTCATTTTTTTTTTTTCTGTATCATTTCAATTTTCTTTTTTCCTACTTGATGTAGTGATCCCAGCACCAGAGCTGTGACTGCAGATTCAGGAGTCAGGGATGATCCCTAAGCAGGAAACTGTAACTGTACTTTGAAACTTTTAGATCAGAATTCCTAAGATCCTGATGAAATGAATTGTGCCTTCACCCCATCCTGCAGAATTGGGGTTGACAGTGACTGCAACAATATTGCCTAGTGGTAATGATGCCCCACTAGTTCTGTGCCTGTCTAACCCTACCCTATGTCAGCAAGAGTGAGCCGAGGGTGTGACACCTGCTGGACTAATCTTGTTGCTGGACATCTGGATCAGGACAGTGGCTGAACCTCACGTCTCTCAGAGGTGGCAAAGGATGGGTCAAAAGATAAAGGGAGAGAGGAGGAATAGCAGTTGAAGATGAATGAATAAATGAGCTATGTAATGAGGAAAATCCACTATTACATTTGTACCTCAAGAGAGGCTCAAAGCAAGAGATGATATTGTCTCTCTTAGCTCAATCATATCAGATGTCTGAAAGGGTGAGGCCATTTGTTGCCAAGACCACTTCTGCTTTTGGAACCTGACAAACTAGAATAGAAGCCTGCAAACCTGAGTGGCATTGCTCTGGGAGACATTTTGGGCATATGAATTAATGATAAACTGAATCAACTGTTAATGACTGAGTGAGATTCTGGTAATCTACCATTCTGCAAAAACAGTATGACACTGGTATTGCTGGTAAGGTTGTAAACTGATACTGATGATCAATGTATTGGTGTGTCTGGAATTGGTGGGTTCTTGGTCTCATTGACTTCAAGAATGAAGCCACGGACCCTCGCGGTGAGTGTTACAGCTCTTAAGGTGGCGCGTCTGGAGTTTGTTCCTTCTGATGTTCAGATGTGTTCTGAGTTTCTTCCTTCTGGTGGGTTCGTGGTCTCGCTGGCTCAGGAGTGAAGCTGCAGACCTTCGCGGTGAGTGTTACAGCTCTTAAGGCAGCGCGTCTGGAGTTGTTCGTTTGTCCCGTTGGGCTCGTGGTCTCGCTGGGTTCAGGAGTGAAGCTGCAGATCTTCGAGGTGAGTGTTACAGCTCATAAAAGCAGCGTGGACCCAAAGAGTGAGCAGTAGCAAGATTTATTGCAAAAAGCGAAAGAACAAAGCTTCCACAGTGTGGAAGGGGACCCGAGTGGGTTGCCACTGCTGGCTGGGGCAGCCTGCTTTTATTCTCTTATCTGGCCCCACCCACATCCCGCTGATTGGTAGAGCCAAGTGGTCTGTTTTGACAGGGTGCTGATTGGTGCGTTTACAATCCCTGAGCTAGATATAAAGGTTCTCCAAGTCCCCATCAGACTAGTTAGATACAGAGTATAGACACAAAGGTTCTCCAAGGCCCCACTAGAGCAGCTAGACACAGAGTGTTGACTGGTGCATTCACAAACCTTGAGCTAAACACAGGGTGCTGATTGGTGTGTTTACAAACCTTGAGCTAGATACAGAGTGCCAATTGGTGTATTTACAATCCCTGAGCTAGACATAAAGATTCACCAAGGCCCCACCAGAGCAGCTAGATACAGAGTGTCGACTGGTGCATTCACAAACCTTGAGCAAACACAGGGTGCTGATTGGTGTGTTTACAATCCCTGAGCTAGACATAAAGACTCTCCACATCCCCACCAGACTCAGGAGCCCAGCTGGCTTCACCTAGTGGATCCCCCACCAGGGCTGCAGGTGGAGCTGCCTGCCAGTCCCGCGCCGTGTGCTCCTACTCCTCAGCCCTTGAGTGGTTGATGGGACTGGGCGCCGTGGAGCAGGGGGTGGTGCTCGTCGGGGAGGCTCGGGCCGCACAGGAGCCCTTGGAGTGGGTAGGAGGCTCAGGCATGGCGGGCTGCAGGTCCCGAGCCCTGCCCCCACGGGAAGGCAGCTAAGGCTGGGTGAGAAATCGAGGGCAGCGCCGGTGGGTTGGCACTGCTGGGGGACCCAGTACACCCTCCGCAGCCGCTGGCCCGGGTGCTAAGTCCCTCATTGCCCAGGGCCAGCAGGGCTGGCCCGCTGCTCCAAGTGCGGGGCCCGCCAAGCCCACGCCTACCCGGAACTCCAGCTGGCCCGCAAGTGCCGCACGCAGCCCCGGTTCCCGCTCACGCCTCTCCCTCCACACCTCCCTGCAAGCTGAGGGAGTGGGCTCCAGCCTTGGCCAGCCCAGAAAGGGGCTCCCACAGTGCAGTGGTGGGCTGAAGGGCTCCTCAAGTGCCGCCAAAGTGGGAGCCCAGGCAGAGGAGGTGCCGAGAGCAAGCGAGGGCTCTGAGGACTGCCAGCACGCTGTCACCTCTCATTGGGAAATGGGGTTAAAGCTCCTTAGAATGTAATGTTGATGGAAAATGACTGCCTTGTGGAAGAACTGGAGTTAGCTAATCATAAGCTAATTTTTATGTTAAATAGTTCTGCACAAATTTATCACAAGATACAAATAGTGGTAGATGAAGGGGGGAAATGTAACCAAATCAGTATTAATATATCAATTGTATGCAATGGCTTTATAGGATGGATTAACTGTTTCTTGTAATATATTTCTATCCCTTACTGGCTCCTCCAAATATTAAGGTTATATTTGTTTTGCTCTAAGAGAGACTTGGTCAGAGACCAGGGAGTGGCCGGTATATTAAGGGATGTAATCTTGCCCCTCAAATGCCTGTCCTTTGCCTTCAGCTTCTATAATAAACTGTAGTTTGTGAGGGTCCTCTTCCTGATTTGTAGAAGGACACCTTCTTGCTTGTATCCTTGTATGATGGTGAGGAAGAGCAGTCATCTCTCCTGTGCCTGCCTTTCTCCTTTCTCTTTCTTTCTTTCTTTCTTTCTTTCTTTCTTTCTTTCTTTCTTTCTTTCTTTCTTTCTTTCTCTCTTTCTCTCTTTCTCTCTTTCTCTCTTTCTTTCTCTCTTTCTCTTTCTTTCTCTCTTTCTCTCTTTCTTTCTTTCTTTCTCTTTCTTTGTTTCTTTCTTTTTCTTTCTTTCTCTCTCTTTCTTTCTTTGTTTCTTTCTTTCTCTTTTCTTTCTTTCTTTCTTTCTTTCTTTCTTTCTTTCTTTCTCTCTCTCTCTTTCTTTCATCTTTCTTTCTCTCTCTTTATCCCTTCCTTCCTTCCTCTCTCCCTTCCTTCTTTCCCTCCTTCCCTCTCTCTTTCTTTCCTTCTTCTTCTTTTCCTTCCTTCCTTCCTTCCCTCCTTTCTCTCTCTCTCTTTCTTTCTTTCTTCTTCTTATCTTTCTTTTCTTTCTTTCATAAAAAATTAAATAGAAATAGGGTCTCACTATGTTGCCCAGGCTGGTCTTGAGCCCCTGAGCTCAAGTGATCCTCCTGCCTCGGCCTCCCAAAGTGCTAGGATTACAGGCATGAGCCACTGCACCCAGCCAGCTTGTGTCTTTTCTTATAAGGGCAGTAATCCCATTCATGAGAGCTCCACCTTCATGACTTAATTATCTCCCAAAGGTCCCACCTCTAAATACCATCACATTGGGGATTAGAGCTTTCACATATGAATTTTGGGGGCACACAAAATTTAGTTCCTAGCACAACTTTTTGTATTAGTGCACTGAAGTGATCTAGATGACTGCAGTTCTTTCCCATAAATCTTGTCAGCGAGAGAATTACAAGAAATTGAAAGAAGTTCACAGTACATTCACTTCTAGCTTACATAATTCAAATTTTTTTAACATTTAGAAGAGTAAAGCTCTTGTGGGGCAGCTGCTGGGCATGAAAGTTTGCTCCTGATTTTCTATTGCCCCTGTCGAGCATGTTCACTACTGTCAGGGAGTCAGTTGTTTATCAGGGAAGGTTAGGGAGGAAAATCCAGGGGGATATACTGACATCGGCAGCCTACCCTCCCTCCTTTTGTGCAATGCAGTGCTTGCCATTTATCAATACCCTCTTTTATCTTACATTAAATATTGAGAACGGATGCAACCAAATGACCACAGTTCTGCATCTCACTGCCGCACAGGACAGAAAGCTTTCTAAAAAAATTGCCAACGTGGCTGCTCTGTCACTGCCCTTCACTGGAAAACCTCAGTATCACCCAAACTGCAAAGTTCAACAGCTGATTTTTTTCAATCATTTTTTCTTCTCTTATTTTCAAATATTTAATTGACAATTTAGATTGTGTATCTCACATTCGAAGTGTACAATGTGACGATTTTATATATAAATGCATTGTGTAATAATTATCAAAATCAAATTAACACATCTGTCACCACCCATGCTGTATTTTAACTCTCCAGAACTTGTTTATCTTATGACTGAAGGTTTGTCCTCTTCGATCAACATCTCCCTATGTCTCCTTAACCCCCATCGCTGGCAACCATTATTCTACTCTCTGTTTCTATAAGTTCAACTCTTTTAGACTCCACATATAAGTGAGATCATACAGTATATGTCTTTCTGTATCATTTATTTCATTAAACATGTTGTCCTTCAGGTTGATTCATGTTGTCACAAATGGTAGTGTTTCCTTTTTTAATGGCTGAATATTTGTCATACACACACACTCACATATATATAAACACACACCACAATTTCTTTATGCATTTATCCATCGATTGACACTTAGTAGTTTCCAAGTCTTGGCTATTGTGAGTAATGCTGAAATGAACATGGGAGGGCGGGTATTTCATCGAGCTACTGATTTCGTTTCCATTGCATATATACTCAGAAGTGAGATTGCTAGATCATATGGTTATTCTAGCTTTAATTTTTGAGGAAACTCCATACTGTTTTCCATAATGGCCATATCAATTTACATTTCCACTAATAGTGTACCTGTTTCTCTCCATCCTTACTAACATATATCTTTTGTCTATTTTGATAACAGTCATCCTGACATGAGAGGTGACATCTCATTGTGGTTTTTATTTACATTTCCTTGGTGATTAGAGATGTTGAGCACCTGTTCATGTAGCTGTTAGCCACTTGTATGCATTATTTGGAGAAATATCTATTCAGGTTCTTTGCCCATTTTAAAATTGGATTATAAGTTTTTGTTATTAGGTTGTATGACTTCTTTGTATATTTTAGATATTAATCCCTTATCAGATATATGGCTTACAAACATTTTCACCCATTCGGTAAGTTGCCTTTTTGTTTTATTGTTCTTTTTTTTGTGCAGAAACTTTTTAGCTTGATGTAGTTACTTATTTATTTTGCTTTGGTTACTTTTGCTTTTGGTGTCATATCCAAAAAGTAATTGCAATGACTAATGCCAAGCAACTTTTTTTTCTATTTTTTTCTAGAATTGTTATGGTTTCAGATCTTACATTTAAAAGTCTTTAATTCAAATCAAGTTAATTTTTGTGAGTGGTGTAAGATAAAGGCCCAATTTTATTCTTTTGCATGTGGACATTCAGTTTTCCCAGCACCATTTATTGAAGAGATGATCCTTTCCCCATTGTGTGTTCTTAGTACCTTTGTCAAATATTAACTGATTGTATATGTGTGGGTTTATTTCTGGGGTCTTGATTCTGTTCTATTGATCTATTTATCTGTTTTTATGTCAGTACCATACTGTTTTGATTACAATGCTTTTGTAATATACTTTGAAATCAGGAAATGTGATGCCTATAGCTTTGCTCTTCTTTCTCAAGATTACTGTAGCTATTTGGGGTCTTTTGTAGTTCCATACGAATTTTAAAATTGTCCTTTCTATTTCTGTGAAGAATGCAATTGGAATTTTGACAGGAATTTGATTGAATTTGTAGATTGCTTTGGGTAGCGTGAATATTTTCACAATACTAATTTTTCCAATCCATGAACATGGAATATCTTTCCATTTATTTGTATATTCTTCAATTTCTTTCATCAGTATCTTATAGTTTCCAGTGTACAAGTCTTTCACCTCCTTGGTTAAATTTATTCCTAGGTATTTTATTGTTTTCGATGCTATTATAAATGGAATTATTTTCTTTATTTCTTTTTCAGATATTTCATTGTTAGTGTATAGAAATGCAACTAATTTTTTTGGTGTTGATTCTGTAGCTGCAATTTTACTGAATTTGTTGATTAGTCTTAATAGTTTATTGGTGGAGTCTTTAGAGTTTTCTTATATAAAATCATGTCATCTTCAAACAGAGACAATTTTACTTCTTCCTTTCCTATTTTGATTCCTTCCTTCCTTCCTTCATTTCCTCCTCCTCCTCCCTTTCCTCCTCCTCCTCTTCCTTTTCTTTCTTTCTTCCTTTCTATCTCCTTCCTTCCTTCCTTCCTTCCTTCCTTCCTTCCTTCCTTCCTTCTTCATTGCTTGGCTAGGACTTACAGTACTACGTTGAATGGAAATGATGAGAGTGGGCATCTTTGTCTTATTCCTAATCTTAGCAGAAAAGCTTTTGACTTTTCACTGTTGAGTATGATACTAGCTGTGGGCTTGTCATATATGGCCTTTGGTATGTTGAGGCACATTCCCTCTATACCTAATTTGTTAATAGTTTTTACCATGAAAGGATGTTGTGTTTCATCAAATGCATTTTTTTTGCATTTATTGATGTGATCATATGATTTTTAGTTTTCATTCTATTAACATAGTGTATCACATTTGTTGATTGTATGTGTTGAACCATTCTCACATCCCAAGGATAAATCCTTCTTGATCATGGTAAATGATCATTTTAGTAGGCTGTTCAATGTGGTTTGCTAGCATTTTGTTGAGTATTTTTACATCTATGTTCATCAGGGATATGGGTCTGAAATTTTATTTTCTTACAGTGTTTTTATCTGGCTTTGGTGTCAGAGTATTGCTGGTCTTATAAAATGAGTTTGGAAGAGTTTTTTCCTCTTCAATTTTTTGGACAATTTTGAGTAGGATTGGCATTAATTCTTCTTTTAATGTTTGGTAGAATTCACCTGTGACACTAGCTGGTCCTGGAATTCTGTTTGTTGGGAGATTTTTTTTTTTTCAAGAAGTAAGCTTAAATCTCATGTTGGGAGGTTTTATTAAAAATTATTAATTCAGGCTGGGCACAGTGGCTCACGTCTGTAATCCTAGTACTTTGGGAGGCTGAGGTGGGCAGATTACCTGAGGTCAGGAGTTCAAGACCAGCCTGGTCAACATGGCGAAACCCCGTCTCTACTAAAAATACAAAAATTAGCTGGGCGTGGTGGTGCATGCCTGTAATCCCAGCTACTTGGGAGGCTGAGACAGGAGAATTGCTTTAACCTGGGAGGCAGAGGTTGCAGTGAGCCCAGATCGTGCCACTGCACTCCAGCCTAAGCAACAGAGTGAGACTCCATCTCAAACAAAACAAAAAATTATTAATTTAGTCTCCTTTATTTATTTATTACTTACTTGTTCCTGCTCTATTCAGATTTTTAAATTCTTCATGATTCATTCTTGGTAGATTATATAATGCTAGGAATCTATCCATTTCTTTTAGATTATCCAACAGAAGGAAAATTGGAAAATTTACAAATATGTGGAAATTAAACAATGCAACTCCTGACCAATAGGTCAAAGAAGAAATAAAATGGAAAATCAAAAAAATCTTGAGAGAAATGAAAATGGAAACAAAACATGCCAAAACTTTTGGGATGTAGCAAAAGCAGTTCTAAAAGGGAAATTTATAGCTATAAATGCTTACATTAAGAAAAAAGAAATATCTCATATAAGCAATCCAACTTTACATCTCAAAGAACTAAAAAAAGTAGAACAAATGAAGCCCAAAGTTAGCAGAAGGAAGGAAATAATAAATATTAAAGCAGAAATAAGTGAAATAGAAAACAGAAGAAAAAAAGAGAACTTAAATAAATATAATTAAAAAAAATCTTAATCTCTCTCACAACCATGGTAGAGAAAACCAGACTGCGAGATTAATATTACAAGTGTAACCAGTTTTGCCAACTTAATAAAGAAAGCTATTATTTCTCCAGTATTCTCCAAAACCCAAATAATTATGAAGTCTACTTCCCCTGAGGAGTTCCCTTCCCTGATATGTCCAGAAAGCACTTGATAGTTACCTCAAGGCTCAGGACCAGCCTGGGCTGCTCACCAGTATCACTAAGAACTTCCTTGATGTGGAAGGATCCAACAGGCCCTACCAGAATGCCACTGCCCTGGAAGTTGCCTCAGCTGGGCTGCTATGGCTGTTGCCACCAGCACTTCTGCCAGCTCTTCATTTAAAGTCTTCGTTCTGCCTTTAAGTTGCAACTGTCTCAATTACTCTCCTCCTCCCGCTTCACCTCAGTCTAATCAATCCTCTCAGAAAAGCACTTAAGCTTCCAAGTCACAAAATAAAATTTAAAATATTTATTCTCTAGAAGCCATAAAGGAGCAGATTGATAAATTTAACTGTGTTAAAATTTAAAACTTCTGTTTGGCAAAAGACAAGACAGACTGAAAATGTAATTGCAGAACATATGATAAAATGGCTAATTGCCTTAATTTGCAAAATAACTCATGCAAATGAATGAGAAAGTAAAACAACTCAGAAGAAAATAGACATGTTATAAGAACAGACAGTTCACAGGAAAAATATAAATGGCCTGTAAAATTATGGAAATATACTTAGTCTTGCACGTATTTAAAATATGGAGATAAAAACATCAGTAAGATAGAATCTTTCAACTTATAGATTGGTAAAAAATTTAAAAAACCTTTATACTATCTAGAGCTGGAAAAAGTATGGAGCAATAGGTACTTTCAGATTTTTTGATGAGATTTTGTATTGTTGCAACCTTTGGGAAGGCAATTTGGTAACATCTATCAAATATTTAAGTGTATGTGTATTTTGACTGTTTTGACTGAGAAATTTCATTGCTTGGGATTTACATTGTGAATATGCTTGATAAAATTTCCTATTAGTGTATGTGCAAGAATATTTGCAGAGGCATTGTTTTAAAGGAAACAAAAATGTTATTCCCAAATATACATTTTAGATGTATTTTAAGATGGTTATTCAGAGGGCCTGCAGACAAGAATAGCCCAGAAAAGCTGCCTTTTCTGGAGGAGATTTCATCTGTAGAGAAAAATCTACATTAGTGAAATAAAGCTAGGCTTTCTCTGAGGCACCCTTTTTTAGTCCAGATCTAGGAAATATTAACTCAAGCGCAGGCTACCGTCTACTCTTTCTGAGAGCTGCTACCTGCGAGGTTTCATCTACCTAATAAGACTGCCTTTGGTAGCCATGCCTTTCCTCTTCTCTACCTCCCATAACCTGTATTGCGGTGCTCCAAGCTCTTTTCTTTCTGTAACCTCAAGATGGTATAAAAGCATCAACAATCTGGCTCTTTGAGTTTTATATTTTGTATGACTCCTGTGAATACATGCGCATGTTAATACATTTTGTATGCCCTTCCTCCCTTAAGTCTGCCTTTTGTCAGTTGATTTTCAGTGAACCTTCAGAGGGCAAAGGGGAAGTTTTCCCTTGGTCCCTACGGTTTAATAGTGTGATCTGAGAGCCCAAAATAAATGCCCCTTTATCAACTAAGATAGACTCTAAGGTTAAGGAAACAAAGTTACCTACGAGTGGAGCATTCAGAGCCCAGCTGGCACGGCAAATTTCTAAATTCCCAGGACTCTAAACTTCCTAACAATAGCAGCCATTGGACCTCTCCTAAATCTGATTTATAACCCAGACTACTGTAATTCTGATTGGACAGAGGACTGGCCTTACAAACACTCTTTTCTGATAAGCTACTGTAAACATTAAGCCAGTTTCAGTCAGCTTATAGAGGCTGTGGACAAACGGTCTTTGTGCCGTACGGTTAACCTTTTGATGTAAAGAGCCAAATTCCACCTCATTTCAGTGCTAAAACCCTGTTTCAAAGTAAACTTGAGATGTATGTAACGTGTGTTTACTCGTTGCTCATTTGCTCAGCTCCCCTCATAAATATGTATAGCTTTTCCCCAAACCTGCTGAATATGTATGGCTCTATTGTGTAACACAGACCCATGAGGAGTAAAACCCAAGCTGTTCCCTCCCCCTACAAAGAGAGACCACCGTCAGTCCGTGCTGGTTTGCTGGTTTCTCTTCCCAACTTACAAACCAATATCACCAATAAAGCTCTCCTTTCTGCTATTTAACCATCGTGGTGGTCTTTTGAATGGCAACAGCGAACAATTTAAAAAGCAAACTCGTTTAATAGCAAGCAACTTAAAAAGCCAAGCTTAAGTATCTATTGATAGGAAAATTAAATTGGAGTATATAAAAATAATACAGCTGTTTAAAAGTGAGGTAGATTTGTAAGTGCTGAAAGGGAAAGATGTCCAAAGTATATTATGAAACATAAAGAACAGGGTACAGAGTAATATGATGTAAATGAGAATTACATGGCCATAAAGACATGCTAGTAGATGCATTCAGCATTTTTCTAGGAAATGTACAACACACACACACACACACACACACACACACACACACACATTAACAGCAGTTGCCATGGAGAAAAAAGCCATGGAGGAATATTTTATTTGAGCTTTTTCTTCTTTTGGACATACAGGGTTGGGTTAAACACAGTCTTCAGTTCATGGCATGCCCCGTCATTGGTTTAGACAGGCCCCTTAGAGAATGACAGGCCTCATTCTCCACTTTCATTTGCCTCCTTCTCCTTTAAAGAAAACCCTTCTGTTTAATGTATGTGGTATTACTTGCATGTATTCTTGTAAAATGTGTATTGTCTGTTTGGTATGTTGTATTCATTTTTATAACTGATATGTGCGATGGATCCTATTTTTTCACTCAGCATAATGCATGACACTCTGGGTGTGTGTAGTCGTTGCTTCTAACTGCTGATGGTACTCCACATTTTTCCTATCTGCTTTATTCTAGATAGATATCTGGGTCACTTTCAGTTCCTCTCCATCACAGTGTGAATAAACATCCTCATACAGGTACTCAAGTAAGCTACAGTGTGAGGTTTTTTTTTTTTTTTTTTTTTCCAGTACACATCCAAAAGTGGATCTTGATGGTCATGAAGCACAATGATATAGAACTAAGAACTGTCAGATTGCTCTTTAGGGTGGCTGCGCCTGTCTACATGCCCACCAGTAACATAAGAGGACACTTCTGTCCTCACATTTCTGCTAATACTTGGCATTGTTCAGCTTTATAATTTTTGCCAGCATAATAAAGTAATGTCGTGTTATTTTAAAAAGTTGAATTATTCTCATAGCCAGTTTGGGCCTCTCCTTATATACTTGCCAGCCTATTTGATTTCCTCTTTTTGCAAATTGTTTATTTCCTTTGTTCATTTTTCTTTTGGATTTTCTGCTTTTTAATCTTAATTTTAATAGCTTCTTGTATATCTTAGATACTGTGTTAGTTTTTAAAAAACATTAGGGATAGCAAATAACACAAAATTTGTCACCTGTTTGTTAACTTTGATCATGTTGTACTTCCTTGAATAAATTTTCTTAGTTTGATGCAATTGACTTAATCAGCTTTGGCCTTATGATTTGTTCTTCTGCTGTTCTTTAGAAGTCCTTCCCTGCCTGGTATTGTTAGGAAGATATTAACCCACAATATTTACCATTGACTTATAATCTTTTGCCTTGAAGTCTTTAATCCTTCTAGAGATTTCCTTGTATATATACTCTGGTAAGTAGGGATCCAGTTTGATTTTTTACCTCTAATGAGACAGTTTTTCCAACATCATCTCGTAAACAATTTGTCCTTTTGTCAATCAACTGTGATGCAAGATTTACTGTATATCAAGTTCTTATTATGGGTACAAACTTTTTCTCAGTTCTTTGTTATATTCCATTGTCCATGTTTTGTCCTTGTGCCAGTATCATACATTATTTAATTTTTTATCATGAGATATAAGACAAAGAAAAATGCACAAAACATAAATCTCCCACTTAGTGATTCAAAATGAGCGCCTAGCTCATTACCACTCAGGTTAAGAAAGCACACTGCCAAGAACCCAGAAGCCCCTGTGTGTTGCTCAATTTCTGATGCCTTTCCATTATCTTAAGGCAATCATCCTCCCAAAGTAACTAGCACCCTGACATTTATGATGATTAATTTCCCACTTAAAAATACTTTATTAAGCATATATTTATAAACCCTACACTTTAGTTCTGCCTGTTTTTGAACTTTATATAAAAGGAATTATACAGTATGCATTCTGTGTAGCCTGGCTTATTTCACTCAACATTATTGATGAGATTCATCCATGTTGTTATGTGTAGTAGCAGGTTATTGTTTTTCACTTCAATCCCAGTTTTCAGTGGTAGATTAAAGAAACACTCACAGTCCTTCACTCTTTCCAATACCCATGCCTTTTGCAATGTGACTTTAGAGCTCCTCCCATGAAGAAATGGGGTCTAGTTCTCTTCCCTGGAATCTGGGCTGGCATTGTGGCTTCCTTTGGCCAATAGAATATGGTCAGGGTGACCACACGCCTATTCTGAGCATAGGCCTCCAGCAGCCTGTGTGCTTCTGCTCTGTATTTCAGGACTCCTGCCTCAGCCACATGAAAAAGGCTGGGCTAGACTGCTGGAGAATGATGTATGTGGAACACAGCTGAGTAAGCTTGGTTGTGTGGGCTAAGCCCTCAGAAATTAAAAGAATCTCACAGATGCATGAGGCAGCTCAGTTGAGACCAGAACTCCCCAGCTGAATTCAGTCTAAATTGCTGATCCATAAAATTGTGAACTCAATGAAAAGTCACTAAGTTTTGGGGTAGTATGATAGACAACCAATACATATTTCATTGATGTCTGTACCACAATTGATCCATTCTACTGTTGATAGAAATGTAACTTGTTCCAGTTATATAAATTGCACTTCTATAAATTGTGCTGCTATAAAACATTCTTATCATGCCTCCTAGGGCATATGTGCATGCAGTTCTATTGGGCATATATCCAGAATTGAAATTTCCTAAATTTTTTTTTTTTTTTTTTTGAGATGGAGTCTCGCTCTGTCGCCCAGGCTGGAGTGCAGCGGCACCATCTCGGCTCACTGCAAGCTCCACCTCCTGGGTTCACGCCATTCTCCTGTCTCAGCCTCCCAAGTAGCTGGGACTACAGGCACCTGCCACCACACCCAGCTTATTTTTTGTATTTTTAGTAGAGATGAGGTTTCACTGTGTTAGCCAGGATGGTTTCAATCTACTGACCTTGTGATCCACCTGCCTCAGCCTCCCAAAGTGCTGGGATTACAGGCGTGAGCCACCGCGCTGGGCCAAAAAATTTTTTATAGCTACATAATAGTTTTACATATTTATGGGGTTTGATATTTTGATACAAACATACATTGTATAATGATCAAATCAGGGTAATTGGGGTGTCCATCACCTCAAGCATTTATCATTTATTTGTGTTAGGAACATTCCAATTTCACTCCTCTAGTTATTTCAAAATATACAAAAATTACTATTAACTATAGTTGCCCTATTGTGTTACCACTGGATCTTACTCCTTCTATCTAACTGTATTTTTGTACCTGTTAGCCAACCCCTCTTCATCCTCTAATCACCTCCACAGTTCCCAGCTCCTGGTAACCATCAACCTACTCTCTATTTCCATTAGATCGACTCTTTAGCTCCCATATATGAGTGAGAACATGTGATATTTGTCTTCCTGTGTCTGGCTTATTTCACTTAATATAATGTCCTCCAGTTCCATCCATGTTGTTGCAAATGACAGGATTTCATTACTTTTTATGGCTGAATAATATTTCATTGTTGTATGTGTACCACCATTCGTCCAATGATGGTTACTTAGGTTGATTCCATATCTTTGCTATTTGTGAATAAACATGGAAGTGCAGATATCTCTTTGATACACTGATTTCCCTTTTTTTTTTTTTTGGATATATAGCCATCAGTGGGATTTGCTGGATCATATGGTAGCTTAATTTTTAGTTTTTTGAGGAACCCCCATATTGTTTTCCGAAATGGCTGTACTAATTTATATTCCTACCAATAGCGTATGAGCATTCCCCTTTCCCCACATCCTCACTGGCACCTGTTGTTTTATTGTCTTTTTGATAAAAGTCATTTTAACTGGGTTTAGATGATATATCACTGTGGTTTTGGTTTGCATTTCTCTGATGATTAATGATGTTGCACATTTTCTTCACATACCTGTTGGCCATTTGTATATCTTCTTTCAAGAAAGGTCTGTTCACATCTTTTGCCCATTAAAAAAATTGGATTACTTGTTTTCTTGCTGTTGAGTGGTTTGAGTTCCCTATATATTCTGGTTATTAATCCCTTGCCAGTTGAATAGTTTGCAATTTTTTTCCCATTCTATAAGTTGTTTCTTCACTTTGCTATTCGTTTCCTTTGCTGTGAAGAAGCTTTTTAGTTTGATGTGATCCCGTTTGCCCATTCTTACTTTGGTTGCCTGTGGTTTTCAGGTCTTACTCAAGAAGCCTTTGCCCAGACCAATGTCTTGGACAATTTCCCCAATGTTTTCTTCTAGTAGTTTTATAGTTTCCGGCCGAATTGGAATTTTTAGCTCATAGAGTATTATATCTTTACCTTTAATAGTTAATGACTTTATTTATAAAATAGCTGTATGAATTTATACTTCTATCATCAGCATATAAGAGTTCTCATTGCTTCACATTCTGTGCCAACACATGGAATTGAAGAAACATTGAAAAGTTTGCCTTTGAGTTCAGGAACAAGACAAAAATGCCCACAAATACTACACCTTTTCAGTGTTATACTGGAAATCCTACCCAGTGTAGTAATTCAAGAGAATGAGTAAAAGGCATAAATATTGGAAAGGAAGAAATAAGGTGTTATCATTCATGGATCATCTGATGATTGGATATTTAGAAAATCCGAAAGACTCTATAGATAAATTATCAAAATTAATACATTTAACAAGTTGACAGAACAAACTTCATATTTGAAAATAATTTACATTATTATATATTAGCAGCAAAGAGGTAGAAAACAAAATAAAAAGAAAGATGCTATTAATAATAGCATAAAATATTAAATAATTAAGAATAAATAAAGCACAACATGTGCAAGCCTTTTGTGCAGAAGTCTATTTAAATTACAAATCTTACTTAATGGAGGGAGGTATTATGTCTGTGGTTGGATGACTCAGTATTATATACATTTTCCTTAAGTTTGTCTACAGATTCAATGCAATACTAACAGGTTTGTTGAATTGTTTCTAATGCGAATATACTATAATTCTCTTTAAAAACCTTTGTATGTAATATTTCTTTTAGCTCTGACTGCCTCCATGATTTCCTTATTATCTTTGATACACAGAAGTTTGAATGTCATCTATCTAGGGGTAAGTGTGTGTGTGTGTGTGTGTGTGTGTGTGTGTGTGTGGTTTTATTTGTTTTTATTTTGCTTGAGGTTCTCTAAGTTTCTTGTACCTCTGGTTTGATATCTTTATTGATTTCAAAAACTTCTTGGCTGTTATGCGTTAACTATTTCTCTTCTGCTCTATTGTCTGTCTTCTCATTTTGGCCAATTACACATATGTTAGACAGATTATATTGTCCCACTACTTGTGGATGTTCTGTTCTTTTTTTTTTTTTCTTTTTTTGAGACAGAGTCTCACTCTGTCTCCCAGGCTAGGGTGCAGTGGTGTGATCTTGGCTCACTGCAACCTCCACCTCCTGGGTTCAAGTGATTCTGCCTCAGCCTTCCAAGTAGCTGGGATTACAGGCACACGCCACCACGCCTGGATAATTTTTGTATTTTTAGTAGAGATGGGGTTTCATCATGTTGGCCAGGCTGGTCTCAAACTCCTGACCTCAGATGACCCACCCACCTTGGCCTACCAAAGTGCTAGGATTACAGGTGTGAGCCACTGCGCCTAGCATGAATTCTTCATCTTTGATGTCATGTTTTCATTTCTAACATTTCTACTGGACTCTTGAGGATAGTTTCCATCTCTCTGCTGAAATTCCCCATCTACTCATGCATGCTAGCTACTTTTTCCAATAGGCCTTAAAAAAGTATTAGTCACAGTTATTTTGAAGCACTTGTCTCATAGTTTCAACATCTAGGTCATCTCTGAGTTTGGTTCTGTTGATTGCTTTATCTCCTTGCAATGAATTATTTAAATTGACATATGTGTGTCTCATAGTTCTTGATTGCATGGTGAACATAATGTGTAGAACAGTAGACACTAAGTTAAATAGTATTTATGTATGGAAATAGACATGCCTTTTCTTCTGTTAGACAGTGTGGGAGGTTGAGTCAATCTCGTCAGAAATGGAGGTAGGCTTGGGTTTTTGTTTTGTTTTGAGACAGAATCTCACTCTGTCTCACAGGCTGGACTGCAGTGGCGTGGTCTTGGCTCACTGCAACCTCCACCTCTGGGTTCAAGTGATTTTTGTGCCTTAGCCTCCGGAGTAGCTGGGATTACAGATGAACATCACAACACCTAGCTAGTTAAGCTTGGGTTTTATTGTTGCTCTCTTTACTTTTTTTATACCACTGAGTTAAATCCCTCTAGTGCTGTGCTTTTGTTGCCTTCTGCTTAAGGTTGAAGCTGAGGTCAGAGGATTTTTCTCGGTTTCCATACTTCACCTTCAGCATTTAGCCATCCCTATATGCTCGTGCAAAAGAGGGTTTTCTTTTCATTCTCTTTCCCCTTTCCTAGTGGCAGACTACTACAGTTTATTATTTTGTGCTACGCTTGTGGTGAGGGCAGGGGAAATTATCTGTTGTCCTGGTTCTGTTTCAGTCTTGGGTACGCCCTCTCTGTGTGCTTGGGCCTTAATGATGGGGCTTTCTCAGCATTGCTGTTCTTCCTTGTGGCAACCAAACTCAGATTTAGATCTAAGGTTGGTCTTGGGCAGGAGTTTCCCACTCCTCCCATAGTAATAGCAAATATGTTTTTTTGTTTGTTTTTTAGATCGGATTTCACTGTGTTGCCCAGGCTGAGTGCAGTGACATGATCATAGCTCATGGTAATATCAAACCTCTGGGCTCAAGCAATCCTCCTGAGTAGCTAGAACTCAGACTCCTGAGTGGCTAGGACTACAGGCATGGGCCACTGAAATTTTTTTTCAGGGGTGGGGTCTTGCTATGTTGCCCAGGCTGGTATTGAACTCCTGACCTCAGGCAATTCTCTCCTGCCTTAGCCTTCCAAAGTGCTGGGATTACATTCATGAACCACCATGCCTGGCCATAGCAGATCTGCTATGTTGGGAGCATGGGCTTCGCTCTCAGTAGCTCTGTGGAGTGCCGAGGGCTTGGAAACCAAGCACACAAGCCCCAGGCACATTCTTATCCTGACAAAGAGCCCTTATAGGTTTATACAACTGTCATGTCAAGTTTCATGAGCTCATGCTCTAAACAATGTAACCAACACACTAAGATGTCAACCCAAATTCTGTCTTTAAAACAGAGCAGCTGGATAGCAAAGCCTCAAGCCCATGGAAAACATTTATAAACCTCCATGACAAGCCATCTCCACAAACCCCGAAATAGAACTGGTGACAAATCCCCAACAGCTACAAGACCTGCATGGTAGTAACATCTGTGTGAAAAGAAGACAGAAGTAATGGGGCAGTGTCAATGAAGGATCTGAGAAGAGAGAATTCCAAAGAGCTGACAATAGTTCACCGGCAAGCACAGTGGACATCTTTGGAAACAGCTGATGAAACTGGGAGGGGCTTTGTTCAGCCCAGTGTTGGGTGACTGCGAGGAGTGCCTGGTAGACTATGAAGGGGCTGGCATTGTCCAGACCCTGTGAACTTTGAAAAGGACCTGCACAGGTTTGTTTCTAGGGCAGAGTCCCACATTGAGGAGAGATTGCCAGGAGTGGAGGCAAAATTGAGCCGGGCGGGGGCAACATGGATGAAGAAAGAGAGGGCCAGGTAAAAGTAGGGCAATGAGAATAGAGCCGGGACATTTTAAGGGACTATTTTATTTTTAAATAATGCATAAAACCATGGACTATGGGGCAGTTTGAACTTATACAGTTTATCATGAACGATGTTTCCTTCTAAAAATTCAGGAAAACAAAATTCACATAAAATTAGTATAGGAAAAGATCACAGTCAAATGTCATTTAAAGTTATTATTCAAAAACATAAAGAAAATGTGATACACATACGCCATGGAATACAATGTAACCATAAAAAGGAATTAAATCATGTTGTTTGCAGCAATGTGGATGCAGCTGGAGGCCATTATCCTAAGGGAATTAATGCAGAAACAGAAAACCAAGTATTGCGTGTTCTTACTTATAAGTGGAAACTAAACATTGGGTACGTATGGACATAAAGATGGAAACAATAGACATTGGTGACTCTAAAAGAGGTGACGACAGGAGGGGGGAGAATTGCTGACAAACTTCCTTTTGGGTACTGTGTTCACTCTTTGAGCAACAGGATCAATAGAAGCCCAAACGTCACAGCATCACACAACATACCCTTCTAACAAACCTGCACGTGTACCTCCTGAATCTAAAAGTAAAAAAATATAGTTATTATCCAAAAAGATATGTGGGGGAGAATAACATCCCCACATATAGTTATGCTTCATTTACACAAAGAAAGAAAATGTGAACAAAGGGTTTCATATCCAGTGATACTGACTTTCAAGTAGTCATGCTTCACTTTATTGTTTTTCACAGATACTGTGTTTTTCACAAATGGAAGGTTTGTGGCAACCCTGCATCTAGCAAGTCTGTCGGAGCCATTTTCCCAACAACGTGTACTCATTTCATATCTCTGTTGTATTTTGGTAATTGTCACAATATTTCAAACTTTTTCATTATTTATTACATCTATTATGGTGATCTCTGATCAGTGATCTTTGGTCCTGTTGAAATTGTCCTGGGGATCCACAAACTGCACTCATGTAATACAGCAAACTTAAAAAAATTTTAAATGGTAAGTTCAGGGGTACAAGTTCAGGTTTGTTACATAGGTAAACTTGTGTCATGGTGGTTTGTTATACAGATTATTTCATCACCCAGGTATTAAGCCTAGTACCCATTAGTTATTTTTCATGATCCTCTCCCTCCTCCCACCCTCTACTCTCAGAAAGGCCCCAGCACGTGTTGTTTCCCTTTATGTATCCATGTGTTCTCATCATTTAGCTCCCACTTAGAAGTGAGAACATGCGGTAATACAGCAAACTTAATTGATAAAGTGTACATTCAGACTGCTCCAGTCACTGGCTGTTCTCTTGTCTCTCTCCCTTTCCTCAGGCCACCCCAATCTCTGAGACAAAACAATATTGAAATTAAGCCAATTAATAACCTTACAGTGACCTCTAAGTGTTCAAGTGAAAGCAAGAATTGCATGTTCTTACTTTAAATCAAAAGCTAGAAATAATTAAGCTTAGTGAGGAAAACATGTCGAAAGCCAAGATAGACTGAAAGCTAGGCCTCTTGCGCCAAACAGCCAAGTTGTAAACACAAAGGAAAAATTCTTGAAGGAAATTAAAAGTGCTACTTCAGTGAACACACGAATGGTAAGAAAGCAAAACAGACTTATTGCTGATATGCAAAAAGTTCTAGTGGTCTGGATAGGAGATCAAACCAGCCACAATATTCCCTTAAGCCAAAGCCTAATCCAGAGAAAGGTCCTCTCTTCAATTCTGTGAAGGCTGATAGTGGTGAGGAAGCTCCAGAAGAAAAGTTTGAAGCTAGCAGAGGTTGGTTCATGAGGTTCAAGGAAAGAAGCCATCTCTATAACAAAAGTGCAAGTGAGGGTGCAGCGGCTCACACCTGTAATCTCAGCACTTTGGGAGGCCAAGGCGGGTGGATCACCTGAGGTTGGCAGTTTGAGACCAGCCTGACCAACATGGAGAAACCCTGTCTCTACTGAAAATACAAAATTAGCCAGGCACATGCCTGTAATCCCAGCTACTTAGGAGGCTGAGGCAGGAGAATTGCTTGAACCTGGGTGGTGGAGGTTGTGGTGAGCCAAGATTGCACCATTGCACTCCAGCCTGGGCAATGAGAGCAAAACCCCATCTCAAAAAAAAAAAAAAAAAAAAAAAAAGAAGTGGGAGGTGAAGCAGCAAGTGTTGATGTAGAAGCAGCAGCAAGTTATGTAGATCTAGTTAAGAGAATTGGTGACAGTGACTACACTAAACAACAGAATTTCAAGATAGACAAGCCAGCCTTCTATTGAAAAAAGGTGCCATCTAGGACTTTCATAGCTAGAGAGAAGTCAAGGCCTGGCTACAAAGCTTGAAAGGACAGGCTGACTCTCTTGTTAGGGGCTAATGCAGCTGGTGACTTTAAGTTGAAGCCAGTGCTCACTGACCATTCCCAAAATCCTAGGACCCTTAAGAACTACCCTAAATCTACTCTGCCTGTGCTCTATAAATGGAATAACAAAGCCTGGTTCACAGCACATCTGTTTACAGCATGGCCTACTGAATATTTTAAGCCCAATGTTGAGATCTACTGCTTAGTAAAAAAGGTTCTTTTCAAAATATTACTGCTCATTGACAATGTACCTGGTCACCCAAGAGCTCTGATGGAGATGTACAAGGAGGTTAATGTTGTTTTCATGCTTGCTAGCACAATATCCATACTGCAGCACATGGATCAACAAGTAATTTCAATTTTCAAGTCTCATTATTTAAGAAATTACATTTCATAAGGCTGCAGCTGCCAAAATAGTGATTTCTCTGGTGGATCTGGGCAAAGTAAATTGAAAACCTGGAAAGGACTTACTATTCTAGATGCCATTCAGAACATTCGTGATTCACAGGAGGAGGTCAAAATATCAACATTAACAGAAGTTTGGAAGAAGTTGATTTCAACCCTCATGGATGACTTGGAGGGGTTCAAGAGTTCAGTGGAAGAAGGAACAGCAGATGTGGCAGAAATTGCAAGAGAACTAGAATTATATGCGGAGCCCAAAGATATGATTAAATTGCCACAATCTCATGATCAGACTTGAATGTATGAGGAGTTGCTTCTTATGGATGAGCCAAGAAAATGGTTTCTGGAGATGAAACATATTCCTTGGGTGAATATGCTTTGAAATGACAAGAAATAATTTTTTTTGAGTCTTGCTCTGTTGCCTAGGCTGGAGTGCAGTGGCATGATCCTGGCTCACTGCAACCTCTGCCTCCTGGGTTCAAGCAATTCTCCTGCCTCAGCCTCCCATGTAGGTGGAATTACAGGTGTGCACCACTACACCCTGCTAATTTTTGTATTTTTGGTAGAGATGGGGTTTCACCATGTTGGCCAGGCTGGTCTCGAACTCCTGACCTCAGGTGATCCACCCGCATCGGCTCCCAAAGTGCTGGGATTACAGATGTGAGGTACCGTGCCCAGCTGACAAGAAAGGATTTTGAATATTATGTAAACTTAGTGGATAAAGCAGCAGCAGGATTTGAGAGCAATGACTCCAACTTTGAAAGAAGTTCCTGTAGGTAAAATGCTATCAAACAGCATTGCATGCTACAGAGAAATATTTAGTTAAAGGAAGGGTCACTGATGCGGCAAACTTCACTGTTGACTTGTTTGAAGAAATTGCCACAGGCACCCCAACGTTCAGCAACCACCACCCTGATCAGTCAGCAGCCATCAACATCAAGGGAAGACCCTCCCTTCATCAGCAAAAAGAGTATGACTTATGGAAGGCTGAGATGTTTGTTAACATTTTTTAGAACTAAAGTATTTTTACATTCAGGTATGTACTTTTTAAAAAGACATAATGCTATTGCACACTTAATAGGCTACAGTATACTATTAACATAACTTTTATATGCACTAGGAAACTAATACATTTGTGTGACTTCCTTGACTGAGATATTAGCTTTATTATGTTGTTCTGGAACCAAACCCGCATATCTCTGAGGTATGCCTGTATCACACAGAATATTTCTTCCTGTCCTAAAAATCCTCTGCTCTCTGCCTATTTGCTCCTCTCTCCCCTAAAACCTCTGGCAACCACTGATCTTTTCACTGTCTATGTTGTTTTGCCTTTTCCAGGATGTCATATAGTTGGAATCATACAGTAGGTAGCTTTTCAGATTGGCTTCTTTCACTTAGTAATATGCATTTAAGATTCCTCCATTTTTTTTTTTTGTGGCTTTGTAGCTCATTTCTTTTCAATACTAAATAATATTCCATTGCCTGGAAACTGTATATCACAGTTTATTTATCAATTCACCTCCTAAAGAACATCTTGGCTACTTTAAAATTTTGGCAGTTATGAATAAACGCCCAAGTGTAGGTTTTTGAGTGGACATAAGTTTTCAGCGCCTTTGGATAAATATCAAGAACAGTTATTGCTAGATTGTGTAATAAGAGTGTTTATGTTTTGTGAAAAACTACCCAACTGTTTTCCAAAGAGGCTGTACCATTTTGCATTCTCACCAGTAATGAATGAGAGTTCCTGTTGCACTACAGCCTCACCAGCATTTGATGTTGTCTGTGTTCTGGATTTTGGTCATTCTAATAGGTGTGTAGTGGTAATACCTTTTTGTTTTAATTTGAATATTCCTGATGACATATGACATGGAGCATCTTTTTATAGGCTTATTTGCCATCAGTATATCGTCTTTGGTGAGGTGTCTGTTAAGGTCTTTGGCTCATGTTTTAATCAGGTTATTTATTTTCTTATTGTTGAGTTTTAAGAGTTCTTTTTATATTTTAGTATAAAAAGAACTCTTAAAACTCAACAATAAGAAAATACATTTGTATCTAAAAATACAAATCCTTTATTAGATATGTATATTGTAAATATTTTCTCCCAGTTTCTGGATTATCTTCTCATTATCTTGACACATTTAATTTTTTTTTATACTTTAAGTTCTAGGGTACATGGGCAGAACGTGCAGGTTTGTTACGTAAGTATACATGTATCATGGTGGTTTGCTGCACCCATCAGCTCATCATCTACATTAGGTATTTCTCTTAATGTTATCCCTCCCCTAGCCCCCCACACCTGACAGGCCCTGGTGTGTGATGTTCCCCTCCCTGTGTCTATGTGTTCTCATTGTTCAATTCCCACTTATGAGTGAGAATGTGCGGTGTTTGATTTTCTGTTCTTGTGTTAGTTTGCTGAGAATGATGGTTTCCAGCATCATCCATGTCCCTGCAGAGGACATGAGCTCATCCTTTTTTGTGGCTGCATAATATTCCATGGTGTATATGTGCAACATTTTCTTTATCCAGTCTATCATTGATGGACATTTGAGTTGGTTCCAAGTCTTTGCTATTGTGAACAGTGCTGCAATAAACATACGTGTGCATGTGTCTTTATAGTAGGATGATTTATAATCCTTTGGGTGTATACCCAGTAATGGAATGGAATGGAAAATATCACAGTGCTTTGAAACTATAGTGAAAGTGAAAATTTCTTTATGAAATTTTTGTTTTATTCATGTGTGTGTGTGTGTGTGTGTGTGTGTGTGTGTGTGTAGCAGATTGCAATAGAAAATGTACTTCTTTCTATTGGTTGAAGTAAAGGAAGAGGTAGGAGAAGGAGGAAAGGAAAAGTTGGAAAACACTGCTTAAGTGAAAACATTGCACAGAACTTGATGCAATTTACCTTCTTTCTTTCTGATACTTACACAAGTCTTGTTTAGTGACTAACTGGCAGATTCTTAATCATGTAGGAATACAAATATTAAGAAACAATTTTTTATAAACAATGACCTTCGATCACTCATTAAGCCAATATTTATTTAGCATCTATTGTGGATTAGACTTCAGTGAAAGAATTTGGAAATTTCAGGGAAAAAACCTCAACTAATCTCTTTTGAATGGATTAATAAAATTAAACAAGATATTTGCACAGGGATTTAAACTGGTTTATAATAATAATGAACAGAAAGATGCCAACATGAGAAAACAGGGAACAATCAAGCATATTTATCAAGGCACTGTCTCTGACTTGGGCAGAGTGGGTTGCTGGGTTGGATTGCAAGACCAGAACAGGCTGCCATGATGGTACCACAGTTCCATCTCAGCAGTTCCCACCCACTGCCCCTTGGTGGGGACGTGAACCTTCTGGGGTCAGAAAATATTCTCTCCACCTGGATAGGCTTGGTTTTGCTTATATAACGGACTCAAAATGTGTTAGGGGGTGGGAAACAGTGACGATTTTCATTTGGAAAGTTAATTTTTGAAAAGGAATGAATGGTGAAGGAAGTGAGAGAGGGAGGGAAAGGAGGGAATCCATATGGAAGGTGACATTGGCAGGGATGTGGAAGAGTCATCACTGAAGGACAGTCTGTGCCATGCCACTGTCATTCATTGGTAGTGATTTAAAGTGAACCACTGGAAACTTGGAAAAATATGCCAGTTTATAGCTGAGTTGAAAGTTCTGGAAAAGGGACAATCTCGGAATGAGAATAAGTTGTAGATATTGTGGTATCTGACCAAGATGGCCTTAACATTCCCCTCAGCTTCACTAAATTTTGGACAGGCTTCTTCCTGACTCTGGAGCCCCTTGACCTCCCTTTTCTTGGAGCACTTACTTTTGAAAACCTGTAATTGTAAATACCTTCTCTGCCCCTTTGAGAGGTAAGTATTTTTTTTTTAAGCCTCTTGCTAATTTTATAACTCAGGAATGGCCTTCTCAAGGACCTTGGAGCCATCTCTTTGAAATGTAAGCATCAAGGGAGATAGTGCCCTATCTTCCAGTTTCTGTGGGGAGTGGGAGGGAGTGGGAGCCTCACTTCAATGGGTGCCTTGCTCCAAGTTGTAAAACTAACCTCCTGTCATGAAGATATGAGAAAGTTTGCTTTTTGTTTGGGTAAAGTTGGTTAGCAAACATAGATGGCCTATAATACTCCTCCCTACCCCATCTCTTAAAAACTCCTTTTGTTTCAGCAGAATTGTGTTCAGACTGAGTTCTGGCCTCTATCTCCTATTGCGACAACCTTGAATAAAGCCTCCTTTGCCTATTTAACTTTGGTACAATTTTTGTTTTGACATAGCCATTATCTAGTCAGGAAAAAATCCACTTGAACTTAGAGTAGAAAGCTGAATCAAGGTTCTTCCTCTGCTCCTAAATTACAGGGACTATGGACAAAATTCATCTCACTGAGCCTGGAGATTTAACCTGGAAAATTTACAGGTTGAACAAGATGGTCTCCAAGACCTCTTCCAGCATCAAAGTTTTTTTTGATGGCCAGATGCACTTGATTGACTAGGGATACATATTTATGTATTTTATATATAGTATTATATAATATTTACATATTATATATAATACATTAATATATTAAAACATATAAAATAATATATAATGTATAATATATATAGTCAGAGAAACATATAAATGATTTAAATCCAGGTGGGTTGTCTTGAGTGCTGAATAACAATTAAAAAACCATTAAGGACTAATTGGACCATACACTGTAACACTGCTCTTCTCTTGTCCTTAGAAGACTGAGGGGCTCTTTAGTAAGCATGAATGTGGCCACCAGATGGAAAATCCTTGTGTCTGGAGGAATGACAGGCCCCCAAGTTGCTGCTCTCTTTGACTTCCCAGAGATTTGTTTCTAGGAAGGTACTTTTGAGGCCATTTAAAATAGCCATTCTCTACAGACTCTCTTCAGTTGTCATAAAAACTCATCTGTCCTATCCTAGGTCAGACACCGAGACAGCTGGTGGGGATTTGGAACAACAGGTCCGAGGAGGGACAGGGACCCAGCCAGCCAGTTAGGGAATTGTGATGACCACTCCATACTACTTAACTCACTTTGCATTTTTATCGTACGAACCCATCACCTTCCACCCATTCTCCCAAAATAGAAGTATCATTCGTTCATTTATCCAGAAGAAACATCAAGAACATATGATGTGCTAGACACTGAGCTGGTTACTGGGAACAAAGCTACTATAATCAAGGTAGCCATGGTCCCTGCTCACATAGATCTTGCAGTCCAGTGGGGAGCCAAACGTTAAGCAAAAAATCATAAAAATAAACATTTAAATTTCAACTATGATAAGCTCAATGAAGATGTGGCGAGGAGCAGGGCGGGAGTAAGCTTAGTAAAAAGGGTCAGAAGAGGCTTCCTTGAAAAAACTACAAATAAGCCGAGGTGCTGAGAATATGGAGACAATGGAATTCTTGTGGGAATGTAAAATGGTGCAGCCACCGTGGAAAACAGTATGGCATTTCCACAAAAAGCTAAAAACAGAATTACCATACGATCCAACAATTTCATTTCTGGGTGTATATCCCAAAGACTTGAAAGCAGGGACTCAAAGAGACATGTACACCCATGTTGACAGCAGCATTTTTTGTAGTAGCTAAAATGTGGGAGCACCCCAGTCTGTGAATGGATGAATGGATAGGCCAAATGTGATACGTACATACAATGGAATATTAATCAGCCTTAAAAAGGAAGGAAGGGAATTCTGCAATATACTATAACATGGATGAACATTGAGGACATTATGCTAAGTGAACTAAGCCAGTCACAAAATGAGAAATACTGTATGAGTCCATTTTATGAAGTAGTTAGAGTGGTCAAATTCATAGAGACAAAGTAGAATGGTGGTTACAATAGGCTTGGAGGAGGACAGAATGGAGAGTTACTGTTTAATGGGTTTAGAGTTTCAGTTTGACGAGATGAAAATATTCTGGAGATGGATAGTGGTGACAGTTGCACAACCGTGTGAATGTACTTAATGCCTCTGAACTGAACACTTACAAATGGTTACAATGGTGAGTAAATTTTATGCCATGTATATTGTACCATAATAAAAAAAATAAGCCAAGGCTTGAAAGATGAGTGTGAGATAGACAAGGAAGAGGGCCAGAAACAGACTTCTAGGCACAAGGAAAAGCATACTCCTGTCTTGGGTGTAGACATGAATATTTATGAGAACCAGAAAGAAGGCCAGTGCTGCTGGAATGTGGGGCAGGGTATATGGCAAGAGATAAAACTGAGGGGGTGCTCTCACGACTCTCACAACCAACCAGCCACCAGAACCCACAGGTGCAATCAGAGCAACCTCCCCTGGATCCCTGCTGCCACTGCTTTAGCCTAGACCCTAACCATCTTTTGGTGGCACAACTAAAACCTAATTTTTCCCCACATGGCTCCCAGTGTATCATGTGGATGAGACCACAGGCTCTGGAGGCAGACGGTCTGGGTTTGAATCCTGGCTCTGCCACTTACTAGCTATGACTTTGGGGAAATCACTTGGCATCCTGAAATGGCCATGGTTACGTGTGGAATAATAGTCCCTAGCCCATAGCGTCTTTGTGAAGATTTAAGACATGGACTGCACGTACAAAGCTCAGGCAACAAACTCAGCTGTTCGAGAAATGTAGCTTTATTCTCTTGTAACGAAGCTTAAGTTTTATTTTGAGCCACTGTTCTGATAGCTTCCAGAAAGTTATCCGTAGTCAATTCAAGGCATCCTCAGGGCTTTCGTTTCTGAGGACCTCCCAGTGCCACAGCAGTAGTTGAGAGGAGCTGTTTGATCAGACTCTTAAGAGTGAGATGGAGGGCAAGCAGTCTATTTCAGAGGCGACCCCAGGAAGCTCCAGCAAGGAGCTGGGGCACGTGGAACACAGAAGGGCAGGAAGCCAGTACAGGGAGCTCTAATGAGCAAGTGACTGCTTTGGACTCCTGGTAGGTTTGGCAGATAAAATACAGGACTCCTGGTTAAATTCGTATTTCAAACAAACATCAAATAATTTTTTAATATGTGTATGTCCTGAGTATTACGATGGACATAATTATACTAAACATTATTCATCATTCATCTGAACTTCACATTTGAGTGGGTGTCCTGTATTTTTGTTTGCTAAATCTGGCAACCCTAGCTACTGGGGCTCAGTCTCCCCAGAGAAACTTTCATGGAATTTGACTCAGAGACAAAGCAGGCCCCAGATTTGTCCCAGTGGTGGGCAAAGACGATGGGATTATTTATCTACCTGCTCCAATCATTAGTTGAGCATATGATTAGTTGAGATATGAGAAATGCCAGGCCAATCCCCTGGCATTTCTGGCCTCCCCTGCTCCCAAGCTGAATGTCCTTTGGCCAGCCAAAGCCCTCGAGCATAGCCACAGGTACTTACCTTCAGCTGCCGTCTGTGGGAATGTCGAATGCAGAAAGGGAAAATAGTTGGGGCACCAGCAGTGTCTGCTGCAGTGGTCCTCATCATATAACAAGGCTGGCATACACTGAGACATCCACATCCCCACGTCATCCTTAGTTTCCTCTATCCCTGACAATCAACTTCCCTAAGGGCATATTTGTGTTAAAAACAAAGGAAATATGAGATCTGTGATAATGGACAAATTCCTTGTGTGACACATACACTCATATCTGTTTGCTTGAGGAAGCACTCCCCGTATGGCTTAGAGTCTAAGAGTGGATATCTATCCCTTTAATTCTGCATAATTCACTGCAAATATCTTAGACTGCAGCCAGATCATGCATTAGCCAGCTAGGTCCTCTTAAGTGAAGTACCTTAGTCATGCTGAACTCTAGCCAATGGAAGGCCACAAGAGGAGAAATAAAATCTAATCCTATTTGTTCTGCACCACCAGGGGTGACCGCTATTGTACAGAAGGGGTCTCTGGTCACAGAGATGGAGGAATTATCTAGAAGCTGCCTGCTCTGCTATACTGAAACATTTGCTAGGAGTTCTTACTCCTAAAGGTTGCCCCCAACCACCACTATGATCATCATGAAGTGACGGGAGATGGGAGGCTGCAGCACTGTTCTATCAGTCAGGGTTCTCTCAGTGAAAGAGAAGCACATCTGCATTGCAAGGAGAAAGGGTTTTAAAATAGGAAATCAGAAGCTTACACAATGATTAGAGGGGTTGGGGAAGCAATATGGAAACTGCTGCTACCTTCATGAAATTAAGAAGGGCTGGATTCCAGTAAAGCTGCTAAAAATAACCCCAGCTGTCTACAATACCAAAGCAGGTGATTCTCAGGAGGTTGCCCGGAAGTTGGAGCAAATCGTATGCCTGTCATATGTCCAAGCATCTGTTCACAGCTGACAACAGGGATACTGACTTCTCTTCTGCTTTCCAAATGCCTCGTGAGTGCCTTTAATTGGCAGACTCTAACCCAAGGCCATACAGGAAAGTGACACTGGGAAATGATGTTCCAGACCTCCCTGCAATGCAGAGGAGAATGCAGAAAGGGTAGGGATGATGTCTAATTGACAAAGACAATCTGGTATAAGCAAATTAAACCAAATACTTATGTCAAGGGTGGAAGGTACACAGGATACTATCAAAGTCCTGTGACCCCTTGTGTATTAGTAAAGTGTCTTATGGATGCTATTAGCAGAATCCTTAGGGTAAATTAAGCCTGGGCAGATGTCATGGCTCAATAATTCAGCCAGCATCTATTTCCTTCTCAAATCTCAGACTGCCTAGAAGTCTCAAATGTGACTCTGACACACACATAATTCTCATGTGGCATAGTCTATCTTTCCCTTGCAGCTTGGTAGTGCCCTCAAGCATAAATAGACTCTTCAAAGCCCAGATCCAACAGAGTGAGGTCCAGAAAGGGCAGGAGCTTCCTCTTTTCCATGTCTAAGTCCTTCCTGGGGCAGCCCTTTGCAGGGCCCAGAGCCTCCCTGATGACTCATACAAAAAATCCATGGCCATCTGCTTTTGGTAACCAAATGGCTATGGCCTGAACCTACGGCCCCATGTCGCTACAAAAAACCTACAACCCTAATTCACCATACAAGACATATGGTTTAGATGTTTGTCCTTTTCAGATCTCATGTTGAAATGTAATCCCCAATGTTAGTTGTGGGGCCTGAATGAAAGGTGTTCGGGTCATGGAGACAGATCCCTCATCAATGGCTTTGTGCCCTCCTTACGATAATGAGTGAATTCTTGCTTTGAGTTCTGGTTGTTTAAAAGTGTGTGACACCCCACCCCCCAATTGGTCAGAGAGTAGGAGATCTGGGAAAAACACAGGTGGGTGGATCTGTGGCAGTGGGGACAAATTGTGCAGATGTTTGTGTCTACATCAGTGCCCACAAGAGAGCAACCACCATAGAGAAGGCATGCAGAAACAAAATAAACAGAACAACTCCCTTTGATTACTCAAGTGCTCATGCAATGGCCAGTGATAGCCAGGGATGGAGGCTGTGCATGAACCCAACAGCATGTACTCCCTTTCATTAACACTGATCTAGCTATCTGCACTACTGAATTCCCAACTTCCCAGAAGCAGAGACTGGCCCTGTATACCCTCAGTATAAAACCATTCTTCAAGGAGAGCAGCCAGCCTCCTGGGCACAGGTTGATTGCACTGGACTCCTACCCTGGAGGAGGCAGTGATTTCTCCTTCCTTAATATGTTCTGCCTTCTTACTTTCATGGTTCTTCCAGCACTGCTATCTTAGGGTTTACAGAATGACTGAATTGTCAGCACTAGATTCTGCACAACATTGCTTCAAATCAAGGGACTCATTTAATGGCAAAAGAGGTATGGTCACAGAGATATTACCATAGGATCCACTGGTCCTACCATACACTGGAAGCCTTCCATCTGCTAGAACAATGGAAAGGCCTTCAAAGGCTAATCTAAGTCACTAGCTGTGGATAAGACACTGTAGGATTGGAACTGTCCTCAGTCAGTATGTACACTCATTATATATGGTATATATATGATATACACCAATATCTAGAATACATGGATCTGCAAACTGATGAGTAGAAGTAGTAGCAGCCTCTCTTATGATCAAGCCCATTGACCCACTGTGGACTGCACACTTCCTGATCCCATAACCTCAGGCACTGCTGAATCAGAAGTGCTAGCTCCTGGACAGTGGCACCAGGGGGACACTTTCACAGGAGGAGTCAGTAAGGGTCCTCTGTACTCAAAGCTGTGAGTACCACCTCATCATTCTGGGCTCCTCATGGCAATGGGTCAATAGGAAAAGAAAGGAATCACGACATAAGAGAGGAAATTGACCTCAAATTACCATGAGGAGCTAGGCAGCTGCCACACAATTAAGAAATGAGAGAGCATCGTAATATGTTAGCCAGAGTCTTCTACGAAGCAGATACCAAAATAAGATTAAGGGTGCAAGGACCTTATTAGGACAAATACTTGTAAGAGAAAATGAGGAAGGATCCAGAGTGCTGGGAGAGCATCAGACTGCCATGTATGTTTGACTCTGAATAAAAAAAGAGAGAAAAGGAAAGCTAGGTGGAATTGTTCTATACTGCTGTACAGTCTAGGAAAGTTCAGCAAGGCTGCTAGGAGTCCTCAGGCCCAAGTCTGCTGTCAGAGGAGCTCTGCATCTCCCAGGAATAAGCCTGCCTTAGTGTCCCTGCTGTGATCAGTCATTGGCTAGGAGTAGCCAGGAAGTAGGTGGGGTGGGAGAGTGGGGCAGAGGGAGGGCATAGATCCCCAGGAAATGCCCAGGTGGATTTCAGAGTGCAGCAGTCGGAGCCTCTGCTTAATTACATTCCCTGTTATTGTAGACCTTCAAGGCACATTCTATTAGTACCGTGGTAGATAGATGAATGGGTGGATTATAAGGTAGATAAGAGATACATAGGTAAAATATGTATATATATATATAATCTCTGTATTTATTGTAATTTGTTCAGCCCTTGAGGAGCAACTGCCTCAACTTCCCTTTTCTCCCTTCATTTCAGGCATTTTAATCAATACTCTTTTAAGACTGACAATCTAATTTTCCAAGCCACAAAAGAATGATCAATTTTATTATGAAAAAATTTAAAACTTGTAGTTGGTAAATGGCAAGACAAATTGAGAAATATTTTTTGCAACATATATGATAAAAAGACTAAATCCTTTAGTGTGTGGAAGTAGAGGCAAATGAAAAGTGTTAACAGTCTAGTAGAAAAATGTGTAATGTGGAATAAACTGAATTACCTTCCTGTGAAGATTAAGGGGTCATTCTACATATCACCACGACCTGGTAAATCTCAGTGCAATCCAAAGTTTTATACACAAACTTGAAAGTCATCACAAGTTACAAAGTGTTGTTGCAGGACATGGTTCACAGTAAAAAATGCAAAAGATTCTTAAGCAAGCTGTAAGGAGAAAGACAATGCAAATACTTGGTGCCTGATATAGTCTAGATATTTGTCCCCTCCGAATACCATGTTGAAATGTGATCCCTAATCTTGGAGGTGGGGCCTGGTGGGAGGTGTTTGGGTCATGGTGGGTGGATCCCTCACTATTGGCTTGGTGCCATGCCCTTGGAGATAAGCGAGTTCTCACTCTATTAGTTCATGCAAGAGCTGGTTGTTTAAAGGAGGCTAGCACCTCCTTCTTTCTCTCTTGTTCCCTCTTTCACCATGTCACATCCCTGCTTCCTCCTTGCCTTTCACCATGAATAAAAGCTTCCTGGGACCTCACCAGGAGCTGAGCAGATGCTGGTGCCATGCTTGTACAGCCTGCAGAACTGTGAGCCAAATAAATCTTTTTTCTTTATAAATTACCCAGTCTCAAGTATTCCTTTATAACAGTGCAAAATGGACTAACACAGTCTCCTTAGAGAATCTTAGTTGAAATGAACGACAAATTGGTTATCGACTTGAACAAAGTGTCTCCTAAAATAGTACAGTTCTATTTACTGAACCCATATTTTCCAAGCAAATTTTTGATAAGAATTGTGTTCTCCAGTCAGATTACTCTCCTGGGGAAAGAGGCTCTGACTGGCTGACATGACATCATTAACCCTTCAGTTGATAAATTTATGGGAATAGAATGTCCTGACACAAATCTGTTTCAATAAGGTTATAAGCTGGAGGCATTTTCCAGTGGTCTGATCACTCATGAATAAGATGACAGTGAAGATATGAACATGCCAAGCTAAAGGAAAACTTCAGACTGGTGGTTACCCTACTAAAGTGAGATACTCCAGGAATCCCAGCCCCAACGAGAATCTGGGCCCCAAGTATTTATGGCTTCTCCCTTGGAGATACTTTATTTCATTATGTTGTACTTATGAAGAGGAAAAAAGCCTGGACAACCCGCTGTGAATCTCAGGGCTCCCCTTTCCACATCACCATTGCTGACACTGTGGAAGCCTCAGGCCCATTCTTCATGAGTTCTGTCCTGAGGTTGGGACTGAAGATTAGGACAGCAGGGTTCGCAAGGTTGTGAGTTTTCATCCAGGGGCCTGAACCACTAATTTGGGCATGGGGTGGAAGCAGGAAACACAAAAGGTCTCTGCTCCAGTAAAAGCTAGGACAGGATGAATTTCCTGGAGAGGCTGGAAGATGACTGAGTGGAATTATATTCCATCAAAAGAAGCTCAAGGCCCTACAGGAACTCAAACTCACAGTCAATGCTGATGCTCATCCATCTTATCTGGGCACAGCCAAGATACCTTCTACTCTAAGAAGCTGAAATCTTCCTTGTTAGTATTTGACAGGGAGAAGAGTAGAGGGGAAAGGAGAGTTCAGGTTATGGGTGGGGAAGGCAACAGAAGGGAAGGCCAGCAGTTCACAGCTACCACACACCCTCTCTTTTTCCCCCTCACATGGCTCTCCTGTCAGACAGAGGTACAACTGCTTCTTATCAGAGAATAATCATCTCGCTGGCTCTGCAGGGATAAGAATAGTGATAGTTGTACAGACTGAATGCAGCAAGAAGGGTTGGGAAAGAGAAAACCACTCTAAACCTCTTATTTTTGTTTTAGGGACCACATTCATATAAACTGAAATATGTTTTCAGGTGACTGTGAGAAGATGTGATGGTAATCCCAAGGGCTTGCATGTGCCAATTACCTTGTGTGTCTCATAACATTTGAGTGATTAATTTAAATGGGGCCAAAGTAAATTAAAAACCTGGAAAGGACTCTTATCTTTTCCATATGCACGGACTATGAGAAGACAGTAACTCTGTATATGGGATCTTTATAGAGATAAGGATTAGGGCCAGTGGTGGTTTACAGGTTCCTGTAGAGGGATGGCTTACTGCAAATATGAATGGCTGAGACCCCAAGGATTTGAGAAGGTAGAGAGCAGAGTCATCAGGACTGTCGGAAATGGAGAGGGAGCCCAGAAAATGGAGGGGGAGCCTGGAATCCTGCTCAGACTCAAATCTTCTCAGCTGTCCACCCAGAGGAGATGCTTTTCCTAATTTGAACAACAGTGCCACCCAGTCAACAAGCTGTGCATCCCTAGTACTTTGCCCAGACAGGACTCTTTTCTAATTCACACTAGGGTAAATACTAATTGCCCAATCTCAAAAGCAGCTCAGAATGTGGACAACGGGTTGGGGAGGCCCAATTAAGATAAGACCAGCTAGGATTTGATTAAGTCCTATGCGGCCTCTGCCTGCACATAGATATCCTCCTGCTTCTATAGGTGCTTGAGGGTTCAGTATTCAACATGGATTAAATTTGAATTCACCATATTTCATCTACTCATAATTGAACTCCTAGGAGTGACATAGATGTTATGAACATGGGCTTTAAAGATAATCAACCAACCTAGTGGATTAGTGCCACCAACCTTACTAATCCAGTGAGGTTAGTATGAAAATGAAATGAAAAAATGAGTTAATGGATCTGAGGCCCATCCAAGGCATCTCTTCATATGTCTTTCTTCTCTCTAGGCCCTACACACAATTCATTATGATGTAATATAAGACTGGGTTCTCCTAAAAATGACCTCTCTTAAGCAAAAGATTTGTGCTTTGGAGAAGGATTCAAGGAACTCGCAAACATATAATGGCTAACCAAAACTGCAAATATGGACTCTTTAGGAAAGCAACAAATTTTAACATCTTATCCTTAATGCATTTGTAGTCAAATTCAGAAAAAAAATTGGGGGAAATGAACAAGACAAAGCAGTAGATGAGGTTCAAATGAGTGGTATTCATTTGTTAGTTCAGCAGACATTTATTGAGCATCTGTTTTTAGACTATGTACTGGGCTAGATGCTGAAGATACAGAGTGTGGTTGAAAGGACAGACAAGCAAGGAAAGCTTTCTCTCAGAAGTAATCACTTCCAGAGGAGGTGATGTGGGCTCTTGATAATTCAACCAAGTGAAGTCTGGAAAGAGGGCAGGGAGACGTCATGGGTTTGTCCTGGGAGGAGGAGAAAGGGAAGGATAGCCTGCCTTTAAGAGCAGAGAGAGCAACAGCTGCCCAGACACCCAAGGACCTATCCAACCTTAAGAATAACTCCTGTCACTGGGATCACCTTTAGGCCATAGTCAAAACCTATGAACCAATCACCAATTTAAGAAGAGATTAGCTACTGCTCAACAACTTTCCTGCCAAATTCAGGTGTCATGCCCCTTGGCAGGCCTATGCTATTACTAGTTAATTGCATGTGTGAGTATGTGTTCCACTCTCATATCCTTTCCCACCAAAGAAAAGAAAATGGTGCCATGGAGTGTTCTAATGTGGGATATTGACCAATGCATTGAACGCTGAACCAGTTAACTCCAAAAGACACCAAGTCCTTGCACTGAGATGAGCTTTAGGACATTTGGCAACTAAATATAATTATTATCTAATATAAATCCAAATATTTGAAAATGTAGGATGTTAAGAACATGATTCCTGCTGTCAACCTAAATAATAAACACAGTGAGAGAGGCTTTAAAAAATTATACATTTTTTAGAATAGGGCATTGCAATGGAAATATGCATGCCATAGTAAACTACATGCATATTCAGGGAGACAAAGGAAGACAAAGATTTTTAAAGAAAAAATGAGGATGATTTCATAATTGCTTTAAGATAATTATCCTTTGTTACAAGGATCAATAATAAGAGTGATGCCAGTCCAAGGTTGTATAGGCAGTTGCTGGGCAGATTTTCTTGCAGATGTATTTTTTTTTTTGTAAGATTTCAATGGCCTTTGTGCAAGACTGCAGTTTCTACAGAATCTTTTGTGATAGTTTTTGTTATTAGGCATTGATGCATAAGAACCCTTTCTTTCTTCTTTTTTTTTTTGGAGACAGGTTCTGGCTTTGTCGCCCAGGCTGGAGTGCAGTGGTATTATCTCAGCTCACTGCAACCTCTGCCTCCTGGGCTCAAGGGATCCTCCCACCTCAGCCTCCTGAGTGGCTGGGACTACAAGTGTGTGCCACCACACCCAGCTAATTTTTTGTAGAGACAGAGTTTCACTGTGTTGCCCAGGCTGGTCTCAAACTCCTGAGTTCAAGCAGTCCGCTCACCTTGGCCTCCCAAAGTGCTGGGATTACAGGTGTGAGCTGCCATGCCCAGCAAAACTCTCTCTTCATTGCTTTCTCTAGCTCTATTTGTCAAATTTTGTTTTTGTTTTTTTGTGTTTAAACATAAGTGATTCCATTTTGATTCTGACAAATTTCACATTTTCCCCATTTGATCAAGATCTTTCTCCAAAAGCATCACTAATAAGTCATCCTGTAATGAGGTTTTGATACTCTTTGGTGCTGAGATAAACCTGTCCTTGGTTGCTGGTCTAGACGGTTCCATGTTGGAGAAAGCGAATGACAGTGAGAAGTCAGTGTTAAAACCCTTTTAGCCAAAATTTGAGCAACAAAAGAGGTTTGAAGGGAGTGGCTCTCAGGCTGAGTATACCTGGAGTCCATTGTTAAGTTTATTTTTGTGTTTCATAGGCATTTGTTATCATTTTAAAGCGCTAAGCCAGCATTATTCTGTCAGGAATTGCACTTCTGCAAAATTTAGCAATAACAGATGCAAAGTTTAAAAAGAAAAATACAAAGTAAAATTAATGGTAGTATGACAATACCAGTTTGCATAATGGCTTTGAGCCATGAACCTAAGTAACCAATTGAATAAATCAAATGACCATTATCCTGTCAAATGAAAAAGGTAGGCATTAAGAGGGTGAGAGTCTCATTACAATATAGAGTCTTATTCTGATGTCTTGGGAAAAGCTGTTAACAATATGAAAAAGTCAACTTTTTGGCCAGGTGTGGTGGCTCACACCTGTGATCCCAGCACTTTGGGAGGCTGAGGCAGGCGGATCACTTGAGGTCAGAAGATTGAGACAAGCCTGGCCAAAATGGTGAAACCCCATCTCTACTAAAAATACAAAAATTAGCCAGGTGTGGTAGCACACGCCTGTAATCCCAGCTACTCAGGAAGCTGAGACAGGAGAATCACTTGAACCTGGGAGGCAGAGGTCGTAGTGAGCCAAGATCATGCCACTGCACTCTAGCCTGGAGAACAGAGCAAGACTGTCTCAAAAAAAAAAAAAAAAAAAGAAGAAAAAGAAAAAGAAAAGAAAAAGAAAAAGTTAACTTTTCTCATCCTGATTTGCAGTTTGAATGTCTCTGGATATAGCACTGGGTAGTTTGGTGAACTTTCTGTGTGGCATATACATTAGGCACAGGACTCGTTTTTAAAAATTTGTCAAGTTTCAGCTTATAGGGCTTTAGAAACAGAGAAGTTACTGTTTTTAGTAATTTCATGGAAGAAAGTTGGACTGGAGGAATCTAGACAAATTCAGGGTCTAGTGTAGTCTATAGGCAGATAGCAAGAACTTGAAAAAGTGCAGCGCTACAACCCAATAACAGATGTTTTAGCTTTTTGTTGGAAACATAACTTTTTCTCTCCACATAGATCACGTAAGAATCTCAGATTTAAAAACCTCTTGACGTTAGAAAGCCAAACCAAGGCAGACTTTAGATTTTAGTAAAATCTAAATTAAAATCTAAATCTAAAATTTAAACTATTAGGGTTCCTGAGTATTCCAAGAAGTGATCGTTTTTATCTACTCATGGTAAGGCTGGAAACCAGAATGCCTGGGAAGCCAGGCATTCCATGCACATTCTCAAAATGACATTTCCATCAAAGCTTTGACAATATAGCCAATGTTTCTAATTGTATCCTGCTGTAAAGAGAGAGCAGATTTTCACTGGACTTATGCAAATAACCACATTGCCATAGGAATACTTATGAATAGTTTCCAAATTTTGGAGGAATCAAGTGGAGAGAAAAGGCAAATGCATCCATCTTTATTCACAAAAGTATACTTTACCAAGTTGCTGTAAGCTACAGATAGCTTGAGAGAGAAAATTTCTTTAAATCTGAAAAACAAAACATTCAAGTAAAGGATCAAAAATGTTTTATTGTTTTGTAGTTTTTTTTTTTTTTTGCTTTTTTTTTGAAATGGAGTCTCACTCTGTCATCAGGCTGGAGTAGAGTGGTGCAATCTCGGCTCACTGCAACCTCCACCTCCCAGGTTCAAGCAATTCTCCTGCCTCAGCCTCCCGAGTAGCTGGGACTACAGGCACGCGCCACCATGCCCAGCTAATTTTTGTATTTTTAGTAGAGATGGGGTTTCACCATGTTGGCCAGGATGGTCTCGATCTCTTGACCTCGTGATCTGCCCACCTCAGCCTCCCAAAATGCTGGGATTACAGGCGTGAGCCACTGTGCCTGGCCAAAAATGATTTAAATAAAGAACACAAAAGCATTATCTTTGTCAGTTATTCAGTCTCACATAATTAATTTTTGTCTTGCTTGATCTTGATTAGCAAGTTCATGAACTCATCAGTTTCTTTACTAGAGTTCTGGGAAATTTTAATCTAGTCCATTGATCTTAAAGTTATTAAAAACCTGTATTTAAGAGTACTTCTAGAGTCTTTTCTATGAAAAGTAATTTTGGAGTGTAGCTTATTTCAAGTGCTTTTAGAGAAAAATCAAAACAATAACTGTGGATGACCCAAACTTAGACTAGTCATGATTAAAAATCTGATGAAAGTTCATTGTAATCAGCAATTGACAAGGAAATTCAGTTATTTTTGTTGCATACAACATTATATCCAGAATTATGACTGATGACAGATTTCTAAGAGTCTTATTAAGTTTCAGAACATTCATATCAAAAACACACTCATGAATGCAACTGAAAGAAGATCTAGCATCACTCATCATTTGACAGTGTTCCCTATAAAATTTACCAAATAAGCCTAATCATTTAATATCTCTACAAGATGAGAAGTATATCCTTTGAGACTCTCCAGGGGCTCAACTGGAAAATTCCAAAGTGAAATCTAGGTCAAAATGATTTAATTTAGAATTTTGATCCTGGGGAAGCAAGCCAAAGACGGAAAACAGTTTTGAAACAGTTGATCAAAACAGGATCATGGGTCACTGTAAATTAATAGCCATGCATTTAACCAGAGTGATAAACAACTTCAAAAGCAATACAGAAAGTTATATGGATTTTTAAAAACCTTAACACTTTCAAAGCTCAGTTTTCCTAAGTAATCAGAAACCTAGTAAAGACAACACAGAAAGTTATCTTGATAAAACATAAGTTCTCTCTCCCTCTCTTTTTTTTCTTTAGGTCAGTGCCCAAAAAGGTAAAGAAAACCTCATGCAGTGTGCTTGCTTCTCCTCATGGGCAGCCCATTTGGATACCCTGGAAATTGAACCTAATTTAAAAGGTATCTGAATCTAATCAGTCACAGGAAGAATGTGTGTATACCATATTATAGAGGAAGGTAAATAAGAAAACTAGTATCTTGAGTAGGGGAATATAGTACTCTTAGCAATAGCATGGGAAGTTTCCTGGTTATGTGGAACAATTCAGATACATCAAGAGAAGCCAAGAGTACAGGATAAAGTTATACTGGAGGAAAACATCACTTTTTTAGGTCTTCAAGATAAACATTTCAGCAACAGGTCACAAAAGCAGAGTTAGAACTGGAGAGAATAAATTACAGTAGCTGATGAAAAAGTTGAAAGAGAGATTGTTATCATCCCAGGCTTTTTCAAAGGGAGAAAGAGTTGCAGGCAATGATGCATGACCTGCAAATCATGTGCTGTGAAATACATCAGAAGTTGAAGTTTGAAGATATGAATATGAGAAGCTTCAAGAGGAAAACTCTACCTCAAGAAATAAAATTACCATTCTGAATGAAAAAGACATATTTCTAACCTGAAAATAGGGAAATTAAATTACTTCTATTAAAAAAAGCAGCAGATAATTAAAAATAAAAACATCTTGTAAATTTTACTAAGAGCAGATCAATACACAACAAACAAGCAAACACCTTGTTGTTTTAATATAGAGTACCAAACCTTTAGTTTTCTGTTAGCGTATTTTTTTTTTTTTTGGAGACAGGGCATTCCTCTGTCACCCTGGCTGGAACGCAGTGGCATAATAGCTCACTGTAACCTCAAATTCCTGGGCTCAACTGATCTTCCTGCCTTTGCCTCCCAAGTATCTGGGACTACAGGTGTGCACCACCACACCTGACTAATTTTTAAAACAATTTTTTTTGTGCAGTTGGGGTCTCACTATGTTGCCCAGGTTGGTCTTGAACTCATCCTGGCCTGAAGTGATCCTCCCACCTTGGCCTCCCAAAGTGCTAGGATTATAGGTGTGAGCCATGATGCCCAGGCTTATATTAGTGTATTTTTAAATATCAAAGCTCAATCTTTAGAAAGACTTATAGATAATTCCTTTCTAATTATGGCCAACTTGCTCACACAAAATTCCCTTCATAAATTTATCCTTCACAAACCTTATCACAACTTACTCAGGTCTTTGACAACATACTTAAATTTTCTGCTTTGTTTTAAACTTCCTCTTCCTTAAATACCCAGTCATTTTACTTTAGGACAAAAATTTGCCATGCAAGATTCTTACTCATACAAAATTATTCTCTTTTCTTTTAAACCTTCTTTACTGAAATTTATTCTCATACGCATAACTGTTTTTATGTCTTTTTCTCCTATTTACTGTTCTTTTTTATTTCCTTTTAAAATTTACTTTTTGGAACAACCTTTAAATCACCTTTGAATTAAAAATTATTTTTAAATACATTTTTATGTCTTTCTTATAATTTTTAAAAATAAAACATCTTATTTTTGAAATACATTTTACATACAGAACTATATATATATTAGAATTTTATCCCTTAGTAACCTTAATTTTTAGCAAGCAATTTTGAACTGTGTCACATCAGTATTTTATAGATGAGAATGATTTTATAATTTTTAGGATCATATTTTCCCATAACATAATTTTTTATGTGTATTAATAGACCCAAAAATATTCAGTCTCTATAAACTTTAAGAAGCCAAGGAGAAATGTACATTTATGTTCAGCGATTTTTTTCAGTTTTTTTTTCTTATGTGGGAATGACTCAGACATTTAATGAGTATGAGAGCCAATCATAATCCCAAAAAACATAATCCAGAATGCCATGATCCTGAATGTTGAAATCCCAAAAGATCAAATCCTCAAACAATAATTCTGGAAAAAAACAATTAAAAATTAAAAGATATTTATTTACATTTCCAAAAGGGGATTTATTTGAGAAACATACAAAAACTTGACAGAACACTTTATAGGCCACTTTACACAATAAAATAGGCAATAATAACATACATATTTTTGCAAGCATAAACACTCAGGTATACTAATGACAATCACAGGGGCATAACATTTATCAGCAGAAAAACCATATTCAAAAAGAAATAGGCCAAAAAGTGAAAGGTATAAATGCATATCACTATGGTTGGTAATTGTGTACACCCAGCTGTATAACTGCAGTCATCTGAAATACTGTGAAGGGAAGTCTAAGTCCTTTGATGAGAGTGATTAAAAACCTGAGATGTGTCACCGCCGTATCATCACCGCACCAGTAACCCAAAAAGCCAAGATCTCCAGAAATTTTATCTTTCACAAATGCAAATGTACAAAAAAGAACATCTCTTCATTACTGAGGACATTTCAATGTTTTTGTGTACAAGCACAATGCTTACACACAAAGCCACTGTTGTGTTAATGCACTTTCATGGAGTCACATTTGCGAAAAATGCACAAAATGAATTAGAACTCTCTAAAACTCCTTAATTTATTTATATCTCCAGTACTGGAAGTGATGTGAAGATAAAATACATCTCATAGTGAATTACAAAAAATAATGCTGATAATTTAAAATAGTAAAACAAAAAACCTTAAAAAGAATAAAACAAAAAAATTCAATATATGAAAAAGTGCACAGGCATAGACTATGGGCAGTTGCTTGGAAATAGTCCATCAGAGCTGGCCAACTTTCATGATTATTAACTATGTTTAAAAGTTTTACATCTCGAGGAATAACTGTTTTTCTTTTCTTTTAGGACATGGCTCTCCTCAGAGATTATGTTCATGTTCATTTCTACATGGCACTGCTCTGTTTGAAATTCTGTTATTTGATGTACACTGACTTGAGCATCCCCTGTTAAATTTTCCCATCTTCTGTGCCATAGTTCTATGTTGTTTCAGGTGTGCAGAAATCCATTCTTCATGTGCTAATATACAGACCACAAATTTGGCAGAAACAATAATGGTGACCAAACAGCAACACCGTTGTGCGAGTGTCTTCTCATTCTACCAGGAACATAATTATTTTTGAACCAGTCAGTAACTTTGCTGGCTTCTTCAGGCAAATGTGACTTTAATTTATTAAAAGCTCCTCAAATAACATCAGCTGGATAGAATACTAATGTGAGCAAATCAGGCAATTTTAAACTAAAGTTTTTGTTGTTGCCATATTCTGTGGCCAACTCAATCATCTGAATTTTATGCCAAATGCATTGGGCTGAGTGGAAAAAACAAAACTTTGTTGGTAACACCTTCAAATTTGCTTTTAGAAGCCTTGATTGTACCTAATTCCAAATATATTATTGTGGTTTGGGGATTCAAATGAAATCCATTTTCTTCCACATAAAGACAACAACAAGGTAATACTTCCATCTAACATGATGCAATTTTCCTGTAATTGTGATTTTCAGGATTTTAGACATTAGGGATTTAGACTTCAGGGATTTTGATTTTTTGGGATTTTGACATTTGGAATTATGGCATTCCAGATTGTGTGTTTTGGGATTATAATCCAAATTCAATGAGTCTCTATTACTTGATTTAACATAACTTTAAGATTTCAAATCACATAAATAGGTCATTTATGAAATGTATCCCATTTACATTTACCAAATGTATTTATTTCTAACAATTGTGTCTAGATTAATCATGAAAACTAAGTTAGACAAAGCTAGTCATCATCTTGTTATTTTTCTGCTAGCCATTTTATAACCTGTGAATATCATGTGTTCACCTAAGTAATAACCTTAAAGTTAAATATATGGTATTTTGCCAATAACTCAGAAGTTACAGCTGTTTTTATTAAACCAATAATATTAGTCTTACATATCAAAGAATTGCACAAAGATCATTTTGTTTTAAGCTCAGTTTACAGTTTTATAATCTTTATGTCAAACTCTAACACCTTAAAACTTTTGGTAGAGATGACTATAAAGCTGTCTGACCAGTAAACACAGGCAAAAATGTATGCTGAAAAATTTTAAGGCATTTCTATTTTTCATTTTAACCAACATTTAAAAAACCAGCTTACTTATCAAAGATTTGCTTAAGTCATATAAACTAAAAGGTATTTGGGTTAATTGCTACATATTTTATATGAGTGCTCATTTATTAAAGTCAATCTGAATATAATTCCTTAAGGGATTTCTGGATGAGTATGCCAGATTATAACATGTAAATATAGCATATAACATAATATATGCACATATGGGTAGATACACCTAGACATATATACATACACACAGAGATCTTATAGCTTTCACTTTAGAATTTTAGGCATGAGACACAAAACTTACAGATTCGCCAGTTTTGACAGTTGGGTCAAAATTATATTTTTGGCAAGATGGGATCTGTTCATATGGCTAAACTTTATTTGCCCTTATAGGTAATCTAATAAGGCTGCAGACCAAAACTGTGGGTGAAGCAATGTGGTTAAAAAAAAAAACAACCCTCTTTCTTTTTTTCTATTTTTTAAGGTTTCAAATGAGTTTAGGGTTAAATTTTCAATGTTTACTTTTTAGCTAGGACTGGCTGAATTTTATAAGAAAAAAACCCCCAAATCTCCAAATAGTCTTTTTAGCAACAAACCTATATTTTGTTTGCTGGTTTGGTTTGCTTGACAGTTGATGCAGGTGGAGAAACATTTTAGCAGGTTTTCTTTGCTTCTTTTCTTTTTGGCCTCTGCATAGCAGACAATGCAAAATTTACGCCCGACAAAGACACCTTATATTATTGCACTGAGCTCAAGAATTTGACCTGTTTGATCTGAGAGTATAACTTTCAAAAACATTTGTCTAGTTCTTCCCTTTCAGACTATCAATCCTTGGATGAACTGTTCCATCACCATAAACAACTGCTAGTCAAGCAAACCTAAATATGCATTTCCAAAAGGTGTCTAGGTTGTTGGTTACCATGGAGCTATTTTAATTAGTAAAGCCATTAAACGGAAAGTCCTGTGAGACTCTTTTAAAACCTTGGCTGAAATGCCACAAGCAATGAGTTTTATCTCAACATCAGTAGAAAAGTTGACAAATTAAAAGTCGGCAGAAAAGAAATAGAGATAGGGAGGTTAGAAGGCTCTACATGTTAACTCTATAGTTGCAAGGTTTTTTAAAAAACAGCTTGAGTAATGATAATTTGGGCTCTGAATTTTTCTTGATGTAATTTGCCCATCAATTTTTAAATTGCACATGAGAATAGGCCATAATATGTGGACAGTGGGAGTCCCAGAAAACTTGGCATGCTTTAATGTTTGAAAATTCTGTTTCTTATTAATTTCTCAAAAACAAAGAAAATGCTATAAATTCTTTCATAAAATATCAAGAATTTGGACCAGTGTTTTAGATGATGGGGACCACACTAGTGGCTTTCAATTAGCTATCTTGCATACACCATCTAGAATGTTTATTTTTGCTCTTGGATGATTTTTAGAAACAAGCAAGGGAAAAGGGCCAAATCATTTACAGATGGGCATAACCAAGCCAAAATGGAACCAAGATAAGAGTGTTCACAAAACTTTTAACCCAGGCATGCAGATCAAACAAAATATTGAATTAGGCTTGCAAAAAGGACAAAAAGTAAATTTATCAGAAAAGATAAGCCTTGTAATAACCAATGGTATGCTGTTTTCAAGAGACCCATCTCACACGTAGTGATACCCTTAGGCTCAAAATAAAGGGATGGAGGGAAATCTACCAAGCAAATGGAAATCGAAAAAAGCAGGGGTTGGAATCCTAATTTCAGACAAAACAGACTTTAAACCAGCAAAGATCAAAAAAGACCCTTTACATGGTGGTAAAGGGTTCAATTCAACAAGAAGACTTAAGTATCATTAATATATATTCACTCAACACAGGAGCACCCAGATTCCTAAAGCAAGTTATTAGAAACCCACAAAGAGACTTAGACTCCCACACAATAATAGTAGGAGACTTTAACACTTCATTGACAGTAGTAGATGGATTATCAAGGCAGAAAATTAACAAAGGTACTCAGGAGCTGTACTCAACATTGGACCAAATAGATTTGATAGACCTTTACAGAACTCTCCACATCAAACCAACAGAGTATACATTCTTCTCATTGCCACATGGCACATACTCTAAAATTGGCCACACAACTGTACATAAAACAATGCTTAGCAAATGCAAAAGAACTGAGATCATACCAAATACACTCTTGGACCACAGCACAATAAAAATACAAATGAAGACTAAACAAATTGCTCAAAACCATGCAATTACATGGAAATCAAACAATCCAATCCTGAATAACCTTTTTGTGTAAATAATGAAATTAAGGCAGAAATCAAGAAGTTCTTTGAAATTAATGAGAACAAAGATACAACATACCAGAATCTCTGGGACACAGCTAAGGCAGTGTTAAGAGGGAAATTTATAGCAGTAAACACCCACATCGAAGGTTAGAAAGATCTCAAATTAGAAACCTAACATCACAATTAAAAGAAATAGAGAAGCAAGAGCAAACCAATCCCAAAGCTAGTAGAAGACAAGAAATAACCCAAATCAGAGCTGAACTGAAGATTAAGGCATGATAAACTATTCAAAAGATCAATAAATCCAGGACTTTTTTTTTAAAGTAAGTTTTTTTAATTAGTCTAGATGCTAGCTGGATTAATAAAGAAGAAAAGAGAGAAGACACAAATAAATACAATTAGAAATGACAAAGGGGATGTTACCACTGACCCCTCAGAAATACAACCACCAAAGACTGCTATGAACACCTCTAAGCAAACAATCTAGAAAATCTAGAAGAGATGGATAAATTCCTGGACACATACACCATCCCAAAACTAAACCAGGAAGAAATTGAATCCCTGAACAGACCAACAATGAGCTCCAAAATTGGATCAGTAATAAATAGCCTACCAACCAAAAAAAGTCCAGGACCAGACATATTCACAGCTGAATTCTACCAGATGTACAAAGAAGAGCTGGGACCATTCCTATTGAAACTATTCCAAAAATTGAGGAGGAGCAACTCCTCCCCAACTCATTCTATGAGGCCAGTATCATCCTGATATCAAAACCTGGCAGAGACACACACAAAAAAGAAAACTTCTGGCCAATATCCTTGATGAACATTGATGCAAAAATCCTCAACAAAATACTGGCTAACTGAATCCAGCAGCACATCTAAAAACTAATCCAACACAATCAAGTAGGCTTTATCCCTGGGATGTGAGGTTGGTTCAACATATGCAAATCAATAAATGGGATTCATTACATAAACAGAACTAAAGACAAAAACCACATGATTACCTCAATGGATGCAGAAAAGGCTTTTGATAAAATTCAATGTCCCTTCATGTTAAAAACTCTCAATAAACTAGGTATTGAAAGAACACACCTCAAAATGATAACAGCCATCTGTGACAAACCCACAGCCAACATCATATCGAATGGGCAAGAGCTGGAAGTATTGCCCTTGAAGACTGGCACAAGGATGCCCTCTCTCACCACTCCTATTCAACATAGTACTAGAAGTTCTGGCCAGAGTAATCAGGCAAGAGAATGATATAAGAGCCATCCAAATAGGAAGAGAAAAGTCAAATGATCCCTGTTGCAAATGCCATAATTCTATATTGAGAAAACCCCACAGTCATGGCACAAAAGTTTATTTAGCGATAAACAACTTCGGCAAAGTTTCAGGATACAAAATCAATGTACAAAAATCACTGGCATTCCTATATATCAGCAACAGTCAAGCCAAGAGCCAAATGAAGAATGCAATTCCATTCACAATGACCACACACATAAAATATACCTAGGAATACAGCTAACCAGGGAGGCGAAAGATATCTACATAGAGAATTACAAAACACTGTTCAAAGAAATCAGAGATGACATAAATGGGAAAACATTCCATGCTCATGGAAAAGAAGGATCCATATTGTTAAAATGGCCATATGTCCCAAAGCAATGTATAGATTCAATGCTATTTCTACTAAACTACAAATGACATTCTTCACAGAACTAGGAAAAAAACTATTTTAAAATTCATATAGAATCAGAAAGGAGCCCAAAGAGCCAAGGCAATCCTAAGCAAAAAGAACAAAGCTGGAGGCATCATGCTGCCTGACTTCAAACTGTACTACAGGGCTACAATAACCAAAGCAGTGTGGTACTGGTGCAAAAACAGACACATAGAACAATGGGACAAAATAGAGAGGGCAGAAATGAGGCAACACACCTGCAACGATCTGACCTTCGACAAAGCTGACAAAAATAAGCAATGGGGAAAGGACTCCCTATTCAAATAACTGGTGCCAGGATAACTGGCTAGCCATATGCAGAAGATTGAAACTGGACACCTTGCTTACACCACATACAAAAATCAATTCAGTACAGATTAAAGACTTAAACGTAACACCCAAAACTATAAAAACCTTGGAAGACAACCAAGGCAATACCATTCTGGACATAGGAGGGGGCAAAGATTTCACAAAAAAAGACACCAAGAGCAATTGCAACAAATGCAAACATTGACAAATTGGATCTAATTAAACTTAAGAGCCTCTGCACAGCAAAAGAAACTATCAACAGAGTAAACATAACCTATAGAATGGGAAAAAATTTTTGCAAACTATGCATTTGATGAAGGTCTAATATCCAGCATCTATAAGGAACTTAAACAAATCTGCAAGAAAAAACAAAAACAAAAACAAAAACAACCCCATTAAAAAGTGGGCAAGGGACACGAACAGACACTTTTCAAAAGAAGACACACATGTGGCCAACAAGCATATGAGAAAAAGCTCAATATCACTGATCATTAGAGAAATGCAAATCAAAACCACAATGAGATACCATCTCACACCAGTTATAATGGCTATCATTAAAAAGTCAAAAAATAACAGATGCTGGCGATGTTGTGAAGAAAAGGGAACACTCATATTCTATTGGTGGGAGTGTAAATTAGTTCAAGTATTGTGGAAAGCAGTGTGGTGATTCCTCAAAGACCTAAAAACAGAACTACCATTTGATCCAGCAATCTCATTACTGAGTATATACCCAAAGGAACATAAATTGTTCTACCATAAGGACACATGTATGTGTATGCTTATTGCAGCACTATTCACAAAGCAAAGACATGGAATCAACTTAAATACCCATTAATGGCAGGCTGGATAAAGAAAATGTGGTACATATACACCATGGAATACTATGCAGACATAAAAAGAATGATATCATGTCCTTTGTGGGAACATGGATGGAGCTGAAGGCCATTATCCTTAGCAAATGAATTCAGGAACAGAAGACCAAAAAGTGTATATCCTATCTTGTAAGTGAGAGCTAGATGATGAGAACATATGGACACATTGAGGGGAATAACACACGCTGGGGCCTACTTGAGGGTGGAGAGTAGGAGAAGAAAGAGGATCTAAAAAATAACTACTGGGTACTGGGGTTAGTACCTGGGTGAGAAAGTAATCTGTACAACAAATCCCTGTGAGTTTACCCATATAACAAACCTTCTCATGTACTTGTGAACCTAAAATAAAAGAAAAAAAATAAGATAAAATAAAATGAGAAAACTAAAAAGGAAAAAGAAAGACAATTAAAAAGAAAAAAGAAGAAAAGAAAAAAGAAAATAAAAAAAGATATGTCCTGCAGACAAAATGAAAATTCTAGGGAAGCCAGAATACTCAAACTAGAAGGATATTTGTACTTATAGCAGAAAAGAATTGCTAGAAAATACAGTCTTTTATCCCTCCAGAGGGATGTAAGCTCCTTTATTTAAGGGGGCCTTATAACAAAATCAAATCCCAAATAAAGTGAAAAGCTACTACCAAAAGGAGGGAGGCTCAGCCTGAGAGAAGTCTCACCAGAGCAGAAAAGGTGAGCCGTAAAAGTGGAGAGCTCAAAGGGTTAACACATCAGTTCTGCACACTGGCGTACTGCACACCAGTTCCAAGAATCACTGATTCCTTCCAATAGTGATTTTTCTTCAGATCCCAGTTGTGACACCATTTATGCCAACCTAAATAATGAACACAGAGAGAGCAGTCTAAAGAAAACATTTCCTATGATAATGATATCCCATTGATATCTATACCTCTGTATGATATCTATACCTCTCTATGATATCTATACCTCTGTAACCCTATCCTATGTCAACAAAAGTGAACTGAGGGTGAGACACCCACTACACTAGTCTTGCTTCTGGACATCTGGACCAGGACAGTGGCTGAAACCCACATCTCTTCAAAGGTCAGAAAGGATTATTGATTATTGGAGAGAGGAGGAATACCGGCTGGTGCATTCACTGTCAATCCCAATTTTAGCAGATGGGGTGAAGGCACAATCTACCTTATCAAGATCTTAGGAATTCTGATCTAAAAGTTTCAAAATACAGTACATTTTCTTACTTAGGGATCATCCCTGCCTCCATTATCTATAGTTGCAGCCCTGGTCCTGGGATCACTGCATCAGGTAGGAAAAATAAAGTCAAGGTGATGCAGGGGAGAATTGTCTGCTCACACCAACATCCTTCCCCATGGTAAGGTTTCTATAGTCATGTCATTATGCTCTCTCTCCTCTTATTCAGATCCCCTAGAACAATAGAGGAATCTATCTAGTGGGGACCCTCAGTAGCCCCTCCCATGTATAATTTGAGCACACATTTGTGAAGGTGTGTAAGCCAGCCTTTTATGCCTTTATTTTCCTCCGTTTTAGATAACAAATTTTCAACTGACCATTTGAATTCTCTATCAAACCCTAACTCTAAGGATGAGACTATGTTGTTTGGTCTGAAGAAATGTGTCTTGGTTCATATTGGTATAATATTCTTTTCTCAGTCTTTTTATAGTATTTTTAATATTTCATCTACCACTGGTTATGCAAAACCCAATCCAGAGTAAGTGTCTATTCCTGTCAGGACCCATTAATTGCTCCCAAGTCTACCCACACTGAGCCAATGAAACTGACTTGCCAGCTGTGTTAAGGGCTTTTCCCCTCAGGAAATCTGTCCCAGAGCCATCTGCAGTCTGTCTTTCTCACTGGCACACAGAACAGATCTTGTTGGCATTTTCTGCAAGAAGAATATGTCTAGATTCAGCCCATCTCTGCATTGCTGAAGTACCACATCTACTCATTTCATGGACCCAGGTGGCCATCTCAAGCAAACACAACAGGATATACTCTTGCCAATTCTAATTGCCTTCTGACCCTAGAAAGGATCTCTTCTGATGAACATTATCATATTCCACTTTAATGTGCTCCTTAAATTCCTATAGTAATTTCCATGAGGTTGTGCCCCATACAGGCGTCTACTTAATAGGCCAGTGTTCCATTGACTATAGAGCCAGGTCATGGGCTACTGTCATAAGTCAGTAAAACCCAAACTTAAAAGCTTTTATTATTGTTCAATTCCCCCTTCACTGCCAGGAAAACAGCATGCGACTCAGTCCGTTGAACTAATTTGTTATCTTTTTCAATCAGAGTCTTTCAATCTGCCAGTCTTAGTGTGGTCCCTTCCAAACAGGAGGCTATTCATCCACCTTGGAACTGCCATTCATGAACCAAGCAGCTCTTTGATGGTTAATAGAGATCTATTAACAGGGCACTGTCCAGGTGGCGATAGGACCCAGTAGTTCCTCAGGTGTCAATCCGAGAAGTCAGTCCTAGAGGGAAAGAGTCTACCTGCTTGTAGATACAATGGGTACCTCTGTGTCCACCCAGTAACATGTTTCTCCCATTTCCACTTTATTATGGAACTCTTCTGGATGCTGTCTTCCTTATTAGATTGTTTCTCTGACATAACACAAGACAATCTCAGTATTTCAGGTTTCAGGAGCATTTTATGTCCTTCACTCACAGGGGCTTTTACCATTAATGTCCAATAGTAAGGTAGTAGCTGTTTCTCAAATTGTGTGTATCTTACTATACCATTTAGGAATATTCTGATACAGAATCCCAGTGGTCACCTATGAGTGGTACTCACAGGCTTTTGCAGTAATCTCCAGTCTACATATAATAGGCATGTGTTACAGACACTTCCAAGATCATATATGGTATGGAAGGACAAAATAAGCATTGAGAGAGGAACTACTTTTTGCAATTCAGCCATGGCTTGCTTTTTTGGTCCCTCATTCAAATACAGCACTCTTTGGGTAGTTTTATGGATAGCAGTGTGTAACATTTCTAGATGTGGAATATGCATCCTCCAAAATCTAAATAGACCAATGAAACATTGGGCTTCTTTGTTTATTTCAAGGAGTAGTAATGAGATCAGTTTATTTGTGCTTACCTATGGAATGTCATGGGTGGCACCTGCCTAGGTTATTCCTAAGAATTCCACCATTTTGAGAGGCCTTGACCCTTGCTAGACTTATCAGCCAGCCTCTGCTGGTCATGTGTGTCACTGCTGCATTTAGGTCATTCCTCACCTGGTTTTCAGTTTCAGATATTATCAGGATATAATCAATACAGTGTATTATTACACTTAGAACCTGCTTTAATCCAAATCCCTTTTAACCAAATTATTGTAGAAGCTGGTGAATTTAAATAATCCTATAACAACATAATCTTTCCATGTCAGGGCAAACTGCAACTGGTTTTTTTCTAAGATTGACATAGAACAAAAAAAGCATTTGCAAAATCAGTCACTAAGTACCAGACTCTTTAGCCTGCTGTACTTTTTGTGGCATTGAAGCAATATCAAGACTACTAGTGCTATGGGTGGCACCAGTTTATTCAAGCCTCAATATTCCACTATTAGTCCAGATGAGCCATCTGCTTTTTTCACAAGCCATACAGAGCTTTGTATAAAAAATTCATGTATACCAGCACTTCAGCTACTAACATATCATTGATTTCTTTTTGTGCACTGGATGTCCTATAATGTTTCAAACTAAAACCTATGAGGGCTTGAGCAGCTCTAGTTGTTCCCAATTAGCATGTCCCATCAAGACTGGCAGACTTGACTGAGGGCAGACTTAGATGCTTTCTGTTTTACAACAGTAGATAGGGAAAGTGTTCCATAGTCAGACTAATACCCATACCAATAACACATTTAGATAAAGGAGACATGAAATCCTTCCAAACATTCCGATTCTTTTTTTTTTTCTACTGGACAATTTCAACAACACAAATGTAAAACATTCTAACTTATATTCGACCTTTCACCTTAATCCCATGAGCCACTGCATGTCTGTGCCCTCCCAATCTAATTGTAGCTCCCATTAAGACTTCATTAACAGGTTTTGAAATCACTATGTATTGGGGTCCCTAGTCAAGGAGTCCTAGAAAAGTCTTCTCTACTCCTGGTCATTTTGCCCCACAGAAGACCTAGTTTTCTAGTCAATCTTCATTTTGATTAATCTGGCAGACCATTGTGACAGGTAATTCAAGTTCAGGTTTATCACTGTCATCTTTGTCCTTTGTTGTTGTTTTTTAATTCCTCAAAACAGGGGTAAATAGAGCAGAGTTACTTAAGGTCCTTTAATATTGAGGGGTCAGGAGGGTTTCCCATTGGCCCACCTAACTTCCACAGTGTTTCATTAAGACCTTTGTTTTAACTCCATCAATGTCAGCTTTATTCATTCCATTTCTTCATCATTTAAATATTTCCGCTCTGCTGGGACATGTCCCTTGACTCTTCCATTTGTCTTTCCTCACTTTCTTGTGAATCACCCTAATTTTCTAAGCATTTGTAAAGCCCATAAGGGTAAGCTAAGATAACACATCTGATGAGGTTTCTCTTACCATTGTTTGATTTTATAGCAGTAAGATTATATGGGGTCCCAGGCAAAAGGGTCCCCCTTAAATCTTGATATTTACCATGACGTAGGTAAGGGCTATATTTAGTGGATAAATAACCTGATCATTATAATGTTAATCCAACATGGCTTGCATATGAAGTATATCAGCTCCTTTATTTGGAAAATTCCATTTGGCATTTTTTTTTGTAGTAAAACAATCCCCCTTCTTAATGTAAACACATTTTACAGTAGCCTTTATCCAGTCCTCCAGGCTACCTGTACCTGCTATGTGTCTGGATGATACACATCTACAATGTTCAAAAGAGAGCTGTGGATTTTACAGCAACCCAAACATGTTCTTCTAATCTGCAGTGTTCAAAGTCAAGGATGCTGCCACTATGTTAGTCATTTTCACAATCATTTCAGTAAAGGCTTTACAAAAAAATTGACGGTAATGATCCACAAAATGAGACAAGTCTTTCACACTATCCCCTGGTTTCAGCAGTTTCTTGTTTTTACCCTCCCTCCACCTGGACAACCTCCCTGGTGACCAGAGGTTGTAGACATGATGTCTGTTGTCCCAGCATAATTTGTCCGTTATTTCTTATTATTTTGCATTTTCTTGCATATCAAGTAAGCCAACTCCTTGGGAGCCGGGTCTACCACTTCTAAATTTCATTGATTACTTTTGCCGCTCATAACTGATCACAGTGCAGTTATAGTTCCACACCATGGATGACCAGATAGCCACCTAGAATTAAAGGTTCACCAATCCCTGCCCTTATTTCCTTTCTCTATCCAAATCACATAGTTCAGTGAGTCAGGGTTGATCTAGTGAATCCTGGTCCAGAGGCCAACTGCAAAAGTTACTTAACTATGAAGTTGGGAGAATAGATCATAAGACCCCCTCACTTCTGACATCAGTTGCAAGTGTGAAGATCCCCAGAGCACCCTCAGCTTCAGTCATTCACTAGAAAGACTAACAGAACTCACTTAAATCTATTATACCCACAGTTACAATTTATTATAGGCAAATAACACGCATAAAAATCAGCCATGGGAAGAGATACATAGGGCAGAATCCAGGAAAGTTACCAAATATGAGAAGCTTCTTCTCCCCATGAAGTAAGGATAGCATTGCTTTCCTGGCACGGGTGCATAACAACACACACAGAATACCGGCAATGAGAGATGCTCATCCAATCCTTGGTGTCTAAAGTCTTTACTGGGACTCATGTAGGCATGCTTGACTTCCCAGTGGCTGATGTCAGTTTCCAGTCCCCAAGGAGGTCAACTACTGTGTGAAGTAAAGCCCCCACCCTAAATCACATTGTTGGTGGGGCTCAAAGCCCCCACCATAAATCACTATGTTACTGTCTGGCTCACCCAAGACCCCAAAGCAAACAAAGCCACTCCCAGGTGGGACATTCCAAGGGCTTAGAGACCACCTCCCAGGAGCAAAGAGTGGGGGGAAAAAGCAGTCAGACATCTTTTGGACAAGGTTAAATTTTTTACTACGTAGCAATTCTCAAGTGTTATTAAAAAACAAGTAGGAAAACTACAGAACACAATTTAATAGTATTTTCCTCCTTTTTCACACAAGCTTATGGCCAAGTAAAGGATCCTGACTCTAGCTCTGGATACAGTATTTGGCTCATTCTGGGAACCTGACTTTGATAAGAAGATGAAGAACTTTGTGAATTGAAGTAAATCACGTGAGAATCACTGACCTGACCTAAGAAAAGTTTGGATTTCTGTGAAACAGTATTCTACCACTCCTAAAGAAATATGCATTTGGCTGCAGTTTTCCACTTTTCACATAGGGGAGTGAGCTTTCTCTTGTTTGAACAACCATCAAGAACTGGGATATTATCTCATTTCAGGTGAAAATAGTATTCATGTATGCTTATCACAAATTCAGTATTCAGGGTTCAGTATTTGCACAGAGGAAAAGTAAGCATAAGTTTTAGATGAAAGACATAAATTTTATTATTTATTTTTAACTTCAAAAATATTATTTTCTATGCACATATGGACCTATAAAAGAGATCAAGAAATTAATACATGTATATAATACATTTATAACTGCTAGACCTTTATTTGAGTCTGATCATGTTACTCAGTGAGAAACTTTTTTTTCTAAGTCTTAATAAGATGTCTTACACTATATTTTTATTTATATTGCTTTGGCTTGTGATTAATTGCTTTGCTATTCAATACTGGCAAAATTTTTTATACAGTAAATAACATTAATTAAAATAAATTTATAACTTATTTAAATAAATCTATCAAGATGACCTTTCACAAATTCAATTCCTTTTGGTTTAAGACAGTTATTTAAGGGAAATGTATTATGTTTGTCTTAAGAATTTTTTAAATTTATGAAAAAGAAGGAAAGATTAATTTCAAGAAAGGTTATCCAGTCTTGGAGCTACCTGATTATATTCAAGACAGATTGGCTTAAAAAATTTGTTAGCTTTAAATAGCAGAAATAACTACTCTTGCATGTATCATATACCATGTCCCATACCTCATCAGCATGTCTTATACTATAAATAAAACTTTGAAGTCTATTTGGATAAGATTTTTTGAAAATCAGGTAGGAATTTATTAAAAGGAAAAACTGAGATCTTCTCACCTACATTACTGACTTGCAGTAGAGGGGTTATTCTTTGTGGGGTGGAGGGTAGGGGGACCACACAAAAAGAGCAGGCTGATAAATTGGCTACAGTAAATAGATCCATAGGAAAATATCAGTCCTTATAAAAAATTATTTTGGTCATCTTCCCTGGTCAGAACTTGGACAGAGCTCGTGAAACCTTTGTAATTTCCCAAGTGATAAAGGTGCTAGGAGCATATTTTGTTCTAATGAGGTGACTCTTGCTGGGTTCCTTAATGAAGCCTGGTCACCAGGAAGATCAAGGCATGGTTAGAGACTTGGAACTCTCTCTCATCCCCCATCAACAGGTAGGGGAGAGGAACTAGAGATTGAGTTTATAATTGATCATGCTTATGTGACAAAGCCCCCCCAAAAAATCTCTAAAAGACAGGATTCAGAGAGCATCCAGGTTGGTGAACACATCCTATGTGCTAGGAGGGGGTTGCATTCCAACTCCATGGGGACAGAAATTCTGTATTCAGGACCCCTCCAGAGCTCTCTCTATATATCTCTTCATCTGGCTGTTTATCTGTGTCCTTTATAATATCCTTAATAATAAACTGGTAAACATCTTCCCCTGAGTTCTGTGAGCCATCATAGCAAATCATCAAAACTGAGGAGGGAGTCGTGAGAACCCTCCATTTGTAGCCAAGGCTGATAGAAGTGTGGGTAACCTGGGGATTCGCTACTTGAAATTGGCATCTGAAGTGGGGGCAGTCTTGTGGGACTGAGCCCTTAACCTGTGGCATCTGCACCAACTCCAGGTAGTTGGTGTCACGGTTGAATTATAGGATGCCCAGTTGGTGTCCAGAGAGTAGGAGAATTGGTTGGTATCAGGAAAACTCCCACACATTTGGTCACAGAAGTGCTGAAAGTGTTGCATGTCATAGAGAAATGCTTTCCTTTCCTCTTTACAGTAAACTGGGGAGAGAACAGAAGCAAAAAAGTTGCTTCTTTAAAAGCCATGGAAAGGAAAGGAATTTTAAGAAAAATAAAACTCTTAAATATAGCAAATGGGATGACAGCTGCTGTATACAAAATGACAAAATTAACAAAGTAATATACCCATTATGCGTACAGCAATTTGCAGTTATCAAAAAATTTTCATATATAATGCATGTGTGTGCATATATATGTATAGACTATGTAGACTATATAAATGTGTATGTGTATATAAATTCTCTTCCTGAAGATAGAATCAACTGGTTCTTTCCTGGGGCAAGAACACTGAGTTATAGCTTCAAGACCTGAGTCATATTACTATTTGCTCTGAATTTAAAAGTTAAAAAGTCAAACAAATTTGCAAGACTAGGTTCTAATGACAATTACTTTGTCAAGGATGCAAACCACTTTTCATTTCAAAAGCATATGCGGACTTAAAGCTTGTGAAAACCAGATAAAGGTAGGCATACTTTGGAAAGAAACTGCCTGGTATAGAGGGATTAATTGTTTCCACACATCTAAGCCTGACTCCAAAACTGGCAATGGAAGACTGTATCTTGCTAACAAGTCTTAGACATGTAGTACTTGAAAAAGAACAGGTAAGGCCAGGCGCAGTGGCTCATGCCTGTAATCCCAGCACTTTGGGAGGCCGAGGCAGGCGGATCACGAGGTCAAGAGATCCAGACAATTCTGGCCAACATGGTGAAACCCTGTCTCTACTAAAAGTACAAAACTTAGCTGGGCGTGGTGGCACTCGCCTGTAGTCCCAGTTACTTGGGAGGCTGAGGCAGGAGAATTGCTTGAACCTAGGAGGCGGAGGTTGCTTTGAGCCAAGATCGCGCTACTGTGCTCCTACCTGGCGACAGAGCGAGACTCCGTCTCAAAAAAAAAAAAAAAAAAAAAAAAAAAAAGAAAGAACAGGTATATTCTATACCAAGGTGTTTGGAATGGAGACCAGGAAAATGATAGGAACGAAAATATGTTCAGAGCAACCCAGGCTGAGACTGGGGAGGCACACTTGAAGACATGACGGGGCAAGAGGTTTCGTAGTTCACTTGGTTTCCCACCCATAGCTGCATTTAGACACTCTACTAACTTCAATAGGCATGTTGGGCCAGGATGCAAAATTATTTGCCTTTTAGTTCACAATATTTTATCCGTTTCATAACACATATGGCTTAGAAGTTGAGAGTATGCGGCTTGAAGACAAATCTCAGTGCTAAGGAATAATAATTATAATAGGCCGGGCAGGTTATTTAACTTCTCTCTCTCTGATTGCTTCCTTACGTTTCAAGGGGGGATAGCACCACCCACCTCAGTGGGTTTGCATAAAGATAAAAACACCAAATGTGCCTTAGTTTGGTACTTAGAACATACTACAAAACACGGACCCATTAGTAATAAAAACAGCTGCTCTAGAACTCTCCTTAGGAGGAAAGAGCCGGGTTTTAACAGAGAACAAACATAAGCTGTGTTGCACAACCCCTTTCTCCAGCTGAATCTTCACTGTGTCTCCCTGGGTCCCAACACACAATCCTCGTGACCCCATAGGAGGCTCAAGGCATCTACAGAAGGCACATGTTAAGACAGAGATGTGATTATTTTTTAAGAGACTAAGAAACTCCAAATAATGAATGGCTATCTATCATGTGCAATGACTCTGGAGAAATATAAAATACGAACTCTGCCCTTAAGATATTGTCAGCCTGGTGGCAGTGGGAAGAGGTGCAGGGGAAACATTGAAATTTGGTTTGGAGAGACAGCCATGTAAAACCAAGTAGATGTATTTATAAGGCTTCCCTGAAGAAGGGATGCCTTTGCTGAGTCTGAGGGAAGAGTAGAACAATCCAGCGAATGAGAAGATGCAAGTATGAAATGCAAGAACATTGTTATGTTTATAGTAGAAGGAGCTTGTGAAGGCAAAGGGAAAAGAATCAGGAACAAATCAACAAAATCCCAGTGTGGGAAGGCAAGAAATGTACATTTTATCATCAAAGCCAATGGAAAGCCATGGTTGAATCTCCACAATGAGATGAACTTGATCAGCTTTTCACCTTGGAAAGGTTCCTCCAGCTTGGTTTCGAAGTAAGAGCAAAACAGAAGCTACAGCTACACTTCAGGCAAGACAGATGACCACTCCAACAAAATGCAGTGACTGAGGAATCAGGAGAAGATCAACTAAAAGCTAGCAGATATCATATTAGCAGGCCTTGGTGACAATTGGGTATGGAAGAAGTGAGAAGGATCTTGGCTGACTGCGGTTTCTGGCTTAGACAACTGAATGGATAGTGGGCCCATATGTTAACATAGAAAATGCAAGGAAAGGACCAGAGTTCCTGGGAGCTGATGTGCACAGTCCATAGTGACTCATAGAGGTCCACGTGCACTGTGGCAGTAAGCAAAGCTGTGAAAGACGCCCTGCGTGATGGACAGAATGTGATTTGGTGTCTTTCAGAAGGAGTCTCGGTCCTGGTTTGGGGCTTTGATGACTCAACAAAGTGAAGTCTGGAAAGAGGGCAGGGAGACCTCCTGGTGTGTCCTAGGGGGAGGAGAAAGGAAAGGATGCCCTGACTTAGAGAGGAGAGAGAACAGCAGCTGCCCAGACACCCCAGGACCTGCCCAATCTTGAGCTACTCCTGTTGCTGGGATTCCTTCTGTGCCCTAGACAAAGCAACTGGGACTCACCATAAAGGTAAGAAGATTGTATGTTGAATATTTTATATAAATAGATCTATAGAGATACAGAGATATGAATAGATATTCTTCCAAAAATACCATAGGCCTGAGACAGGTGTCCCATCCCTTGGGCAAGAGAATGTTATAGAACAGTATATATGCAAAGACTTTCCAAGATGTAAGTAGCCATATATATATATTTTTAATCAATTTCTTCATTAGTATGAAAGATTCAGAAAGGCAAATTTATAAAATTTATAGAGACAAAATAGATAAAGGTTGTCTGGGCCTGGGGCTAGGAAGAGGGATCAACTGTAAAGGGCATGAGGGGTTTTACTGGAGCCATGAAAGTGTTCTACAACTCACCGAATGTGATGGTTGCACAACTTGGTAAAGTTACAAAAATCATTGAATTGCAGACTTAAATTTTATGATATGTAAAATGTATGTCAATAAAATTATTTCTTAAAAAAGAAATAAATTTTCAGATCTTCAACTTCCATGTGTGGTCTTTCCTAAATATGATTTGCCTGAGAAAGCACCTGTTCTTGCTTATGTAAAATTCACTTTGCTAGCTCCCCTTTTAGTTGGCCTACTCAAAAAGGAAGAGAGTCATATTCTTTTCCTATCCTTATTTTTACTATGGTAAAAATGGAGTGTTGAGTGAAGAAACCTTCAAGCTGCCAACAGTAAGACCATCCTAAATATTGTTACTGAGATGTCTCCTTTAATGACTCATGCCTTATGGCTTGTTATCTTTCTCTTTTTTACTTAATTTGGTGAAGAGTATAGCCTTGTATTAGAAATTAAATGTCTTAACCTGCTTTGGGATGTTCTGAATTCGGATATATGGTAGAATGCGGCAGTGGACGTGTTGACAATTTTCCTTTAAGGACCTCACCTTTCCATACCTCAGCTCTTATCAAAGAACACAGCTGGGGAGAATTCCACAAGAGATTAGCAATAATAGCATGGATATACAACATTCAGTGCTGCCACTAGCTTTTCCAGGTATTTACATGTGTGCAATCCTTTTCAGCTCTTCTCAACAGTCACCCATAGGTTGTGTTATTAGCCAGGGGAGAAAAGTCACCTGTGAAAAGATGAAGCTGAACCACCTAGTGACACGGGTTTAGTGACTGCCAAAGTTTTCAAGATATATTAGACAAAGCCATGAATCAAATTTCAAATGACTTCTTCAGATTCAATATGAATTAACCAGAAAGATAGTTAGAGTTTCTTTCATCCAGTCACATCATGACGTCCATAATCTGCCTCCATGATCACTAATCTCAGGTGGCCCCAGGACCAGGTTATTTCCTCCTTTGCCATCTGCTCATAGGGGACACCGCCTTAAGACCATGTAACACATATGGCTTAGAAGTTGAGAGTATATAAGCTGAGAGGGAGGCATCCATGCAACAGGGGTGGGTGGCATGGGAATCGGGGCACCAGCTTATGTGATTTGTGTAAACTACTTTGGTATTACTTAGACCTGATCCCTATTGTATCACTTCCTTCAAATGGTGGGTTGCTGCTGTGTCCTCCTAACTTTAAGACTGAGAAAGCCCAGGTTATGATGAGTAGCTCTAGTCACACCATCCTTTGAAATTCCATGGTCAGGCTGGGCGTGGTGGCTCACGCCTGTAATCCCAGCACTTTGGGAGGCCGAGGTGGGTGGATCACCTGAGGTCAGAAGCCTGACCAACATGGTGAAACTCTGTCTCTTCTAAAAATACAAAAATTAGCTGATCGTGGTGGCACGAGCCTGAAATCGCAGCTACTCGGGAAGTTGAGGTGGGAGAATTGCTTGAACCCCAGAGGCAGAGGTTGCAGCGAGCTGAGATCATGCCACTGCACTCCAGCCTGGGCGACAGACTCCATCTCAAAAAAAAAAAAAAAAAAAGAAAAGAAATTCCATGGTCAGATACTCAGTCTCTACCAGGGATCAGGTGCTACTTGCTACTTTTCAAATGTTTTATTGTTTCGTGCTGCATTTAGCATTGCCTTGCACTAGAACCCTAGGGTTCTGTGCTAAGACTCCCTATTGGGGCTTACCAAGGATTACTCAATAGAGCTTTATTGGCACAAATATCTGGGACTCTATGAGATCCATTAGGTCCTGTGGCCCAAGTGGCAGGGCTGGTTATACAACATCTTCACCTGCCACAGAGCCTTCTCTTACCCTGGGCCCCACTCAAAACTGACAGCCTTCATAATCACCCAATAAATAGGTTGCAGCAGAATTTCCAAGAATGGTTTGCAATGTCCCCCAAACCTGAAGAGCACTACCAAATTTTCATTGTCTTTCAACTCTGAATGAAAGTCTCAATATGCCTCAAACCACTGGAATCCTAAAAACCACTCATGTGATGGGTTTCTGGATCTCTGTAGGATTTACCTCTCACCCTCTGAGGCACATATGTATTACTTAGACATTCAGAGTTCCTTTGACTTCTGCTCATCATGTCCAGTTAACATTATGTCGTCAATATAATGCACTAACATGAAATTCACATTTTAAGTACTCAGGTGCCCAAGCTGGAAAACTGGGCCTCGTTTTTAGCTCCTTTTGCTCCGAGGGTGACCAATTTCTCACGAAGGGCTGATAATTTTAACTAATAAAGTTAGATTTCCCAAATCTAACTTATTTTCTGCATCTATACTACTTCTGACTAGTTCAGGGCCTGGCTGGATACCTTCTACTGGCCCCTCCAGGCGCATGCTCCACTCTGTTCCATGCTCTTGGAGGCTGAGCTGTGTGGATGACATCTCACTTCCAGAAGGGTTTTGCTAATAGAGAACCCGATAGATCAGAGGAAAGGAGGGAAATGCGGTTGTGGTATTTATTCACATGGTTTCCTTCTGCAGGGGTGTCTCTGGCTTACTATGACACTTAACCAAAGGTCACAGCCCCTGACAGGCAGCCGTCTGTTTTTGTCCTTGTTGGGGTAACTCACTTCCTCCTCTTGCACTTTCAGGCCTGGATGGTATTAAAACCTCCCTGTGCCTGGCTCCAGTGCTGCACTATCTCTTGTGGTTACCCCATACTTTGCCTCTTAAATAGCCCCTTCATGAAACTCTCTTCAATTTACCCAATTTAAATATGCCATCTATTTCCTGACAGTATCTGATGGGCACAAGACCTTAGTATCTCTTGCTGCAAGAATCTCCTGGCTGCCACATCAAATAAGTGCACCTGCATATACACACATGCTAACGTTGTCTCTATATGGCAAAAATCTGACCATATCAATATCTGACCCCTTTGCATTTCTTATTAAATTTCAGTAACTCCCATTTGCCCTCTACGTAAAGTCTAAGCTTTTTGTTTTGGCATGCAATAACCACCACTATCCAGCCCTTGACCAATTCTATAGCTTCATCTCCAGCCACTCCCCATCTCATACTTGCTGTTCCAAGGATAACAAACTCTTGGTAGTTTCTCTCACTCTGCGCTGTTTTTCTCCCCCTTGCCCTTACACGTGCTAACTTCCTTGCTTGGTATGGCCTTCTATATTTCCAAACTCCTTACTCCATTCTCCTTCAAGAATAAGCCCTGAAAAATTTAAAAAAAAACAAGTCATGTATACTGTGGTCCCATTCATGCAAAATTGAACACATAGCTATTATATGACAATGGCTATTTGGAGAGGTGACTTAAAGAATGGCAAAATAATAATAATAGTTAACAGTGAAATATCAAATTTTTTCTTATGTTGGATAATTTTTGAGAAGGTAAGATAATGACTCCCATACAAATGTAAAATGAACAAGTGTCAACATTTAAAAAACTCATTAATTAATGAGGGGAACCACAAAGCCATTACAACTGATTCAAAGGTAAATTCAAAGAACCACACATATATAGGACAAAGGGAAGAGTAAAATAAGTTTGTTTAATAGATGCAAAGCTGATTTCCTCCAGTGTAGAAGGAAAATTGAATCTCCTCCAGATGAAATTTATATGCATCTATGGATAGATGCAAATATTTATTAGTTATCTAAAACTCTTGAGTTGTAAATAGCTCAAAGGCAATGTAAGATACAGAGACCCCACAGAATCAGGTCACCTAGAAGAGTAGCTAGATAACACCTAGTTTTTCACTGAAGATACCCAGAGTCCATTTCAAAGTCAGGTCTGTTTTAGAGTCTTTTGCAACTTTTCCCTCAACTTTCTTATACATTTTTACAAATATTTTACAAATATTTTAAAACCAATTTATAATGAACATATATCCTTTTTTAATTAAAAAAGCATGCCTCCTAAAAAACAAACAAATGCAATATTAGAAGCTCCTTTTCCTCAATTGACTTAGGTGTCACCTTTTCCAGATTATTTATCTAACCACTGCCACCCCAAGGTTAAGTTAGGCGCCATTCCTTCTCCTGTGCTCCCATAAAATTGTGTGACTCATATGTTCCTCCTACCACAATGTATTATAGTCATATTTTTCTGCAGGCCCAGCTCAGGCTGTGAGTGCTTTGAGTACCAAAATCATGAGTCATCTTTGTATTCTGGCCGCCCAGCCCATAGCAGGTTCCCAGTAGATGCTCACTGAATGAATGAAGAGACTAGGGCATGCATAGATTCTGTATATTTTGCCAAAATTATATATATATATATATATATATGACTGGGGCAGAGAAGGAGAGAGAGAGAGAGAGAGAAGGAGAGAGAGAGAGAGAGAGAAAGAGAGAGAGAGAGAGAGATGCTTAGCTTTTAAAAATAAACTGTTTGGAGTGACATTAACAAAATGTTGAGTAGGAAGAGAAGGAAACCCAACACTGTTTTGAATCCTTGGCTACAAGGGAGGTAGGGAACCATAATGAATGAGCAGGGATTGTAGGAGCCAAATTTCAGAGAAAAAAAGAATTGTGAATTTATCTTTAAAGTTTGCTTCAAAAGCATTTATCTGCTCTGATATTTACCTAAGATTTACTAAGGTTGAAGTACTTAAATAAGGGAATTGGGTTTATGTAAATAAGTTCATAGCTACAGATTTGTGAAGATTTGAACAGAGACTCAGTATTCTAAATATCAGGAAAGCACTAGTTCACAGTGTACACAATGCCTGATGCCCCCCAAAGCCTGAATACTTAAAAATCAAGAATGGGTACTTTACGATAAATGCTTTAAGACCAGAGCTGAACTGACACCACTGACTGCACAGGGGAAGGGTCTGACATGCAGTAACTAAGGAATTTGACCTGTAGGTCCAGTGAGGCCCCTAAGAAACCATTACATCACTGCAGCCAAATCTGCATTCATTCATTCATTCATTCATTCATTCAACAAATACCTATGAAGCCATTGCTAGGTGCCGGGCACCCTGCTAGAAGTGACAAATGTAACACGGTCACTTAGAGTTAGAAAGATGAATGTGAGGAGTAAGCACAGGAGGGCATCAGGTCACATGGAGGAGACAATGAATCAGCTTTGGGGTGTCAGGAAGACTCCCCTCATGTGCTGAAAATGAAGACAAGTCTAGAAGAAGAGGCTGAGGGATGAAAAGCAGGCAGAGCAGAGAGCACTGGGAGCAGGGAGTCAAATGTGTCTTGAAGCTTGAGGCTAGAGACTCATGGAGGACAAAATGATAAAACACATCACTCTTAAGCAGCTGTGGAACTTTAGGCACTTGATAGTTTACAAAGCCCTCTCACATCTTAATTTATTTGGGCCTCTCACAACAAACCTGTGAAGTAGATGTTCATTATCCTAGTGGTTCTCAATGAATAAATATTTATTGGATATGTTGACCTAAGAGAATGAAGCTGAGGCAAAATTAATACAAGCAGAGAGTTTATGTGGGCCAAGCCTGAGGATTGCAACCCAGGAGCATAGATTCAAGTTGCCCTGAATATACGCTCCAATTAGCAGAAGTTACAAGTGGATTTTTAAAGGCAAAAAATGGGGAAGGAAATGGACTGTTACAAAACTGTTTGTCAGAAATTCTCATTGGTTTACACAAAGAACATTGATTAGTGACTGGCTACACATTTATAAACTACAGAGTGTGTGTTATAGTGTCTGGTGTGGCATTATTAAGTTAATTTCCAGCTACTTGTGGCAATAGCAAGCAGTGTCAAGAGATGAATACTTAGCTCAAAGAGGGGAGTAGGGTGTGGGATTGTGGCCTCCTTTTAATGTCTCTCTGGGCCTAATAATTAAAAAGATTTGTATTCCTCAGATAAAAATTATTTCTTTTCTCAAACCTATGTGTGCATATGCCAGAATTTGATACCAGATAACAGAAGCCACTCAAGCTAATTTAAAGAGAAGAGATTTCACATATGAAATTCTGTGTTCATAAAATCACTGGAAAGGCTAAAGGAGCAGGCTCGAGGTTGATCTTCCGGGAGCTATTCCCAGACCCACCCAGTTCTAGCCCAAAACTGCTTATTGCTTACAAGAACTGCTTACTGGAACTGTGATTGCCTTTTTAGAGGCTCCCTCCTTGGACTGAGTTCAACAAGAGGAAGATCAAACAGAAACCACCATGTTTACTTAGACCTCTGACCCTGGGTTGGGCGGCCTCATGTCCCCCGTGGCTCCACTCTGCATGAGAAGCACCAGCAGTGGAGCCAACTATAGGCTCAAACTAGCCATCAAAGCTGCCATGATCACAGGATCTACAAACAGGTGAGAGCAACTCTTTGGGAATTTGGGAACTGTGGGTATCTTTGGGTCTTGTTGACCTCATTTTCTTAGGCTCATCCCCACAAAGCAAAGCCTACTAGATTTAACTGCTAGTAGATTTTTGGGAAGGTGATCTTAATGAGAAATATTGAGGAAAAGGAAAGGAAACTGGAAAAGGAGACAAAACCAGTGCAGGATGTGTAATGGAGTCGGCCCACTATAGGCCACTGGGTGATGGGTTTCAAAGGTCTTCTAGGAAGCAGGAAATGCATCTCAGAGGCATCTATCAGTGGAAGAGGAGAGAATTCCTCCGTCAGTCAAGAGTTGCCCTATGTGGGTTAATGCCTCACACTTTCAAGCTGCATGCCGGTGAGCACTCAGTGGTTTCACATGCCTGAGGCAGGGAGCTCTCTGGTTGCAGCTGCAAAGCAAACCAAAGCCTTGAGGAACTGAGAACGAGTTTTCATAGTAGGGATTCTAGTGGGAGGGGAGGCCAAGAAGATCTGATGTGGACATAGGAGGTTCAATGCATCTGTGGACTGACCTATTTCCTCTTTATCTCTTCTGGTCCTCTGACCATCCATAGTACAGCATGAGGTTAGCTGCTCTGAGTTAGTGGAGAGAATTCATTTGGTGCCTCAGGGCTAGAAATGCAGCAAGAAAAGTCTCAGTCCTAGTCTAAATTGTCACCTCCTCCTCATCTCTGCCCCCAGGTTCGGCTTCGCCATTGCCCAGCGTCTGGCCCACGATAGGGCCCACGTAGTCATCAGCAGCGGGAAGCAGCAGAACGTGGACTGGGCTGTGGCCACGCTCTAGGGGGAGGGGCTGAGCATGTGCCAGACACCCTGTGCCACACGGGGAAGGCTGAGGACTGGGAGTGGCTGGTGGTCATGGTGAGAGGCATAGAAGGAGGTGCAGACAGGCTCAGGGATTCTGATACTATGACCCACAGTAGGGCAGAGGGATAAAGGCACCATCACAGGAATCGGGTCAACTATGTGTCACTTGAGCCTTGTCCACGAGGCCCAGTCTCCAGTTAACAGACCTGGGCACAGAAAGGACCAGTTCAGGGAGGGCGTCCTTTCTCCACCCAGGTTTGTTCTCTCCCTCAGGGAGAGAGGGAGTGCATGTGGCCTGGGACTCAGGGAGATGTTGGGGTGGGGACCATGCTGGTAGGAAAGAGGAAGCTGGCTTCTCCACCAGCTCCGTGGAGCCAGCCAGGCCCTCCTGGAAGATTCCTGAGGAGGAGTCTGAGGGGACAGAGATGTACAGAAGGAAGCCCTCATCTTACAGTCAGAGGTAGAGTGTTCAGGGAAATGGAGAGGGGACAGTGAAATTTCAAGACACAGTGCAGGTGAGAGATGTGTTTGGGGACGGGTAGCAAACAGTGCCTGGGACTAGAAGGAGGATGTGAAAGGGTACTGGGTGATGCTCCACCGCTTTTTATCCAGAAGCTCCGTACCTGGCTCCTAAAGGAAAAGAGATAATCTCCATCCTCACATGATATTGCTCTCCTGTGCTTTGAACTTGACCTAGGTACAGCCTCTGGGACATTAAACAGGAGTCACCTTCCACTGCTGCAGACACCTTCCTCTTCCGTAACCTTATTCCTTTATGTCCCTTTCTCACTCTCAGGCCCTGGAACACTGTGGGGGTGTGGACTTCCTGGTGTGTGTGGCAGGGATCAGTCCCTTGGTGGGAAGTGCCTTGGGGATCAGTGAGCAGGTCTGGGACAAGGTGAGGTCTGGGGAAGCCAGGAGGGGGCAGGCCGGACTTCATCCTCACCTTCCTGCCATGTAACCCTCTCTCCATCTAGGCTCACACATCCAGAGCTGATCCTCAGCTCTCACACATCCACCTTCCCATGACAGATTCATTGATGCAGAGTGAGGCCTGGGGCTTGGACTTTCTGAGCCTCAATTTCCCCATCTGTGAGATGGATGTAGGAGTGTCTAAGTGGCAGTTTTGGTCCCCACTGTTCAGGAGCTACCAGTCTGCAGGGAATGTCCAACCAAAAACCAAATAGTCACAAAAAATATGGGGCACAGAGAAGGGAATGACAGCCTAATCCCTAACACGGGTACCTCCTGGCTATCACCCCAAAATCTAGCCTTCCCCAGACTCAGCTATTGATGCCTCCTCTGCTCCAGATGAAACTGGTGTGCTTGGAAACATGGGGAGACAACCCATAGACTCTGGGGTCTTCTGCTGGAAGAGTCTTCAGCCTAATCCACTTACTCCTGTATCTTCAGGATGCCCCCATTTCCATGAATGCACAGGAAAGCCAACACTCCACCCACATTATGGGTGTCAGAGGCCATCATGCCCACATCCTAACCTGGTACATTTCCTAATATGGTGAGACTGCTGGACTGACTGCATCTCCACTCCCCCATCTCCTGTTTGCTCTGATTTCAGATCCTAAACATCACTGTGAAGGCCCCAGCCTGCTGCTGAGCCAGCTGCTGCCCCACACGGAGAAGATGGGGTGAGGGTGGGAAATGGGAATAGGGAGGTAGCTGCTTGATATCAAACAGGCAGCAGGGGAACTAGAGTGAGAGGGGGCCGATTTGAGAGTTAGACATTCCTACTGGGAAACAGGCTTAGCTGAGCCGGTCATACAAGAATGGTGAGTGTGTGGCTTTCATGCTTCTGGGTCAGCTAAAAAAAAAAAAGTTCTATCCATTAGTGTCAATCTCTCACATCTGGAGTGCCCAGGGGGTCTGGCAAGGACTTGACTGGAATAAGGAGGAAGGATCCACAGACAGAAGGTCCCAGAGTCCTGACAACAGTCTTGGAATCAGAGACCCTTGGGCTACAGGAGCTCTGGCCACAAGAGTTCAGGCTGATGACCCTGAGACACCCCATAGCCGGCCTGTAACTAGAGCAGTTGTTTCCCAGTCCCACTCAACTCTTATCCCTCCTGCTTCCTCTTACACCTGTCCTACCCGACCTTTTCCCAGCTCCCACCAGTCAGTTCCCAAATTAGGAAGCCTGCTTCCTTGCTGTCCTCACAGCCCGTGATAGAAGCATCACCTGTGGGATGGGCCTACGGCTGTCTCTCGCTGTCAATTCCCCACTGGTCTTGGCGACTCGGGATGTTCCCAGATGTTCTCCCCATGCCATTTGTCTTAGGGTTGGAACAATCTGCCTGTGCTCCTGGGAGTTCCTTTTTCATTCTTGGATTTCAGCCCAATCATTAGAAGGTTTCATTTTTCTGACCACCTTAGGAACACACCTTAGGCCTGTCTCATTCCTGCTCTAAAATAGATCCCTCTGGCCATGCCCCAGCCTCTTAAACATCTCCCCTCACTTAGCCATGCCTCCTCTGAAGGTCAGGGCCACCCAGTTATCTCCACCAGCATTGCCCTCACTCTCTTCTTTAAAATGGTCAGTGGAGGTAAAGTGAATTTTCCTCAGTCTCAGGTAAAGTGCTTTGCAGATAGATGTAGTTTTAAGACTCTTTTCCCAACTGTTTTGCTTCCCTTCAGTTCCCGTATTGACATTCTGGAGCAGCCACTGAATTCAGCAAGCATGTACTGAGCAGCTAGTATAGACTGGGCTGCTTCTCTGGACTTGTGTGATCATCTGTGAAACACAACCAGGACTTCTAACTAATGAGGACTTCTGAGGCCCCTTCCAGTGCTAACACAGACATGGTGTGATATTAGATTGAATCTCAGTGGTCCCGAGTCACTGAGAACAGTGGGGAATTGACAGGAAGAGACAACCCTAGGCCCATCCCACAGGTGATGCATCTACCATGGGCTGTGGAGAGAGCAAGGAAGCAGACTTCCTAATTTGGGAAATGACTGGCAGGGGCTGGGAAAAGGTCGAGGAGGACAGGCCAGTGTAAGAGGAAGTGGGAGGGACAAAAAATATCATTTTTGTTGATAGAAAATGGCCAAATACAGTAATTTATGTGGTTGAACACAATACAATGGTTTTCAAATTGTTTTTAATGGCAGAAACCTTTTGTCAAAGAATAACCTCCATAGGAGTCCAATATATAAAACAGACAAAAGCAGAAATGCCCAGCTTAAAATTGGAATAGGGGCCTGGTGCTTAACCATCTGGTCCCTATTCCTGGTACTGGGCACCTCTTGCAGAATCTGGCTTCACAAAACTTGTTGCAAACTACAAATGTAATGAAGACAGCATGGGCTTTGGAGTCAGAGAGACCTACCTTTAGAACCCTGCTCTGTCACTAGCTACATATGCTTGCTAACTAAACTCTCTGGGCCTTTGTTTCCTTACCTATTAAGTGGGATAATGATGCTTGGCAGACCTCTTGTGGACATTAATTGGCATGATAAAATATGTTGATTATGCACATAGTAAAGACTGTGTCTATATATATTTACTAGAGTAAATAATAAACATTGGCCGGGTGCAGAGGCTCACATCTGTAATCCCAACACTTTGGGAGGCTGAGGCAGAAAAGTCGCTTGAGCCCAGGAGTTCAAGGGTGCAGTGAGCTATGATCACACCACTGTACTTCCAACTAGGTGATCAAGTGAGACGCTGTCTCAAAAAAAATTATTGGAAAATGAATATTATCATTTTCACAGCTACAAGAACGTCACAAACTAAAGTTCTTTACAAGTGAAAGAACTTTACATCACAATTAAAAGAACTAGAGAACCAAGAGAAAACCAACCCCAAAGCTAGCAGAAGACAAGAAATAACCAAAATCAGAGGTGAACTGAAGGAGATTGAGACACAAAAAAACCATTCAAAAGATCAGTGAATCCAAGAGTTGGTTTTTTGAAAAAACTTAATAAAATAGACTGCTAGCTGGACTAATGAAGAAAAAATCCAAATAAACAAAATTAGAAGTGACAAAAGGGGTCATTGACCCCACAGAATACAAATAGCTATCAGAGAATATTATGAACACCTCTATGCACATAAACTAGAAAATCTAGAAGAAGAGGATAAATTCATGGACACATACACCCTCCCAAGACTGAGCCAGGAAGAAATTGAATCCCTGAACAGACCAATAATGAGCTCCGAAATAAAATCAGTAATAAATAGCCTACCAAGAAAAGCCTAGGAATGACAGATTCACAGCTGAATTCTCCCAGCTGTACAAAGAAGAGCTGGTACCATTCCTACTGAAACTATTCCAAAAAATTTAGGGAGAGGAACTCTTCCCCAACTCATTCTATGAGGCCAGCATCATCCTAATACCAAACCCTGTCAGAAACACAGAAAAAAAATGTTAGGCCAATATCCTTGATGAACACTGATGCAAAAATCCTCAACAAAATACTTGCAAACTGAATCCAGCAGCACATCTAAAAGCTTATGCACCATGATCAAGTAGGCTTTATCCCTGGGACGCAAGGTTGGCACAACATACACAAATTGAGAAATGTGATTCATCACATAAACAGAATTAAGGACAAAACCACATGATTGTCTTAATAGATTCAGAAAAGGCTTTTGATAAAATTCAACACCATTTCTGTTAAAAACTCTCAATAAACTAGGTATTGAAGGAACATACCTCAAAATAATAAGAGCCATCTATGACAAACTCACAGCCAACATCATGCTGAATGGGCAAAATCTGGAAGCATTACCCTTGAAAACTAGCACAGGACAAGGATGTCCTGTCTCATCATTCGTATTCAACATAGTATTGGAAGTCCTAGCCAGAGTAATCAGGAAAGAGAAAGATATAAAGGACATCCAAATAGGAAGAGAAGAAGTCAAACGATCTCTGTTTGCAGGTGATATGATCCTATATTGAGAAAACCCCATAGTCTCGGCACAAAAGCTCCTTAAGCTGATAAACAACTTCAACAAAGTTTCAGGATACAAAATTAATGTACGAAATTCACTGGCATTCTTATACACCAACAACAGCCAATCCAAGAGCCAAATGAGGAATGCAATTCCATTCACAACTGCCACAAAAAATACCTAGGAATACAGCTAAACAGGGAGGTGAAAGATCACTACAATGAGAACTACAAAACATTGCTAAAAAAAAAATCAGAGATGACACAAACAAATGGAAAAACATTCCACACTCATGGATTAGAAGAATCCATATTGTTAAATTGGCCATATTACCTAAAGCAATGTATAGATTCAAGGCTATTCCTATTAAACTGCAAATGACATTCTTCACAGAACTAGAAAAGGAACTATTTTAAAATTCATATGGAGCCAAAAAAAGAGCTTAAATAGCCAAAGCAATCCTAAGCAAAAATAGCAAAGCTGGAGGCATCACGCTACCTGACTTCGAACTATACTACAGGGCTGCAGTAACCAAAACAACATGATACTGGTACATAAACAGACACATAGAATAATGGAACAAAATAGAGAGCCCAGAAACAAGGCTACACACCTACAACCATCTGATCTTTGACCAAGCTGACAAAAACAAAAAATGGGGAAAGGACTCCCTATTCCATAAACAGTGCTGGGATAACTGGCTAGACATATGCAGAAGATTGAAACAGGATGCCTTCCTTACACCATATACAAAAATTAAATCAAGATAGAATAAAGACTTAAATTAAAACCCAAAACTATAAAAACACTGGAAGACAACCTAGGCAATATCATTCTGGATGTAGGCATGGGCAAAGGTTTCATGACAAAGAAGCCAAAGTAATTGCAACAAAAGCAAAATTGACAAATGGGATCTAATTAAACATAAGAGCTTTTGTATAGCATAAGAAACTATCAACAGAGTAAGCAGACAACCTACAGAATGGAAGAAAATTTTTGCAAGATATGCATCTGACGAAGGTCTAATATCCAGCATCTACAAGGAACTAACACAAATTTACAAGAACAAAACAAACAACCTCATTAAAAACTGGGCAAAGGACATGGCCAGATGCTTTTCAAAAGAAGACATAGATGCGACCAACAAGCATATGAGAAAAATCTCAATATCACTGATCATAAGAGAAATGCAAATCAAAACCACAATGAGATACCATCTCACACCAGTCATAATGGCTATCATTAAAAGGTCAAAACATAACAGATGCTGGTGAGGTTGCAGAGAAAAAGGAACACTTAAACACTGTTGGTGGGAGTGTGAATTAGTTCAACCATTGTGGAAACAGTGTGGTGATTCCTCAAAGACCTAAAAACAGAACTACCATTCCATCCACCAATCCCATTACTGGATATATAACCAAAGGAATATAAATCATTGTATTATAAAGGCACATGCACACGTATGTCCATTGCAGCACTATTCACAATAGCAAATACATTGATGTCCATTAATGTCCATTAATGGCAGATTGGATAAAGAAAATGTGATAAATATACACAGTGGAATACTATGCAGCCATAACAAAGAATGAGATCATGTCCTCTGCAGGAACATGGATGGAGATGGAGGCCATTATCCCTAGCAAACTAATGCAGGAATAGAAAAGCAAATACTGCATGTTCTCACTTATAAGTGGGAGCTAAATGAAGAGAACACATGAATACATAATGGGGAATAACAGAGACTGGGGCCTATCAGAGGGTGGAAGGTAGGAGGAGGGAGAGGATCAGGAAAAATAACGAGTGGGTACTAGGTTTAATACCTGGGTGATAAAATAATCTGCACAACAAATCCCCATGAAACAAGTTTACCTATGTAACAAACCTGTACATTTACCCCTGAACTTAAAATAAGAGTTAAAAAAAGTAAAGAAAATAAATATTAACTACAGTATAAATTATCACATAAGTAGTATAAATAACATTTAATAATAATTTAATTGGTTTCAATATTTACAATAAACGTTATTAATATTATTACTACTACTACTACTATTAGTTGTGAGATCTGAGCAAGTAAAAGATTGCTTTCTCCAACCTTGTGGATAAGGCAGGACTTTATGAAGGAAGCTCCACTTAAGTTGTTTCTATTTATTCTTATCTACTTGCCAAAATCCTATTATTCCTAACCCAATTTAAATGGCGATTCCCATATGCTAAAAGAATATAACCATCAACCTAGAATTCCATATCTATCAAGTATATCTTTCAAAAATTAGGGCAAATTTATAACATTTTCAGAGAAATGAAAACAAAGTTTACTACCAGAAGATCTTCACTAAAGGAAATTTTATTTTTTTATTTTTTATTTTTAAAATTTTTTTATTATACTTTAAGTTCTAGGGTACATGTGCACAACATACAGGTTTGTTACATATGTATACATGTGCCATGTTGGTGTGCTGCACCCATTAACTCATCATTTACATTAGGTATATCTCCTAACGCTATCCCTTCCCCCTCCCCCCACCCCACAACAGGCCCTGGTGTGTGATGTTCCCTTTCCTGTGTCCAAGTGTTCTCATTATTCAATTCCCACCTATGAGTGAGAACATGTGGTGTTTGGTTTTTTGCCCTTGCGATAGTTTGTCATGTCCCTAAAAAGGACAAGAACTCATCCTTTTTATGGCTGCATAGTATTCCATGGGGTATATGTGCCACATTTTCTTAATCCAGTCTATCATTGTTGGACATTTGGGTTGGTTCAAAGTCTTTGCTATTGTGAATCGTGCCACAATAAACATATGTGTGCATGTGTCTTTATAGCAGCATGATTTATAATCCTTTGGGTATATACCCAGTAATGGGATGGCTGGGTCAAATGGTATTTCTAGTTCTAGATCCCTGAGGAATCGCCACACTGTCTTCCACAATGGTTGAACTAGTTTACAGTTCCACCAACAGTGTAAAAGTGTTCCACTAAAGGAAATTTTAAATGGTACTTTAGGCAGAAGGAAAGAAATGATTTCATACGGAAAATCTAAGATGAAAGTAAGAATGAAAAACACAGAACATAGTAACATGAACAAATTAAACCACTTCTTGTAAAAAGAAATCGTTTTGTGGAGTTAAAAAAATTAACTCCACAAATAGTTAAATATGCAAAAACAATATTTAAATCAGGAGATAGAAATAGAGTTAAGGTGTAAGAAGATTTTTATGTTGTTAGAGAGAGGGTAAGGATATTAATCTTAAACTTTGATAAGCAAAACAGGCCTGTTTAACTTTATAGGGCAAAGCTACAAGAATGGCAATGGAGTATGAAGTATATTTTCAAATTAATAGAGAGGGAAGTGGAAATGGAAAAAATAATCTAAAAAAAAGCAAGAAGGGACAGAAAACAAAACAAAGAACTGGGGGAATATTTAAAAAGTGCAAAATTGGATGCTAGACATTAATCCTAGTATATCAGTGATGACAGTTAAAATATAAAGATTGTCAAGCTAGATTTTTAAATCAAAAATTTTAAATCTGATTAGACAGAAATGACATATTTTATTAAATTTTTCATTTCTGTTGAATGAGTTTATAGAAATTTATTTATAGAAACAGCTCTAGGAAATGTATAGTTCTAGGAAAGGCTGGCAATCAAGAAATTGAAGTAGGACAGATAAACCTCAAGCACATTTACAATGTGTACTCGGCTCAACTGCTGTAGTTAAAATGCACATTTTAATCCTTCTTTACAGAATTAAAGTGTATCTTTCTTGATGGTAACCAAAGTATTATATTGTCAATGCTAAGTAAAAGTCAAAGCTGAAATGTTCAGGAGAGAAAGCACTCAGTATGAAAAAAGAAAAAAATGTAGAGCAGAAATCAATGGAAAATAAAACAAAATACAATATAGGGATCAAAAAAACCAAAAAAACCCTATTTTTTAAGAAAATGAATGTTTCTGGCAAATTTCCAATGGGATTGATCAAGGAAAAAGAGGAAAGACATAAATAGCCAATATCAGGAATAGAAACAAAAGATACAGATCCTGAGAACAATAAAAAGGCATGAAAAGAATGATAATGCCAAAGAGAAATTTTTACATCAAACTTATGTTTATGCTGAAGTTATAATGAAATAGAAAAAAATTTTAAACTTATATATCTTACCAAAACTGACTCAAGAAGAGATAGAAAACCTGACCAGTCCTATAACCATTAAATAAATGTAATGTATAGTCAAAGTTTTTCCTACAAAAACAAAATCCAGGGACCGGGCACAGTGGCTCACTGTGACATATGCTTCAACACAGTGGTGAGGACCACGGGTAGCTCCTGTTCCTATCCCCTGAGCAGTAGTGTACCTTTTCCTTCCAGGCCATGTGCCACAGAGAGCTGGACTCTCTGGCCTGGACCTGTGGACTTTTGCTCTGATATCCACAGCCTTTGGGATCAGCAGCAGAATCAGAATCAGTTCTTTGTGAGAGGCCACCCCAACAGTTCTTTCACAAGGACACAGGCCTGCAAGATGCACAGCCTATGTGATGTGACTCCATCTGTAGGAGTGGCACTGACTTTTTTACCTTTCCTGTAGCTACTTGAGGACCTGGTCTTGAGGGATCACACGAAGAATCTCTTCAGAGTACAGAGGTGAGTTGCGGAGAGGCAGTATCCCTTGTAGAGCTGGATTAACATGACCTCAGAACCTTCATGATGAGTGAAAGATCACACACTATCCCTCACAGCCTTACCCATTCCCCTTTCTGGGGTCTGACAGTCCTCTCAGGCCTGGGATGACCTCTGCAGGTCCCTGCAAAGCCCACATCTCTTCACTTACAGCCCTTTGCTCACCCCCACAGGGGTCTTGACTTCACAGCATCCCATGGGAACCCAGGGCTCATGAGGAAGGTGTAATTAGTCTCAGCCCCACCTCCTTTTTCCATGCAGAGTGGGGTGGCGTGGGGACTGTGTGGGGCTTGTGTCCTTCCTGTGCTCTCCAGACACCGGCCACATCACTGGAGACAACATTGTGGTGGCCAGCATTTCCCCTCACCTCTGAGGGTCAGGAGCTCTGAGCTTGGGCTTGTGTCTGGTGCAGGAGCTTCAGGGGGTCCTTGGGCCACCCCACTGCAACACCTTGTTAACAGTGGGTCCATGCTCCAAATACACACTTTGATTCAAAACTGTCACAGGTAGAAATAGTAAAGAACATCAGAAAGATGTCATATCACAAGAGGGCTTGTGCTATGAAACTATCATTAAAATCAGAGAGAGTGATGTCAGCTTCACCAGAAACTAAATGGTGTTCTTGGGAGTTTTAAGGAAAGGAGCTAAAGTCAGGCAGAGAGAGAGAGCTGAAAGGAAGGAAAGGAAAAAGGCATTTTGAACATGCTGCTGGATGCTGTCATGTGGATTGTCTCCTAAACATCTCTGTGAGCCTGATGACTTGGAGCAATTTAAGGAAAATGCTTTGAGGGCACATGGCTAGGCCACGATCAGAAACAGAACCCAGTGTGTTGGTGCAACAGGAAGGGATCAGCATGGAACCTGTATTTGAGAGGAAAGATCAGCCCCTGCAGTCCTCATTCTTCTCTCAGATCCTTATCCTAAAAGTCTGGCTCTGGTCTACCTGCATTCACACAATTCAGCCTTCCACAGATAAGTGCCATGGCAGTAACTATCATCTCTCATACAATTTAAACCCTTGTTGCTTGAAAGTCAGGAACAGTGCCAGACCTTGAGTGCCCCACCCATATCCCTTTGGCCCACATTGGGATCAAAGACATCTTTGGTGAATAACTGCCAGATACACGGAAGTCTCCCCACCTCAAGCCCTCGTGTTTCTCTCCTGGACAGAGATAGGCCTGTATAAAGGGGCACAAACCAACATAACATGTAAGTAAACTAGAGACTTGCTCTCATCGGCCCTTCCTGAGAAATTCCCCGAAAGTCAAGTTTTCGACAACCAAAATAACTACAGGGACATTGACGTAAGGACTGACAGTGAATACTATAGTTCCTTGAAGAACTAAAACAAATGAGTTTAAAAGGAAGGCAGTGTGATGTATAATGGCTTTCTTCTCTGATGGTATAGATACAGCAGAACTATAAAAAAACTAAATATTGGCCAGGTGCAGTGGCTCATGCCTATAATCCTAGCCCTTTGGGAGGCTGAGGGAAGAGGATTGCTTGCGGTCAGGAGTTCGAGACCAGCCTGGCCAACATGGTGAAACCCTGTCTTTACTAAAAATACAAAAAAATTAGCCAGGCATGGTGGTGTGTGCCTGTACTCCCACCCAGCTACTGGGGAGGCAGAGGCATGAGAATCACTTGAGCCTGGGAGGCAGAGGTTGCAGCAAGCTGAGATCGTGCCACTGCATTCCAGCCTGGGCAACAGAGTAAGACTCTGCCTCCAAAACAAAACAAAACAAAACAAAACAATAAAACTTAACATAGTTACTGTATTAGTCTGTTCTTAGGCTGCTAATAAAGACATACCCAAGACTGGGTAATTTACAAAGAAAAAGAGATTTAATTGACTCACAGTTTCACATAGCTGGGGAGGCCTTACAGTCATGGTGGAAGGCAAAGGAGGAGCAAAGTCACACCTTCCATGGTGGCAGGCAAGAGAGCTTGTGCATGGGAACTGCCATTTATAAAACCATTGGATCTCATGAGACTTATTCACTACCACGAGAACAGTAGGGGAAAAACCACGCCCATGATTCAATTATCTTCACCTGGCCCGCCCTTGACATGTGGGGATATTACAAATCAAGGTGAGATTCTGGTGGGGACACAGCCAAACCATATCAGTTACTTATAGAACTAAAACTAAATGAGAGTTATAAGAGAGGGAGTATGGTATGTAATGGCTGTATGATTTGATAATATAGGTATAGTACAACTGTAAAAATGAAGGAGAGGTTGGAGATGGCACTTGCAAAGGAAAATTGTAGCTATTTTCAAAAATAGTGGTAATAGAATAGTTTTGTATTCCTCAGGCCTTTGTGTGGTTTCTAATTTGACTCGGGAGTGTCACTAAACTCATGATAATTTTTTTCTTAGCTCTATCCAAAGAAAAAGCCTAGAAACATCAACCAACCCAAAGCGCTTGCATCCCTGGCATTCAGATTATGGTCTTAGAATATCGTTTCCCACCAAAAGACCCCATCTTCTTAGAGATGCGCCTGATTCCAGGTCAGGGGCAGGAAATGAGCAAGATGAGTAAAGAACTGTGATCTTTCATTGTTGCAGCTGACGTCACTCTTCTGCTCAGCTGCTCTGTTTCTCTGAACACCATAGTCTATTAGCCATTGTCATAAATCCCTGTGGCTCAGAGTCCCATGTCTACCATTCTAGTTTTTCTGCTTAATAGAGTAATTAGAACTGATTGGCCTTTCCTGTTTTAGATTTCTTTCATCATACTGATAAAAGGGACATGAGCTCCACAGATGCCTTCCTCCTTGTCATTCTTTGCTTACAAAAAAGACCCTTGAGCTTCTCAGCAATGCAGTCTCCCTTTTCTAGTTGATTTCTCATTCTTTTAGTAAAGGGAGTATCCTCTGTATCACAGTCAACTTACGCATTCTCTGGTCTTTTAAATAAATCCATTCCTGCATGTCTACTCTGTGTTTCAGCATTTGGGGATAGGTGTTCCCTGAGATTTTGTCTGACTATGTAATTCATGTTTCCTGTTTCAGGTCTGGTCTCCACACACTCTTGTCCTGAGTCTTAATTCTCCTTCTTTTTTCGACATACCACCCATCTCATTTATCCATTTTCTTCTATATTCTCTCATGGCTTATGTTTCTCTATAGGGGTCAAAGCCAGCTTCACTGGAATGGCAATAAGTTGTATCTTGCAGCTCCTTCCAGATGATGATGCTTCCTGGCCCAGCTGAGGTTGCGAGACAGTGAGGGTTTGTGTTAACCATCTGAGAGTGGGTGGAGTCTGGTGGACTCTGGAATTGGGTTTTGAGAAAAGAAGCATCAATTCTGTCATGCTGAATACTAGAAGTGTAAAAAATTTAGAGGGAGGGAAAAAGCAGGAGTCGTGCCTCAATTTGGTGTATAGCTTAATATTAAGAACATGGGCTTTGGAATTGGTGGACTGGATTCAAATCTTCTCTCTATTGCTTACTATGTGAGTGACTTTGGTAAAGTTAAAGTCTCAATTTTTTTGTCATCTATAAATTGATGATTAAATGATATGTGTCTGATGATTAAATGACATATTAAGCATTAGGTAAATTTACCTTTATTAGTAATAATTGTATGAAGAACCTAGTAAAGGTCTTGATGATCTATCCTCAGTGGCTCCAGAATTTGCAATCAGGACTAGTTTGGGAGCTGCACACTGCCTTGCTGTGGGTGAATGGTAGTGGAGGGGCCTAAAACTGTATTTATAAGACACTTTACAGAAATTGAGAAAATAAATAAAATGACTCTGGGAGATGTTTCTTGTCTGATGACCAAAAGTGATTGAGAGGGAACTGGGAATGCTTAGCAGAGAGAAGGCCAGGCAAAACTGGGATAGGTGAAGATAACATAACCTGTTTCATGGTTTGAAGGGCTGTCATAGAGAAGAGAAAATTGACTTGCTCAATAATGCTCAATGTTGGCTGGGCACGGTGGGTCATGCCTGTAATCCCAGCACTTTGGGAGGCCGAGGCGGGCGGATCATGAGGTCAGGAGTTGGAGACCAGCCTGACCAACATGGTGAAACCCTGTCTCTACTAAAAATACAAAAATTATCTGGGTGTGGTGGCACGCACCTGTAATCCCAGCTACTCAGGAGGCTGCGGCAGGAGAATTACTTGAACCCGGGAGGCAAGATCACACCACTGCACTCCAACCTGGGTGACAGAGACTCTCTCTCAATAATAATAATAATAATAATAATAATAATAATAATAATAATGCTCAATGATGTAAGTACAAGGGATGCATCTAATACCAATGGGAAGAAGCTGTATATGGAGAAAGGTTTCTGCTCCTATTAAAAAGATATTTTCCTTGTGATAGTTTGCTGAGAATGATGGTTTCCAGCTTCATCCATGTCCCTACAAAGGACATGAACTCATGGGGCCTGTTGTGGGGTAGGGGGAGCGGGGAGGGATAGCATTAGGAGATATACCTGATGTTAAATGATGAGTTAATGGGTGCAGCACACCAACATGGCACATGTATACATATGTAACAAACCTGCACATTGTGCACATGTACCCTAGAACTTAAAGTATAATAAAAAAATAAAAAATAAAAAAAAGATGTTTTCAAATCCCCAAAGAGGAAATATAGCCATGGGTAATAGGAATTTCCCATGTCACGAGAGCTTTTCAAGAGAGGATGGAAGGTCTACTTTGCTGTAAGGTTGCAGAGGGAATGAACCTCCGACAGGTTTTAAGTAGATAATCCAAAGACAGTTCCACACCAGAGAGTCTCTGATTCTTTATTGAGGTATCCTGTTTTTAGAGGAATATAAGAATGAACTTGTGGGAAAGGGTCAGAGCAATCTCAAGGATTATATGAGAGTAAGAGCCAGAACGTTGAAGTGATTTGAACTGAATAAAATGAACCAATAATGCTTTTAAGCAGTGTTATGCCCACAGAAAAGTATGAACCTATATATTTATAACCTGCCAAATTTGTGCATACTCTGTATTCCTGAAATAAACTGCTCTTTTCTTAGTTGACTCCTAAATAATATCTCCCAAATGACTCTTTAGGAATAAAACTTCTTTAGAGCAAAATTGTCCAAAATGGAAAGGAAATCTTCAAAAGACTAGAAACATTACTTTTGGCTGGACATGATGGCTCACACCTGTAATCCCAGCACTTTGGGAGGCCAAGGTGGGAGGATCACTTGAGGCCAGGAGTTTCAGACTAGCCCTAGCAGGACAGTGAGACCCTATCTCTACAAAAAATAAAAGTAAAAAATTAGCCAGGTGCCGGGCATGATGGCTCACATCTGTAATCCCAGCACTTTGGGAGGCCGAGGCAGGTGGATCACGAGGTCAGGAGTTCAAGACCAGCCTGGCCAAGGTGGTGAAACCCCATCTCTACTAAAAATACAAAAACAAAACAAAACAAAACAAAACAAACAAACAAAAAAAACAAAAAAAAACCTAGCCAGGCACGGTGGCGGTGCCTGTAGTCCCAGCTACTCAGGACGCTGAGGCAGAAAATTGCTTGAACCCTGGAGGCAGAGGTTGCAGTGAGCTAAGATGGCACCACTGCACTCCAGTGCAGGTGACAGAGTGAGACTCCATCTCAAAAAAAAAAAAAAATAGACAGGCATGATGGCATATGCCTGTAGTCCCAGCTACTCAAGAGGCTGAGGTGTGAGGTTGGCTAGAGCCTGGGAAGTTGAAGTAAGCTGCAGTAAGCTGTAGTTGCACCACTGCACTCCAGCCTGGACAACAGAGCAAGACCCTGCCTCAAAAAGAGAGAGAAAAGAAAAGAAAAAAGAAAAGAGAAACATTGCTCTGGCAAGCATGATGGAACCAAATAACAGTGAACCAAAGTCCCAGTATGTGTACAGGCATACCTCAGAGATACTGTAGGTTCAGTTCCAGACCACTACAATAAAGCAAATATTACAATAAAGCAAGTCACGGGAATTTTTTTGGTTCCTCAGTGCATACAGAAGTTATGTTTACACTCTACTGTATTGTAAGTGGGCGGTACCACCATGTCTAAGAAACAATGTACATACCTGAATTTAAAAATACTTCACTGCTAAAAAATGCTAACAATCAGCTGAGCATTCATCAAGTCACACTCTTTTTGCTGGTACAGGGTCTTGCCTTAATGTTGATGGCAGCTGACTGATCAGGGTGGTAGTTGCTAAATGTTAGGGTAGCTGTGGCAATTTCTTCCACTAAGACAACAGTGAAGTTTGTTGCATTGATTGACTCTTCCTTTCACAAAAGATTCCTCTGTAGCATGTGATGCTGTTTGATAGCATTTTACTCACAATAGAACTTCTTTTAAAATTGGAGTCAATACTCTCAAACCCTACTGTTGCTTAATCAGCTAAGCTTATGTAATATTCTAATTCCTTTGTTGTCATTTCAGCAATGTTCACAGCATCTTCACTAGGAGTAGATTCCATCTCAAGAAACTGCTTTCTTTGCTCATTCATAGAAAGCAACTCCTCATTTGTTCAAGTTTTATCAGGAGATTGCAACAATTCAGACACATCTTCAGACTTCACTTCTAATTCTAGTTCTCTTGCTTTTTCCACCACATCAGCTATTACTTGCTTTCCTTCACTGAAGTCTTTAACCCTTCAAAGTCATCCATGAGGGCTGGGAATCAATGTCTTCCCAACTCCTGTTAATGTTGATATTTTGACTTCCTCCTAAGATCACACATATTCTTAATGACATCCACAATGCTTAATCTTTTTTTTATTATTATACTTTAAGTTTTAGGGTACATGTGCACAACATGCAGGTTTGTTACATATGTATACATGTGCCATATTGGTGTGCTGCACCCATTAACTCGTCATTTAACATTAGGTATATCTCCTAATGCTATCCCTCCCCCCTCATGGATGAAGCTGGAAACCACAGTGGTTAATCTTTTCTCGAAGGTTTTCAATTAACTTTGCCTAAATCTGTTAGAGGCATCACAGTCTGTGGCAGCTATAGCCTTACAAAATATATTAATTAAGTAATAAGCCTTGAAAGTCAGGCCAGGCGTGGTGGCTCACGCCTGTAATCCCAGCACTTTGGAGGCCGAGGCAGGTGGATCACTTGAGGTCAAGAGTTCAAGACCAGCCTGGTCAACATGGTGAAACTCCGTCTCTACTAAAAATACAAAAAATTAGCCAGGTGTGGTGGTGCATGCCTGTGATCCCAGCTACTCGGGAGGCTGAGAGGGGAGAATCTCTTGAACCTGGGAGGCGGAGGTTGCAGTGACCGGAGATTTGTGCCACTGCACTCCAGCCTGGGAGACAGAGTGAGACTCAGTCTCAAAAAAAAAAAAAAAAAGACTTGGAAGTCAAAATTACTCCTAATCCATGGGCCACAGAATGGATGTTGTGTTAGCAGGCATGAAAACACCATTATTCTCTCCATGTACATGTCTATCAGAGATCTTGGGTGACCAGGTGCATTGTCAATGAGCAGTCATGTTTCTTTTTTTTTTTTGGCATGTGAAGAAAAGAATGTAAAATTCCATTTTATTTGCTTTCAATAATATTAACATGAATGATAACAAAAGATGTTGTCTTTCTGAAACAAAGAAGACATATGGCGATGGCCTACAGATAATTACCTTAGAGGAGGGGATGGGCAATGGAGATCCCTGTATATTGGGTTATTTCTTTTTTTTATATATATACTTTAAGTTCTAGGGTACATGTGCACAATGTGCAGGCTTGTTACATGGGTATACATGTGCCATGCTGGCCCACTGCACCCATCAACCCATCATTTACATTAGGTATTTCTCCCAATGTTATCCCTCTGCCCGTGCCCCATTTCATGACAGGCCACGGTTTGTGATGTTCCCTACCCTGCGTCCAAGTGTTCTCATTGTTCAGTTACCACCTATGAGTGAGAATTTGTGGTGTTTGGTTTTCTGTCCTTGTGATAGTTAATGAGCAGTCATATTTCAAAAGGAATCTTTTTTTTCTGAGGAGCAGATTTCAATAGTGGACATAAAATATTCAGTAAACCATGCTGTAAACAGATGTGCTGTCATGCAGGCTTTGTTTTTCCTTTTATATAGGGCACAGGCATAATACTTATGGAACTTAGGATTTTTGGAATTGTAAATGAGCATTGGCTTCAACTTAAAGTCACCAGCTGCACTAGCCCCTAATTAGAGAGCCAGCCTGTCCTTCAAATCTTTGAAGCCAGGCACTCACTTCTTCTGTCTAGCTATGAAAGTCCTAGATGACATTTTCTTCCAATAGAAGGCTGTTTTGTCTACATTGAAAATCTGATGTTTGGTGTAGCCACCTTCATTAATGATCTTAGCTGGATCTTCTGGATAACTTGCTGCAGCTTCTACATCAGCACTTGCTGCTTTACCTTGTACTTTTGTGTTCTGGAGATGGCTTCTTTCCTTAAACCTCATGGACCAACTTCTGCTAGCTTCAAACTTTTCCTCTAAAGCTTCCTCACCTCTGTCAGGTGTCATAATTCTCTTTAATTGAAGAGAATTAGGTCCTTGCTCAGGATTAGGCTTTGGCTTAAGAGAATGTTGTGGCTGGTTTGATCTTCTATTCAGACTACTAGAACTTTCTCCATATCAGCAATAAGGCTGTTTTGCTTTCTTATCATTCCTGTATTCACTGAAATAGCACTTTTAATTTCCTTCAATAACTTCTCCTTTGCATTCACAACTTGGCTAACTGTTTGATGGAAGGCCTAGCTTTTAGTCTATCTTGGCTTTCAACATACCTTCCTTACTAAGCTTACTCATGTCCAGCTTTTGATTTAAAGTGAGAGATGTGTGACTCTTCCTTTCACTTGAACACTTAGAGGTCATTGCAGGGCTATTAGTTGGCTTAATTTTAATATTGTTGTATCTCAGAGAATAGTGAGGTCTGAAGAGAGGGAAAGACAAGGCTGTTCAGTGGAGAAGTCAAGACTCACACAACATGTATAGATTAAGTTAACCATTTTATATGGGTTCAGTTTGTGGCACCTCAAAACAATTGCAATAGTAACATCACAGATCACCATAACGAATATAATAATAATAATGAAAAAGTTTGAAATATTGTGCGAATTACCAAAATGTGATGCCAAGACACGAAATGAGCACATGCTCTTGGGAAAATGGTGCCAATAGACTTGCTTGATGCAAGTTTGCTACAAACCTTCAATTTGTAAAAAACGCAATATCTGCAAAGTGCTAGAAAGTGAAGAATAACAAAATGAGGTTTGCAGGTACTTTAATGATGAATAAATGTCATTATACATTTGTAAACACCCATAGAATATACAACACCTAGAATGAACTCTAATGTAAATTATGGACTTGGGGTAATTAAGATTTGTCAATGTAGGATCATCAATTATAACAATTGTATTTCTTTGATGGGGAATGTTGATAATAGGGGAAGCTATGCAGGTAGGGGGACAGTGGATATATGGAAAATCTCTGTAGCTTCCTCCTAATTTTGCTGTAAACCTAAAACTGCTCTTAAAAAAACTTTTTAAAATGCATGGAACACATTTTTTGAAAAGTTAATTGAAATCTGCAACATTAGTTTTATGACCCACTAATGATTGAGACCTGCAATTTGAAAAACAGTCCTCCACAGCTACTTTAAAAAATGGTAGTGGAAACTGGGCATGGTGGCTAGTGCCTGTAATCCCAGAACTTTGGGAGGCCTGGGCAGGTGAATTACTTGAGCCCAGAGGCAGGATCGTGAAAACACTTCTCTACAGAAAATTCAAAAATTAGCCAGGCATGATGGCGCATGACTGTAGTCCCAGCTACTCAGGAGGCTGATGTGAGAGGATCACCTGAGCCTGGAGTGGTCAAAGCTGCAGTGAGCCATGATCACACCACTGCACTCCAGCCTGGGCAACAGAGTGAGACCCCGTTTCAAAAAAAAATTGGTAGTAGAGAAACTGCTTAATATACTTAACATATAAGTTATACCTTGGAATATTTAAAAGTTTTAAAAATATTAAATTATCAAAAAGTGAAATGATGTAGGGTGGGTGAAAGAAAGGGAGATCAGATTCATAACTTTTAGGGTTAGAGGGCTCCAGACCTGAGGATTCAAATTTGGGAAGGGGAAGAAAAATGTGTATAGAAGATAAATGGTGTAGATAGGAAATAGATCGAAACACTAATAACTTCATTTGACAAATTCTGCTGAAAACAGAAGAGTACGCTCCTCAGTCAGGAGACCTAAAAATGTCTAATTCCCAGATGGCAGTATCACCAGCACATGGTGAACAATATGTTCTTTTAAAAGTAATTTCATTTCATTTATTTTTAATGACAAAGTAAGACATAAATATATTCTCATTGTAAAAATTAAAATTATACAGAAAAAGTCCTTTTTGACTCTGTTACTTCTCCCTAATTGCAGTGACCTTTCAAGAACAATTTTAACTTTGAGTATACTTCCAGACCTTTCCTAATACATTTTCATTGAGCTAGAAATCAAATGTGCATGAACACATAAAAATATATTAAAAACTTAACTGGTATTACAATGGGTGTTTTGTTCTATAACTTGCTTTTTACATAACAATACATCATAGAGATTTTTCTATATTAGTGGATGTAGATTTATCTCATTCTTTATAATGTACTCATAGTACTGATATATTTGGATTTAGATGTGCCACATTGTAAATTTGTTTTTGTGTGTTCCTGCTGTGTTTTGCTTCTGTTTCTCCTTTCTTGTCTTCTTTTGAGTTATTTGAATATTTTTAAAATATTGCATTTATCAATCATGATTTTCATTATATTTCTTTGTATACTTTTCTTGGTGGTTGCTGTAGGGATTAAAAAATACATAGCTTTTCACTATCTATTTACAGTCATTTTATCATCTTAATTGGAATATAGAAGCTTTACCACCTTATAGGACCCCTTACCCTCTCTACTTTATGCTATAGTTGTCATATATTACTTGGTGAAACCCTATCTCTACAAAAAATATGAAAATTAACCAGGCATGGTCGTGCATCCCTATAGCCCCAGCTACTCAGGATGCTGATGTGGGAGGATCACCTGAGCCTGGGGAGGTTGAAGCTGCAGTGTGCCATGATCATACCACTGCACTCCAGCCTGGGCAACAGAGTGAGACCTTGTTTCAAAAAAATTATAGTGGAGAAACTGCTTAATATACTTAACATATAAGTTATACCTGGGAATATTTAAAAGTTTTTAAAATATTAAATTATAAAAAAGTGGTATAATGTAGGGCGGGTGAAAGGAAAGGAGATGAGATTCATAACCTTTAGGGTAGAAGGCTCCAAACCTGACTATTTAAATTTGGGAAGGGGAAGAAAAATGGGCATAGAAGACATACATTGAAAATTCTATCAGACAGTGTTATGACTTATGCTTTCAACCATCAAACATATTTTTTAAAATGCAAGAGAATAATAGTCTATTATATTTAACCACTATTAATCATTTCTGTAGCCTTTACTTTGTTCCTAATGTTCAAAGTCTCTTTCTTGTATCATTTCTCTTCTGCCTGAAGGAATTCCTTTAGCAAGTCTGTTGGAACAGATATGCTGGCTCTGAATTCTCTTAGTTTTCCTTTATCTGAGAATGTTTATTTTACCTTCAATCCTGAAGGACACTTTCACTGAATATAGAATTCTGGGTTGACAGGTCTTTTCTTTCAGAATTTTAAAAAATGCTGTGTCACTTCCTTGTGGCTCCACAGTTTCTGATGAGAAATCTACAGTCATTTGAGTTGTCCCCTCTAGGTAATATGCTGTTTTCTTCTGGTGGCTTTTGAGATTTTTTGTCTTCAGATTACAGCAATTGGCTTATGATGCCTCAATGTAGCTTGTTTTATTTGTTTGTCTTTCTGTTGAGGATTCTCTTACTCTCTTGAATTTGTAGGTTTATGTCTTTGGTCAAATTTGGGAAGTTATTAGACATTCTTTCTTTTTTTCTTTTTTTTTTAAGTCCCATCTCGTTCTGGGACTATCTTCAGATTCAATTACTGTTCTGTTATTGAGTCTATCCAGTGAGGTGTTTTTTGTTTGTTTGTTCGTTTTGTTTTGTTTTTTCATGAGACAGGATCTCACTCTGTCACCCAGGCTGGAGTGCAGTGGCACAATAATAGCTTGCTGCAGCTTCAACCTCCTGGTCTCAAACGATCCTCCTACTTCCATGTCAGCCTCTTGAGTAGCTGGGACTACAGACATGTACCACCATACCTGGCTAATTTTTTTTAAATCAGTTATCATAGGTTTTAGTTCTAAAAGTTCCATTTGATTAATTTGTTTGAACTGTTGGATAGTATTCATTGTATAAATATACCACAATTTATTTACCTATTTGCCTATTGATAGACAAATGTTTTTAACTCTTCTTTATCACCAACAATATTATAATGAACATGTTTTTTCACACATATGAATGAAGATCTCTTTAGGGTGTATGCCCCTAAATGAAATTGACAGTTCACAGGACATACCACATCCAGTTATGCCACCCCTTCCTAGATTCTTTCAGTTGTACCATCTCCAAGCCTAGGCCTCTTGCTCAGTGAAGAGTTCCATCTACTTCCTTCTTACCGTACCAGACTGGGTGGATACACATCAGCTGCATGGAGGGTATTCACCAGTGCCTGAGTAAATGAGCTGCAGCTGGTCAGTGGCTTCTCCAGCAGCAGTTGAGCAGCTGGACCACGCCTCCTCTATGTACTCTGAAGAGCAGCTTCAACTCTTTCTACACCAGGGTCTACAGCTCAGCCTATGTTCTAGTCAAGGCCAGGAGATTCTCCATGTTGAGCTTCCGCTCTGACTCCTCATTTCTGCCTTCTGACCCTCTGCCTGTATCTTGCAGAATCTGGCTAAACATGGTCCTGGCTTTGTTCTCTACTTTTGGAGCTACATTAAGGGCTATACTGCTATGCCACTGCTCAGAAGAGCCAAGTAATACAATTCCTAAGTGTGGATGTGGAAGAATTAATGAATGCCCTGTGGGGCAATCTTTGACCAATCAGAAAAATATAGAAATATAACATGAGCCACACATATAATTTTAAATTTTCTAGTAGTATGGTTCAAAAATGGAAAAAAATAGATGAAATTAAGTTAAAGAATATGTTTTATTTAGCCCAATTTATCTAAAATATTATTTCAACATACAGTCAACATAAAAATTGTTAAGGAGATATTTTATTTTATTTTATTTTTTGAGACTGGGTGTTGCTCTGTCACCCAGGCTGGAGTACAGTGGCATGATCACGGCTCATTGCAGCCTTTACCTCCTGGGCTCAGGCATCTGCTCACCTCAGGCTCCCAGGTAGCTGGGACTACTGGTGCATGCCATCGTGCCTGACTAATTTTTTTGTATTTTTGTTTGTTTGTTTGTTTGTAGAGACAGGGTTTTGCCATGTTTTCCAGGCTGGTCTCAAACTCCTGGCCAAGTGAGCCACCCACCTTAACCTCTCAAAGTGCTGGGATTACAGGTGTGAGCCACCGCACCTAGGCCTTTTTATTTTTTTCCCTGAAGGCTTTGAAATCCAATATGTATTTTATACTGACAGCACATCTCAATTCAAATGCTAAATTTCATCAGAAATAGTTGGTATATATTTAGATTTCATAACATTTATAGTTGAAAAAAATAGATTCACAGCTCCAAGCTGTTTCAACACAGAAGTTTTCCCATAACTGAACTGGGCATCAATTTTAAATTAAAATTAAATTTCATTAAAATTTAAAATATAGTTTCTTCGTCGCATTGTCCACATTTCAAGTTTTCAGTAGTCACATATGGCAAGTGGCTACTGTACTGGACAGCACAGTTTTAGACAGAGTCCTAATTTCTGCCTGTTTGGAAGAGAGTTTGGAACTTCCATATGAGTGTGCTTTTTTGCATTAGGAGGCAAATATTCACTAATGGAAGAACATGATACAATAATAATTTGGAATACTGTATTAGTTGCTAGGGCTGCTATAACAAACACCACCGACTGGGTGGCTTAATCAACATTTATTTCCTTACAGTTCTGGAGGCTAGAAGCCCAAGATCAAAGTGCTGGCAGGTTTGGTTTCACTGTGAGGCCTCTCTCCTTGGTCTTTTCTTCTATGCATGTCTGTATCCTAATCTCTTTTTATAAAGACACGAGTCGTTGAGCTAGGGCTCTCTCCAATGACCTCCTTTAATCTCAATTACCTCTTAAAGACACTGTCTCCAAATACAGCCGCATCCTGAGGTATTGGGGGTTAGGACTTCAACATATCAATTTTGTGGGGACACAACTCAGCTCCTAACAAAGATGAATCTAGATGTCCTTTTCTTCTATCTTTGATTACCCCCATTCTGGCCATGAGACAAGATGTTGCCAATTCCCTCAGTTTATCAGTTGTCTATTTCTGTGTGACAAATTACTCCAGAACATAGTAACTTAAAAAAACAAATATTTATTAGCTTACAGTTTTTGTGGGTGAGCTCATCTGGGTAGTGATGGCTCAGAGACTCTCATGTTGTTAGTCTCAGGGTGTCAGCTGGGGTGGACATAGGTTGGAGCATCTGCTTCTAGGATGGCTCACTCACATGGCTGTTGGCAGTAGGCCTCAGTTCCTCATTACTTGGGCCTTACCATAGGCTGCTTAAGTGACCTCACATTATGGCCTCTGGCCTGCCTGTGCGCATGAATGATCTAAAAGAGAGTGAGCAGGAAGTTACAGTACCTTTTATGACCTACTTTCCTGCTATGGTTTCAAAGTGTGTTCCAAAATTCACATGTTAGAAACTTAATTCCCAATGCAATAGTGTTGGTATTTGGGGCCTTTTAGGAGGTATTTGGGTCATGAAGGCCACACCCTCATGAAAGAATTAATGCTGCTATAAAAAGGGCTTATGGAAATGGGTTCTGTCTCTTCCACCCTTTTGCTGTGTGAGTAATAGCACTACATCCTCTCTGGAAGATGTAGTGTTCAAGGCGCCATCTTTGAAGCAGAGACCAGGCTGTTACCAGACACTAAACCTGCCAGTGCCTTGATCTTCCTGGGCTCCAGAGGTGTAAGAAATAAATTTCTGTTCTTTATGAATTACCCACTCTCAGGTATTCTGTTATAGCAGAATGAAACAGACTATAACATCTCCCAAGTACATAGCGTCACTTCCACTCTATTCTAGTCATTAGAAGCAAGATACTAAGTCCAGTCCACACTCAAAGGGAGATAAATTTGGTTCTACCACTTGAAGAGAGGGATGTCAATGAAATTATGAAGATATTTTAAAACCACCATACCTGTAAGAGAGCGGTTGGGATAATTCAGTGAATAAAGTATCACATTTTTAGTCTCTAAATTCAAGAGGTATGGTCCAGGTCTTGGATACACGCACAAAAAGAAACCAGAAAAAAATACAAGCCAATAAACAGACTAGAAAATTCCTATGAGCTAGGGAGAGAGAAGAATTTGGAGTGGAGATGGAGAGTGGCAGTGGTGTAAGTGCCCTGTTCCTGCTTAGTCTAGAGCTGGGGTAACTAACGACCAGATATAATTCCCCTTAATGTTTAGGGCCTGAGAGAGAGAACTCAGGCTATCCTTCCAAGCAGCAAACAACAGGAGTAGCCTCTAGGCTATTAGGGTGCAGCAGTCCTGCAGACAAAAGTGTTTTGTGTGTAGGATAAGGGAAGTCCAGAGACAGTCCTCTGCTTTCCAAGGCCCTGGGCCAGGGTGGGGACTGGTAAGGAAGAATGTTGAAAGTTCCATGGGCCTCAGGTATGTCACAGAAATCGAGATAGCAGAGACAGCAGTTTTTCAAGGAATGTCCTGGTTTGGACAAGAAAGTAAATAGAAACTTTTGGAATGGATGGTTCTTGCTGAGGATTGAAGGGTAGGAACATTTAAAATTATCATTGATGTCAAATTGTTTTCCAAAAATACTGTATAAATTTGTAGTCCATAGTTGCCATTTTTCCCAACATTTGTAATAACAATGTTTTAAATTATTGTCATTCCAATTAGTGAAAAAAGACATAAATTAGTTTTAATTTTATTCTTCATAGTTACTAGGAGTTTGAGGATCTTTTATATTTTCATTTACTGTTTTGGTTTCCTCTTCTGTGAATTGCCTGCTCCTCTCTTTCGGCCACATTTCTATACTGTCTTTTCTTTATGTTTGTAAGATCTATTTGTATATTTGAAAGCCAATCCTTCACTTGTTATTTGTTGCAAATGTGCTATTATGGACTGCCACTTGTCCTTTAAGCTTGTTTATAGTATCCTTTGTCACACAGAAGTTTTACATTTTAATATTATCCAATATATTGATCTTTTCCTTTGCAGTTTTCGTTTTTATATCTTGTTTAGGAAGTTCACCCATCTCCAAATCACAGAGATACACTTCTACATACTTTTCTAATCATTTAAAAGTTGTATTTGCTTTCAGTGATCCAAAATCTATTTTTTCTAGTTATATAATTTAACTATGATTATAATAATAATGATCTAATTCTATTTTTTTCCAAAAGGTGTGCCAGTTTTCCCAGCCTTTCTTCTGAATAGTTGATCTTTTCCTTGCTGAGCTTGGATGCCTCCTCTACTGTCCACTGGGTCCCACATGAGTATGGATCCGTGTCTGAGCCCTCTACTCTGTTTCATGGTTTGTTTCTCTTCTCCTGTGATGACGTCACATTGTTTTGAATTCTAGAACCTTCAATACATCTTGGCTAATAGGACAAGCAAATCTTTCTCACACACACGCACCTGTGTTTGCTTTTAAAATTGTTTAAGCTGTTGAGTGCCTTGACTTTTCCATTGCCATTTTAGAACAGTTTCCTGAGAATCCTGCTGAAGTTTCAGTTGGGATTGCATTGAATTTGTAGGCTAATTTGGGGGATAACTAACATCTTTACAGTGTTGTTTTCTCATCTAGAAACATAAACATTTGTTTACATTTGCCTTTTGTTCTGTATCTTTCAATACAGATTTTAATTTTTTCCTATGAAGAATTTGTGCATATTTTGTTAGGTTTATTTCTAAATATTTGATATGTATTTATTGATGTTGTCTACTTGGTGTCAGTTTTTTAAAAATGTGGTAGAATCTCCTCCTATGTTTATGTATTTGCCTTTATTTCCCTGTAATTCTATTTCTTAATTTATATATAAAACAGGATGTTAAAATTGAAGTTTTGATGAAGGCATAAGATACTATAAATGTGAAATTACAAAGCCAGATCATCATATACAAATATTTAAAGAAAATGTTTAAAAATCTGTTCCATGACTTTAAAAACCGCCCACCTAGTTTAAGAACATAAAAAAGGAATCAGGGTATGGAAAGGGACATACTCCATTTTGAAGAGGCTTGTGAAGAGATTTCTTTGAAAAGACATGATCCCTTGCTGTTAATACCCACCCCATCATGAGCCTTGGGAAGAAAGAGTTGCTGCATCTCAATATTCTTTAAACAATTATCCTTACTTTCCCCTAAAGGCACAGCTTTCCAACCTCCCATCCAATCCCCCCATCAAAGGGTTTAAAAAAAATTCAAGTAATGTATGTAGCAGACACCACAGGACCACACAGCTGAACTCCCAAAGGCTCATTCTGAGGCCAGGAATGGAGCAAAGGTACACATTTTCAATGTTATATGATGTCTGTTTTAGTCTGAGTCATAATTTCCTCACTGTTGCCTCAAAATAGTAGAGTGTATGTTAGGTTCTTCTTCTTCTTCTTTTTTTTTTTTTTTTTTTTAGACAGGGTCTCTCTCTGTCACCCAGGCTGGAGGGCAGTGGCGTGATCTGGGCTCACTGCAGCCTTGACCTCCCAGGCTCAAGCAGTCCTCCTACCTCAGCCTACCAAGTAGCTGGGACTATAGGCATGTGCCACCATGCCTAGCAAATTTTCATATTAGGTTCTCCTTATAAAAGTGTGATGATGAAGGTGCTAGAATATGTTATTGTTATTGACTTGATTTAGGTCAAAATGGGCTTCTGACCAAATCATCAGAGCACCAACTCACTGTACTTAGCTAGGAAGGCTAGAAGTTGGAAAGTTTATGATCCTGCTTAGGCAGAAATAAAAGTGTAGAGTAGTTGTCTTCCTCGCAGCTTTGACAGACAAGGCCCCTTGTGCAGTTAGATTTGGAATTCCATGATGACTTAATCACTGGGGTAGGGGAGAAGGGCGGTTGCCGGCAACAGGAGCTTCAGGGAGGTCTGTGAGAACCAGAATACAGTGAGAATCCAGGGTCCTTCCTTCCCCTAAACAGCCTTTCTCCCAGGGTTCCCCATCAGGCTGAGAAGCCTGGGATAGGTTTCCGAATGTTGGAGACAGGAAGTCTCCCATACACTGAGAATCACTGGGGTTACATTAGAGCCTGCAGCCAGAGTAGCAGAGCTAATGGAACGATTCCTACATTAACTGAATTCCTGGGTGAGTGAAGGAAGAATAGGAAAGAAAAAAGGGAAAGAAGCAGATAACTGCCAATGAGTCAAAATACTTTTATAACATTTCACTTCTAAGTTAAGTACTATCATCTGAATTGTTTGTATGGAAAATAATGACTTATCTGAGAATTCTTCAAGAAATTATCAATTTGGTTTTTATTCTTTTGCATTTAGTTGAGTGTGGAGAGGCTAGGGAAAACTGAAGCACCATTGGAAGAGGCATAGAGAGAATGAATAAAAGCATGGGCTCACAGAAGTGACGAATGCATTTTAGAAAAGCACCCAAGATAAATAGCTGGCCTGAAAGTGAGTATTTTTCTCACTTTGATTCACAGGTTGCCACATTTTCAGGAATATTTCTGTGCCACATAACAAAAGGAGCTTGCAGAAAGACTCATGAAAATTGAAGAAAAAAGTGTGAAAAGGAGTATTTTTTTTCTTTTAGTACTACATTTTAGCTGAAATGACATGGAAATTTTTGCTTATGTTGTGAACTCTATAGAAAGCTAGTTGGAAAGAATTTAATCATATCAGAAATTTGTCATTGAAAGTCATAAGTCCAAATGTCAGGAGGACTTTGCTTCTCAAGATTCCCAGGGACAAAAGAATGAAGGAAAAAGGCAAACTAAACCAGATATCTGTTTATATTGATAATGTACTCTTTTTATTTACGCACATCTCTTCAGTTATTCATTGTACTCGGTGTTAAATCCCATAATAGTTACGAGAGTGTCAATACCAACATTTGTTCCAGCCCTTGGGTCCCCGTCTTAGTCTATCTTGTACTGTTATAACAGAATACTACAGACCAGGCAATTTATAAAGAACAGAAATTTATTTCTCATAGTCCTGGAGGCTGGGAAGTCCAAGGTCAAGGTGCTGATATGTTTAGCTTCTGGTTCCAAAGTGGTGCCTTGTTGCTGTGTCCCCCAGAGAAGAGGAATACTGTCTCCTCACATGGAAGAAGGTGGAAGGGGGAAAACTCACTTCTGAAAGCCCTTTTTATAGTGGCATTAATTTATTCATGAGGGCAGAGTCCTCATGACCTAAACATCTCTCATTAGGCCTCACCTCCTAACACTGCTGCATTGGGATTAAGTTTCCAACACATGCATTTTGGGGGACATGTTCAGAATAGCAGTCCTATTCTGCTGAGTCTGCTTCATATTCTCAAAAGACAACCACCTCTTCCAAGGGTCATGATTCTACACTACCAAGGGTCAGGCTTACCCCAGGAGATAACCTCAGGCTTGGGCTAACTCGGGAATCAAGATCTGACCTTCTGCAGGAAAGTGATCTTCATGATTTTCCCCCGGGGCTATATCCAAAGAAAAAAAGTCAAGTAATCACAACACAGAGATAAACCTATTAACAAAGTGAAAAGGACAACGGTGGGAAACCAAGAAATGCCCACGTATTAGAGTTCTCCAGAGAAACAGAAACTTACACACACACACACACACACACAAATGCTCCTCAATTTATAACTCAATTTATAACCTCAATGGGGTTATAAGGATATAACCTCATTGTAAGCTGAAAATATAACAAGTTGAAAATGCATTTCATACACCTAACCTACTGAAAATCATAGCTTTATCCTAGTCTGCCTTAAACGTGTTCAGAACACTTACACGTTCAGAACAGTTACATTAGCCTACTATTGGGCAAAATTATGTAATACAGAGGCTACTTTATGGTAGAGTGCTGAATATCTCATGTAATGTATTGAATACTGTACTGCAAGTGAAAAGCAGAATGATATGGTTTCTAATTGAACGTGTATTGCTTTTGCACCATCATAAAGTCAACAAATTGTTAGTCAAACCATGGTAAGTTGGGGACTCTCTGTCTGTATGTATGTGTGTATGCATGTGTAGAGAGAGAGAGACAGAGAGAGAGAGAGAGAGAGACAGACAGACAGAGACAGAGAGAGTCAGAGAGATTTATTTTAAAGGATTAGCTCTTATGATTGTGGAGGCTGGCAAGTCCAAATCTGCTAGATAGGCCAGGAGGCTGGAGACCCAGGAAAGAACTGATGTCACTGAATCCAAAGACAGTCTGTTTACAGAATTCCCTCTTCCTCAGGGTACCTCATTCTGTTTCCTCTTAAGGCCTTCAGCTGACTGGATGAGGCCCATCACATTATGAAGGATAATCTGTTTTACTCAGTGCCTACTGATTTAAATGTTAATCTCATCTAAAAAATACCTTCACAACAATATCCAGACTGGTATTTGACCAAACATCTGGATGCCATGGCCCAGCAATTAATCACCACAGCATACTAGTTGTTTTACTTAAGCCCTTTGATTGCAAAGGACACTCTCATCCAGTCTGCAACTTACTCCAGAACCAAGGTAGTTCTCAGTTATGGTGAGTCTTTTGCCCACTTTCATAGCTGAAATATCCTCTGCTTCACAGTACAAATGTCCATTTGGTAGCAAGACAGTAATGGAGCAGAGATGCAGAGAGAAGCAGATATGGAGTTCTCTTGTTCAGTGGCTCTCAACTGCAGGAACATGTCAGAATACCTGTGGAACTTTATAAATATAGAGATATTGTGAGATTCTGTCTCTACGAATAAAATAAAATATAATAGAATAATAAAATAAAATAAAATGTCAAGCATGGTGGTACAAGCCTGGAGTCCCAACTACTTGAAAGGCTGAGGCAGGAGGATCTTTTGAGCCCAGGAGTTCAAGACTGCAGTGAGCTATGGTCACACCACTGCACTAGCCTGACATTGTGAGAACCTGTCTCAAAAAAAAAGAAAAAAAAAAAAGAGGGCTGGGTGCGGTGGCTCACACCTGTAATCCCAGCACTTTGGGAAGCCAAAGCAGGCAGATCACCTGAGTTCAGGAGTTCAAGACCAGCCTCACCAACATGGTGAAACCCCATCTCTATTAAAAATATAAAAATTAGCTAGGCATGGTGGTGCACGCCTGTAATCCCAGCTACTCAGGAGGCTGAGACAGGAGAATCGCTTGAAACTAGGAGGCAGAGGTTGCAGTGAGCCAAGATCGAGCCACTGCAATCCAGCCTGGGTGACAGAGCAAGACACTGTCTCGAAAAAAAAAAAAAAAAAAAAAGAGAGAGAGAGAGATTCTCAGCCCCCTCCATAAACTGAATCACAGCCACACCCTATTTCTTGATGATGAAAACCCAATTAGAAACTGGGTTATATTTAGACAGAAAAGACATCTGATTCAGGGAGTGAGAGATATCTAATTAAAAGTATATTGTGGGTTGGGTGTGGTGGCTTACACCTGTAATCCCAGCTTTGGGAGGCCCAGATGGGAGGATTGCTTAAGGCCAGGAGGTCGAGACCAGCCTGGTCAACATAGCAAGACTCCATCTCTATAAAAAAATTCTAAAAGTATATTTATCTTTAATTCAGAAAGAGTCACTGCAATTTTTGGGCTTTAAAGGTGAAGGAGGGGACAAAATGTGTGAAGCGGTGCTATCAAGCATTAATAATTCCAAAGAAAGAGAGTAATACATTGATAAGAAGAAAGCCAACATAAGAATGGCAGATAACAGCAGAAATTAAATACATTATGCACAGGATTCAAATCTAGATGGGTCTTTTACTATGTATGCCCAGATTTCTACTATCTGGGATAACTCTCAACCATCAGTAATGAAGAATAGCTGAGCATGCATGATGTGAATGTTGCAGATGTTTAGCCACATTACAGGATGTAGATAGTATTATAATACCAGAAATAATAATATATCAACACATCTGTCAGGGGCGTGTGAACCAGAGCAACTCCATCTTGAATAGGAGCCGGGTAAAATAAGGCTAAGACCTATTGGGCTGCATTCCCAGATGGTTAAGTCATTCTAAGTCACAGGATGAGATAGGAGGTCAGCACAAGATACAGGTCATAAAGACCTTGCTGATGAAACAGATTGCAGTAAAGAGCCGGCCAAAACCCACCAAAACCAAGATGGTGACGAGAGTGACCTCTGGTCATCCTCACTGCTATACTCCCACCAGCACCATCACAGTTTACAAATGCCATGGCAACATCAGGAAGTTAACGCTTATATGGTCTAAAAAGGGGAGGCATAAATAATCCATCCCTTGTTTAGCATATAATCAAGAAATAACCATAAAAATGGGCTGTTCTGTCTATGGAGTATCCATTCTTTTATTTCTTTACTTTCCTAATAAACTTGCTTTCAGTTTATTCTACAGACGCGCCCTGAATTCTTTCTTTTGTGATATCCTATAACCCCCTCTTGGGATCTGGATTGGGACCTCTATCCTGTAACATCTTTTTGGTGATCACAAAGGGATTATAGTGTGGAAACCCTCAACCCAAAGGCTAACTTTGGATATGTGATGGGATTTCATAACATTTTTCTGGTGAACCATGGATGGGATGATACTGAGGAGATCCCCCCCAACCCAAAGGAAATAGACTACAGCACTGATTGGATGACTTTGGGTAAGTGATGGGGTACCCATGTAAAGAATGGGATTGGGTTAGAGGCCCAACATAGGGCAGATAGAGTCTCACCTAAGACAGAGTGGGTTAGATGCCCCTCTTAATAAAAGGCAAGGACGCTTGACTGACCTTGGGTTAGAGGCCCAACTTAGTAGGGTTAGAGTCCGTTCCTAAGATTTAGGGGGTTAGAGGCCCCTCTCGGTAAAGTCCCTTTTGGCTAAGAATGGGTTCAGCACTGTGGGATGTTAGCCACTATTCTCTTTGGATCAATCTGCCTTGCACTCTTTGCTGATGGCTGTGGGTGACAGGATTAGACATGTACAGGATCGTGGGACATGGGGAGCTTTTTCCTCCATAAAAGAGGAAACTTAAGAGCCAATGAGACTGCTAAAAAATATCCCTTTGCTACTGACAGGCTGCTGCCTGAACTTTTCAGTGTTGCTGCAATGGATGGGTCTTTCTCTGGCCTCTCTGAGTGCCTCGCCTTCCCCACCCTGCCCAGGCAATGCTTTCCTCTTTCTCTTCCTGTGCAAACTGGTTGAATGAATGGTAAAAAATCACCGTTTATCTCCTGTAAAGTTTTGATTAATGGGAAAAAGAATTTGTGAGGCTAGTCTTAAACTGTAGCCAGGGGTTCAAGGTTTAATTCCCGGCTTAGGGAATCTTCTGTCTGTCTAGGTATTTATATGTATTATGTGTGTAATGTTTATATATTAAAAAGCTTTAATTAATTGGTTTAATAATAATAAGAGCCTAAATCAAATATTTTGTCAGAAAAGTAAAAGTGTAATGCCTTTTAGTTCGTGTGACTTAAGTAAACTTTGGGAAATAAGATAGTTTTAAAGATCATTGGTAAAATAAAAATATCTTTAAAAATGTAAACATTTGGTCTAAATTATGCAGGTCAGATATTAAGTTTGCTAAATGCTTTAAGTTCATAAACTGCTTCTTTGACTTTTGAAAATTGTTCAATTTTCCTACCTTGTAGACATTAGATTCTGGATAAGGCCTGGGAACATGTGGAGTTAGCCACGCCTCCTAGCTACGCTGGAGAGTCAGCCTTTATCTGCACTTCTGCCAGGTGTGTCCTAGGCCAGGCTCCACACCTGGTACATAATATAAATTACTTACTTACCAAGGTTTTCACCAAAAGTAAAAGTCGCTAAGAGTTAGCACTGTAACATGTAATTGAGACTACTGAAAAAATAGTTCTACATGCAAGGCATGTAAGGAAAGTAGAATGTACTATTGGTGAAAGATTATAAAAACTCATGGGAATGTGGATTCTTGCCTAAGTTTAGAGAGTTAAAGAATTGTTTTAAGTTAGATAGAATAAAGGTGAAGATTTAAACAATTTGTGGAAGGTTTGTGAACAATTAATCTGGTAAAATAAATTCTGTGTGTGAACATATTGGCTAAAATTAAAGGGGTATTATTCAGTTTTTTCTGTAAACCGAACACTGGAATAAAAGCACAACAGATTTTTCTTAGAGCACTAACTAATCTGCTCTTTAACAAAAAAATTGTGAACGGTTATAAAAGGTTTATGAGAATCTTACCTTATGGTCAAACATTAAAATTGGGTAGATATGTCTATAAGGTTTTATTAAGAATTGGGTTTAACATTAATAGTACACTAATGTAGAAGTGAAATTTGGCTTATTTCATATAAAAATCATACAGGAAGCATTGTCAAATATGAAATGTTTGGTGTTTGGTTTTCTTTAGGCTGTTTTTATATAAATATGTTATTGGTATGTATTCCAAAATCATGAGAAACTCCTATAATTCTGACAGGACTTAGTGTACATCATCAGTAATAATTGTAATTGTTCTGTAAAATTTTGTATGCCACAGAAGTAACGAAATTTCCTTATCAATTGTGGCTTTAATAGTGGCTGTTCTAAGACTTCTTGTCATCCACAAACAATTGTTGTCTGTTTTAATCCTCTTTAGAAAGTGGGTTATAATCAACTATAGAACTCTAGGCTGGGCGCAGTGGCTCACACCTGTAATCCCAGCACTTTGGGAGGCCAAGGCGGGTGGATCACGAGGTCAGGAGATTGAGATCATCCTGGCTAACATGGTGAAACCCTGTCTCTACTAAAAATACAAAAAATTAGCTGGGCATGGTGGTGGGCGCCTGTAGTCCCAGCTACTCAGGAGGCTGAGGCAGGAGAATGGCGTGAACCTAGGAGACGGAGCTTGCAGTGAGCCAAGATCATGCCACTGCACTCCAGCCTGGGTGACAGAGTGAGACTCTGTCTCAAAAAAAAAAAAAAAAAAAAAAAGAACTCTAGCAGGTGTTCTTGAACGCAGGTTTTTAAAATGACTTTGGAGATGGTGACATCAGAATTGAGAAAAAAAAAACTTTCAGGACTCTCATGGAGAACTGAATTGTTCATGAATATCAAGCCAAACAGGAGTTAACTAAATTAACTGAGTCAATAAAAAATTGAAGTAATCTTTTTAACTTTTGCTTAAAATGTGGCTGATCCTTTGTTTTGTTTTTCAGACTCAAGGAAACTTTTCTTTTTGAGCTATTTACAGCTTTTAGCAATTGAGTAAAGTATACTCCTATTAACAAAATTTGGAGCATATTTGTTTCACTGTAGCTGATTTCTCCAGAATTTGGAAAATATTTTTGAGTATTCGTCAGAGCTTGTTTGGAGGTTCTAGCAGGGGAGAGCGGCTACTCATATACCCTTGACCGAAGACCTGTCCTCCTCTACTGGGGATGGTCATCCTCTTCAACTGAGCACACAGCTGTGGGAGGAACACACAAGGAGTGATAGCCAGATCAGCTGAATCAACCCTGACAATCAATGGGGTGACAGATGTTGCAGCAAGATCACCCTCACATCCTATTTCTGAGTATTCTTAATTTATGGCAATAGAGTTGCCATAATTTATGGTGATATAGTATGGCATAAATTCAATAAGAATCTGTTTTCTTTTGTAACAGGACACAATTGGAAAAATTGGTTATTTTACCAAGGCTTTAACTGGAATGGTGTGCTTTCCTTTAAGCAATTAGACTTACAGAGCCAGTAAAAGCCCCTGGGGGAACTGGCCTCATACCTTGCCTACACAGTCCCTGTACAGGGTTTCTGACCTGTGGTAAGTAAAGAATGTCACTTTCTCACATGTCCAGGAGCCCCAAGTTATCTTGGGACCTCAAAAGGAGAGAAATTTACTCAACTCCTAGGTATTTGAGGGTACAAACCCATGACAGGGTTCGGCTCTAAAAAAGCCTTATTTGAGATTCCTTCTATACAACCAAGTTCCATCAGAGTCAATTTAAGAAGAGATTATGTGAAAAATTATCCTTGCTGCACTTTATACAAATAATCAGGCCAAATATAATAAAGCAAATCAGTCTTACCATGATTTGTCTTTAGTAGAAATGAGAAACTGGCGAGAGAAATATTTTGTTTCAAGAACTATGGTACCCTTGTTATTAAATTCTAGTCTCATCAGTTTTTTTAAGTTTGTTTCTGCAATTTTGAAAGACTGCTTGTTCCTGTGAACCAAGCAGGGCTCTCTGACTGCTGCTTAGAAGAAACAAGAGGGATGGATAATATAAAAATCTGGATCGGTAGTCTAATTTTGGGCACACTGGAGCCAGCTATCAGCTTGGTTCCAACAGTTTCCCAGTTCATGGAAAGCCTCACAATTTAGTTTATTTGGCATATTTTTTCTTATTTTGTTTTACTCTTGTGGAAGATATTGCTGTTGTACTCTTTGTGTAGGAATGCAGGATAAGCTTACTGAATGTTTTCTTAATCTGAACATTTATTAATCTTTCATATAGCACCTTTTGTCAAAACTCAGTTATGAACGACCTTCGCCATACCAACACTTTCTGACTGAGTTCCTCTCTACCCTGAATGTAAGAGACCCTAATAATTAGATAGGAATATCATTGCCCCTATTCATCCTGAAGAAGTTACAAAAGATTGATCTTCGTCCCTCTGCAACCCTTAGGATTAAGGGTTCTTTTATAGAAGGGAGGGGGGAACTGTCAGAGGCATGTGAACCAGAGAAACCCCATCTTGAACAGGAGCTGGGCAAAATAAGGCTAAGACCAACTGGGCTGCATTCCCAGACAGTTAAGGCATTCTAAGTCACAGGATGAGATAGGAGGTCAACACAAGATACAGGTCATAAAGACCTTGCTGATAAAACAGGTTGCATTGACTGCCTGTTGCATTCCCCCAAATGAACAATAACACAAAATCTTTACGTGTAAGAGATTTTCATGAAGATTGAGATAATACAAAGAGAATACTGCTCAGATCAGATCAGGCAACAAGTCAAAAAGGCATGTGAGAGATCACTCTTCTTAAGGTCCCAGGCTCCATTCCTTATCTTTCTTCCTCTTCAGGGCAAAACTCAAAATTCCCAACACTTTATCATACAAAGCAATTTTAGGTTCAGCCTTCACACTAGTCCAGGCTCTGAGCCTTCTGCCTTGCTCTCCCTTGGATAACTTGCTTTTGGAGAAGTCAGATGCCATGCCATGAGGGCTCCTAAGCTATGCTGTGTAGAAGTTCAAGTGGCAAGGAACTGAGGCTTCCTGCTCACAACAGCATCAACTTTTCAGCCTCTTGGAAGCGGATTCTGCAGCCCTGATCAAGTCAACATCCTAACTGCAACCTCATGATAGACTGTAAACCAGAACTACTCAGGTAAGCCTCTCCCAAATTCCTGATAATACATGTTTATTGTTTCTTAGGCCCCGAAATTTGGGGTGATTTGTTATGCAGCAATATGTAACTAATACACATACCTTAAAATTGCTGATTGCTAACTCTATTATTTGGGCTATCTTGAACTTTCTTCTTATTGTCTGTGGGTCACATATTCATTTTGCCTGATAATAACATTGCTGTGTCAGCTTTTCTATGCTTAGCATTTCCAAGATACATCTTTTGCTTTCAACCTATCTGTACCTTTATACTGTCTTTCATAAACAGTGTATAGTTGGGTCTTGCTTTTTTATCCATCTGACCATTTCTGTTTTTTAAATGAAGTGTGTAATTCATGTACACTTAATGTAATGTAAACATAATTTGTTTCAAGTCTACTTTCTTGCTATTTGATTTTTATTTGTCATCTCTGTTCTTTCCTCTGTTCCTGTCTCCTCTTGGGTCAGTCGAGTATTTTTTTTAACCAAAAATTACTTTATCAATAAATTATATCACATTTTTCCATGTAATGAGAAATTTTAAAACTCATTTATGAAAAATATTAATGAATATAACTATATAGCATTTTTGGTATTTTTCTAAAGAACTAGACCAGGGAAATGTATTACTCCTTTTGTAGTAATATACACTAAACAATAAACAAAGTTGTAGACACCCTCAAATGGTAAGACACCTCATTCTTGCCAAAACATCTAATTATTTTCTCACCAAAAAATGGTGAAACAGCTACACACACTACAAAATGAAAAATTAACTTCATTTTTAATACCTTACTTTTAGATAGGCAAGTTAAACCAGTAATTTCAAAAGCAATTTTATTGCTTTTGAGTGTAACCACCCAACGGGTTCTCCTTGCCCACTGCCTAGACTGAGCCAATTTATCAAGACAAGGGAATTGCAATAGAGAAAGTTAAATTCAAGCATAGCTGGTGGTATGGGAGACCAGAGTTTTATTATTACTCAAATTAGTCTCCCCCCAAATTTGGGGATTGGGGTTGGTAAGAATAACTTGGTGGCCATCCTGGACAACATGGTGAAACCCTGTCTCTACTAAAAATACAAAAAAAAAAAAAAAAAAAATTAGCCAGGTGTGGTGGCACATGCCTGTAGTCCCAGCTGCTCAGAAGGCTGAAGCAAGAGAATCGCTTGAACCCAGGAGGCGGAGTTTGCAGTGAGCCAAGATCATGCCACTGCACTCCAGCCTGGGCGACAGAGGAAGAATCTGTCTCAAAAAAAAAAAAAGAAAAGAAAAGAAAAAAAAAAAAGAATAACTTGGTGTGGGTATGGGATTGGGAAGTGAGGAATGCTGATTGGTGGGGTCAGAGATTAAATCATAGGGGGTTGAAGAGAGTTTCTCTTGGTACCTTCTGTTCCTGGGTGGGATTGCAGAATTGGTTGAGCCAGATTACCAGTCTGGGTGGCCTCGGCTGGTGCATCGGTATGCAGGATCTACAAAATATCTCAGGAACTGATCTCAGGTTGTACAACAGCGATGTTGTCCCCAGGAGCAATTTGGGGAGGTTCACATCATCTGGGCCTCTGGCTGCTTGACTCCTAAACCATATTTCTAATCTTATGGCTGATTTGTTAGTCCTACAAATGCAGACTAGACCCCAAGAAAGAAGGAGGTTTGTTTCAGGAAAGGGCTGTTATAATTTTTCTTTCAAAGTTAAACTATAAACTAAGTTCCTCCCAAAATTAGTTCAGGCTATGACCAGGAGTGAACAAGGACAGTTTGGAGGCTAGAAGCAAGATGGAGTTGGTTGGGTCAGATCTCTTTCACTGTCATAATTTTCTCACTGTTACAATTTTTTCATGAGGACAACAGTACAAACTTGTGTTATAGATAAATCATATTTTAGAGTGATGTTATTTTTGATGTTTTGACAAAAAGCATATGACCATAGTCTTCAAGCCTCATTAAAATGACAACTTTTTTGTAAATAAAATGTTTCTTTGATCTAAAGTGGCATGAAATAAAGCTATCTTTTAAGAAAAATTATAATCTTTATGTTTATTTCTTACATTATTAATGTTTGTTTAAGAATATTTATAAGTAAAGTTACCATTCCTATATCAAGTTTTTTTAACTATTTGATTCTATCTATTCTATTGGCTTTTTAGCCAAACCTTTTTCCTTTGTATTATGTCTTTAGTGGTTGCTATAGAGATTACCACATGCAGTGTTTGCTTACTATTGTCTAACTTGGTTTAATATTATAACACTCCACAGGTATGTAATATAAAAACACTTCAACTGCATAATTTTATTGAACTCATAGTCCTATCCTTTGTGCAGTTGCCATGTTATATTTTAGCTGTACATAAATTTAAAACCCCAACAGTGCATGTCCCTTTTGGGAGTCCAATGGAAAACCCCTCTCCTGAGCATTAGATAACTTGAAATTTCTGCCACCACCCCTAGATGTTGCCATCTGTTGAGTTCATTACATTCTTGGTCTCCTCATGCTCAGTTCTAGAAATAGCCAAGGATTTGAGGGAAGTTTTGATACAGAAGCTTCCTCTCTGTAGCTTCCTACTTTCCACAACTTTCCTCTTCAATTTCCAGCTACGCTGGCAGCCCATGAAATCCAACCTCTGGCTTCTTAGCCCAGTAAAAATGTTGCTTTCAGCCATACAAAAGAATGAGATCATGTCTTTTGCAGAAACAGAATGGAGCTGGAGGCTATTATCCTTAGCAAACTAATGCAGGAACAGAAAACCAAATGCCTCATGTTCTCACTTATAAGTGGGAGCTAAATGATGAGAACCCATGAACACAAAGAAAGAAACAACAGATATTGGGGTCTACTTGTGGGTGGAGTGTGGGAGGAAGGAGAGGAGCAGAAAAAATAACTATTGTGTACAGGGCTTAATATGTGGTTGATGAAATAATCTGTGCAACAAATGCCCGAGACACAAGTTTACCTATGTCACAAAGTTGCACATGTACTTCTGAACCTAAAATAAAAGTTTTTTTTTAATGTTGCTTTTTGCTCAAGATCTATCCCTTGTGCACCACTGAACTTGAGAGTATTTTTCAAAGGCAACACACACAAAAATGTGGACCTCACTTAGCATGAGACACTTCTTTCAAGGTTTGAATTTTCATTAGTTTCTGCTTAGTTTTGGTCTCTCTCCAATGTCTTCAAACAGTTGTTTTAAATTGTATCTAAAGTTTATAGTTATAATTAGCAGGAAGGTGAGCTTGGTATAAGCTATTCTACCATTAATGGGAGCCAGAACATGATTTTGTTTCTTTATTTGAATATTTAACCTCGAAGAAATGTATTCCACTGTATATTGTAAGATAAAACTCTTTGTTTTCTAATAATTAACCAACTGTACCACATGATTTTTTAATTCATCCTTTTAGATGTCACATATATATACACACACACAGACATATACACTCTTCTGGGCTTTGTATTCTGTTCCATTGCTCTTCTTGACTCATATTTTGCACGATTACATGTGTCTTATGCCTTTCTGGAGATAGAACTTTGACCCTTTTCCCAATACACCCAGTATACTCTTCCTCTTCTGAGTTCAGTTTCTAAATTTGTATTTCTGTAAAATTATCCATTTCATGAAGATTTGTAAATGTATTAGCACAGAGATTATCAAAATTTTCTCTTTTAGCTTAAAACAAAACAAAAACAAACCCCTCAAACCATCTATTTCTTGTAGCTCTGTGTAGTGGGATAATGTTTCAAAGTGTTCATTGGTTGCTTTATCACCCTGTCCTTAGCTTTTCTGTGCTCTTGGAATTCCTTTACTTATATCCCAAGAGTCTTCATACCACCTATTCCCTACCCTTAACTAGTACTACCAGAAATGAAGCTCCCACCCTAGAAGCAGTAAACAAAAGTACAAATGTTTGTTTCAAAAATTGCTGGTCTATGTATACGGCAGAAAGGTTCAGACATACACTTACTGACTGGGTTTTTCTGCTCTTGTAGGCTACTTAAAAATTTCCATGAGTTAGTGAACAAGAAAAGAAAGCAAAAACTGTTGGCCTAAAATGATTTGTGAATACCAAGTCCTGCTGTCCTCCTAATATGGCTTTGCTGTGTCCCCACCCAAATCTCATATTGAATTGTAGATCTCATAATTCCCACATATTATGGGAGGACCTGGTGGGAGATAATTGAATCATGGAGTCAGTTTCCCCCATACTGTTCTTGTGGTAATGAGTAAGTCCCACGAGATCTGATGGTTTTACAAGGGGAAACCCCTTTTTCTTGGCTCTCATTCTGTCTTGTCTGCTGCCATTTAAGGTGTTCCTTTCACCTTCCACCATGATTGTGAGGCCTCCCAAGCCGCGTGGAACTGTGAGTCCATTAAGCCTCTTATTCTTTATAAATACCCAGTCTTGGGTATGTCTTTATCAGCAGCGTGAAAATGGACTAATATACCTTCCTATTGCCACCAAGGAAAGCCACACCCATACTCATCGAAAATCCTATGAGGAATGAGGGTGAATAAACAAAGATTAAAGGAGTAAAGGCAAATCTCTACCTCAATATATTTCCCTAGAGCTGGTGGAAAACCCTCAGAATTCCCTTCAGGATTGATCTGGTTTTCTCTCTCAGCTTCCCATAAGATAAGGAGACAAGAAGACTACAAGAAGCATTTGCATTTAGCTGGCAGCAGTGGTGACTGAGTTATGCATCTGGAAAGGCATTAAAATAGAAAAATGGAAGAACCAGTCTCAGCAAGAGAGTTGTGATTGGGGCCAAGAGCAAATTAAAAGCAGGAGCTCAGAGCCTGTGTCTATGAGCCTAAGATACTAGAAATTTGCAGAAATGGGGGCAGGATGTGGACAGTGGCTTTTCCACGGAATGTCAAAATACAATTTTATTTTTTTCTGAAATAACAGAGTTATTTCATCTTAACATCTGGATTATGCAAATATTGCAAATTATTTTTATGAGCCTCTGAATGCCACAGGAAGTTAGCATCTTGTTACATCTACACTGTAGATTACAGCTACAATAAACTACACTTGCCCTGATATCATTGTCAAGGGCCTTCCAGATTTATAATCCAGCCCATATCTTCCCTCCTGCACCCAGGATCCTATAGCACTATATCCTCAAGCCCCAGAGCTTTGGGGGACAATACAGTCACAAGATGCTCTTTAAGCCCTTGGAGAATATGATATGGTCCATCTACCATTGTCCAATCCTGGATAATTGGTGAACAGAACTGATAACTGAGGAGCTATGGCCTCAAGCTCTGCTGCTCTGGATTGAGGATCTTGGAGTCCTGAAACCCCAGGTATCTCATGGACCTGGGGTCCATAAAGGGGAATGGTCCTTAGAAGCATCATTTTTGCCCATCAATCTCCAGCTCCAGAAGCATCATTTTTGCCCTTCGATCTCCAGCTCCAGTTGGTGCTATCCTGGACTTCATGGCCACTAGACTGGAAAATCTCAGATGATGTCCCTTCTTGAGATTGTGCCTTCTTTCAACTCACAGTGACAACTGAAGCTTTGAACCCCATCTACTGCTTACTCTTTAGACCCAAGGGCACAGGTTCCTAAGAAATGGGGCTGCATAGAGAGCCTGTTGTAAGGTTAGCAATTTTGGTTACTGTCTCTTCTCAGTCAAAAGAAGGAGGGCTAATCAAACCTCACAGACCAGCCAGGGTAGATTTGATGGCAATTTTGACCCTTCTGGAAGTTTCTAGATTCATCTAAGGGGAACTTGGTAGCTAGGTAGTTTGGTCTTGGAGCTGGGAGATTTTCCTCTGACAATGGATTAGGGGAAGAGCAACTGAAGCAGATTACCCACAAAGTTTCTCAGGCCTCTAAAGGCATAAATCATTGAAGGGTTGGGATGAGGGGATGAAAATGAAGCTCCAGATTCCCCCTTTTCCCCCAGTTGGCTTGTCCCCAGACCTGAGAACTATCCCTTCGTGTACTCTGCCTGAGCAGTTGCTTCTAGTGCTTCCATATCCTGATGTGGTTGAGGTAGAGCCTGAGATTCAGAGCATGGGATAAAAATAAGAGATCCTCTGTAGCAATACAAAAAAAAAAAAACACAAAAGTACAAAATATCAAAAATATGAATTTTAAAAAAAGAAGCTAATTTTTTTGAAGTGAAATGCTCGCTGGCCAGATTTGTTAGGCTAGAAACAACATTTACACATTTTTTTCTTGCACTCTATTTTCTGTAAGCTCCTACATCCACAGAGAAAATACAAACTCTCAATACCCACAGCACCAATTAGATTTTTTTTTGTTTCTGACATTTACAATAAAGATATCTGTGCTTGAGTTAGTTTTGTGAAGATGTTTGTATAACATAAGTTCTAAACTGGTGGCTATTGTGAAAATTAATGAATATTCAAAATTGTGTGAGTTGATATAAATGATTCAGCAGTAAAGCTTACCGAGTTTCTTTCTATAGAGACATTATCTAAAAAGCTATAAAAAGCTCAGTGCAAAGGCTTGCTGTTTAAGATGAATGATTTCACTCTTCCTACTGCAGTATGGCTGTTATTCTTTTTATTTTCAAATAAAGTGATATCTGACAGTTTATTCCTCCAAAATCTAAACATAAGGTAAGATTGTTTGTCAATTATACCTTCACAGTGGAAAATTAAGCAGCCTGGTTAGTGTCACCAGCTTTCCCATCACACTTCCGTTAGGTTCCCCGTGGCAGGCTCTGCATCCAGACTACCCAATAGCCAAAGCTCCTTAGAGAAAATAAGCCCATCGCCAAAGAGCAAAACATAATTCGTCCAAGGAAATAATAGTAATCCCATTAATCTTTACTAATGATTTGCGTAGGGGCAACCCTATGGCCAGTGAGACATGGGGGAAATATTCTGGGAGGCTCTCTGATTAATTTTGGTGTTGAAGATATCATGTAATTAACATTTATTGGACTTGGAGAATATTAAAAGGATTAAAACATGTTTTCTACTCCAGGGATACTCAGTGGAATAGAGAAATATAAACACACTTACAATATAATTTAATGATTATCATGTATAAAGCACTAAGGAAGAATGAAAAGAAAAAAGCAAACTGTTCAAGCATGAAAGGGCTTCTCAGAAGAGATGCTTATGGTAGGCACATGGGACATGTATCTAAGAAATCTTTGTCTATCCCAAGATCAGAGATTTTTTTCTTACATTTTTTCCCCTAGAATTATATAGTATTAGGTTCTACATTTAGGCCTATGATCCATTTTGAGTTGATATTTGTACATAGTATAAAGTGTGGATTGAAGTTTTTCTTTTCTTTTTTTTACATATACTTAGCCAGTTGTTCCCAACATTTACTGAAAAGGCAATTCTTTCTTCTCTCTGTTGCCTTTACACCTTTGGCAAAATCAGAAAATCAGTTTATATTTATATATCACATGATTTATATATATACATGTATATATAAATATATATGTGTGTATATACATATGTGTATATATGTGTGTGTGTGTATATATATATATATGTCAGTCTCTTTCTAGACTCTACTATGTTCCATTAATCTATTTGTCTGTCTTTACACCAACACAACACTGTATTAATTACTGTAGCTTTATGTATGTCTTGGAATCAGGTAGTGTTAGTCTGCCAATTTTGTTCTTCATTTATAAAGTTGTTTTGGATATTCTAGTCATTTGCATTTCCATATGGATTTTAGAATCAGCTTTTCAATTTCCACCAAAAAAGGCAGTTGGGTTCTTTATTGGACTACATTGACTCTATAGGCCAATTTGGGGAGAAATGATATTTTAAGGATATTGAGCCTTCCAATTCATAAACGTGATACTTTTCATTTATTTACGTCTTATTTAGTTTATCTCAGTAATGTTTTGGAGTTTTCAGTGTATGAGTCTTGTACATATTTGTCAGATTTATTCCCAAATACTTAATACTTTTATGCTATTTTAAGTGGTTTTTAGAAATTTTTAACTTTTGATTGTTCATTGCTAGTGTATGGAAATGCAATTGATTTTTGTATATTGATGTTGTATCAATATGCAACCTTAGAAACCTTGTATCAGTATGCAACCTTAGTAAACTCACTTAACACTTCTAGTAGCTAGAGTAGATTTCATTGGGTTTTGTACTAGACAATCATGTTATCTGTGAGTAAAAAAGGTTTTACTGCTTTCTTTCCAATCTAGATTATTTCATCCTTCCCAATCTTGATGCATTTTGTTTCTTTTTCTTGGCTTATTGCACTGCCTAGAACCCCAAATACAACATTAAATAGAAGTGGTGAGCAAGAGCATCCTTGCCCTGTCTGAAAAAGTGAAAACCTTTGTTTTTGAAAGATATTTTCATTGTATATAGAATCGTCGACTGACAGTTTCTCCCAGTTATTTAAAGACATTGCCCCACTGTCTTCTTGCTTGCACTGTTTCTTGCTTGCTTTGCTTGCATTGATAAGAATGTGTTGTCATTCTTATTTTCGTTCCTCTGTGTGTAATATGTCCTTTTTTCTTAACCTCTTTTAAGATGATCTCTTAATCATTGGTGCTGAGAAATTTGACTATAATATGCCTTGGTATAGTTTTCTTCTTGTTTCTTGTGTTTGGGATTCATTGAGCTTCTTGGTTATGTGGCTTTATAGTTTTTTTAATCAAATTTGGAAATTTCTAAGCCATGATTTCTTTGAATTTTTTTTTCCTGTTTCTCCTCCTACCTCCTATTCTCTGGGGACTCCAATAAAATGTAGATTGTGTTACTTGAAGTTGTCCCACAGCTCACTGATGGTTTGTCCATTTCTTAAATTTTTTTGTGTGTGTTCCGTTTGCATAATTTCTATTGCTACATCTTCAAATTAACTATTTTCTTTCTACTGCAGTGTTTAACCTGTTGTGAATCCCATTCAGTGTATTTTTTATCTTATGCACTGCAGTTTTCATTTCTAGTACCTCAATTTGGATTTAAAAAAAAATCTTTCATGTCTCTACATAACTTTTGAGCATATGCAATACAGCTGTAACACCTGTTTTAATGTTCTTTTCTGCTAATTCAAACATCTCAGTTCTGTGTTCATTTTGCTTGATTTATTTTTATCCTTATTATGATTGTATTTTCCTGCTCCTTTGTATGCCTTACATTTTTTAATTGGAAGCCAGAAGTTGTGAATTGTATCTTGTTAGATGCTGGATATTTTAGTATTCCTATTAATATTTTTTATTTCTGTTCTGGGGTGCAGTTAAGTTACTAGGGAACAGTTTGATCCTTGCCTAAAGTCTATTAAATGGGTTCAGAGCAGGGCTCATTCTAGAGATAATTATTCTCCACTCCTAAGGGAAGACTACTCTGAGCACTAAGCCCAGTGCTTTATGAATTATGAGGTTTTTCAGTCTGGCTTGTGGGAAGAGGCACTATTCCTGGCCCTGTGGGAGCACCCTGCCACCTTTCTTATGGTTCTTTCCTTGGCCTTGGTTGGTTTCCTCACATATGTGTGCTGATCAGTACTCTTCTGACTACTCGAGAGGAACCTTCTGTAAACCTGTGAACATCTCCCTGCAGCTCCTTCCTCTCCAGTCCTCTGTCCTGCAAATTCTAGCTGCTCCAGTCTCCCCAGACTCTTAGGTCTGCTTCCCTAACTGGAGGAGACCTCAATCATCACAGTTTGTAATTAATAAATGAGTGTGAGCACTTGACTCATGTCTGACCCTTACTTTACAACCAGACTGTAAGCTTCTTGAGAGCAGACGACTTAGTCTGTTTTGCTCATCATTGTGTCTCTAGTGCCTTGCACACTATCTGGCTGATAGTGGGTCCTCAATAAATACACAGTGAATAAAATAATTAAGATTAAACCCAAGCATACCACATAGAAATACTAAGTTCACAAATGGGCATTAATACATAATGTTTTTTAATCATCTCTCTTTTTTCTCTTTTATGTTTACTGAAATTAAAATAAATGGATCAGAACTACATGTATCTACAGAATAAACCTCACATAATGTTGAACAAAGATAGCAAGTTGCCCAAGAATATGTTCAATGTGCTATCATACATAAAGTTTAAATATATGGAAAATACTATATATAGTTAAGGGATACATATATGTAACAAGGTATGAAGACTGGCATAGGAATAACCTCTACCAAATTTAGGTTAAGGGTTTCATCTTTAGAGAAAGAAAGGGGAGAAGCTGGAAAGGTAGAATAGAGGGAATCAATTCTATATGTAATGTTTAATTTTTTAAGCTGGGATGTGGTACCTGGCTGTTCGTTATGTCACTTTCTGTACTTTATGTTTAAACCATTTCATAATATAAAGAAAGCTACTTGCAGATTTGAAAGAATTACAGATTATACATGCTGATATGGACAAACTACATGCAATGAGGCTCTAATAAAATAAAACCAGAGTTAGAACAAAGAAAGAAAAAAGAGAAGAAATTGGCCAGTAAAAAACCTTAAGTGACATACACAAATGAAAATTATCTAATTGTGAGAAAACATCAAACAAATCACAACTGAGGACATTTGACAAAATACCCGACAAGTTCTTCTGGAAAATATCAATGTCATCAAAACCAAGGAAAGTCTGAGAAACTGTCACAGCCAGGAGGAGTCTAAGGAGATATAATGTGGTATCGTGGATGGAATTCTGGAGCAGAAAAAGACATTAGATTAAAGCTAAGAAAATCTGATTAGCCAAAGTATGGGCTTCAGTTAATAACAATGTATCAGTGTTGGTTGATCAATTGTGACAAAGTTACCATACTAGTGTAAGGTGTTAACAATAGGTGAAACTCAGGGTGAGGTATATGAAAATTCACCGTACTCACTCTGCAACTTTTCTGTAAATGTAAATCTAATCTGATAGTTTTTTAAAGTAAAAAATACAAAACAATAGAGCAACATCTGGCATGCTTGTGTCCTGCTGTGTTGCAGTAGCCAGTGCATAACATCAACTGTGTCATGTTCTTGACAAACAATTTAACCTGAATGTAATTATTAATAAACCATCAAAGAAATAAAAACTAGGGGTCATTCTGCTAAAACCTGGCCTGTCCTCTTAAAAAAAAAAAAAAAAAAAAAAAGGCTGGATGCGATGGCTCATGCCTGTAATCCCAGTAATTTGAGAGGCAGAGATGGGAGAATTGCTTGAGCTCAGGAGTTTGAGACCAGCCTGGGCAACATAGCAAGAACCCATTTCTACAAAAAAAAAAAAAAAAAAAAAAATTAAAAATGAGTCAGGGAGAACTAGCTACTAAGGGGTTGAGGGGAAAGGATCATTTGAGCTCAGGAGTTTGAGGCTGTAGTGAGTGCACTCTAGCCTGGGCAACAACAACAACAACAGCATATGTCTTAAAATGTTTATTTAAAAAAATAAGAAAAAATTTTAAAAGAATAAAAAAACGAATGACCATTTTAGATTTCTGAAGACTGGTGATGCACAGCAATCAACTGTGATGTGTCAAACTTGACTGGATCCTGAATTGAAAAATAACAGCTACCAAAAGCCATTTGAGTGCTCATTTGAGAAAACTGCATTTGGAATGTTTAGCAGATTCTTGCAATTCAAAGTGTGGTCCGCAGACCAACAGCATCACCATAACCTTGGAGCTTGTTAGAAAGGTAGAACATCAGCCCTCATCACAGACCTACTGAATCAGAATCTGCATTTTGACAAGATCCTCAGGTGACTTGCATGCTTAATAAAGTCTGACAAGCACCATTTTCTGTGGTATTATACAATTGTTAATTGTCTCAAGTGTGAAACTGTGTCAAAATGCCTTAATTCTTAGAAAATGCATGTTGATGTGGTTAGGGGTAAAGTGCAATGGATGTCTGCAACTGACATTCAAATAGCACAGAAAACAAAAGTGTATGAGATGAAGTAAAAGTAGCAGGATGTTAACAGTTGATATTAGGTTAGTGCAACTAATGGCAAAATTGCAATTTCTTTTGCACCAACCAAATAAATTGCAGTGAGGGCTATACAAGTGCTTATTGCACTATTTTTCATCTTTTATGTAGATTTTAAATTTCCATAATTTCAAATGTAGAAGATTTTTATGGACTGTCTTTAAATTTAAAAATCTATTTTGAGGAAAGTTGACATGTTGACAACATTGAGTTTTCTCATCAATGAATATGGTATATCACTCTCCATAATCAAGTTTTCTTCTTTGTCCTTCAGCAATGTTGAACACTTTTCTTTACAGATTTTATACATTTATTTTCAATTTACATTTACTCCTGAACATTTTACTGTTTTGTTGTTGCAATTGTGAATGGATTCTTCTCAGTCATAATTCTAACTGACTATTGCTGGTATATAGAAAGCTATTTATTTCAGAATATTTTTCTTGTAATTTGTTACCATGCTATAATCTTTTATTTTTCCAATAATTTTCATTCATTTTCACGGATTTTTAGGAAGACAATGATAGCATCTGAAAATAATACAAAGTTTGTCTTTTCTAATATTTTTAGAGGTTTTCTGAAAACACGGTTTATTAAATTGGTTTCCTGCACAACATTAAATAGTAGTGATAGTGAGTAAAATTGTCTTCTTCCTGACTTTAATGGAATAGCCTCTAGTGTTTCACTGTTAATCTAACATTGCTTTGGATTTCTGTTATATCGTTTTTATCATAATACTCTCTAATAGCCTTTATTTAATTAGAAATGCCTGTTAAATTATATTATGCTCCTTTTGGCATCTTCGGAAATGATTTCATTGTTTTTGTCTCTTGTAATTTATGAATATAATAAATTTCTTTATAATAAGCTATATTTTCCTTTCAGAAATAAAAACTCCTTTGTCATATATTATTCTTTAACATACTGTTGAATGTAGTCGTACTGACATTTTACTTTTTCAAGCTATATTCACTACTGAAATTTGTGTATAATATTCTTTTCATTTGTTTTCTTTGTCAGGCTTCAGTATGAGTGTTAATATAAATAATAATGTTCCTCACTAAAGGTTGCTCACTACATGTGGGTATATTGAATGGACTCTGGCTGCTGTGGTGTTTCACACTCAGTCTCCCGCTCATCAGTTGCCTAAGGACCCCAAGCACACACATCATTAATATTCCTTTGACCCTTGGTAAGATAAGGCAGAAGAAATACCATCAGATCATTAGCATCAGCTTAGGACCATAGGCTTTAAAATGCTTCTAGTAGAAATACCTTACGGACAGAAAATAGCAAATTGGTTTTGGAAAATCAGCTTAGTAATATCCCATTGCTAAAAATAATGACCAATTGAATAGAAACCCTCCCAGTAAAATGGATTAAAGGCTGTAACACAAGTAAAAGTTTTAAGGAAGGTAGAAAAATTTAGTGCATGAGTAGGAAAGCCAGTGATGATTCACATTAGCTCCCCAAACACTCGAAGCACATTTGCAAAGTACAAGTGGATATGAATGCCTTCACAGCTAGCATTTTGACTGCCTTATTCATTTTTTGTACCGAGTCTGACCCAGTGCCTCACATCAGACAAGCCCTCAATAAGTACTTTTTGATTGAAAGAAGGAGAGATGATTGGGGCGCTTTCACACATTCTATTGTTCTGTCAGATAACACAGGGATGTCCTGAGTTCTTACAAGCCACATCACAGTGCCCTAGAGGTGGAGGAACATAATTCAGAACTGCACAGTCCAGCCCAGATGAGATGAGCTTAGAGTACAATGCCAAATAAACTTCTTTTCAATCACCACATGAATGTCTATACCTCGAGGGCAGGCTGTGCTGGTGAGAAGGGACACTGGACTCTGCTTCCTCCATAACCAGGGCACAGCAGGTGGCTCCTTTGCAGGTTGCTGACGCAGGTGCATCAGGAAGGCTGGCCACGTAATAACTGCTTGGCCAAGTGATAACCCAGGCTGCTCCGGGTTGAGGAGCAGGACCAAGTAATAACTGACTGTGTGGGCCACTTTCTAGGGGGAGGGCACTGTGATAAATACCAGCAGCTATTTCCCCCAAGTGCAACTGTAATTTAGGAACTGAAGCATATGAGCTTAACTGCGGTTTACACTCACAGTTTATGAGTGATGGGCAAGCACGCTGGATTCTAGAGGCATTCCGAAATCAGCCTAGCTTCTGGGGGGCCAGAGGAGCCCCTTCTCTGTTTCAGGCTCCCTCTGCAGCTGTTTGGCAGTCGCTGCTGGGAAATCTGGCATGAAAGCAGAATTTAAAGTTCTTTGGGGTGACATTGGAAAAACTGCCAAACCTGACAGAATTAAAGTTTTGAAATCTCCCAGTGAGGCATGATCAGTGTCTGTGAGGCATCTGTGACCTAGCAGACGCCCAGCTCTTGGCATAGGATTTTGCGAAAAGCCAAATGACATGGGGGAAGCGGTACCGCCCATCTCTTTGATACAGCGAGACATCCAATCTATTACCAAGACCTCTCTTCTATCTCCTAAATATAGCTTGAATATGTCTATTTTTCTCTAACCCCACTGCCACTATCTTAGTCCAAGTCATAGTTATCTATAGCCTGGACTTTTGCAGGAGCTTCCCCGCTGGTGTCCAGGCCATGGCACTGCGGGGCCTCAGGAGGCAACGTGTATGTCGCAGCCTAGGTACGTGCACCCCCTGGGGCACATCACTACAAGTGATAGTTTACACTAAGAAGGTGCCCTTGGAATCACCCAGCTTGGAGGCCCTGCTGCTTTCCTCCTTCTTCCTCCCTCCTTGGATCTATTTTCCCTTTGCTATTTATTTTTATTTTTGGAAAAATATAAAGAATAATATAATATACACCCATAGGCATCTGCCCCCCAACTTTTTCATATTTTAATATTTTATGAATTTTTGAGCTTGGTAATCTAAATGTTTATTATGGTGTATAGCATACATAGAGAAGAGTATATATTATGCAAATGAACATTTTAAAGAATAAATATTCATGTACCCACCACTCAGCTTAAGAAATAGAAAATTTCGAATCACTTTTGAAGTCTCCCATGTGCAACTTTTCAAACTAGAGACTCTGCTGTGCCCCCCAGGAGTAACCACTCTCATGAATTTGGGGATTAGTGTTTCTTTGTGTTTGTTTATATTTCTTTATCTAATAAATACACACACACACACACACACACAGAGATTCTTAATGTTTTGCTTGGTTTTGCCTGTTTTTTGACCTTTATGTGAATCAATGAGAATGCATTCTCCTGTGACTTGGTGTTTTTGCTTACTACTAAGTTTTGGGAGTCATGTCTGGCGTTGTAGGGAGCTTATTATTCCTCCCTTTTCACTGCTTTCCAATCCACACTCACGCTGCAGCCAGTGCAATGTCTTAAAGACATAAATTCAATTATTCGTCACTCCACTGCATAAAACCCTTTAGTGGCTTCCCAGTACTCTTGGAATAGAATTTCTGATACCTAGTGTGGCCTAAGAACCCCCAGGTGACCAGGTCCTGCCTCTCTTTCCTATCTCATCTCATTTCCTGGGCTGAGGTCACGGTACTCTCCTTCCATCTCCCTCATCTCAACAAGCTCTTCCTTTCCTTCCTGCCTTTGTGCACACCTGAGGTCTTCCTTTCTCTCTTCACGTGGCTATTCCAAGCTAACTGATTAAACATCACTTCTTTCAATGGATGCCACTGACCTCCCAATGTAAATTAGGTGCTTCTTGTTTTGTTTCCTTTTTACTCTTCCTTTCTTCACAGCACTTACCACAGTTTTGTATCATATGTTTATTTGGGCATTTATCTTTATATTTATTTAATGCCCATATACCTTTAAATTGCATTGATGACAGGATCACATATGTTTTCCTTATGATGGCTTATCTAATCCTAACATAGCCCCAGCATATAGCGGGTACTAAATAATTATCATTCAATGAGAATTGAAGCCAGCAAAAGCCAATGCAGTCAGAACAAAAAGAGTATTCAGAGCATGTATTCTGGGTCAATTCACTGCTGGATAAAGATTGTTAAAAGTGAAGGCAAAGCATTCTTCAAGAACACTTGTCAGGTTCAGTATGATCAGAGGCAGATGGTAAGCTTTGTATTTGTCCTATATGCTGATCTAGAGAAGCTGACCGAAAAGCAGCTCTGTTGCTCTACTATATTTTAAAAATAAAATATATAACAATAACCAAGACCTATTGAGCACTTACTTGTGCAGGCACTATTCTAAGTGCTTTGCATGAATAAATCTACTTCATTATCTAATAACCCTAAGAGGGAGGTGCTATCATTATCGCTATTTTTATATAGCAGGAAACCGAAGCACAGAAAGATGAAGTAACTTGCCAGAGCTTATACAACTAGTCAGTGGCAAATCTAGGATAGATCCAGACAGTGTTACTCCAGTGCTCCTCACCATTACTCATATTGCCTTTCAGTAATTTTGTTCCATGAATATTTGTGGCAAGAATAAATGAAGAGGGTTATACCAAAAGTTCAAAGTGCGATGGGTCTCTGGAATGAGAGAGTTTGATTTTTCATATGGCTGTCTGCCATAGCATCTAGACAGTCCCTGAGAGGCAGATAAGACTCAGAGGAACAGATGTGGCAGGATGAGGACTCCCATAACCAGACACATCAACAGAGTGGAAGATGATGTGATCTGGTGTTGATGGAAGTTTGTAAAGATAGACCCCTGCCAGAATGTAGAAGGTCTTGAATGAGACTTTTGGGGCTTCATCTTAGACAAGGGCATTACAGGATTGAATATACAACAAAGTCCTGTTCCAGCAACAACTAGAGTCAGGTGAAGGAGATCAAATGACATTTCTCCCCCTACCTATCCACAGCTACTTATTTCCACAAGGGCTGAAAGGTCCCTGCACTTCAGATATATAAAAAATGTCTGATGGCTGAGGAAGACTTGGAGGAGGGAGGTTGCTGGGACAGACATCAAGGAACCCTGAAGAGAGTTCAACGTAAGGGCCAGAGGCAAAAAGAACTAGGATCAGCATTGGTGACTAATATCAGAGGGCAGGGCTGGGTCTAGGAGGAGGAGGGCAGCAGGTGACATGGAAACTCATCGGAATCTGATCACCTTCCCAGAGTGTATGCTACAGGAGAGGGGCTGTGGACACTGACACAGACATGCTCAAATACCCCGTCACAGGCTGAGTGTGACCAGTGGAGTGGTATGGCCCTCGTGCTCCCAGTTTCACCAGCATTTCATGTTGTACTTTCCCAGCTCAGCCAAACATATGTATGGTAAGAGTGACAGGAACCGTTCTAACCTAAAAAGGAAAGGATAGATTCCATTCCTGGACATTTATAAGTATTCTAGGAGGAGTCTTGGAGAGAGAGCTGGTACAGCAGACTAGACTTTCTATAATCATATAGATGTTATGCCTGAACACATGAAACTTGGGAAATAATAGTAATAGGACTAAACCTATTCTCCTTGGATGCTGCAGCCTGAGGCACTTGGGATACACAGCTCTCCAGCTCAGATTGTTCTACTAAACTGCACATCCAGCTATGCTCTGGACTTCTCCACTTGGATGTTTCGTGGCATTGACAACTCAACATGGCAACACCTGATGTCCTATTCCCTCTATGCTCCTCTCCTCCGCCTGGCCTCCTTATTTTAGTGAAATGGCACCATTTTCTCACAGTTGCTCAAGGTAGAAACGTGTGCATGGTATTTTATTTCTGCATCTACTTCGACCCCCATATGCAATTCACAAAGTCTTGTCTAGTCTACTTTCTCTCACCATCCTCACATCCCGTAATTAGATCAGGTCACTGTCATCTCCACCAGGGTTATTGCCACAGCATCCCACCTGGTTTTTCTCCCTTCAAATCTGCTTACCCAACCACCCCTCCAAATGGTTCTCTGCTCCACAGCCAGCACAACTGTTCTAAAATTCAAATCTGGGCCGGACATGGTGACTCACACCTGTAATCCCAGTACTTTGGGAGGCCAAGGCGGGTGGCTCGTTTGAGCCCAGGAGTTCGAGACCAGCCTGAGCAACATGGTGAAACACCATATCTGCTAAAAATACAAAAATTAGCCAGGCCTAGTGGTGTGTGCCTGTAATCCCAGCTACTAGGGAGGCTGAGGCATGAGAATTGCTTGAACCTGGGAAGCTGAGGTTGCAATGAGCTGAGATCGCGCCACTGTACTCCAGCCTTGGCGACAGAGTGAAACGCAATCTCATTAAAATAAAATAAAATAACTAAAATTTAAATCTGAGCATGAACTTTTCTGAACTCCTTAAAGCGCTTTAACAATGCCCTCCTGCTCTCACCATAAAGCTCAATGTCTTAACAAGGTGTGTATCATTAGTGCCTTGGAGCATGGCTGGCACCTAACACACACCCTGTAAATATGTGTGGCATAGAATCTGGAATGAGTTGGCATGTCTCCTTGTAGCTTGCTGTAAGCACTAATGAGAGTAGGCTTTGACTTCCCTATGTGGAAATAGTAGCTAACACGTTGTTACAAGTTGGTGATTTGTCTTTTTACTTCACCTGTGTATTTTCTGCTATGCTAAAATTTTAAGTTTGATTATAATCAAATCGATAGATCTTTTGTTTGTGGTTTTGGGGGCTTAAGTTAGACATTCCTTGCCTGACACTATTCACAATAGCAAAGACATGGAATCGACCAAATGCCCATCAATGGTAGACTGGATAAAGAAGATATGGTACATATACACCATGGAATACAATGCAATCATAAAAAAGAACAAGTTTATGTCCTTTGGAGAAACCTAGATTGAGCTGGAGGCCATTATCCTTAGCAAACTAATGTAGGAACAGAAAACCAAATACCACATGTTCTCACTTATAAGTGGGAGCTAAATGATGAGAACACATGAATACAAAGAGGGGAACAAGAGACCCTGGGGCCTGCTGGAAAATGGAGGGTGGGATGAGGGAGAGGATGAGAAAAAATAGCTATTGGGTACTAGGTTTTGTACCTGGGTGAAAAAAATAATCTGTACAACAAACCCCTGTGACATGAGTTTCTCCATACAACAAACCTGCACATGGACCCCTGAACTTAAGCTAAAAGTTAAGAAAAAAAGAAATTGTTTGCCTGTTTCATGATTATAGAAATGCTTTCCTATGCTTTGACCTACCACTCTGATTTTTTTATATTTAAATATTTAATCCATTTAAAGTTATTTGTGCGTATGATGTGAGGTAAAGACCTAATTTTATTGATTGCCCATTCAGTGGTCAGTTTCCCCAAATAAATAATCCATTCTTTCCTCATTGATTTAAATGCCACCTTAATAATGTATTGGATTCACATATACACAGGGTTTGTTTCTAGACTCTCTCATCTGTTCTGATGGTTCAACTTTTCTATTTCTACACGAATATCATACTATTTTATTATTTATGGTTTTTGGCATGCATGAGTTTTGAATATTTTAAAAGTAAAACTTTTACTATGAGATTTCTTCCATTTAAAAGTTCAACCTTCTATCTTACTTATTGAGATCTGTAAATGAAATAACTTGATTTCACATATACATTTACTGTACAAGGAAAGATTAATTTAAGCAAGTGAATATTTTTACTCTGCCTGTAACATTCACATGCCTACCACCTCACATAATTTCTTCAGAATCTGCTTTCAAGTATATTAGAAAAATTATCTTTTTATAACCACAAATAGAGGCATTTTTCAAATTTACTATAGGGTAACATTTTAATTACAGAAAGTAATTTCATTATTATTGATGAGAAACAGCCAATAGTATTGTTAGTTTTTGTTTAAACATGAAATGCCTGCAGCTCTGGATCTGTATCTCTTCTGAATGTATTTACTTATTTTTGAATCACCTGTTACTGCTTCTGCAAATTAAAGTTGGAGAAAAAATGTTTAAGATTTTTAATTCAGAAATATGATTAGAGTTTATTATAACTCTTCATTGGAGAATTATTTAATATAATGCTTCTGTAATTAAACCTATTATTTCTCCCTTTCATATTTAAACACAAAAAGTAACAGACTAAAAGCACAATACCAAATGACAAATCATATCTACATCACTATTTTAGTAGTCTTGTTTTTATACTTCTTAAAGAAAAATAAAATCAAAATTTATATTTTATATATTTCTGAGCACATAATTAGAAAGTTTATATAATTCTTTATTAATCGAAGCCAGAGTGTAGGAATGAAATAAAACTACTTGTGTTTATAACAACACAGATTTTTTTATAAATAAAGAGTATTTCAAATCCAAAATCTTTAAAGTATTTAAAGCAAATATTACTCAATTATTTTGTGCCAAAACTTATATGACTAACATATTGATGTCGGCAACCTCTCTTTTCAGAATTTATCCTATAGAAATGTGCAAATATATATATAGAAACAACCTGAAAATCTAACAATGGATGAAAGGTTTAGCAACTCAAGGTATCTGTAGAACAGAAAACTATGTAAATGAGTTGCAAAATAACATGTTTAGTTTTATCCCTTTTTTTTTTTTGTAAAATTAAACAAACATACCAAAAAAGTTTTCTGTGTCTACAAAATGTAACAAGATGGAGACCATGTTAGCCTTTTAGAGCACGGGGTTGCCAACCCCCAGGCCAAGGACCTGTACTGGTCTAATGCCTGTTAGGAACCGGGCCACATAGCAGGAGGTGACTAACAGGCAAGCAAGCATTGCAGCATTACCGCCTGAGCTCTGCCTCCTGTCAGATCAGCAGGGGCATTACATTCTCATAGGAGTGCAAACCCTATTGTGAACTGCGCATGCGAGGGATCTAGGCTGCACACACCTTATGAGAATCTAACTAATGCCTGATGATCTGAGGTGGAACAGTTTCATCCGGAAACCATCCCCCCGCCGCCTCCCCAGTCCGTGGAAAAATTGTCTTCCATGAAACTGGTCCCTGGTGCCAGAAAGGTGGGGGGTCACTGTTTTAGAGGGATAAATGTTTTGGTAGTAAAATATCTCAATAAGGTATCACCGACTGGTTGTGTACCCACATGCCATGGACATCAGCTTACACCAACAGTTCATGAAGGTTCTCCATAAGGCCTTAAGAGAGGCTTGCAACTTAAAAGAAATAGAAATTATCCTAAAGCCTTTATTTCTTGGAGTGCAATTTAAGCATTTGTCCAAAGCACAATATTTGCAATTTCTTTCAAGGCATTGTTGTTTATTCTGTTCTGAACCACTAGTGAAATGATCTGCTTCGGAAATTTCCTCTCCCAGTAATTTAACAATATCCATTTGTTGTTGCATTTTGCTTTCCACCAAAATCATCATCTGTTGGTGTATCAGATTCTCCTTTATTCTCAGTTTGGTTGCTTTGTCTACTGACATTGTAGTAATAAAATTCAGGTGATGCCTGTTGGCCAGCTGTTTAAAGTTTCTAAATAAATACTTCTTAGGCTTTGTCCCCAAATTTTTACAAACAGCTCTAAGAAATTATTTAATTTTTAGCAGTTTATCCGTGATTCATGACAAAAAGAGTCCATAATTCATCATTTCTTTGTTCTTCAAAATTCTGCAATTTTATTAGTGTTCTTAGCTATTTAGGATTCTTTTCTTCCTAACTGATGACTTCCATTTGTTAAGGATAGAGAGATAAATAGATTTTAGTGTAAAAATGCAAATGCTTATGTGCCTTGCTGTTTGTTTTACTCCTTTATCTTTGGATTCTGGAAATTCAAGTATTCTTGTCTGCACATGCAAGAAAATGTTTGTAGGTCATGGACATTTTCTTTGATGGTCCATTGTGACCAGAAGCAAATACTCTGGGCTGTCCTGCACCAGAACAAAGATCTCACTAGCTGATGGAAACATTCATTCCAGCAACTTTTGAATGATAAACCTAATTTTAGATTTACTAGGACTGAAATTTAAATTATTTGAGTAAATTAAAAAGCCTGCAGCAGTCCAGATACACAAACTCTATGGGATAACCTGCTGGCTGCTATCTTGTGTTATTATTACAAAGTAATCGGCTGGACATGGTGGCTCACACCTGTAATCCCAGCACTTTGGGAGGCCAAGGCGGATCACCTGAGTTCCGGAGTTCAAGACCAGCCTGGCCAACATGGTAAAACACTGCCTTTACTAAAAATACAAAAATTAGCTGGGCATGATGGCAGGCACTTGTAATCCCAGCTACTTGGGAGGCTGAGGCAGGAAATTGCTTGAGCCTGGGAGGTGGATGTTGCAATGAGCCAAGATGATGCCACTGCACTCCAGCCTGGGCAACAAGAGCAAGACTCCTAAAAACCTAAAAAAAAAAAAAAAAGTAACCACACCACCTCTTAAGAATTATTTAAAATATTCTTTCTTTTTCTTCACCTTTATAGACAGAAAAATCCCTTCAGTGTCAGGGCTCAACTTGGTTAATAGAATCTGGTTTCTTTCCTTTTTGTGAGAAAGATTCTTTGAATCTCTAGTAGGAAGTGCCCTATTCATCAGGGCTCTGGGTTGCCGTTTGGCATCCCCTATCCAGCTAAGGGAATTGCAATGTGGGTCCTTGAAAACATACTTCATAGAAGACAACCATTTCCCATAGTGTTTAGATGGTTTATGCTGTACTCCTGTAGAAATGGAAGACAGTTCAATAAAGAAGGAAAGGGCAACACAGAAAACTATGTTTCCTAAGGGCATATATATATTTTTTCATCAAATAATGTCATCTCTTACTAATAATTTTGTTTTCTTCTGTCTTGAAATTCTTAAGGGTATGATTTTTGTAGATCCTGGTGCATTCCAAATATATTGTTAACCCAAACCTCTCCTCTATATTTTAAATCCAAATAGCCAACTATCTACTGAAAAATTTACCTCAAAATCAACCTGACTAAAATGGAGCTTGATATTTTATTGTCAATTAACGATTTCTTATCTCAATCAGTGGCAACAGCATCCATCCATTTGCCCAAACCAGGAACTACAATATATAAAGCTCCACCTCCCTCACCCTCAATATCAAATTGGTTCCAAGAATTGCCCAATTGTATCTACCTTCTGCTCCCCCTACCCTGATTCAGATCCCAGCTATTTGGGGCCTGGGTTATGGCCTCTTAACTGTTCTCCCTGTCTGACATCTCACTCCTCTCAGTTCATCCTCCATGTTGCTGTCAGAATGATCTTTCTAAAATGCATATAATATTAAGTTTTTATCCTGCAAAAACTTTGCCATATTCATGGAGACTGTGGTGTGTGTGTCAGGCTCTGTGGTAATTTGCTGGAGCTAGAAAAATAAACATGACCCTGTGTTTGATAAACATGACCCTCAATTTCATAATCTGGTGAAGACAAACAGTTATAATACAATGATAAGTAATAATACTATGATATAAAAGATCCCTAGAGTCTTCCTTACAAATGAAGAGGGGCCACATGTGATAGAGGAAGGAGCACCTGATTCTGCCTTGGGAATCACAGAAGTTCACAGAGAAGATTGAAAGGAAGAGAAACTTGAAGCACTTTACACGGCATTGCCTCATATGAGGAGACTTCAAAAAGCTTGTGGAAAAAAAGGGATTAGAAGATTAAAATATATATATATCAAAAATTCCAAAAAAGATAACAATAAAAAATTAAAACTTTATTTCTTGACATAAGCTCCATCAGGTTCAAGACATTTTTTGTAAGCAATGATATCAGTCATGTAGTCCATCTCTAAAGAAGCAAAAGTCCTGGGAATTTAACCATGTCAATACAGTCTTTTACACTATCAGCTGAAGAAAAATTGATGCCCTTTAAAGATTTTAAGATTGGGAAACAAAAATAAGTCAGAAGGAGCCAAATCAGTACTGTAAGCTGGGTGCCTAATGATTTCCCATTGAAAGTCTTGCAAAATTGCCCTTGTTTGATGAGCGGAATAATCAGGAGCATTGTTATGTTGGAGAAGGACTCTGATGAAGCTTTCCTGGTTATTATTCTGCTAAAACTTGGCTAACTTTCTCAAAATACTCCCATAAAAAGCAGGTGTTATTGTTTTTTGGTCCTACACAAAGTCAACAAGCAAAATGCCTTGTGCATACCAAAAAATTGTTGCCATGACCTTTATTCTTGACTGGTCCACTTTTGCTTTGACTGGACCACTTCCTCCTCTTGGTAGCCATTGCTTTGATTGTGCTTTGTCTTCAAGACAGTACTAGGAAAGCCATGCTTCATCTCCTGTTACAATTCTTTGAATAAATGTCTCAGGATCTTGACCTCACTTGATCTCACTTGGATAATTTCCACTGAAAGTTCTGCTCTTATTTGTAGCTGATATGGGCACAACAGTTTTGGTACCTATCAAGTAGAAAGTTTGCTCAATTTTAACTTTTCAGTCAGAACTGTGTTAGCTGAACTGATTGAGATGCCTATAGTGTTGGCTATTTTTTCTACTGTTAATCATCAGTCTTCTTCAATTAGGGCATGAACAAGATTAATTTTTTCCTCACTAATTGATGTGGATGGTCTGCCACTGTGGCCTTCATTTTCAACATCCTCTTGCCTCTTCTTAAAACAGGTTATCCATTTGTAAACTGCTAATTTCCTTGAGGCATTTTCCCTATAAAGTTTTCATAAATTGTCATTCTTCCACACAAGCTTCACCATAAATTTGAGGTTTGTTTTTGCTTTAATTTTAACAGCATTCATGTTGCTCTGATGGGGGCTCTTCTCAAACTAATGTCTTATGTTTTTTAGTACCTCAAACTAGATCCGGTTAAGATATGTTAAAACAACTTAGTTTATTTTGGTACAAAAAATTTTTGAAATCTATGCATAGTGTTTTCATAATACTCATTTTCCATGAAATTTCTGAAGACCTCTCATATATCTCCATGAACCTAGGTCTCAGAAAGGGTGGGGGCCATGGGATGGGGTGAGTGAAGGATGTGAGGAGAGTGTGAAGTTGTGCCTCGGCCTTTGTGGGGAAAGGGAAGAGATGTTTACCAAGACACTTGAAAGGATTGTTGATCACTGTTGACAAGCAAGCTGATTTGGGTTCCAGGATTTCCAAATTAGAAGCACAGAAGGAAGTGGCAGAGCCATGAAGTCTTGGGCTAAGCCATTAGCGTTTCTGGGCTGAGCAGAAAAGCCTCAGATCTAATATTTGGGAGGCTTCAGGTGACAGAGAAGGGAGACAAAGTCCAGGCTCTAGGCAGTCATAGCATTACAGTCTTGCCATAACTTGAGCTGGGAAGGGCCATGGAAGCTTTGTTTCATCTCTGTATCTTATGAATAAGGGATGAGAATATAAGAGAGTTGGGCAAATTATCCCAGATATTCTGCAGTCAGGGATGAGAGTCCTAGCTCTGCTGTATGGCCTTGGGTGAGAGAGTTAATTTATCTATAAAACCGAATTAATAATGGTCACTATTTCATGGGGTCACTGGGAGGATTGGGTGAGTAATGCACATAGGATACATGGCATGTTGAGCCAGGGTGAGCTTCAGTGCCAATGTGCTATTATATTATAACTACTACTGACGAGGTCTCACAGCTAACTCAAAGCAGAGATAGAAAAAGAACCAAGGGTTGGTATCATATTCTGTTTCCCCACCCATTGACTTTCTTTCTGAAGAAAGGAGGAGAAGAGTATCCTAATAGCAAGAACCTACAGTAAAGTCACCAATGGACAATAACCCAGGTCTGGAGCCAGAAAGTTTGTAAATTCTTAAAACCAATTACAAGAGCTTTCTCCATTTTTTTTCCTTCTCTTTGCCTTCTGGAATGATAGGTCTTGTGGGGGAGGGCAATTTAGGGGTACACAGTTTTGTAGAACTATGGAAGGCACCAGGGGTACCCACCAGCTGGGTAATTCTAGTTGTCCTAAAACCTAGGCTTTTTGGTAGAAGGAAAAAATGGACTTTGGGACTTCCTTCTACATTAATCAGCCCTGGTAACTAGGGTAGGAAAATAGACAGAAATCACAAGGAAAACCTCTGTTCCTAAATAGAGTGCAGAACCTTACAAGGGATAGCTAGGCAGGGTACAGAAGGGAAAGCTATTAATTTGCATTTTGGAAGATTAATAGATGTACATGGTAAAAAAATTCAAAACATAACAAAGCATATACAGTGAAAAATATGTCTCCTTTCCACCCACTCCCTAGTTTTTCCTCTTAGTGACAAACTCTGTCACCAAATTTTAATTTATTTTTCCAAAGATATTTTGTGCATTTACTAACAAAGACTCTTACACATAGACTGTTTATTGGGTACATTTTTGCATGTTAGTGCCTTGCTTTTTCCACTTAAAGATCTATCTTGGAAATTATACTATATCAGTAAATTAAAGCTGCCTCTTTCTTTTTATGCCTACATGGTATTTTATTGAATGGATGTGCCAAAATACATCCCCTATCAAGAGACATTCATATTGTTTTCAAACTCTTGCTTTTACAAATACAGTTGCAATGAATATCTGTGTACATATGTCTTTCTGTATATGTATGTTTGTATCTGTAAGACAAATGCAGAGAAGAAGAATTGCTGTGCCCAAAGAAATGTGCATTTTTAAATTCTGATGACATAATAGGATATTAGATGTTACTTTTCCTGTCTTAGATTTTCAGCAAAGGCCTCAAAGACCAAACTCTAAGTGATGAATCAGCTATTTGGGACATGCAAAGAGACATTAATACCTGTTTTCTTTCCACCTTTAGCCTCTCCTCTGCCTCCAGGTTACATAAGAGAAGACTAAGAGTTCATGGAGAGGTAGAATATTAGGAGACAGCGTTTCTCTAGAGCATGAGAGACTGGAGAGTTGTCAGAGCCATGTACTATTTCTCCTTTTTAGAGCTTGTTTTCCTCTTAGGTTAAGCCAAATGAGGGGGTTCTTTTTTTTATTATTATACTTTAAGTTTTAGGGTACATGTGCACATTGTGCAGGTTAGTTACATATATATACATGTGCCATGCTGGTGCGCTGCACCCACTAACTCGTCATCTAGCATTAGGTATATCTCCCGATGCTGGTTCTTAAGAGTCACCCAGAGAAGTTGTCATGTTTCCCTTGAAATTTTGGGATACAGAAACTAGTATTTGAGTCACTACCAGGAAAGCAGTCTAAAGGCCACAGTCTGTGACAAAGTTCCCTCTGTGAGCAGAGTGAGAAGAGGCTGCCATGGTGTTCTGTGTTTTTTTTTAGATTCTGTGTTGGCCTATTTGGCACTACAGGTCCAATTATACTAATAAGATTTTCCTTATATTCTGTATTTTTAATGCTCTAGTATTTGCAGGCCTTATAGACCCAGTGAGAGAACTGCCTCCCAGGGCTTGCTAATTCCTAAAGATAATAACAACTTGCCTACAAGCACATCTTTCATTGCAAACCAACAAATCCTAAGTCTATAGCCCCAACCACCTCCGTATCTAATTCACATACCAAGCTAAGCCACCCTCCTGCCCTAAATCATCCCAGGCCAGGTACCAGGCAACTAGAGACAACCCCTATGCCTCAAAGCCCTCTGGAATTATTCAAATAGCCAATCCTAAAGTGCTTACTCTGCCCTTCTTGCTTTTCCCATGGAAACTTCAACAAAGGCTGTGGCCTAGGCCTTCCCCTCACTCTTGCTTCTGCCTGTCCAAACCTGGTATTTCCCCTGTGGTCTTGGTGGTGTGACATGTCTCCTTCTTTTAGGAAATATACATAATAAATTCTTCTTTCAGTGGCATCAATTTCTTCCTGTGCCATCAATCGGTCACCTCCATTAAATAGAATCCCTTGGGTATAGTTTTAATATGCATGGGTGCAGCCTTACCTCCTCCAGCGATGGGATGAGTGTTCCTGTGGTCTGAGGTGGTCCTTGTGGAACGGAACTGGAATTGAAAAGTATCTCTCCAAGTGGAGCCCACTGCAGCTCAATGAGGCCTACCTGCCTCTGTAGACTCCACCTCTGGGGCAGGGTATAGCTGAACAAAAGGCAGCAGAAACTTCTGCAGACTTAAACGTCCCTGTCTGACAGCTTTGAAGAGAGTAGTGGTTCTCCCAGCACGGAGTTCAAGATCTGAGAATGGACAGACTGCCTCCTCCAGTGGGTCCCTGACCCCAAGTAGCCTAACTGGAAGTCACCTCCCAGTAGGGGCTGACTGACACCTCATACAGCCAGGTGCCCCTCTGAGACAAAGCTTCCAGAGGAATGATCAGACAGCAACATTTGCTGTTCTGCAATATTTGCTGTTGTGCAGCCTCCGCTGGTGATACCCAGGCAAACGGGGTCTGGAGTGGACCTCCAGCAAACTCCAACAGACCTGCAGCTGAGGGTCCTGACTGTTAGAAGGAAAACAAACCAACAGAAAGGACATCCACACCAAAACCCCATCTGTACATCACCATCATCAAAGACCAAAGCTAGATAAAACCACAAAATGGGGAGAAACCAGAGCAGAAAAGCTGAAAATTCTAAAAATCAGAGTGCCTCTTCCCCTCCAAAGGAACGCAGCTCCTCTCCAGCATGGAACAAAGCTGGATGGATAATGACTTTGACGAGTTGAGAGAAGAAGGCTTTAGAAGATCGGTAATAACAAACTTCTCCGAGCTAAATGAGGATGTTTGAACCCAACGCAAAGAAGCTAAAAACCCTGAAAACAGATTAGATGAATGGCTAACTAGAATAAAGTGCATAGAGAAGACCTTAAAAGACCTGATGGAGCTGAAAACCATGGCATGAGAAGTGTGTGAGGCATGCACAAGCTTCAGTAGCCGATTCAATCAACTGGAAGAAAGGGTTTCAGTGATTGAAGATCAAATGAATGAAATGAAGCAGGAAGAGAAGTTTAGTAAAAAAAGAGTAGGAAGAAATGAACAAACCCTCCAAGAAATATGGGACTATGTGAAAAGACCAAATCTATGTCTGATTGCTGTACCTGAAGGTGACGGGGAGAATGGAACCAAGTTGGAAAACACTCTTCAGAATATTATCCAGGAGAACTTCCCGAACCTCGCAAGGCAGGCCAACATTCAAATTCAGGAAATACAGAGAATGCCAAAAAGATACTCCTGGAGAAGAGCAACTCCAAGACACATAATTGTCAGATTCACCAAAGTTGAAATGAAGGAAAAAATGTGAAGGGCAGCCAAAGAGAAAGGTCGAGTTACCCACAAAGGGAAGCCCATCGGACTAACAGCTGATCCCTCGGTGGAAACTCTACAAGCAAGAAGAGAGTGGGGTCCAATATTCAACATGCTTAAAGAAAAGAATTTTCAACCCAGAATTTTGTATCCAGCTAAACTAAGCTTCAAAAGTGAAGGAGAAATAAAATACTTTACAGACAAGCAAATGCTGAGAGATTTTGTCACCACCAGGCCTGCCTTACAAGAGCTCCTGAAGGAAGCACCAAACATGGAAAGGAAAAACTGGTAGCAGCCACTGCATAAACATTCCAAATTGTAAAGACCATCGATGCTAGGAAGAAATTGCATCAACTAACGAGCAAAATAACCAGCTAACATCATAATGACAGGATCAAATTCACACATAACAATATTAACCTTAAATGTAAATGGGCTAAATGCTCCAATAAAAAGACACAGACTGGCAAATTGGATACAGTCAAGACCCATCAGTGTGCTGTATTCAGGAGACCCATCTCATGTGCAGAGACACACATAGGCCCAAAATAAAGGGATGGAGGAAGATCTACTAAGCAAATGGAAAACAAAAAAAAGCAGGGGTTGCAATCCTAGTCTCTGATAAAACAGACATTAAACCAACAAAGATCAGAAGAGACAAAGAAGGCCATGACATAATGGTAAAGGGATCAATTCAACAAGAAGAGCTAACTATCCTAAATATATATGCACCCAATACAGGAGCACCCAGATTCATAAAGCAAGTCCTTAGAGACCTACAGAGAGACTTAGACTCCCACACAATAATAATGGGAGACTTTAACACCCCACTGTCAACATTAGACAGATCAACGAGACAGAAAGTTAACAAGGATATCCAGGAATTGAACTCAGCTCTGCACCAAGTAGAACTAATAGACATCTACAGAGCTCTCCACCCCAAATCAACTGAATATACATTCTTCTCAGCACCACATCACACTTATTTGAAAATTGACCACATAGTTGGAAGTAAAGCACTCCTCAGCAAATGTAAAAGAACAGAAATTATAACAAACTGTCTCTCAGACCACAGTGCAATCAAACTAGGACTCAGGATTAAGAAACTCACTCAAAACCACTCAACTACATGAAAACTGAGCAACCTGCTCCTGAATGACTACCAGGTATATAATGAAATGAAGGCAGAAATAAAGACGTTCATTGAAACCAGTGAGAACAAAGACACAACATACTAGAATCTCTGGGACACATTTAAAGCAGTGTGTAGAGGGAAATTTATAGCACTAAATGCCCACAAGAGAAAGCAGGAAAGATCTAAAATTGACACCCTAACATCACAATTAAAAGAACTAGAGAAACAAGAGCAAACACATTCAAAAGCTAGCGGAAGGCAAGAAATAACTAAGATCAGAGCAGAACTGAAGGAGATAGGGACACAAAAATCCCTTTAAAAGATCAATGAATCGAGGAGCTGGTTTTTTGAAAAGATCAAGAAAATAGATAGACTGCTAGCAAGACTAATAAAGAAGAAAAGAGAGAAGAATCAAATAGACACAATAAAAAATGATAAAGGGGATATCACCACCCATCCCACAGAAATACAAACTACCATCAGAGAATACTATAAACACCTCTACACAAATAAATAGAAAATCTAGAAGAAATGGATAAATTCCTGGACACATACACCCTCCCAAGACTAAACCAGGAAGAAGTTGAATCCCTGAATAGACCAATAACAGGCTCTGAAATTGAGGCAATAATTAATAGCTTACCAACCAAAAAAAGTCCAGGACCAGACAGAGTCACAGCCAAATTCTACCAGAGGTACAAGGAGGAGCTGGTACCATTCCTTCTGAAAATATTCCAATCAATAGAAAAAGAGGGAATCCTCCCTAACTCATTTTATGAGGCCAGCGTCATCCTGATACCAAAGCCTGGAAGAGACACGACAAAAAAAGAGGATTTTAAACCAATATCCCTTATGAACACCGATGCAAAAATCCTCATAAAACACTGGGAAACTGAATCCAGCAGCACATCAAAAAGCTTATCCAGCATGATCAATTGGGCTTCATCCCTGGGATGCAAGGCTGGTTCAACATACCCAAATCAATAAATGTAATCCAGCATATAAACAGAACCAAAGAAAAAACCACATGATTATCTCAATAGATGCAGAAAAGGCCTTTGACAAAATTCAACAGCCCTTCATGCTAAAAACTCTCAATAAACTAGGTATTGATGGGATGTATCTCAATATAATGAGCTATTTATGACAAACCCACAGCCAATATCATACTGAATGGTCAAAAACTGGAAGCATTCCCTTTGAAAACTGGCACAAGACAGGGATGCCCGCTCTCACCACTCCTATTTGACATAGTGTTGGAAGTTCTGACCAGGGCAATCAGGCAGGAGAAAGAAATAAAGGGTATTCAGTTAGGAAAAGAGGAAGTCAAATTGTCCCTGTTTGCAGATGACATGATTGTATATTTAGAAAACCCCATCATCTCAGTCCAAAATCTCCTTAAGCTGATAAGCAACTTCAGCAGTCTCAGGATACAAAATCAACGTGCAGAAATCACAAGCATTCCTATACACCAATAACAAAGAGAGCCAAATCATGTGTGAGCTCCCATTCACAATTGCTTCAAAGAGAATAAAATACCTAGGAATAAAACTTACAAGGGATGTGAAGGACCTCTTCAAGGAGAACTACAAACCACTGCTCAACAACATAAAAGAGGACACAAACAAATGGAAGAACATTCCATGCTCATGGATAGGAAGAATCAATATTGGTAAAACGGCCATACTGCCCAAGGTAATTTATAGATTCAATGCCATCCCCATCAAGCTACCAATGCCTTTCTTCACAGAATTGGACAAAACTACTTTAAAGTTCATATGGAACCAAAAAGGACCCCGCATTGCCCAGACAATCTTAAGCCAAAAGAACCAAGCTGGAGACATCACACTACCTGACTTCAAACTATACTACAAGGCTACAGTAACCAAAACAGCATGGTACTGGTACCAAAACAGAGATATAGACGAATGGAATAGAACAGAGCCCTCAGAAATAATACCACACATCTACAACCATCTGATCTTTGACAAACCTCACAAAAACAAGAAATGGGGAAAGGATTCCCTATTTAATAAATGGTGCTGGGAAAACTGGCTAGCCATATGTAGAAAGCTGAAACTAGATCCCTTCCTTACACCTTATACAAAAATTAATTCAAGTTGGATTAAAGACTTAAATGTTAGACCTAAAACCGTAAAATCCCTAGAAGAGAACCTAGGCAATACCATTCAGGACATAGGCATGGGCAAGGACTTCATGTCCAAAACACCAAAAGCAATGGCAACAAAAGCCAAAATAGGCAAATGGGATCTAATTAAGCTAAAGAGCTTCTGCACAGCAAAAGAAACTACCATCAGCGTGAACAAGCAACCTACAGAATGGGAGAAAATTTTTGTAACCTACCCATCTGACAAAGGGCTAATATCCAGAATCTATGAAGAACTTAAACAAATTTACAAGTAAAAATCAAACAACCCCATCAAAAGTGGGCAAAGGATACGAACAGACGCTTCTCAAAAGAAGACATTTACGCAGCCAACAGACACATGAAAAAAGGCTCATCGTCACTGGCCATCAGAGAAATGCAAATCAAAACCACTATGAGATACCATCTCACACCAGTTAGAATGGTGATCATTAAAAAGTCAGGAAACAACAGGTGCTAGAGAGGATGTGGAGAAGCAGGAACACTTTTACACTGTTGGTGGGACTGTAAACTAGTTCAACCATTGTGGAAGTCAGTGTGGCGATTCCTCAAGGATCTAGAACTAGAAATACCATTTGACCCAGCCATCCCATTACTGGGTATATACCCAAAGGGTTATAAATCATGCTGCTATAAAGACTCATGCACACGTATGTTTATTGCAGCACTATTCACAATAGCAAAGACTTAGAACCAACCCAAATGTCCATCAATGATAGACTGGATTAAGAAAATGGGGCACATATACACCATGGAATGCTATGCAGCCATAAAAAAGGATGAGTTCATGTCCTTTGCAGGGTCATGGATGAAGCTGGAAACCATCATTCTGAGCACTACCGCAAGGACAGAAAACCAAACACTGCATGTTCTCACTCATAGGTGGGAATTGAAAAATGAGAACATTTGGACACAGGATGGGGAACATCACACACCGGGGCCTGTTGTGGGGTGGGGGGAGAGAGGAGGGATAGCATTAGGAGATATACCTAATGTAAATGATGAGTTAATGGGTGCAGCACACCAACATGGCAGATGTATACATAGGTAAGAAACCTGCATGTTGTGCCCATGTACCCTAGAACTTAAAGTATAAGAATAATAATAATAAAAAGAAAAGTATCCCTCCAAAAACAGGCTGGAGGTGCTGGGCTGGGGGATCTAGGGTGCCAAGGTCTGAGTATGGAGTTTTAAATGGAGGGCATGTTGGCTGGGTAAGGAAGTTTGGGTAAATGTCTCCCGTGAGCCTCAACATCTTCTCGTAAAAAGTCAAGCATTTGGACATTGGCCACAAGCAGAGGGCATCAAAGCCAGATTACAACTGTCTCAGTCACTAAAGATCTTTTCCACCCTTTGCTGCTCTTCCTCCCCCTGTGCCAGACTTCAGGGAACCGGAGGTCACAAGGTGAGTAAAGGAGAAAGTGTCTCAGTCCATTTCTGTGCTATAACAAAATGCCACAGAACGGATAATTTGTAAACCACAGAAATTTATTTCTCATAGTTCTAGAGACTGGGGCAGTCCAAGATCAAGGCAGCAGCAGGTTTGGTGTCTGGTCGGGGGATGCTCTCCCCTCCAAGATGGCACCTTGTTGCTACGTTCTCCAGAGGGGACATACTAAGTTTTGACATGAATTTTGGAGGAGGCACACTCAAATCATAGCAGAAATAGAGGAAAAGAGTTAAGGGAGAAATAGTGAGAAGCCAAACAGGACATCTTTTCTGGGCTTTAGGTTTCTGAGCCTAGGTGAGGACTGAGCCAGGGGTTGGGAAGAAGCATTAAATTGGTTGAGATTAAAGCTTTGATATGAAACTGGACCAAATTCGTTAATAACCAGAAAGTGAGACTATTCACTAATAACTGGAATTGACCAGAAAAGCTATCAGATCTACCCACAATTTCATGAAAGCATAGAAAGTGGAGATTCAAAGTAGCACGAAAGAAAGTTAGTGTTGTGAGCAAATAATGTGTTTTTTCTCTACTGCTTGCACCTCACAAACACCAGTATGTTCAATAAACCAGTTAGAATAGATAGATACCAACTTCCTCCCTCACCAATAAGGTGTATATCATCCATTTGCAGAAGAGGCTTTTGATGTTCACAAAGAGGACTTGTCTATTCTTTGACATTCTATGGAGCAAAATAGAGAGAAAAATAATGTTACTCCTGAATGTCTCCGATCAATCAATACAGACTTCTTGACATCATGTACTGTTTTAAATGCTTGTGTGTCTTCCCAAATTCCAGTCTCCACATATCAAACATATCAAGTTAGGTAGACTGTTTTACATTCCAGATAGGAACATAAAGGAAGGATATAAGAAAAGATTACTTTCAATACTAACTTGTGGTGATAAATGTCTATTAATAAAAAATATATTTTTAACCCAGACATTTATACATCTTTTTAAATATGGTAATGGATCACTACTATGTGGAGAATTAAATAAGAACACAGATATATTAAAATAATGTTGTCCAAAGATCATTTATTAGTTAACTCAAATTTATATTATCTCAAGTACTAGAAGTTTAACTAAGGGTCTAGAAAATACAATTTAAGTTAATATGTTGAGTCTTTTGTAGAATTATAAAAATTAACCTATTTTTATAAAGACTACATGTTATCAAGTTATTTAGTTGAACACATAATTTTACAATTTTATAAATTTAAAATGATTTTAGTTCATTCAACCTCAAAACTAGTAGAGGAAATTTAGAAAATTCAAATTAATTAAACTTTTCATGAAAAAGTAAACCCAAGGCTTTCATAAACCAAAATGTTGTGCTAATGTTATTTTTATATGGTAGAAGGTGGGGAAAGATATAGAGCTATTTTTAAATCAAAATTATTAAACCTGTATAATTTTTCCAAAGGGACACCATAATTAGGAGTATTACGTGATCTCTTTTCTTGTGTCATTATATAGCAGATATTAAAACTTTAAAGTTTTTAATAAGATACTTCTTGTAATAGCCAAGGCTATTAATGAAGCTCACTAAGTCTTTTTTCCTGTTACAGCTTTACCAAGAAAAAATTTTCTTACAGAACCACATATTTAAAGTATAAGAAGTAAAAAAAATTTTTTAGAAAGTTTTAAATTTCTTGTTCTTCCCATTTATGTAAGTGCTTAATATACAAATATTGTTTCACAAAGCCACCTCAAGGAGGAGTTTATTCCTTTAGATTTCTTTTAACTTTTATTTTGAAATGATTTTAAACTTTCAGAAAAAAATGCAAAAATTGTACAGAGAGTTTACATATGCCCTTCACTTCTTTCCCTGATGTTAATATCTTACATAAGCATAGCACGATTATCAAGACCAAGAAATTGACAGTGATGCAATGTTGTTAATGAAATAACATAGTTTATTCAAATTTCACCAGTTTTTCACTGATGTCCTTTTTCTAGCCAAGACCCAATCCAGGACCACATATTGCATAGTTGACCTGTCTTTTTAGTGTCCTTCAATTTGTAATAATTCCTCAATCTTTCTTTTACAGAATATAAAAGAAAGAAAAATTAAAAATACAATTTATATTGTTTTTGCCCCATCCCTGGAACCAACCATTTTTTCTAGGCATCCTAATTTGTTTCTCTGTGTGTGTGTGCGCGTGTGTGTATGTGGTGTGTTGTTCTTTGTTGTTTACTGCCTCTGGATTTTGAGTCTTAGTTAGAAAACTGGCTCTAGGGTCTAACTCCTTTCCTTTCCATATCAGAGAGACACAGTAATAGCCCTACAGTCCACTTTCCAAAGGTCAGATTATTCCATATAAAATAATCACAAGAGCTTCCACAGGAAGTCTAGTAGAAATGTGCAGGTGAGCATTCACCTCCCAGTCACATCCTTTTAGAGGCTCCTGTCATTGTGAGGCCCTCTGTGTATTCTTATTAATCCTAATTATCCATTACATAACTATTGACCACACACATACCTCCTAAGGACAGACATTAATTCCCAGGGATTTTAGTGCCTAAATTAATATTCATAAGCAGAAACACCGTCCTGATTGTAGCATCAGCTCTGCAGCTTCTTCCCAGGACAGACTTGGCCCTTTGACATGCAAAGCCTGGACAGCTCCCTTTCTTCACACTCTTTCTTTCAGAACATGCCTCAGGGTTTGATAAATGATGGTTTTCAGGCTGTCCACCCTTTAAAATTAAAGCTGTCTTTTACTTGAAGAGCAGGATCAAAATCTTTTGCAGAGTCTCTAATTCTCTGGTAATCTCTGTAAATGAAGGGAAATGTTCCTATGAGGGTATATTACTCTTCTATCTGTCCCCTTTCCCTACAAAAATTCTGTATATGAGTGGCAGTTTTCCCAATTAATATTAACTGATATCAATATTACCTTAATATCAATGCAAATGAGAAAATTAGTACCTGTATAATTATACATAAAAGCTGTTTCCAGCTATAAAGTCCATTTTGCCATCACGCCACATTAAACCAGAATTCTTGAAAATATTTACCAAGTTGACCAAAGTCTTATAATCATTATCCAATGATATTTTAATAGTTAATATCAAGATTAACCATCTCTGGTCAATGTTACCCAATTGCAGGCTTTACGTATGCTGTCTCCTGATCCTTGCAATAGTATTAAGTTAGTTTGCAAGTTTGCAGAAATATTAATAGCCAAGAATATACATATTGCTATACAATCAGTTCCTGCTTATAGAATCAACAAAAAGTCTATAATAGATAAATGAGAGTAAAAACTGATTTTTAGTTGTGCTTGATTCAGTTCTCGATAACATGAAAGATCATATCATAATAGAAAATTTCACATTTCTAATATCCATTTTTATGGTTCCATTTAAATTGAATATTGGTAGTTTGTATTATTGAAACTTTATATCATGCTTAATCAACTTTTATTCTAACTCTTTTATTTGACACTAATTTTTATCAACTTTTATGTCCTGGTTTTATAATTATTTACTTATTTGCTGTTTTTAAATGACTTATATTGGATGAGCCTTTCTAACTTTAACCTTTTAGAACCTTTATAACTTTAACCTAATTGGCATCTCTTGTATTAAGTTTGTTTATTGGTTTAGGCAGAAACTGCCTTTTAATGGTGGGTTTACATTATTTATATGAGATCCAGTGTTTGGTACATTTGGTGTTAACTTTTTCAGTATATATTAGGCAACTTTATTGTCTCTGGTTATATGGACTATGTTTTTCCCTTTATCTTTTTTTTTTTTTTTTTTTTTTAGATGGAGTCTCGCTCTGTCACCTAGGCTGGAGTGCAGTGGCACGATCTCGGCTCACTGCAAGCTCCACCTCCCAGGTTCACACCATTCTCCTGCCTCAGCTTCCAGAGTAGCTGGGATTACAGGCGCCCACCACCACACCCGGCTAATTTTTGTATTTTTAGTAGAGACGGGGTTTCACCGTGTTAGCCAGGATGGTCTCGATCTCCTGACCTCGTGATCTGCCCACCTTGGCCTCCCAAAGTGCTGGGATTACAGGCGTGAGCCACTGTGCCCAGCCTTTCCCTTTATCTTTTAAAATGTTTTAGAAGACAAAAAAATCTATTTTAAAGCCTCATGTAAATATCTTGAAATGTTCTATAAGCATTCTATTTCTCTCTTTCCCTAATCAAAAGCCTGCTGTACTTCCCTGCAAGAAAGACAAAGGATGTTACTTTTTTTGTCTGCATCTCCTATTCCCTACATTCAATTTCTCATTCATAATTAAATTTGATATTTCTCACTTTTTTCTCTTCATGTTTCTTTTATACTTTCTGTGTCTTATTTTAAATAATTACTGCAGTATCAGGAGTAATTCTTCCACAGTTATTTTTACTTCTTTAACAATAGTTGGTATCAATAATTCTCACAGGTTCATTTTTTAGCCATTATCCATTCAAATTTCTTTCTCTAATTTTATTCTTGCATACTATACATTGTAGCTGTGAGCGATTTTTTCAAAAGAAGCCCCTGCTGCCACATTTTTTTAAGATTGGTCATGTCTGCAAGTATCTCTCTGTTACTTCCCTATACAAATGGCATGATGTGGTTCATTATTCTTGAGTTGCACTTTTTCCCCTCTGTAGAAGATGTCATCACATTGTCATCCAGCATTGCTCACTGCTGTGGAAAAAGTCAAAGCTAGTTTGAAATTTTACTCCATGAAAATAACCTACTTTTTTTTGCCCGGAAACTTGCAGAATTATCTTTTCCCTTACAGCTTTAAATTTTTATGAAATTATGTTATGGTGTTGCTTTTTGCTCTTGATTTTTGTGTGGGACTTTGGTGGTACTCTCTGTAACTGTTTTTTGTTTTTCGAAAATAATGTTTTCTCTGAGAATTGGTTTTGATCCTTTTGTCTGTTTTTTCACTTTTAGAAACTCCTATTTGGAAATTGGATCTCCAAATTTAACAACTTCTCTTGAATTATTTTCTTGTTTTTAAAATTTCTTTTCCATATTGAATATTGTAATTATGGATAAAGAGGAGAGGGAGGGCGAACATATCTTTTTTTGAGTCCCAGGTCCAGCTTTATTACCCAATACAAGTCAAAACTCTGGAACATTAAAATTCATTATTCCAAAGTTTAATTAAAAACATAATTTACAAATATTTAATATCTTCTGAAAAGCATTTCCAAGTTAAGAATGAAAAAAGATGTGTACACAGTATATAATCAAATACCGGTTGGCTTCAAATCCCATCGAATCCACACTCAGCAACATCAATCTTTTTAGGTTCTTCAAAATCTTCTGTTAAATCTATGAAGTTGTTTTCTACAATAAGGCAAATAATGGAAACCCTATTGCTTTTTGAACTCCATACATGCTTACAATATCACGTGGAGTTACATGCTGTGCACATTTTTTAAGATTATTGGTCACTTGTTTAGAAAGACGCATTTCTCCATATGAGGGACCCAAGAGACAGATCATATTGGGAGGGTGTCTGATGCTCAAAAGCTCATTCTGGGCTTCCTGGAGCTCCTTGAACAATTTGGTGGTCTTGTCAAGTTTCTTTTGAACATGACAGCTTTTTCAGAGTTCAAAACTTCAACTGGAGTGCCAAAGTTTGTTACTGCTTTCAGTGCTATGAGCCTGTCCTGAGTATTGGAGTCCAAACGCACTGCTGGCTCTATTTCTGTAATCTCCATTTCATTTGCTGTGACAAGTATCCTAGTACGACCTTCATCTTCAGGCGATGACATCTCCAGCTCTTGTAGGGTCCTGGAATGTTCTCCTCTTGTTAAAACATTCAGTGAACTAACATATGGATGATCTTGGCATGTGGCCAAAACCTTAAGGATGCTGAAAGCACCTGGAAGATCAGCCTTCCCCATAGTTTGAATAGGTTAAATCAGAATCATCCTTGCTGACATTTGCAAATGTGGAGTCATAATATGGTGCACAAGAACTGTAGGGTTCATAGTGCAAATACAACACGAGAGTTACTTTGTTTCATTTATCCTCTTTGAACCCCTGCAAAGTATTCACTCCTGACAGAAGTCTTCCAGTTGTCATTCCCAGTCTCACAGGGCAATCGCCTGACTCTTACAATGGGACCCACAGGATGGGGAAGTCCCAAGGTCGTTGTTCCATCTGGTTTTCTTCTTTCAAATTTGCACTATTAACAAGCCACCTGGTCAGCTTTCCTCAGATTCCTTAACGATGCGGTTCAACCTGGTTCTGCTCTCTCTCTAAATTATTGCTTTCAAACTCATTTTCAGGCATAACTTTGTCTTTCTATTGTCTTTGCTGGGACTTTTGAAGGCTTGTGCTTCAGCATCTCCAGCTTTCTTGGCCAGCAGCTTCTGTCCACCCCACTCTGCGAGTGTCTGTTCTCTTTCTGCTTTCAAGGTTTTTTTGTTGTTGTTCTTGTTTTTTGTTTTTGTTTTTGTTTTTTTGCAAGTCTGCCATAAAGTCTATGCCCTGCTTCAGAATTCAGGCTCTGAATTCTTTGCTGGCTAAGAATGTTCATCCCTGAGTGCAGTAACTTTTTGGCAGCTTTATAATAAATGGCCTCTGGTTTGTTGTAAAACATGGCATTAGTACACATTAGTTTGAAGTTATCCTTTAGTTCTTCTATGTGCTGGTAGTCATTGTTGTTGATCTTTTCTTTCATGGTATTAAAATCCATTGGGTGTTTAATGATCATGAAGCAGCCAGGAGCAATAAAATCAGTCACAGGAAATGAAAAGAAAGCCCTTGGGTCTTTTCTCCGCAATTGTCTCATCAGTTGACTCAAAGCATCTTGAAGAGGTGTCTGTTCAGCTTCTTGCTTGGCGGAAGAGCTTGTGAGAGGCTTCTCAGCAGGCAGGTCTAATCTCACAGGGAAGTGACACTGGAGCTCTTCCTCTGCCTCCTCTCCACACTGCCTGGAACTCACTTTCTTTCATCCTCCTTTACTCCTCTCTGTTTTCTCCCCTTTCTTTCCCCCAGAACCTGCCTCGGTGCCAGTTGATATTCATTAAAATAAGCCCGAGTTTATTTTTTAAGAAGCCCAAGCGTTTGGAGACCTGGGTGACTTGGTTCCCTCCTGCTTTGAGGACCAGCTTCAAGGGCTTCTCTACATACTCCTCGTACAGGTGCTTGTCTGACCTGGACTTTTTGCCATGTTCCACTAGGTCCCAGTGCCCGACCCCCTCGCCAGGTCCTGGCCCTGCAACACTGCTTTCCGGGCCAGGTGAGCAGATGGCTGCAGCAGGGCCTGAGAGACCCCAGGCCATCAGGCAGTGAGGCATGCTGGAGATTGCTTTAAATATAAAGAAGCCACACAGAACAACAATTATCTAACAGGGAGGCCTTATTTTAGTGAATATCAATTGGTATTTGTTTGGCTGAATCTGAAATGACATGATAGCTGGACTATTTTATTCTTTATACAAGCAGAGCAAAGAATTTAGAGATTCTTCCTTTTGGTAAAGGTTGTGAGCGGCTATTGCTAAATGTAAAGTAGGTGGAATATGTAATAGATCTCACTTCTCTTCAGTCTTTGAGAAATTCTTCATATAACCTGCAGAATAGGTCAGATGCAATAAGACAAGAGTTGGCGAGTTCTTGACATGAGGAGAGCACCCAAATAGGACTCTGGAAGTTTGGTTCTGTGTGTGAGATCAACTATGCAAAGAACATGGCACACACAGGTGTGCATCAGGCATGGTTTACAACTGGCCTTTCCGGGAAGAGGGAGGAGTTCATCACTGGGGATTATCTTGGTCATTTTCAGGACCAGGGATTCCCTGGGGCAAGGGATTGTGACCTAGGATATCTGATGGGAAGAAGGATCTTGTCTACCTGCTTGGGGTTTAGGGGAAGCCCTAGATTTAGATCCTGGACCAGTGATCTCTGTTGAACCTAGGGCTGGGAACCCACAGAGATCCAGGCTGATGGACTGGGCCAATCTGAGGGGAAGAAGGGTGGCTGGAGGACTGGCCGCATGCTCCCAGGACTGGCAGCGGTGGGAATGTGAGAAGTAACACGTGAGTGGTTGAGGCTGGGCCTGGTAAGATGAGTTACGACTGAGATTATTGATACAGTCCTTGCCTTAGAGGGGACTGACACAGAAACCAGGGTAGGACTAAGACTCAGTGGTATATTACTGGCCCCAGCCAGTGGAATGGGGTAATAGAAGTCTTTGGGAGCATAACAACCATTGTTATGAGTGTGGAAGGACTTATCCTTCTTTTTCCCTATTTTATCTCTCTATCAGAGTTGTTTGACAGATCCCTGGGGAAATTATATGTCTTTTCTACAGACTTCAGAACTGACCTCTCTTCTATGACGCACCAGCAGATGAGAGCTATGAAACCAGATGCCATATTTATTGTAGGGATCTTCTTGAGGACATTGTCAATGACATATCTCTTTCCATTTGTTTGAATCATATAATAAATTCTTTCAAAGAAAAGTGTGACATCAGAGGAATTACCAGCCCCTTATGGCCTCATTTACCTTGCATTGACTGATGCTCCCAACACATAAATCTGCCCATTCTTTGCAAATTTCAAATTCAACCAAGTTACTCTTTTTTGTTTGTTTTTGTTTTAGGTTTTTTTGGGGGTTTTTTTTGAGATGGAGTCACACTATGTAACCCAGGCTGGAGTGCAGTGGTGTGATCTCGGCTCACTGCAACCTCTGCCTCCTAGGTTCAAGCGATCCTCCCACCTCAGCCTCACAAGTAGCTGGGATTACGGGCAGGCACCGTCACACCTGGCTAATTTTTGTATTTTTAGTAGAGACAGGGTTTCACCATGTTGGCCAGGCTGGTCTGGAACTCCTGACCTCAAGTGATCCACCCGCCTTGGCCTTCCAACGTGCTGGGATTACAGGCATGAGCCACTGCCCTCAGCCTTAGTTCCTCTTTCTTTTTTTTTTTTTTTTTTTTTTTTTTTTTTTTTTGAGACGGAGTCTCGCTCTGTCGCCCAGGCTGGAGTGCAGTGGTGCGATCTCGGCTCACTGCAAGCTCCGCCTCCCGGGTTCACGCCATTCTCCTGCCTCAGCCTCCCGAGTAGCTGGGACTACAGGCGCCCGCTACCACGCCCGGCTAATTTTTTGTATTTTTAGTAGAGACGGGGTTTCACCGTGTTAGCCAGGATGGTCTCGATCTCCTGACCTCATGATCCGCCCGCCTCGGCCTCCCAAAGTGCTGGGATTACAGGCGTGAGCCACCGCGCCCGGCCTAGTTCCTCTTTCTTATGTGAGACCTCTCATTTGAAGCACAGAAAAAGTAGATATAATTAGAATCTAGTTAATTATGTAACTTTGGATTGCCAGTTCCCACATACTCCCTATGGGCATTATCTTCAAAGGTGTTGCTACATTTCTACTCCTTCAAAATACTTTGAACATAAAGTAACTGCAATTATTTTAGTCAAGGAAAACTGTTTGCTAAGTTCACCTCCACATACTTATAATTCTAAGGTCCTCACTTACTATTAAATTATTCAAATTTATTCACTTTTTAAATAGGCTTCCACCTTCCAAAGAGGCTTTTATATGTTCCATTGTTACTTTTCCGGTGTTTCCCACACCTGCTACGTAACTGATTTGATGAGAAAAATTATTTTGACATCCTATCCTTAATAAGAACAATTGAATTTTCTCCTAACCATAAAAAGTGGGCCTTTGTCATTTGTGTCTTCCCCTGTGCACTCATTGCACTTTCTTCTCTAGACCTGTGGTTAAAGTTTGAAATTGAGGGTACATGAGAGAAGAAGGCTGCATATTGGAAACCCTTTTACCACATCGATATAAGAAACATGGGCTTGCTACACTCGGTCCAGAGGACTCAGACACCATTGAGTGTCACCAGTGTTGACCTAAGCGAACTGCTCTGGAACCAGGAAAGTTCAGGATGGTTTCATTTTAAAAACAAAACCAAAAGCAAAACTTTAAGCCTTTCGGGGGTATCACTGGCATCTGTGGGGGCACTTGCTTACCACCCCTCAGGAACTCTGCGGTAGTGCTTTAAGATAATCTTTTCAGGTGGCTATGTCATGTAAGTCTGAGTTTCTCTTAATCTACAGCTAATATTACCTGAGGGAACACAGGTCTTTCGGAGAGTGGGAGAGAGTGAGAGAAGCTGGGAGGTGGGGGAAGGAGTGAATCAGGAGGAGACCAAGCTCAGCCAGCTTCAATTTGCTTCTATTTTCAAGGTGTCAGCCACCACCATCTTCAATACCAGTAAATGGAAGAGACAGTGTAGCAAATATATGCCCAAATGCAAGCCAAATGCTACCCCGAAGTGCTAATCAGAATTCAATTACTTCTTGTAATTCAGTGTCCCAAGGTGTAGTCTGAGATTAGACTGCTAATGAAGAGATTAGACTTTTTTTTTTTTTCAAGTTTAGCATAATGCTGCCTCCTTACATTTTTAAAATTATTATTGTACTTTAAGTTCTGGGATACATGTGCAGAATTTGCAGGTTTGTTACGTAGGTATAAAGGTGCCACAGTGGTTTGCTGCACCCATCAACCCGTCATCTACATCCCTTCCCTAGCTCCCCTAGCTCCCCACTCCCCAACAGGCCCCAATGTGTGATGTTCCCCTCCCTGTGTCCATGTGATCTCATTGTTCAACTCCCACTTATGAGTGAGAACATGTGGTGTTTGGTTTTCTGTTCTCATGTTAGTTTGCTGAGAATGGTGGTTTCCAGCATCATTCATGTCCCTGCAAAGGACGTGAACTCATCCTATTGTATGGCTGCATAATATTCCATGGTGTATAGGCACCACGTTTTCTTTATCCAGCCTATCATTGATGGGCATTTGGGTTGGTTCCAAGTCTTTGCTATTGTGAATAGTGCTGCAATAAACATACATGTGCATGTGTCTTTATAGTAGAATGATTTATAATCCTTGAAGTTGCTTCCATTTCCACATCTGCCCCCAAGTCATCTTTCCATGCTCAAATCCTACAGAGGGCACAAGCAACTCCTCAAGTTCTGACTGGTTTCAAAGTATTTAATGAGTGCAATGTCCTACTGTACAGATAAATTACAATATATATTTTTAAATATATTATTATTTGAGGCACATATGTGCCTCTTTCTAGTCAGGAAAGGGTGGTCTGGGGCAGGTCAAGTGAAAGGAATGAACTAGTCAGGAAAAGTCTATGGATGGAATCAGCACCGGTGGCTGCCAATTCCTCCAAATCCTACCCACACCAGCACTCACTTGAGTATTTATTGTAAAATTCCTAACAGAACAGAACTGTCAGAAACTGAGTTGTGCCAAATTGTACATACTGCTTAGGCACAAGTGGGATATTTTGTTTTAAAATACTCATAATAGAGTTCCAAGAAGGCCAAATAGGAACAGCTCCAGTCTACAGCTGGAGCATGAGCGATGCAGAAGATGGGTGATTTCTGCATTTCCAACTGAGGTACTGGGTTCATCTCACTGCGATTTCTTGGACAGTGGGTGCAGCCCACGGAGTGTGAGCTGAAGCAGGGTGAGGCATCGCCTCACCCCGGAAGTGGAAGGGGTTCGGGAATTCCCTTTTCCTAGCCAAGGGAAGCTGTGACAGATGGTACCTGGAAAATCAGGACACTCCCACCCTAATACTGCACTTTTCCAATGGTCTTAGCAAATGGCACACCAAGAGATTATATCCACACCCAGCTCAGAGAGTCCCATGCCCACGGAGCCTTGCTCACTGCAGGCACAGCAATCTGAGATTGAACTGCAAGGCAGCAGCAAGGCTAGGGGAGGGGTGTCTGCCATTGCTGAGGCTTGAGTAGGTAAACAAAGCAGCCAGGAAGCTCGAAATGGGTGGAGCCAGTTCGAGCTCCTTGAGGCCTACCTGCCTCTGTAGACTCCACCTCTGAAGGCCGGGCATAGCTGAACAAAAGGCAGCAGAAACTTCTGCAGACTTAAACATCCCTGTCTGACAGCTTTGAAGAGAGTAGTGGTTCTCCCAGCACGGAGTTTGAGATCTGAGAACGGAAAGAGTGCCTCCTCAAGTTGGTCCCTGAACCCCCAGTAGCCTAATTGGGAGACACCTCCCAGTAGGGGCCAATTGACACCTCATACGGCCGGGTGCCCCACTGAGACAAAGCTTCCAAAGGAATGATCAGAGAGCAACATTTGCTGCTCTGCAATATTTGGTGTTGTGCAGCCTCCACTGGTGATACCCAGGAAAACAGGTTCTGGAGTGGACCTCCAGCAAACTCCAACAGAACTGCAGCCGAGGGTCCTGACTGTTAGAAGGAAAACTGACAAACAGAAAGTACATCCATACCAAAACCCCATCTGTATGTCACCATCATCAAAGACCAAAGCTAGATAAAACCACAAAGATGGGGAGAAATCAGAGCAGAAAACCTGAAAATTCTAAAAATCAAGGTGCCTCTTCTCCAAAGGATTGCAGCTCCTCCCCAGCAATGAAACAAAGCTGGATGGATAATGACTTTGACGAATTGAAAGAAGTAGGCTTCAGATGATCGGTAATAACAAACTTCTCCGAGATACAGGAGAATGTTCGAACCCATCGCAAAGAAGCTAAAAACCTTGAAAAAAGATTAGATGAATGGCTAAGTGGAATAAAGTGTGTAGAGAAGACCTTAAATGACCTGAAGTAGCTGAAAACCATGGCACGAGAACTACGTGATAAATGCACAAGCTTCAGTAGCTGATTCGATCAACTGGAAGAAAGGGTATCAGCGACTGAAAGTCAAATGAATGAAATGAAGTGAGACGAGAAGTTTAGAGAAAAAAAGAGTAAAAAGAAATGAACAAAGCCTCCAAGAAATATGGGACTATGTGAAAACACCAAATCTACATCTGATTGGTGTACCTGAAAAGGATGGGGAGAATGGAACCAAGTTGGAAAATGCTCTTCAGGATATTATCTAGGAGAACTTCCCCAATCTAGAAAGGCAGGGCAACATTCAAATTCAGGAAATACAGAGAATGCCACAAAGATACTCCTCGAGAACAGCAACTCCAAGACACATAATTGTCAGATTCACCAAAGTTGAAATAAAGGAAAAAATGTGAAGGGCAACCAGAAAGAAAGGTCAGGTTACCCACAAGGGAAGCTGATCAGACTAACAACAGATTTCTCAGCAGAAACTCTACAACCCAGAAGAGAGTGGGGGCCAATATTCAACATTCTTAAAGAAAAGAATTTTCAACCCAGAATTTTGTATCCAGCTAAACTAAGCTTCATAAGTGAAGGAGAAATAAAATACTTTACAGACAAGCAAATGCTGAGAGATTTTGTGACCACCAGGCCTGCCTTACAAGAGCTCTTGAAGGAAGCAATAACATGGAAAGGAACAACTGGTACCAGCCACTGCAAAAACATGCCAAATTGTAAAGACGATCGATGCTAGGAAGAAACTGCATCAACTAATGAGCAAAATAACCAGCTAACATCATAATGACAGGATCAAATTCACACATAACAATATTAACCTTAAATGTAAATGGGCTAAATGCTCCAATAAAAAGACACAGACTGGCAAATTGGATACAGTCAAGACCCATCAGTGTGCTGTATTCAGGAGACCCATCTCATGTGCAGAGACACACATTGGGTCAAAATAAAGCGATGGAGGAAGATCTACCAAGCAAATGGAAAACAAAAAAAAAGCAGGGGTTGCATTCTTAGTCTCTGATAAAACAGACTTTAAACCAACAAAGATCAGAAGAGACAAAGAAGGCCATGACATAATGGTAAAGGGATCAATTCAACAAGAAGAGCTAACTATCCTAAATATATATGCACCCAATACAGGAGCACCCAGATTCATAAAGCAAGTCCTTAGAGACCTACAGAGAGACTTAGACTCCCACACAATAATAATGGGAGACTTTAACACCCCACTGTCAACATTAGACAGATTAATGAGACAGAAAGTTAACAAGGATATCCAGAAATTGAACTCAGCTCTGCACCAAGCAGAACTAATAGACATCTACAGAACTCTCCACCCCAAATCAACAGAATATACGTTCTTCTCAGCACCACATTGCACTTATTCGAAAATTGACCACATAGTTGGAAGTAAAGCACTCCTCAGCAAATGTAAAAGAACAGAAATTATAACAAACTGTCTCTCAGACCACAGTGCAATCAAACTAGAAATCAGGATTAAGAAACTCACTAAAAACCACTCAACTACATGAAAACTGAACAACCTGCTCCTGAATGACTACTGGGTATATAACGAAATGAAGGCAGAAATAAAGATGTTCATTGAAACCAGTGAGAACAAAGACACACCATACCAGAATCTCCAGGACACATTTAAAGCAGTGTGTAGAGGGAAATTTATAGCACTAAATGCCCACAAGAGAAAGCAGGAAAGATCTAAAATTGACACCCTAACATCACAATTAAAAGAACTAGAGAAACAAGAGCAAACACATTCAAAAGCTAGCAGAAGGCAAGAAATAACTAAGATCAGAGCAGAACTGAAGGAGATAGAGACAGAAAAAACCCTCAAAAAATCGATGAATCCAGGAGCTGGTTTTTTGAAAAGATCAACAAAATTGATAGACCACTAGCAAGGCTAATAAAGAAGAAAAGAGAGGGCTAGGCACGGTGGCTCATGCCTGTAATCCCAGCACTTTGGGAGGCCGAGGCAGGTGGATCATGAGGTCAGGAGATTGAGACTATCCTGACTAACATGGTGAAACCCCGTTTCTACTAAAAACACAAAAATTTAGCTGAGCGTGGTGGTGGGTGCCTCTAGTCCCAGCTACTCTGGAGGCTGAGGCAGGAGAATGGCATGAAACCAGGTGGCAGAGCTTGCAGTGAGCCAAGATCACGCTACTGCACTCCAGCCTGGGCAACAGAGAGAGACTCCATCTCATAAAAACAAACAAACAAAAAAAAGGAGATGAAAAGAAAAGAGAGAAGAATCAAATAGATGCAATAAAAAATGATAAAGGGGATATCATGACCCATCCCACAGAAATCCAAACTACCATCAGAGAATACTATAAACACCTCCATGCAAATAAACTAGAAAATCTAGAAGAAATGTAAAACTTCCTGGACACATACACCCTCCCAAGACTAAACCAGGAAGAAATTGAATCCCTGAAAAGACCAATAACAGGCTCTGAAATTGAGGCAATAATTACTAGCCCACCAATCAAAAAAAGTCCAGGACCTGACAGATTCACAGCCAAATTCTATCAGAGGTGCAAAGAGGAACTGGTACCATTCCTTCTGAAAATATTCCAATCAATAGAAATAGAGGGAATCCTCCCTAACTCATTTTATGAGGCCAGCATTATCCTAATACCAAAGCCAGGCAGAGACACAACAAAAAGAGTTTTAGACCAATATCCCTGATGAACATTGATGCAAAAATCCTCAATAAACTACTGGCAAACTGAATCCAGAAGCACATAAAAAAGCTTATCCACCGTGATCAAGTGGGCTTCATCTCTGGGATGCAAGGCTGGTTCAACATACGAAAATCAATAAACATAATCCATCATATAAACAGAACCAAAGACAAAAAACCACATGATTATCTCAATAGATGCAGAAAAGGCCTTCGACAAATTCAACAGCCCTTCATGCTAAAAACTCTTAATAAACTAGATATTGATGGGACGTATCTCAAAATAATAAGAGCTATTTATGACAAACCCACAGCCAATATCATACTAGATGGGCAAAAACTGGAAGCATTCCCTTTGAAAACTGGCACAAGACAAGGATGCCCTCTCTCACCACTCCTATTCAACATAGTGTTGGAAGTTCTGGCCAGGGCAATCAGGCAGGAGAAAGAAATAAATGGTATTCAGTTAGGAAAAGAGGAAGTCAAATTGTCCCTGTTTGCAGATGACATGATTGTATATTTAGAAAACCCCATCGTCTCAACCCAAAATCTCCTTAAGCTGATAAGCAACTTCAGCAAAGTCTCAGGATACAAAAGCAATGTGCAAAAATCACAAGCATTCCTATACACCAATAACAGACAAACAGAGAGCGAAATCATGAGTGAACTCCCATTCACAATTGCTTCAAAGAGAATAAAATACCTAGGAATAAAACTTACAAGGGATGCGAAGGACCTCTTCAAGGAGAACTACAAACCACTGCTCAATGAAATAAAAGAGGACACAAACAAATGGAAGAACATTCCATGCTCATGGATAGGAAGAATCAATATTGTGAAAATGGCCATACTGCCCAAGGTAATTTACAGATTCAATGCCATCCCGATCAAGCTACCAATGACTTTCTTCACAGAATTGGAAAAAACTACTTTAAAGTTCATATGGAACCAAAAAGGACCCCACATTACCAAGACAACTCTAAGCCAAAACAACAAAGCTGGAGGCATCACACTACCTGACTTCAAACTATACTAGAAGGCTACAGTAACCAAAACAGTATGGTACTCTACCAAAACAGAGATATAGACGAATGGAACAGAACAGAGCCCTTAGAAATAATACCACACATCTACAACCATCTGATCTTTGACAAACCTCACAAAAACAAGGAATGGGGAAAGGATTCCCTATTTAATAAATGGTGCTGGGAAAACTGGCTAGCCATATGTAGAAAGCTGAAACTAGATCCCTTCCTTACACTTTATACAAAAATTAATTCAAGTTGGATTAAAGACTTAAATGTTAGAACTAAATCCATAAAAACCCTAGAAGAAAACCTAGGCAATACCATTCAGGACATAGGCATGGGCAAGGACTTCATGATTAAAACACCAAAAACAATGGCAACAAAAGCCAAAATTGACAAATGGGATCTAATTAAGCTAAAGAGCTTCTGCACAGCAAAAGAAACTACCACCAGAGTGAACAAGCAACCTACAGAATGGGAGAAAATTTTTGTAATCTACCCATCTGACAAAGGGCTAATATCCAGAATCTACAAAGAACTTAAACAAATTTACAAGAAAAAACCAAACAACCCCATCAAAAACTGGGCAAAGGATATGAACAGACACTTCTCAAAAGAAGACATTTACACAGCCAACAGACACATGAAAAAATGCTCATCATCACTGGCCATCAGAGAAATGCAAATCAAAACCACAATGAGATACCATCTCACACCAGTTAGAATGGTGATCATTAAAAAGTCAGGAAACAACAGGTGCTGGAGAGGATGTGGAGAAATAGGAACACTTTTACACTGTTGGTGGGACTGTAAACTAGTTCAACCATTGTGGAAGACAATGTGGCGATTCCTCAAGAACCTATAACTAGAAATACCATTTGACCCAGCCATCCCATTACTGGGTATATACCCAAAGGGTTATAAATCATGCTGCTATAAAGACACAGGCACACGTATGTTTATTGGGGCATTATTCACAATAGCAAAGACTTGGAACTGACCCAAATGTCCATCAATGATAGACTGGATTAAGAAAATGTGGCACATATACACCATGGAATACTATGCAGCCATAAAAAAGGATGAGTTCATGTCCTTTGCAGGGACATGGATGAAGCTGGAAACCGTCATTCTGAGCAAACTATCACAAGGACAGAAAACCAAACACCACATGTTCTCACTCATAGGTGGGAACTCAACGAGAACACTTGGACACAGTATGCGGAACAACACACACCAGGGAGTGGGGAGGGATAGCATTAGGAGATATACCTAATGTAAATGACGAGTTAATGGGTGCAGCACACCAACATGGCACATGTATACATATGTAAAAAATATGCACGTTGTGCGCATTTACCCTAGAACTTAAAGTATAAAATAAAATAAAATCTCATAATAGGTCTCAGGATTTTGTAAAATATCTAAAAATGCAATGGTTTATACACTCGCTCGAGCTAATATGCCCCCACAGACTCACAGTTATTATTTCTCCGTTTCTCCTAAACTCAAATATGGTAAGTATTCTGTGTCATTAGTTAAAATGTGTAAATAGTTAATCACATTCCCCTCTTATACAGTTTCCTCTAAACACTATGTAAACATGATATGACCGGAACAAAAACACAAAGGGATTTCTGATTTCTTTGTGATCAGTGGTTCCTAATAATGTATGGTAAGCATTATACCCAATCAATTCACTCTTTCCGTATCTAATTTCTGTAATTCATCATGCAGGACAAACATGAAAGACAGCATATGCTTCCAAAAGCCCTAGACCATGCAACCTTTAAAAATGGTTTGCTATCTTCGTCTTTAGTAGTTTTGATTCCAAAGCACATTGTCTCAGAGCACTGGACCTGAGATCCTCTATGTACCCACTGCATCAATATCTGCAGCCTTGCTGTATCACAGCAAACCTCCAAGTTCACACACTGCTATTCTTGGGCTCTGGGAGCATGCTTTTGGTTTCTTTACAGACTCCTTGGAGCAGTATGTATAGACTATAATGTCACATCTAGAAAACTTGAATCCTTAATGTATACTGTACTCTAGAGTTGATGAGACTTGGTGATTTTCCTTGGATGCCCCAGTGCTTGAATTTTCCTGATGTTGGCCATATTTGCCAACATCAGCTGCCAATTGGGTATAAAAAGCCCCAGCAGAAGAGGAAGAAGGGAAAAGAGGCTCCAAGTGAAATACCAGAGAATCACATACCACCACTTTTCTTCCACCAATTCACAAGAGAAAAAACCCAAACCCACAACTTTCAGAGTTTTGCAAGCAAGTCCACTCCAAACATCTGTATTCACTTTGCTATATATATATATACACACATATATATGTGTGTATACATATATGTATATGTGTGTGTATATATATGTATATGTGTGTGTGTGTATATATATATGTAAAGCAATTTTTAAACTTTTTTTCTTCTTTTCTTTCTTTTTTTTTTTTTTAGTATTTATTGATCATTCTTGGGTGTTTCTTGGAGAGGGGGATGTGGCAGGGTCATAGGACAATAGTGGAGGGAAGGTCAGCAGATAAACATGTGAACAAGGGTCTCTGGTTTTCCTAGGCAGAGGGCCCTGCCACCTTCTGCAGCGTTTGTGTCCCTGGGTACTTGAGATTAGGGAGTGGTGATGACTCTTAATGAGCATGCTGCCTTCAAGCATCTGTTTAACAAAGCACATCTTGCACCACCCTTAATCCATTTAACCCTGAGTGGACACAGCACATGTTTCAGAGAGCACGGGGTTGGGGGTAAGGTTATAGATTAACAGCATCCCAAGGCAGAAAAATTTTTCTTAGTACAGAACAAAATGGAGTCTCCTATGTCTACTTCTTTCTACACAGACACAGCAACAATCTGATTTCTCTTTCTTTTCCCCACATTTCCCCCTTTTCTATTTGACAAAACCGCCATCATCATCATGGCCCGTTCTCAATGAGCTGTTGGGTACACCTCCTAGACGGGGTGGCGGCCAGGCAGAGGGGCTTCTCACTTCCCAGACGGGGTGGCCGGGCAGAGGTGCCCCCCATCTCCCGAACGGGGCGGCTGGCCGGGGGGGGGGGCTGCCCCCCACCTCCCTCCCGGACGGGGCGGCTGCCAGGCGGAGGGGCTCCTCACTTCCCAGACAGGGCGGCTGCCGGGCGGAGGGGCTCCTCACTTCCCAGACTGGGCGGCCGGGCAGAGGGGCTCCTCACATCCCAGACGATGGGCGGCCAGGCAGAGATGCTCCTCACTTCCCAGATGGGGTGGCGGCCGGGCAGAGGCTGCAATCTCATCACTTTGGGAGGCCAAGGCAGGCGGCTGGGAGGTGGAGGTTGCAGCGAGCTGAGATCACGCCACTGCACTCCAGCTTGGGCAACATTGAGCACTGAGTGAGCGAGACTCCATCTGCAATCCTGGCACCTCGGGAGGCCGAGGCGGGCAGATCACTCGCGGTCAGGAGCTGGAGACCAGCCCGGCCAACACGGCGAAACCCCGTCTCCAGCAAAAAATACAAAAACCAGTCAGGCGTGGCGGTGCGCGCCTGCAATCCCAGGCACTCGGCAGGCTGAGGCAGGAGAATCAGGCAGGGAGGTTGCAGTGAGCCGAGATGGTGGCAGTACAGTCCAGCCTCGGCTCGGCATCAGAGGGAGACCGTGGAGAGAGAGGGAGAGGGAGACTGTGGAGAGGGAGACGGAGAGGGAGAGGGAGCAACTTTTTTTCAACTTTATTTTAGAATCTGGGGTGCATGTGCAGGTTTGTTAAAAGGTGTGTTACATGATCCTGAGGTTTGGAGGGCAGATGAATCTATTACTCATGGAGTGAGCATAGTACCTAAGAGATAATTTTTCAGCCCTTGTACCTTGCTCTCCCTCCTTCCTCTGGTAGTCCCCAGTATCTATTGTTCCCATCTTTATGTCCTTGTGTACCCAATATTTAGCTCCCTCTTATAAGTGAGAACAGGAAGTATTTGGTTTTCTGTTCCTGCATTAATTTGATTAGGATAATCCCTCCAGATACATCCATGTTGCTGCAAAGGACATGATTTTGTTCTTTTTTATGGCTGCATATTATTCCATGATGTATATGTGCCATATTTTCTTCATTCAATCCACTGCTGATGGGCACCTGGGTTGATTCCATGTCTTTGCTATGGTGAATAGCACTGCAGTGAACATATGGGTACACGTGTCTTTTTGGTAGAATGACTTATTTTCCTGTGGGCATATACCCAGTAATGGGATTGCTGGGTTGAATGGTAGTTCAACTCTTAGCTCTTTGAGAAATCTCCAAGCTGCTCTCCACAGTGACTAGACTTATATTCATTCCCACCAACAGTGTATAAGTGTTCTCTGCAGCCTTGCCAACATCTGTTATTTTTTTGACTTTATAACAAAAGCTATTCTGACTGGTGTGAGATGGTATTTCTTTGCACTTTTGATTTGCATTTCTCTGCATTCTTTGCATTGTAGTGCTATTCACCATAGCAAAGACATGGAATCAACCCAGATGCCCATCAGCAGTAGAATGAATAAAGAAAATGTGGCACATATACACCATGGAATAACATGCAGCCATAAGAAAGAACAGAATCATGTCCTTTGCAACAACATGGATGCACCTGGAGGCCATTATCCTAAGCGAATTAACACAGGAACAGAAAACCAAATACTGCATGTTCTCATTTTTAAGTGGGAGCTAAACATTGCATACATAAGGACATATCTGATGATTAGTGATGATGAGCATTTTTCATATGTTTGTTGGCTGCTCATGTGTCTTCTTTTGAGAAGTGTCTGTTCACGTCCTTTGCCCCCCTTTTAATGGTTTTTTTTTTTTGCTTATTGATTTAAGTTCTTTATAGATTCTAGATATTAGCCCTTTGTCAGCCCATAGTTTGCAAATATTTTCTCCCATTCTATAGGTTGTCTGTTTATTCCCTTGATAGTTTCTGTTGCTGTGCAGAAGCTCTTTAGTTTAATTAGGTCCCACTTGGCAATTTTTGTTTTTGTTGCAATTGCTTGTAAGGACTTAGCCATAAATTATTTGCCAAAGCAGATATTGAGAAGAGTATTTGCTGGGTTTTCTTTGAGGATTTTTATAGCTTGAAGTTTTATATATTTAAGCCTTTAATCTGTCTTAATTTTTGTATATGGTGATAGGTAGGGGTCCAGTTAGATTGTGAAGTAGAACACACCTACAATGGAGTTTGCAAAACAAAAATGTTCCACAAGCACAATAATTATCTCAAGGTAAATATCCATATAACCACCCAGGCCAATAAACAGACATTGCCAGCACCCCAAAGACCCTTTCATCCTCCCCTGTGAGCACCCTCTCTCTACTACCCCTCCATCAGTGTTCTGACTGTCACGGCCAACCACCACCTTGCTTCTCTTTAGATCCCTACTGCCAAAGCACTAAGTGTACTCCTGTGCACTATAGTTTAGTTTTGTGGGTTTGTTTCTTTTAACACCACATAAATAAAATTATACAACATATTCTCTATTATGACTGATTCACTTAACTCCATATTACATTTGAGTATATATACATATATACAGTCTTTGATATTATATACATTTTCAGTTTATTAATTTTCATAACTGTATAGTATGCCATTCTATGACTAGACCGCAATTTATTTGTATATTCTCCTATTGATGAATATTGGATTATTTCAGTTTAGGTTTATTACAAATAAAGCTACACGGTGCACATGTTGCTGTTGTTTATGTACCTAGAAGTGGAGTTGCTGTCCCTTAAGGTATGTTCAACTTCAGTAAAAAATGCTGTACTGTTTTCCACAGTGGAAGTCGGTATCCATTTAAACTTCCAATAGTAGTATATTTGTGCTCCCTATTGCTCCATATCTTCACTAACACTTGGTATTGTCAGGCTTTCATAACTTTCTGGTGCATCTTACATTTTTTAATTTGAATTTCCCTGATTACTAATGTGGCTGAGCACCTTTTCGTATGTTCATGGGTCATTTAGAAATCCCGTTTTGTAAAGCGTCTGCTTGAGTCTCTTGCCCTTTGCTTTTGGGTTGTTTGTTGCTTGTGTTTTCTCCCACTCTGTGGCTTACCTTCTAATACTGTGAATAGCATCTATCGAGAAAAAGAAGTTCTTGCCAAGCATGGTGGTGCACACCTGTGGTCCCAGCTACTCATGAGGCTGAGGCGGGAAGATCCCTTGAGCCCAGGAGTTAGAAGCTGCAGTGAGCTATGATTGCACCACTGCACTCCAGCCGGGGTGACAGAGTGAGATTCCATCTTTAAAAGGAAAGTTCTTAATTTTAATGTTATCATATATATTAATCTGTTCTGTATGGTTGGCATTCTTGCATCTTGTTAAAGAAATATTTCCCTACCAGGAGATCATGAACATATTCTGCTATATTATATGCTAGAAGCTTTATTGGCCCTTGGTCAAGTTGCCACAGGTAATCCTGATTTTAAATCCATTGAAAGAGGATGTGGATGCATTGCTGTCTTCCCAGAATGTTCCTGGGCTTCTTATGCAAATTTGCTCATTCTCTAGGACCCAGCAACCTTCAAGTTCCACATATCAGTACTTTCTCACATACACACAACCTATGGGACCTCTTTCTCTATCTCTCTCTCATCTTCCTTTTACCCTTGCAAACTTTTTCCACCAGATATTTTCCCAGATATTTTATTTGCTTTCTCCAGTGGCTCCCTGCCCTTCCTCATGTGGAGCAGTCCATTTCCTTCTCTTGCTTCATCACTTCCGCCTCCGTTCTTTACCTTCATGGTACAGCTGTGGCCCCAGCCAAGCATAAAGATCCTTCCTTATTGAAGGAGGGCAGCAAGGAGTTATAAGCTCAGTGGTTCCACCATGCAGGGCTTGTCTTGGCTATGACATCCAGTCCCAGGACCCAGGGTTTGTTCCATTGCTCCATTGCTCTAGCTTGTGTATCCAAGGCTCCACTCTTATTTCATTTATTTATTTACTTATTCCTTTCTATTCTCAACCTTCACTCCCATTGCCCTCCCCTCAAACTCAAAGGCATCCACTCTAATACACTTGATTTGTATCTTTTTATTTGTATACATTCTTATTAAAATATATGTTGGCATTTTGTATGCATACTTTTAAACTTATGTTGCAATGTAAATTTCATTCTGTTTCTTACTTTATTCAGCATCGTGTGCGGGGCTGGGGTAGGAAGGCTGAGTGTAGATCTGGCTCATTGAGTTTCACTGTACCTTGGCACAGCAACCAGAGGTTCTCTAAGTGCTGCCTTATACGGCACAAAAGATCAAGATGGAACTGGGCCATCTTGTTAAAGCAATGATACATTCAGAAATTGTTGTATAATGTTGGAAATGCAAGGATGCTAGCTTGACGGAGCGGATTCACCCATCATTGTCTGAAAAGCAATGAGTATGCCCAACTGAACAAGTATTCTTGGAAGAATCTTAACTTCCCAGTGATTCTGCTTGACATTGTTGTTAGCTTTCCTGAAGTCCAATTCCAGTACTTAAGACAAGATTTTAAAAATGAAATTGTAAAAAATTTTAAGTAAGTGTGATTAAAAAGAAGCATTTCATCTTTGAGAACACAAGCCCTCCTGAGAACTGGTAACTGTTGTTCCCACAGCAGTCAAGGCCTTTGACTTTAGCAGAAACAAGAGATGACATGAATGGCTTTGGCAGTAAATGAAATGTAGCACACTTAGCACTGGCATGCAGGACCCACATCTGAACCAACATTCATGGCCACAGGCAGTGGTGTCCTAGCAGGAGTTTCATCCTTAGAACAGCCTGAGTAAGCCAAGAGTTCTTAGCAGGCCCAACTGGAGCAGAGAGGAAGGAAATGTATTCTATCAATTTCCTGACTGGGATAGTCACTGGAAGGAGCTAATCACACTTGCTTCCCTAGTGGGTTCTAGGAAGTTGAGAATTATATGGAAGAAGACAGATGGGAATCAAAGTCAGGGTAACCTTCGTACTGTTAATGCTGAATTGGAGAACAAGGCTTTCCTCTCCCTGCTCTCCAAATTGAAGGTAACTGGCAGAGTAGGACTGACCTGATGTACTCAGCAAGGTCAGGTAAAACATCCTTAACCCACAGCAGAAATCCAACTAGTTCTAGCAGAAATAAGTCCTGCTTGCCTAAGTCCAGGTGGTCCAAGAAGAATAGAGCCGGAGAAGACTGCCTTGCTTCCGTAAGACACCATCAGTAATGTGACCTTTCAGTTTAGCTCCTCCTCAGACTACAGGAGGAAGTAACAAAGTGAAGGGAAGGGTAGACATTTCCTCACCAGCACTTTTGAAAGGGCTCAGCTACTGTATGATGTACTTTCCTTTATGAGCAGAAGAAAGAAGGTGGAGAGAGGATGAGAAAGATCCCCCACTTGCAAAAGTCTATGAAGCCCATGTGCAAATGTAGCTGGTGCCTTAAAACTGGAGTGGGAGGAAACCACACTCCCTCATGCTCCTTAGGAGCAAATGGGCTGGAGCCAAAGAAATAATGGTTTGTGACTTATATAGTTTTACCTTTTTTCTACACATAGACATATGGATAGCTTGGGAATCTTAATACATACTTTGGAAGCCCTAATGAAGGGATTCCCACATGGTAAATCTCCATGCTTCCGTGGGGGCGAGGAAATTTTCCACTTCTCACATCCAGTATGACTCCTTCTATGGTGTCCAAATGCTTCATGGCTGTGGCCATGGAAAACAGAGTGCCCCTTTGTGAGCCTGGAGATACCAACTGGGGGAGAGTGGGGACACGTCTTTGCTGGGTTGGAGCTCCAGCATGGACCACAGGGGCCCCCTATGTCCAGCAGAAAGAGGCCAGCCCAGTTCTGTTATGAGCTGTCCAGGGGGTTACACACTGTAAACTCCCTTGGGAAGGGTCAGGAATGTGTCCTGGAAGTTCGTCTGAAAATCAATGACTTTCATTTATGGCCAGGAACTTGTTTCCAGAACTGGGAAGAAAATCTATGGCAGATAGCTGCTCCCCTCTCCCCAGAGACTTAGGAGAATTTTTCCCTGGAGCAGGACTGAAGTGAAAGAAGAGGTGATTGCCCAGGCAGCCAAGCCCCCTTGTAGAAATACTCCAGAAATGGCAAATTTCTGAGAAGACAGAAAATAAAATAAAACCGTAGATAATAACAGGCTTACAGGCTTTCCTGGGAGGCTGGGAAATAATCCTTGAAGACCCTACTGAGTATTTGAGTGTGTGGAGAGTAACAGGGTTCTAAACTCTAAATACCCAAAAATGTAGGAAAATAAAACTTGCAATTAGCCAGGCATGGTGGGGCATGCCTGTAATCCCAGCTACTCAGGAGGCTGAGGCAGGAGAATTGCTTATACTGGGAGGTGGAGGTTGCAGTGAGCCGAGATTGCACCACTGCACTCCAGCCTGGGTGAAAGAGTGAGATTCCATCTCAAAACAAAACAAACAAACAAAAACAACAACAACAAAACTTTCAGATGGCATGAGAGAGGGGGACTACAATGGGGAAGAGTGAAGGAATATGATGGCTAGAGGATGACTAGATATTGGAGAGTCTGAGTTTTATTGGTTGGTTGGTTTTGTTCTGCTTTTAGATTAAAGTGCTCCAAGAGGTTGAAGCTGCAGATAAGAGAGAAGATGGCTCATGGAACGAGGTGCCCAGAGGGGTGGGAGAAAATGAGATTCTGAGTGAACGTGAATATGGAAAGATTCCCTTGGAGAGGGAAGATGCACCTCTTCCACCGATATGTGAACTTTCTGGTAAGAACAGAAGCAGATGTAAGTTTGGATCAGAGTAGGGGAGATTAAAGGAGTGCCGTCTCATCGCCATTGCTTTCTCTGGGGAGTACACAGGCAGGCCACTGCTTAGAGTGGACAGAAGTGGAACTGCAGGGGTAGATGGAAGTGACAGTTTAATAGCCATTGGGGTAGACAGGTGAGGGTCCAGGGAGGCTGGGCCAGGCAGGGGACAGGGGACATGGCACAGCATAGACAAGAAGACAGCAGAGCTAATGGTGTGAGCTTGGAGAAGGTGGAGACAAGGACTGGAGTGTCACAGCACACTTTGTGTGGGGTGAAGCTTGAGGTCTGAGCAATGCCCCTTGAAGGCCCCAGATTTCTTCAGCTTCTTTGCTCCCTGATAGGTTAAGTTTGCTACCACATGAGAGGGGACATCACCTTGCAATGGTGACAGCATTCAGAGTGGCACATGCCACTGCGGAGAGCCGGAACCACGGAGACCATTGTGACCTGGAGGCCAGAGTGTTGGGAAACACTGAGTGGCATCTCACAGAAAGCCAGAGGGGAGGACGTGGGGCTATCAGTCCAACTCCTCAGTTAATAGCCAGGGAAACAGAAGCCCAGGGAGATAAAGACGGTGGCAGAGGAGGAATTCTTTCTTAGCAGATCTTCCATTCCTAATCCAGGATCATTTCCAGGGCTCCCAGGTGAGAAAATGGGGAGGGAGAAAACTGAGTGAATCTCCTCTTAGAGTCATTGGCCTCCTAGGGGTGGGCTGTTGGCTGCACTCCTGGGCATTTTGGCACCACTTTTAATGATCCACATCCTTAACTCCTCAGGCAAAGGCTTCTCTTTTCTAGGTTCTCAAGATGCTTGAATCCTGGGACAAACACAGAGGAAGGAGCTCCTAAGGATGGGGGCAGTGGTGAGGAAACAGGCCACTGAGACAGTGATGGTGTTTGTAGGCAAAGAAGCTACTTGTATTTGCCAACCACACCAGGAGGCCAGGTTAGGAGTTTCAAAACAAGTTTGCTGCCAAGAAAAACACACAAAAACCCATAGATTCATGCTCTGTAAATCTCAAGAAGCAACTCTGTCCCATCCCCAGTCATGCCCTACACTGGGTCTGTCTTAGAATTCTATGTGCAAACTGGCCCCTGCTACTTATGACACCCCCGAGGGCCTGGCTTTCATTCATCCTCCTATCCAATCACTATCTGGTCCCCAGGGTAAAGTGCAGTATCTATACCCAGAGTCACAGCCTGCAGAGCCTCTGGGAGAAGCCGGCCACCAGGATGCTCTTCCCAGTGACGTAGCTGGCATCTGTAGAGTGCAGGAAGGACATGGTTCCTGCACAGTCCTCTTAACCCCTGCATGGAAAGAGAACAGAACTGAGGCCTCAGCCTATGCTCTAATGAACTCTGATCGCTGGTCCTGCTGCTCTGAACATAGGGCCCAGCACCACCTCCAGCCCTGAATCCCACCTCCCTGGCCCATCAGAGGCCTGGGCTCCATAGAGAGATATGGTGGGGCCCCTCATGCCCTCCAGATCCCACCTCATGGGCTGTGCATCCCCAGACTCTGTGAGAGGACGGGCTGATAGGTGAGGATACAGTCCGAGAGCCCTGTCTCCCCTGGAGAAGACTACCTGTCTCTGCTATCCACAGGGGTTTTTAAAGGAGTTTTGCAGAGCCAGATTATCTTCAACCTGAAAAAATTCAGAGGCTCAGTGCTAAATAGAACTGTGAAGGGCCAGAGAGGCTGCCATGGCAGACTCATGCCCTTGTGGGCAGATGGCCCTGCTCAGTGCTGGGTCTGCAGTCCCTCGACTGCTCCCAGAGAGGACAGCCCTGGTGCAGATACAGGAAGTGAGAGGCTGCTGGTCTCACAAAGCCATGGCCAGACTGGGGAAACCAACAAAGTGGTTGGTGGGGGCAACTGGGAGCTGCTGAACCCTCATCATGTGGTTAAAGTCAGTTCTTGATGATTCCTGGCAACAGGCGGGGCACCTGGATACCCTTTGGTGCCAGCTCTATAGCCAAGGGCTTGGTGAGTCCCAGCAGTGCAGTTTTGCTGGTGGTATAGGCCTCCAGCATCTAAGAAGGAAATGAAATGGATAAGGTGCACTGCGCTGGAGGAGAGGGGCTCTTGCTAGACCCCCAAGGCTATGGAGGATGACTATGCCTGCACTTACACCTGCACTCACACCAGCACTCACACCTGCACTCACATGTTTCTCCCACTCCACTCCAGGAAATTACCAGTGAACAAAATCTGAGCAGGAGCGGAATGAAGCCTGGGCTTAAAGAAAAGTCAGGAAGGCAGAGGCTGTGTTCACCCATGCTTAGCCCAGAGAGAATTGCTTAGGGTGCAGAGCCAGGGAAATGCACTAAAGAGACCCATGACCAGATTCCTGCTCTACCATGACTGGTCGCCCTTGGGCAAGTCACTTATCATCTCCATGTCTCAATCTCCTCCTCTGCCACAGGGAGTTTATCAGGCCTGCTCTGTGACAGTCATAGGAATGTCATGCAGGGACACTGATAGCCTATAGTGCCCCCTGGTGTAAATTTTTTAAAAAAACTTTCTTCTGAGCTTATGCAGCCCCACTAGTGCCTGACTTTGTGAGAGCAAATAGTAAAGCCACCCTGTTCTTCGGGTGAATGTAGCCCCAAGCCAGGGTACATGTCTTGTCAAGCAGAGCATGGACTGGATTTCAGCTCCTACTTGTTTCTAGACTAGGCGACCTTGTGCAGTGAACAACCTATACAACCACACATGGCAGCCCTGGGGCTTTAGGAACTAAATGAGATAATGGCAATAAGTGCAGTTTTAAATGTGGGCAGGACAGGCATCCAGTGTTGTGCACTTGGATTTTACTATCATGCGGGATCAATATTTACCTCCCTCATCCTGGCAACCACTCCACTGCCCTATCCCCAAACTCCCCACTAACTGTTTGAGGTGCACAGACAGCAGCAGAGGCAATCAGCACCACAGGCCTTCCCCTGTTAGAAGCGGACAGGCATGACAAGTGGAAGATGTACCTAATTAAGAAGCTATTTGCTTCCAGAAAATGAGCTTCCAAGTGACGAGGAGGCAGAACTGAGGAAGAGGAAAGAAGGGAAAGTAGGGACAGTGCCAGGGTCTCTGGGAAGAAGTGACTTCTTTGGGGAAGTTAGAGCTGAGAAGGTCCGACACAAGCTCCCCTGCTCAGATGCCCCAGGACTCCTAGGAACTAGCACCCAGGCAGGGCCAATCAGCATCTGGAATTCTGGAGAACAGGACCTGGGAACATGGAGCCATCAGTGTGAGGCTGCCACCTGGGGACGGCCACTCCCACAGGAGGAAAATGCACTGAGAGTGGCCTGGGTTGCAAATCTCACTTCGGAGCAGGAGCAGTAACTAGTTGCTGACTTGGACTCAAACAAGCCCAGACGAATGGCAAAAGGTGGAGAGTAGCTCCGCCATGAGAGACCCCAGCAGGGGAGGGACTGAAGGAGCTTCTTTTGGCCTCTCTGGAAAGGTTAAGGTCTCATGGCTATACCACATGGCCTTGTCCCATCCTTGCAGCTACCACTGGCCTGCGTTTCTCAGACGACAGAGCACGTCAGAGGTGATTGGGGCTCCCCTCTGGGTGTGGAGTCCGCCCGCCACATTCTTTCCAAATGTTCCCCTTCACTGTGTTGGTCACATCCTGTGGGGCCCAAGAAGCCTGGAGACGTGGTTTAGGAAGTGACATGAGAGCCTGGCATCCAGGGCACACTCCACCCTGCTCTCCTTGGGATATTCCACTTCCTGGGCCCCATCCCCCAGTGTTGCCTCGGGGTAGCAGAGAGCAAGGCAAAGTCTCCCCAGCTCCCATGGAGCCCTCACCCCATCTTCTCCATATGGGGCAAAGGTTGGCTCAGCAGCAGGGCCAGGGCCTTTGCGTTCCTGCTTGGGATTTGAAGTCAGAAAGAGGAGGGGAAGGGGGCCTGTCCGTTCAGCCGGCACCTCTGCTCACCTGGAGTCCCACGGACCAGACTGAGGGGAGGCACTGAGGGTCTGCGCTGCTGCTCTCTATGTGACCGCTGAGTCATGGAGGAAAAAGGGACCTGAGGCATGTGCCCTGCCCCCCGGGAACACTTGGCTAAAAACCACCTCACTGTGATTTGCTGCACAGACTCGCCGCAGGGCACAGCACCCTCCAGAAAAACAGGTCACTGAAAATAATATCAGGGGAGGAAGTCAAGAAGGCTGCTGTATTCATTCTGCTTTAATGAGTAGAGGTAAGAATTCTCAAGGCATAAACACCAGCCCTGTGTGGGGCCCTGTTTGGGGCAGGTGCTGAAATTTCAGTTTTTTATAAAAGCAAGAGGCTGGCCTGGGCAGAGATGGGCCAGGAAGGTCATGGACTGTGAGAACCACAGAGACAAAGTGGGGCAGGTGGAGAGAGGAGAGGCCTGGTCAGCGGGACAAAGCCTCCCTGAGGACAGGATGGCTCATCCAGATCACAGCACCCAGTCTCTGCCAACAGGGTCAGGTTGGGGGAGATGAGGACTGAGCCCTCGCAGGGGAGCACGTCAGGCATGGGGTCTACAGGGGCAGTGGGAGCCCCTGGAATACTCCTGGATTCTGGCTGGGAAGGGGCCTGGGCAGAGGTGTCTTCTCTCAGCTGTGGCTGTGGGCAGGTGAGGTGTCCCTGTGACAGCCCAGAGGGGGCCCATGGGACAGGTGCCAGTGAGTCTAAACTCACTGAGACAGCCTCAGAAACCTGAGCCAGGAGAGAATCGGGAGCAGAACTGGTGGCAGCTCCTCAGATCTGGGGCTTGGTATGGGACTGAATTGGAGTGACTCCCTCCTAATGAATAGAAAAAGGTGAAAATGACAGCATGCGATTTTGGGGACCAGGTCAGAAAAAGCACTGAGGCTTCCATCTTGGTTGCTCTCTCTTAAGCTCTCCTCTCTCTTTCTCTCGGCTCCCTTGCTTTGGAGGGAGCCAGCTACACAGAAATTCAGGCAGTCTATGAAGAGGCTCACCTTGTGCCAGTGACCACTTGAGTGAGCCATCTTAGAAGTGGCTCTTCCAGCCCCAGACAAACTTTCAGAAACTAAAGCCCTGCTTCACATCCTGACTAGAACCTTATGAGAAACTCTGAGCCCAACCCACCCAGTTAAACCACTCCTGAATCCCTGCCCCACAAAAACTGTGAGATAATAAATGGTCATTGTCTTAAGCTACTAGATTTTGGGATGTTTTGTTATAGAGCAATAGATAATATAATTACGCAAATGTAACTCCCCATATTTCTCCCAAACCTGCTCCATCTGCCGCCTTCCCCTCCTCTGTTGATGGCAGGCAACTCCATCTTTCCAATAGCCCTGGCTCAAGACTTGGAGTCATCCTTGATTCCTATCTTTGTCTCATACCTCACATCCAACCTGTCAGAACATCCTGTTGATTCCATCTTCACTATACATCAAAATGTAACATTGTCACCATTTCCACTGCTACCACCTAGTGGGGCCACCATGACCTCTCTCCTTGCCTACCTGAAGTCTAACCTCAACATGAGGTCTGAGTGATCCTTTAAACATGTAGGCCAGAGCAGGTGACTCCTTTCCTTAAAGCCCACAGTGGCTCCCGTTGCCCTCAAAGTAAAAGCCCAAGTCTTACAATGGCCTGTAAGGCTCTCAGTGATCTGTGAAGCCCCCTTACCTCTGACATCACTACTGCTCTCCTCCTGGCCACCCCTGCTTCCTTAATGTTTTTCAAACATGTTGAGCACACTCCAGCCTGAAGCCTTGTGCACAGCTGTTGCCTCTACCTGAAATGTTTTTCTTCCAAATGTCTACACACCTATCATCCTTCCCTCCTTCAAGTCTTTGCTAAAATGTCTCTTCTCAGTGAAGCCCGCTCTGATCACTCTGTTTACAGTTGCAGTCTATCCCCACTACTTCCAGCACTCTGAATCCCTCTTATTGTTTTTCTTTTCTACCCTACTTATCACCTTCCAACATCCTATGTAGTTGACTTATTTAAATGTTTATTGTTTACCGTTCATACCCCCTGCTAGAATGTGAGCTCCAAGATGGCACTGATCTCTGTCTTTGGTCTCTGGCGTATCTCAAGTGTCTACATCAGTGACTAGCACATAGAAGCATTCAGTAAATAAGTGTTGAATGAATAAACTGGCAAATCTACATGTTCCTACATGTAGGAACTACTTTATGCAATAGTGCACTTTTAATCTAAAGCTTCCTGTTTCGAAGTTATTCCAAGTGCTCTTGAGCACCTAACATAGTCCCTGAGAACCTCCACTGACCTTCAGGAAGCAGGAGTGCTAGAAAGTACAGAGCAGAAAGGAAACCATGAACCTTAGATTCACATGCTCAGATTCAAGGACGGCAACGGAGCTGCTGCTGATGCAGATGAAATAGATTGTCCCTCTGCAGTGTTAATTAAGTGTATCAGAAAATTACTTATAAGGTATTACAGAAGAGGAGGTAAGAAACATGGCTTCATACATCCCTGATCTTCTAATGAATGAACTATAACAGTGCCGGCCAAAATAAATATAATATGAGCCATATATTTCAACATGAAATCAATATAAAGACATTAATGATATATTTAACTTTTTTTTGAGACAGGATCTCACTCTGTTGCCCAGGCTGAAGTGCAGTTGTGCAATCAGTGTTCACTGCATCCTCGACCTCTGGGCTCAAGAGATCCTCCTGCCTCTGTATCCAGAGTATCTGGGACTACGGGTGCACACCACCACACCTGACAAATTTTTAAATGTTTTGTAGAGACAGTATCTCCCTATGTTGCCTGGGCTGTTCTAAACTCCTGGGCTCATGCGATCCTCCTGCCTCAGCCTCCCAAAGTGCTGAGAGTACAGGCATGAACCACCATGCCTGGCCAAACATTTCTTATACTGAAAAATTATATGTGCATTGTATACTTACAGCAGGCTTCAGTTCAGACTAGCCACATTTCACACGCTATAGTCACATGTTGCTAATGATTATCATATTGAACAGTTGCCCAGGCTGGTCTCGAACTCCTGGGCTCAAGTGATCCTCCTGCTTTGGCCTCCCAAAGTGCTGGGAGTACAGGTATGAACCACTGTGCCTGGCCAAATATTTTTTATACTGAAAAATTATATGTGCATTGTATACTTACAGCAGGCTTCAGTTCAGACTAGCCACATTTCACATGCTATAGTCACATGTTGCTAATGACTATCATATTGAATAGTACAGATAAAGAAGCACATATGAGATGTGTTCCCATCTTAGTCCAGAAAATGTGGTCGATTTTGCCATAACTCACCCTCCTGAGAGTGATGTCAGCCAAGAACATTCTACAGTATCCACAGGCATCCAAACAGTTATAATACTATATCCTAAATCTAGGCCTAATCCTAGTTGAAGATTTGTCCTAGCCTCCTGGTTTTCAGTGACACATGATACACAAGAACCTCAATAGCACAAAGAAGCTTTGTGCTCTGAGCACATACACTGTCTTACTAAAATTAGAGCAAATCTGAATGACTTATACTCTTTGCTAGGAATCTATAAGAAGCTCAACACTCCACCTAGGACTACAATTCAAAATAAAACATAGCTATATGCGCAAGTAACTTTATCATCTTTTTATAATAGCAGAAAAGTGAAAATAACCTAAATTCACAATAATAAGGAATTTTGGACATTTTTCCTTGATGGGACTATGCAGATAGTAAAATGAAAGTTTTTAAATGGTTCATAATAGTATGGGGGAAATGCTTATGTTAAAATGCTAAGTGGAAAATCAGGACACAACATTGTGTATGCAAATATTGAATAATCAAAATTACATCAAAATAAAATAATACATACAGAAAAAAGCAGAAATACACCATAATGAGATAAAGATTATAAATTAAGCCACACTCCTGCCTGTCCCTGCACAATATATCATTAGAAAAAGAAAAAAAAGAAAGTTAAAAGAAAAAGAAAAAAATCAATAGCAGCGCATGAAAACATGAACTGGTGTTCTCAATTAACCAAAATTTTTGAGGAATGGAGTCACACTGAAAGATAAACCATCGCCCAAAGTCATGGAAGAGCAGACTGTGTCCAAAGGTAAGAACAGTTATGGCGCCCTGAGTTGGATGGCAGCAGACACAGGAAGGTAGGAGGTGGTCGGGGTGACAGTTTGAGAGGTGCTGTGCTGAGAGGAGCTGGCCAAGATGGTCCCTTCCCCAGTACCTACCCTCTGCCAGGCAGCCATTGGCAAAGGTGTTACCCCCATTGTGAATAATGATGATAAGAATGGAAGGCCACTAACCCAATATACCAGAAGTCAGAAAAGAGATAGCCTTGTAATTAGAAACACAAAAGAACTTTGCAGGAACCAATTGTAACATATTAACAATCCCAATAAATGTGAACAAATTGCATTAATATATTAAAAAGAAGAATCTTTCAAACTTTATTTTGAAAAACAGTTATATACGATTTACAAAAGATTCACCTAAAATAAAAACAAGCAAGACATTTGTAAATAAAGGAGTCGAGAAAGATACATCAAGTAAAATGCTCATGAAAAGAAAGCAAGCATAGAAATATGAAAATCAGAAAAAGGTAGAATTCAAGGCAAAAGACATTAAAAAGGACAAAGAAGGATACAGTTTTTTATGTTGATAAAAGATACACTCCCTCACAATCCGTTATGAATCTGAGTAGATGGATTTAACACATCTCTCTCTGGAATCAACAGTTCAAGAATAAAACTATGGCTTAATGCAATCAAATAGAAATATAATGTGAACCACAAATGCAAGCCACATTAGTCACTTAAACTTTTCTAGTAGCCACATTTTTAAAAAAGTAAAAAAGAAACAGGTGAAATTACTTTTAATAATTTATTTTATTCAACTTAACACATCCAAAATACAATCATTTAATATATAATCAATATAAAAAGTAATTAATTTTTCATGCTAAGTCTTCGAAACTGGTGTGTGTTTTACACTCAAAGCCTATGTCAATTTGGACTACCCACACTTCAAGTGCTCATTACCACATGTGGTGATACGGTTTGGATGTGTGTCCCCACCCAAATCTCATGTTGAACCGTAATCCCCAATGTTGGAGGTGGGGCCTGGTGGGAGATGACTGGATCATGGGTGAAGTTCTAATGGTTTATTGTCATGCCCCCTTGGTACTGTATAGTGAGTGAGTTATCAGGAGATCTGGTGGTTTAAAAGTGTGTAGCACCTCGCCCGTCTGTCTCTCTTCCACCTGCTCTGGCCATGTAAGATGTGCCTGCTTCCCCTTCATCTTCCACTATAATTGTAAGTTTCCTGAGGCCTCCCCAGAAGGAAGCCAGCATCATGCTTCCTGTACAGCCTTGAAACCATGAGCCAATTAAATCTCTTTTCTTTGTCAATTACCTAGTCTCAGGTACTTCTTTATAGCAATGTGAGAACAGAACAGACTAATACATGTGGCTACCACACTGGACAGCAAAACTATAGATAACTATAGATAACACAACTGTATCAAGTGGCCTTATTAAAAATTCTTCAGTTAAAGAATAAATTAAAACATAAATTATAAATACTTAGAAATGAACAATAAGAACAGGCCACACTTTTAAAGTGTATTTAATATAGCCAAAGCAATACTCGGAAAAAATAGATAGATATTTAGTTTTAGATATATTCATTGGAAATCACTTTAAAAAGATGGAAAATTGTAAAAGCATTATTTTAAACCACGCAGCTTCCGAAAGAATAGCAGATAAACTCAAAATAGAAAGGTCATAAAAAAGATAAAGGCAGAAATTATTAAAATGGAAATGAAATTTACCAAAACTTCAAAAGCAATTTTCTTTGGGTGATAGGGCTTCAAGCGTTTGCTTTCCTTTGACTCTCTATTTTTCTTCTCTTACCAACTTTTCTAAGTCTGGCTTTTATATTATAAAGATCCTATCTTTAAAAATATGCTGTAACACCACAGAGGATTTTGAAAGTTTATCTTCAAATGTCAATACTTATTAAAGTTCCAATAGTGAAATCTGTTTTTAAGATTTGAACAAGTTGCACACAAGCAATTGGGCAAATTGTATAAAAACTGTAGTGTTCTTAGATTTGCTGAAAGATTACCATGGTCCAAATCTGCTGTTTCAACCCCACATTTCCTAGACATGGAAATCAGTGGGAGACGTCTGGAAGGAGTTGCCTAGGGCAGCGGTCCCCAACCTCTTTGGCACCGTGGACTGGTTTTGTGGAAGACAATTTTTCCACAGATGGAGCAGGGCAGGGGAAGAGAGGGTGATGGTTTCAGGATGAAACTGTTGCACCTCAGATCATCAGGCCTTAGATTCTTATAAGGAGTGCACAGCCTAGACCCCTAATATGTACCGTTCACAATATGGTTCATGCTCCTACGTGAATCTATTGCTGCAGATGATCTGACAGGAGGCAGAGCTCTGGCAGTAATACTTGCTCATCCGCGGCTCACGTCCTGCTGTGTGGCCCAGTTCCTAACAGGCCATGAACCGGTTACTGGTACCGGTCTGAGGAGAGGAAAGCCTCCAGGCCCCTAAGAGTGAAGCCAGCTCAGTAGTGCCTCAGGCAGTGGCTGTTGGCTTCTGCAGCCCAATAGAGATTTGGTTTTTTATCCTCAGGGAAAAAAAGTTTGTTTTAAAAGAAAGTATTTCTTCTAATAAGAACCTCATAGCCAAAGGGTAACAAGGCAGGGTCAGAACTTGGAGAAGCATGTGTACTTCACACACAGAGGCGTACAACTACTGCAGACTAGTCCATGAGCCCTTTCCTGGCCACAATCTGGTCACTCCTGGTGGTGAGCAGGGCAAGCGCTCGCCCAGCTCCATTCTGGCATCCTGTAGTGCAGGGAGTAAACTCAACAAAGGAAGCAGCCTGTCTTCATAGTCCCAGCCCTGAGGGGACATTTCCACCCAGTATTCCTAGGAGACAAGATGCCTCTCTGGAGAGGACAGAACCTTACCTTACCTGAGGACAGAACCCAATTGCCTTTGCCTCTGATTTATGGAAGTGTTGCTTTGTAATGGTGTCAGCTCCATCCATGGATTCCCAGGTGCTGTCTCCCTTGTGCACAAATACTTAAACATTAGGTTCAAGCTCCACCCCTTCTTCTCTCTTTTTCCTCTTTCTCTTCCTCCAGAATACTCCCCTTGAGTTCAGGCCCATGCGTGTGGACACATGCCACACCCCAGTATAGGTCAGCCCCTCAGAATCTGTCTATAGTGGCTCCATCCTGCAAAGAGCTCTTGCTTGCCTTAGGGTGAAAGTGGGAAAGGAAGAAGAAATGGGAGTCAGAGGATTGTATAATCCACTATCATGTATCATATGATATTGATATGATGTTTCTCACTATCATGTACCGTGTGTGATAGTGGGAATGCCCCAGAAGGGAAGGGAGGCAAAGTTAGGACAGGATAATGGGTCACCATGGGGAGATTTTAAATGTGAGCCCCATGTCAAGAGTAATCATTTGATGTCCAAGCCACCAACACAACCATGATTCTCCTTTTCACTTAATGCACTTTTGTAATGACCATAATTACCTGTTTCAGTTGATAACGTACTTATCTGTATTCTGACATGGCATGTTAAATTTCTTCAGGACAGTGACTATGCTTATTCTCAGTGGTATACCAACACACCCAGAATATTGTTATTCAATTCTAGCTAACAAAACAAATTGTGCATTAAGTGCAAGGGACTCTCTTATTCTCTGCCAAAGCACTAATGCCCCTTCATATGCAATAAACTTTTCCACTGTCTTCTCCTTGAATGTCTAGTTTTACAAGTTTGCAGTTGAGTCTATGTTCTGTGATGATTTTTTTCTCTTTCTAACTAAAAGTCTAATGAGATTTTACAGTAACTTCCAGAAGCAAACTTCCAGGCTACAAAATATTTTACAATGCAGTGTTTAAATCCATGTTTTCTTGGGGTTTTTGTTTGGGACTTTTAAAATCCTTAATCCTGAGCAATTCCTCCTGGCGTTGTATAGTCTTTAAAAATACTATTTCTAAAAGATGTATATGCCACCTAATAATGGTCCATAATTAATTTAACAGTTTCACTGTTGTTGAGTGTTTACGCTGTTTTCAGTTTTTCCTTATTATATGTAATGCCGTGCTCATCCTTACTGATAAAGCTTCAGGTAAGTAGAATTAATGAATGATAGATATAAATATTTTAAAGTCTCAGTGCAGCTGTAAAACTGGTTTTCAGTGCAGCTGTCAGACTGGTTTTCAGAAAGTCTGTACCCCTTTATTCTCCTAATAGCAATGTATAAGGCTCATTTCATTCACTATTGGTCACCCTGTCACACTGTGTATTTGAATTTCGCTTATGTGGGGATTGGTGTGGATAGAAATTCAAAGAGGTAAGCAAGCCCATTCCAGCCATGTTGGGTTATGTGGCCTGACAAAAGCCATCAGGCTGCCTTTTTATTTGAAACATAAAAGTTCATGACTGTTGTATCTTCTACAGGAATTGTAAACTTTTATCAGTTGAAAATATCCTCACACACTGGGGCCTGTCATGGGGTTGGGGAAGGGGGGAGGGATAGCATTAGGAGATCTACCTGATGTAAATGACGAGGTAGTGGGTGCAGCACACCAACATGGCATATGTATGCATATGTAACAAACCTGCACGTTGTGCACATGTACCCTAGAACTTAAAGTATAATAAAAATAAAAGAAGAAAAAAAGAAAATATCCCTCTTTCATGGCATTGCTCCATTGTCTTCTAACATTACTATTGCTGACAAGGGGTTTGATGTCAATCTAAGTCTTAGTCTTTTGTATACTTCCTACTATTTTCTCTGTCCAATAAATGGATTAATGGTTAGGTAAATTATGGCATATCCATTCAATGGATTATTATTATGATGCAGCTTTTTAAAAAACCACATCTATTATTTACTTGAATGAATGTTCCTTATATTTTATCACATGAGAAAAACAAGTTACAGAGATATATACCAGTTTTAGAAAAACAAACAAAATTCTCTACATTTCTAATCACATTTTACACATATTTTTACACATAGAGAAAGATGTCAAAAGGTAAAAATCAGGCTGTTAGTTTTAGATTCCTTTTAATTTAGGAGAAGGAATTTAGATTGCTTTTAATTTAGGTGAAGATCATGAGGTATACTAATAATGTTATTGCATATTTCCTTTAATTTGAGTTTTTGTTACTAGTGGGGTGAGATATCTTTTCATGTTTATGGATCGTTTGATTATATTCTTGTGTAAATTTTCTCTTCACATTTTTATCCATTATTTTATTGAGCTATTTGAGGGTTTTTTGGGAATCAATTTATAGGAAACCTTTGCATATTATAAATTACATGTTTGCACATATTTGTTCTAAGTCTACTATCTGTCTATGACTTTGTTTACGGTATCTTTTGCCATATAAAAAAATGTTAAATTGGCTGGGCCCGGTGGCTTACGCCTGAATCCCAGCACTTTGGGAGGCCGAGGCAGGTGGATCATGAGGTCAGGAGTTCAAGACCAGCCTGGCCAAGATGGTAAAACCCCATATCTACTAAAAATACAAAAAAAAAAAATTATCTGGGTGTAGTGGCAGGTGCCTGTAATCCCAGATACTCGGGAGGCTGAGGCAGAGAATTGCTTGAACCCAGGAGGCAGAGGTTCCAGTGAGCCAAGACTGTACCACTGCACTCTAGCCTGGGCAACAAAGCAAGATTCCATCTCAAAAAAAAAAAAAAAAAGTTAAATTGCTATATACCCAGATATATTTATCTTTTTCATTGATGAGCTCTGGGTTTCATGCCATGTTTCAAAATATTTCATCCACTTCAAGATTATACCTAAATAATATTCTAAATTTCCATTTTTTCTATATTTAGATCTATAAATCTGATGGGTTTTATCATATATATATCATATATGATATATATATAACCACACAGGTCAGAGAACAAATGTGGAGATTCCTCAAGCTGCTAATTATGCCTATTATAATTAGACATTTAGGAATTGGGGAAATAACAACAGGGTGAGTCTATGGAATGACTAGGCCCACTTGAGCTCAGACTCCGCTGGTCCCCTGACCATTGTAAGCCCCTACTTTAATAGTAGACCAAAGAGGTGCTTTGGGTCCCCAAGAGTCAATGCCAATTCAGAGTCAGTGTCTACCAACCCCAGCAAGGTCTGGGTATTTTCTTCCTCTAATGAACAGTTACCTAGTAAATTATCACAGTACATTTGGTGAAGGCTTGGAGGAAGATTTATGGTATGTATTTGTGGAAATGATATAGGGTTATTCTTCAAAAGGACTCAGCCTCCCCTTTAATCAAGAGGTTCTGTATCCATGACTTAACTTAGATTTGGAAACTGAGTAAGAGATCATGACTCTCCACTGTGGTGACTCAAGTCAGGTTTCTGACTACTGTATCTAGAGTATTTCCTATTATATAGGTCAAACAATAATTTAGTAGGATGACCATCTATCTTTTTTCTACAAACACAGTGATCAATTGCCTCCGCCAAATATCTCTGTGAGCCGAGGCATTCTAACAATCAGCATGTCCTTGTTGCTCTTTACAACAGAAGTACTACTTTGTTTTTGAAGGTTAAGTGATACCACCAGTCCTCTGCTATTCTAAAAACCCATTATTCCCACTGAAATCAGGGAGGCCATCTCAATAGTGAGTAACACTTTCTACAGTCATATCTGGCCAACAAATAAAACCACTACAGAGATTTGCAAGGATTCCGGTCTCTGCACTAATGTATATCTCAAACCCTTAATAAAGGGAGTCTCTTTGAATTTTTCCACAGAACTCTTACCAAAACAGGAATAGAAGACATAGGGTGCAACCATTTCTCCAGGCTGAAACAGAGCCCCTGAGGAAGGAGCAAATCTGAAGTTCCCCTGCACCCAGGGCTTTGATTCAGATATTGTTGGAGAGAGCATTGCATGGCTCATGACTCACTAGGTGGTGGATAAGCTCATTGAGGTATGGTGCTAGGAAGAGTGACTAGAAAGCCACCTTCTGGGGTATCAGGAGAAGCATCTCAGGAAGGTCCTGTGCCTAGGAACTCACTACAAAGCCATCAAGGAAATACTGGGGGGAGCCATGCACACAGAGGTGCCACACCGTTGGAACTCACTGGGAAACTGCTTTTGGAGCCCCAGGAGGAGCTGTGCATGGCGTGCTGTGCTGCACGGAGGCAATGTTTTAGTTCCACAAGCAGGGGCACAAAGGGTGTGTTTGCAGCCGAAAGACAATAGATTTAATAACTGACACAATCTCTAAGCAACTAATGACCTCCATCTAATTCTATTTACTTCACTGCTATGTGGGTGTTTTTTATACTCATGTAATATTATTTCAATGACATCTCAAAAATGAGTGGAGACAAAATGTGGGCTGAGTCTGCCATCTTGAACAGGAATTTTTTTTTATTATTATTATACTTTAAGTTCTAGGGTACATGTGCACAATGTGCAGGTTTGTTACATATGTATACATGTGCCATGTTGGTGTGCTGCACCCATTAACTCGTCATTTAACATTAGGTATATCTCCCAATGCTATCTCTCTCCCCTCCCCCCATCCCCCAGCAGGCCCCAGTACGTGATGTTCCCCTTCCTGTGTCCTTGTGTTCTCATTGTTCAATTCCCACCTATGAGTGAGAACATGCGGTGTTTGGTTTTTTGTCCTTGCGATGGTTTGCTGAGAATGATGGTTTCCAGCTTCATCCATGTCCCTATGAAGGACATGAACTCATCATTTTTTATGGCTGCATAGTATTCCATGGTGTATATGTGCCACATTTTCTTAATCCAGTCTATCATTGTTGGACATTTGGGTTGGTTCCAAGTCTTTGCTATTGTGAATAGTGCCGCAATAAACATACATGTGCATGTGTCTTTATAGCAGCATGATTTATAATCCTCTGGGTATATACCCAGTAATGGGATGGCTGGGTCAAATGGTATTTCTAGTTCTAGATCCCTGAGGAATCGCCACACTGACTTCCACAATGGATGAACTAGTTTACAGTCCCACCAACAGTGTAAAAGTGTCCCTATTTCTCCACATCCTCTCCAGCACCTGTTGTTTCCTGACTTTTTAATGGTCGCCATTCTAACTGGTGTGAGATGGTATCTCATTGTGGTTTTGATTTGCATTTCTCTGATGGCCAGTGATGATGAACATTTTTTCATGTGTCTTTTGGCTGCATAAACGTGGAAGTTTCATTTTTTAAAAATGTCTTTAAAGCTGAGTGGAGAACATATGAAACCCTGGCAATATGTGTGCTGCCAAAGAGAGCACATCGAACACTGGCAATAGATGGCTTATTTAAGTCAACAAAAATTGGCTAAATTGTTAAGTTGTTGAACTTAAAACTCTGGTAGCCTTAGCTTCAATAATGCTGCTGTAGGGCTGGGTTGGTCACTACTGTAATCCAAGCCAGCAGTGGGAGGCTGAAGCAGAAGGATCAATTGAGGCCAGGAGTTTGAAACTGTCCTAGACAACATAGAAAAACCTCTGTCTCTACCAAAAAAAAAAAAAATTAGTTAGCTGTGCATAGAGGCTCACACCTGTAGTCCCAGCTACTCGGGAGGCTGAGGTGGGAGGATTGCTTTTGTCCTGGAGCTCAAGGTTACAGTAAACTATGATGGTGCTACTGCACTCCAGCCTGGGCAACAGAGCAAGACCATGTCTCAAAAAAAAAAAAAAAAAAAAAAAAAAAGCTGCTATATAGAATGCCCTATTTCTAAAATTAAAAAAAAATGCTTTCCTGATGATGTGGTTGAATCAACTAAACGATCTGACGGTGTGAAAGTGCCTAGCATGATAACTGACAATGGAGGGTACTCGATAAATGTTGAGTGAATGAATAGCAATTACTAAGGAACATCTTCCCCTCCCTTCCACCTTCCAGACAGATGGGACTGGAATGCTGGCAGGCAGTGGACAGATACCAAAAACTGTTTTTCTTCTTCCGAGTTTCTTAAGACTATTGAGCACTTAATATGCACTAGGTGATTTGCCAGGCTCTGGGAATACACAGAAAAATAACTCAAGGTCTCTTCCCCTAAGAAACTTCCATCTAATGAACAAGACTGATAAGTAAAAACATATTTCAACATGATGTGTATGTGCTATAATAGAGGTAAATGTAAAGTGTGAATATAAGACATAGGAAAGGCTGCCAACCCAAACTGGAGTGGGCTGGAGAATTAATCCTGGGCTGCATCTAGAAAGATAAATAAGAGTTAGCAAGATAAATAAACATGTATTTTCAAAGCACAGGGGCATAGATGCAAATATATCTGGTAGGAGAAAGCATGGCACATTTGAGGACTCCAAATATTTGGTAAGGCAAAAGTATAAAAAGATATTTGAAGTGGTAAGAGATTAAGGCGGAAAGGTAGGGCAAGCAATGGAATTTGTAGGACAAATGTGATATGCTCTCATTTGCATTTAGGAGAAATCTTTTGCCACATTTGGAGAAAGGATTGAAGAGAAATGAGAGCCTGGATGTGAAGAAAACATTAGGAAGCTGCAGCAGTAACCTATGTGAGAAATTAAGAGAACCTAAATCAGATCCGTTGGCCATCAAGATTTCACTCATTTTGAGACCTAGAGATTGGTGCTCCTGGAGCTGTGAAATGCGTGGCCTCTGTAGCCCTGGTGAGTGAGATATGGATATGTAGCTATGGATCTGAGAAATATCTGTGAAACATAATCCACAGATATGATGACAGGGTGAAAAAGAGGAGTCAGCAATCATACTCAGATTTTTTACAAAAGCAAATGCTTACATGTGGTACCAGTCACTGTGATTGGGAACATTAGAAGAAGAGTATAATTGGGTGGATAAACAATAAAGTTAGATTTGAGAGATGATGATTTTGAGATGGCTGAAGGACATCTGAGCAGATACATCCAGAAGGCAGTAGACTTTAAATCAGGAGACTCCAGTCTAAAGATAAAAGTGTTGAAGTACTCAGTGTATAGATAGCAATAGAAGCTCCAGAAATGAACAAAGTTGCCCAGGGAGAAGTTGTATACTGAAACAATGAGAAAGTCTAGAACATAACACTTGGAAGCAAATCATTCTAGAGATAAGCACTGGCCTGGAAGATAAAAAAAATTTTTTTAGTAGGAACAACAACAACCAAAAAGAACAGCATCTCTCAAAAATCAATGGAGGAAAATTTCAAGAAAAAGAGTTATAAACAGCATCAAACTCAGTAGAAAGATCTAGGAAGGTAAATACAGAAAAAGATTCATCAGCTTTAGAAACCAGAAAGTCAATGGTACAAGAGCAGTTGCAGAGGAGTGGTGAGGACAAGAGCCAGGCTGCTTTGCAGTATATGGAAGATTGAGTGGTAGCTACTGCCTAAATCAGGACCCTTTCTGTTGCAAGTATTAGAAACCCAACTTGAACTCATTTAACAAAAAAGAAATTTATTGTATAGTATAAATGGAAAGTATACAGGTAGAGCTGGCTTCTGTCACAGCTATTGATAGACCCAGGGACACTCAGAAATAGTTTTCAGAAAATGGTTTGGATCTCTATCTCTCCAACTATCCCCTTTTTTATCCTCCGCTTCATCTTTTAATTCTGAATTTAATTTTAAACCTCTGCCTTATTCCCTCCTTATTCAGATGGACTTCTTCCAAGACCACCATAGTTAGTTACCAAATTTCAAATACTCTCAGAATCATAAATCGGAATGAGAAAAATCTTAGCTTTATCACAAGAGTTCAGCGACAATTCTAACTGGCCCATCTTAAGTCATGCACCGATCCCCAAACCAACCCTGTGGCCAGGTGAATGGAGAATGCTGATTGCATAGTCTCTAGCAGGTGTGCAACCAAGACATAGGGCAGACACTTTTGCTGATACCCAGGTGCACACGGAGTAGGGAAAGGATGTTTCCCCCAAAGAAGAGATTCTGGATAGAGGAACAATATATATCCACTATATTCTACCCTTTGGATGTTTAGCATTCTTTCTTCTCATACATATAGTATCACAAATGTCCCCACCTAGTGCAATGCAACTATCCCATTTATAAATGAAAATATCCTAATTCTGAAAGAGAAATGACCAAATGTAATGTTATTATTGCATCCAGCTCCAACTCTAGATCCTTGAAATATGGGCATTCCTCTTCATTTCAAATCTTTCTCCTCATGGCTATGCACCTATGATTAACTGATACATTTTACCACCCCAGCAGATATAAAATGGTGAAAGGAAATATAAAATTTTTAAATTAAAACATACTATCATCTGGAAAAGGAAACAAACAGCAGCCATCCACCGAAAGTACTTATTTCTGGGCAGGGATAGCATGGAGTTCTTGTCTCGGCAAAGGAATGAATTTACTAGTCAGCCAATATGCCTGCCTGCAGTCCCACTGGGAGACCTCTTTTATCCATGGCCATGCTAAGAAGGGTATAGAAAACATCATAAAATAGAAATCTGTTCTGGAGACTGAACCTCTCTAGCAGCCCACTTCCTGCTGACATAGTTTATGAGAGGTGGGGGCCTATGACTGCCCTCGAGGCTGAGGAAACATAAGTTACCATTTTGTTTAGGCTTGGAATTTCACTGATAACCAACTCCAATAAAACTCTAATAGGCATTAGAACCTTTGGGTTCACAGACCTGTACTCTGTCTTGTCTCTATAGCCTCAGAACTTTGCCTGTAGCCCTAGGCCTAAATTTAATCATTTCCTTCTTGGAAAGTAATAAGGTGAAGGCAATAAACCTCTGGTGAAACACTAGGTGAGGCAGAATGATGTGCACCTGTGACCAGCCTGCAGCCCATTGGCTAACCCTAACAAATAGGAAGAAAGATTCCTTGAATCAGATAGTTTGAGAAAGGAGGTATGTGGGAAGAGCCCAGGGACTCCAGCTTCCTTCATTTCTCTGGCCTCTCAGGTATCCCAATTTTATCTCCCTGCTGTGTTTCACACCTCCTTGCCTTTTATGCTAATTTTAAAACAGGGCGGAAATTTTGGTTTTGGCAATTCTATAAGAAGCATAGTTAACCGAGCCTCAGCAATCTCACCCATAGGCAGAGGGATAATTATTAACAAAGTTGTATGTTGTTCCCTTTCTACTTTCAGCCAGGTCAGCTCAGTTCAAATCTTATCCTTTTGGCTTGTTTTTTGGTAAGACCTTACTAAAGGTCACAAGAAACTGCCAATATTTTCTAACACCCTGATATTTTTCTAACAAGTTTCCTAAAGCTCCAGCTTTAATAGACATTGGTCTGAGATAGCTAAGCTGCAGTAAGGACAAGTTCAGTCATCTTTGTGACTACCACATAACAAGGAAAGAGGGCTTCTCACTCAGCTAATTTCACATTTTAGAGTCAATACCCTTGTAAATCTTGATTTGACTCAAAGGTCCTTCTTTTTGTCTTATTTTTAGAAACACGCAATAACTTGCGGTGCAATGAAATGTAGAATTTAATTGGGCTTTAAAATTTAAAACCTTTTTCAAGGCTACTAGACAGTGATGAACTTTGTAGATAGATTGACTTGAAATGGAGGTCCCACATAGAATGTTAGATAGTGATAAGTGCTAGGAAGAAAAATAAAGCCAGGAAAAAAAGTATGGTAGAGAGGTGCAGTTTTATAAAGGGGTCAATACAAAGGTGACATTTGAATAAAGATCTGAATGAGGTAAGGTTGCAAACCATGCACTTATCTAAGGGAGAAGTGTCCCAAGAAGAGAGAACAGCTAATGCAATTGTCCTAATGCTGGAGCAAGCCTGGCCTATCGAAGAAACAGAAAGAGAACAATATGGTTAAAGTACAGTGAGTATAATTGCCCAAAAGGTTCTTCCTGCCTGCAGCACAGACAAAACCAATTCACTGAGACTGTGGTATTGCAATAGAAAAAGAACTTAATTATCACAAGCCAGCCTAGTGGAAGGACAGGGGTTATTACTCAAATCAGCCTACCTAATGACTCAGAGGCTAGCATTTTTCAAAGATAGTTTGGTAGGCAGGGGGCTAGGGAATAGGTACTGCCGATTCATTGGGGATGAAAACATAGGGGTGTAGAAAATGGTCCTGTGTGCTGAGTCAGCCTGTGGGTAGGTGCCATAGGACTGATTGAGTCATGAGTCAAGGGTCCAGGTGGACTCAGTCAGTCTCAGGATGTAAAAATCAGAAAAACATCTCAAAAGAACTTACCATTACTATTGTAGAAACTACAATAGTGATATTATCTATGGGAGCAACTGGGAAAGTTGCAAAGTTTGTGACCTCCAGAACAATGGCTGGTTATCATCTAACTATGCCTACATACTAGCAGAATTAGGGCCCCTGCCATAATCCTAATCTCATCGGCTTTTATTAGTTTTACAAAGGCAGTTTTGGTCACTGAGCAAGGTGTTTGCAAGGGTTAGTTTTAGGAAAGACTATTATCATCATTGCTTCAAAGTTAAACTATAACCTACACTCCTCCCATGGTTAGTGTGGAGTCCTAATTAGGGAAAAGGAGTCAGGCTAGTGGGAATAAGGGAAAGCAGATAAGCTATAAGTCGGCCTTTCTTTATGGCCTAAGACACGTAGCCCTCCTGCACAAATAACTCACAATCTTCCTGTGCCAAACTATCACCAAACACCTGCAAGTTAGCTCACTGCAACCTTGGTGTTATCAATACTGCACAAAGCCCTCTTCAACAGACAACATAAACATTATGCTATAAAATCTCCATCAAACCCTTGTTTCCTGGAAGTCAGCTTCTCTTCTGCTGACCTGCCCATTGCCTCCTCACAATGTGTTTTCCCACTTTCTCTGATAAATCTGTCTTTCTTTACCTACAACTGTCTCAGTAAATTATTTTACTCCTGCACCACCAGCCCAAATAGTCATCGCTCACCCGAGACATTTTGGTGGCCCATACGTGAACTCTCTCTCTTCATAGGGAACTCTCTCCCATCTCCCTTTTTCCAACTTGGAACCTTCAGTGGACAGCATCTAAGCATGGAGACGATTGCAGGTCTCTGGCCAGAGCTACACTGAGGGTGGGACTAAAAGGTGTCCATGAGAAAGTGTCTAACCACCATCATTCATTCAGATGAGGGACCTAACTCTGCTTATTCTTTTCAGTCTTTCAGTAGCTGGCTTCTAGTATCTCTCTGGAAATTGATGGTATAATATTTGACGAAGCCACTCTCTGGTGTTGCCTGAAAGCTAAAAGGTGAACAGAGCTGGCTGCCTTGCCCAGAAGGGAGGAAGGCTCTCTCTCCTATCTTTCCTGGTTGAAAAGTCCCTAGTCCCTACATGTGATGCAACAAACAGTGGAAGCTCGTTCAGAGTGAGTTCATACACGTTTTAGGTGATTTAGACCCTCTTTTTCTCACTCTGAATTCTCCTATGGACTCAGCCAGTTGTCCTGTCCTGGACATTGCTAAATCAGGCGATCTCAGACAGCCTCAGAACAGTGAGTCTTTCCCCACCCACCCCCTCTCCTGGACCCACACTAAGCAGAGATCTTTCTTTATCCCTTTTGAGAGTTGAAGCCAGCTGGACTTCCTGGGTCAAGCGGGGATTGGAGAACTTTTCTGTCTTACAAGAGGGTTGTAAAATGCACCAATCAGCACTTTGTAGGTAGGATTGTAAAACGCACCAATCAGTGATCTGTAGCTATCAAGAGGATTGTAAAATGCACCAGTCGGTGCTCTGTAAAATGCACCAATCAGCGCTCTGTAAAATAGACCAATCAGCAGGATTCTAAAAGTAATCAATCATGGGGAGGATTGAGAAAAGAGCATTCTAATAGGACAGAAACAGGACATGAGAGGGGACAAATAAGGAAATAAAAGCCTGCCACCCCCTAGCCGGCAGCTGCAACCCACTCAGGTCCCCTTCCACACTGTGGAAACTTTGTTCTTTTGCTCTTAACAATAAATCTTGCTGCTGCTCACTCTTTGGGTCCATGCCATCTTTAAGAGCTGTAACACTCACCGCGAAGGTCTGTGACTCCATTCTTGAAGTCAGCCAGACCACGAACCCACCAGAAGGAACCAACTCCTGACACATTTTTCCCTTGTACCTGGGCTAATCACCCAGTATAAGACAGTACCTAGACTAGCCATCTAGTATAAGACCCCTGAGCTCCAAATGGTCTTTTCCAACAGGTGGGATGCCCCTTTAGAAAGTGCACCCTGAGTCTCTCAGCTGACATAAGTGAAACCCTTTTCATTGGTGAAGTGCCCCAAGTGAAAGTACAGTTCAATTAGCCCCCAGCTGTGTGTTTTCCAGTCCCACCATGGGAAAACCCCTGTCAATTCCTTCTGACTCGCCTCTAGGCTCTATTCTAAAGCTCTAGGACAAAGTTGACCCCCAAACCCTCAAAAAGAAATGTCTAATTTTCTTGTGTAACATAGCATGGCCTCTATGCAGAAAATTATCAAATTAGCCTCCTCAGTCTTTATAACCAAGAGCAGAATAAGGAAAACAAGGCTAAGAAAAAAAAATGCAAAGACAAAAGGCAGGCTAAACTGTTGGCTGCTTTACAAGCCCCAGCCCACTCCAGACTACTCTAAAAACACTCCTCCAGGGCCGGGCGCGGTGGCTCACGCCTGTAATCCCAGCACTTTGGGAGGCCGAGGCGGGCGGATCACGAGGTCAGGAGATCGAGACCATCCCAGCTAAAACGGTGAAACCCCGTCTCTACTAAAAATACAAAAAATTAGCCGGGCGTAGTGGCGGGCGCCTGTAGTCCCAGCTACTTGGGAGGCTGAGGCAGGAGAATGGCGTGAACCCGGGAGGCGGAGCTTGCAGTGAGCCGAGATCCCGCCACTGCACTCCAGCCTGGGCGACAGAGCGAGACTCCGTCTCAAAAAAAAAAAAAAAAAAAAACACTCCTCCAAATAACTGCCACTGGTGCAGAGGGCCAGGCCACTAAAAGACAAACTGCCTCAATGAGATTAATGGGGAAAAACCTCACACAGCTTGCCTGCTTGGCTACATGCTTGGCCACTGGAAATGGAACTGCCCTGAAAGCCAAAGGGCCCCCACGAAAGAATCCCAACCCTCAATGGCTTTCAGCTGAATGGGCTCTCATCTTTGAAAACAGCTCACCTTGGCCGGGCGCGGTGGCTCACGCCTGTAATCCCAGCACTTTGGGAGGCCGAGGCGGGTGGATCATGAGGTCAGGAGATCGAGACCATCCTGGCTAACAAGGTGAAACCCCGTCTCTACTAAAAATACAAAAAATTAGCCGGGCGCGGTGGCGGGCGCCTGTAGTCCCAGCTACTCGGGAGGCTGAGGCAGGAGAATGGCGTGAACCCGGGAAGCGGAGCTTGCAGTGAGCCGAGATTGCGCCACTGCAGTCTGCAGTCCGGCCTGCTGGGCGACAGAGCGAGACTCCGTCTCAAAAAAAAAAAAAAAAAAAAAAAAAGAAAACAGCTCACCTTAACTCGTGACTTGCGGAGGTGGGAAGAATTCATCCCACACTTTGCAGTCTAGGGTGCTAAGGCTCTCTCTGATGGAAGAAAAACAAGGGTGGGAGGGGTGCTAGCCCTGAACTACAATGTGCAGTGGCTGGAAGGCTCACAAGCCATCCTATAAAGCTTAACCTTCTCCTCTCCACTCCTCTCTTTTCTTTTTTTCTTTTTTTCCTGTTCAATCCAGGGGTCCAGCATTAAAAAGGAGAAGGCAGATTCTGACATCCTAACCCCTGATTTTGTTGTTCTCTTTAAAACTCTAGCTGGTTACCTATTACAGCCTCTTTTTGTGCACATTTCAAACTGATTGGCAAACTATAACAGGAAAACTCAAAGCTCAAATGGTTAACCTGCACTATAGAGTTAAGTCTTTGAAAGTTTTCTGCCTCTGTTTTTCTACCTGCTTTAAATCTGCTGTTACTAAGCTGCTGGTGCTGAGATAAGACTCATTGTTTATAATCAAACTAAAATGTAAACATTGAAACCTCATTTAAAGTTAAAAAAAGGTAAAGCAGAATTTTTAGTAAGGAAGGTTATAAAAAATTTATAGAAAAACAATCTTCTATAGTAAACTCTAAAATAAAATGACTGGTTGTTTTTTTAAAAAAGTGGTGATTAGAAGAAGTCAGAAAGTCCAAGCATGTCATAAATGGTCTGTGTAAGTCATAAACGATTCATAAAAGGGAATTTATGAAAGAAATTTTGTATTTAATTAAGTTGGTTATAAGTTTTTAAAATTGTAAATGTTTCTTTAAAACAACAACAATAAAAAACCTTCTCAGAATCGTATCTCAAAAGTTCAACTTGCTGTGTCCCACAGCTTCAGCTTTCTTTCCCTGGAAAAGGCCTAAGATAGTAACTTCTTCAGTCTTTGTCAGCTCCTGTTCTGTTATTATAGCCTAATGCTAAAATGTTTCATCTTGAAGGTCAAAATTAAACAGTAGTCTTCTCTGACATAAACTTAATAGTTTAATTTCCAGATTATCTAAACGGGCTTCCAATAAGAAAAAACAATCACACTACAAAAGGTTTTTCTTTGCCTTTTTTGTAACTGGCTTTAAAAAAACACAAAATTTTTCTTCTAGGGTTTTTATGGTTTTAGGTCTAACAGTTAAGTCTTTAATCCATCTTGAATTAATTTTTGTATAAGGTGTAAGGAAGGGATCCAGTTTCAGCTTTCTACATATGGCTGGCCAGTTTTCCCAGCACCGTTTATTAAATAGGGAATCCTTTCCCCATTTCTTGTTTTTGTGAGGTTTGTCAAAGATCAGATGGTTGGAGATGTGTGGTATTATTTCTGAGGGCTCTGTTCTGTTCTGTTCGTCTATATCTCTGTTTTGGTTACTGTAGCCTTGTAGTATAATTTGAAGTCAGGTAGCGTGATGCCTCCAGCTTTGTTCTTTTGGTTTAGGATTGTCTTGGAAATGCAGGCTCTTTTTTGGTTCCATTGGAAGCCCATTTAGCCTGGATGATAGAACAAGACTCCATCAAAAAAAAAAAATCTGTAGTAAAACAGACCAGCAGCAGACCACCAAACAGTGACCATGCTTTTTTTGTGTGCAAGTTTGGCTTTGGAAAGTACTTTGGAACTTCTTCTTGGTCCAGGCACTGAGCTGGTCATCACTTGTTGTCATATAAAATCCACTTTTCATCACACGTCACAATCCAATCGAGAAATGGTTCATGTTGTTGCATAGAATAAGAGAGGATGACACTTCAAAATGAAGTTTTTTGGATTTTTGGTCAGCTCATGAGGCACCCACTTATCTAGCTTTTTCAACTTTCCAATTTGCTTCAAATGCAAAATGACTGTAGAAATGTCAAGGTGAGTTCTTTGGCAACTTCTCGTGTAGTTGTAAGAGGATCAACTTCTATGATAGCTTTCAATTGGTTGTTGTCAACTTCCGATGGCCAGCCACCATACTCCTCATCTTCAAGGCTCTTGTCTCTTTTGCAACACTTCTTGAACTACCACTGCTCTATACGTTTGTTAGCAGTTCCTGGGCGAAATGCACTGTAGATGTTGCAAGTTGTCTCTGCTGCTTTACAACCCATTCTGAACTCAAATAAGAAAATCGCTCAAATTTGCTTTTTGTCTAACATCATTTCCATAGTCTAAAATAAATATAAAATAAACAGCAAGTATTAAGTCATTAGCAAAAAAATAAAATAAAATGAGAAATGTGCATTAAAATGGTGTATAACATAACCACATTTAAGAATGTATTTAAGAATGTATTTCAATATCAAATAGTAACTTTCAACAATGCAAAAATTGCTATTACATTTGCACCATCCGAATACATGAGGTATACATGTTATTAAACTTCTGCTTGTTTTTCTCTTATTAATTTGCCTTTTGTTGCATAAAGTCCCAGCTAAGAAATATGAAGGGTGGAGGAGAAAATTATGTTTCCTCTCCTATACTTGTTATGCACTATGTTTGATAATTTTGCCCATTATCTACTTAGGCATCGTATTTTTCTTATAAATTTGCACAATCTTTTTCTTAAGCTCATTAAATCTCATCTGTCATTTTTTGCTGAATCTCCAAAAATAATATCTAGAAGCAACTCAGGGTCATGAATATTTTGCTTATTGCTTCACCATCACCATAGTGGGAGCTTGCACTCAGAAACTGTGGTATGTAAGAACTCAGGCTCATAGTGCAAATATTAGACTGTACATTTTGTCTCCCCTTTCTGAGGCCCACAATTAATCCTATCTCCTTCCTCCAACTGTCCTTGCTGTCACTTAGTTCCTTCCTACTACAAGTCCTCCCTGTTTGCTATTCAACTCATTAATCCCTATTTTATAGCAGTCTTCCTCATTATAATGTGATTTTTTTCTTTTACAGTGAAGGTCTTGTTTCTATGGCGATACAAGAGAAAGTCTTTGCAGAGTTGTTGCAGCTGGAAGTCTTCACTTACTTTAAGAGCTCATTAAAGCTAGTGGAGGTAAAGGGCAGGTGGAGATCCTGAAAGTGCCTAGCAGAGGTTGAAACTTTATAGCAAAGTTAAGAGTCAGTAGGAGCACACAAAGAATTCCTTTCTTGTCATTGTAATTACCTTACATAGGCATGAAACTTTCCAAACCTATCTAACATCAACTTTACATATTCATAATATTTTTTACGTACAGCCTTAACATTTGGTCTGAGACAACTTTTTAGACAATTTAGACAATTTTTCAAACTACTTTTTTGAGGAAGCAGAGTATTATATGGCAGCTACAGAATGATAAAGGATGACTGGAGAGTTTTCTCTTCAGAAAAAAGAACAAACTTTTCTTCATGTGAAAGGTAAACAGAGAGAGAGAAGTTCAGCAGCATAATTAATAAGATGGTTCTGCAATGTCTAATAACTTCTCCTTTTTGTTTGCCTCTGTACACAATAAAAGTGTTAAAGTATAATTTTCAAAAAAATGTAACATCATGACTCTCATGACTCTCAAGTTTTATTCAACTCAGGAAACCAATAAGATGTTATAACTGATTCAAAGAACATTTGAGAAGCTAGATATTTGTAGAAAATATTAGCATAAGATTGCTGGGTTAGAGACTGGTTAAAGTCCAACAAGAAAACAAACCAGAACCTTTAGGATCATCTGTTGTATTGGACAGAAATTATTCACATCTCAAACAAAAACCAAACATTAACTTTTGCCCAAAGACAATAGACAATAGAAAACTAAGCCCACTACACTGGTAAATGCCCTGTCATCTCTTCTGCCTATTTCCAAGTTTAAGAAAATTTTTCTGACAGAGTAAAAATTGTTTGGTAAGGGAGGAAGGTATAGTTGCCTCTGGAAATAAGGGAGCTAGGAAGGGTTCTTGGAGCCCATACCTCCTTCCTCCTGACCCAGGATGGAAAATGTCTCTTCCAACAGCCTTCCAAACCTGAAATGAACTGCTCCTTACAGAACTGCCAAAAGGAAGAAATAGAAAAGAAAAAAGAAGCAATAGGTCCAAAGTAAGTCCAAAACCCAATAAGGCAAACAACACTGTCTACTCATTAAATACTGAGGCTTGAGAATAATCTTATTTGGCTCCATGTCTCACCTTTTAGACACACTGGGGCAGGGGTTGTCCCCCAAGGCCCTGGGCAACCCAGCCCCAAAATTTATTCTCTCACAGTTCTGGAGGCTGGGAAGTTGAAGATTAAGGTTCCAGCAGAGTCTGTGTCTGGTGAGGACTTTCTCTCTGTGTCTACATTGCTGCAACATCTGGAGGGGACAAATATTGTATCTTCACATGGCAGAAAGAATGGAAGGAAAGAGCTCACTGGTTTTCCTGGGTACATTCCACACTGCAGCTCTCATGGGTTGTAGTCTTGTGCCTTTTAGCTTTCACAGGCTGGCGTTGCATACTTGTGGCTCTACAATCCTGGGGTCTTAAGGATAGCCTCACTCCCACCACTCCACCAGTCTGTGGTGGCCCCACTCCTGTGGCAGTTCTCTGCCTGGGCCCTGAGGCTCTCTGGGGCATCCTTTGAAATCTAGGTGGAGGAATCCATGCCCCCCAGGTCTTGTGCTCTGTGTACCTGCATAGTTAGTACCATGTGGAAACTACCAAGGGTTATTCCTGTGCCTTCTGGAGGGGCAGCCCAACACACCAACACCACTTCAGCCAATCCAGGGCAGCCAAGGGATGCTGCACCAGAATGTGAGGAGCAGAAACTTGAGGCAGCCCTGGACAGAGAGTTTGGAGGTCCCACAAGTTCCCTGGGCTTCTCCAGCACCATGCGCCCTTCCCTTGAAACCATTCTGCCCTCAAGGCTCTAGCACCCTGGCCCTATGATGGGAATGGCAGCCTTGAAGATCTCCAAAATGCCTTCAGTGGCATACTTCCATTGTCTTGATGAATAGCATCTGGCTTCCTTCTCTTCATTCTAATCTCCTTATCAAATGTTCCCTTGAGCACACCATTTGGTGTTCTCTCCTGCATATACCTTTTATTTCCTTACAACCTACCTGGGCTAAGATTTTTCCAACTCTTTAAGTTCTGTTTCCCTTTTAATTATAAATTCCATCTTTAATTCATTTCTCTCTCTTGCATTTTACTCTAAGAAGTCAAGAGAAGCTATGCTGTACCCTCAACACTCTGCCTAGAGATTTCTTCCATGAAATATCCTAGTTCACATCTGCCTCCTGCAAACTACTAGGACATGGACACTGCTCAGCCAAGTTCTGTGCCAATTTGTAACAAGAATGGCCTTTCCTCCTATTTCCAATAAGGTATTCCTCATTTCAATCTAAGACCTCCTCAGAATGGCCTTTACTGTCCATATTCTGTTCACAACATGCGGTTCATGACCTCTTAGATAATCTCTAAGAAGATTGAGGCTCTCTCCACAGCTGCCCTCTTCTGAGTCCTCATCCAAATAGCCCTTTATGGTTCAGCCTCTACCCATTACCCAGTTCCAAAGCTGCTTCCACATTTTTAGGTATTTGTTACGGAAGCATCCCACTTCTTGGAGATAGTGACAAGAGGCAGGGAAATTCTGGGCAGAAGAGGGTGAGTCCATGGCCCACTTCTTGGAGACAGTGACAAGAGGCAGGGAAATTCTGGGCAGAAGAGGGTGAATCCATGGTGAGGGCCCCACCCACAAGCTGAAAAGCCTAATACCACGGCCCAAAGTGAGAAGTTTACATCCTGTTTTCCCACTCAAATGTTGCCTTTTCCAAAACCTCCCATGGCCTGCCCCACCCCCCATCCTATTCCCATAAAATCCCCAGGCCCCATCAGCAGAGGGAGGAGAAGAGGAGAAGCAGCTGGACATCAGAGACTATGGTTGGACATTGGAGAGAAGCAGCTTGACTTCAAAGGGACGGCTTGATGGCATTGCTTCGGAGAGGAGTTCAGCCAGGGACAGCTGGACTCTAGGGGAATATTATCTTCCCACACCATCCACTTTTCAGCTCCCCTTCCCACTGAGAACCACTTTCATTGGCAATAAAATCCCCCACATTTACCATCTCCAATTTGTTTGTGCAACCTTATTCCTCCTGGACACTGAATAAGAACTCGAGTGTCAGTGCAAAAGGCTGTCACACTGACCCTCCACTGAGCCGTTAACACTTAAGCCAACCGCGAATGGCAAAGCTAAAAGAGCACTGACTGTAACACTCTTTCTAGGGCTTCAGGGATAATGGGCACCCCCATAGATGCTGCCGCGAGGCCACATGGAGTTTTGCTCCTGCCGGTGGCCAAAAGCACTCACCCCGGCTCCTGCACCCACTCACCTGTGCTCCCCCTCCTGTGAGGGGTGGAATGCAGTGGGACCAAGCAAGTGGAGTCCACTCTGCTGGCACCAAAGCAGCTGACTATTTCTAGTGCCTATGCACTCCAGTTCCTGCCCACGAAAAGGTCAGGGAAATTTCCTGCTTCATTGGCACCAATTTATGACTTAGTCCATTCCTGCTGCTATCACAAAAGATCTTAGACTGGGTAATTTATAAACAGCAGAAATTTATTATCTCACAGTTCTGGGAGCTGGGAAGCCCACTATCAGGGAGCCAGTGAATTTGGTGTCTGGTAAGGGCTTACTGTCTGTGTCCAAGTTGCTGCGACCTCTGGAGGGGACAAACACAGTGTCCACACATGACAGAAGGGATAGAAGGGAGGAACTCACTACCTCAAACCCTTTTATAAAGGCATTAACCCCATTCATGACAGTGGAATCCTCATGGCCTAATCACCTCCTAAATGTCCTGCCTCATAACACTGTTGCACTGGGGACTAAGTTTTGACATGAATTCTTGAGGCATGCAAATATTCAAAGCACAGCAACAGCCTTCACTTATGGTGTTGTGGGAAACTGAGGACCAGAGAGACTGATATGAGAGTATAGGAGGATTGTTTATTTTAGGTACACACTGGCTCAGCGGACTCACATCCACAAAGCTGAGCATTAAACAAAGACAGAATCGGGTTTTTATAAGTGGACTTACAATAAATAAAACAAAAGCAGTTAACCAAATGATAGGTCATATAATCTATAGCATAGCATAACTTGTGGCCTTGCATAGGTGGTGGCCTTGTAGCTGCATTGAAAGAAAAACAACAACCGGCTAAATACAGACATTTGTAAAACATAATCATGCTTAAGAAGACTGGGAAAGGAGTAACAGTAAAAGAATTTGTCTTTCTTTTTTTTCCTTCAACCTTGCTCTGGTGTTGGGGGGTATCTGGAGTCCATTCCTTTGGCCTTGGTTTCTCAAACAGTATTATCTTATTACTGTCCTTGAAGTGAGCTTGCTGCACTTTCCTCTGCTAGGCAGAGGAAAACTTGTTCTTTTCTTTTTAACCCTTGCCTTTTCTGTTACTTTTCTTGGAGTGAATGAATGCATATTTATTTTTAAATTTCTGCCTCAGTTTCCCCCCTTTGATGCCTTTTATAAAAGAAGTTTAATAGAAGGCATCACTATTACTTAGTTCTGCCTGAAGGGACGAGTTTTCTTATTTAGACAAAGGTTGATATTTATGCAGAGCCATTAGCTGAGTGGTAGTTTGCCTAGCTACTATTGCCTCTATACTCGATTGAATGCTTCTAACAAGGAGAGGTAAGAGACAAGGGAGTATTAGGCAACTTCCTAATATGGCCAGAACCACTCCTATTAAAGTCTTGAACCCTCAGAAAAATAAAAACCAAGCCTCCAAAGAGAGAATCTGGAGACCACCCTTTCCAAGTTTGAACTGGAACATGGGCTAATTTTCTCATTCTTGCAGTTATTTCCATAATTGCCTTTCCATTGTCATCGATTTCCAGGCAGCAATTTGTTAAATTGAACTTTCCACATACTACTCCTTCTAGGGCTAGGAGATAGTCTAAAGCTAATCTGTTCTGATAGATAGCGTTCCTCATTTTTGTGCCTTGCTGGGCCAGACGGGTCTGGGTTCCCTTTTTGATAACATATATGAAGGTTGCTGGGTATGTGTGTATGTAGACATGTAAGGAGGAACCTGCAGTCCACCAGCATTTTGGTAAGCATAATTGACCTTTGTTGTGGCTAGGGTGCCATGATATGCAATACCAACAATCTTTCTCTGGGGTCCCAGGGGAACAATGTGGAGTTGCTCTTGGCGTGCATACATATTTGTAGTTATTTCTATAGTATCTTTCCAAAGGTAGGTTACCACAGATGGGTGAGTCTTGGTATGCTACCTAACGAGCATCAAAATACAGAGAAATAGTCCCTCAGTAAAAGGGAGGGACCCTGGTTTGGTTTAAGAGGAGACCTTCTTTTGACTGCACGAATTTCAAACCATTCACCAGGTGAAAACTTGGGGTCATAACATACATAAAGTTGGTTATTTCCTGGGTCACAAACTGAGTAGGTGGTTTGACTATAAGTACAAGTTCCTAAGCGATTCCCCATACACCCATAATAAGTATGGTACAATAGAGTTTTAGTTATGCTGTTCCCTGACCAAGTAGTATGTGTACGGTGGAGACACCCTTCTGTGGGTGATTCTTCTAGCATGGTTAAGGGGGGTAACAACAGCAAAGCAATGTACAGCATATTCATATCCAGCAAGGACAAAAGAGGTCCTTACCTGGGGAAGAAGATTGAGCACAGCGACGGAACAATAGTAAAACAGTATTACAGGAAAACTACTAGTCCTAAGATTTCTAACTACATTTACTTGCTTGACAAGTCCTCAAGCTTCAGCTGTGCATAGACTAGTCAGCTTCTGGTGTGTGACTAGAGCAGAGCTTGTTGTTTCCTCAAGCTTCACCCGTGTGTAGACTGGTCAGCCTCTGGAGTGACCAGAGCAGGGCTGTTGTACTCAGCAGCAACTCAGTCTTGTCACAAGATCAGCCGAGTCAAATGGTCTGGGTCCTGCTGGCTGGTTCACTTGTCCTGAGCTGCCGGTTTCAGCCAACTGTGGTGGATCCAAGACACAACAGCTGCAACTTTAACAGCAGTGGGAAAGGACAAGATTACTGTATGGGGCCCATCCCACATGAGTCTTAGAGAAGTTGGGTTCTACTTTTTAACCTAGAGTTACCAGGTTTAAAGGGGTATCAGGTTTTTAGGCATTTTTTTCATGTACCTAATTATGAACACTTTGCATGGCTATTTCTGCATTTGTTTTCTTAAAGTTAATTCCCCTAGTTCCTGGAGATCATCTTTAATTTGACTTATGATTTGGGGGTGGCCCACCGAACAAAATCTCATAGGGTAAATACCCAGTTTGTTTGGTGGGGGTGCACCTGACTCAGAGGAGGACCATAGGCAAAACCTGATCCTATCTCAGATGAATTTCCTGGCAATATTTCTTCAGTAGCTGCTTGAGTGTCCGGTTCGTGGTTCCACTTTTCCTGAACTTTGTGGCCGATAGGCTGTGTGTAACTTCCATTTTATTTTTAACAGTCTTGTTAAATCTTGCACTATTTCAGCTACAAATGCTGACCCATTGTCTGACTTTAAAGTTAGAGGCAGTCCAAACCCGGGGATAATGTCTCTTAACAGTACTTTAGTCACTTCTCGTGCTTTTTCTGTCCTAGTGGGGAAAGCCTCACTCCATCATGAAAAAGGTGCAAATAAACACTAGCATATACTGCCAGCCTCCAGCATGGGGCATTTCGGTAAAGTCTATAAGCAAGTTTTTCACAAGGCATGAAGGCATGGCTCCTTCTCAGTTCAGTGTCCCAGAGGAAGGATACTTTTTCTTCCCCCGACCCAACCTTTGTAACTTTATATAGTGGCTTAGCCATCAGTGAGAAATTTGGGATCCAGATGTGGCAGAATCCTGCTGCCTTCAACTTCTAATGTGACCACGGGATCCTGGAGGCTTAATGAAAAGGAGCCTGGTCTGTCCTAGTCCTCATACCCTTCAGCTCTTGCCAGCCCAATCAGATCAGTATCTGGTTCCTCTAACGTGCGGCAGCCCTTGGCCAATGACTTCTTTATATCACAGCATTTACCACTCTCTTTATTACCTTCTGGACATTCATCCTTCCCGTGTCCTTTCTTTTTGCATCCCGCACATTAATCTCTTTCTAGCCTTGTCTGGCTCTTGAATCTCTGCCTAACTTGACCGCTTCCACATCCACATTTGCGTCCACGTCCTCTCACATTGCTAATCTCTCTATAAAGACTGCTGCCAACAGATTGGCCTTTTTCTTAAGCCTTCAATCTGCTTCCTTTTTCCTTCCTGAGTTCTCCTGTTCCTAAGGCCAGCGGGCCAGGCAATGACACCGGCCCCGCCCCCACGCACACACTGCCGTAGGTCTCTCCTGTTTCTTTCGGATTTCTGTTTTTACTTTCTTCTTTCCCTTCTCACATTTACTCTTTTGGGCTGGGTGGGGTCTGCACAACCGTAGTCCCCCTGGGCCATCATTGGCCCAGAGGCTTGGGAGATGCCTGCCGCAAAATGTCAGAATTATGCCCTTCCATCTCCTTTGCTCTTCTCCCGGTGCTGGTCCCCCCCTCCCCCCTCTTTTTCCAGATAGAGCCGGGCTGGGGAAAGGGGCTTAACCCTTGGCGTGCCTAGCTGCCTGGCACCACACTTGTTGCTTTTGCTCTTTTCTGTTTTGTTCTCTGGTCCTGATTAACGTACACTGAGTGGCATTCATGCCTGCAGCTTCTGCTTGATGTTACCCTGGGCTTGCCCTTCCAATGCTGTGTTTACCATGTGCTGATTTTCAGCAGCCTCAGGGTGAAATGGGGTGTAAAACCAGAATACTTCACAAAGTCTCTGTAATACTTCACAAAGCCACTGACTTAGGCTCTCATCACCTCCCTGAAGCACTTTTGAAATCTTCCCTATATTAATTGCTTTCTATCAGCTCTTATCCCTTGCAAAAGCGACCTTTTGGTACCTCTGCAAACGCTGAAGTTGTGTTGCATCCACCAGGTCCCAGTTGGGATCTTGGTCTGGGAACTGACTCTGAGCACGTACCTGAGCATTCACTGCATCTTCTGGTGCATTGGCTTCTAGCCAGCAGAGAGCTGCCTATGTTACTCTCCTGCACTCCTCAGTGTTAAATAATGTGAGGAGGAGCTGCCTGCAGTCTGGCCCGGTTGGATTGCATGTCAGAAAGATGGATTGCATCAGATCTGTAAGAGCTTGGGGCTTCTCCGTGTAGGAGGGAATGTGGCATTTCCAGTTTAAAAGATCAGTGGTTGAAAAGGGCTGGTAGATGAAAGTTCATTGCCCCCTTGAACCTGGCCTTGATCATAATAATAGATGGGTCCTCGCACCTCCCTGAGAGGCATTTGCATAGCTCAAGCACAGCCAGATCTGAGACTGCCTGCTTGACTATCTTGACTTCCTTCCCTGGCCTCTCGAGGCTCCGATTCTGCCCTTTGGGGTGAAACTTGGGGTGTGTTAGCTCCTGAATCTGGTTCCTGGGGGGCTGTTAGCCTTGGCAAAGGGGGGTAGGCTGGGACGAATCTCTGTTCCCTCTGGCAGCTCCTGCAAAACTGGCTTCTCTTGCTCTCTCTGGAACTTCCCCTTTAACTCTGTGTCTGCCAGTGAAGCTGCTAAATAGGGCTGGATCCAGGCTGCTCTTGTCTGTGCTATATTTAACCATGAATCAATTTAAGGAAATTTGTCTGGGTACCCTGGCTGTCCTCCAAGCCCTGTCACCACCTTAAATGCACAGCCAATTATCCCTATCTATAGTTCTTTCAGTCAGCCACCCAACACCAAAAGAAGGCCACTCTAATTCACAGAGAGTTCTCAATCTTTGGGGGTTTAGCTTAAGTCCATAATCCCTTGCAAAATCTTTCTTAAGGTTCTGTAACATGTACTCCAATGGAGTAACTTTTGATGACTTTCCTCCCATTCCTCCCTTTACGACACAGCACAATCACTCTTGCACACTCACTGTTCCTCTCATTTCGGCCGAATATACCATCTCCTATTATGGGAGTTTTCAGATGCTGCTTGGCTTTGCAGAGGTCCTTATTCTCACTGCAACTCTGAGCTATGGGGCAGCTCCTATTAGCCATATGCAGATCACCACTAGTCTTAGTTGGCCCCACACGTTCTTGGAGGATACAGTCCATGCTAAGAGATCTGTGACTCCCCACTTCACAGCTGATGAGCCTAATTAGGCCCCTCCATTCACACACTTCCACACACTTCCCCACTCCCAGTTCCCGTGTTTGTAATTGGGGTGGCAAGCCACTCTCACCCCCTCTACTTTCCCAGTTGGGGTGGTGAGCCACTCTTGCCACCTCCAGTTTCCTAGTTGGGGTGGCGAGCCACTCTTACCATCTCCAGTTTCCTAGCTGACTTAGCGAGCCACTCTCGCATCCTGTGTCGACTGGGGTGTGAGATTCATCCGAATTGATGAGCTACTCCTGTTGCCCCCAGCCCCTCTGGGTCGAACTATTCGGCACATCCCAGGAGGTGATTAGGCTCCCCTTCCATCCCCATGGGACAGGTCCTGCCTTGGGCCCTAAAACCTTACCGCAGTTCCTGAAGGGTGCTGTTTCTGAAATTGTCCTGTAGCTCCTTTCAGGTTCCATTGCACTGCTGGGTAGGGGCGCCGGGTCAGGGGAGAGCTGATTTCCTCTCCGGGCTGAAGTTCTTCCAGTGGTACCTGGGGTCACAGGTCTCCTGAGGCCCAGGGCTCCAGCGCCCAGAGCCAAAGGAAACAGTAAACCTGCTGTCTCTGGTCCTTTTGTGGTCACCAAAAATGTTGCAGGAAACTGAGGACCAGAGAGACTGATATGAGAGTACAGAAGGATTGTTCATTGTAGGTACACGCCAGCTCAGTGGACTCACATCCAAAAAGCTGAGCATTAAACAAAGACAGAGACAGGTTTTTATAAGCAGACTTACAATAAATAAACCCAAACGTTTATCAAATATGATAGGTCACATAATCTATAGCATAGCATAACTTGTGGCCTTGCATAGCTGGTGGCCTTGTAGCTGCATTGAAAGAAAAACAACAAGTGGCTAAATACAGACATTTGTAAAACATAATCATGCTTAAGAAGCCTGGGAAAGGAGTAACAGTAAAAGAATTTGTCTTTCTTTTTTTTTCCTTCAACCTTGCTCTGGAGCTGGGGGGTGTCTGGGGTCCATTCCTTTGGCCTTGGCTTCTCAAACAGTATTATCTTATAACTGTCCTTGAAGTGAGCTTGCTGCACTTTCCTCTGCTAGGCAGAGGAAAACCTGTTTTTTTCTTTTTAACCCTTGCCTTGCCTGTTACTTTCAGAGTGAATGAATGCATATTTATTTTTAAATTTCTGCCTCAATAGGAGGGGGTGGGGAAAGAAGAGAACTCCTCACAGTCAGATTTATAAGGCAGTGGGAGAGGCCAGATAATTATTTCTGTCTCCTCTACAAAGAGGGAGAGCGAGGTGGAAAAGGAGCAGGCTTAAGAAGACTGTCCTGGGCTGAATTGTGTCTATCTGCCAAAGCCTAACCCCTGCCACCAATTCATACATTGGAGTCCTAACCCCAAGTACCTCAGAATGTGACGTATTTGGAGGTGGGGTCTTTAAAGAGGTAATGATCGTTAAATGAGGACATTGAGGTGGGCCCTAATCTAATATAACCAATGCCCTTATAAGAAGAAGAGATTAGGATGTAGACACACATGAGGAAAAACCATGTGAAGACAAAGGGAGAAGATGGCCATCTAGAAGCCAAAGAGAGAGGCCTGAGAAGAAATCAACCCTGAAAACACCCTGATTCTGAACTTCTATCTTCCAGAACTGTGAGAAAATAAATGTATGTTGTTTAAGCTACTCAGATTATGGTGCTGTGTTATGGTAACCTGCTATGGTTTGAATGTGTCTCCTAAACTTTATTTGTTGGAACCTAAATCCCCAAATTCATATGTTTATGGCATTTGGAGGTGAGGCATTGAGAGAAAATTAGGATGAGATAAAGTCATCAAGTTATGCCTCCATTATGGGACTGGTGGCTTTATAAAGAGAAGAAAAAAGACCTGAGCTGACATACTGTTGCCCCCCTGACAGGTAATCCCCTCTATCTTTTTATGATGCAATAAGAAGGCCCTCGCCAGATGTGGCCCCTCAAGCGTGGACTTCCCAGCCTCCAGAACTGGAAGAAATAAATTTCTTTTTAAAATAAATTACTAGTCTGTGGTATTCTGTTAATAGCAATAGAAAATGGATTAAGACAGAGCTTTAGTTGGGCCAGGCATGGTGGCTCACCCCTGTAATCCCAGCACTTCGGGAGGCCAAGGTGGGCGGATCATGAGGTCAAGAGATTGAGACCATCCTGGCCAACACGGTAAAACCCCGTCTCTACTAAAAATACAAAAAAAATTAGCTGGGTGTGGTGGTGCATGCCTGTAGTCTCAGTTACTTGGGAGGCTGAGGCAGGAGAATGGCTTGAACCTGGGAGGCAGAGGTTGCAGTGAGCTGAGATCTCATGACTGCACTCCAGCCTGGTGACACAGTAAGACTCTGTCTCAAAAAAAAAAAAAAAGACAGAGCTTTAGCAAACTAATACAACTGGTGGTTTAAATATGTGTTGATGGGGAAGGGAAGTGGTCCTGAGTAAGATCATGTGGAAAAGGTGACGAGTGATATCAAAAGTCAATTTACATTAAAAGCCAAATTTGTTAAGTGAATTTCTACAACTTTCCACAACTTAGCTATGGAAGAAAGGACATTTGGATTGATCAGGCACAAATATTCTCCCAACAGTGTACAGTGAAAAAGAAGTGAGGAAAGCAATTAAAGAACTTACAAGACAGTAACTGAAGGGATATATTGTGCAGTCTAGGCTATATAAAGAAGGAAATAAAATGAGAGAGGGATTTACAGATTAGGACAATACAGAGAGGTCAGGGAACAAGAATTCTCTGTAATGTTGAAGAGCTGATGTAAAAGGAAATAGAGCAGAAACCAGTGGAAAAGCAAGAATTCGTGGCCAGAGAGTAGGATGTATACATTTAATATTTCAAGATAGAAGGGACCTGGGTGATGACAAGTCTAAGTCACCAACACAATTGGAAGTGGCTGAAGTGAAGTTGAGCTGAAGCTCACTGGAACTGAGGATGTCAAAAAATCATAAGGCTAAATATTAAATTAGTTGAACAAACAATTTACCCAGGATGAAGATAACACTTCAGGTAGGGATTCCATTTCAAGATGGCTGAATAGGAACAGCTACAGTCTGCAGCTCCCAGTGTGATTGACACAGAAGATAGGTGATTTCTAAATTTCCAACTGAGGTACCTGGTTCATCTCATTGGGACTGGTTGGACAGTGGGTGCAGCCCACAAAAGGCAAGCCAAAATAGGGCAGGGCATCACCTTACCCGGGAGCACAAGAGGTTGGGGTATTTCTGTTTCCTAGCCAAGGGAAGCTGTGATAGACTGTACTTGGAAAATCAGGATACTCCTGCCCAAATACTGCACTTTTCCAATGGTCATAGCAAATGGCACACCAGGAGATTATATCCTGCGCATGGCTTGGCAGTTCCCATGCCCATGGAGCCTTGTTCACTGCTAGTGCAGCAGTCTGAGATTGACCTGCAAGGCAGCAGCCTGGAAGGGGGAGGGGTGTTTGCCATTGCTGAGGCTTGAGTAGGTAAACAAAACAGACAAGGAAGCTCAAACTGGCCAGAACCCACCGCAGCCCAGCAAGGCCTGTTGCCTCTGTAGATTCCACCTCTGGGGGCAGGGCATAGCTGAACAAAAGGCAGCAGAAACTTCTGCAGACTTAAATGTCCCTGTCTGACAGCTCTGAAGAGAGCAGTGGTTCTCCCAGCACTGTGTTTGAGCTCTGAGAATGGACAGACTGCCTCCTCCAGTGGGTCCCTGACCCCTGTGTAGCCTAACTGGAAGACATCTCCCAGTAGGGGCTGAATGACACCTCATATAGGCAGATGCCCCTCTGGGATGAAGCTTCAAGAGGAAGGATCAGGCAGCAATATTTGCTGTTCTGCAATATTTGCTGTTCTGCAATATTTGCTGTTCTGCAGCCTCCACTGGTGATACCCAGGAAAACAAGGTCTGGAGTGGACTTTCAGCAAACTCCAACAGACCTGCAGCTGAGGGACCTGACTGTTGAAAGGAAAACTAACAAACAGAAAGGAACAGCATTAACATCAACAAAAAGGACATCCACACCAAAACTCCATCTGTAGGTCACCAACATCAAAGACCAAAGGTGGATATGGACAGAGGAAGGGGAACATCACACACCGGGGCCTGTTGTGGGGTGGGGAGAGGGGGGAGGGATAGCATTAGGAGATATACCTAATGTTAAATGACTAGTTAATGGGTGCAGCACACCAACATGGCACATGTTTATATATGTAACAAACCTGCACGTTGTGCACATGTACCCTAAAACTTAAAGTATAATTTAAAAAAAAAAAACCACAAAGATGGGAAGAAACCAGAGCAGAAAAGCTCAAAATTCTAAAAACCAGAGCAACACTTCTCCTCCAAAGGATCACAGGTCCTCTCCAGCAAAGGAACAAAGCTGGATGGAGGATGACTTTGATGAGCTGACAGAACTGGGCTTCAGAAAGTCGGTATTAACAAATTTCTCCAAGCTAAAGGAGGATGTTTGAACCCATCCCAAGGAAGCTAAAAACCTTGAAAAAAAATTAGACGAATAGCTAACTAGAAGAAACGGTGAAGACAAGACCTTAAATGACCTGATGGAGCTGAAAACCAATGCATGAGAACTACATGACGCATGCATAAGCTTCAATAGCTGATGCGATCAAGTTGAAGAAAGAGTATCAGTGATTGAAGTTCAAATTAATGAAATAAAGCAAGAAGAAAAGAGTAAAAAGAAATGAACAAAGCCTGCAAGAAATATGGGACCATGTGAAAAGATCAAATCTACATTTGATTGGTGTTCCTGAAAGTGACGGGGAGAATGGAACCAAGTTGGAAAACACTCTTCAGGATATTATCCAGGAGAACTTCCCAACCTAGCAAGGCAGGCCAACATTCAAGTTCAGGAAATACAGAGAACACCGCAAAGATGCTCCTCAAGAAAAGCAATCCCAAGACACATAATTGTCAGATTCACCAAGGTTAAAATGAAGGAAAAAATGTTAAGCGCAGCAAGAGAGAAAGGTCAGGTTAACCACAAAGGGAAGCCCACCAGATTAACAGTAGATCTCTTGGCAGAAACTCTACAAGCCAGAAGACAGTGGAGGCCAATATTCAACATTCTTAAAGAAAAGAATTTTCAACCCAGAATTTCATATCCAGTCAAACTGAGCTTCATAAGTGAAGGAGAAATAAAATCCTTTACAGACAAGCAAATGCTGAGAGATTTTGTCACCACCAGGCCTGCCTTACAAGAGCTCCTGAAGGAAGCACTAAATGTAGAAAGGAACAACAGGTACAAGCCATGGCAAAAACATGCCAAATTGTAAAGGTCATCTATGCTAGGAAGAAACAGCATCAACTAACGGGCAAAATAAACAGCTAACATCATAATGAGAAGATCAAATTCACACATAACAATATTAACCTTAAATATAAGTGGGCTAAATGCCCCAATTAAAAGACACAGACTGGCAAATTGGATAAAGAGTCAAGACCCATCAATGTGCTGTATTCAGGAGATCCATCTCACATGCAGAGACACACATAGGCTCAAAATAAAGGGACAGAGGAAGATCTACCAAGCAAATGGAAAAAAAAAAGCAGGAGTTGCAATCCTAGTCTCTGATAAAACAGACTTTAAACCAACAAAGATCAAAAAAGACAAAGAAGACCATTACATAATGGTAAAGGGATCAATTCCCTTTACCATTCCAACAAGAAGAGCTAACTATCCTATATATATATGCACCCAATACAGGAGGACCCAGATTCATAAAGCAAGTCCTTACAGACCTATAAAGAGACTTAGACTCCCACACAATAACAATGGGAGAGTTTAACACCCCACTGTCAATATCAGCCAGATCAACGAGACAGAAGGTTAACAAGGATATCCAGGAATTGAACTGAGCTCTGCACCAAGAAGAACTAATAGACATCTACAGAACTTTCCACCCCAAATCAACAGAATATACATTCTTCTCAGCACCACACCACACTTATTCCAAAATTGACCACACACTTGGAAGTAAAGCACTCCTCAGCAAATGTAAAAGAATAGAAATCAAAACAAACTGTCTCTCAGACCACATTGCAATCAAATTAGAACTCAGGATTAAGAAACTCACTCAAAACTGCACAACTATATGGAAACTGAACAACCTGCTCCTGAATGACTACTGGGTACATAACGAAATGAAGGCAGAAATAAAGATGTTTTTGAAACCAATGAGAACAAAGACACAATGTACCAGAATCTGTGGGACGCATTTAAAGCAGTGTGCAGAGGGAAATTTATAGCACTAAATGCCCACAAGAGAAAGCAGGAAAGATCTAAAATTGACACCCTAACAGCACTGAGAGGCTGAGGCACGAGAATTGCTTAAACCCAGGAGGCAGAGGTGAACCAAGATTGCACCACTGCACTCCAGCCTGGGCAACAGAGTGAGACTCAGTCTCAAAAAAAAAAAAAAAAAGAAAAAGAAAAAAAGAAAAGAAAAGAAAAGAAAAGAAATAAAACATTACAAATTGAATAGAACCTCCACTTTGCGCTTCTTCCAGATCCATTCTCCTCTCTCTGCCCTCCCCAGAGGTGGCTGCTGTTCAGAAGTTGTATATATCCTTCTTGTTCATGTTTTGTACATTTTACTACATATGCATTCATAAATCATATGTATTGTCTTATTTGTTTTTAAACTTTACCAAAGGTGGTGTTATCACATTGTACTTATCATTATGCAACTTACTGATTTTTAGCAACCTTGTTTTTGGAACTGAACCACAACATACGCATCTCTAGTTCATTCACTTGCACCAGCATAGAATATTCTCATTGTGTGACTAAACACAATCTACTTACCTACTTTCCTGTTGACGGTCATTTAGGTTGTTTTAATTTTTATCTATTACACATAACGCTGCCATAAGTATCCTGTGCATATCTCCTTGCACCACACATGTGTGAGCTTTTCCCAGAGTTTATATCTGGGAGGAAGAAGCTGGGTCAAAGATCACATGCATCTTGATTTTTACTGTATATTACCAAATTTGTTTTCCAAAGCCATTGTAGCAACTTACACTTGTATGAAAGCTCCTATTCCTCCATATCATTCCTAATGCTGGTGCTTTCAGACATTTTCATCTGTGTCATTCTGGTAGATGTTAAAGAGCATCTTGTCTTGCTTTGCATTTTCTTGATTAGCAGTGAGGTTGATCCTCTTTTCCTGCTGGGTCATTCAGGGTTCCTCCTCTGTAAATTGCCTGTTCGTTCTCTGTCCATTTCTTATTGGGTTGCTTGCTTGTTTCTTATTTGTTTTTAAGGTATTTGCATATTCTGAACCTACTCCTGTTTTGGTAGGCTTTGCTCATTTTACTTCTACTTTTTGCGGTCATCTTAAGACCTCCAGGTTACCTACCATTCCTCATTCCTTGAAGATTTTAGCACCTGGGTCATTGTCTCTTTCTAGGACCAGATCTGTCTCAATTATTAGTGACTTCAACATTCATAAGCATGATCTTCTTAGTTCTTTGACCCCTTCATTCCCGGTGATCCTATCCTCACCCTCCTCCAAGCCACCAACTTCCACAGTCATGCGTGAGACCTTGCCATTACCAACAACAGCATTCTCCCCATTACCTTGAAAGAAGCATCTCACTCTTTCACTATGGCTTCTCATCTTTCAGCATCCTCCCTCCAATAGCCCAGTTTCAAAATTCTTCAAACCTAATGGAACCTGCTCGCTCTCCACTGACCTGTCACTTTGCACATCCGTCACCCCATTCGTGTCCTCACCTTCTATATAACTGAGCTTAATTCCACCTTCCATCATGAGAGTCTCTTATCTGTATGTGTAGTTGTTCCCTTGCTCTTCTCTTCCTCTCTTGGACTTTTCCAGGAAAAAAAAACCCAAAACTGGAGAAACGTAGCTCTCTGTTTACTCTCTAATAGCACACAAGCAAATGATATTGACTAGGGAAAAACACACAAGCATGGTGAAGGGTCTTTCTTTAAATTCATGACCACTGACCTTAGGAAGGTCTTTAGTGCTGCCCTTCAATCTTGCTTCACTTCCCTGGTCAATTCACTCTCTTATACTCTTACAGACAATTATCTTATAACTTCTCTTTTCTCAAACTTCCAACACCTTCTACTTCCTCACTTAGCTGATGGCCTTGTTTCTTATTGCACTGAGATTGTAGAAGCAATCTAAAAAGTATTACCAATCCCTTAAACAGTATTACCAATCCCTTACATAGGTTCCAAATTCTCTGCTTTTCTTTCTAGTACAGTGGATAAACTGTCAGTGCTCCTGTGTAAAACCAACCTTCCATTTTTTTCCCTGGGTCCCATCCTTTCTCACACCTCCTCAAGGTTATTGTTCTTTACTGGATCATTCCCATCAGCATGAAAACACTCTGTATATTTTCTATATTTAAAAACCACAATCCCTTAATATATGATGCCCTCAAGTACCATCCCATTTTTCTCCCTCATTCTACAGAAAAACTCTTCAAAAAGATTATCTGTGTGCACGCTCTCCACTTACTCTTCTCCTGTTCTTTGTTGCACCTACTCCAAACAGCCTTTCATCACCACTGCCCTGAAACTATCATTGAGGTCACAGATAATCTGTGCTTTGCTAAATCCAATGATAAATGCTCAATCTTCACCCTACCCAGCCTCTCAGCAGCATTTGACATATTCGCTTGCTCCTTCTTGACACACCTCCTTCTCTTTGGTTCTCTTCAAATCTCACTGAATGCTTCTTCTCAGTCTCATTCACTGGTTCCTTCACTTTCCTCCCAACTCTAAAATTGGAGTATCCCAAGGCCCAGTCCTCAGACCCTTCCTCTGTAAATACTAACCCACTAGGTGATGTCTTCCAGCCCTATGGTTTTAGATACCATTTATTAGACCGACCACTCTCAAATTGCTATCTCAAGCTCCACCCTCTTTCCTGAACTCCAGACTCATATACTGTTCAGCTGCCTACTTGATGTCTGATAAGTGTCTCTAACTTAACGTGTTTAAAACCAAGCTCTTAATGCTCTACGGCAAGCCTGTTCCTCCCATAGAGTTCACCATCTTATTAAAAGTTACCATTGTTAGCCCAGTTGCTTAAGCCTCAGAGTCGCCACACCTTGGCTTCTCCTCTTCTCTCACATCCCACGTCAGCAAATTATATCTTCTCTACCTTCAAAGTATATCAGAACACTTGATTAACATCCACTTCTTACCACCTCTACCCCTGTCACCTCATCCCTTACCTGGGCTATTGAAATAGCCTTCTAACACAACTCCCTGCCCCTTCACCCTTGCACCTTTCCAATCTACTTTCCGCACAGTAGCTAGAGTAATCCTATAAACTGCACTCATATCCTGTCGCTCCTTAGCACAAATCCTCCCATGATGTGCCATGCCCTTTAGATGTCCTTGCCATGGCCTTCAAGGCCCTGTGTCCCCTGGCCTCACTACTTGCTCTTTTACCTCATCTTCTACCACTCCCTTCTCCCCGATCCCAGCCACACTGGCCTTCTCGCTGTTCTTCAAAGGCCAAGTACTCTCCGGCCTCAGAGCAATTGTTCAGCTGGTCTTTCTGCCTGAAAATTTCTTTTGCCTGAATATCCACGTGCCAAACTCCCCCAATTCCTTCGGGTCTCTCTTCAGGTGTCACCTATCAGGACAGCCTTCACCAACCACCCTGTATAAAGTAGCAAACCCACCTATGATCACTTCCTAGTCCCTTACCCTGCTCTATTTTTCTCCATGGCACTTATCATCACCTGACATGTTACATATTTATTTGTTTACTGTTAACATAAACCATCACTAGAGCAAGGACTTTGTTTTATTCACTGCTCTGTCCTTAATACTAGGCCAGTGTGTAACAGCAGCTCAATAAATATTTGTTGAATGAATGAACAAATTAATGAATTATTTTTCCTGAAAGTTTTACAGTTTTGCATTTTTCATATTTAGCTCTTAATTCAACTTTAGTTTATTTTTGTATATGGTTTAAAGTAGGAATCTTAATTTATTTTCATGTGGAAAACCAGTCATGTGGTTATCATTTATTGACTAGTCCTTCCTTTCCTGTAATGACTTGTAACAACACTTCTGTCATTTCCCAAATTTTCATCTATGTGAGGGTCTCTTTCCAGGCTCTCTATTCCATTCTACAGGTCTACTTGTCTATCCCTGTTCCAATAACACAACATTTTATTTACCACAGGGCTATAATAAGCCAAGTACCCTCATCTTATTTTTCTTTGTCGAAATTGTTTTTGCTATTTTCAAAGTTTCCATTTTCTATATGAGTTCCATTATTTAAAAGCAACAACTGTTGAGATTTTGATCAGAATTGCATTTACTTCATTTATTAAAGTGGGGACAGATGGACATCTGTAAGCTGTTGAGCCTTCTTATATACGAAATGTCTTTCCACTTAGTCAGAGCTTCATTTTGCTCTTCAAAGATGTTTTATATGGGCACCAGCCTGAGTGACAGAGTGAGACTCCATCTCTTAAAAAAAGATAGCTTATAGTTTTTCCATGAAGATACTGAAAAAAAAAATCTATGTTCTTTTTATTCCTAGATATCTTATAGATCTTGTGAATGTTACCTTTTAAAAAAAAAAAACATTTTTAACTGGCACCGTGTTAAATGGCAACTGTATTGATTTTACATGTTGACCTTGTAGCTAGCAAACTGCAGAATTATCTAACTAGTTCTAATATATTTTCAAAAATTCTATGCATTTGGTAAATATTGAATTTTTCTCTTCTCTATGAATTCTTATGCCTTACTTTTTTTATCTCATTGTATTGACAGACCCTCCAGTGTGATGCTGGATGGTGGGGTGATGCAGGCATCCTTGTCTTATTCCTGACTTCAGTGGGAATGTAATGGTATTTACCATTAAATGGTATTTATTGTAGGTATTTGGTAGAATTTTATACTAATTTAAGAAAATTTTCTTCTAGTCTTAGTTTGCAAGTTTTAAAAATCATGAATAGATTTAAAACTATATAGAAGAAAATTTTGCATCTGTTAAATGATTGTATGGATTATTCCTTTGATCTGTTGGACTGGATTATGATGATTAATTTTTGTTGGTGAACATTCCTTGTATTCTTGGGATAAACCCTTCATGGCCATGATTTATTTATATAAAATATATATAATATATATACTACTGTATACATACTATTACAACTTCATGATTTTTGCATCCATGTTCACCAATGAGATTAATCTATAATTGTCCTTATCCTGGTTTAGAGTTGTTTATTTAAAAATGAGATGGGAGGCGTTCTGCTTCCACTTAGGATGTACGAAGCCACAAGAGAACATCACCCTCACCCTAGTAATGAAAAAATATAGACAATCTGCAAAATTGTAGCTTTTCTTCAGTCCATCAGAGAGTTCAGGCCACTACGTGAACTGAGTTCCAAAGAGTGGTGACAAGACCCTCGGAAGAAAGACATGGCACATGAGCAGCTTCCCTTTGGTCAAAGCGTGGGAGGAAGAGGTGACTGCCATAAACGTGAGAAGAAAAAAGCAGCTAACATTCTAACATTTTCGTGAATTATTAAAGGCCAGGATGGACTATCGCAGCAGTTTAGAACAGGGTTTCTCAGCTTTGGCGCTATTAACATGCAGGATAATGATTTGTGGTGGAAGGCTGCCCCATGAATTGCAGGACTTTTAGCAGCAGTCCTGGCCTCTACCTACCAGATACCAGTACCACAGCCTCTCCCATTTGTGACAACCAAAAATATCTTCAGACATTGCTAAATGTGCCTTGGGGGGCAAAACTGCTTTTGACTGAGGACCACTGGTGTAGACGGTGGAAACCCAGGCACGGGAGTGTCTGCTGTCACTCATGAGCTCTTTTCCACGGGCTTTCACCACGTGCGAATGAGAAAGACAGGAGACAGAGGGAACCTCAAATTAAAAACCAGAGCTTGTCAGCTTAGAACCAAAACATGACCCAATGGATCTGTTGTCTCCTAGAAACTCACTTTAAATATAAAGAGGTAACTAGGTTAAAAGTTAAAAGATGGAAAAAGGTATATCATGTAAGCACTAATCAAAAGAAAGCTGGAGGAGCTGTATTAACCATCAAACAAAATAGACTTTAGAACAAAGAATATTACCAGGGATAAAGAGGAGTATTACGTAATGAAAAAAGGATCAAATTGTCAAAAAGTTGTAACTATCCTAAATGTGTAAGTGTCTAACAACAGAGCTTCAAAATAGATAATGTAAAAACTGACAAGACTAGAAGGAAAAATAGAAAAATCTGTATATTCACAGTTGAAAACTTCAACACACTCTTCTATCAGTAGTTGATAGAACAAGTAAACAGAAAAATCATTAAGTGTATGGAAGACTCAAACAACACTATTAACCAACTTGACCAAACTGACATTTATAGAACGCACCTCTCAACGAGTTTTTCCCAAGCACACACGGAGCATTCATCATGGTAGATTGTATCTAAGGCCATAAAACAAATCCCAACAAATTTAAAATTTTACAAATACATTCTCTGGCCTCAACAGGATTAAACTATAAGTAAACAACAAAGATATTTAGAAAATCCCTAAATATCTGGAAATTAAACAACACATTGCTAAGCACTCATGCATAAAAAAGAAGTCACAAGGGAGATTAGAAAATATTCTAATTAAATGAAAATGAAAACATAATGTATCAAAATTTATGGAATGCAAATAAGCTGAGCAATTCTCTCTCTCTCTTTCCTCCAAAAAAGCTTGTATGAAAAAATGATGACCCAGGCCAGGCACAGTGGCTCATGCCTGTAGTCCCAGCACTTTGGGAGGCCAAGGTAGGAGGATTGCTTGAGCCCAGAAGTTTGAGACCAGCATGGACAACATGGCAAGACCCCCTCCCTAGAAAAAAAATTTAAATTATTCAGACATGGTGGCATGCACCTGTGGTCCCAGCTACTTGGGAGGTCGAGGCAAGAGGATTACCTGAGCTTGGGAAGTTGAGGCTGCAGTGAGCTGTGATCACGCCACTGCACTCCAGCCTGGGTGATAGAGCGAGACCTTGTCTCTTTAAAAAAAAAAAAATCCATTTCTGGTTTGTAAAAGACATCTATAAAACCATCTCATCCTAGTGTTTTTATTGAGAGGGGACAGAGAGACAGAGTTTACCTATTGATTTAATTTTTTAATGATTTTAAATTTTCTCCAGTTTTCTTGATGCCGGTCTGTTTATTCTCCCACTGATAAAGCTGCTCACAAGTTTGCTCTTTTAAGAAGGGAGGGTGACAAGGGGAAGAGGACCCTGTGGTGGAATGCACATCCCCACTGTGGGCACAGCAAGGCCCAGCCTTCTCTCCATGGGATGATGGGAGACTCAGTCTTCTCTTGATGACTCAGCCATGTAAGTGTCCCATTTCCCAATAAAACCTACTCCTTTGCCTGTTCTCTATGACATGGCATTCATCCACAACCCTGACACACAATAGGCAACCATGGAGAATGAACATGCCTTACCAGACATTATTTGTGTATTTTCTCTTTTCCTTGATCAGGTTTTCACAGAGGTTTGTCTATTTCACTATACATTTTTAAAGAACCAGCTTTTAGTTTTGCTGATCATCTCTATTGATTCTTCTTCCTATGGAGATAAGAGGATGGTAGAGGCGGGCCGATTGGGTAGTGTTGGTGGTGGTTGGTTTGGTTGAGTGGTTGTTTTTCAGCCACCCTCCCGCTCCTCTCTGGCAGCCTATCAGGCCTCCTCACCAGTGGCAACCAATGTTCCCAGTTTTTTATGTATCCTTCCAGAAAGATTTTGTGCAGGTGTGAGCAAATGTATATTTATATACAGATATTCATAAATGGTACTTATGTAATTTTAACCACTGTTATAAAAGAACAGTATATTGTGCACACCATTGTGCTCATTCCTTTTTTTACTTAGGGGATCATTATGAGTCCCTGCATGCTGAAATCCCTCATTCTTTTTAATCATTACAAGTAGTATTTATATTTTATGGATATTTATAATATGATCAAATCTCTTATAAATAGTAGTGCAATTAATAGCCTTTGTAATTCATCATTTTGCTCATGGTATCTGCAAGACAAATTGTGTCTTCGTCCATTTGGGCTGCTGTAACAAAATACCATAAACTGGGTGACTTATACACAACAGAAATGTATTTTTTCATGATTCTGGAAGCTGGGAAGTCCAAGATCTGGCAGATTTGGTGTCTGGTGAGAGCCACCTTCTGATTCATAGATGGTGCCTTTTCGCTGTGTCCTCCATTTGTGGAAGGGACAAACAAGCTCCCTTGGGCCATTTTATGAGGGCAGTAATCTCATTCCTGAGGGCTCTGCCCTCATGACCTAATCACCTCCCCAAACAAGATTTTATCATATTAATTTGGGGAGGACACAAACTTTCAGACTATAGCAAATAGGGTGAAGTGAAATTTGTAAATCAAAAGGTTTTTGTTGTTTTATGAGACACTGCCAAATTGTCCTCCATAGATGGTTGTCCCAGTTTGCACTAGCAATGTGTGAGAGGGCCTGTTCTATCACACCCTGAACACTGGCTAATCCAGCATTTAATCAACTTATTGGATCTTTATCAATCTGATAATTTTAAAATGATATCTCAGCATAGCTTATAACTGCATTTCTTTCATTACTAGTGAGATTGAGCTTTTTTCATATATTCATGAACCATTTGGTTTTTTCTTTTCTGTGAACATTTATTCATATCTCTTGCCCATTTTTCCAAGATTGTTGTCTTTTTCTTATTTATGTGTAGAGGTTCCTTATGCATTAAGAAAATTAGCCCTTAGCCTATAATATAAGTTGCAAATACTTTCCCCTAGTTTGTTATTTGTATTTTAACTTTATTTACAAATAAAGTCCTCTTGGTGGATCCTTCCCAATATAATTATGTACTGTCCCCTTTTGTTCCCATTAATTCTTTTTTGTCTTAAAGTTTATGTAATCTGATATTAATAGTTACCCCAGCTTTCTTTTGGTTAACAATTTCCCTGTATATCTTTTTTCATTCTTTTATTTACAATCTTTGCAATCAATTTTTTTTACTCCATGTCTTGTAACCAGCATATAATTGAGTTTTGTATTCCTTTATTTAATCCAATCTGATAGTCATTTAACAGATGAATCATCTTACTCTTTAGTATGGTTGCTAATAAATTTGGATTTATTTCTTTGGTGTTTTTATTGTGCTTTCTGTTACCATCTACATTAGCTTACCAGGGCTGCTATAACAAATTACCACAAACTTGGGGGGCTTCAAACAACTTAAATTTATTCTTTTGAAGTTTTGGAAGGCGGAAGTCTGAAATTAAGCTGCTGGCAGGTCTGTGCTCTCTCCAGAGGCTCTGGGGGAGATCCCATTCCTCCCATCATGCAGTTTCTGGTGGCTGTCGGCATTCCTGCACTCATAGCTGCATCACTCCAGGCTCTGCCTCTGTCTCGACCTGGCCATCTCCTCCTCTCCCTATGTGTCACTCCTCTGTGTGTCTTTTATAAGAACATTTGTCATTGGACTTAAGGCCCACCCAGATAACCCAGAATGTTCTCATCTTGGGATTCTTAATTACATGTGTAAAGACCTTTTTTCCAAATAAAGTCTCATTTACAAGTTTCAGAGATCAGGATGTGGACATATATTTTGGGGGCCATTATTCAACCTACTACACATTATTTTTGTTCTATATCTTTGCTTCTTTGTTGTTACTCCTTTTTTTGACTAATGTCAGATTTCTAAAGTTTTCTATAGTTTATCATTTTATTTCTGCTTGTTCAGAAGCTATGGATATTTACACTAACTTAGTAAGTACTCTGACTTATACCATATATACCCATAAAATTTTCTAATGAAATCCTATTTTTTTCAATATTTTTATTCTTTCATTTAAAAACACGAAAAGGTTAGGATACTTTCGTTACTCATTGAATAATCCCTGACCCAATATTCTTTGCTATTTTGCCTAGAACTGTGGTCTCCAACATTTTCAAATACTCAATTAATGAATTTTGAGCACACACCTGCAATATAAGTGTATTACTTATTTATAAACTATAGACATGCATTGCTTATCAACATATTATATAAATTATAAAATATATACATATATATAATGAAATATAATATAAAGATGAAAGTTCTAATATTTTCTTTTTGATTACCAGGAGACTATTTTGCTAACCATCTGGGGTGCATACACCCTATTTTAATACCATTTGTTTAGAGATGTTATTTTACTATGAGAAAAAACACAAAAAGTATATTAAGAAATTTACTCTCAATCCTTAATTACATTTACTAAAATATTTTACAAAATTCAATCATTGCCATTGCTTTTTGCTTCCTACCTCTTCCCTCTCAGTTGCCTTCACTCAGTAATTTAGTTTCTAGATTATCCAGTAGGCATATTTCAAGACTTTCAGTCTATTTTCTTTTCTTGTCTTATTTGCCTCTGTGCTACAGAATATCCTGCACTCTCCTCCAATTCACGTATTCTCTCTTTGACTTTTAATTTGCAAGTATTTGTTCTTTTTTCTAATTCTACTTTTAACCTAGCAGTAGACTGAAGTGATTAAGCCTGTGGAATCAACCACTACTCTGCTTTGAATCCCTGTTCTACCAATGATTCCTGTGACAACTTGGGCAAGTTATTTCACCTCAGATCCCTCATTTGTATATGACTGATAATAATAGTACCTATTTCATGGGACTATTGTTCTGATTAAATGAAATTTAATAACAATATATTTAAAGAATCTAGACTGGTGCCTGGCACTTATTAAGTACTTAATAAAGTTAGCTATTTTAATTCCTAATTTTTCAAAATACAGTCAAAGAAGGTAGTTGATCCCCTCCTCTTCTGTTTTTCTTTCCCTCCCTCCCTTGAGGGTTGAAATTTTTATTCACAGTTCATCTGTGGCTTTTTATTGGAAAAATTTTTGTGGGAATATTTCTGTGTATGTGCTTTGCAGATTGAAGACCTGGAAACAAAGTCAGGACCCACTCTCCCCCTAATAACTAGAAAAACGACAAAATATTTTAATGTATTTGAAAGCATCAGAAAGCTACCAAAAGTTATTAGGCTTGAATCCTGGAGATCAACAGAAGAATGAGTAAATAAAATGTGAAATATACATATAAAATGAAAAATTATACAGTATTAAAATAGAGTAACTAGATCCATATTCACTGACATGGATAAATTCAGAAACATTTGGTGAAAAAGTACAATATGCAAAATATTATTTGCAGCCTGATATTAATTATGTAAAACACCACACATACACTATGCATTTTCTGTGAGTACAATTTTTTTTTAGGTCTGGAAGGAAAAATACTAAATTCATGAGTGTAGTTAACTCATTTACAGGGAGAGAGATTGGAGAACAGGAGCATTTGTCCGATGGGACTTCAGTGGCATCTACGATGTTCAAACTTGTAAAAGACTAAACAATTTTTTGAAGGCTAAAATGAAATTAGAGTAAAACAAATAATTATGATACACTTAGCTGTATGTGAACTAAGCTCCATTAGAAGCAGAAAAGAGGGAAGATGCCCTGTTCCCTGGGGGGCTGGGCCAGGCTCTTCACAGTCCTGTCTGCTGTCAGGAAGGGGAGCCACAAGCAGGGGCCATTGGAACTGGAGGTTGGCTTGCTAATAACGGTAATGCTATGAGGGCATATTGTGTGCCTAATGATGTGGTTATCCAGGGCTTTGGATTCGTTATCTCACTTAATTCTCACAGCAGCCTTCTGAGTTAAGTACTACTATGATTCCCATTCAACAAATGAAAAAGCTAAAGCTCAGTCAGGGTAAATAATTTCCCAAGTCACAAACTCACAGGCAGTAGAGCTATGATTTGAATCCACGCACATCTGACCCCTGAGCTCAGATTCCTGCCCACTCCGCTGCAATGTGTGTGTTTGCTGGTAAACTGAAGTAACATATCCACACACATATCATGAAGTTGAGATTAAATCAAACACAATCGCTATGGTAAGAGTATGTGGGATACTTATTCATTAGCAAGATGATATCCTTATCCCCAGAAAGATGCAACTTATAGAAGCCTGCCCTCTGAGATTTAAACTAGTGAAAATAAATATTTAATGAATGAGAGTAGCTATCTAAAAAGTTCACCTTAGGGAACAGATCAAAGCAGGAAGAGACGAGTTGATGCCACACTTCAATCAAGATGTCTAGAGTGAAGTCACATGAAGGCATAATTGCTAAAAGCAATTTGGATTTTAAAATGTTTACATTCTTTGATGCAGTGATTCCACTTTTTGGAAAATATACTAGAAGCATAATACTGACTACCTAAAGAGCTCTTTGCATAAATATATTCACACATAAAATGATTTATAACAGTAAAAATGAAAATCAATCTAAATAGTCAACGCTGGTGAAATGGTCAGGAAAATGGACCTTGCATATGGTGGGAATTATGAGACACACACACAATGTGCATACAGAGGCAGAGTTACCCTCCTGCTACAAATACACAGATATGCTGAATAATGTATAGTAATATTTAAAATGATATAGTTGAGGCAGGAAATAAAGGAAATTAATAAAAGGAAATTATATTATAAAATAATATGACCATAATAAATAATAGGAAATTCTCAAGTCCCAGAAAGGAATAAAGAACCCAAAGCCAGCATGGTAAGAGTGAGATGAAACTAGAGCAGTCAGGCCAGGCGCAATGGCTTATGCCTGTAATCCCAGCACTTTGGAAGGTCGAAGTGAGAGGATCACTTGAGGCCAGCAGTTCAAGATCAGTCTGGGCAACATGGCAAGATCCTGTCTCTATAAAAAATTTAAAAATTACCCAGGTGTAGCTGTGCACCCCTGTAGTCTCAGCTACTCAGGAGGCTGAGGTGGGAGGCTCACTTGAGTCCAGAAAGTTGAGGCTGCATGAGCAATGATCGCACCGCTGTGCTCCAGCCTAGGTGACAGAGTGAGACCCTGTCTCTAAAAATAAAAATAAAAGTAAAAGAAACCAGAGCCATCAGTGGAATGTTGGACCTGGAGTAAAAGACTGAGATTTTAATATTCACATGAGAGTGATGAGGCCTTCGGTCCACAAAAGACAGGGACCTTGGCCCTACTCTCTGTAAAGCAGATGCTGAGGCAAGGATGAAAGAGCTGAAGCCTTACTTGATGTATTTGTCTGGGTTCTCCAAAGAAACAGAACCCACAGGAGGTGTATTTACACAGAAAAAGATTTATTTTAAGGAGTAGGCTCAGAAAATTATGGAGACTGGCAAATCCAAAGTCTGCAGGCTGGAGACCCAGGGAGGGGTTTGTGCTGCAGTTCAAGCCTAAGGCCCTCTGCTACAGAAGTTCCTCTTGCTCGGGGGGATCAGTCTTTTGTTCTGTCCTGCAGTCGACTGGCTTCAAAGTGGATCTACCCACATTATGGAGGATAATCTGCTTTGCTCAGTCTACCAATTTAAACATGAATGCTACTTATAAATACCCTCTCCAGAACATCCCGAATAACATTTGACCACATATCTATGCACTGTCCCAGCCAAATTGACATATAAAATTAACCATTACACTTGGGAAGTGCAAAGAGAAGGCATCAGGGACGAAGAGGAAGACACTTAATGACAAGCCTCGAGGATCATGGCAAAGCATGTTACTCAGCAAGCATGCCTGTTTAACACAGGGGTCTCCTCCAAAGAGGCTGCAAAGAGAAAGGACACTTTGGTGTAGGCCATGGGGCCAAGAAAAAGATTTTATCTGCCACTCTCCTTCCCATCTCTGGTTTCCTGTTAATCAATGTTCAGCCACAGGAGTTAATTCCCCAACACCTCCAGGTGTGGTTAGGTGGCCCCTTCTACAGTGAGAATTATTGCAGTGTTTCATTCAAGTCTGGAAGTAGTCAAAGGAGCCAGAAACTTGGGGTTTGTGGATGGTTAGTGCAGCTGCATGGTGGAGGTCAAGAGGAAAGACCCCTGTTCCCAGAGAAAGCGATGGTCCGATCCTCCACTAGTGTCAGCAGGCTCAAGGATGGACACAGACTTGAATCCAGTGTAACTCACCCCTTACGCCACTGAGATCCACTCATTTTCTCCCATTATATTGACTCTTATACTGTATTATAGCAATTCTGGGTTTGTTTTGTTTTTGTGTGCAGACAAGACACCCTCACTCCTTCCCTAAGAGGGAGATATAGGTCCTTACAGTCACAGTTGAAATCCCCTGGGAGAATTCAGGAATGAGGTTCAGTGAAACAAGAGTCCTTAATAGACATTCATCCTCCATCATCTCTCTCCTGCACCACCCATGCTAAAATTCCCTTGTCTCCTACCAGCATTTAGTCTGGTCCAGGTTGATTGCTTGGTGGAGTTACCCAGCCCTTCAGGCCCCTTGTCCTCCCTGTGCTTGGTGGGTTGTACCAAGCACAATTCCCATTGACTGTAATTATAGGACTTAGAAGTACTGAGAGACATCCAAATACATTGCCTGAATTTTGGAAATTCTTTTTAATGATCCCTTATACAGAATGAATTCTAGTTCTTCATGCTAATCAGAATTGATTACCCAACCAGTACAATAAAATAAGTCCTTCCTTGGTTTGCCTGTTCACTGTGGTCAAGTGGAAAAGCCAGATGATATCTACCATGAGTGTCTGGTTTGGGGAACCTGGCTCTCTACCAATGGTCACATTCCCGCCAGGTGACCCTGTCCACACAGCTACTTCCTCTCAGTTCCAATAACTGCTCCCAGCCCTGTCCTTTGTGGTAACCAAATAATAATTCCCAAGGACATCCACTTCCTAGTTCCTAGAACCTGTGAATATGTAAAGCTATATGACAAGGGGAGAATGAAGGTTGAAGATGGAATTAAGGTTTCTAATCATCTGATTTTAAGGAGATGAGTGGGGATTATTCAGGTGGGCCCAATATAATCACAAGAGTCTTTTAAATTTGGAGGGGGAAACAGAAGTCAGAATCAGAGACACGGCATCACTAGAAGGACCCAACCAGCCACTGTGGGCTTTGAAGATGGAAGGGGCCAAGAACCAAGGAATGCCGGCAGCCTCTAGAAGCTGGAAAAGGCAAGGAAAGGATTCTCCCTTGGAGCCTCCAAAAGGAATACAGTCCTGGTAACACCTTGATTTTGACCCAGTGGGACCCATTTCAGACTTCTGACCCCCCAAGATTGTAGGATAATAAGAGTGTGTTGTTTTAAGCCACTACATTTATGGTAATTTGTACCAATAGGTAACTGATACACTCCTTCAGACTTAGGGGTGACAATGGGTCCCACTATTGCAGGCCCCAAGGCATTGCATCATCCCTAGTTGGTTTCCTAAACCCACCCAGGCCTCTGAAGGAATTTACAGTTTGGGTTGTTACCAGTTTCCTGCTGAGACCCTAAACTGAGACAGAGCCCAAAGCATTACTGCCAGGATTTCGGTGTCCTCAGCCATGGGAAGGGAGAGTATGCTTGTCTAAAGACTTAGAAGGGCAGCTAAATAAAGTTCTTTCTGAAGTGTCCTAAAGGCATCAGTGAAGAGCAGAGCCCTTGGGTGACCAAAGAACCTAAGTGGAGATTTATTCTCGCCTCTCTTCCAAGTCTGTTCCTTCCCCCAGCTCCCTCCCTTCAGTCCCAGGGAAAGAACCCTGGACTAGAAATTAGGAGTTCTGGTTTATTATGAAGTTTCTGCCATCAAGTATCTTCAAGAGAAGCAGCTAATTCTTCGGAGCTATGATTACTTCATCTGTTAAAAGGTACTCATGGCCCGGCACAGTGACTCACTCCTGTAATCCCAGCACTTTGGGAGGCCAAGGCGGGTGGATCACCTGAGGTCAGGAGTTCAAGACCAGCCTGGTCAACATGGTGAAACCCCGTCTCTACCAAAAATATAAAATTAGCCAGATGTGGTGGTGGGCACCTGTAATCCCAGCTTCTCAGGAGGCTAAGGCAGGAGGATCTCTTGAACCCAGGAGGAGGAGGTTGCAATGAGCCAGGATTGTGCCACTGCACTCTAGCCTGGGCAACAGAGTGAGACTGTCAAAAAAAAAAAAAAAAGTTAGTCTTGGAGAAATATTTCCTCAGTAGGCAAGTCCATCTGTGACATACATTATTAACCTGTATAATTTAATATTACCCTGGACACGCTATCCTCTTTTTGTGTGACCCACACAACTTCAAGTTTCTTCGACAAGGTCCTCTTGGCTGCATTAGTTTAGGCTGTGTATGCTACAATAGCAACAAGGTTGATGCTTTAGAGAATAAGATATCGATGTCTTATATTTAACACCTTAAGGCAGTTCCAGGTCAGAAGGGATGAGTTGAGGATGGTGGTGAGAATTCTGCTTCAAACAGTGGGTCACTTGGGTGACCTGGGTCACTCGGGTACCCAGACTGATGGCAACTCTGCCACCAGCAACATGTGGCTTTCAGGATTGATGTGGTTGTTTCCATCCCAGGCAGCCAGAAGCAAGGGAAAGCGCGCAGGAGGGCACCTGTGCAAGTTTTTTATTGGCCAGGACTGGGAGGAGTATACATCACTTTTGTTCTCATTCCATTGTTTAGAACTCAATCACATAGATGCATCTAACTACAAGGGTGACAATATTGCTTGGAGCCTAGAAAAGAAGGCTCAGATTTAGGTGTATCTACCACAAAAGCTCACACTAACTGCCTTCATTTCTCATCTCAAACTCCTATGAAGGGCCCAGGAAGCCTACGAGGGCTGGTCCCTGCCCCCATCTCTGCTCTAATCTAATTTCCTGCCACGTTCCTTCTCATTCACTATGCTCAGTCTCACTGGCCTTCTTTCAATTCCTGAATCCTGTTGACTCTTTGTGTTTGCTCTTCCTTCTACCTGGACCACTCCTCTTGCAGATCATTTAGGTCTCTGCTCCCATATCTTCTCCCCAGAGACCTTTTCTTGACCATCCTATAAAATGTTGTCCCCACCTCCCAGACACCTTCCCATAGAATCCCTCGTAAAAGCAGGCCTGGGTGGTCAGGCATGCCCAGACATGTACTGAATCCTAGCAGAGTTTAGGCTCAAACAGGAGTACCCCTAAGAGTTCCCTCCCAACCCTGCAGCATACGCATATGGAGCCCTGTCTGCAGTGATCGGTGTATTGTCTCCACCTCCCAGACACTGCTGTGTTGAGGAATAATGGCTGAGAGTGTTCAGCATTGAAGGAAAACACCAAATCTCAAGCAATGTAATTAAAGACAAATCCATATTTCTACTGGAGACATCATAGTGCAATTATAGAACATCAAAGAGAAAGAATGACTTGAAAGAACTTCAAAAGTATTACTTTAGCAAGAAAGAATATGAGCCATAAAGGGGAATGAGATGTAAGGAGCAGTAGTGGGCCAAGAGAGCAATAAAGCATGTTGGCAAATCTAATAATCAATGGATGATAAATCATAACTACTGAGAGGTTAAAAGCATGGAGGTCAGCTCGGGGAGTGGTGTGCACCTGTAGTCCCAGCTACTCAGGAGGCTGCCATGGGGAGATGGCTTGCACCCAGGAGTTCAAGGCTCCAGTGGGCTGGGATTATGCCACTGCATTTCAGCCTGGGCGACAGAGAGGGACCCTGTCTCTTAAAAACAAAACAAATAAACAAACAAACAAAGAGTGGAGGAGGAACTAAAATTCTAGATGATATTCCACAATAAAGTTATACGAATTCCATATAACTCCATGATATGGAAGCTAGGGGGAAAGAGAGTGTAGAGGGAAATTAAGTTCAGGCAGGATGACTATGCTCATGGATTCTCGAAGGTCCTCTTCATGGGGTAATGTGTATGCTCTGTACCTTTGCTTTTGGTGTCTTTTCTTCTCCTCCATGGACACTGCCTGTGCTGGGATCCACTTCTCCTGTGACAAGAAGATGGAAACCCTTTGCCGCAATCAGAGTACACTTCACCCCCAACTTGCCCCCATTTCTTCACACTGATCACTGCAGGCAATAGGGCTCCTTATGCATGTGCTACAGGCTGGGAGGGAACGGTTAGGAGTGCCCCCGCCTGAGCCTGAACTCTGCTAGGATTCAGTGCATGTCCGGGCATGGCTGGCCACAGAGCTTGCTTTTGTGAGTGATTCCATGGTAAGGGCACAAAAGAGCACTGGCACTATGGCAGGCGGGAGCTGTGTGGGCAGGAATAAGAACACAGAACAATAAGATTTATCTTCTGGCCCAGACTCATGGCAAAAACAGTTATGGGACTATTATCACCATGACCTCTGGGAGACACAGGGGCAGACTTCACTCTGTACTTGTGCCCTGTGACCAAGTGTCCCATGAGATGCCCAAGGTTAGAGATAACCAGGTTCATGCACATTTGTGTCTTTCCACAATGTCAGACTTTTACTGAAGCTGTCTCAAACATAAAAGACACGAGCTACATGGAGTTCAGCAAGAAGGCAGTTCTCCTTAGTACTTCTCATTCACTCAGTTGTCAGAGCCACGGGCACATAGGCCCAAGCCTGTGGGCAGGAAATCAATCATTATTGCAAACCATACATAGTAGTATACTTGATCAATATGTAAATGTTATAAATTAAATATTCCACCACAAACAAAGTAACATTTATCATCAAGAGAGAAGGGATAGTAAAAACATTAATGAACCAGTCCAGGGCGACCAACATAGACAAAAATAATCTTCTGGTCTGGCCTGTGGTGGCTGTCGGTCTTGCAAGGAAGAGTCTTTGATATGGGCAGAGCTTTGGGTTGCAGATGCCAGATGCATATCACGAGTGATAGCAAGATGGTGTCTGTTAAGGTGGACTTTTCAAGCTGCTGAGGTCCTGCTCTTTTAATGGCCACCCCAGAGTCCTCTGGTGAGAACTGATAGTGGAAAAGTGTGCTTGGTTATGTCCTTATCTGGTTGGATGTAGTCTTTATTGATTAGGCAAAATATCTGTTCTCTTTTGGCAAGGGGCCTTTTGAAATGTAAGATGGAGTCTGTTTCTGAGATACAGTTACTTATGTCATGGGGGCGCTATACAAAGTGCCACACTTAAGACCACAGAGGGATTCTCTCCCATGGAATACAACTCTGTGGAGCACGAGTCCATGAAGCATAGTTTATACTGACAGCTGAGAGGACATGCAGGATGACATCAATAGGTGTGGTGGCTAGCTCCAAGACGGTCCTAGTGGTCCCTGTCTCTTGGTATTCACACCCTCTTCTCCCCCACATTGTACCATGATTAATCTGTGCAACCAATAGCATATGGCAGGTGTGATGGCATGTCACTTCCGAGGCTAAGTCATAAAAGACATCATGGCTTCTTTCTTGCTCTCTTGAAGAGAGTAAGTTGCTGTGTCTTGGGCAGCCTTATGGAGAAGCTTACTTGGTGAGAATCTGAGGTCTCCTGATAACAGCCAGAGAGAAACTGAGGCACAGCCACGTAAGTGACCCCTCTTGGAAGTAGCTCCTCCAGCCGATCAAGACTTCAGGTGCTGCAGCCCTGGCCATCTTCTTGACTGCAACCTCACAGGAGACCCTGAGCTAGAACCACCCAGCTAAACCAATTCTGGATTCCTGACCTTCAGAAGTTGTATGAGATAATAAACATTATCTTAAGCCATTATAACAATAGATAACTAATAAAACAACATTCTTCTAGCACAATTTTAAACAAATGGAATTAAATGTAACACATCTTGTATAAATATTGATAAAACTCTTAATGTGTGAAATGAAAGTAAATGTTTAATAATACTAAGATATATTCAATAGCATGGTGGGGGAAGTGTATTATGCAAGAGATATATTGGGAAAATTTATGAGATTTCTTTGGAGAACACTGATAATTTCTCACTCCCTCACCTCTGGGAAGAGAATAAGAAGCTACTTTCCAACATAAACCTATTGAGAGGGAGCTTCCGGGGCACATTGAGAAAGCTTGGTGTGTGTTCTCTGCAGCTGGGGAGGGGAGATCTTAGATTCCTGCCTAACTCAGGCCTGAGAAAGCTGAAGTTGCTTGTGACCAAAAGACAGATGACCTGCATTTCCAGGATTTGTTGGAGGGTTGAAGGTTTTCCATAGAACAAATATTTGCCACTCAGCATAGGGAAAACCAGGCTGGAGCTCTTTTAAGTTCTTCCCAAGAAGATCACATGAAGAGTAAAATTTGTTGGTGTATTGTGGACCACCAGATCAGGGCTGGTGGTGGAGTGGGGGGGTGGCAGCTGGAGAAACAGAATCCATTGCCCACATCACAGATCGTGTTGGGCTCTGCCGAACCCAAGGGTTACAAGAGTCTGTTTTAGACATCTGCCAGGTCAAAGAGCAAGCCACGTAAGTACCATCCTGTCCTCTGACTATCTCTCTTCAACCCTGGTAGGAGAGGAGTTGAATGAAGAAGGAGCAGAAGCCACTGCAACCTCCTTCCTAGATCACAGACTCTCTCACTGCTGGCCCTGGCTGGGGAGCAGCAGGGGGAGGAGAGGGAGGAGTCTTACCTATGGATGAAGTGTGAAGTATTGATTATTGTCTTGGCTAGACATCTCTTCTAAGTTTTTTATTATGAGAGTTGTTGAACATAAAGGAAGGTGTCCATCACCTAGATGTAATGATTGTTACTGTTTTGCATATTTGCTTCATCTTGTTTTTGCTGAAGTGTTGGGGTAGATTGAAGACGTGTGTTTCACATTTCTGGATACTTCAGACTGCCTCTTCATAGAATAAGGATGTTTTCCTGCGTGCCACAGCAATGTTGTGGGATTAATGATGATTCCTTGGCATGTCCTGGTACCTGTACATATGTGGGTTTCCTAACTGTCTCTAAGGTATGTTTTCATATATAATTGGCTTGTTCATGCCCAGAAAGAAAAACTGGATACTTAACATCTTAACTGAGGCAGTTAATTTATGACTTAAAATGAGTCAGAACTGTGCCCAAAGAAAAACCATAAGAATTTCATTCAGGAGTGGAGGAATTTTATCCCTGCTGAAAAAAGCTGAAAGACAGGACAGAAAACAAGAGGAGAATTATGTATTCTCATAATTTCAAAAACAAGAAAAGTTTATGTCTTGTAAGGTGACAGGCACTGCTGGAAAGATGCTGTAATAAGTTTATTCACGTCTTCGAAACCCAGATGTTTAAAAACTGCATGGGAACCTTATACATTGCTAATGTGCATGCAAATTGGTGCAAATTCTATGCAGGGTGCTGCAGCTGAATCTATCAACATTTTTAAAGCATACATTCTTTGATACAACAATCCCTTCCTATAAATAAATTCCTATGGAATTTATTCTGTATGTATCCTTACCAGTGAAATGGCAGTAAAAGGATTTGCCTTGCAGCATTGTTTGTAATAGCAGAAAATTGGAAACTATCTTAAAAGACCATCAGTGAGGGACTAGTTGAATATATGGTTGTATATATTATTATTTTTGTGATATATTACGTGTGTGTGTGTGTGTGTGTGTGTGTGTGTGTGTGTGTGTGTGTGTGTGGTGTCTTAGCTCAGGCTGCCATAACAAAATACCATGAACTGGGTGGGTTAAAGAGCAGACATTTCTTTCTCCCAGTTCTGGAGACTGGGAAGTTCAAGATCAGGGTTCCTGCTGCTGGGTTTTCTGATGAGTTCCTGGCTTGCAGACTGCCATCTTCTGGCTGTGTCCTCACATGACAGATAGAGAGCTCTGGTGTCTCCTCTTAATAAGCCTTATTCTAGGCATCACCCTTATGGCCTCATTTAACTTTAATGACTTCTTCACTCTACATACAGTTAACATTGGGTGTTAGGACTTCAACATATAATTGGGGTGGGGGTCACAATTCAGTCTCTTGCATGTGGCGTGGTATTCCACAACGGAAATGCAATAGAATAAGCTAGCAGAAAGAATGAGGCTCTATGTACAGATAGACTGTGAAGTGGAAAACAGCAAAGAACAGGATGAGGAGCTGAGTGCATGAGCTGAGTGCCCACATTTGCCCTCCTTATTCACTCTTGGCCCTTCCCCACCTGTTCCGTGCCCCAGAGTGACCTCTTTAAACTGCATCAATAGACTCTTGTTCTCTGGCTTAGGTTGAGTGCAGCCCATGAGGTGCTGCAGCAAAAGGTCAGAGGGAGGAGAGGAAGGACAGGTGATTATGCCCCCACACCTCCCTGGAATGCTCCTCAACTGGCAGTGTTGCTCACACTATGTCACTGTGCCCTCTCACTCAACTGTTGCTGGCTTTGGGCTTTTCCTACACCTTGGTAAACAGTCCATTTATTAAACTCTACTGAAATGACTCACTTTATGTGTGCCATCTGTTTTCTGTCAGGACTCTTGTTGATACAGTACGTTAACATTTGTGTTTTTTTAAAAAAAAAAACTGGTAAGTATGCTTGCAGGTTGAGGTACATGCACTTATTTATGCTTAGAATATCTCTGGAAAACTGCAGAAGAAACTGGTAACAGTGGTTGCCTCGAGGGAAGGAAAATGGGTGGCTGGGAATAGGGGGAGAAGAAGGGATATGTATGTTTCCTGCACCCCTTTTGTTCCTTTTAAATTTTGTACTCTATGTAGATATTACTTATTCAAAAATAAGTCTTAATTTAATTATTTAAAAAATAAAAAACAAAAACTGCAGAGAGGCTTGGTGCCAGAAATCTTTACAGGCAGCCATCCCTGTAGCACCCAGGTACCTCCCTCCCTAGGGGCAGCTGCCTCTGCTGGCAGATACTCCAAGCTACCAACTAAACAAAAATACAAACAAAAGCATAATTAACAGGCTTCTTCCACTCTGCACTATGTAGATGAGAGGTGCAATGTTCTGAAAAACTTTGATGCGTTAACTCAGACCATTTGCTGATACTCATTGGCAGGCAACAGGTTCCTACTAAAGGCAGTAATTCATAACCACCATCAGCATGTGTGCTTACCACACTTTTGTCCCTCCCCTGGTGGAGGTCAGAGCCACAGTGACCAGGATAGAGCCTGCTGGGGATTTTCACTTAGGCCCACCCTCTAGTCCCTCTCTGACATCTTTGCCACCCTAGGGACTCAAAACCATCTATGGCCTGGTTGAGCAACAGCAACACATCAGGGGGTCAGGCTTGGAGACCACACAGGAAGGCCTTATCCACCTCCTTTGGGCTTGGCTCTTTCTCCTGCTCCTCAGCCATGGCCGACCCATTATTTAGCAACATCTCTATTTTATCATGCTCATTATACTGCAGTGTTCTTCATTTTCATCTCATTATTGTTGGCGGGGTCATCCAGCGGTTTTGTCACCCAGGAGACTGGGAGGGAAGCTGTACACTCAGCTCTCTTCCCCAGGCTTGGCTAATCCATCATCTGACAATACATTGTCAGGTGTCTGTCTTCTGGTTGTAGGGTGGCCACCGGAGCCTGTCAGTCCTTCCAGCTCTTCTTCCTGTCAGAGATGTCTAGTTTAATCACAGTTCCCTGCATCGATCCTTCCCTGCTTAGACAGAAAAACATATCTATATTTTATAGACAGATATATAATTGGTAGAGAAAACAGTACATGCATACAAATCCTTTGTATGACTCTTTCGGGGGAGTAGTGTCTCGAGGTAACTGACTGCAGTATTGGAAGCATATAGGATAGAATCACTCCTGCCCTAAAGAACACATGTTGCTGCTACTTCCCCAGCTAACATGACACGAGGGCTGTGGATAGAAGTCCCTAGGACATTTTTGCAAAAAGGCTACCATAATTTTGCCCCAGTTCTGCGGCATTGCAAAACTGGTTAGGATCTCAAGGAGGTGACCACAGGAAAGGAGTGGACAAGGCACTGCTGTGAGGGGAACTGATGCCCATTGTCTCCACCTGAGGGCCCTGCCCATCTCTCCTCACATTCTGCTCTCCAGCCCCATAGCGGAGATATAGGGCTCTAAGCCCCAAGCCCCCCGCCCACCCTGTGCCTTTTCTCATGTGGTGTCTCTGCTGGAACTGCTTCTTCTCATCCTGTGAAACCCAGATCTCCACTGCTGCCTCTTTGGTGAACGCTTCCTGGATCCCTACCCTATACCCATCAATACCCCTCCAGCAAATTGAAACCTACTTTCTTCTGTGGTCCCATAGCACTTTGCTCCTGGGATTGTTGCAGTTGGTTCTCCACTGTGTGACTCTTCCATTGCTTGCACATCATCAGATTTTGCTAGGTGCCTAATGCACAGAACATAGCTTAACTGAATAGTACTACATCCAGAATGCTAATTAGAGATACTTACGTAAAGCACTGTCTTAGTCAGTTTGGGCTGTTATAACAATTGGGTGGTTTAAACAACAAACATTTATTTCTCACACTTCTAGAGGCTGGCAGTCTTGGGTTCTTGGTGAGATCCCTCTTCCTGGTGAACAGACAGTTGTCTCCTTGTTGTGTCTTCACAAGGTAGAGAGAGCTCTGGTCCCTTCATCTCCTTATAAGGGTTACCCATCATGCGTGCTCCACCCTCATGAACTCATCTAAACCTATTTACCTTCCAAAGACACCCCACCTCCAACTACCATCACATTGGTGATTAGGACATCAATATATGAATTTTGGAGGGACATAAACAGTTCAGAGCAAGCATCTAACAATTGAGGGTTTGCTTTTGTGCCAGACACTGTGCTGAGAACTTCACAGGCACTATCTCGCTTAACCCTCACCACAAGCTACAGAGTGTCCCCCTCTGGCAGCTAGAAGACCAGGACTAGAAGAGGGTAAGTAACTTAGTCAAGGCCACATGGCTAGAAATTGATAGCAATTGGATTTACATCCAAGTCTGACTCCACAGCATTTATTTCTTAAACTTTTTAAATTCAAAAATAATACCTGCATATGGTAAGGAATAAAAAGGACCTAACTCCCTTGAAACATAAAAAGTAAGTGTCCCTGCTACCCAGATCATCAACACATCTCCCAAAAGCAATCACTGTTGTCAACTCCCTTTTTCTTTCTAAAATTAGTCTATACATATACTCTTCTGTTTGCTTTCACACAGTAGCATATGCTAGATATTCTTCTACAACTTGCTTTGTTTTCACTTTACTTATATCTTGGAGATTGTTTCATTATCAATGGCTACAGACCTAGCCTCATTCTTTTTAACTAATGCAGAGTATTCTACAAATGGATATGCTATAACTTATTTAATCAACTTCTGTCGACGAGCCTTCAGTGGTTTCCTGTCTTTTGCTATTATATTGGGGCTCTAAAGTGTATCCTTGTCCATAAGTCTTGGCACAAGCTCCATTGCATTTAAATCTTTGTTCCTTCTGGAACTTTTGGTATAATAAATGAGGTTCAGAATCAGTAAGCCATGTGCTCTTGACCACTTATACACTACGATGGCCAAATATCTTACCTGGCACATAGCAGGTGCTTGTAAGTGGTTACCATAACAATGGCAATAGTGATACTCACAGCAGCATCCACGGCAGCACATCCTCAGGGAACGCTGTTGTATATATGAAGAGGCCATTAGTCCACAGCATTAAGGAGGGCTACCTGGCAGTCTTCTAACCCTCAGTAAGACTAGGCCCTAATAGCCACTTACCCATCAGAATAAATGAGTTTGCGGAACCTTCCTGAGAGTAATTTTTGACATGGGGAGGGAAGAAAGACATCACAAGAATACAGTGATGGGATGCAGCCAAAGGGTGCTGACCCAGGATGGAGGAGCTTCTGAAGACACACTCTTGGCGATTTGTTTAAGGAACTCCTAGTGAACAGTTCAGAAGAACCGCAGTCTGCACAATATTCAGTGGATGCAGACTAACAGGGATGGCCAAACACCAGAGGGAATGGAGGCAGGTACTTGTTTTAGGAGAGGTGATGGGCAAGGAGACAAAGCCAGCAGGGGCCAGACCAGACGTCTGAACACAGAACAGACCCTTTGGTTGCATGACAACACACAGGGCTTATGGCAAGCAGTAAGAGGCTCCATTTTGGGATTGGGTGAAGAGACACCTTCACTCCCCAGAGAATTGGTGCACACAATGCAAAGCAGATGCTGCTCTTCAGCCGCGGAGTTGATGGGCACAAACAAATCCCCTGCTGGGTGGAGGTTGGGGCGTCACAGAGAATAACTGATCAGTAGGGTGTGTCCCCATGCTCGGTATGAAGACTTGGTATTAAGATATCATAATAACAGCTAATATAAATCATAATCCAGGCCCAGATGTTAATTCATTTCCTTCTCTCAACACCCCTACAAGTGTACTCCCACTTTACACGTGAGAAAACTGGATCACAAAGAAGTTGACCCTCCAGAATTGGAGTCATATAACTTGTGTCTATTATCAAAATTTGGATATCAGTTTGGCTCTGAGGGATGCACTTACAGATGGCTGGCTGTCCCCTAAGATGCGGTCTTCACAAGGAGAGCCCCCAGCACAGTGATCAGGATTTAGGTCACATCTGTGCCTTTTTTAAGCCACTTGACCCCAGGGACTGGCAGATGTCAGTGCTGCTCTGTTCCTTCCTGGTCCTCCTGGATGAAGACTACAGTGAAGGCACAAGCTGTTTCTCTGAATAATGCAACCATGGAATAGTGGGAGTAAGAGCACTGGACAGGGAGCCAGGAAGCCCAGGTCAGCAGATGGATGAGAGAGCCCAGGAGGAAGGAAGGAGATGGGCAAGCCTCCTGGCCCAGCTCTGCAGGAAACCAGCTATGGGCTGAACACAGAGGTCCCCAGATCCACCCGTGTCAGGCAGGCTCCAGTAGGAGTCAGCAAACACGGGGGTCAGGGATGGTGTAGCAGGCCTCTGGCCTCACACCACAAAATCTACTGATTAGATTAGCCAGGACGCGCCATCACAGGGGTCAGGGCTTTCTTCCGCTTCAACTTTTCGGCAAGCTCTTGCCTCCACCATCCTGGGAGAGGTGGGCTAACTCCTGTGAAAGGCACTTGGGTCATCTTTCAGGGGGATGCTGCTTCCTCCTCCCTGCCCCGCCCTCTATCCAGGACTAGATGGATTTGCTGTGCTCTGGTTTTGCCATGTATCCAGACATCTACCAGCTGGACTGGCCAGGGACAACCAAAACATGAAGTCAGAAAAGAACAAAGCCAATTTCCTTCAGCAGCCCAAGACCTTGACCTCACCAGCCCTGGGCCCCACCCCTCACACCCATCTCTAGCTCACTGCTCAGACAGAGGAAGGGAGTCCCCCTTCATCTGCTGCACTTGTGAGAACCACAGTGTCTTCCGGTCCCTGTCCTGGCTCTCATCTGAGGGGTGCTTTGAGCTGTCCTTCTACCCCCGCAGGTTGTCATGGTGACTGCCGCTCAAACTCTCCATTGGACAGAGCAGCAGATTGTCTCCATGGTGATCAAAAAGATCTGTGGAGAAAGGATGTTTGGCCTTGGAAACGAACTCATGGGAAAACTCCTGGGAAATAAGCCTCTTCTGGGGGCATCAGAAGAGATTCTCCTCCTTGTGACACAGTTCTTCAGCCATTCCACTGGCCCAGAAAGCTTAGCTTTCTAACGGTTGATGCCATCATCTGTGTTAACATTCTAGCCATAGAGGATGCCAACTCCAGATTCCTGGCTGTGCCAAGGAAAACTTGCAAGTCAGGAAAGTATAGCTGAGATGCTGAAAAGCACCTGCCCTTTCAGTGCTCTGCAGCAGTGCCCCCTGCACACCTTCCTCCCCAGTCTCCATGGAGCCTGGCTTCTCTCCCACTCTGACAAGACGCTGGGCCCACTTCTTCCTGATAGGGTGTGAACTGATACAGCTGAAAACAATGCTCTTCCCTCACCGCCCCCCCGAAAAACATGTGCATTTTAGGAGAATCTTTGATAACAAAACAAACAAGTCTCTGCTGTTGCCCAACAGTCTCTGATAGACATTTCTCTGCCCCATGTATGCATATTTCTTTTTTTTTTAAATTGTACTTTAAGTTTTAGGGTACATGTGCACAATGTGCAGGTTAGTTACATATGTGTACATGTGCCATGCTGGTGTGCTGCACCCATTAACTCGTCATCTAGCATTAGGTATATCTCCCAATGCTATCCCTCCCCGCTCCCCCCACCCCACAACAGTCCCCAGAGTGTGATGTTCCCCTTCCTGTGTCCTTGTGTTCTCATTGTTCAATTCCCACCTATGAGTGAGAATATGCGGTGTTTGGTTTTTTGTTCTTGCGATAGTTTACTGAGAATGATGATTTCCAATTTCATCCATGTCCCTACAAAGGACATTCTTTTCTACCTTTCATACCTTGAATCTTGGCTTTTGCACAGTTAAAGCTCACAGTATAACAGGGAGGTCACTAGGGCTCTTTGAAACACCTAGTCCCTTGCTAATCTGACACTTGCACTCCTGCAATCAGGCTGGGCTAGGTCAAGAGAGATTGGCTTTCCTCCCTTTGCTTTTCAGACAGGAACCATTTCCCTACCTACCTCAGGCACCCCACAACTTCTTGTCTCTCCCTATCACTACTTGCTTTCAAAGAGGATCAGAAACCCATTCACATCGGAATGTGACTAATAACAAATTAAAGTATATTCTCCCCCAGGGAAATCAGAGGTTAAATTGTAAGGAATAATTCCTAAGGGGAATTCAGGCACCAGCTCAAGGATCACTGCTACAAGAGTACAGTCTGAACTTTACTCTTAGAAAGAAAAAGAAATGATATGGGTCTTCTTTTCTCCAAAGCATTTCTTTATACTTGCCGACTCCCTTGGGTGATAAAGGGAGTTGGTTTTGTTTCTAAAGCCTAAGATGTGATTTGTCATAAAGTTCTGCCACACTGAAGCTAGATATAGCAGCACCATAAGAGGACTCTACCTCCACTGCCCAATGTCACTGCTTCCTTCCCAGCTGCCTGGCCTCGCTAGGGCACAAGCATGGTGGTACTCACTAGCATATTCAGGTGGGGCAGCCCACCATGGGCAGCCACTCCCCCAGCTGCCTCCTCATCTTCACCTCCTCTTCGTGACCCTGGGTTTCTCCTGGGATGTCTCACTCACTAAAAGCAAATCAAAAAGCCTTTTTCAGATACACCTGAGTTCAAGTATGAGCTTCACCAATTATGCCACTGAGTATCTGTCTGCTTGAATTTCTCCAAAAGTAGAGCCTAAGACAGGTAAATCCTTTGTGATGTGACTTTGGGGGAAGCAGGGAGAGGGCAGGGAGAGAGATTCAGGTCAGCAAGCAGAGCTAATATAAATAACGATGCAGTGTGGGGTCGCTGCTGTGGGCAACAGGAATCAATTCCACCAGGACCCACTGAGAAACTAACAGAATGTCTTCCTGCCCATAGGAGGGAAACTATGCTGTGTCCCGCGCTCGTTAACCCTATGCTTCTGACTGGTGCATGTTTGAGATGAGTCTGGACTTCCTGGGACCTGTCCGCCTTGGCTGAGCTGGGGGCGCTGAAGGGATGACCACTCTTTGGCAAGTTACTGACCATTCCCGGAATCTAGGTTCTTCACAGGTAACCCTCTACCTCACAGAGCTGTAATAATCTATAAATGAGAGAACTCCTGAGACACTGTTAGCACAGTGCCTGACCCAGAATAAAGGCTCCATAAATAGCAGCTACTATTCCCGTGCTGCGACTGGAGATGTGGAAGCGCCTCTGTTGAGCCCTAAGGCTCTGAGAGTCTGTAGTACACACCCCACCCCCATCTCTCTGGCAGGACCTAGATTGGGTAGGACTGGAAATGACATAGGAAATGGCTGCTGAGGAAGCAACCTGATTTCCAGATCTAGGAAACTCCGACAAGTCTTTTGCTTATTTCTCAAAAGAAAGACAACCCCAGCAGGGCCTGGAGTGCATGAGGCAGAGAGGTCTGTAGCTCCGGAGTGGCAAGGAGGGTGGAATCCTCCACTTTTTTTTTTAAAGAAGGAACAGTTTTCTTATATGGTTTGCCACTACCAATGCACCAGGCTGACCCTTCAGAACATGAATTCATTCATTCAGAATTCATTTATTTATTCAACAAGCCTTCACTAAGGACTTCCTATGTGCCAACCTCCTTGTTGGAAGCAGGGCCATCAGAAATGAAAGGTAATCCCCGCACTAAGAACAGAAAGGTACGGCAATGATGCCTATGCACTATAACAAGTGCCACACTAGAGGCTGCCCTGGAAGGTGAATTCCACCAAAGGGAGCAACCTGCAAAGGCTTCGCGACAAGACAGGACACAGCACATGGCACTCATGGGGCACTATAAGTCATTCAATGGGCAGCAGTGATGCTCCTAAGGACACGTAATGTTTATTTTTTTAAAAAAATTTTTAAAGACTGACCAGGGAAGTAGAGGTCAGGATTTGAGAAGAGTTGTCTGCCACACAAGGGAATTTGGCCTCATCCTAAAGCTGATGGAAAGTCACACCAAAGAATGTATTCATTGGGAGGCTGAGATGGGTGGATCACCAGATCAGGAGATCGAGACCAACCTGGCTAACAGGGTGAAACCCCATCTCTACTAAAATTACAAAAAATTAGCCGGGCATGGTGGTGGACACCTGTAGTCCCAGCTACTCGGGAGGCTGAGGCAGGAGAATGGCATGAACCCGGGAGGCGGAGCTTGCGGTGAGCCGAGATCACGCCACCGCACTCCAGCCTGGGCTACAAAGCGAGACTCTGTCTCAAAAAAAAAAAAATGTATTCAGTACCCTTCAGTACCCCTCAGTCCAACCCCCCCCCCGCTATGGTTTGAATGTGTCTCCTCTAAAATTCGGGTGTTGAAACTTTTTTTTTTGAGACAGAGTTTCACTCTTGTTGCCTAGGCTGGAGTGCAATGGCATGATCTTGGCTTGCTGCAACCTCCGCCTCCCGGGTTCAAGCCATTCTCCTACCTCAGCCTCCCAGGTATCTGGGATTACAGGCATGTGCCACCACGCCCAGCTAATTTTGTATTTTTTGTAGTGACGGGGGTTTCACCATGTTGGTCAGGCTGGTCTTGAACTCCTGACCTCAGGCAATCCACCCACCTCAGCCTCCCAACATGCTGGGATTACAGGCATGAGCCACAGCACCCGGCCAGGTGTTGAAACTTAATGGCCAGTGTGATGGTATTGAGGTGGGACTCTAAGAGGTATTTAGGTCAGGAGGACTCCTCCCCTTATGAATGGGATTAAGGCCCTTATAAAAGGGGCTTCACAAGCATTCAGCTCTCTTGCCCTTCACTCCTGCCCTGTGAAGACATATTATTCCTCCCCTCCAGGGGATGTAGCACCAAGGCGCCATCTTGGAAGCAGAGAGACCAGGTCCTCTGTAGCCAGCACCTTGATATGGAACTTCCCAGCCTCCAGAGATGTAAGAAGCTGTCTTTTACAGATGACCCCATCGCAGGTATTTTGTTATAGTAGCACAAATGGACGAAGACACCCCTCATTGTCATAAATGCTGCAACTTCTACATCAACAGTGATGTTCTAATCTATAAATGAAGACAGAATCAAAAGCAACCAATAGGCCTCTTTGCAAATAAACTTTTGGTAGCTGTTTAAAATCACCACAAACAACAGAAACCCTTCTTCTCTTGCCTTTGCTGATTGAAAAATTGTTGGCCAGGCACAGTGGCTCATGCCTGTAATCCCAGCACTTTGGGAGGCCGAGGCGGGCAGATCAGTTGAGGCCAGGAGTTTGAGAACAGCCTGGCCAACATGGCGAAACCCCATCTCTACTAATAATACAAAAATTAGCCAGGCGTAGTGGTGTGCACCTATAGTCCCAGCTACTCAGGAGGCTGAGGCATGAGAATCGCTTGAAACTGGGAGGCAGAAGTTGCAGTGAGCTGAGATGGCAGCACTGTACTCCATCCTGGGAGACAGAGCAAAACTCTGTCTCAAAAAAAAAAAAAAAGAAAGAAAGAAAGAAAAAGAAAAATTGTTCATACATCATCCTGAGCCACCTTTATACTTTCACTGAGAAAGTTCATAGCATTGCTGTGGAGTCCCAGGTACAATAATGTGATGATTAATACTGAGTGTCAACTTGATTGGATTGAAGGATAAAAGTATTGATCTTGGGTGTGTCTGTGAGCGTGTTGCCAAAAGAGATTAAAATTTGAGCCGGTGGGCTGGGGAAAGCAGATCCACCCTTAATCTGGTGGGCACAATCTAATCAGCTTCCAGAGAATATAAAGCAGGCAGAAAAATGTGAAAAGGAGAGATAGGCCTAGTCTCTGCCGCTCTACATCTTTCTCTCATGCTGGATGCTTCCTTCCCTCGAACATCGGACTCCAAGTTCTTCAGTTTTAGGACTGTGACTGGCTCTCCTTGCTCCTCAGCTTGCAGACAGCCTATTGTGGGACCTTGTGATCCTGTAAATTAATACTTAATAAAATCCCATATATATATTCATTCAAAGAATATATATATCCTATTAGTTCTGTCTCTCTAAGAGAACCCTGACTAATACAAATACATACTGAGTGGATAGATGAATGGAAAGGGGACAACAGTAATAATGATAAATGTGATGAGCAACTATGCATGCCTGCTTGCACAGACATAGACTGGCTTTAGTAACAGTGATTGCCTCCAGGGAGGGCAGCTGAATTCTAAGGTTTGAGGATAAAAAAGGACTTACTTCTCGCTTTTCACCCTTTCAAAGTGCTTAAATTTGTTACGAAATTAATTCATCAAAAAAAATGTTTTAAGTAAATGTAAGTGCTGTCAATACCCTCCAGCCAAAGACCACCAGATCACAACTGTAGTCAAATAAAACTAGTTTTATTGATTTGCCACAATAAGGAAGAACACACACCATGGGTATCTGTGGGGCATCTCAGTAAGAGAATGTTAGAAAGGACTTACAGGATTTAGCTTGTGTCAGGAGATTTTGAGGAGGATTCAAGGAAGCAAGGCTTTGCCCTGGATTGGATCCAGCCGGGAAGCAGGGGTAACTCTCTGATTAGAGTCTTTACCATGAGCATCTTAACAGTTTGAGTCTAGAAAGAGAGAGGAAAGGAGCAAAGTTAAAGTTGCTTTTGATGAAGCAGCGGCAGTCACTCTTAAGCAAGCTGGGGGACTGTGTGTTTGGTCACTTTTGTAGTTTGGATGATATATTTAGTCCATTCTCACATTGCTATAAAGAACTACCCAAGACTGGGTAATTTCTAAAGAAAAGAGGTTTAATTGGCTCACGGTTCTGCAGGTTGTACAGGTAGCATGGCTGGGGAGGCCTCAGGAAACTTACAATCATGACAGGAGGCAAAGGGGAAGCAGGCGTGTCTTCACATGGCAGAGCAGGAGAGAAAGAGCAGAGGGGAGGGCGCCACACACTTTGAAACAGCCAGATCTCGTGAGAACTCTATCCTGAGACAGCACTAGGTGGATGGTGCTAAACCATCAGAAACCACCTGATGATCCAACCACCTCCCGCCAGGCCCCACCTCCAACACTGGGGCCAACCACCTCCCGCCAGGCCCCACCTCCAACACTGGGGATTAAAGTCAACGTGAGATTTGGGTGGGGACACAGAGCCAAACCATATCAGATAATAATTTATTTTGCCTGTGTTCAGACATGATTACTGAGTAATCTTATTTTTGTCTTTATCCATCAAGTGAACAGAGTGACCTTGCCTGAAGGGGTATTTCCTGAAATTGTTTGTGTTGAACAGAGCACCTTCATCTAGCTATAGGGCCAGGCCAGCTCCTATGAACACTAAGGCCTGGCTGCCAGGGTTGCTTTTCTTTTTGAATGCCTTTCAAACTAAGGAGTACAGATGTGAATTCAATTATTTACTTTTACTATACTGCCTGAGTGGTACAGAAATTGACCTGATTTTTTTTTTAAATTATTGATTGAATACCAAGTAAGGATCACTTCAGCCACTTTTTGAGACACCAAAGTCCTTTAATAGAAGATATTCTAAAACTCCAGTGGGCAGGAGCTTTGAGGATGGGCCCACTGTTGGCTGGGATGCAGTGGGGATCAGCCAGGCTCTCCGACCTCCCATTGGTATGACAGTGAAATCATTTGGGCTTATCGGTGGGCTGGCAGAGGTTAATGCCAGGTTGGCCATCCCATCTTCAAGAACTGTTCCTATTTAAATCCAGAAGCTCCTGCCCTGGGGGCAGGAAAAAGAACTTAAAGGATCATCAATGCAGGAGACCAAGAAAGCAGGGGAACCTGGCATGGGGCTTTCTCATGGACAAGCCCACACTGGAAATTAAGGAACCTTATTTTTGGATAATTTCTCCCACCAGCCCTCCACATTGTCAAGTCCCTTGCCCCTCTATGGCCCTCAGTTTCCTTGTCTATAAAATGGCAGGGGAGAGGAAAGGTGAGGGTAAATTAGACTTTTGTATTATCTTTTCCAGTTATCTCTTCCTTAATTCTGGGGTGTGGCTGCTCCCAAGGCAGGTGATGGGCAGGTTTCAATCTCTTCTTGAAAAGGTTAGAGACCAGGGCACTGGAGGAAAACCAGCAGATTTGGCAGGAAAAACACAGCCTTTATGGCAGGAATGCAGGCTTACATCAGATGAATCCTCAGGCAGTTACACCTCCCCACAGCTGCGTCAAAGCTTAACCCCAACAAGTGAAGCAAAGCAGGAGTAGAACTGAGCCTCTCTGAAAGGTCTGGCAGGAAGTTAGCTGATAAAATTCCAGACAATGGGGAAGAGAAGAAAGGAGTTAGAGGAGGATTCTGGAAATGGCTCTATCTGATGTAGACTGTTTTGTAGTTGAGGGTTGGAGGGTCCTATGATCTGAATGTAACCCCTAAAATTGATAGCTAAAACTTAATGGCTAGTGCGATAGTATTAAGAGGTGGGATCTTTAAGAGATGATAAAGTCATGAGTGCAGAGCCCTGATGGGTGGGATTAGGGCCCTTATAAAAGGGCTTGAGGGAGCGGGTTCATGCTTTTCTGCTCTTCCAGCATGTGAGGGCACAGCAATGGGGCGCCATCTTGGAGGCAGACAGCAGCCCTCACTAGACACAGAATGCTGGCACGTTGATCTTGGACTTCTCATGCTTCAGAACTGTCAGAAATAAATGTCTGCTCTTTATAAATTACCCAGTCTGCGGCCGGGCACAGTGGCTCATGCCTGTAATCCCAGCACTTTGGGAGGCCGAGGCAGGTGGATCACCTGAGGTCAGGAGTTCGAGACCAGCCTGACCAACATGGAGAAACCCCATCTCTACTAAAATACAAAATTATCTGGGCATGGTGGCGCATGCCTATAATCCCAGCTTTCCCGAGGCTAAGGCAGGAGAATCGCTTGAACCCGGGAGGTGGAGGTTGTGGTGAGCTGAGATCGCGCCATTGCACTCCAGCCTGGGCAACAAGAGTGGGGAAAAAAAAAAATTACCCAGTCTGCAGTATTTTGTGATAGCAACATGAACAGGCTAAGATAGAAAGTGATGGTTTCTTTTCCTTGGCATCCCATACTTCCTCCTCTTGCCTGTTAAAAGAACCCCTCCAGATATGGGCTGACTGTGCTCTCAGTAAGCTGTTCAGTTGGCCCAGGGAACCACTTGCTTTAGATGGAAAAACAGTTCATTTTTCTGGTAAAATCTGACCCAGGACATTCGAGACCCAAACTGCCTGTTGCTCTGGCCAGGGTTATTGCTGAGGTTTCCAAACATCAAACCCACATTTGGGGTGCTTCAGGCCACCAGGGACCCACCATTACCATGAGCATCCTTTGCCAATGGTCTCCAGAAACCAAGTTACCTGAAATGGGACAAGAGAAGGCCCTGTATTACTCCACTTCCCAAGTCCTCACATTGTAAAACTGTCCTGTTATTTACTTAGGGAAAAGTAAAGGGAGTTTTAAGATCAGCATGTAAACTTTATAGTATTAATTGTTGCATTTAAATAATTCTATTTTGCAACAAATAGAACATTTGGTTTTGAAAGACCCCCAAGCTCTTTTCATGTGTCTAGTTAATTAAGGGTTTTCTCTCTGATCCTCCTTTCCTGTCTTCCCTTCCTTTTAATTCTCTGGCTTCTTTTGGTAACTCCAAGAGACAGCCACGGGGACTGCTCAAACCATTAACGACAGATTTGAGATTGGGCAGCTTGAAAGCCTCCAGTGAAAATTTCTAAACTCTACCCCTTGGGGGAAGTGGACTAACTGTCATTTTGTGCATAGGAAATATTTTGTTTCTCCCTGGAGTCTCACAGGAGCAATGGATCAAGTGTTTTGTTTTTAAACATATTTGAGCCCATGGACTGTTACTTCCCAGAGACCTTGTAGCAGATGTATTGAGTGCCCTGACTCTTGCCCTCATCCTGATTTCAGACATGGCTGGGGTGGGCCATTTCCTGTGGGTCTCAACTCATTGCACTGTGGATGCATCTTCCTCTCTGTTGGGGGAATTGTGAAGGAGCTGATAACTCCGAGGCAACCCTTGATAGGTGGCAGCTAAGAACCCATGGATGAATGCTCCATCTGCCATCCCACTCTTCCAGAGGCATCCCACACTCTTATAAGAGGTCCTAGGGGGATGGGCATGTGGGGGCTCCCTCCATGATGTACCCCTGTAGTGGCTTTCCTGCCTCCCTAACTCTCTCACCACTCCCTCCCTCACTCACGCTCCCTCTCATATCTTGTCCAAATATTGAAAGCCTCAGGCTCTGCTTTCAAGAGACACAGAACAGGACGGAATAGCCAGAGGAGAGAACTGGGCTCATAGAGCCTTGGCCATCATTTTGTCATGAAGGATGGTTAAGAAAAAGACTCAGATTCAAATCACAGCTTTGCCTCTTGCAAGCTGTGTATGTATATCCACAAATTAACTTCTCTGGAGTGGGTAGCAATTAGAAAACATCAAAAGTCACAGATAAAATGATCAGCAAGGGGAGTCATTTTACTCACTAGGATTCATAAGAATGCTGCCTGCATAGGGGACAGCATCTTTTAGCCTTCAAGGGCTAAAGGGACAGAAACTCTAAACTTGAGTCCAGCCATCCAGGGCACACAAAATAGTCATGGCCTGCACCGCTCCTTCAGGTTCCTCCACCTGCCTCAACACACTCTCCCAGCCCTACACACGAGGAAGCATGAGGCATACTGTGGCTTGTGGCCTTCATTCTGAACCTTGACCTGTGATCACTCCTTTCCTCCATTTCCATCCTACTCCTGTCACTCTTTCACTTTGTCAGTCAGCCAGTGCTTACCCCCACTATATAATTGACCAAAGGGACCATTTGCTTTGGACGGACAACTCATCTTCTTGGTAAAATCTAATCCAGGATGTTTGCTGCTGGAGTCAACAGTGAATACACACTGCCTCAGGCATGCACCCATTTCTGTTCTCACCTGACCACACAGAACCAAGCCTCCGTAAAACCTCACGTTCTACTCTTCAGCTACAGCCACACTGTCTCAAGCCACCCTGGGACCACACCTTCTGATACAATTTAGCACTGGGTTCCTCACTCTGGCACTGCCCTGACCTCCCTCCTGCTGGGCGAGCCCAGCCTCACAAGCGGAACATGGGCAGGGACAGCTGGAGATACGCAGTGCCGAGGTGAGTGCTACATTGCAGTGGACAAGAGGATCTCCCCCAACCACACAGTGGTCTGGAAAAAGCAAAAACAGGGGTTGCAGCTTGTACCACTTTTTATTCCAAGGGGTGGGGATAATATCCAAACAAGCATGGGTTGCCTGGGGAGTCACCAGACAGAGAACCCTCAGGCTGGAATGCCATCACCCCAGTTTACCAGAATGCTTATCTGTGGCCATCCTGCACACTCTAGAATTCCCCCATAGCCCTGGGACTTTTTCTCTTTTCTCTTAAGAGATCAGAGATAAGGGAATTAACCTGAAATGTACAAGTAGGCAACAAAGTGCTCCCATAGTGGAGAGTCTGCTATTCTGACTCCAGCCCCCAGAGTCTGACCCATCCTAAGGCGCTCTGCCCACACCTGAAGAGCTGTAAACTCATCAGTCCCACTCACTGCCCCATCACTTCCAGGGTTCCATTTCTTCCTCCTGCCCAGCTCCCAGACACTTCCAAGCCGGCAGAAACCCTATGGCTGTTGTTTTGTTTGTTGTTTCTCATTGATTAGCCCAGGTAATAGTCTCAGTACCGCCCAAGGCTACTGGAAACCAAATAAATACTGAGGTGATTTATCCCAAGGAAGCACATGTGCATGGTTATGCACAACCCATAGCCCCTGTGCTGGAAACTTGGCCTGAGAAAGACTATGGGAGAAGGAGATGGGAGACTCAACCAGTCCCAGCCCTTGTCCTCACCCTACCCAGTTAGGCCACGAGACACTGCACTCTGTCCACTTAGGGGGCTGTGAGGCACTGGACAGCCCAAGGAGCATGGCAGGGTGGAGGAGCTGAGTCAGAGCACAAAGGCCTTCCCTTCTGTCTGTCCCCCACTCCTCACTCCGCAAGGCTTGGCTCAGCTTGGACCCAGGATGAGTATTTCAACAAAGGAAGAGGCAAGAGCCATAAATCAAGTGCAAATCCCCCTCCACACCTCCCACATCCTCATCTGCACTTTCTCCAACGCCTTCCCCTTGCTAAGGTCAGCCCTACTGTACCACACACACACATGACACACACACACTTGCACACACACAAAAACACATGTCACCAGGACTCCAAATCCCCCCTTTGAGCATTGCTTGGCTGTGTGCAAAGTCCTGTTCTCCCCACTGTGTACAGAAATGGGGCTTTCTGTCTTGGTGACATCTCTCTGCTCTTACCTAGGAAGTCAAAGCTTTCCCTACTCTCATTGCAGGGAGGACAGGGATCAATCCCCTGCCCTGCTTTCGAACTGCGGTTCCACCAGCCTCTCTGCAGCCAATCTCTCCACTCTCAGTGTCTCTCCTGCAAGCCTACATTGTCCCATCTTACCTGGTTACTTTCACTGCACTCAGCCCCTGAAAGTGGAGGAGAAGGTCATGGTGCTGAAGCTAGAGTGGCAGGGCCGTATTCACTGCCTTGGCTGTTCCAGAGCTGCAGAACCTTTGAGTGAGTCACCTCTCTGGGCCTGGGCTTCTCACCTGGAGAATTTGGCCTCCCATTGCCTGCTGCATCTCCTACTACACCTTGCTCTGTCTCCCCAGCTCATCCAGGTCGTAGAACCTTCCCCACACTGACTGAAGCCTCAGTGCTGAGACCTTATGCTTTTGGGTCACTGAAGAATTTGGATCCCCACCATCCCCCGTACTGGGATCCCTCCACTGGGCCACGTCAGGTGACATCCTGGCACCGAACTGTGGCCTGGACATGTCCCAAACCCAGGAAGACCTGGTTATCCATTTTCCTCCATCCTCAATCCGGAGTTGCTGAGTTTGACTAGAAAAACCATGTGTCTATGTTGCCAGATTCCACTATAAATTCACCCACTGGAAACTGTATGGGGCTCTGGGTAACTCAGACACTCTTCTGTTCTGCCCTGATTCTTTCTAAGTTGCACCTAGCCCAGTAGCTGGTTCAAATCTCCCTTGGGAACCTGGGATGCCCACCGCACACTGCCATAGGAGGGATTCACACTCATTTGCTCAATGAGGGAGGGCTGTCAACCAAATAATATTAGATGAGAATCACACACCTTGAAGTCAGGAAGGATTTTGGGGGACCGCCATTTCTCAGAAACTGAGGCTCTCAATCTTACTTCCCAGTCAGGGCAGGTTTGGGGCAAGGACTCCACCAGGGGACTTACTCCAAGCAGTGACGATGCCACTCACAGCAAGACTCATGGAGGGCTACAGAATGAAGACCACATTTGAATTCTGGCTCTTCCTGTCTTCCTCTAGAAGCCACAGAAGCCTTGACATCTGGCTCTGCTTTCTGGAGAACCCAGGCTGAGGGGTGTGCTTCCATAAGAATGCATTCCTTCAGCTGCCCATGGAGATGGGTGGCCTGAGGCTGATGCATGGTAGTGCCCACCTTCCAGAGTGGGCAGCCTGGATATGGCACAGATGTCCAGGCAGGGAAAGCTGGATTTAGGGAGGCCCAGCACAGGAGCTGGAGGTGGCCCAATTCCATGAGGAAGGAGGAAAGAAAGAACTTAGTGGGAAGAGAAGGAGCAGCGGGCAGGGCCAGGCACTGCTTAGCCAGAAGACCCTCCCCCCTCAACATCCAGAAATAGTTTTGGAAGTAGGGACATTGGAGAGCTGTAAAAAGTGGTTTCTGATCCAGTGAGAAATCACCGCTCACCTCCAAATGACTGTTCCTCTTCCTTTCCATGGAGTTCCTGGAAAGGAGCGGGAGCCTGGCTGTAGAAGGCCAGGAGGAGGGAGGTGATGCCCAGGGGATCTCAGGCAGGTCCCTGGCACCTCTAGAGATCTGCTTGCATTTGCTCTTTCTCTACTGCAGGGCCTGGGCCACAAAGGAGGCAAGTCTGCTGTGTCACCCCTTCACCCTTTGGCTGCTGAGTCATAGGAATGCCCAGAGGAACCCAAGGAAGAGGCCAGGGCAGTCTGGCTGGGGGTAGTTAGAAAGATTTCAATAGTTAAACCTATCAGGGTTGCCCCACCCTGACCTGGCTGTGGCTTCCTTGTCAGGCCACATTCAAAGGAGTTAAAGAGAATGAAATGAAGGAATAATAGGTGGGCAAGATTAAAGGAACCAGCAAAGGGTAGTGAAGCACCAGGAACCAGCAACAATCATTCCTAGCCTGAAGGGACCAAGCAGGGAGCCAGTTGGTGATTAGGGGGTGGGGGTGGCCTCACAGGAGCCATAGTCATAGGTGGACACAGACACTGCCTTCAGGGAGGGGGCCAGGGAAACACGTGCCCTCCCCAGTTCTAACCCTGAGTGGAAGCCTGAGGGCAAGGGAGCCTCCATGATACAGTACAGAGGTCAGCCTGGCACCACGCAGGGCAGAGAAGGGTGGGGAGTGGATCTGGAGGGCCAAAAACACATCCGGACTCTGGTCTTGTCCATTACTATAATATTACTTCCCATGTCTTGAGGATTCCAGAGGTCCATTTATCCCTTCACCATTAACCGTCCCACCTGTTCAGATCCTGGCCTTCCCACTGAAAGACAGCATTCCTGCAACCTAATTTGTTCGTATGTTTAATGAGTAGGTCTCAGCTCCAATGGCACCTCCACCAGCCTCACTGGAAGCCATGGTCCTCCACGGTCCTGTGATGCTTTGCATATGATGTGCCTACCCTGGCTTGCCCTCAACCCCCACACCCTCAACTCCTCTGCCCTACTCCTTATCTTTTTTATTCTGTACCTAGTAACACTATATATAATATAGTTTGTTATTTATTGTAGTTTCTCCTGACTAGCATGTGAGCTCATAGGGCAGCAAATTTTGTTTTGTTCATTGCTATACCCTAAGCTCCTAGAACAGTGCCTGGCACAGAATGATAGTCAATAAATGTATCAAATGAATAAACATGTTCTGCCTCATTTTCTGATGACTATTCTACCTTCTGTTTTCCCACCACACTGAAGGAACTGGAGGGAGGTTTGGTCTTATTTACGTTTGTGTTCTCCAGGGTGCCTGGCACAATGCATAGCTTGTAGTAAGATGCACAAATGCTTTTGTAATTGAACCATTCACACCACAAGGACCCGTCCCCGGCTGGTGTGGAGAGGAGGTGTTGCTGAAGGGCTTCCATGAGACCAAGGCCGGGGGTCAGCTTGGAAGCCTTGTCTCAGTTCCTCCCTCTGGACTGGTTCAGGACAACATTTATGGGTGGCAAGAGTGGTGCTCAGGGCCACGGATGGCTCGAGGACCACTGTTCCCCCTCCACTGTGCTGAGCCTCAGTATGCATACACAGAGGGCGGTGCCCCCGAATATGACTCAGGACAATACACAGGGCCTTTTCTGAGAAAGCCATGTGTTCACCCCAAGAGGAACTTCAGCTCTGACTACTCTCCTCTAACTGGAATTATGCACAAGATTCGGTATAACTGTTTTCTCTGGGTTCTCAAAGGCCTGTGTGGCCCAGAAAACATTAAGAAGTATTAGCCTGGAGGACCCCTGGGAGAACCCCAGAATCTTTCCACTGTCACCCACCACCACCTTGCTGAGCCCCCAGCAGGCCCAGTTCAGATAATGGAGCACACACAAAGCCTTCTGCAAGGCAGCACACTCACTCCCGCCTCTGTGTGTCTGCGACGAGCTCAGGGCAGCTGGCGGTAGAGGCCTCTTCCCACCATGCTGCCCTGGGCTCTACCCTTGACAGATGCTTCCAGACTTGAGGATAAATTTGAGTTTATTTTAGGAAAAAAAATGCTTAAAGCACAAATTACAGAGAGGAGGAGCTGAAATCCTTCAAAGGCCTGAGCTTCTACTCCTTTCCCTTAAGATTCCTCCAAAGCACCAGCTCCATAAAATCCTTCAGCTCCCCAGACCCACACCAAGAACCCCACATGTTAATTGGATCAGCCAAATCTACAAGCAGATAAGTCCTAAGGAGAATGCCGAAGCGTTTTTCTTCTTCCTCAAGCCTAGCATGAGTAAGCCCCCAAATTGCTAGTCTGGCAGAATGGCAGACTCTGCCTCCAGATCCAAATGATCACCTAGACACCCCCTCAGGCTCCTGGGCCTGGGACCACAGCTACGCAGCCGCCCCCACTCCTCTCAGAGCCGAGTGGAGTAGCCTGCCACCGCAATGTTCTCCCCGTTGACGTAGCTGGCATCTGGAGAGCACAGGAAGGACACGATTCCTGCACAGTCCTCTGACTCCCCAATCCTGGATGGAAGAAGGACACAGTGTCAAGCATCTTGTACTCTGATTCTGCTGCTCTGGGGCTCACGGATGACAGGTGGGAGTGGGCTCCATGGGGAACAAGGTGGATGCAGCAGGGCTACTTGCACCCTCCAGGGCCATGTGGACTCCAGATTTCAGCAAAAACAATGGCCAGATGACAGGGAGGGGTCTGCTCTTGCAATAGACTCAACTGCCCCTGCCTAGCCACACATGGACCACCAAATCTCCAAACCCCACTTGCCTCTGCAGCTGATGATGTTCCTTGAAGTTCTTCCAGAGAGACTCATTCCCATGAAACTGGGCAAAGGGAAGAAATGAAGGAGTCAGTGCTACTAAAACAAGATGGGCAGGGCCCCGGGAAGGCCACCAGGCAGAACACCTAGGGCAGCTTTGCCCTTCTCAAAAGAAGGAGCATCTTTTCAGGATGGATGGACTGCACCATGGCTGAGTTCAGAGAACAATGAGGACCTCAGTCATAGGCATGCTGACCTAAGGATTCAGTCACCCCTTGATCCCTTATTCACTGGGAAGGGTTCCCACTGAGCCAGACTGGGAGATGGAAGACACACCCAATCCTCACCACTTTGCTGAAGTCAGTTTTGATAATTCCTGGAACCACGCAGTTTACCCGGATGTCCTTGGGGGCCAGCTCCAATGCCAGTGTTCTAGTGAGACCCAGCAGCGCTGTCTTGCTGACATTGTAGACACCCAGCGCCTGGGAAGGGAATTGACAGAGTGATTAGGATATGGGAGAGTGGGGGAAAGCATCAGTTGGATTTCTCACCTACAGGGATCTCACAGGCCCAGCAGCCCTCCCACCCACATGGAGACAAGCTCAGCCCAGGGCAGCAGGAGGATGGTGGGGGTCTGTCCCAGGCACTTTGTCTGTAAGGCTCTGAGGAAAAGAACAAAGTTGCCCCTCACCCTATACCACTCAGGAGCACAAGGACCAAGCACTTACCACTACTGGATTATAAGCTGCAATGGAAGAGACCAGGATGACAGCACCCCTCCTGAGACAAGACAAACATAAGAGAAGCTGAAGCTAAGAGCTTACCACTGATGGTGACACTATCATGAGTTCATTAAATGATGCAACCCTCACAGAAGCAACACAGGTCCTATTACTGTCCCCATCTCAGAGTTCAGAAAACTGAGGCTCAGAAAGGTTTAGTACCAGCCAATACACGGCAGAGCTAGGATTCCATGCCTATTTCTCATAAATACGATGTCCATGCTCAGAACCCTTATCTTCTGCTTCCTCTCTTGCCAGGTGCTTGAAGGAGAGGGCAGGGTGGGCTTTGTGAAGAGGCACCCAAGGCTGATGGTGAGTGCCTATCAATGAGCAACCTCTAAGGAGCAGATGGGGTAAGGGAGACCAGAAGTGACAGTCAGGAACTTTCCTTCTACTGAAGACAGCCCCTGGCCAGTTCCTAAGGGTGTGTCTGTGAGGGGTACAGTCAGATCTGCAGGACCTGGAACACAGGCAGGGTCCCTGGAGACCAAGCGCAGGCATGAGGAGAGGTCTGGGACAGGCTTTTTCCTATGGAGAGGAATGGGGCTAACCCTGTCATTGGTTTTAAGTTGGTAAGAACAGAGAGCAGGTAAGGTGACAATGACCAGCCCACAAGGTCAAGGAGTTAAAGCATAGCCTTGTCCCAAACCTGCTGATGTCAAGGCCAAGGAGGCTATGCCTGGGCCCCTGGAATACTACTCTCATCCTGCAGCCACTGGAATTGGGAATGGCAGCCACACAGATGGGGAGGCAGGACAAGAAGATGAGGGATGTGGAGATCCCAGACCTCTTCTGTCCTCTACCCACTACTGGCTGTGCTACCGACTGTATTTCTGTGCCCACCTCAGGTCCCCAACTCCGACTGGTCCCCACCCCCGCCCTGCCATACCTGTTCTCCATGTAGGGCAGCAACTGGCTCAGCAGCAGGGCTGGGGACTTCACGTTCACACTTAGGATCTGAAATCAGAGCAGAGCATGGGTGAGGGCAGAGAGACATGGTCAGCCCAAGTCCTGCTCTCATAAGACACTTGGAGCCCTGTAATTTGTGCAGTAGACCCAATGTATGTGCATATAAGAGAAACCAATCCCCCTTCTGACTGGTGCAAGAGGTATTTCCAATTTGCTAATGGTTTCATAGGCAGGCAGGCTAAGTCACAGGCCTGTGAGCAGAGCCCTGAAAATGTGAATTGTTCAGGACTGACACGAGGAAGGAAATGTTCAGGCCTTTTAAAGAAAATGGGGACTGGGGGCAGTGGGTCATGCCTGTAATCTCAGCACTTTAGGAGGCCAAGGTGGGAGGATTACTCAAGGCCAAAAGTTCAAGACCAGCCTGAGCAACATAGTGAGACCTTGTCTCTACAAGATTTTTAAATAATTGGCCTGGTGTGGTGGTGCACACCTATAATCCTAGCTACTCAGGAGGCTGAGGCAGGAGGATCCCTTAAGCCCAGGAGTTTGAAGCTGCAGTGTGCCATGATCATGCCACTGCACTCCAGCCTGGGTGACAGAGTGAGACCCTGTCTCTTAAAAAGAAAACAACAACACACTGTAAGCAGAGGCCTCTGGAGAAAGACTGAAGACAGCCTGATGGAGGGGAAGCAGGTGCTAGAAGCAAGGGAGATTTCTGGAAGAGCCTTTTTTGTCTCTCTGAGCTTTCATTTGCTTGTCCTCTTACCTTGTCCCCATAGAATTTAAGGCATACTCACAATGCAACAGCATAAAATAAATCAAATAGGTACTATGTGTGAAGAAATGGAGAAAAGGAAAAATCAGTGTAGAAAAATAAGAAAAAGCAAGAGTGAGGTTGGTGCCTACAGTTCACAGCATGTGATAAGGACTGAGCATTTATTCTATTATTTGGTCATAAAAATGCAGGCTGTAAGGGCCTACACACACCAGCTTATCGCAGACTTGGCTCTGAGCTTTCCTGCAGCCAATACAAACAGGGAGACACAACAGAGAATTGCCATGCTGGGAGCTAGATGTCTATGCTGATCCTGCTTGTGACTAAAGTCTGAATCTGGGCTAAGTCACACATGTCCTGACACTCTGGAAGCTCTGTCTGGTGGGTCTGGGAACGGGGGAGAAGTGAAAGAGGAAGTAGCAAGGAAAGATGCAGAGGCGGAGCCTGGGAGCTAGGGCAGTGCCAGGTGGGACTGACATGGCACCAGGAGTCCCTCCTGCAGGGATCTGTCCTGATTCAGGTCAGCTGCATCCTGCATCTCTAGGGAATGAGACCACATCTGCAACTCACCAGGACTGTTCACTGTTTTTTCCACCCCCCAATCTCACTCCCACTCAATCCCTTGGATGTGGGAAGGAGAAATACTTAAGCTGAATGTTGCTGTGGCCCATTTGATGACAGGTTACCAGTGTGGGGGATGACCCCCAATGACTGCAAGAAGTGGTCCAGATGTCAGAAGTGGGTACCACCCTGAGGTCCCTAATAAGAAGGAATTGAGGATTAGGTTAGCTGTAAGGGTTTCCTGGTCAAAACAGACCCCAACCAGCCCACAGGATATCTGTCCAATACTCCATGTGCATCAGGCTGAGTGAGGGGCTGAGGTAAGACCCCTCCTGGACTCAGGAACAAAAACCAAGCCAAAGAAAAGGTGAGACTCCCTCCCTTGATGAAGAAAACTGCCCCATTAGAAAGTAAGAGAGAGTAGCTCAGTGTGCCAAGTAGTTCTGAGCAGAGAACTATCCATGAGCCTGAAAGAGGGCGCACGCTGGAGTCGCTGGAGAAGGATGGAGGTGATGTGGTTTTGGTAGTTTAACAGATCAGAGGTTTCCCAACCTGCTGGAAAGAAGGGGGGTCTGCCTGGAGATGGCCTCAAAACTGGCTCAAGAATAAGATGAGTGGTAAGGAATTCTCCTTACAGGACACCTACGGAAAACACATTTAGTTGAAAGCAGAGCATCTGGTAAATTCTAAACTCATTTTGTGACAATTTCACCTCTGAGGTGATGGCAGATGTGATCGGGGACGAGTCATCAATGATTTCTGTCCAGTGGTACAGAATTGCTCACTGAAGGCCAAGTCCTTGGAGAACAGGGGAGAATCAGAGAAAGTAAGGTCAGATTGTTGGCATCTGCCCTCAGCTTCAGGAGGGAGGACTGCAACAGTTTCGAGAAAAAGAGTCATGATCCTGTGAACTGAGACACTAAACAGCAAAATGATTCAGGAGGGTTAGGAGACTGTCAGCAATAAAATCCCAGCTATAAAATCACAAATGATCCTTTGGAGGCATTAACAACATAGCTAAAGAGCCTGGGGAAGCTGCTCAGCAGGGGCTGCAGGGAGCTCAAATTTCAGATCATCTCTGAGGATGTAGCCAAGGGCACCCAGCCAAGGGCAGATAGAAGGGAGGGGCCAGCCTGAAGATGATGTTGGCAAGTGAGAGTGCAGGATCTAGGGAAGGCAGAACACTCTAAGGCCAGAAGGCAGGAAACACTTTGACCCAGTGCTTAGGGCAGAGTGGTGAATGCTCACAATAGCAGAAAGAATGAGATTCATCACGACGCATTCTGGCAGAGAGAACAGAAAACAAAACATGAGAGTGAAGGGAACAGAAGTCACTGGGGAACAACTAGGCCCAAGATGAGCTTCAAGGCATTTTACAAGGTCTCTCCCGGTCCCTTGTGGACAAGGTAGCAGAATCCTTGAATGGACTTACAGCAGGCTGGGATGTCTAAGCCCCCGGAATGCTGATGGCTGGATCTGGTCCTGTCGGCAAGTTTGTGTGGGACTCAGTGAGGAGCCCCCTTCTAGGAGAGACAGTCTCCGCTACAGGCACAGGTCACCAAAGAAAAACACAGTATCCGTATCTTCCCCTACAAAAGGGTGTACCATACAAAAATGTTTGACTCTTACAGAGAGACTCTGACTAACCATTCACAGCTGTATCCCTAGAGCCTGGAATAGTGGTGCCTGGCAGACAGCAATAAATACCTGCTGAATGATTAAATGAAAAAGTGATGAGAAGAGAAAACAAAGCAGAAAGTGTGGGGGCCAGATTTAAGAACCAACAAGCCAGAAAGTAGCATCCGGGCACATTTTGGGAGACAGCTGGCCAGGCAGGACTACCACCCAGGGCCTGCTTCTCCCATAACCTCTGGAGGGAAACAGAGTCTTGGTGGGCACAGGCATGCTGGAGCCCAGTGCAGAGCTGGAATCGGGCCCTCAGCCGCCTCCCCAGGGGAGGCCTCTCACCTTGTCCCAGATCTGCTCACTGGTCCCCAGAGTGCTCCCTACCAGAGGGTTGACCCCTGCGCTGCACACCAGGAAGTCGACGCCCCCACAGTGCTCCAGGGCCTGCGGAGAGGAGATTGGATGAGTGTGGAGATGGCCTGAGGAGGACTATCCCTCCCAGGGCAGCCCAGGTCATAAGGCCTTCAGGCAAAGCTTGCAGAGCTCCTAAAGGAAAATGACCTAGGTGTCCCAAGGGCAGGCTCCTGGGGCCAGGCACTGAGAGAGGAAGGTCTGCTCCAGGAGTCCCTCTGGGGACCTCCCTCACCCCTTCAGACTCCTCCTCCACAGTGATTCTCCCCGGGCCTGGGGGTGGGGTGAGGGTCCTCTCACGAACAGGTCACTTTCCTGAGGGACCTTCTGGGTAGCGAGGTTAGCTTGGGCAGCCTGGGTGCAGTCATGGTCTCAGGACATATTCTAGACCCACCCCACAAGGGCCAAGCAGTGAAGGAAAGGTTCTGCATGTTCCCCTCTCTGTGTCCTTCCACCGCCTGCCCCCTCACCTTGGCCACCAGCTGCTCCCGGTCCTCAGCCTTCCCCACGTGGCACACAATGCCCGCCACACTCAGCCCCTCCCCCTGCAGCTTGGCCATGGCCCGGTCCACGTTCTGCTGCTTCCGGCTGCTGATGACCACGTGGGCCCCGTCCCGGGCCAGACGTCGGGCGATGGCAAAGCCGATCCTGAATGCAGAGATGGAGGGCAAAAGTCAGCCTCAGCCTCTCTCCACTGTCCTTCCTCTACCCAGCTCTGGAAATCAGCAAATAAGGCTGGGTCTTGCTTTAAAACCCTGAGTCCTTGTGGAAGCCACAAGGACCCTGTGAGGGGCCAGGACCCATGGGCAATCCAGCACTCACCCACTGGTGGACCCCGTGACCACGGCTACCCGGTTAGCCAGGACGCCCTTCCTGTCTATCCCGGTGCTGCTCATCCTCACAGAAAGCCTAGCACAGGGATGAAACCAGCCCTGGTAGCCCCGGGCAACTGCTGACAGCATAGTGGTTGGTGTCTGAGATGCTTCCTGCTGAATCAGGCCTGGGGGAAAGAATCAATTTCACTTATCACTGATGCCTCAGTGAGCATGAAGGTAATCTACCCTCCTCCTTCCTCCAGACAGACAAGGCCAGCAACAGAAAGTGGCAGAGAGTCAGGCTGGTTAGGGTAAATTTCAAACATGTGAACCTCAGGTCAGGAAAGCAATCCATGAAAACTCCTAAGCTATAAAACTGGGGAAATTATTCACAAATTAAAATGTGAGACTCAACATTCATTAGACAAGGGTGATTTTTCCATCCATTGCATAGCAAACATTGAGCACTGGCAATGTGTCAAGCACTGGGCAGTAGAGGCGGGGACACCTTAGTAAACGACAGACTCAGCCCTGGACCCCAACCATGCAGCTTCCCAGTTAAATGAGATGCCAGGCACCAACAAATAATTATACCAGTTATTAATTAACTGCTTCTGTGTCTGGAATTGGTGGGTTCTTGGTCTCGCTGACTTCAAGAATGAAGCCACGGACCCTCGCAATGAGTGTTACAGTTCTTAAAGATGGTGTGTCCGGAGTTGTTCATTCCTCCCATCCGGAGTTGTTCATTCCTCCCGTCCGGAGTTGTTCATTCCTCCTGGTGGGTTAGTGGTCTTGCTGGCTTCAGGAGTGAAGCTGCAGACCTTCGCAGTGAGTGTTACAGCTCTTAAAGGCAGTGCGTCTGGAGTTGTTCATTCCTTCTGGAGGGTTTGTGGTCTCACTGGCCTCAGGAGTGAAGTTGCAGACCTTCGTGGTGAGTGTTACAGCTCTTAAAGGCAGCGCGGACCCAAAGAGTGAGCAGCAGTGAATCAAGATTTATTGCAAAGAGCGAAAGAACAAAACTTCCACAGTGTGGAAGGGGACTCAAGCAGGTTGCTGCTGCTGGCTCGGGTGGCCTGCTTTTATTCCCTTATCTGGCCCTGTCCACATCCTGCTGATTGGTCCATTTTACAGAGAGCTGATTGGTCTGTTTTATAGAGAGCTGATTGGTCCATTTTGACAGAGTGCTGATTGCTGTGTTTACAAACCTTTAGCTAGACACAGAGTGCTGATTGGTGCATTTACAATCCTTTCGCTAGACACAAAAGTTCTCCAAGTCCCCACCTGATTAGCTAGACATAGAGTGCTGCACCCTTGCTTGTCCTCCTAGACCATGAGGAGGACCGAGAAAAATCGGATTTAGTGGCCCTTACCGACGCATTCTCGAAAACCTGTTAGAGTCCTAAGCATTCTCCTGTTAGTATTGGGAACTTACCCGTGTCCTATAAAGATGTTATGCCCCAAAAATGAAGAAGAGTAACCTGAGGGAGGGAAGGGGTCTCCAGGGTTGGAAAAGTGACACCTTTTGTCCTCACTTATATGAATAGGAAGGATACAATTTCTGAGGCTCCCCCTATCCTAGCTTCAGGAATAGCTTTTGTTAGACCTGCTTATCTGAGGAGGGATTCTAAAATTCCAGATAGTTCCCCCTACAACTGGGCTTTGGGCAAAAATTATGTCTTTCTGATTGGTGAGCCCAGGTGCCTAAAGAAGGTAACAGAGTCCTGAAATTTTTACTAGAAATCATTCTTATAAGAGAAATTAGAAAAGCACCAGAGACAGGGAGTGGTTTTTTAGAAGTGGGACTAGCCTAGGAGAAGAGAGGAGAGAGAAAGTTTGTCTGGCAGGCATTAGGACCCAGCGAGCAAGGGTCAGGATAGATAGGATAGATAGGTGAGTCTCACTTGGGCAACATGCCTTTGAGAGTTCCGCTCATGGCCGCAGGGTCAACCAACTTGTTGTGGGGACTCCGGAGCTGAATGGCTTTCCTCTCTGTTGACCCTCAGCTCAGCCCAGAAGTACAGGAAAAGCGGAAGCTGGTTCCAGGCAAAACAACATTCCCAACTCCACAGAGCCAGGGGTTGTTAGAGATCCCTTTCCCAGAAAGCCTGACACCCACGTTTTTAGTCCAGCGGCTGCGCTAGTCACTTTTAACTGGCCGACAGGTGCCCAGAATTTAGCCACCGAATTCTAAGGAAAAATAGGACAGAATAGCAAATGAAAGGGATCTGATGGTACTCACCACTTGGCGATAGGTGATAGTCTCACCGCTTGGTGATGGTCTCACCACTTGGCAATAGTCTCACTGCTTGGCAATAGTCTCACCACTTGGTGATAGGTGACAGTCTCTTCAAAGTCACCAAAATGTGTACGGAATTGATGGGTTCTTGGCCTCACTGACTTCAAGAATGAAGTTGCAGACCCTTGCGGTGAGTATTACGGTTCTTAAAGATGGTGTGTCCAGAGTTGTTCATTCCTCTCGGTGCATTCGTGGTCTTGCTGGCCCCAGGAGTGAAGTTGCAGACCTTCGCGGTGAGTGTTACAGCTCTTAAAGGTGGCACGGACCCAACGAGTGAGCAGCAGCAAGATTTATCATGAAGACCAAAAGAACAAAGCTTCCACAGCGTGGAAGGGAACCAGAGCAGGTTGCTGCTGCCGGCTCAGGCAGCCTGCTTTTATTCCCTTAACTGGCCACACCCACATCCTGCTGATTGGTCCATTTTATGGAGAGCTGATTGGTCCATTTTACAGAGAGCTGATTGGTCTGTTTTACAGAGAGCTGATTGGTCCGTTTTGACAGAGTGCTGATTGGTGCATTTACAAACCTTTAGCTAGACACAGAGTGCTGATTGGTGCATTTACAATCCTTTAGCTAGACACAAAAGTTCTCCAAGTCCCCACCAGATTGGCTAGACACAGATTGCTGATTGGTGCATTTACAAACCTTTAGCTAGACACAGAGTGCTGATGGGTGCATTTACAAACCTTTAGCTAGACAGAAAAGTTCTCCAGGTCCCCACCGGACCCAGAAGCCCAGCCGGCTTCACCTCTCAATGGCACACACTGCAGGACTTTGCGGCACCTAGCCCAGGCACTCCAGCAGCCCAGAGGGAGCTCATCCCCCAGTCAGGCCCAGCTGGCACCGGCCGGCCCACGGAGCCCCTGCTGGCCGGTGAGTGCCCTGTACAGTGTGGGCTCCTGCCGGCGCCTCTCCCTCCACACCTCCTGGCGAGCAGAGGGAGCTGGCTTCGGCCTTGGCCAGCCCCAGAGAGGGGCCCCCACAGTGCAGTGGTGGGCTGAAGGGCTCCTCAAGTGCAGCCAGAGTGGATGTGGAGGACGAGGAGGCACCAAGAGTGAGCAAGGGCTGCTAGCATATTGTCACCTCTCACTTCTAGTTGAAAAAGCAAAATCAACAGAAACTCTCATTCACTGCTGGGTAGAGGGTAAGTACAATCACTTTGGGAAATGATTTGGCATTATACGGAGAAGTTGAAAATAAAGATCTCTGACTCTGTAGAGGGAACTTGCATCCTGCAGACAGGAGGTCATGTGTGCACCAAGAGACTGTACACACAGGTTCAGAGAAGCCTGCTTAGAATGTTCCAAACTGGAAACAAGTCTGTATTAGTTTGTTTTCACACTGCTATAAAGAACTAACTGAGGCCAGGCACGGTAGCTCACACCTGTAATCCCAGTACTTTGGAAGGCCAAGGTGGGCAGATCCCTTGAGCTCAGGAGTTTGAGACCAGCCTGGGCAACAAGGTGAAACCATGTCTCTATAAAAATTAGCTGGGTGTGGTGGTGCATGCCTGTAGTCACAGCTACTCGGGAGACTAAGATGGGACGATTGCTTGAGCCCAGGAGGTCAAGGCTGTGGTAGGCTGAGATTGCACCACCGTACTCCAGCCTGGGAGAGAGAGCAAGACCCTGTCTCAAAAAAAAAAAGAACTACCTGAGACTGGGTAATTTATAAAGAAAAGAGGTTTAATTGACTCACAATTCCACAGGCTGTACAGGAAGCATGGCTGGGAAGGCCTCAGGAAACTTACAATTAAGGCAGAAGGTGAAATGAAGCAGGCAGAACTTACACAGCTGGAGCAGGAGGAAGTGAGAGCAAAGGGGGAGGTGCTACACACTTCCAAACAACCAGATCTCATGAGAACTCACTCACTATCACAAGAGCAGCAAGGGGGAAATCTGCCCCCATGATCCAATCACCTTCCACTAGGCCCCCTCCTCCAACATTGGGGATTACAATTCGACATGAGATTTGGGCAGGGACACAGACCTAAACCATATCAAAGTCTATATGCCTATTAACGGTGGAATGGATAAACAAACTGTGTTGCATTTCTATAATGGAATACTATACAATAATGAAAATGAATGAGCTGAAGCCACACTGAACAACATAAAGGAATCTTAAAAAATATACTGTTGAGTAAAAGAAGTCAGACACAAAAGAATACATATTATTTGAGTCCACAAGTTTCAACAACAGGTAAAACAATTCTATATTGCTTAAGAAGGCAAACAGGTGACAAAAATACAGAGAAATGCAGGGCAGTGATCACCACAAAAGTGAGGAGAGTGGGTATTTCCGCAGTAGAGCTGTGGGGAGGCAGTTATGATTAAGAAGGTGCAAACAGGCTAGGCACGGTGGCTCATGCCTGTAATCCCAGCACTTTGGAGGCCAAGGCAGGGGGATCACTTGAGGTCAGGAGATGGAGACCAGCCTAGCCAACATGGTGAAACCTCATCTCTACTAAAAATACAAAAATTAGCCAGGTGTGGTGGCGCATGCCTATAGTCCCAGCTACTTGGGAGACTGAGGCAGGAGAGTCGCTTGAACCCAGGAGTTGGAGGTTGCAGTGAGCCAAGATTGCACCACTGCACTCCATCCTGGGTGACAGAGGGAGACTCCGTCTCAAAAAAAAAAAAAAAAAAAAAAAAAAGAAGGGGCAAACTAAAGAGCTTCTAGCGTGCTGGCAATGTTGTATTTGATAAGCAAGTGATGCCTACATGATGTCCATGAAGATATATTATATCACCTATGTATGTGTATACTTTTTACGTATGTGTTATAATTCACAATTTAAAAGTTTAAAAGTAAAGATTACCTGCTCATGGTAAATTTTAAAATTCAAGCAGCTTAAAACTTAATTCAAAAATTAAATCCTCCAATTCCCTTCTCAGAAGAAAATTTGCCAGCATCTCAGATACTTTCTCAAAGTTGTTCTATGCAAAGGGCTTTGCTTTAAATAAGCAAAACTTTCTGATTTTAAACATTCAGTTCACAGAGGGCTTTCATGGAGTATCCTAGCCAGGAAGCAGAGGATCAGTAATGAGTGTCATGTGAGTTCCTTGAACACAGGCTCCACTCCTCCCTCTTGGGGCCCAGGGCTTGAAACACAGGAGTGCTCAATAAGGCTGGTGAGCTAATCAGGCTGGGAAAGTTGCAGGTAGATAGGACCTGCAAGACTGAGGAGGATTTTGACAGGGGCAGCAACAGGATAGATCCTCCTGTCAAGGGGAACAGGCTGAGAGGAAGAATGGAGGGTGTGGATGTCCAGGGTGTTTGGGAGAGAGCAGGGATGCCTATGTGCCTGGAATACAGAGAATGGGGGGCTCATGCCTGAGAAAGCAGACTGCAGTTCTGAATGACTCCAGCAGGCCGGTGCTGATTGAAGCTCTCTGAAGGGATGTCCGTGGAGCTGAGCCAGTTAAACCAGCCACAGACATCCAGGCTGCTGTGTGGAGACCTGTGCCCTCAGGAGGCCCTTCAGAAGGGAACGGTGTGCCTCTGTAGCTATGCGCAGATGTGAAGGCAGGGAGAGGATCTGGCATGGGAGACTCAGGTATGAAGATATATCACCATGAACTGGAAAATGCCAGGGATGCTTGTCTAGGAGACCCTCTTTCACCCAAATCCTAATTTCCCAGCTCCACATTCATGTTAGCCCAGAGGCTCCTGCCTTCCCCTATGTGGGATTCCCATTGGCCTGCCATTCCCTACTCTAATGGAAGAATCTGATGAGCTTCCTGTTGAGAGAGGGAGGGAAGGAGTGGTTCCAGCAAGGGGTTAGTTAGCAGGGCACTCAGGGACTTAGCAGTGTGCTTTTCATGTGGGACAGGACAGTGCCAGGAAGGTGAAGAGAGGCAGGCTCTGGCAGCTCTGGGCCAAGGGGCCGACAGATGTGAACTTGCAGGAGGCTCTGGCCTGGGATGACTCTGTCTACAGACCCTCATCAGTTCCAGACATGCTCTGGCCACTCCATCACCAAGGGACTCCTGGTTACTAAGCAACCCCTGCCTTACCTACTGCATCTCCCCTTGTTCCTTAGCAACTCTTGCATAACTCAGTTCCTTCGAGTTAGGGGTCTGTATCTATAAATTATAAGTGAATGGGTGCTGCTCAGGAATTGTGAAGAAACTGTCTATTAAATATCAGTCTGTACTCAGTGTCAAAATGCAGGCGACCAAATGCTTTGCTTTGGGAAGGAAGCCTTGATTTCCGATTTATATCTCTTCTGATATTGTATTTCCAAAAACAATCTTTGTAGGTCCTAGACCTCCTCCCTCTTTCCTCCCAGCTGCTTCCACTCTGCCTGCTGTTGCTCTCGCTTACTCTCTCACGCCTCTCTCCTTCCTGCAAGGTCATATTTACAGCCTTGCATTACGTGGAGACAAGGGGTTTCAGCTCCTGATTGGTCTACCTTTTCTAAACAGGACACCAGATTCTGAACATTGTTATGCCCCCCCTGGGGAACTCCTCTCCTTCTGCTGCGAGCTCAGATTAACCCCCTTTTGAGGTTGAGAGGAATCCAGTCTCCTTGGCTGGGAGGACAGCAGGAAAAAGAGGACTCGCCTTTTGTCGGGACAGGACGCCCCCTGCTGGAAGGCTAGAGTAACAGCACCTGTGAGATGTGTTCCTAGCTCAGCAAGTCTGGCTGTCCCCTTTCTGGCCTCTAACAGTTCTTACCAAGCCCTGCTTGTCTGAACTTGCCTCAATGTGGTTTGCAGGAAAGCTGACCTATTGTAAGGAAAGGCAACTCTGCCTGGACTGTTGCAGGTAAACAACCTGCAGAGATGAAGTCAGGCCTCCTCTGTCTCCCCTGCTTCCCCTTCCCATGCAAAGCCCCTCTTTTGCCTGGGAGGATGGGAAGAGTGAGCAGCTTCCAAGGCCTCTGGTTCACCCTACCCCACTCACTTATGCTTTCCCCAAAACAGTCAGCTCGGTCAGCTGCAGCAGAATTGACCACAGGTCCTGGGAGCTTAGAATGGTCCCTGAGCCTGGCACTGCCCACTCTGATACCCCTTTCCATGCTTATCAATTCAGATGCCCAAATTTGGGGGTGGGGAAGCTGAATGGGCACACCCTTAACCTAGTCCCATCTTGGAGGTGAATGGCCTTCAGCACTGGTCCAAAGAGAGAAGAGAAGGGAAAAGGAAAGGGGTGGGGGGGGTAGAGGAAGAAAACAAAGATTAGAGGAGAAAGAATGAGAGACATGGAAGAGTTAGAAATATTGAAAATCAGAAAAGAGAATAATGTAAACAGGAAATAAAATTCTAAGCTCCCCAACCAACTGAAAGCACTCCTCTGCTTGGCAAAGGGCATTCCAAAGTCAACTTAAAAAACCAGTGCAGGCCATGATGGGAATACAGGGTTGGACATGCCTCATTATACCCTCCTCCCTTTTGAGTTCAGGCATGACTGACCAGCATTAACAGTAAAATGGAGATCTTAGGGCTGAAAAAACAGACTTTTAGCAATAAGATACCAAATTCTAACCTGACTCTAGTATAGCATCACATGACAGATAGCAGGTCCTGAAAAAAACTGAAGTATTTTACATCAAAATGCATTTCTTTGACATTTTTTGAAATGGCCCTGCAAAGCTGTCTCTTGTGAGGAAAATTTACATCCTATAGAAAATCCCCTTCTCTTTCCAGGTCTTTTCCTGATCCAAGAGAGATTTAACTAAGAGTCTGGCACCTTTTAGGATCTGATAAAAAATATTTACAATCTATTATCTATGATGCCTACTACCTGGAGGCTTCATCTACGTTAACAAGAACCTTGGCTCCCACAACTCCCCTTATCTTAACTACAAACATATCTTTCTATTGACCTCAACTCTTTAGGCAGAGCTTAACCCTTTCAACCACTTGCCAATCAGAAAATCTTTAAATCTACCTGTGACCTGGAAGCCCCCACTTCAAGATGTCCTGCCTTTCTGGGCCAAAACAATGTAATCCTTACATGTATTGATTTGTGTCTCTGCCTGTAGCTTCTGTTCTCCTAAGATGTATAAAATCAAGCTGCAACCCAACCACCTTGGGAATATATTCCCAGGACCTCCTGGACCTGTGTCATGGGTCATGGTCCTCACATTTGGCTCAGAATAAATCTCTTCAAATATTTTACAGTTTGACTCTTTTTCATCAGCACTAAGGAGATATCAGCAGAAGCTGTGTGATCTTGGACAAGTCTGTTCCCCTCTTGCCTCCATCTGTATCACAGTAAAATAAGGGGTTGACTTGGGTGGTCCAAAGGACTTTGATAGCCCCAAGAGCTTTGTATTGATAATCAAAGAAGAAATAGACTGAGCTGCAGACATAGAGGCAGGAAGAAAGAGCATCAACATAAAAAGTGAACAGGAGTGAAGATGGGCAGTTCCAGTCATTATAGACCCAACCCAAGGCAGTGAGGCAAGGCAGCCCCAGCCTGAGCCACATCATGCCTGCCCTGGGCAGTGTGATGCTGGCCCAGGCTTACCTGGCTGTGCACCTGTCTGTCTGGAGTGCAGTTTGGCAGCCCTTCTGTCAGGCAGTCTGCAGCTGAGTATGAGGATGTGAGTAAGCAGCAGGCTGGATTTCAGGCACTGCAGATTCTATCTGAACAACACAAAGATTCCTGGAATTTATAGCCCCAGAATTCAGAAAGGTTGGAGGAGGGTTTCAGAAAAGGCCTCACCCACAACTTGGGAGGAAACCTAGGGGAAGTGCAGGACTTGTTGTCTGAGTAATATTCTGCAGAATGCTGCACATACCACTTAACAAGCATAACCAGCAAAAGAGTCCAGCTGCTTGCTGCTTGTGGAAAGAAGTCAAAATAATAATAGTTATGATAAGAGGGAGCAAGATGTCTTTATTATCCATGCTAGCAGGGGAAGAGTAGAAAGCAATTCCACTCTTCAATTCGTGGAGGGAACGTAGGAGTTTTCAAAGAAAGGGTTTGGAATACAGAATATGACTAATTATATAGTATTAATAATATAATAATAATTAAATTATTTAAATCATTATAACTAGGCTCAAACACATCTTTAGTAATAAAAATAGGAACCATTACAATCAACACATTTTTGCCAATGAGAAATAAGTTTATTTATTCCTGTAGCATAAAAATCCATGCTTCAGGATTCAGCAAACTCTTGGAAAGCATTTTCTGCATCCTGCTGGTTGTGGAAGTGTGTTCCCTGCAAAAAGTTGTCGAGATACTTGAAGAAGTGGTAGTCAGTTGGTGAGAGGTCAGGTGAATATGACAGATGAGGCAAAACTTCAAAGCCCAGTTAATTCAACTTCTGAAGTGTTGGTTGTGCAATGAGTGGTTGGACATTGTCATGGAAAACTGGGCCTTTTCTGTTGACCGATGCCTGCTGCAGGTGTTGCAGTTTTCAGTGCATCTCATCAATTTGCTGAGCATTCTTCTCAGAAGTAATGGTTTTGCCAGGATTCAGAAAGCTGTAGTGGATCAGACCAGCAGACCACCAAACAGTGACCATGGCCTTTTTTTGGTGCAAGTTTGGCTTTGGTAAGTGGTCATTGCTGGTTGTCATATAAAATTCACTTTTCAACTGGATAGTGGTTCACTGTTGTTGCATAGAATAAGAGAAGATGACACTTTAAAATAATAATTTTTTTGACTTTGAGTCAGCTCATGAGGTATCCATTTATTGAGCTTTTTCATCTTTCCAATTTGCTTCAAATGCTGAATGTAGAATGGTCAGCAACTTCTAGTGCAGTTGTAAGAGGATCAGCTTGGATAATTGCTCTCAATTTGTCATCAGCTTCCAATGGCCAGCCACTATACTCCTCATCTTCAAGGCTCTCGTCTCCTTTGCAAAACTTCTTGAACCACCACTGCACTGTACATTTGTTAGCAGCTCCTGGGCCAAATGCATTGTTGATGATGTGAGTTGTCTGCACTGCTTTACAACCCATTTTGAACTCAAATAAGAAAATCGCTCAAATTTGCTTTTTGTCTAACACCATTTCCATAGTCTAAAATAAGTATAAAATAAACAGCAAGTAACAAGTCCTTAGCCAAAAAAAATGCAAAGCAAGAAATGCACATTAAAATGATATATAACATAAGCGCATATATATTTTTTTTCTCTTTTTTTTTTTTTTTTTTGAGACGGAGTCGCACTCTGTCGCCCAGGCTGGAGTGCAATGGTGTGACCTTGGCTCACCGCAAGCTCCGCCTCCTGGGTTCATGCCATTCTCCTTCCTCAGCCTCCTGAGTAGCTGGGACTACAGGGACCTGCCACCACACCCGGCTAATTTTGTTTTGTATTTTTAGTACAGATGGGGTTTCACCATGTTAGCCAGGATGGTCTCTATCCCCTGACCTCGTGATCCACCTGCCTTGGCCTCCCAAAATGCTGGGATTACAGGCGTGAGCCACCGTGCCCGGCCAACATAAGCATATTTATTTAAGAATGTATTCCAATATCAAACAGCAAATTTCAACAATGCAAAAACTGCAATTACGTTTGCACCAACCTAATAATTGAGTCACTCTTCAGCTGGGAGTGCGTTCTGTCCCTGATGTAATCTTTTGTTGCACAGAGAATTCCAGAGCTTTCTGGTCCCTATCAGGATCTGAGACCTAAAGATGTTACCACTAGGGAACATATGAGTCACATTGCACCAAAGTATGTTAGCAACAGCAAATCCATATGGGTCTGCAGCAACTTCAGTTTTTGCCTCTTCAGAAGAAAGAATTCGACTGAGGGGCACAAGGCAGAGTGAGAAACTGGGGGAACTTTTTGAACAGGAGTGAAAGTTTGTTAAAAAGCTTTAGTGCAGGAATGAAAGAAAGTAAAGTGCACTTAGAAGAGGGCCAAGCAGGTGACTTGAGAGATCAACTGCCCAGTTTGACCTTTGACTTGGTGTCTTATATGTTGCCAGGCTTCCAGGGTTGTGTTACTTCTCCCCTGATTCTTACCTTGGGCTGTCTGCATGCACAGTGGCCTGCCAGCACTTGGGAGGGGGCTGCATGCACAGTGTGTTTACTGGAGTTGTACACAGGCTCACTTGAGGCATTCTTCCTTTACCAGTCAAGTATTCCTAGAAGAAGGTCATATACTAAACTCCAACATTTTGCCTCTTGATGTAGCATGCTTGAGCCCACTCACCCAACTCCTGAGATCTTATCAAGAAGCTGCTGATCACCAGCTTCAGGTGTTTCTATCTATTGGGAGACAGCCTTTCCCTGGCATCAGCTGTGACCAATTATTATTTTAGAGAGACAGTATAACAACTGTCTGACCATCACCTGATGGTCTCCTGACATTCCTGAGTGGGGGGCCTCTCCTATCCTGTTCATGTCTACCTGACTACCTACTGTAAACACTTCCCCCATCAAGAGTTCATCCAAAACTCCCAATTCTTTGGGGAGAATGGACAAAGATCAGTCTTTTATAGCTACCTCCTGCTGACAGATGGGCAGTGGTGGTTGTTCTGTGAGTCTTGGCCTCTTGCTAGCTGTCAGGGCAGGGTGGCTCCATGGGTTGGTGAAAGCAGTATTCAGCCAGGTCCAAGGGAGGCAGGGGCAGAATTTCACCTCTGTTGTGTCCCACTGATGAGCATTCTAGGGGTCCTCTGTAGAAGGGTGACTCCTGAATATTGAGAGGATGGTATTCCTCACTGAGGATCATCTGGAGCTTGATGGCCCATCCTTCTTGTTTCTTCTGAGCTGCAGCCAGAGATCACTGGTTGGTTCACAGGAATAAGCAGGGTCAGTCTAAATTGTGGAGGAAAAAAACTCAAAAGCAACTGATAAGACTAGAATCTAATAACAGGTATACCATAGTTCTTGAAACATAATTTTTCTCTCTCTAATTTCCCTTTTTTTTTTTTACTAAAAACAAATCATGGTAGGACTGACTTATTTACAAAATAAGCTTTAGTCTTATTATACTCAGCCTGATTATTTACATAGAATACAGTAAAAATAATTATTTGCCATATAATCTCCTTTTAAAATGGGTTTTGATGAAACTGTTCCATGAGGAATCCCAGATAAGACTTTAAAGCCTTAAGACAAGCCATGGGTTTGTGCCATCAAATACCTGTATGAGTTGGGTGAATTCCTCTCCTCTAGAGGTCCCAAGATAACTTGAGGCTCCTGGACCTGTCAGAAAGTGACATTCTCTACTTACCACAAGTCAAGAACCCTGTACAAGAACTGTGTAGACAAGCTATGAGGGAAGTGTTCCCAAGGGGTTTTTATTGGCTCTGTAAGTCAAATTTGATTCCTTAAAGGAAAGCACACCATTCTAGTCAAAGCCTTGGTAAAATAATCAGTTTCTCCAATTGTGTCCTGTTGCAAAAGGAAACAGATTCTTATTGCACTTATGCAAACAACTATATTGCCATAACTTTAGAATACTCACAAATAGTTTCCAAATTCTAAAGAAATCACGTAGAAAGAAACAAACATGCTCCAAATTTTGCTTACAGCAGTATATTTTACTTAATTGTTAAAAGCTGTAAACAGCTCAGGAGAAAAGTTTTCTTGGCTCTGAAAAACAAAGGATCAGCAATGTTTTCAGCAAAAAGTCACAAAAGGATTATTTCAGTCTTCTATTAGTTCAGGCCATGCAATTAACTCCTATTCTGCTTGATATTCATGAATATTTCAGCTCTCCATGAGAGTCCTGAAAGTTTTTTCATCTATTCTAATGTCACAATCTCCAAAGTTATCAGAAACCTGGATTTAAGAGCACCTGTTAGGGTCCTACAGCGATTATAAAACCATCTTTTACAGAGGTTCAAAAGAAGACAATAATGGTCTGTGGATGACAAAAAGTCTTAGGGCAGCCACGGCCAAAGATGCAACTGACAAGGAAATTTGCTATCTTTGTGGCACACAATAATTTAACATAACAATTACAATTATCACTGGTAACATATACTAAGTCATATCAGAATTACAAGGGTTTTACACAATTTTGGCTAAATATTACTTTTGCATTAGTATACTATTGATGTTAAACACAATTCTTAATAAAACTTTGTAGATAAATCTGTCCAATCTTAATCAGTTTGACCATAAGGTAAGATTTTTATAAACCTTTTTCAACCCTTTACAATTTTCTGTTAAAGAACAGAACAATGCTCTAAGAAAACCATGTTGTAAGTTTATTCCAGTGTTCAATTTATGGATAAACTTAATAATGCTCCTTTAATTTTAGCTAATATGTTCACATGCAGAATTTCTTTTACAAGATTAGTCTTTCACAGACCTCCTACAACTTGCTCAAATCTTCAACTATATTCTATCTAACATAAAACCATTATTTAACCCTCTAAACGAAGCAAAAATGTCTACATTACCAAGCCTTCTTATAAGGTTTTACCAAAAGCACATTCTATTTTCCTTATACGCCTTGCCTGTAAAACTGCTTTTCTAGACATGTTACATTGTTAACTCTTAGCAACTTTTACTTTTGGTGAAAATCATAGTAAGTAAGCTATTCTAATTATGTACTAGGTTTGGAGCCTAGAACACCAGACAGAACTGCAGATAAGGTTTGACTTTCCAGCATAGCTAGGGGGCGTGACTAACTCTGTATGTCCCAGGACCTTACCTAGAATTTAATAGCTTTAAAGCAGGCAAGTTGCACAGTTAAGAGTCATAGTAGTTGCTTATGACCTTAAAGCATTTAGTAGACCTACTAACCTTTAAAATTGTATAACTTTTCTTTCACAAATTCCCTTTCACGAATCTTTTTACAACTTACACAAACCATCTACAACATTCTTGGACTTTCTGACTTGTCCTAAACATCTCTCTTTCTAAACAACCAGTCATTTTACTTTAGGACAAGAATTTACCATACAAGAACTTTTCTCATATAAAATCTCTTTTATTTATAACCTTCCTCACCAAAAATACCTCTTTATCTCTATAGCCTTTGAATTAACAAAGTAATTTTCCTTCTGTTAGAAAGTTAAGCATTGTACTGCATGTTGCTGTGCAAGTCCCATGAAGTGAGAGCAGATAAAGAGATTGTCTACATACTATAGAAGTTATCCCTCTCAAGAGATTGCTCAGTTAGATTTTTTTGCTAGGGCTGGTTCGAGTAAGAGTGGGCTATTTCTAAACCCCTGAGGTAGAAATGTTTAGGTTAAAGATTTAGGTAGCTTTTTGGGAGAAATAGGGCTATCAGAGGGAAAGATGAATTCAAAGATAGGCTAAATATTAAGTAGGCATCCATCTTGGAAAGCATATTTTTGCCCCAAGGAGGTGTGGGGTATCTAGACATTACCAGGGACTGGTGAGAGAATGGTAATTAGTCCCTTAAGTAATATAAAGGGGTGTGGATCCCAACAGGATTTGGAGGAGAGTTGCTTAGAGAAGGAGATTAGCACAGAGTAGGCAGCTCTTAAACCCAAAAGGGAAACTTTAAATTTTACTTGCCACCTCCAGAGTTGCCCTTGGCTTTGTCCTGTTGGTGACAATGTCTGATTTGGAAGCCAGCTGGAGTGGAGAGCCCCTTCAGCTCAGGGCCATAAGTGGTTGGGATTCTGTCCCAGGGGCCCTTCAGCCTTCAGGACAGTCCCATCTCCAGTGGCCAAGCTTGTGGCAGACAGGGCAAGCCATGTGGGCCTTTTTCCCAATTTTCTCATTGGGGAAGTTTGCCTTCCAGTGACCTGTCTTTCAGCACCAATGGCACTTATCTGGAGGAGTGTCCTTAGGGCAACCTGGAGGGGACTGGTGGGCTTGCAAAGCAGCTAATAGTTCAGCCTGCCTCTAGTACCTGCATTTCTCTTTCTCCCTAGCCCTGCCCTCCTTATTCTGCTTTCAGTTATAAAAGACCAGGGAGGCTAATTTGAGGATTTCCTGCATAAAGGCACTAAGTTCTAAGGCTGACTTTCGTATTTTCTCCCAGTTTATTTTTAGGCCAAACAATAATATAAAGAAAAACTAGGGTTTTTTTTGTTTGTTTGTTTTAAGGTTTAGGGGAATCAAACTTTTTCTAGTTTTGGAGGATGAATCCGAGGGGCATGTCCTGTGGTCTGGAGACACAATTACCCATCTGTGAAGACAGGACAGAGGAGGAAAAAGGAAAAAGATGCTGCCCCTTCTTACTTTCCTATTATCCTGAATAGGGTGTCCCCCATTTGTCCTTAGGGTTCTGGAATGAATTGGTCTTACTGTGTACCTTTAACGTTGGTCCCATCTCGTCACAATTACCCACTTGAGAACAAAGGAAATGCTGGAGTGAACAGGGGGCCCCCTGTTCATCCTTGGGGTTCCAGAATGAACTGATATTACTGTGTACCTCTAACCTTGCCTTGGTCTCTGTTCTAATGGTTATCTGTTAGCTTGGGACCAGCCTTCAGCTCTGTCCTATGGGTCTCTTGATCCTGCAGCCTTGGGCTGGCCTGTATCCTTGTCTCCATGACCTTATAGTGATGCTCGCTCAGAGCAACAAAATGATTGTCTCTTTTCTCAGATTCCCATTTCCCATGTTCTTTAAGTGGATGAGAAGCCTGTCTTGTCCTGCCGCAAGGGGGTGGACTTCCCTCCCTTCGAATATGACCTTGAAGGTCTTGATGCACATTGACAAGGGTGTGGAAGTGATTAGAGAAATGGAGGCTACTGGAGAATGTGGAAGGAAGCAAGAGGAATACTCAAGGAAAGCCTTCTTATGCTCACAAAAAATAGCCCTTGGATTTGAGACAGCAACATTTATTTGCCCTCTTGACATAAACGAGTAACCTCCACAGGACTTGGAGCTTGGGGTAAGAACTTGCAAATGACAAAGGAAGAATTTCCCTCTTCCCAAAGGAGTCCTAACTCAAAAAAAAAAAAAGCAGAGCGAGGTCCTATGCAGGCAGACAAACTGCTTCAAATGCCACCAGAAAACTTGGCCCTGGGGTGTAAAAGGAGTGAAGAGCATATTGTAAGTCATAAGAAGCTGGCAGAGCCAGAGTTCCAATTAATGTCTGTCCCAGCAGTGAGCCAGTAGACAGGGGAAAGGTTGGAGGTCATCTGCGCTGGTAGAGTAAAAACAAGTATACAAGTATAAATCTTGGGGTAATCACAAATGGAGCCCATGTCTTTGCTGCTGAGCAGATGCATCAAGAGCTGTGGGCACACAAATAACAGGGAGTGTGAGTTTTAAGGCAGAGAAGACAGTCACACAGCATGTGAAGTGAAACCAGAGAAGAGGCAGACTTGCCCCTGAGGCAGACAGTCAGTGGGTGTGCAAGGCCATTTCAGAATACACACAGGGAAAACAGGAGAATAGACAGTGAAGATTTTGGAAAAGAGTGGATTTTAGTTGAAAAAGCAGAGGAAACCCCAGGTATTGCATGGTTTTAGGCTTTAGCCCTGCTACTCTTGTAAGCTCCTTCTCTAGGAGAGCCATTACTGCCTCAGAGCTACTCAATGCAGACTCCAAGGTCCTTCCTACCCCCTCAACCCATCGGTCAGGGTGAACTGAGAGGTCAGCCTGGGGTAGCAGAGCCTCTGTGGCTGACAGGAATCATTCTGAGGGTTGGTTAGTAGGCAGGAGAGTGAAAAGACAGAAGGAAACTGTGTACAGGGGTTGAACACCTCCAGCTGAAGAAGGTGAGAGGTAGAGATCTCTTACCACTAGGGAATGTATCCGAGCCACATGGCACTAAAGTATGTTAGCAGCAGTGAGTCCGTACAGGTCTGCAGCAACCTCAATTCTTGCTTCCTCAGGAGAAAAAATTCAACTGAAGGACATAAGGCAGAGTGAGAGACCCAGGCAAGTGTTGAAGCAGGTGTGAAAAGTTATTAAAAAGCTTTAGAGCAGGAACGAAAGGAAGTAAAGTATGCTAGAAAGAGGGCCAAGCAAGCAACTTGAGAGATCGAGTGCCAGGTCTGACCTTGGACTTGAGTTCTTACATATTGGCATTCTGCATGTGCAATGGCCTGCCAGCACCTGACAGGGACTTCATGTGCAGTGTGTTTACTGGAGTTGTACGCATGCTCACTTTAAGCATTCTTCCCTTACCAGTCGAGTATTCCTAGAAGGTGGTCATATACCAGTTAAACTCAGCCATTTTACCTCTTGATGTGCATGCTTGAGCCCACTCACCCAACTCCTGAGATCTTATCTGGAAGCTGCTGATCACCAGCTTCAGGTGTTTCTATGTATTGGGAGATGGCCGTTCCCTGGCACCAGCTGTGGCCAATTATTATTTTAGAGAAACAGCATAACAACTGGTATTCCTGGTGTGTGGTGGGGAGCTCTCTCCTGCCCTGCTCATGTCTGCCTGACTACCTACTGCAACAAAGCTTCTAAGGAAATATATTGCAGATAAGAGAACATGGTTTGTGCTTAACAAGCCTTTAGGTAAATAACTATACATAAGGCATGGGAGCATAGCATGGGAAAGAAAGGGAGTGGAGGTTCACAGCACATTCTGAGATTGTTATTTCGAGATGAAAGGTAACATATATGCAGTTTGTCTCAAAGTTACCTCTTGAGACTGGGAGGAGGAAGAGGGAAAGGAAAAGAAGAAAAAAAAGTACAAAGCACAGTTTGAGGACCCATTCTTGCCAGTCTGGCTGTCTCCAGAGATGCTGTCACACAATGGAAACAGATGGACCCATGAGTCCACAGCCCCAAACTCAAGCAGGCTCCAGACCCCACTTCATGCTAGGCACCAAGTACTGCAAACACAAAAAAATAATGAAAACATAGTCCCTACCCTCAATAAGCTTACAGAAATAAATAAATAAAAATCAGCTTATAGTCTAATGGAGGAATCAGATAAATGCAACGCAGGGATACATGTCAAAATAGAAGTAGGTCTAAGGTTCAGACGGTTCCCCAGGAAAGCATCATTAAAGGCATGGAGATCACTATGGGATATTTCAGAGGAGGTATCCCTGCAATTGGAAATAGTTCCAGAGTTCAAGACTGAGTTAGCGATAAGGATAATTATTTGGGGATTATTGGTCATAGGTAGAAGCAGCCTCATCAAATGGAATAGAGCTCCCAGGAGCGTGAAGAAAGTGAAAAGAGAAGAGAGCCAGGATTGGAACTGTGGGAGCCAGCCTCTAGATGGCCACTATGATCCCTGCCCACTGGTACTCGCACCCACATAAGTTTCTCACACCACACCAGAGTTGCCAGAGGTAATGGTCCATCACTTCCAAGGTTAGGCTGTAAAAAACAGAGTGTTCTGTCTTGGGCTTGCTCTCTCTCTCCTCTCTCTCTCTCTCAGCACTCTGGCTGCCATATTGGGAGCATCCCTATTGCAAACCCATGTGGTAAAGACCTGAGTCCTCCAGCCAACAGCCAGCGAGGAACTGAGACCAGTGAGGAACTAAGGCCTATTTGCTCAATCATGTGAGTGAGCCTGGAAGCGAATCTCTTAGCCCCAGTCAAGTCTTGAGACAACTGCAGCCCTGCTGACAGCATAGCCACAACCTCTTGAGAGATCCTAAGCCAGAACTACCCAGCTACAGTGCTCTCAGGTTCCTGACTCTCAGAAAGTGTGAGATAACACATTTTCAAGCTGCTGAGTTTTAGGATAATTTGTTATGCAGCAATAGATAACTAATATGGGAACCTTGGTGAGAAGTAACCCATTGAAGAGATAGAGCAGAAAATTCTAAAATATGAGACATTTTAAAAATAAACCAACCATAATTAAAAGAGTATTGTATTGAGACATGAATAAACACATCAAAGGAAAAGAACGGACGGTCCAGAAATATACCTGAGCACACTTGGGAATTTAATGTATGATAAAGGTGGCATTTAAACCAGTGAGAAAAAAGATACATTTGTCAATAAATGATGTTGAAACAACCAGGTAGCTCTCTGGGAGAAAATAAATGAGATTAGATCTGTGCCTTTCACACACTACACCAAAATAAATGTCAGATGAATCCGATTTGAATATTTTTTAAAAACCATAAACCTACAATAATTCTTTTTCTTCCACATGAGAAAAAAACTACATAAAGTCAAAAGAAAAGGACAATTTACACAAAGTTCTAGGATAGACAAAACTCAGCTATAGTGATAGAAATCACATCAGTGATGTGATTTGGGGCACAAGGAAGTTTTCTAGGGTGATGCAAATGTTCTATATCTTGATTGGGCAGTACATCTCAATAGAGTTGATTTTTATAAGAAAGAAAACTGAGTGCAAACACCAGCAGGTCTGATGTTTTAAAAAAGCAAAATCTCTCCATAAGAATTGAGAGCCCTGGATCCTGACCTGCCCCAACCGCTTACTTCTCCAGTGGTGACCTTTCTCAGCCTCCCCTAAGCCTAGATATTCAAGGCTGACTTCCTACAGCATGAGGGACTGTCTTCACAGAGTTGAGGTCTGTGCATGATACAGTATTACTTTGCTTTAGTCTTTGTACCAGATTCAAGCAATTCTCCAATCTTTGTCTCCGGGAGGAGTCAGTTGACCGGTTGAGTAGTTGGTTCGTTGGCTGGTTGGTAGACTGGTTGGTTGGTTGGTTCCCAAATTGGAGAGATTGAAAAGCAAGAGATTTCTCTATGGCAAAATCTGAAAGAGAGAAAAGAGGTAAAAAACTGAGAAAAGAAGAAGAAACCCTAAGGAAAAAAACTAAGGGTTTATACATTTGAGAAAGTATTGACTAGGGTGAAATTCTATAAGACAAAAAAGTGTGGAAAACAAGAAATGGAGGAAGTGGTATATGTACATCCCCCTGAGGGGAAGAAAAGAAGGTGGAAAAGAAAGTTCTTGCAATAACCTTTTACCATCTTAAGGAAATCCCCCTTAGTAGCCACAGCCTTTGATAGCCATGGGGTAATGTAGAAAGATAGGGGCCTTATTAGAGCCCAGAAACACAGGGAATATTACCAACCTTATGGTGGCTACAGGAGAGTTATGCAAGCACAACTCCAAGGGCTACATTTTGTGCAAGACTTGTTCATTTGTAAACATGAAGCCCAAATGCCAGTTGCAACATTTTACAACCTCCCTCCAACTCAGTCCCCACTCCCATTATCATAGTATCTCACTAACTTGACCAGCCATAGAGGCATTTATCAGGAGAAAAGTTGGCTTGCCTGCATGACTTTGCCCCCAGTATCCTCCTGTCAGAGCTTCCTTATCCGCCTGTCAGAGCTTCCTTATCCTCTTTATCCTCCTTCCTTATTCTTCCTTATCCTCCTGTCAGAGCTTCCTTATCCTCTAGTGAGCTCTGACTGTCAAAGGTGGCATACAATACACTTCGGTTAACATCAGTAAGTTGCCAATGGATCTGGGTTCTACTCCACATCTTGGCACTAAAGGGCCACCTCCCTATGTCCCCTTTATAAGGTTGCCAGACTTGCAAATCAAAATACAGGATGTCAGGTTAAATTTGAATTTCATGTACACAACAAATAACCTTTTTGTATAAGTATGTCCCAAATATTGCATAGGACATACTTACATTTAAAAAAAACTGATTTGTGTTTTATTTGCAATTCCAACTTAACTAGGTATTCTGTATTTTATCTAGCAATCATACTCCTTTGCCCTAGTAAGGATTTTCCAGAGAACAGTAACAATTAATTGATCTGAAAAAAATATCAAAATTGTATAAATTTTGTACATCATCCAGAAGAAAAGTGAAGACAAAATATCCTTTATAAAATAGATTTAAATGACACCAGTAATGAGTACATTCTCCCTGTAACCATTTACAAAATATAGATAAAGCAAAAGTTCTCCAACATTAAGCCACCAGATCCCTGTACTCTTCCAAAAAGTAAGCACAGTTAATAGTGTGTTCTTCTAGAGCTTTTCTATGCATTTGAATATATATATGTAAGTATAGAATATGTAGGCTTGTTCTTTGTGTGCGTGTGTATCATATTGTAAACACTGTTGCATTGTTGTACAACTTTTTGCATGGCAATATATATCTATCTCATTGCTTTGTAAAGCTGCCTAACATTCCACAGAATAAATATTACCCTTGTTTAACAGTTATCAATGTGTGGTTAGGGAACCCCTTGGGGAACCCTTTGTAGGGTTCCAAGAGGTCAAAATTACTTTCATAATAGAAGTAGGACATTATTTGCCTTTTACACCCTTACTCTCTCACAAACATACAGTGGAGTTTTCCAGAGGCTACTTGGCAAGTGATGACACCACTGCTCTGACAGCTAATGAAATGTGTATGTATACACTGTTTTCCAAATTTTTCTAAAGAAGTAGATTTAGGGTATACAAATATGCTTGTTTGGAGACAACTCAGTTTCTTCTTGTGTTCTTACCGTGTTCTTCCTAGCTGTCTTCAGTTATACCTGCTATAATTGCAATACTATTATCTAATAAATTTTTATTTTGAAATTCTGAAGTTTTTCTTACATCTGAAAACACAAGAAACAATACACTTTGTCTTGTTTTGTAATAGCATTTTTTAAATGTTTTTAAAACCCTAATGAATTGTGTAATTTTAACCAAAATTGTTATTAGACCATTTCTTTACAATATATTTATTCTTATAGTCAAGGATTTATCATTGGCATAAGATGGATTGATTAGATTTGCTTTCTCAACCCACAGGTGCACCGTCCCAGTATAAAAATACTGAAAAAAAAAATGAAATTAGGCCAGGTGGAGTTGCTTACACCTGTAATCCCAGCACTTTGGGAGGCCAAGGTGGGAGGATTGCTTGAGTCCAGGTGTTCAAGACTGGCCTGGGCAACACATCAAGACCCCACCTCTATTTATTTTTTATATCAATTTAATTTAAAAATAAAATAAATAAATAATAAAGTTTTTAAAGATGAAATTGGCATATCAGGGAGTTGTCTGACTAGCGGAAGGGAGGGATATACTCTGAAGAAACTGTGAAAAACTAAATAAAAACCAAAAATATAATGAAATCTATATTTCCCTCATCTATATGTATAGTAATAATTCAACTTATTATGTCTTATTCAACAGAATATTTTGAAGAGTATTTTAGCAATACTATTACTAAACTTATTTGTTTACTCTAATAGTTAGTTGCAGCATCACTTTGAGACCAATCATTTAGAGTTTAGAGAAAAACGAATTAAGCATTTTAAATGTAGATATGGTGAGCTCTTTAAAATCCAAAAATTGTTAGATTTTCAAACTGGCCATGAAAAAGTTACTGAAGCTTCTCATAGGGTAAGTTATTGTATTGCATTAGCTGGAGAAGCCCACACAAAGGCTGAGAGATAATAAAGCCTTATACATTGACATCACTGAAAGCCTGCTGGATAAAAATCAGTGAAAGAAATCCTAGGGGCTGCCACTTTTCAACAACACAATCACTCGTCAAATTAAACATGTAGCTGCAAACATGAAGACTGAGTTAACCTCTTGTCTACATAATTGCACTTTTGCCTCACACATGGAGACTTGCTGTTTTCTTGTATTCCTCCAGTGTCAGCACCAACTAATCATTTTCTTTTATGGGAATACTTGGCAAAAAAAAAAAAAAAAAAAACACAAAGGGTGGTAAAATTTTCAGTGCTGACTTTTTTTATTTTCATGGTTTTTTCTAGAACAACAGTTCTGATATTTTCTTCGATGACACAAAAGCAATGGTGGGTAAAACTGCTGGCATTTAGCACAAATCAAAGCAGTGGCACCAAACTGTCCCAGTCGTCATTCTATTCCCTAATGCCACACACTTGCAATGAGGGGGAAAAGCCAGTTTCACTTCCAGTTATTTTCTTAAATCTTGATTCAAGAGAACATGTCTTTTCAACAATCTTTGTGAAGAAATGGGAAGTATACATTAAACGTTTCTGCTGCATACTAAAGAACAATGGTATCTCAAGAAACAGTACTCGTGCAACCATGCAAGATAGCTGAACTGTGTATATTTTTTATGAAACACGATTTTTAGTGGAAAGAATGACAAACTATGATTATTCAGGTCTGAGTATTTTGCAGGCACTTTCTTAGAAATGCAAAGAGAATCTCACTTCAAGAAAATTAGTTGACGATATTTGCTGCCAGTAATAAAATTTGAACTTTCCAGCGAAACTAAGAATTGTGAAAAATTTGTATCTGCCATCATGAACTTGACAACTGCCTGATTCTTCCAATGAGATCTTCCAATGAGTTGCAGTGGTTTGTACCTGTGAAGCACCTAGCAGCATACCTGGAACATAGCAAGCAGTGATAGGATGATAACTCTCTCTCTCCTCTTTTTTTTTTTTTTTTTTTTTTTGAGACGGAGTTTTTCTCTGTTGCCCAGGCTGGAGTGCAGTGGCACAATCTCAGCTCACTGCAACCTCTGCTTCCCAGGTTTAAGCGATTTTCCTGTCTCAGCCTCCTGAGTAGCTGGGATTACAGGTGTCTGCCACCACACCAGGCTAATTTTTTATTTTTAGTGGAGATGGGGTTTCACCATGTTGGCCAGGCTGGTTTTGAACTCCTAACCTCATGTGATCCACCCACCTCAGCCTCTCAAAGTGCTGGGATTACAGGCGTGAGCCACCGCAGCCAGCCCTTTCTCCTTTCCTTTCCCATATGTTACATGTCTGGCCCCAAATACTTCTGGCCACCCCATGCCAGAGCTGGGAGAAGGCCAGGGTAAGTTATTGTATCGCGTTAGCTGGAGAAGCCCACACAAAGGCTGAGAGATAATAAAACTTTATACATTGACATCACTGAAGGCCTGCTGGATAGAAAGTCAGTGAAAGAAATCCTGGGGGCTGCCACTTTTCAATGACACAATCACTCATCAAATTATTTGTATCACCTGTATGTCCCACCCTGGCTCTCACACCCCTTGGGTGGTATAGGATGGCAAGATGAGGCAGTCTGTTGCCCTACAAAAGATGAGAGAAGGGAATCTGGCGCCATCACTCCCAAACTCCCAGGGACTCATTTAGAGGGCCTCCCATTTTCACTAAGCCTTTAATCTGTTTCCTAACCTGTACCTGCCCACCTTCCTGAACCCAAATGACCCTCTCCCCTATAATGCCTTCCCACCCTTAACCTCCCAGGTCTGAGTTGCCCACTTGGCAACAGAGGGGCAGAGCAGTAGGTTCGAGATTGCCCTAGGGGCATCTGGGACTGCCTGGGCATTCCCATGCAGAGCAGGACAAATAGCCAAGCCCCCGGACAGAGCTTCCCCCAGATCCCCATCACCCTGCCCTGAGGAAAATGACCCAGAGAGCACTCCCACACAGCCACCCACTTCCCACCATCCCCTGTCAGCAGGCAAAGAGCTCCAGTTTCTTCCTCTGGGACACTATACATAAACAAGGGTCTGTCAATTCCTATCCACCCCCAAGCCCTCACCAGGTGAGTACAGCTCAGGCTCCTGGAAACTAGAGGTTAATTCATGGAAAGATTGATGGTATGTCCTCCAAGTCTGCATGCCAAGGACCTTCAGGAGCCTTTCCCCCCATCCCCTTCTTTCCTGAGGATATATTCTGTCTGTAAATCCTAGCTATTGATTCAACAAACTGTTGCCAAGTCATACGTTATTTTATTTTTCTAGGAATTGGTAAGGTGTTCATTTCACAATATAAAACACAGAACATCCCCAGGACTCTCCTCCACCCCCTGTGCTCCTTCCTGCCTTCCCTCTCCCTTTACTCCCTCCTGGGTTCCAGTATCAGGAGTGTTGATTAAGTCAGCCTCCCCATAAACCTCACACATTACACAGAAACTAACTCAAAACGGAACACAGACTTAAAGGTGAAACATAAAACTATAAAACATTTAGAAGAAAAAATAGCCTGTTAGTATGGTAAATTGCATGGACTGATTTTTGAATATTGAATGAGACTTGCATGATTGGTCATGGTATATACTGCTTTTTATAAACTGCTGAATTCTATTTGCTAATATTTTGTTAAGGGTTTCTGCATCTACATTTATGAGGGATATAGGACTGTAGCTTTCCTTTTTCTTTTTTTGTACTGTCTTTATTTGGTTTTAATATCAGCATAAAACAAGTTTTATAAAATGAATTGGGAAATATTCCCTCCTCTTCCATTTTCTGGAAGAGATTATGTGGAATTGGGCAGATCTCTCTAGTATATTCCAGAGGGGACAAGTGTTTCTTTCTTTCTTTGTTTAACAATGGTTAATGATTAGCTTGTGGAGGTGAGCCACTTATCTAATACAAGGTTCAATTCTACCCTATTTGTTTTTGTTTGCATTTTGAGATGAGGTCTCGCTCTGTCACCCAGGCTAGAGCGCAATGGCATGATCATAGCTCAGTGCAACCTCGAATTCCTGGGTTCAAGCAATTCTGCCTCAGCCTCCCAAGTAGCTAGGACTATGGGCGTGCACCACCACAACTGGCTAATTTTTTAAGTTTCTGTAGAGACAGGGTCTTGCTATGTTGCCCAAGCTAATCTCGAATTCCTGGCCTCATGCAATCTCCCACCTCAGCCTCTGAAGGTGCTGGGATTACAGGCATGAGCCACCACACCCGGCCTACCCTATTTGTTTTTATATATCTATGATTCTACTGTAGCTTTACCATGTGCCAGAAACTATTTTAGGCACTTTGTAAATATTAAATCTTTTACTCTTCATAACAACCATTTGAGATAGGTACTAGGATTGTTCTGATTTTACAGATGAGGAAACTGAGACACAGAGAGATAATGTAATTGGCACATGGTCACATAGCTAGTAAACAGCCCAGGCTTCTCTTCCCTTAACCACAGTGCTCTTCTGTCCACAGAAGAGGACATTATTATTATTATTTTCCTACTCTAGATAAGGAAACTGAAGCCTAGAGAGCTGAAGTGATTTGCCCAACTGAATGTAACCAAAGTAGAATTCTTGATTCCCACCCACCTCTCTCTCTACATCTCCCCATCTCCGAAAAGTGTTCTAGCCAAAAATTTGAGTGTCCCTTGAGTTTTCTCTTCACCTTACCTTCTGCTTTTAATCCATCAGCCAATCTTGTTGATTTTGCCTCCAAAATATGCATCAAGTTCTCCGCTTCTCTCCATCTCCGCCGCGCTCTCTCATCTGACCACTTCATTCCACTCATACACTCTCACAAGCTATTCTCTTTCCACCTGCAGACAGCATTAGCATTTTAAACATCAGTCTCCACTGCTTAAAACTCTGCAATGGCTTGCCATTGTACTAAGAATCAAATCCAAATTATTTCCCCAACTTACAGAGCCCCCACGGTGTCTGGCCCCAAGCTCTTCCCAGACCATCCTACTGCACTTTCCCCTCCACCTGCGTGCTTCAGCCTCCAGCCGGCCAGGTCAGGCCTGCCTTCACAGTCCCTGTATCTGCTGGCCCTTGAAAGCTCTTCCCACAAACACTTCATTGCTGTTAAATGTCAACCCTCATAGAGACATTCCCTGTTCACCTGGTATGAGACAGATCCTCAGCAGCGCTCTCTCCCACTTTTCTCTTTTATTTTCTTCATGGCACTTATCACCTGCCTAATATTTTTTGTTTGTTTGTTTAGGTTATTTCCTCACCTACTGGAATGTAAGCTCTGCAAGCTTATACTAATAACTAACACTTACGTAGTCCTTATTTTGTGCCAGGCACTGTTCTAAGTACTTTATATGTGTAAACTCACTTAGTCTCCACCACTATCCTGAAAAGTTGCACTCTGAACATCTCTGTGTTTCAGAAGATAAAACTGAGCAACAGAGAGGCAAGGTAACTTATCTATGGTCACACAGCTTGTAAGTCGTGAAGCTGGGATGCAAGCCCAGGCAGTCTGGCTATGGAGTCTGTGCTCTTTTTTTTTTTTTTTTTTTTTTGAGACGGAGTCTCGCTCTTATCGCCCAAGCTGGAGTGCAGTGGCGTGATCTCGGCTCACTGCAACCTCCACCTGCCGGGTTCAAGCAATTCTCCTGCCTCAGCCTACTGAATAGCTGGGATTACAGGCGTGTGCTACCACGCCCAGCTAATTTTTGTACTTTTAGTAGAGACAGGGTTTCACCACATTGGCCAGGCTGGTCTCGAATTCCTGATCTCAGGTGATCTGCCCACCTTGGCCTCCCAAAGTGCTGGGATTACAGGCATGAGCCACCGTGCCTGGCCGAATCTGTGCTCTTAACCCTCATCCTTTATGACCTTCATGGGAGTGGGGTGCTTATTTGTATTGTTCTCCACCAAGTTTCCAGCACCTGTAATAGTGCCCGACAGAGGGGAAGCACCAATAAATATTTGTAGAATAAGCAAATGAATGTTGTATAACTGGTTTAAAGATAAAGCTTGCCTTTGAACCAGATTGGTCGGGCTCCAAAACCACACTCTCCAGAGTATGGGATTGTAGTATTTCAATTTTCAACTCAGAAATTCACTGAAGCTTGCCCTCTACTCTAAAGATGTCTACAGTCCTGTGGGGAAGGCATATTTAAGTAACTACAAGCCAGGTAGAAAAACTGCGGTGTCACAAGGAAAGGGCACACAAAGTGCCATGAGGGAGTGATAACTTTTAACTAGTAGCTCAAGGAAGGATTTGAGGTGAAAGTGGCATTTGCACTGGGTTTGGAAGACTCTGGACAGGCAGAGATGAGAAGGAGCATGTAACTGAAACTACAAGTTGTCTCCTAATGTCTGTTTCCTCTTCTTCCACAGTAATCATATTCCAAAATGTTAGCTGTGCAATTGACCACTGAGAATAAAGGCTATATTTCCCAGCTGCCCTTGCAGCCAGGCACGGCTACCTGACCATGTTCTGCATAAAAGGTTATAGAGAAGTCAGGGATGAAACTTCCATGAGGTGTTCTCAAGTGGAAGGAGCATGCCCACCTCCTTTCTTTGTCTCCCTCCTGCTGTCTAGAACATGACTCTGATGACTGGAGACAAAGCAGCTATCTTTGGCCTCAGAAGGCACATGTTGAGGATGTGGACTACAATGTTGAGGCAGTCTGATCACGAAGGCACGATATGAGGCCCGCTACAGTCTTGTTTAAGCCACTGTTACAAGTGTCTTAGGTTGGGTTACCACAGCAGATCCTAAGACAAGGCTTTATGTGCAAGTAGTTTATTAAACAGATGCTCCCAGCAGGGAGCAATGGCTCCTATCTATAATCCCAGAACTTTGGGAGACCAAGACAGGAGGATTGCTTGAGGCCAGAAGTTTCAGACCAGCCTGAGTAACATAGTGAGACCCCTGTCTCTACAAAAAATTTAAAAATTAGCTGATCAGGTCATGTGTGCCTGTAGTCCCAGCTACTCAGGAAGCTGAGGCAGGAAGTTCCTTTGAGCATAGTAGTTTGAGGTTACAGTGAGCTATGATTATGCCACTGCACTCCAGCCTTAGTGGCAAAGTGAGACCTTGTCTCAAAAATAAAAATTAAAAAAATGCTCCCAGGAGAAACCAGTAAGGGAGTGTGGAAAGTAAGACAGGGAAGGGAGGAGGACAAGCAAGGGAATGTTTCAGCAAAGCCCCAGCCTTAGCCTGGTCCCAAAGGTCAGTTCTGGAGTGTAAACTACACCTCACAGTTTGCCCAGATTTCAGACAATGGAACTAGGCTGTTACCTAGTTCAGCTAAAGGCTGCCCCTGCTTCTCTCGATGTGCAGAAGCTGTGGGAGATGATTAAACGGGTCACAGGGGCTCTGGTGCAACCTCAATGGGCCCCTTACACTGGGTTTTCTCTCACTCATAACTTAACCTAATCCTAAAAAGTACCAAAAACATTTCTGGCAGAGGGGAGAGTATAAATAAAGTGCACAGAACCTGAAGGAACAAGAGGCTATATGAAAGTATTGGAAAGGAAGAGGACAGGAAAGAAAGAAATAGGAAACAAATTTGGAAAACCAAACTGTAGTCACTGGGACTTGATATGGTTTGGCTGCGTCCCCACCCAAAACTCATCTTGAATTGTACCTCCCCACATCTCGCTTCTGCACTGCCCTAGCAGAGGCTCTCCATGAGGGCCCTGCCCCTGCAGCAAACTTCTGCCTGGACATCCAGGCATTTCCATACACAGCAGTCGGGGCCTGGAAATGTAGGGTTGAAGCCCCCACACAAAGTCCCCACTGGGGCACTGCCTAGTGGAGCACCATCCTCCAGACCCTAGAATGGTAGATCCACCAACAGCTTGCACCATGCACCTGGAAAAGCCGCAGACACTCAACACCAGCCCATAAAAGCAGCCGGGAGGGACTTTGTACCTTGCAAAACCGCAGGAGTAGAATGACATGGTTTGGCTATGTCCCCATACTGTTCTCATGATAGTGAATAAGTCTCACGAGATCTGATGTTTTTATAAGGGGCTTCCCCTTTTGCATGGCTCTCTATCTTGCCTGCCACCATGTAAGAAGTCCCTTTGCTCTTCCTTGGTCTTCTGCCATGACTGTGAGGCCTCCCCAGCCATATGGAACTGTGAGTCCATTAAACCTCTTTTTCTTTATAAATCACCCAGTCTTGGGTATGTTTTATCAGCAGCGTGAAAATGAACTAATACAGAACTGTATAAAATTTTGAATTTCTGGCCAATGCATAAACAAAGGGAAACCAAAAGGACTTTGAATCTGATGATTCAGAAGATTAATCTGGCAACTATGTGTGAGAGGAATTGGAATGAAACTTGTGTAGGGTAATACCCATTATGAGGTCATATCTATAATCCAGGCAAGAGGTAATGGTGGCACAACCCCAGGTGATGGTGCTGGGAAGGGAAAGTAGAGAATAGTTGCGAAGTCTTACAGAGAAAGATCTGGTCTTTCTAAATGCTTTGACACGAGAGAAAAGAGACAGAGAGGATCCAAACATGAAGCCAGGGACAATGGTGGCATTGCCAACAAAAATAGGTAACAGAGGAGAAGAAACAAGCTTGATAGAAAATATGAATTCTACCTATTGACATGGTGACTTTGAGATGAAGGGAAGCCTTCTAAATGGAGTTGTCAAGAAGGCAGTTAGAAATGCAAGACTGATAACAGAATTCAAGCATGGAGCCATGGATGTGTGCATTGTCTACAGAGATGTGATAGAAGCCATGACTGTGGATAGGATTACTAAGGGAGGGAGGGCAGAGACAGAAGAGGAAAAGGCCAGTATAAGATACTTGTAAGTTGTGCTGTTTGCCTGTTGCCTCTTGGGCCCATGCCACCCTCCCCTGTGGTGTGAGGGCCAAGGGACTGCCAACAGCCTTTCCCAGACTCTCTCTTGCCAGCTGGCTTCCTATTCAATTCTGCTACTAAGAGGCACTGAGACGTGGCTGAAGGACATAGGGTGAGAGAAGGGTTTTCCTCCTGTTTCCAGCTCCTGTCAATGTCCCTCCAGGAGGACTCTAGCCTAGGGCTTAGCAAACTTTTTCTGTAAAGAGCTGGACATGAAGTAGTTTAAGCTTTGCAGGCCATATGGTCTCTGTTATAACTCCTCAACTCTGCCATTGTACTGCAAGAGCAGACATAAACAATATATAAATGAATAAGGATGACCACATTGCAATAAAACTTTATTCATGGACACTGGAGTTTGAGTGTTTTATAATTTTCATGTGCCATGAGATATATCTTCCTTTTCGGTTTTATTTTCAGCCATTTTTAAAATATGAAGAATATTCTTTTTTTGTTTGCTTGTTTTTTGAGATGAACTCTTGCTCTGTCACCCAGTCTGGAGTGGAGTGGCGCAATCTCGTCTCACTGCAACCTCTGCCTCCCGGGTTCAAGCAACTCTCCTGCCTCAGCTTCCCAAGTAGCTGGGACTACAAGTGTGCACCACCATGACTGGCTAATTTTTTTTTTTTTTTGTATTTTTAGTAGAAACAGGATTTTGCCACATTGGCCAGACCGGTCTCGAATTCCTGACCTCAGACCATCCACCCGCCTCGGCCTCCCAAAGTGCTGGGATTACAGGCGTGAGCCCCGTGCCTGGCCAAAATGTGAAGAACATTCTTAGCTCGTGGGCCATGGAGAAACAGGTGGCAGCTGGATTTGGCCTATGGGCAATAGGTTGCCCGTGCTAGCTCCCAATTCTTCAGACACTCCTGGCAGCAGGTGAACTGCACCTCCTGGAGATACCAGCGCCCCAGAGGCTCAACCCCATCACAATGCATCCTCATTCTGTGGTCTGAACATGGGCCAGGCAAGGCTGAGCCTGGAGGCTCTGGTGGCCCCACTTCTTCTCTTCTGTCCCTCCAGCCCTGAGAAGGAACTCCTGTAGTTACCATATCTGGTCACTGCAGCATCTCCATTTGCCCTTCCAACCCTCCAACACTGGAGTAGTCAATTCCCTGAATACATCCCTTCTGTAAGAAATGCCTTGCATGGAATCGTTTTCCTGCTTGGACTCTGACTGACACAGAAATCCTTCCATTTTAGGGAGGGGAAGAAGAAAAGGAAGCCAAAAGGGAGAAGTCAAAGACTGAAGAGGCAAATTAGGAGTGTCCCCACACTGAAGGGAAAAGAAGCTCAGGAAGAAGGTCCTGGGGAGCAGCAGTTGCCACTGCTGAGAGGTGAAGAGGATGCCTGCGAAGAGGGTGATGAGCTGAGGAACTTCCAGAAGTCATCCTCAGGGGGTGGCAGGGGCCCGGGAGCTGGAGGCAGACAAGACACAGCCTCCTCTTGTGAGAGTTTGTGAGAGGCAGGGTCTGAGGCAGTCCCTTGTGATGCAGGAGAGAAGCATGGAGATGGCTCTGCCCGTGTCAGGACTGTCAATCCTCCCAGTTGGCAAACACATGGAACCCGGGGGTAGCCACCTTCCCTCCTGACTCTCTCCCTCCCTACACTGCACTTTCCTGGCCCTGCCTCTGATTACAGAACACACCTGGGCACTGGCTGAAGTTCCCTGCTCCTGCAGATATTCTTGTGGGTAAGCAAGCACAGGTGAATTACCAGGGATGCCCCTCCAAGAGCTGTCTTGTGAGCACAGAGGATTGTGGGTGTTTTAAACGTCTTCATGACATTAATTAATCCAGCAAATATTTATTCACCACCACCTGTGTGCTAGGCACTACTCTAGGTGGTATTGATACAGCAGTGAGTTAAAAAAATGCCTTCAAGGTGCTTATATTCTTGTGGGAGAGACAGGTAATAAACAAGTAGACATAAAAATGGCAGGTGCTGAGAAGTGCTCTGAAGAAAAATACAACAAGGTGAGGGGGACAGGGAGTGCAGGATGTGAGTGATTTTTTTCTCTGGCCCATATCAGGATGGCCTCTCTGAAGAGTTGACAAGTGAGCAGAGGCTTAAATAAGTGAGAGTGAAGAATGTTCCAGGCAGTGGGAAAAACCAAGGCAGAAGCAGGAGGTAGGAGAGTGTTTGGCATAGTTCGAGGGACAGCAAGGAGGCTTAGTGTACCTGGAGTAAATAGGCTGAAAGAGAGGGATAGGAACTAACTCAGAGAGGGTTAGGCTTTGAGTCACGATGAGGACTTAGCTGTTACTCTGAGCAGTGGGTTTGAACACAGAAGTGACACATCTAATTTTCATGTAAAAGATTGACCATGACAACTATGGGGAGAAGAAACTGCAAGATGACCCCTCCATTCTCAGAATGATGTTACTCTTCTAAAAATAGAGCTAGAAAGTCATATCCCACAAGTGTAGGTTGGTGCTCAAGTGGCTGAGTACAAGAATAATAGAAGAAAAGCTGTGAGTCAGAGTTGGCCACAACCTAAACATGAATTAGGAGTGTCATGCCACGGGGAAAACTCAAAAGGCAGACAACCCTGGGATGTGTTGGTATAGCCATGGGACACGCAAAGACTGGGACACTGACTTTGTGCGTGTTCAGCATAAGTGGGCTTCCTGCCATGCCTTCTGTTTGCAATGCTTCCCACCTGTCCCACAGTCTAGGCTGTACACAGGCCTGTCTCCCTCCACAAGCACTTCCTCCCAGTGTTTTTCCTTCCGTCTGTGTCTTTTGTGCTGTCATTCGGTCAGCAACTACCATGTATAAAACTTAATGAGCAGTGCCATGGGAGAGTCTCTGATAAGTGCTTGGAGCTCAAATCCTTTGTTAATTGTATCTAGACAGCTATGTCTGCTGTTGGCACAAATCTCTCTTGTTGGCCCCTTCAAGTTTATCCTCTAACTGTGGGCTTTTCTCCACCTCTTATAATTGTACTCTTGGTGGATTTTCCTATTTATGAAGCTCTATTGGAATATATGCCCTGCCAGAGAAAAGATCTTCTCTACTGTCAAGAATCACTGGTTTCAGTTGGGTCAGGACTGACAACCTAGCCTCTGTGTGTAGACAAGTGAAGACAATCAGGGCTAGGGTTGGCAGAATTGTGCAGGGAGTCGATATGTCATCTTCAACACCTGTACATTCACCTCTAAGCAGGGCCCTTTTTTTCTGGCAAGCTAAGGCCCTATGTGAATCAATGCAAGGCTTAAGCTTGAAGTACCTATAGCCAATCCCTGTCCCCTTTCCTGACAGGTAATGGCATCCAGAAAGAATGAAACCTTGAAGCAGAAGACATTGGGTGGCTGAGTCAGGGTGTGGGACTTGAGCCAGTTTCCACTCTGCAAAGATCGGGAAACAAGCACCCTCTCCATCTTCCCCAGCCTGGAGATGCCAGCCATGAGGACTCAAAGGGGTCTCTGGCCTGGCATTCAGCCTCCTACCCCAGAGCCCCAGGGAGAGTACTGGGGACTGGAAGCACCAAGCCAAAGGCTCTGAGAGGCCACAGTGCTTGGGGATTGAGGCTCTGAGCCCAGAAACTTTGCCAGAGAGCCACATAGTAGCTCCATAACCACCAACTCCCTGGAGCTAGAGGAAAGGAATGAAGGGAGGCCAGGTCCAAGAACTCCTAGACCAGTCCTGGTGGTGCACATCCTCAGGTACTTTCCCACATAATTATCTTAACAACCTGTGAGGTATTATCAGAGGTGTTTGAAGCAGAGCAATTCCATCTTGAATAGGGGCTGGGTAAAATAAGGCTGGGACCTACTGGGGTGCATTCCCAGGAGGTTAAGTCATTCTTAGTGACAGAATGACATAGAAGTTCAGCACAAGATACAGGTCACAAAGACCTTGCTGATAAAACGGGATGCACTAAAGCAGCCAGCCAGGCTGGGCACAGTGGCTCACACCTCTAATCCCAGTACTTTGGGAGGCCGAGGCGGATGGATCACCTGAGGTCAGGAGTTTGAGATCAGCCTGGCCAACATGGTGAAACTGTATCTCTACTAAAAATACAAAAATTAGCCGGGCATGATGGTGCACACCTGTAATCCCAGGTACTCGGGTGGCTGAGGCGGGAGAATCGCTTGAACTCAGAAGGCAGAGGTTGCAGTGGGCCAAGATCGTGCCATTGCACTCCAGCCTGGGTGACAAAAGCAAAACTCCATCTCAAAAAAAAAAAAAAGAAGCCAGCCAAAACCAACCAAAACCAAGATAGCAATGAGAGTGACCTCTAGTCGTCCTCACTGCTTATACGCTAATTATAATGCATTAGCTGCCAAAAGACACCCCCACCAGCCCCATGACAGTTTACAAATGCCATGGCCATGTAGGAAGTTACCCTGTATGGTCTAAAATGGGGAGGAACCCTCAGTTTTGGGAATTCTCCACCCCTTTCCCAGAAAACTCATGAATAAATGAATAATCCACCCCTAGTTTAGCATATAATCAAGAAATAACCATAAAAATGGTCAACCAGCAGCCCAAGCCACTGATCTGCCTAAGGAGTAGCCATTCTTTATTCCTTTACTTTCTTAATAAACTGTTTTGTTTTGTTTTGTTTTTTTGAGACAGAGTTTCACTCTTGTCACCCAAGCTGGAGTGCAATGGCGTGATCTCAGCTCACTGCAACCTCCGCCCCGCATGTTCAAGCGATTCTCCTGCCTCAGCCTCCTGAGTAGCTGGGGTTACAGGTGCGCACCACCACCCCCGGCTAATTTTTTTTGTATTTTTAGTAGAGACGGGGTTTCGCCATGTTGATCAGGCTGGTCTCTAACTCCTGACCTCGTGATCCACCCGCCTCGGCCTCCCAAAATGCTGGGATTACAGGCCTGAGCCACCACACCTGGCACATGACACCCTTTTTAACGGTAAGAAAAACTGAGTTTCAGTGAGGTTGCACAACATTCCCAAAGACACACAAGCTACAACCTGGCAGGGTCCTCCTGACTCCAGAGCCTGCTCAGATGTCCCAGAAAGAACCCCCCAGGAGCCTCATTAGGGGCCCCAGTGGCCTGTGAAGAACTGGTGGATAAACTCAGACCTAACACCAAAGCTGTGTCTAGAGAGGCAACTGCAGTCTAGAGAAGATAGGTTACTGACCTAAGAAACCACAAATTTCACCTTTGCTTCCTCTCCATCAGGTACCCCAGGCCTTCTGACTTTCCCACCCTAAAGCCCATCAGATCCCAAACCTATTTGACATGGTTTCTTTTTTTTCTTTTCTTTTAATAAAAACATTATGAACCTCTAAATCTACTTTAAGACATGGTATCTAATTAGCATAAATGCATTCCAAAGGGTGGGTGGTTCCAGCCCAGATGGGCTTCCAGATGGGCCTCTTTCCTCTAACTGCTGGTCCTTTGGGCACCCCTCCCACCAATACCTCCCTTCCCTTCTGACCAAATTCCGCTTTCCAGAGCCTGGCTCAAGTCAGGAACAGTCCTCTGGTCCCAGCACAGTTCTGCAGAGCTCCTGCACCCCACCTACCCTCCCCTGCCGGCCTCCTCCCTGCCCACTGTGGCCATTTGGCTACAGTAGCTTGAGCTTTGAATTTCAGGACAAATCTAGAAAACCAGGGATCGAATACCTAGGCTCTGGCAACCCAGTGGGGTCTCAGGTGGGGCTAGCAGCCCCCAGTGTTACGTGACAGCCTGTAGCTTTTTAGTCATCACTGTCAGGCTTTTGCATAGCACTGGGAATGGGTCCCTGCCCTCTAGGGCCTAGGGGTCGGGTGCGGGCAGAACAACCACAGATGAGACAATGTAAGAAACTCCTGAGATGCAGAGGAACCAAGTCCTGTGGGATTCCAAAGGGGAGAGCCACTAGTTCTGCTGGGAGAGTGATCCAGAAACTGGTGAGAATGTGGTGGGAAAGAGGGGTACTCACAGGTAAGCTCACGGAGACGAGAGCACAGGAGTCAGATCTGAACGAGGGCAAGGACCAGAGGGCCCTGGTGCGTCATCATTCAAGGCAAAAATGGTCAGAAGTCTTTCCAAAGTTGTTCAGGGTCTCCTGCAGAGGGTTTGGGGCCCATCCTACCACTGCCAACCCCTCAACCATCCTTCCTGTCCACAGCCTGAGGTCACCATGGTCACTGATGTCTGAAGGCCAGAAATAGAAATGAGTCACTTGGCCTTCTAATGTGCTTTATCTAATGTTTGCTTTATTGAAGATGAAACAGTCGCCTTTTGCAGTGGGAGCCTCACTAGGCACCTGAGCTGCTGCATGTGGTGTCTGGGTCTCAGTATTCATGTAATGCCTGCATGTTCTTTCTGCTATAAAACAGGGTCACACTACCTCTTCAGTTCAGCCCCGAGACTTTGCTCTGTCAGGGGAGGGGTGCCGGGATCACCACTAAATATTAGTGCAGTTAAAGTTACCCTACTCTTCTTTTCCTGTAGCTTATCATCAAGGAGACACAGTAGTGGTTGAAGGTGAAGGGAAGCCCACCTCCAAGAATGCGAGTATGACCTTAGACATGCACCCCAGAGGAAAGAATGCCCACAGTCACTCTGAACGTATTCAGGGCAGCTCCTGTGCCAGCATAAGCAGAGTGCTGGTCAAGCAGGAAGAGACCTGTCAATACCAGTGAGCAGGAGGTCAGTACAAAAGAGGTCTGGCTGTTGATGTCAGGGACCCACAAGCAAGAGCCTCAGTCATTATGTGATCTGGAGCATGAAACCACAAGGTCAGATTCAGTGGCACAAAAGAGCCCCAGGATCATCTCAAGACCAGCAGCCACATGGCCTTGAAGCCAAACTATCAAATTACTCCTGTAGGCTCCTTCCATCCACTGGGTAGGAGCAGGATGCCCCCTGAGAATCAAGGACAGAGGAGATGGTAGAATGGTGTCATTAGGAAGATATTCCTGACAGGGTAACAGAGTGTCTTAGTCTGTCCAGTCTGCTATAACCAAGTATCACAGATTGGGTGGCCTACAAACAACAGAAATTTGTTTCTTACAGTTCTGGAGGCTGGAAGTCCAAGATCAAGTTGCCAGCAGACTCTGTGTCTGGTGAGAGCACACTTCCTGGTTCACAGATGGCACCTTCTCATTATGTCTTCCCATGGTAGAAGAGGCAAGGCAGCTCTCTGGGATGGCTACATTCTTATCCCTAATCACCTCCCAAGCCCCTCCTCCTAATACCACCAGGAGATTGGAGATGAGGTTTTAACATATGAATCTGAGGTGGACACATTCAGACCATAGCACACAGCCATACAGAAAAAGAGCTGGGTGGCTGGGGCAAGTCTTCCCAGGAGGAGAGAAAGCTACAGGTATGATTAGAGTGAAGAGAGGGAGGCTGGCTGCATGCTTCACCCAGTTCATCTCCCACCAAGGACAGGGTTGGGGGGAATCTACAAAGAAAAGTTTGTAATGAGGCAACATGTGCAGTGGTTTAAAAAACATAGATTTTAGGGGGAAAACGAACAGGACCCTACACTTCGCAGCTGTATGGCCAAGGGTAGTATTCCTCAAAATGTGGCCTTTGGTCCAGTAGCATCAGCCTAACCTGGGAACTTGCTGGAAAGGAAAATTCTTGATCCCCACCCCAGACTATGGAATCACACTCTGGGGGTGAGGTCCCACACACTGTTTTAACAAGCTGTGCCACTAATTTCATTGTACGCTAAAGTTTGAGAGCCATTTACCATAGACATAGTTACCAACCTCTGTAACCCACAGTGTTCTCATCTGTAAAATGGGTTTACATGTAAAATGGGCTCAAATATAAATAGTGCTTACCTCATAGGTTATTTTGAGAATTAAATGAGATACTGCAAGTACAGAACTTAGCACAAGGCTTGGTTCATAGTAAGTCTTCAGTGAATGCCAGTTATTATCACCATTATCTCCCACCTAATCTGCAAACCAAAAAGAATCCACAGCCTAGTGGTGCCCTCTTCCTGAGTTATCTGGTCAGTGTCATCTGTCAAGTACCCATAGCATTGACAAAAAGACATGAGGCACATCTCCCTCCCATGCAGTGAGAGAGGGAGAGCTGAGAACTTCTGGGAGGTGCCCTGGTTCAGGCCCCCACTCCAGAGCTACCAGATGTGTGAAGCATGACCTGCCAGGTGTGACGCCTCCTTTATATCTCCCACACAAGGGAACAGGGCACATACTGGCTGCTCAGTCCTCACTGAAGAGTGAAATCAACCTCAACTTCTCCATGTTCCATGTAATGATGAGCCTTTACCACCACCTATTCCAGGGTTGTTGGAAAGCTATGTAGTCAAAGAACCGATTGGAAAGGTTGATGTGCTTATGCAGAGATTTCATTAGGGAAGTGTAAGGCTAAGGGTTAACCTCATGGTGTGAACACCCTTACATTTATACAAGGGCAAATGCTGGTCAAGGGCTGTTCGAGTATAAACAGCAGGAACCGAGTTCATGGTAGCCTTGTCTAGAAGAAGGAATCACACAAAGGCAAAGGGAGGAAACTACAAAAAGAAAAAAGAGTGAAAAGGAACAAAGATCACCTATAAGATACAGAAAATTGTCCAGGCACAGTGGCTCATGCCTGTAATCCCAGCACTTTGGGAGGCCCAGGGAGGTACATTGCTTGAGCTCAGGAGTTCAAGGCCAGCTTAGGCAACATGGTGAAATCCCCATCTCTACAAAAAATTTTAAAAATTAGGTGGGCATGATGGCCTGTACAGTAGTCCCACCTACTTGGGAGGCTGAGGTGGGAGGATCACTTGAGCCCAGAAGGTCAAGGCTGCAGTGAGCCAAGTGCCACTGCACTCCAGCTTGTGTGACAAAGTGAGAGCCTGTTCCAAAAAAAAAAAAGATATAGAAAATTACCTCAAAAGACCAACCAAATCTAAAAATTATTGGTGTTCAAGAGGGAGTTGAGTAAGAACAAGGGGTAGAAAGCTTATTCAAAAAAATAATGACAGAAAACTTTCCAAAACTTGGGAAAGAGATAAATACTGAGGTACAAAAAAGTCAGAGAACACTAAAGAGATTCAACTCAAACAGAACTACTCCAAGGCATATAAGAATAAAACTCTGAAAGAACGAGGGCAAAGAGAGGATCCTAAAAGCAGCAAGAGAAAAGAAGTAAATAACATATAAAGGAACTCCAATTCATCTGGCAACAGACTTCCAAAACAGAAACCATATAGGCCAGAAGGGAGTGGAACAACATTTTTAAAGTGCCAAAAGAAAAAAACCTCCCATCCAAGAGTACTGTATCCAGCAAAGCTACCCTTCAAATATGAAAGAGATATAGCCTTTCCCAAAAAAAAAAGGGTGAAAGGGTGAGAGAATTCACCTCTTAACTTTTTCTTCTCATTTCTTTTAAGGGACCAGACCTACCTTACAAGAAATGCTAAAGGGAGTTCTTCATTTGAAAGAAGAAACACTAATGTGAAGAAAATTTGTTAAGGTATAAAACCCATTGGGAAAATTAAGTACATAGACAAACCCAAAACACTAATACTGTAAATGTGGTGTGCTACCCACTCATAACTCTAATATGAAGCCCGAAAGACAAGTCTATCAAAAACAATGATACCTACAGCACCCTGTTAAGAGACAGGCATTATAGGCCGGGCGCGGTGTCTCACGCCTGTAATCCCAGCACTGTGGGAGGCAGAGGCGGGTGGATCACCTGAGGTCGGGAGTTCAAGACCATCCTGACCAACATGGAGAAACCCCGTCTCTACTAAAAGTACAAAAATTAGCTGGGCATGGTGGCGCATGCCTGTAATCCCAGCTACTCAGGAGGCTGACATGGGAGAATCGCTTGAACCTGGGAGGCGGAGGTTGCGTTAAGCCAAGATCCTGCCATTGCACTCCAGCCTGGGCAGCAAGAGTGAAACTCCATCTCAAAAAAAAAAAAAAAAAAAAAAAAGAGAGAGAGAGAGAGACAAGCATTATAAAAATGTATAAATTGAAACAATACAAAGTCAAAATGTGGGAGGTATGGAGTTAAAGTGTAGAGTTTTGTGTGTGTGTCTGTTTGTATTCTTTTCTTTGTGATCTAAGATAAGTTAGCATCCTTTTAAAATAACTTGTTATATCCATAAGATGTTTTTTGTAAGCCTCACATTAACCACAATACAAAAACCTGTAATAGATTCACTAAAGAGAAAAAGCGATGAATTAAAACATACTGGCCAGGCGCAGTGGCTCACGCCTGTAATTCCAGCACTTCGGGAGGCCGAGGCAGGTGGATCACCTGAGGTCGGGAGTTCGAGGCCAGCCTGGCCAACATGGTGAAACCCCGTCTCTACTAAAAATAGAAAAAATTAGCCAGGCATGGTGGCATGAGCCTGTAATCCCAGCTACTCAGGAGGCTGAGGTGGGAGGATTGCTTGAACCCAGGAGATGGAGGTTGCAGTGAGCCAAGATCACACCACTGCACTCCAGCCTGGGCAACAGAGCGAGACTCTGTCTCAAAAAAAAAAAAAATACTACAAGAGAAAAATCACTTAACCACAACGGAAGACAGTAAGAAAGCAAGAAGAGAGGAGTTATAAAACAAACAGAAAGCAAGCAACAAAATGGTAGTGGTAAGTCCTTACTTAATAATAAAGCTGAATGTAAATGGACTCAGTTATCCAATTAAAAGGCATACAGTGGCTGAATGGATAAAGAAAAAGATCCAACTATATGCTTCCACAAGAAACCCACTTCACCAATAAAGCCATAGACTGAAAGTGAAAGTGTGGAAAAGAATATTCCATGCAACTGGAAACCAAAAAAGGGCAGGAGTAGCTACAATCATATCAGATAAAAGAGACTACAAATCAAAGACTGTTTAAAAAGATAAAGAGGGTCACTATATAGTGATAAAGGGGTCAGTTCAGCAAGAGAATATAACAATTATAAATATCAGGTCGAATGCAGTAGCTCACGCCTGTAATCTCAGCACTTTGGGAGGCCGAGGTGGGCAGATAACTTGAGGTCAGGAGTTCGAGACCAGCCTGGCCAACATGGTGAAACTCCGTCTCTACTAAAAATACAAAATTAGTTGGATGTGGTGGCGTATGCCTGTAATCCCAGCTACTCGTGGGGCTGAGGCAGGAGAATCACTTGAATCCAGGAGGCAGAGGTTGCAGTGAGCCAAGGTCACGCCATTGCACTCCAGCCTGGGCAACAAGTGTGAAACTCCGCCTCAAAAAAAAAAAATGATAAATATCTATGCACCCACCAGTGGAGCTCCCCCAGGTATATAAAGCAAACATTAATAGATCTGAAAGGACAGATAGACTTCAATACAAAAATAGTAGGGGACTTCAACATCTCATTCTCAGTAAGGGACAGATCATCCAGACAGGAAATGAACAAAGAAATATCAGAATTAAACTATACACTAGATCAAATAGACCTAACTGACATTTAAAGAACATTTTGGCCAGGTGCAGTGGCTCACATCTGTAATACCAACACTTTGGGAAGCTGAAGCAGGAGGTTCACTTGAGCGCAGGAGTTCAAGACTAGCGTGAGCAACACAGCAAGACCCTATCTCTACAAAATATTTTTTAAAGAACATTTTACCCAACTGCTGCAGAATACACATTATTTTGACCAGTACATGAAACATTCTCCAAGATAGACCATACCTTATGTCACAAAACAAGTCTTAACAAACTCAAAACAGTAGAAATCGTATCAAATATCCTTTCTGACCACAATGGAATAAAACTAGAAATCAATAACAAGAGGAACCTCAGAAAATACACAAACACAAAGAAATTAAACATGCTCCTAAACAGTCAATGGTCAGTGAAGAAATTAAGAAAGACATTTAAAAATTCTTGAAACAAATGCAAATGGAAATACAATATACCAAAATCTATGGGACACAGCAAATGCAGTGCTAAGAGGGAATTTTATAGCAAAAAACACCAATATCAAAAAGTAGAAAGACTTGGCCAGGGATGATGACTCATACCCCTAATCTCAGCACTTCGAGAGGCTGAGGCAGGAGGATCACCTGAGGCCAGGAGTTTGAGACCAGCCTGGGCAACATAGCAAGACCACATCTCTACAAAAACTAAAAAAATTAGTTGGGTATGGTGGTGCGCACCTATAGTTCTTAGGAGGCTGAGACAGGAGGATTTCTTGAGTCCAGAAATCTGAGGCTGCAGTGAGCTATGGCCATGCCACTTCACTCCAGCCTGGGTGACAGAGCAAGACCCTGTCTCAAAAAAAAAAAAAATATATATATATATATATATATAAAGACTTGAAATAAATAACATAATGATACACTTCAAGGAACTAGAAAAGCAGGAACAAATCAAACCCAAAATTAATAGAAGGAAAGAAATAGTAAAGATCAGAGTGAGCCGGGCGTGGTGGCTCACGCCTGTAATCCCAGCACTTTGGGAGGCCAAGGCAGGTGGATCACGAGGTCAGGAGTTCAAGACCAGCCTGGCCAATATGGTAAAACCCCATCTCTACTAAAAATACAAAAATTAGCCGGGTGTGGTGGCACGTTCCTGTAGTTCCGGCTGTTAGGGAGGCTGAGGCAGGAGAATTGCTTGAACCCAGGAGGCGGAGGTTGCAGTGAGCTGAGATCACGCCACCACTGCACTCCAGCCTGAGTGACAGAGCAAGACTCTGTCTCAAAAAGAAAGAAAGAAAGAAAGAAAATCAGAGTGGAAATAAAAGAATTGAGACTAAAAAACAATATAGAAGATTGACAAAGTTAAAAGTTGATTTTTTGAAAAAATAAATAAAATCAACAAACCTTTAGCTAGACTAAGAAAAAAAGAAGTAAGACCCAAACAAATAAAATCAGAAATAAAAAAGGATACATAACAACTGAGACCCTAGGACTACAAAGAATTAGCCAGGTGCAGTGGCTCATGCCTATAATCCCAGTACTTTGGGAGGCTGAGGTGGGAGGATTGCTACAGCTCAGGAGTTTGAGACCAGCCTGGGCAACATGGCAAGACTCTATAACTACAAAAAATGTAAAAATTAGCCATGTGTGGTGGCATGGACCTATAGTCCCAACTACTCAGGAGGCTCAGGCAAGAGGATGGCTTGAGCCAGGGAGGTTGAGGCTGCCGTGAGCCATAATTGCACCGCTGCACACTAGTGTGGGCTACAGAGAGAGACTCTGTCTCAAAACAAAACAACAAAAAAAAAAGACTACAAAGAATCATTAGAGACTATTATGAACAACTATTAATACACACCAACAAATTGACAAATCTAGAGGAAATGGATAAATTCTCGGACACATAGAATCTAGAATCTACCAAGATTGAACCATGAAGAAGTAGAAAATATTGACAAACCAATAACAAGTTGGAGATGAAAGCCATAATAAAAAGTTTCCTGTCAAAGAAAAGCCCAAGATCCAATGGCTTCACTGCTGAATTCTACTAAATGTTTAAAGAATTATTACCAATTCTACTAAAACTCTTCAAAACAATTGACAAGAAGGGAATACTTCCAAACTCATTCTATGAGATTAGTATTACCCTGATATCAAAATCAAACAAGGACATAACTAAAAAGGAAAACTACAGGCCAATACCACTGGTGAACATAGATGCAAAAGTCCTCAGTGAAATACTAGCAAACTGAATTCAACAACACACTTAAAAAATCATTTCCCATGATCAAGCGGGGTTCATCTCAAGGATACAAGGATGGCTCAATGTACCCAAATTGATAAATGCGATACATCAATTAACAGAACCAAGAACAAAAACCATGTGATCATTTCAATAGATGCTGAAAAAGTATTTGATAAAATTCAACATCCCTTTATGATCTAAAAAAAAAAAAAAACCCTCAACAGGCCAGGCAAGATGGCTCACCCCTGTAATCCTAGCACTTTAGGAGGCCCACGCCAGCAGATCGCTTGAGCTCACGAGTTCGAGACCAGCTTGGGCAACACAGAGAAACCCCATCTACATAAAATACAAAAAAAGTTAGCCAGGCATGGTGGTGAACACGCACCTGTAATCCCAGCTACTCAGGAGACTGAGATGGGAGGATGACTTGAACCTGGGAGGCTGAGGTTGCAGTGAGCCCACTACACTCCAGCCTGGGCAATAGAAACAGACCTTGTCTCAAAAAATAAACAAACAAACAAACTCAACATACTGGATATAGAGAAAACACACTTCAGAATAATAAAGATCATGTATGACAAACCCACAGTTAACATGCTACTGAGTAGGGGGAAATTGAAAGCCTCTTTTTTTTTTTGAGACAGAGTCACCCAGGCTGGAGTGTGCAGTGGTGCAATCTCGGCTCATTGCAACATCTGCCTCCCAGTTCAAGCAATCCTCCCACCTCAGCCTCCCGAGTAGCTAGAATTACAGGCATGCACCACCACACCTGGCTAATTTTTTTTCTTTTATTTTTAGTAGAGACAGGGTTTCACCATGTTGGCCAGGCTGGTATCAAAGTCCTGACCTCAAGTGATCTGCCTGCCTTGGCCTCCCAAAGTGCTGGGATTACAGGCGTGAGCTACCACACCCAGCCTCCTCTAAGATCTGTAATAAGACAAGGATGCCCACTTTCACCACTTTTATTCAACATAACACTGGAAGTCCTGGCCAGAGCAATTAGGCAAGAGAAACAATTAAAGGGCATCCAAGTTGGAAAGGAAGGTGTCAAATTAGCCTCGTTCACAGACAACATTATCTTAGACTTAGAAAAATCTAAAGATTCCACCAAAAAACTCTTAGAACTGCCAAATTCAGTAAAGTTGCAGGATACAATTAACATTTAAAAAATCAGTAGCATTTATATACACCAACAGCCAACAATCTGAAGAAGAAATCCAAAAGCAATCCCATTTACGATAGCTACAAAGAATATAAAATACCCAGGAATCGGCTGGGCATGGTGGCTCATGCCTGTAATCCCAGCACTTTGGGAGGCTGAGGGTGGATCACAAGGTCAGGAGTTCAAGACCAGCCTGACCAACATGGTGAAACCCCGTCTCTACTAAAAATACAAAAATTAGCCAGGTGTGGTGGCACGTGCCTGTAATCCCAGCTACTCAGGAGGCTGAGGCAGGCGAATCTCTTGAACCCGGGAGGAGGAGGTTGCAGTGAGTGGAGATCATGCCACTGCACTCCAGCCTGGGCAACAGAGTGGACTCCATCTCAAGAAAAAAAAAATACCTAGGAATCAATCTAACCAAAGAAGTGAAAGATCTACACAAGCAAAACCATAAAACACTGATGAAAAGAATTGAAGAGGATGCAAAAATATGGAAAGATGTTTCATACTCATAGACTGGAAGAATTAATATTGTTAAAATGACAATTCTACCCAAAGCAATTTACAGATTAAGTGCAATCCTCATCAAAATACCAATGACATTCTTCACAGAGATAGAAAAAAAAATCCTAAAATTTATTTGGAACTACACAAGACTCTGAATGGCCAAAGCTATCCTGAACAAAAAGAACAAAGCTGGAGCTATCATACTACCAGACGTCCAAATACACTACAAAGCTATGGTAATCAAATCAGCATAGTACTGGTACAAAAACACACAGACCAATGGAACAGGATAGAGAACTCAGATATAAATCCACACATTTACAGACAACTCATTTTCAACAAAATCATCAAGAATATACAATGGGAAAAGGACAAGCTGTTCCATAAATGATGCTGGGGGAAATTGATAACTATAGGCAGAAATATGAAATTAGACCCCTATCTCTCACCACATACAAAAATTGATCAAAATGGATTAAAGACTTAAATCTAAGACCTGAAACTATGAAACTACTAGAAGAAAGCATTGGGGAAATGCTCCAGGACATTGGCATGGGCAAAGGTTTCTTGAGTAAGACTTCAAAAGCATAGACAACCAAAGCAAAAATAGATAGGATTACAACAAGCTAAGAAGCTTTGCATAGCAAAGGAAACAGTCAACAAAGTGAAGAGACAACCCACGGAATGGAAGAAAATATTTGCAAACTATCCATCTGACAAGAGATTAATAATGAGAATACATAAGGAGTTCAAACAACTCAATAGGAAAACAAACAAAACTAATAATCCAATTTAAAAATGAGCAAAAGATCTGAATAGATATTTCTCAAAAAGATGACATGCAAGTGGCCAACAGGTACATGAAAAAATGCTTAGCATCACTAATCACCAGGGAAATGCAAATCAAAATCACAATAAGATGTCATCTAACCCCAATTAAAATGGCTTTTACCAAAACAATAGAGAATAACAAATGCAGCCAGGTGCAGTGGTTCATGCCTGTAATCCCAGTATTTGGGAGGCCTAGGCAGGTGGATCACATGAGGCCAGGAGTTTGAGACCAGCCATGACCAAATGGCAAAACCCCGCCTCTACCAAAACTACAAAAAGTAGCTGGGCATGGTGGTGCATGTCTGTAATCCCAGCTACTCGGGAGGCTGAGGCACAAGAATTGCTTGAACCCAGGAGGCGTAGGTTGCAGTGAGCCAAGATCGTGCCACTGCACTCTGGCCTGGGCAACAGAACAAGACTTTTTCTCAATAACAACAAAAAAGAATAACAAATGCTAGCGAAGATGTAGAGAAAGGAGAATCTTTGTGCACTGTTGGTAGGAATGTAAATTATTAGTACAGCCACTATGGAAACAAGATGAAGTTTCTACAAAAAACTAAAAATTTGACCAGGTGTGGTGGCTCATGCCTGTAATCCCAGCACTTTGGGAGGCTGAGGCGGGCAGATCACCTGAGGTCGGGAGTTCGAGACCAGCCTGACCAACATGGAGAAACCCTGTCTCTACTAAAAATACAAAATTAGCTGGGCGTGGTGGTGAGTGCCTGTAATCCCAGCTACTCGGGAGGCTGAGGCAGGAGAATCACTTGAATGTGGGAGGCAGAGGTTGCGGTGAGCCAAGATCGTGCCATTGCACTCCAGCCTGGGCAACAAGAGCAAAACTCCATCTCAAATAAAGAAAAAAAAAAAATTAAAAATTAGAATTACCATATGACCCAGCAATTTCACTACTGGGTATGTACCTAAAAGAAAAGAAATCAATAAATTGAAAAGATATTACACTCCCATGTTTTTTGCAGCACTATTCACAGTAGCCATAATATGAAATCAACCTAAGTGTCCATCAGTGAATGAATGGATAAGGAACATGTGGTATATATACACAATGGAATATTATTCAACCATAAAAAAGAATAAAATCCTCTCATTTTCAGCAACATAGATGGAACTGGAGATCATTGTGTTAAGTGAAATGAGCCAGCCACAAAAACATTAATATCACATGTTCTAACTTTTTTGGACCTGAGGTGGGAAATTGTTTAAAATGTTCTAACTTATATGTGGAAGCTAAAAATGTGGATCTCATGAACATAGAGAGTAGATTTGTGGTAACCAGAGGCCAGGAAGGGGGTGGGGGGATGAATATATGGTTTAATAGAAGAATATACGGTTTGATAGAAGAAATAAAACCTAGTGTTTGATAGATCAGTAAAGTGACTATAGTTTATAATAATCTATTATGTATTTCAAAATAGCTCCAAGTAGGCCGGGCACAGTGGCTCATGCCTGTAATCCTAGCACTTTGGGAAGCCCAGGTGGGCAGATCACCTGAGGTTGGCAGTTCGAGACCAGCCTGGCCAACATGGCCTCTACTAAAACACAGCCTCAGCCTCCCAAGTAGCTGGGATTACAGGCATGCACCGCCATGCCTTAGCCTGGCTAATTTTGTATTTTTAGCAGAGATGGGGTTTCACCATGTTGGCCAGGCTGGTCTCGAACTCTTGACCTCAGGTAATCTGTCCACCTCGGCTTCCCAAAGTGCTGGGATTACAGGCATGAGCCACTGCCCTGCCTTTTTTTTTTTTTTTTTGGAGAAAGAGCAACCTCAAAGTATGGGGCTTAAGTGATCCTCCCACCTCAGCCTCTGGAGTAGCTGGGACTACAGGGGCACACCACCACACCTGGCTAGCTTTTTTAATTTTTTTGGTTTTGGTTTTTTTTTTTTTTTTTTTTTGAGACAAAGTCTCACTAGAGTGCAATGGCGCATCTCAGCTCACTGCAACCTCTGCCTCCCAGAATCAAGCAATCCTCCCACCTCAGCCTACCAAGTAGCTGGGACCTCAGCTATGCACCACTACATCCAGCTAGTTTTGGGGTTTTTTTGTAGAGATGGGGTTTTGCCATGTTCCCAAGGCTGGTCTCAAACACCTAGCGCAAGTGTTTTCTCAAATTTTTTGTAGAGATGGGATCTCACTATGTTGCCCAGGCTGGTCTCAAATTCCTGGCCTCGAGCAATCCTTCCACCTTCATCTCCCAAAGTGTGGGATGACAGGAATGAGCCACTGTGCCCAGCCTTAGTTTATGTACAAATATAAATCATTACTGTGAGATAAAATGAAGCACTAGTATGGGATTTAGTAATGCTCAGGTTTTTTCCGCATATCTGATGTCCTGGACAACTCTGGCCTTGACCCTCAGCCTCGCCAAGCCCCCAGCTCCTCTTTTTGCTGTAGAGCAAGGCTGCATTGCTCTGAGAGTCTCGTGAGTCCTAACCGCACATCCCACCCACACTTGCACAAGAGTTAATACTTAGATCAAGTTGTAGCAAAATAAGACTTTACTTTGCTTTATTAAGACTAAAATAAGCAAAATAAGCAGTACCCCAGCAGAAAGTAACCTGGCTGCTTGCTACATTTTGGGCATCTTGCTCATGCCACTGCCCAGGGCTCAGAGATATAGGCTGCAAGACCACTAGCTTGAGATCAGCCTTCTTCCCTCATCCTCTGCTCCCTGGACCCAGTCATTAACAGCACACAAGCATGTGCACATCAGTATGAGGCAGGGTACCTCACTGTGTACCTAGATCCAGTACAGCCCCGATGGTTGCCCCAGGGGTTGACAGTATTGCCCACTTCCCCTTTACCAGTGCATCCCACCCCAGGGAAAATGCAGGTTCTTCTCTCAGTTTCATTGGGTGAGGAGGAAGGTCCAATCCCTTAGCCTGACTCCCAAGGCCCCCTGTTTCCAACAGCAAGTTTCTCTCTTTGCAGCCATCATAGGAAGCAAATGGGCTAAGGAGGGAGGAGGGGTACCGGAAGATGCTGGACTTTGGGGGCCATGAATCTCACAAAGCTATTGTTCTCTCCCCAGACGGGGAAAAAGGAGATGTATACCCCATTTGCCCAATTTCAGAGGGTTTACAGTCCCTAAGGCCTGTCCTTGGGTCTTTCAGTTCATGGATCTCAGGTTAAAAATCCCTGTGCCATAGTGAACCCAGTCTCACAGAGATGTGTAGAGAAACAAAGCAAAACCATTATATGTCCAGGGTGGTATCTGTCAAGCAGGTTCCCTTTTCAGCAAGCCAAACCTGGGAGCAGTGAGAGGCGGGGACAGTCAGACAGCGAAGGCCAGCCATGAAGAACATTCTGGAATCATGATCTGATAAGCAGAGGGGAGCTGTGCAACCAGCCAGCAGTGGCCAGACAGAGGAAATGCAGTGTCTGGCAGCTGGCCATCTTCACCCTCTCCCACCAGCAGCATCTCTGGCCCCATCCTGACCCCTGGTGGCTGCCGGGAGATGAGGAGGAAAATCTTTTCAAGCTCCTCCCCGCTCTAAGGGCAGGGGGAAGCTCCCAGGTCCCAGCACAGATGAAAAGCTGTACCCTCCCACCTCCACCCCCACAGGCCTCAGCTGAGGTCCCCAGGAGGTGCCAGCATGTTTAGGGCACCTTCAGGAGGATTTGCTCCACTGGAGTCACCAGATGCCTACTTAATATAAGCCTAGCAATCAATCAAACAAATGTATACTGTATAAAACACTTTTCACCTATCAAGTTGGCAAAAATGTGTGTCTGTCTGTGTATCTGTGTATCTCTGTGCGTATGTGTGTGTGTGTGTGTGTTACAACTAAAGATCAATGCAGGTCAGGGTGCAATAAGACAAGCACTTTCATGAACAATTGGTGAGGGTGTAAATTTGTACAAACTTTCTAGCAGAGATGCTGGTAAAATAAAGCCAAAATCTTTAAAAATGTTTCTATCCTGTGACTCAGAGATCCTTATGTTAAGAATCCAGCCTGAAGAAATCAATAGACTGATATAACATGATACCTGGAATTTGAAATAAATGAGGGAGGAGAAAACAAGATTGGACAAGAGTGAGAATTACTGCAGCTGGGTGATAGATACATGGGGGTTCTTTATTCTATTCTGTTTACTTTGGTACATGTTTGAAATGTTCCATGATAAAACTTTTTTTTATAAAACTTTTTAAAGAAAGTATCAGAGGCCGGGCGTGGCGGCTCATGCCTGTAATCCCAACACTTTGGGAGGTCGAGGCAGGAGGATTGCTTGAGCTCAGGAGTTCGAGACCAGCCTGGGCAACATGGCAAAACCCTGTCTCTACAAAAAAAAATACAAAAAATTAGCCAGGCATCGTGGTGCACACCTGTGGTCCCAGCTACTTGATCCTGGGAGGATGAGGCTGCAGTGAAATATAATCATGCCACTGCACTCCAGCCTGGGTGACAGAGTGAGACCCCTCAAAAAAAAGAAAGAAAGCATCAGAGATACAAAGATTTGTATACGAACATGTTAATTTTTTTTTTTTTTTTTGAAACTGAGTTTTGTTCTCATTGCCAGGCTGGAGTGCAATGGCACAATCTTGGCTCACTGCAACCTCCACCTCCCAGGTTCAAGTGATTCTCCTGCCTCAGCCTCCCGAGTAGCTGGGACTACAGGCATGTGCCACCACTCCTGGCTAATTTTGTATTTTTTTAGTAGAGATGGGGTTTCTCCATGCTGGTCAAGCTGGTCTGGAATTCCCGACCTCAGGTGATCTGCCTGCCTCGGCCTCCCAAAGTGCTGGGATTACAGGTGTGAGCCACCACACCTGGTCACTTGTTAATTTTTAATAGAAAAAAATGTAAAAGTGCTATGCTAAAATAAACAAATTATTGTGCATCCAAACACTGGAATATTATATAGCCATTTAAAAATCAAGGATGTTTTAATGACATGGAAAATGCTTACAATGTGCCTGGCTCACACCTGTAATCCCAGCACTTTGGGAGGCTGAGGTGGGCAGATCACTTGAGGTTAGGAGTTTGTAACCAGCCTGGTCAACATGGCGAAACCCTGTCTCTACTAAAAATACAAAAATTAGTCTGGGCAAGGTGGCTCACACCTGTAATCCCAGCACTTTTGGAGGCCGAGGCGGGTGGATCACCTGAGGTCAGGAGTTCAAGACCAGCCTGAACGACATGGTGAAACCCGTCCTCTACTAAAAATACAAAATTAGCCAGGCGTGGTGGTGCCCACCTGTAACCCCAGCTATTCGGGAGGCTGAGGCAGGAGAATCGCTTGAACCTGGGAGGTGGAGGTTACAGTGAGCCGAGATCATGCCATTGCACTCCTGCCTGGGTGACAAGAGTGAGACTCTGTCTCAAAAAAAGAAAAAAAAATTAGCCAGGCATGGTGGTAGGAGCCTGTAATCCCTCCTACTCAAGAGGCTGGGGCAGGAGAATTGCTTGAACCTAGGAGGGGAGGGGTTCAGTGAGGCGAGATCACGCCACTGCACTCCAGCCTAGGAGACAGAGCAAGATTTCATCTCAAAAAAAAAAAAAAAAGTCCTCTCAGCCCAAAATCTCCTTAAGCTGATAAGCAACTTCAGCAAAGTCTCAGGATACAAAATCAATGTGCAAAAATCACAAGCATTCCTATACACAGACAAACAGACAAACAGAAAGCCAAATCATGAGTGAACTCCCATTCACAATTGCTACAAAGAAAATAAAATACCTAGGAATACAACTTACAAGGGATGTGAAGGACCTCTTCAAGGAGAACTACAAACCACTGCTCAAGGAAATAAGAGAGGATACAAACAAATGGAAAAACATTCCATGCTCATGGATAGGAAGAATCAGTATCGTGAAAATGGCCATACTGCCCAAAGTAATTTATACATTCAATGCTATCCCCATCAAGCTACCATTGACTTTCTTCACAAAATTGGAAAAAACTACTTTAAACTTCATATGGAACCAAAAAAGAACCCACATAGACAAGACAATCTTAAGCAAAAAGAACAAAGTTGGAGGCATCATGCTACCTGACTTCAAACTATACTACAAGGCTATAGTAACCAAAACATCATGGTACTGGTACCAAAACAGATATATAGACCAATGGAACAGAACAGAGCCCTCAGAAATAACACCACACATCTACAACCATCTGATCTTTGACAAACCTGACACAAACAAGCAATGGGGAAAAGTTTCCCTATTTAATAAATGGTGTTGGAAAAACTGGCTAGCCATATGCAGAAAACTGAAACTAGACCCCTTCTTTACACCTTACACAAACATCAACTCAAGATGGATTAAAGACTTAAACATAAGATCTAAAGCCATAAAAATCCTAGAAGAAAACCTGGGCAATACCATTCAGGACGTAGGCATGGGCAAAGACTTCATGAGTAAAACACCAAAAGCAATGGCAACAAAAGCCAAAATTGACAAATGGAATCTAATTAAACTAAAGAGCACAGCAAAAGAAACTATCATCAGAGTGAAAGGCAACCTACAGAATGGGAGAAAATTTTTGCAATCTATCCATCTGACAAAGGTCTAATATCCAGAATCTACAAAGAACTTAAACAAATTTACAAGAAAAAACAACCCCAGTAAAAAGTGGGCAAAGGATATGAACAGACACTTCTCAAAAGAAGACATTTATACAGCCAACAAACATATGAAAAAATGCTCATTATCACTGGTCATTAGAGAAATGCAAATCAAAACTACAAGGAGATACTATCTCACACCAGTTAGAATGGCAAACATTAAAAAGTCAGGAAACAACAGATGCTGGAGAGGATGTGGAGAAATAGGAACACTTTTACACTGTTGGTGGGAGTGTAAATTAGTTCAAACATCGTGGAAGACAGTGTGGCGATTCCTCAAGGATCTAGAACCAGAAATACCATTTGACCTAGCAATCCCATTACTGGGTATATACCCAAAGGATTATAAATCATTCTACTATAAAGACACATGCACACATATGTTTATTGCGGCACTATTCACAATAGCAAAGACTTGGAACCAACCTGAATGTCCATGAATGATAGAATGGATAAAGAAAATGTGGTACATATACACCATGGAATACTATGCAGCCATAAAAAAAGGATGAGTTCATGTCCTTTGCAGGGACATAGATGAAGCTGGAAACCATCATTCTCAGCAAACTATCACAAGAACAGAAAACCAAATGAGAGGTGACAGCATGCTGGCAGTCCTCAGAGCCCTCGCTTGCTCTCGGCACCTCCCCTGCCTGGGCTCCCACTTTGGTGGCATTTGAGGAGCCCTTCAGCCCCCCACTGCACTGTGGGAGCCCCTTTCTGGGCTGGCCAAGGCCGGAGCCCACTCCCTCAGCTTGCAGGGAGGTGTGGAGGGAGAGGCACCAGTGGGAACCGGGGCTGCATGCGGCGCTTGTGGGCCAGCTGGAGTTCCGGGTGGGCGTGGGCTTGGCGGGCCCCGCACTCGGAGCAACCAGCCAGCCCTGCTGGCCCCGGGCAATGGGGGACTTAGCACCCGGGCCAGTGGCTGCGGAGGGTGTACTGAGTCCCCCAGCAGTGCTGGCCCACCGGCGCTGCGCTCGATTTCTTGCCAGGGCCTTAGCTGCCTTCCCATGGGGCAGGACTCGGGACCTGCAGCCCGCCATGCCTGAGCCTCCCACCCACTCCATGGTTTCCTGTGCGGCCCGAGCCTCCCCGACGAGCACCACCCCCTGCTCCACTGCGCCCAGTCCCATCGACCACCCAAGGGCTGAGGAATGCGAGCACACGGTGCAGGACTGGCAGGCAGCTCCACCTGCAGCCCCGGTGCAGGATCCACTAGGTGAAGCCAGCTGGGCTCCTGAGTCTGGTGGGGACGTGGAGAGTCTTTATATCTAGCTCAGGGATTGTAAATACACCAATCAGCACTCTGTGTTTAGCTCAAGGTTTGTGAGTGCACCAATCGACACTCTGTATCTAGCTGCTCTGGTGAGGACATGGAGAACCTTTATGTCTAGCTCAAGGATTGTAAATACACCAATCGGCACTCTGTATCTATCTCAAGGTTTGTAAACACACCAATCAGCACCCTGTGTTTAGCTGAAGGTTTGTGAGTGCACCAATCGACACTCTGTATCTAGCTGCTCTGGTGGGGCCTTGGAGAACCTGTGTGTTGAAACTCTGTATCTAACTAATCTGATGGGGACGTGGAGTCTTTATATCTAGCTCAGGGATTGTAAACGCACCAATCAGCACCCTGACAAAACAGGCCACTCAGCTCTACCAATCAGCAGGATGTGGGTGGGGCCAGATAAGAGAATAAAAGCAGGCTGCCCGAGCCAGCATTGGCAACCCGCTCGGGTCCCCTTCCACACTGTGGAAGCTTTGTTCTTTCACTCTTTGCAATAAATCTTGCTACTGCTCACGCTTTGGGTCCACGCTCCTTTTATGAGCTGTAACACTCACCGTGAAGATCTGCAGCTTCACTCCTGAACCCAGCGAGACAACGAGCCCACCAGGAGGAACGAACAACTCCAGACGCGCTACCTTAAGAGCTGTAACACTCACCGCGAAGGTCTGCAGCTTCACTCCTGAGCCAGCGAGACCACGAACCCACCAGAAGGAAGAAACTCAGAGCACATCTGAACATCAGAAGGAACAAACTTCAGACGCGCCACCTTAAGAGCTGTAACACTCACCACGAGGGTCCGCGGCTTCATTCTTGAAGTCAGTGAGACCAAGAACCCACCAACGCCGGACACACAAACACTGCATGTTCTCACTCATAAGTGGGAGTTGAACAAGGAGAACACATGGACACAGGAAGGGTAATATCACACACTGTGGCCTGTAGGGGGGTGGGGGGCTATGGGACGGACAGCATTAGGAGAAATACCTAATGTAGGTGATGGGTTGATGGGTGCAGCAAACCACCATGGCACGTGTATACCTATGTAACAAACCTGCACCTTCTGCACATGTACCCCAGAACTTAAAGTATAATAAAAAAAAATGCTTACAATGAAAACTAAGTGAATAAGTAGGATACAAAATTGTATATGCACTGTTTTTAATTATGTTAAAAGTACATAGAAGACTATATAAAAATATACTAAACTGTTATACAGTGAGACTAGGGGTGGTTTTAATTTTTATTCTTGATATGCTGTATTTTCTTATTCTACAATGAGCATGTTTTATAAACAGGACCCCCAAAATTGCATTTGTTAAAGCATATTAACTTGGGAGTCTGATATATATCAAGCTCCAAGGGCTGCCATCTATTAGCTGGGCAACATTAAGCAAATTAACTGCTGGGTCCCAGATTTCTCACCTATAAAACTGGCATAATGCCAATCTATTTTTCAAGCCATTATTTACTGGGCACTCACTATGTGCTGGACACTATGCCAAGTGGTTTTCCCTCCTATATTATACATATTATGCATACTTACACTTCATACATGATCATTTTGATCCTCAAAATAAGGCATGGAGTAGATTATCATAATCCTATTTTAGAGATAAACAAACTGCAGCTCAGAAAAGTTAGGTGATATGCTCAGGTTCACCCAACTAGTAGGTGGCAGATAGAGTCAGAATTCAGACATAAGTCTGACCATCTTTGGACACCTAGCTCCAGGCCTCCAGCCTGGACTGCTCACAGTGACAGTTTTGCTGTGAGGATGGAATGAGGTCATACAGATTGCGCGCCAAGCACAGTACCTGGCTCCTAGCACAGAGCTGCTCCTTCAAACATTACTTCCCGTTTCTCTGACACCTGAATGTTGGTAAATTGTGGCAAAACAAACCAGTGCACTCTCTGAAAAAAAAAAGTGCCCCTGCCCTGAAGGAGGGAACTGTAGAGCCTGTAGGGACAGAAAAGAAAGGGGCTGGAAGGCTGGCTCACTCAGGGAGACATGGGGGCGCTGGGACTGTGCATCCCACATTCTGGGAGTACTTCTGTCAGAGATTTCTTCGGGACTTCATTGGACCCTACACTTAATTTGCAGCTCAGAATACAGTATAGCTTCCAACAAGGCATCACACCCTGTCACCTCTTCTCCCTAAGAAACAAGGCACGGGTGTTCCAGGACCATAGGTTGGTTTTTCTTTTCTTGTTTTCCCTTTTGCTTGGAGAAAAGGGGAATTTTAGGGGTGGAGTGGGACAAGGCTCTGTGTGGAGAAGGAAAGGTTGACACCCTAGGCTGAATATCTAGAGGTGAGCAACACAGCTTGGCCTGCCCCAGAACTCCCTTCTGGATTCATCTTAAATGCCTCTTTCTTTAGAGCACCAGCCTCAGGTGGATTCCATCCCTATTCTCTACTCCCACCCCACAAACTTGATGTGGCACTAACCACACTAGAGTTTCTTGTTGGTTGCCTGCCTTTACTACAAGGTGTGTCCAGAATTTGTGGGTTCTTGGTCTCACTGACTTCAAGAAAGAATTCGCGGACCCTCCCGTGGAGTGTTACAGTTTTTTTTTTTTTTTTTTTTTTTGAGACGGAGTCTTGCTCTGTCGCCCAGGCTGGCGTGCAGTGGCACAATCTCGGCTCACTGCAAGCTCCGCCTCCCAGGTTCACACCATTCTCCTGCCTCAGCCTCCCGAGTAGCTGGGACTACAGGCGCCTGCCACCAAGCCCGGCTAATTTTTTGTATTTTTAGTAGAGACGGCGATGAGTGTTACAGTTCTTAAAGGCGGCGCGTCCAGAGTTTGTTCCTTCTGATGTTCGGATGTGTTCGGAGTCTCTTCCTTCTGGTTGGTTCGTGGTCTCGCTGGCTTCAGAAATGAAGCTGCAGACCTTCACGGTGACTGTTACAGCTCATAAAGGCAGTGTGGACCCAAACAGCCAACAGCAGCAGGATTTATTGCAAAGAGCGAAAGAACAAAGCTTCCACCCTCTGGAAGGGGACCCTACCCGATTGCCACGGCAGGCTGGGGCAGCCTGCTTTTAATCTCTTATCTGGCCTCACCCACATCCTGCTGATTGGTCCATTTTACAGAGAGCCGACTGGTCTGTTTTACAGAGAGCTGATTAGTCCTTTTTGACAGGGAGCTGACTGGTGCATTTACAATCCCTGAGCTAGACACAAAAGTTCTCCAAGTCCTCACTAGATTAGCTAGATACAGAGTGCTGATTGGTGCATTTACAAACCTTGAGCTAGATACAGAGTGCCAATTGGTGTATTCACAATCCCTTAGCTAGACATACAGGTTCTCCAAGTCCCCACCAGATCAGCTAGACACAGAGCGCAGATTGGTGCATTTACAAACCTTGAGCTAGACACAGGGTGCTGACTGGTGCATTTACAAACTTTGAGCTAGACACAGAGTGCTGATTGGTGTGTTCACAGACCTTGAGCTAGATACAGAGTGCCGATTGGTGTATTTACAATCCCTTAGCAAGACATAAAGGTTCTCCAAGCCTCCACTAGACTCAGGAGCCCAGCTGGCTTCACCCAGTGGATCCCCCACCAGGCCGCAGGTGGAGCTGCCTGCCAGTCCTGCCCCTGCGCCCGCACTCCTCAGCCCGCACTCCTCAGCGCTTGGGTGGTGGATGGGACAGGGCTCCGCTGAGCAGGGGGCAGAGCTCCTTGGGGAGGCACAGGAGCCCACGGCCGGGGGAGGGGGGGAGGAGGGAGTGGGGGTAGGGGGGTGAGGGGGGTTAGGGTAGGGGGGTGAGGGGGGTGGGGTAGGGGGGTGAGGTGGGGGGGTAGGGTGAGGGGAGTGGGGTGGGGGGATGGGGTGAGAGGAGTGGGGTGAGGGGGGGTGGGGTGGTGTGAGGGGGGCTCAGGCATGGCCGGCTGCAGGTCCCGAGCCCTGCCCTGCAGGGACGCAGCTAAGGCCCGACGAGAAATCCAGCACAGCGCCAGTAAGCCGAAACTGTTGGGGGACCAGGCGCACCCTCTGCAGCTGCTGGCCTGAGTGCTAAGCCCCTCACTGCCCAGCGCCGGCGGGGCCAGCTGGCCGCTCTGAGTGCAGGGCCGCCAAGCCCACACTCACCCAGTTCCCGCCCGTGCCTCTCCCTCCACACGTCCCGGCAAGCTGAGGGAGCCGGCTCCAACCTCAGCCATCCCAGGAAGGGGCTCCCACAGTGCAGCTGCGGGCTGAAGGGCTCCTCAAGCCTGGCCAGAGTGGGCGCCAAGGTTGAGGAGGTGCCAAGAGCAAGCGAGGGCTGCGAGGGCTGCGAGGGCTGCCAGCACTCTGTCACCTCTCAACAGTAGTAAACTCCATGAGGGCAGGCCTCACAGTGTTCACCACTGTGTCTCTAGCACCTGGCTATGTGGGTGGTACACAGTAAACTATGTAGATACTTGATGAATAGAGAAATGAGTGAATGAATAAATGAATAAACTCTCCATCAACAGTCATGCCCCAAGTGGACCCACAGCTGACCTGTTCTATGCTAAGCACTTAGAAGATGTGGTCCCTTTCCTGGAGGCTTAAATTTTACATTTCTCCAACCTCATGTAAATTGTGGGAAGACACGATGCAAGAGAAATCCCTATTTATTCCAAACCTCATGCTCTTTATTTTACCAGAGTACTCAAAATGGAGGCCCTGAGCCTAAGGGAGGGTCCCCAAGTTCATGGAATCCTGGCAGGAATTACAGGGCTCAAATGGTCTGAAGTCTAGTGTTCTACTGCTAGCTCTGCCAGTTCTGTTGTCATTCACCTCTGGTGAATGACTTCCCCTCTGGGCCTTAGTTCTCTTCTCTGTAAAATGGGAATGCAGTGGGGGAGGAGTGGTGGACCAAGCTGTGTATGAAAATAGGGGCAATTTAGTGCATTTGACTATGTACTCTGTTGTGTGTAATTGGACACAGTGTCCTCCTTCCTAAAAAGGCTTAGAGGCAGGGATAGAACTAGATGCAGAGTCTAAGTAAACTAAGGGGAGAGGGAAGACAGTGTGTGCCTACTTCTGTCTGTAAACAGCAAGGTCAGGATGTGCTGGCCCTCTGGTGAGAGGACAGACAGGACAGAGGGGTGGTGGGCTAGAGGGGGCCTTGCCATAATAAGGGCCCTCTCAAACATGTCTATATGTCTTTGCCTCTAGATTTGCAAAAGAAAAGATTCTAAAGCCCTGGGATCTTCATGCCATCACCAAGCATGATGCCCTCCTCCCCATTCAGAAGCAATACACCCCCTTCTCCTTCAGAGGGACAACCCAGAGAGAAATGGGTGGTGGGGATGGAGGATGGGGAGGCCTGGAGAAGCATTGATGGGGCCAGGGTTCCTAGCAGGGTCCCATTTCAGGCATCTTCAGAAAGTGCAAGAGCGTGAGCCTCCTGGTCCCCCTCCAGTGCTTTCTTCCGGAGGATAGTGGACTCAGTGGACACCCGCATCCATGCCCCAAAGCTTTTTGGCTTCAGTCCAAGCAGCTGACAGGTTCATCCTTCTCCCTAGGGCCCCACAAACACCACTTCCGGCCCTCCTGCCTCTATCTGGGCTCTTCCTGCCTGGATCTCTATACCCACGCCTGCCCTTCCCTCTGCAGAGCTTTCTCCCTCCCTTCAGGAGCCTTATTTCGCTCTCTCAGTCTCCATATCTATTTCTTTCCCCCTTCTTCCCTCCTCCCCTGCTTTTCTCCTCCTTGCCATCCCTCCCGAGCCCCAGTATGGGTCTCCCCTCCTTCCCCTCTCTCAGGCTGCATCTCCCCCCTCCTTAGTGCTCACCCCTGCACCTCTTTCTTTGTATTCTTCTCACCCTCTCCCAGCCTCGCCAGCATCTCTCCTCCCCCGCCCGGCTTCGGCCTCCCCCTGCCTCCCCATCTTCAGCTCAGTCTCCTCCCCCTCGCTCCTCTTCCCTCCCCTCCGCCTCGCCCCACTCCCAGCCCGCATGCCAGGATTTCTCTCCTCCCTGGGGGTCTCAGTGCATCTCCTTCTCCTCTCTGCCTGCCTCCTCCCTCACCGAAGGGTTAGCGGACACCCATCCTTTTCTGCTTGGGGACCCCACCACCACCCGCAACACTGCCGCTGTCTCTTCTTCACCGTATCCTTCTCTACCCACCCTCTTCTCTCTTCTCTTCTCCCTGCCCCTTTAAATCTGCCTGGCCCAGCCTCCCCCGTGATGCTGGGATGGAGCAAACATTGATTTGTGCTGGGATGGAATCGGAATTTTGATTTATTTTTCCTCTCCCAACCATAAGAAGAAAAAAATAATAAAAACACCCCCTCTTGAGAGCCCCCTCCCCCTTTGCATCCAGCTCCCAGCTCTTCTTCCCTATCTCCATCCAAGGCAGATTTTTTCCCCTACACTATTCTCATCTTCCCCCACCCTTGCCACTACCTCGCCCCCCCACCCAGCCTGCTCCTCCAGCTGGGGAGAGAGGGGACTCTCCGGACTCCCCCACCTTTCCTCTCTGGGTTGGAGCAGTCTCTCCGGAAGGGGAGGGGGCTTGGCTTGTCCGGGCGAGGTGGGAGTGGAGGTATCCTGCCATGGATGCTGTGCCGGGGAGGCAGCCTGAGCCCCAGCCCACATGGTGAGTAGCCTGCCCCCTCCCTTCTGCCTGTCTGCCCGTCCCCACCCTGGCCTTTCCCCTGCAGAGCCTCCCCTGGGCCCCATCCCCCGAAAAACCCCCCGAAAAACCCCCCGAAAAACCGTCTGCCTACCTTGGTCCGATCTCCCCGCTACATATTCTACCCCCCACCCCCATCCCTTTGCCAGAGACGCCGAAGAACCGGGGCAGAGGGGTCCTGACAGCAGCCAGGGAAACGGGTGCCCTACGATTCTGCCCAGCCCCCTCTCAGGACCCCCAAACTGCCATCCACACTCGACACTTCGGGGTTCTAGGTTGGAGAATTGGGACTCCCGCTTGGGGTTGGGGCCCCAAGTCCTGGGAGGGGCCCGCTCCACAAAGACAGAAATGGGGGAAGCCCCCATTCCCCCAAAGCTTGGGGGCTGCTGGAAGATGCTGCCAAAGGAGGGGGGTGGATTGGGGGGCGGCGCTGATGCCCCAGAGCCACCGGGCCAGGGAGCGGCGGGCAAAGAGGAGGGGCCTCTCTCGCCACTTGCCCCCCTCCCTCTTTCTCCGCAGCCACTCAGGATGAGGGTCCGGCCCTGCCTGCCCTCGCTGGGGCCCCCCCGCCCGGCCCCGGTCTAACTGCCCCCGCCCCGAGGCCTCGCCCGGCTCCAAGGCCCCCAGCAGGCTCTCCAGTCCCAGGATGCGCTGAGCCGCCGGGGGGCTGAGGCCGCGCCAACTACATGCATGTCCCCCGGGGGCAAGTTCGACTTTGACGACGGGGGCTGCTACGTGGGGGGCTGGGAGGCGGGGCGGGCACATGGCTACGGCGTGTGCACGGGCCCCGGCGCCCAGGGCGAGTACAGCGGCTGCTGGGCACACGGCTTCGAGTCACTGGGCGTCTTCACGGGGCCCGGCGGACACAGCTACCAGGGCCACTGGCAGCAGGGCAAGCGCGAAGGGCTGGGCGTGGAGCGCAAGAGCCGCTGGACGTACCGCGGCGAGTGGCTGGGCGGGCTGAAGGGGCGCAGCGGCGTGTGGGAAAGCGTGTCCGGCCTGCGCTACGCCGGGCTCTGGAAGGACGGTTTCCAGGACGGCTACGGCACTGAGACCTACTCCGACGGAGGTGCGGGGCCCGGCCCACCAGTGTCTGTCTGCTCGTCCGCGTGCGCCTTCCCCAGCCTTGGGCCTTCGCCCGCCATTTGCGCCCTTGCGCCCATCCTTCTTTCCCCCGCCACCATTCCCCATCGATGTGACCCCCAGCCCCCAATTTCTGCTCTCTCCCACCATGATTATGCTTTCCTCAATTGTCTGTCTCCTGCTCGCTTCTCCCTCACCCCTTCCCTGTCTGCCTGTCCTCACACCTCCCTCTCTACCTGCCTGTCCCCAACACCTCTGCTCTCCGTCGGGTCGGCGTGCCCCTCAGAGTACTGTTTGCCTATCTAAACGCCCTGACCAGCCTGTCCTTCGCATGCCTGCCGGGCCCTCCCCGTTTCCCCTGTTTACCCGCACTGCCAAAATCCACGTAGGGCTCCTGCTACCTGCCCGTCTTCACTCTGCTCTCCCACACTTTCCGGCCCAGCCTGGCCTGTTCCCGGCTCCCAGTGCCCTTCCCCGACCTCCACACTAACTGCCTCCATCTCTCCCGCCTGACGCTTGGGCTTCCAGGGGCGCTTGGGACTTGGGGCGCAAGGAGCCCAGCGGCACGTCCTGACTCTTTCTCCCACCCCTCCGCCGCCCGCAGGCACCTACCAGGGCCAGTGGCAGGCCGGGAAGCGCCACGGCTACGGGGTACGCCAGAGTGTGCCCTACCATCAGGCGGCGCTGCTGCGCTCGCCCCGCCGCACCTCCCTGGATTCCGGCCACAGCGACCCCCCGACGCCACCCCCGCCCCTGCCCTTGCCGGGCGACGAGGGAGGCAGCCCCGCCTCGGGCTCCCGGGGCGGCTTCGTGCTGGCCGGGCCCGGGGACGCCGACGGCGCGTCGTCCCGAAAGCGCACTCCGGCGGCCGGCGGATTCTTTCGCCGTTCGCTGCTGCTCAGCGGGCTCCGAGCGGGCGGACGTCGCAGCTCCCTGGGCAGCAAGCGAGGCTCCCTGCGCAGCGAGGTGAGCAGCGAGGTGGGCAGCACCGGACCGCCCGGCTCGGAGGCCAGCGGGCCCCCGGCCGCAGCGCCGCCCGCCCTCATCGAGGGCTCGGCCACAGAGGTGTACGCGGGCGAGTGGCGCGCAGATCGGCGCAGCGGCTTCGGCGTCAGCCAGCGCTCCAACGGGCTGCGCTACGAGGGCGAGTGGCTGGGCAACCGGCGGCACGGCTACGGGCGCACCACCCGCCCCGACGGCTCCCGCGAGGAGGGCAAGTACAAGCGCAACCGGCTGGTGCACGGCGGGCGCGTCCGCAGTCTCCTGCCTCTGGCCCTTCGGCGGGGCAAGGTTAAGGAGAAGGTGGACAGGGCTGTCGAGGGCGCCCGTCGAGCCGTGAGTGCTGCCCGTCAGCGCCAGGAGATCGCCGCTGCCAGGTGGGCGTCCAGTTCAGAGGCCAAAGCTGGGCTAAGAGGAGGGGGTGCGCTGGGGACCAGGAAGGCGGGTGTGCCTAAGGGAGGCCCAAGGCCCAAGGCCTAGGGCCTGCTATTGCAAGCCTAAGGCCAGGCAGTTGGACCCCTGGGCATTCTTGGTGTTTATATCCGAGGCTACAGGTGGATGTGGGTGTAACTCTGGATAGCTGGGTATTTGAGGGAGATGGTGTAAGACTGTAAATGTGTCTCGGTGTCTTTTGTGTGGAGATGCATGTCTATGGAATCCATTGTTGTGTGTGGGAGTAGCAAGGAAGCTGTTTTGTGCAGGCCCAGAAATCTCTTGGAACTCAAAACATGTCCCTAGTCTTCCTCCTCTTGCAGCTGATCCAGCCTCCAGGCCTCAGGCTGGGAGCATCAACCCTGGGTGGAATAGGGACTGTCCCTTCCTAATCACGTCCCAGCCTGACACCATTTCAGCCTTGGGCCTTTGGGAAGTCTAATTTATACAGCTGACCTATCCACCTGAAAAGATAGTCTCTCCCAGTTTTGCCCCCTCTGCCTTCTTTTACCCAACTGATGGGAGGTTTGAGGGGAGGAGGCTTCCCTGTAAATGAAACGTTTCTGTAAATCAAATTACATTTCCTTGCATCAGGAACCTTGCTATCTAAAGCAGTGCTGTCTAACAGGAATATTATATAAGCCAAATAGGTAGTTTTAAATCTCCTAGTAACCACATTAAAAAACAAAAAGAAGCCAGACATTGTGGCACACACCTGTAGACCCTTGAGAGGTAAGGGGATCACTTGAGCCCATCAAGACCAGCCTGGGCAACATAGCAAGATCCTGTCTCTGAAAAACAAAAAACCAAACAAACAACGGAATAGAAAATTAAAAAAAGCAGGTGTGATGAATTTTAATAATATTTTTATTTAAACCAATATATCCAAATATTATCATTTCAACTGGTAACCAGTATAAAATTATTAAGATATTTTACAAATTCCTTTTGAACTAAGTCTTTGAAACCTGCAGCTCCCTGGGCAGCAAGCGAGGCTCCCTGCGCAGCGAGGTGAGCAGCAAGGTGGGCAGCACGGGACCGCCCCTTAAATTTTACACTTAAATCACATCATTTCCATTCAGACTAGACACGTTTCAAATGCTTAATAGCCACATATGGTTTGTAACTACTGAATTAAATAGCACAGATCTGAAAGAAGGCCGGGCACGGTGGCTCATGCCTGTAATCCCAGCACTTTGGGAGGCCGAGGTGGGTGGATCACCTGAGGTCAGGAGTTCAAGACCAGCCTGGCCAACATGGGAAACCCTGTCTACTAAAAATACAAAAATTAGCTCGGTGTGGTGGCAGGTTCCTGTAATCCCAGCTACTCGGGAGGCTGAGGCAGGAGAATCACTTGAACCCGGGAGACAGAGGTTGCAGTGAGCCGAGACCACGCCACTGCACTCTAGCCTGGGCGAGAAAAGTGAACGCCAGTCTAAAAAAAAAAAAAAAATCTAAAAGAAGCCAAAAATCCACTTGTAATGAGATTCATAGACCCCTTATTTATACAACTCACATATTTGAATTTTTACATATTGAATTTTCTTTTAAAGGGGTGGAGGATTTCATTTAAATTTGAGACTTTTTGAGAGATCAGAGATCAGGATATGTCCAAATATGCTTAAATGAGTTTGTATAATGGGTGACACAGTGAGAGTGCGTGTGTGTGTGTGTGTGTGTGTGTGTGTGTGTTACAGAGAGAGAGAAAGAATATAAACATGCCAAATGCAGAGTAGACGTTTGAGTCAGAGAATGTGCATCTATAGATGTGTCTGGGAGTCTGGATGTTAGAGCCCAGGGACTTAAGCCAGGGAAGGGGGAAGGCAGAGCACCAGGGAACATTTTAGGCTAGATAGGGTGGAGACATGTGCAGGAAAAACTGATCTCAGTAACTAGAGGATCAGGCAGTGGGAGGAGGTTGGTTGGTCTCCCCAGCAACAGGCCTGGCAATCCCGACTGGCTGCCAGCTGCCATGGAAACAGCAGAGCCTCAGCAGCAGGTGCCTCTGCCAGGTAGCCTGAGCCTGGCCTGAGTCTGATGCCTGAGCACAGACTAAGTCTACTGTGTGGGACTTGATCATCCATACTCTTCATACACAAAAACAGGCCTCATCAGTGCACCAGTTTCAGGCCACCAAAATAACTCAATACAACCCAAGACCATGATCCTCACGCTCACGGCTCAACAGGTGCCCTTGACAGCCCTGTCCACCTTCTCCTTGACTTTGCCCCACTGAAGGGCCAGAGGCAGGAGACTGCACATGTGCCCGCTGTGCACCCTGAGTCCAGCTCAGTTTCAGGACAGGGCTAGTTATATACAATCTGAGAGTCCTAAGACAGAAGAGCCACGTTATCTGAGATCCCTCCAAATAGGCTCTAAAGATCTTTGACCCACCAGGTTTGAGGAGAAGGGGCTAATCACGGCTCCCAAAGAACATAAAGAAGAGGCTATGGACTAAGAATATGCACAGTAGATATCACCATCCTCTTCCCCACCCCCATACCAGACTGCCTTCCTGAGCCAGAGAGAACAGGCCTGTGGCCAGAGGAAGTCATGGGGTGTGATCAATTCAAGCCCATGGCAGCTCGTCGGCCTGCCTTTTCCTCAGCTCTTTTGTGCCCCACCCTCAGAATTACAGAACTCATTTAAGGATGACAAGGCATCTACGATTAACAGCAGAGGGTGAAAGGGAAGAGAAAACTGAGGAAGCATCTGACATCACAGGGAGAACTGAGAAGCAACAGTGGGGAAGGACTGATCAGACTCCCAGGCTGCCTGCACCTAAGGAGCAGGGAAGGTGGTAGGGGGTTGTGGAAGGGAGACTAAGGGTTTAGCCAGAAGTGTAGTTGCAATGGTGAGAAAGCATATTGCATGTTAGTAGGGAGAGGGGATGGGATCATTACCGAAAGGGGAGACCCACTCTCATTCCAGTTCCAGAGCTCAGGAAAGCATGACGGGGGGCAGTGGGGTGGTAGCAGTGACAAGAGGAAGAACAGTGTCATAACAGAAGAGGCTGAAGGAACGCAAGATAGGAAGTTCTCATGCCAGGAAATCTGTACGGGTAGAGGTAGGATTAATAGTAAGGAGAAGTGACAGTAGAAAGAGAAAGGGAGGCAGAGACTGTTAACATAAGGGAGACGGTGGCTCTGAACGAGGGGGCGGGGCAGGGGCGAAGCTGCTTGGAGGGGAGGATCAAGGTACAGGACCCTGTGCTAGACCCCACAGAGAGGCCTGTGACTCCAGGGGGGTGAGAGGGGTTAGTAACAACAGGAGGTGCTAACTGCAAAGAAGGTGGTAGTATAGCTCATAAGCACCAAGCAGGACTGCAGGGGATGTGCTAAAAGAGTGAGGTCTCGACTGTCACTGGGAAGGGGGCAGGATAGGAATGGAATTACACAGTTCCAGGAGGGCCTGGCCCTTGCAACTGGAAGAAGTGTTACTACAGGACGTAGCAGTAGAAGGGTGTGAGAGGAGCAGGAGGGTGTGATGGTGGCAAACACAGCCCAGGTCAGGGGGAGGAAACCAAACGGGAGCTGCCCTGGCCTGCCAGGAAGGGAAGCAGCTGGCAGAGTGTGGCGAAGGGTGACGACTCCAGAGGAGAGGAGGATGTGATGTAGAGGGGACAGGGGCTAGGGGGCTGGAGCATCTGAGCAGGGACTAACTTGAAGTGGGGGAAGTTCTGCTAAATCCCTGTCTCTGGACCCGACAGGGCAGCAGACGCCCTCCTAAAGGCAGTGGCAGCCAGCAGTGTCGCTGAGAAGGCCGTGGAGGCAGCTCGAATGGCCAAACTGATAGCCCAGGACCTGCAGCCCATGCTAGAGGCCCCAGGTGAGGCATGGACAGCTGGGGGGAGGGCAGTGAGGCCCCTAGGGAGCTAGAGAGGCTCAGGTGTGGGGAAACAGATGAGAAGCCCTGCAAGGGAAGTGGGGATGGGAAAAAACAAGGAATGAGGGTGCAAGGAACACAGGGTGGGGGCCAGACCTGGTAGTCTGGGGAGTGGGACTTGGGAATGTATGCAGTAGGATAATGGGGGGTTTGGGGTCTGGCGGTGAGAGGCTATGAGCCTGGGAATTCCAAAGTCCTGGGAAGTGCCCAGTCAGGAATAAAGCTGCAGCCACTCCAGCCCAAGGCCAGTTAGGCCCCTCTGATTCTCAGCTATCCCTACCCAGGCCGCAGACCCAGGCAGGACTCAGAAGGTTCCGACACGGAGCCCCTGGATGAGGACAGCCCTGGGGTATATGAGAACGGACTGACCCCCTCAGAGGGATCCCCTGAACTGCCCAGCAGTCCTGCCTCCTCCCGCCAACCCTGGCGACCCCCTGCCTGCCGGAGCCCACTGCCTCCTGGAGGGGACCAGGGTCCCTTCTCCAGCCCCAAAGCTTGGCCTGAGGAGTGGGGGGGGGCAGGCGCACAGGCAGAGGAACTAGCTGGCTATGAGGCTGAGGATGAGGCTGGGATGCAAGGGCCAGGGCCCAGAGACGGTTCCCCACTCCTCGGAGGCTGCAGCGACAGTTCAGGAAGTCTTCGAGAGGAGGAGGGGGAGGATGAAGAGCCCCTGCCCCCGCTGAGGGCCCCAGCAGGCACGGAGCCTGAGCCCATCGCCATGCTGGTCCTGAGGGGCTCGTCCTCGAGGGGTCCTGATGCTGGGTGCCTGACAGAAGAGCTCGGGGAGCCCGCTGCAACCGAGAGGCCTGCCCAGCCGGTGAGATCCTCTGTCCCTGCTGTGTGCCCTCTTCTCCCAAAGCCTTGCCTCCCACCCTTTCCAGAACTGTCTGATCACCGGGGGGGCTTTTTATCTCACTCGGCTTCCTCTGCCTGGCCAGTCTTGGACCACATCCCACCTCAAAAAAATAGAGGGCGTTCGAGCTGGAAGGAACCTTACACACCTGCAAGCCCAACTCCCTCATTTGACAGATGGGGGAACTGAGGCCCAGAGCACTTAAAGTAACTTGCCCAGGCCGGGCGCGGTGGCTCACGCCTGTAATCCCAACACTTTGGGAGGCCGAAGTGGGCGGATCACGAGGTCAGGAGATCGAGACCATCCTGGCTAATACAGTGAAACCCCGTCTCTACTAAAAATACAAAAAAAATTTAGCCGGGCGTGGTGGCGGGCGCCTGTAGTCCCAGCTACTTGGGAGGCTGAGGCAGGAGAATGGCGTGAACCCGGGAGGCGGAGCCTGCAGTGAGCTGAGATCGCGCCACTGCACTCTAGCCTGGGTGACAGAGCGAGACTCTGTCTCAAAAAAAAAAAAAAAAAAAAAAGTAACTTGCCCAGGGTTGTAAACTAATAATTAATGGGAGAGCCAGAACATTTTTCCCCCGTTCTCCTTCCATATCATTTCCAGCTCTCAGTTTCCTACTCCACCCCCACCCCCACCTCCGCACTTTCTCTCTTTGGTGCCCAGAAATAAAAAAGGAAAAGATTGTTCCCTCCCTACCCTGACTCTCCCTCCCTCTCCCGGGAAGAAGTTGAAATAGAGAAGAAGGCAGAAAACCGGGAGAGGCGGAGTTTGCCCAGAACCCTCTACTCTGATTGGGCTCTAGGCCTTCTGTTTCCTAGCAACCACATCCTCACCCCTTCATCCCTCTGCCTTACTGCAGTACTGGCTGCTGCTGCCAATGTCTGCTACTAAGGCCAGGCACCTCCTGCCTGGGACACATGATATGCTGATGGGAGGGGACTAGAGGGAGGAGGTGGAAGGGCTGTCCCTGCATTGAAGGTGTCAGAGGAAAGGTGGGGCCCTGCCTGGGAGAAGAGGGGGTTTTGCAATCCAAAACAAATGTTGGCGATCCCCCTGCTCCAGGCTGTGCAGGGAGGTGCCTGAGACCCTTCAGCTCTGCCACCTCAGTCAGGGCAGGAAGGTGGGCCCTGTCCTCGGGGACTGAGTCTGCTTCCCCCTCTGTCTCTCTAGGGAGCTGCCAACCCCCTGGTGGTGGGAGCCGTGGCCCTCCTGGACCTCAGCCTGGCATTCCTGTTCTCCCAGCTCCTCACCTGAGGCTACTTCCTGGCCTGGTTCTGGCTTTGGTTGCGTGCCTCTTCACCCCTTTGACCTGCCTTTTTTCTCTTCTCCTCTTCCTGGCTGTGTTTTCTCCTATCTTTCTTTCTCTTCTTCCTTTCTTTTCTGTGCTCCTTTGTTTTTTTCTCTCGCTTTTTCTTTCCCTGTCTTCTTTCAGATTATCTCATTTCTTCTGGATCTGTCTCTGTATTCCTCACTCCCTTCCCCATCCCAACCCCTTCTTTCTCTAGATTGTTTACATATGAAGGGCTTTTCTCTCTCAGAGTTGCTGTCTTCTCTGAGACACACAAATCTAAGTCAGACCATTGCTCCACGCCCTCCCACCTTTTCTTTAGACCTCAACTTCGCTGCGGGTGGGGGTTTGGTGTCCTAAGGAGACTCCTGGAAGCTGAATGGAGAGGAGGAAGAAAATGAAGAAGGAGTGATTGAATGTCGGGCAAGGCACTGGCTGAGCTGCTGTGGCTCCCTAGCCTAAGGGGCCTGCTGTCCCTCTGAGGCCTAGTGAAAAAGCTGCAGGAGGTGCATCCTCCACCTCTAATCTTGGAGGCTATTATCTTACCTCCAAGCACTGAGCTGGGTTACTGCCCAATTCCATCCTTCCCTGAAGGAGAGAAGGGAAGTGAAAAGTAGAGTAACTCCCCAGCATTTCCCTCTTTTTCTCCTCATCGGCCAGCCCCTCCTCCAGCCCCCTCTGGTGGCATGCCATGCCAAGAGCAACGTGTAAAGGAACAGAGAATATCCAATGCAGTCAAGTCCACCCTGCCCAGACTTTGCCACTGACTTCTCCCACCCTTCTGTCTCCCCCATAATAGTTTATTTGGTTGGTCTGGACTCACTTGTGGCCTTTGATTAAATTCCTAAGGGGCCTGAAGAAGACATTTCTACTGCAGAGGGTTAGAGGCACTTGAGCAAGGCCCCCACATCCCAACTCTGGGAGTTGTGGTGGGAGGAGGCACTTCTGGGGGATAGGACCAGACAAGATAACAGGAGCTCACATGGAAGCAGAAGCTGTGACAAGTTTAGTAGTCCCAAAATGGGTTATATCCCTTCCCCCTTTACATCAGAATCTTGTGAAATGGGAAAACAACAGAAGGAGGGGATCAAAGATAGCTGATCTCACATGCTTCCCAGGCAGGGCAGAGGTGGGAGTCAAACCCGGGTGACAGGTGGGTGGAGAGCCCTGTTTGAGGTTGTGGCTGATCCCTCTCTGGTATTAGTTTTTCCCCTGGGAGCAGGAAGCCCTAGGAAGAGGGGACTGCAGGGTCCCCAGGGGATCTTTCCTCCCTCCCCTGCATGAGGCAGAGGCAAGCTGCCTGCCAACCCCCTCCCTCAAGGAATGGCCTTGCCCAGGAATGCCCACCACACATACCCTCTTCTTTTTTTCTAGTCAAACTCTTGTTTATTCCTTGGCTTGCCTCCCTCCTTCCTCCCCTCTCAACCTTTACTTCTGATTTCTATTTCATGGAATTTGGGATTGAAGTTAAACTACAACAGTGCCGCCAACACCAAGTCTTGCAGGAAAAAAATACAAAGAAATTTAACAAAAAAAATATATTAATAAAAAAGTTCAAAAAAGGGGGGGGATTGTCATCTCCTTTGGGGTGCGATGGCTTCAAATCCAAACTGAGGCTCTCCGGGTGGTAAGGATGTGCGAGGAGGCCTCTTGAAGAACTCCAGGCCTATCATGCTGTCTCTCCGCTAAAGCCTGAGGCCCGAGGTCAGAGGATTCAGGAAGGCTCTGCAGTCGGCCCAGGAGGGCGGGGTCCCGTGGTGGAGGCGGGGAGAGGGAAGGACCGCACGGAGCACCAACCCCTGCTCGGCCCCGTACCAGGAAGCGCTGGGGGGCAGAGGAGCGGAGTTGAGGCAGAAGCCAGGTGAGGCTGGAGTCCTGGGGTAGGCAGGCTGTCGCTGCCGCTGCCGCTGCCTGAGATGGAAATCGGGGGAGGAAGCTCGCGGAAGAAACAGCGGAGGGTCGTGGAAAAAAAAGCAATGGCTGAGCTAGGGATGGGGTACCAGGTAGGGGGAGGAAACGGTAGAGAGAAATAGGTGGGGCTCCCGCGCATGCTCAATAGGAAGGGGCGCCGGTGGGGTGCGGACGCATGCGTAGTGGGCTTCTCGGGCGGTGGGGTGGGCGCGGAATTTGGAGACCCACTTCGGGAAAGGTAAAATGCGGGCGCAATTTTAGGGTACCTGTGGGACCCGGGCTCTTAGGGTCTTGACACAGGACGGGCCTGGGCCGAAAGCCCAGGCACGCCCGACCAGAGAGTGTTTCTCCACTCCCGGACTCTGCCAGTCAGGATGGTGGTGCCTTCGCTGAAGCTTCAGGACCTCATCGAAGAGATTCGCGGGGCCAAGACTCAGGCCCAGGAGCGGGAGGTGATCCAAAAGGAGTGTGCCCACATCCGGGCCTCCTTCCGCGACGGGGACCCAGTGCACAGGCACCGGCAGCTGGCCAAACTGCTCTACGTCCACATGTTGGGCTACCCCGCCCACTTTGGACAGGTACTGGCCAGGAATACCTCCCTCCTGAGCTTGATGAAGGCTAGTGGGGCAGAGTCCCAGACTCTCTCACCTGTTTATGCCCTGGTTTTTTAAATTCTACAATTTCAGAGTCTTCACAGCCTGCACTGCAAACCTCTTTCCCCATTGCTACCCCTACTGGTCATCAGCTGGCCTGAACCCTTCATTCTCTGGCCAGCCTCCTTTAGGGCAGGCATCTCCTCCTCTCCGCTCCCATCCTCCTCAACTCCTAGTTCCTCCTACCCACTAACGCCTGAATTTCCTAAGCTTCTCCTCTTGTTGAAGGGAGAGTGATGAGATATGATGCCCCACAGGTTAATCTGGTTTTAAAGAGGAAGATGGAACAGGGATGTGAGTGTCTATGGTTTCACCCCTGCCTCTTCCTGGTCTGCCCCCTTCACTATAGATGGAGTGCCTGAAACTGATCGCCTCCTCCAGATTCACAGACAAGAGGGTGGGCTACCTGGGGGCCATGCTTCTATTGGATGAGAGGCACGATGCCCACCTGCTCATTACCAACAGCATCAAGAAGTGAGAGGGTTCTGGCAATCACTTGGAATCAGGGAGATGGGAGAGTAGGGACCTTGGAAATCCCAGGGGACTGCCTGTTGTGGGTATTGAAAAGGACTGATTTTCTCAGAGGTTTGACTGACCGTCCTCCCAAACCCTGCAGTGACCTGAGCCAGGGGATTCAGCCAGTACAAGGCCTGGCCTTGTGCACTTTGAGCACCATGGGCTCTGCTGAGATGTGCCGAGACCTGGCCCCAGAGGTGGAGAAACTGCTCCTGCAGCCCAGTCCCTACGTGCGCAAGAAGGTGAGATGGCGGGACTCCTGGCACGTGCTCCTGCACACTGCCTGCTGCGTGCTATATAGTAGTAGATGCAGGGGTCCATCTCCTCTGACCCCTGTCTGAGGCCCCTGACCTCTGCAGGCTATTCTGACTGCAGTGCACATGATCCGGAAGGTCCCTGAACTCTCCAGTGTCTTCCTCCCACCCTGTGCCCAACTGCTTCATGAGCGTCACCATGGTAAGGCTGTGGGGCCCCCCATCCTTTGCTTCAGGTCTATGGACAGAAGAATTGAAAATCGGATGGGAACCCCAGCTCACAGGAGAAGGGTAGTGCACACACACAGGCACACACGCAATAGACTCTCTTGCCCCTGGCCCCCACCATTCACTTCCCCGACGCTGACCCCAGGCATCCTGCTGGGCACCATCACGCTGATCACGGAGCTCTGCGAACGAAGCCCTGCAGCCCTCAGGCACTTCCGAAAGGTGGGCTGGTGAAGGGGCAGGCCCTGGGCCTGGAAGACAGGGTCAGTGGGGAAGGAATGGGGCTTTAGCTGGAGAGGATTAGAACGAATGCCCAAAGTTGTGCCCTCCCTCCAGGTGGTACCCCAGCTGGTACACATCCTCCGGACTCTGGTGACAATGGGATACTCCACAGAACACAGCATATCTGGAGTCAGCGACCCCTTCCTGCAGGTGGGGTGACCTTTCACTGCTGTATCCCTGGATCAGAGAGGGCATAGCAGTAAGACCATGACCAGTGGTTTCCTCCCAGAGAACACTGGTTCTCTCAGTGTCCTGGGCAGCAGAGTAGCAGGCACAGGATTGCTCGGGTCATCCCAGGACCTGTGAGGGGAGAGGGAATGCCTAAAAGTCAGGAAAATACAGTTTGTTAACAATTTTTTTTTTAAGCCTGTCCTAAACTCCCCTGGCCTCACACACCTCTGTTCCCCTCCTAGGACCAAGGGACCTGTGGAGGTGAGGAGGTGGGGGAAGGCTCTAGGGAGCGAGCCAGACCCTCACATGTTGGAGTTTTCTCCTCAGCCCCACGACTCCTTATCCTATGAACCCCTCCAACTTTCCATTTTCAACCCAACCTCAGGTCCAGATACTTCGTCTGCTTCGGATCCTGGGCCGGAACCACGAGGAGAGCAGTGAGACCATGAATGACTTGCTGGCCCAGGTGGGGCCTGGGAGGGCACTGGTTAGCTGTGTTGCTTGGAGACCCCATCAGCCCTGGGTGCCCCTCACATGACTCGTCACTGTGCAGTGGCCGTGTAATTGCCTCTCCATCTCCTCTAGACAGTGAACTCCATGAAGAAGGGACACAGTCTGTCTTAGTGCTATTGCCCCAGTGCCCAGGCTGGCCCTGGCACATAGTAGAGCCTCAGGGAACTTTGTTGGATGGTTGAAGGATGGACAGATAACATGTTGGAGTCCTTCAAGAATCCTGAGGATTACCTGGGCTTGTTGGCATGTGCCTGTAGTCCCAGCCACTCAGGAGGCTGAGGCAGGAGGATCATCAGAGCCTGGGAGGTCAAGGCTGCAGTGAGCTTTGGGCGACAGAGTGAGACCCTGTATCAAAAAAAGGAGACCTGAGGAGGGCCTTGAGCAGATACATCTCCTCTCTCATCCACTCAGGTGGCCACTAACACGGACACCAGCCGAAATGCCGGAAATGCGGTCCTGTTTGAGACAGTACTCACCATCATGGATATCCGCTCTGCAGCTGGCCTACGGGTATCACCCCTTATGCCTCTCCCACTACGGCCCCGCCCACCACCTCACCCACACAGGTCCTGCTTGCTGGTTTCTCCCTCCTAGCCCCATCATCTTGCGCCAATGTGTTCCCAGTCCTCAATGGCTGAGCAGGTTGCTCCTTTCCGACTGACCCCAACTTCTGCCTCTCATAGGTTCTAGCTGTCAACATTCTTGGTCGCTTCCTACTCAACAGTGACAGGAACATTAGGTAATAGTCCCAACTGTCTACCTAGGCTGTGCCACTGATCCCCTGGCCCTCTGCCCTCCTTCCTCCAGAGCCTCCTGATCCATTTCTCTCTTATCTTATCCCTATACCCAGGACAGGACGGGGAGTGGGGGCTGATGGCCATGGTATGATAGAACCTCCCCCATCCTGACCAGGTATGTAGCCCTGACATCACTGCTTCGACTGGTGCAGTCTGATCACAGTGCTGTGCAGCGGCATCGGCCCACTGTGGTGGAATGTCTACGGGAAACTGATGCCTCCCTCAGCCGGTGAGCAGTGATAGAGGGGACAGGAGGGCAGGGCAGAGGTTCCCAGTGCCCTGTGGCCAAGACTCGAGCCAGTTTAGAGCAGCTGGAGTAAGGGGACTAAGGGGGACAGGTCCCTGGGGAAGCAGAGGGCCTGAGGCATGGACCAGGATGACCTGGGCTACCTGCATGGAAACCTCTTTCTCCTGCCAGGAGAGCCCTGGAACTAAGCCTGGCTCTGGTAAATAGCTCCAATGTGCGAGCCATGATGCAAGAGCTGCAGGCCTTTCTGGAGTCCTGCCCTCCTGACCTACGGGCTGACTGTGCCTCAGGCATCCTGCTGGCTGCAGAGAGGTGAGGTGCCCAGGAGTCGAAGAGGGTAGAATCTGGGGAGCGTCAGTACCAGGACTGATGAGCCATATATCCCCTAGGTTTGCTCCAACCAAACGCTGGCACATAGACACCATCCTGCATGTGCTGACAACGGTGAGGCAGGGGCCAGTCAGAGAGCTGGGCAGAAGTGGTCAAGATTCACCACACTGACTTGGCCATGCCCACACCTTCCAGGCGGGCACCCATGTGCGGGATGATGCAGTGGCCAACCTGACCCAGCTGATTGGGGGGGCCCAGGAGCTACATGCCTACTCTGTGCGCCGCCTCTACAATGCCCTGGCAGAAGACATTTCCCAGGTACCATTCCCACCTACCTAGGCCCAGGGCTGCCCAACCACTCCCTTGCCCATCCTGGGCCACCTCCTCCCTACTAGATTCCAATTTTTCTCTCAAGGTCACAGCTGCTTACACAGTGCAGAAGACATCTGAGCACAGAGCCCTGTTTTTAAGAACATCTGGGCTTTTGTCCTGACTCTGGTACCTCCTGGTTATGTAACTACAGATGACTAACTTCCCTTATGCTCCATGTACCCTGACTGCCTCTTAGAGCTGCCTTGAGATTAAAGCTCTTGTGTTTATGAGGTTTTATTATTACCTTGAATGCTGAATGAATTAACAGATGCCAGCCAGTATCTATAGCCCCCTTTTCCATCTTAATTAAATAGGGTGGGCAGAAAGCATCATCCACCCCTTCCACAAGGGAGGGACCCTCTCACATTTCCATCCTGTTTGGTTAGGCCATGTAGTTCTGATGCTTGGCCACCAGAGGGCAGTGGGAGCCAGGTAACAAACTTCCCTTTCCCCACTCCTCCAACCCCCCACCATCTCTGCACTGCCTAAAGGGATATTGCCAGGTCTGGAAGTGAGGAGGGGACCTCAGACACTGGCCCAGCAGTGTTTCTTTCTTTCTCTCTCTCTCTTTTTTTTTTTAAAATAGAGATGGGGGGGGTCTCGCTTTGTTGCCCAGGCTGGTCTTGAACTCCTGGTCTCAAGCAATCCTCCCGCCTCAGCCTCCCAATGCGCTGGGATTACAGGCTTGAGCCACCATGCCTGGCCAGCCCAGCAGTTTCTTATCCCATGTAGCAACCACTGGTGCAGGTGGCAGCCTGGTGCATTGGGGAGTATGGGGACCTCCTGCTGGCAGGGAACTGCGAGGAGATTGAGCCCCTTCAGGTGAGACCTCATTGGGGGTACACTGAGGAGGGACTTGTCAGGGGGACAGGACTTGCACCAGGGCCACTAACTGTATCCATGTCTGAAGGTGGACGAAGAGGAAGTGCTGGCATTGCTGGAAAAGGTGCTGCAGTCCCACATGTCCCTGCCAGCCACTCGAGGATATGCCCTCACAGCCCTCATGAAGCTCAGCACTCGCCTCTGTGGGGACAACAAGTAAGAAGGGGTCCCAGCCCCTTGAGAGATGGCCTGTCACTGGGTCCACCCATTTTTGAGTTTCTTTCCAGGCATACATGCCCAGCCCTCCCTACCCCCTAGCCCTTAGGTTCTTGTTTTTGAGCCAAATCTGGGTATTTCCCTGCTCCGTGGGCCTTTCCTTCTTGCCACATCCTGCAGTGGCACACTGCCATAGCCACTTACATACTACACTGGCCCAGCCGCATCCGCCAGGTGGTGTCCATCTACGGGAGCTGCTTGGACGTGGAGCTGCAGCAGCGGGCTGTGGAGTATGACACACTCTTCCGGAAATACGACCACATGAGGTGTGTCCAGCACTGTGCTGCAGCATGGGACCCAAACCCCTGCCCTCTCCCAAATGCCCTTTTCTAGGTACAAGGGCCTCATCCTCACCTGTGTTCTTCCATATCCACGGTGAGAGCTTCCCACCCACTGTTAATTGAAGCTAAGCTGGCTTCCAACCCTCCTTGTTCATCTGAAAATCAGCAACAACATGTCATTTTAGGAAATCAGAAGGGTACTTCTGAGCCACCATGTGCCCAGGGCTCCATATTCCTAGTCCTCATCCTAGATGCCTCTTGTGAAAGGCCCAGAGACCACACAGAGGCACACTTGCATTCCATCCTCTCAGGGCTGCCATCCTGGAAAAAATGCCTCTTGTGGAGCGAGATGGCCCTCAGGCTGATGAGGAAGCAAAGGAAAGCAAAGAAGCAGCCCAGCTTTCAGAAGCAGCCCCAGTGCCCACAGAGCCCCAGGTGAGAAGGCTAGAAACTCTGGGGTAGGAAGACGGGCTGAGCTTCATACCCAGCCCTGCCCCTTCTGTCCCTTCTGCCAGGCCTCACAGCTCCTGGATCTGCTAGATCTCCTGGATGGGGCTTCTGGGGATGTCCAGCATCCTCCCCATCTGGACCCCTCCCCAGGAGGTGCCCTGGTACACCTGCTTGACCTTCCCTGTGTACCTCCACCCCCAGGTAAGCCTAAGCAAAGGGAAGATGTCTTAGAGAAGGTAGGTGGAAATGTACTGCTCCTCCTCCTAAGCCAAGGGCTGAGGCTCATGGACCCTGCTTCTTCCTGTGTGTCCCCCATCCCATCGCCATCTCAGGAGGTAAAAGAATGAAGTCAATCATGGTCATCTGTCTTCCCTTTGTTCCAGACTTCTTTCCCTGGCCTACAGGGCCCTGCTTCCTCCCCAACCCTTCTTATACCACTTTCCCACTACCCACTCACTGCCCCCTTCTCAGCTCCTCACACCCTCCCACCCTTGGCATTTCATGTTCTTTTTTACATGGAATGTTCTTTCCCCAGCACATCAAATGACCAGCTCATTCTCACTCTTCAGGCTTCAGCTAAAATGTCAGATGCCTTCCCCTACCACTCCTATTTAAGTCAGTTCTCCCCAGTTATTCTGGCATGACTTACTTCCTTCATAGCATCTATTATGGTCTGTAATTATCTTGCCTTTTTTTTTTTTTTTTTTTTTTTTTTTTTGAGACAGCGTCTTGCTCTGTCACCCAGGCTGGAGTGCAGTGGCGTGATCTCGGCTCACTGCAACCTCTGCCTCCCGGGTTCAAGCTGTTCTTGTGTCTCAGCCTCCCAAGTCCGGGCCTCAGGTGATCCACCCACCTCAGCCTCCCAAAGTGCTGGGATTACTGGCTCACGCCCGGCCTTTTTTTATTGTTTCTCTCCCCCATTAGACAGTAAGCTCCATCCTCATCTACATGTCTACTTTGTTACTAGCCTTTCGAGTAGTGCAGGGCCAGTAGGTGTTTACTCAATTTTTGTTGAATGAATGAACAAACATGTTCTCTCAAACCTGCACACTGAGCTGCTTCTGTCTCCCTACTCCAGCTCCCATCCCAGATCTCAAAGTGTTTGAGCGTGAGGGAGTACAGCTGAATCTGTCTTTCATTCGACCCCCTGAAAACCCTGCTTTGCTGTTAATCACCATCACTGCCACCAACTTCTCAGAGGGTGATGTCACCCATTTCATCTGCCAGGCTGCTGTGCCCAAGGTTTGTAAAGATCAGAGTTCAGAGGTGGCCTGGGGACTCCAGGAGAAAAGGCCACTAAGTGGAGGAGGTGGGTGGGAGACAGTGTGAGATGGGATTGAGTCATCTGGAGATCAGCACTTGGGGAGTTACAGGAAAAGGGTGTGGAGCCACTGAGTATAGAGGGGCTGCCTGAGCCCTACCTACTGCCATACTGTGCTCTGTTAAACTCCTGTGTTCAGAGTCTCCAGCTGCAGCTGCAGGCCCCCAGTGGGAACACAGTTCCAGCTCGGGGTGGCCTTCCTATCACCCAGCTCTTCAGAATCCTCAATCCTAACAAGGTGAGCTTCAGGAGTTCCCCCAAGACAAGACCCAGGGATAGAAGAAGCCGTGGGTGCTAACCCTGGTCCCTGCTCTCCTATTCCTAGGCCCCCCTGCGGCTAAAGCTGCGCCTCACCTACGACCACTTTCACCAGTCGGTGCAGGAGATCTTTGAGGTGAACAACTTGCCTGTGGAATCGTGGCAGTAACTGTCTCCACTCACAGCCTGAAATTCTCCTGTGTCCCAAACCCCAGGGGGCCCCAGCAGCTTCGAACCTACACCTGAGGGCTACCAGCAGGTGGCGCTCTGGCTTTGCACTGCAAAAACTGGGGACCAGCCCCCTTCTCCCACAAATAAAGCCCAATAAAGCCTGAGAAGTGAGGAAAGCCATATTTGGGTATATTTGAAGTGGAAAGTGTGTATGAATAACAGCAAGGGAAGAGCATTCTTACATAGGAGGTATGCATCTTCCCCTGAGCCTTGAGAACCTGTCTCAACACGGGGGCGGGGAGGGGGCAGCTGTTGGTTCTTTCTAACCCTCTCCAGGTCAGGGAACAAATTTGCCCCTAAACTTCCACAGGAGGCACTCTACCCTCTGGGCCAGAGCTGGGCACAGTGGCAAAGTCAGATTAGAATTTCTAGAGTTCTAACAGCGATTCCCAACCATTTCCTCAACTTTTCTTCTGTTTCCCACATCCCAAGGCAGGGAAATCCCTGCTGCCTCTCCTCATCTTCTAACTCAGCTGTAAGGCGGTTTAGGAGCCGCTGGCAGAATCAATGGCATCGACCAAGGGAGGGGGGGTGGCAAGGGATTTTCCTGTGCTTAACTACTGATCACGGCTAAGTGGAAATCCTATAAACACGAGCGGAAATCAATGGAGGCTGCTTAGCGGCCAGGGGAGAGGGGCGGCCCACAGATTGCATCTGACGGATGAGCGAGAGGAAGCAGCCAGGGAGGGCTCAAGGAAGAGTAGCTTAGAGGAGGGGGAAGAAACAGGCAGCGCTGGAGAGAGAGGAGTCACTGTCAGAAGGGACACTGAGGGGAGAGGCACAGTGGGCCCAGGAGTGGACTCCGTTAGACCCAGAGTTCCCTTCCCCTTCTAGGAAGTGACACCCCTAGCCCAGGCAGTGGTCAGGATCTTCAGTCTCCTGTGGCCTCTCTCTGGAGCTGTTCACTTCTAGCAGGCGCTGATAGTCTTGAGGCCGGAAACGCTGTAGATACACAATCAGCTTGGCTGGTGCTGTCTCCTGTGCAGGCACACCTACAGGTAAAAGGACAATGAGGAGAGAAATGGACAGAGCCACAAGCACTTGGACTCTGCTCCCTGCCCACCTAGCCAGGACTCCGTGGATGTTTCCAAAGCCACACTGGGGTTCTGAATGTCACCCACCCAGCTTCTGTAACACACTAGTCCACTCCCTGCCTGCCTGTGGAAGTGGGACCTAAAAGAGCAACTTCAGGCAAGAGTGGGACTAGAAGCCACACCTCAGCCTCTCTCCTCCAGCAAGGAGAAATGGCGAAGAGGCACCCAGGCACCAAGATAAACGAAGGATGCCTCAGCGTCAGCTCATTTCAGTTATTACCCTGTTCCGCAATCAAGATTAAAGCCCTAGACCAGGCCAAAGCTCATTAGCTTAGTAATGAAGCACATGCAGAGATGTACACATAGAAACCAAGAGCTATAGAAAGAAGAGGAGGGAAGCTATAGCCATGGGGTGGGATTCACATAGAATTCTCGCCTCTACATGGTGAGGTGAGAATGGAACTGCCTGTTGCCAGTGTCTTGTTGTTAGTGCCTGGCAGCATGCTGGGCACATAGCAAGGAACTCAGTGTATGTTTGCTGAGGGGGCTCAAACAGCACTGCAGGGCTGTAAGGCCCCATGGGATGCACAATTCCTAGTGTGGATGAACTGTCTACAAGGGAATTATGCTTAGGAACAAATCTGCCAAATCATGCCCCACTGTCTCACATAACTATAATGTTATTGTCCTTTACAAAAAGCCAAAAGGACAAATTAAAAGGATCTAGGTAATTGTAAAACAAAAGGACAAGACTGGTTGGACTCTCAGTGTAGTGGGCAGTGCATCAGTCTCATGATCTGAAGATCCTGGGTCTGAGCCTCCCAGAGGGCAGCTTTTGTAAAAAGGCTTACTTTTTACTCCTTGTGGAGGAGTGGTGACTGAAGAAGAAGAAAAAAAAGAGATTGGGGGAAGGAAGAGTCAAAGCAGGGAACTGAGAAATGAAACTGAAGGAGATCTGGCTATAGGTATGAGAACTAAATGAGGCAGGTTGGCTGGAATTAGACACGTGGAAGGACTAGATCCAAATTAGCTACTGTTAAAGAGAAAACGAGATTTCACAGAACTGTAAGCAAACTTAGAAAATTGCTAAAACAATTCCCATTACAAAAATAATCCAGGCCAGGCACAGAGGCTCACACCTGTAATCCCAGCACTTTGGAAGGCCGAGGCAGGCAAATTGCTTGAGTCCAGGAGTTCCAGACCAGCCTGGGCAACACGGCAAAACCTTGTCTCTATTAAAAAAAAAATTTTTAATCCGGAGGCCCTCCCCCACTGCATGGTCCAGCAGGTGCCTCCAAAAGAGAAAAGTGGGGAGCAGGAAAAGCACAAAAGGGCCTGTCTCCCTCACCAAGCATGCTGCTGAGCCTGTGGATCTTCTCTAGGGCAGTTGGTACTTCAGCCTCCTCATGCACCAGGGCCTCTACCTCACCCACAGCGTAGCCAAAGTCGGCTGTATCCAAGTCCACCCTGAGCTGTGGCTCCTCTTCATCAGCTCCCAAGAGCACCAGCTTCCAGGCACTCCGCTTAGTCACAAAACTAGCTACTTCCTGCAGCCCCAGTGGGCCCAGCACAGCAGCCACATCTCCAGCCCCCAGGCCGTCAGCCCGCAGCACCTTACAGAGTTGGGCCACAATTGTAGGTTCCGCTGTGAGTTCCTTATACTCCGTGTGGGGTCCTAAGACACCTGCTGCTCCAGGACATTTGAGCTCCCATCCACTATCCTCTCGTCGTCGCAGCCAGTGGTCAGCCTGCATGAGGCTCAGCTCAGGGGTGTCATAGTAGGTGTCTCGGAAGGTGACCCGGTACTCCAGGGTGCCCCCCAACTCCTGCAGCCGCTCCTCTGTGCCAGGCCCTGGAAGGAACTTTCGCTCCACCTCAATCAAGCCCTGGGCCATGCTACCTGCAATTGGCTGAACAAACGTTTGCTGAGTTCCCAAGGATGCAAAGCCTGGTGCTCAGCTCCTGGGGCGTCAACTCAGTACAGAACCCCTCCCTGGAAAAACTTATGAGGGGCACACTGTGTCGCAATAGTCTCTAGGGCTACTGCCCTTTTCTCTCTACCTCGGTGACATTAAGGCCCCGTCGGTGATATTTTAAGGCTCTGACAGTGACAGGTCTCCAGTAAAATCCCTTCCACTGCTGCTGATGTCCTCAATCCAAAGAGACCCCTAGAAAGCAGGCCGGGTAGCGGGTGTCCTTTCAACGCCCCCCTCTCTACACCTTGCCACCCCAGGAGGCTACTGGCTCACGACCCGGGAGGACCTGCCCTTTCCTGCTACACTACCGGCCAGCGGAACTTCAGGTCTCACCTCAAAGCCCGAGAGTCTCCTCGCGGGACCCACAGAGGGGGAAGGGAGCCCACGCCATACACTCGCGAGGAATGCCGGGAGCAGTTCCGGATCCCGGACCTCGGCCCGACCCTCCGCGCGCCCGGCAGGTCCCGGCACCAGCGGCCATATTACGCCCGTTGTGGCGGTGCCGAGAGCAGGCCAGGGCTCGAGACACGCGCTATGTAATGGGAGGCCGCGACCCCCGCGGTGGCCAGGGGAGCGAGGCCGCCCCTTGCATTCTGCTCCTCATTGTTGGCCCCGCACGGCTCCCGGGGGCTGGTACAGGTCTCATGCCTGAGGCTGAGCCAGGCACCCCGAGGCGCGGATGCATGATGGGAGATGTAGTTCCAAAGGGAGACTTTGCCATCTCGCCCCGCCCGTCGCTATGGCGACAGGAAAGCTGCACTTGGTGCCTGCGGTACTCTACCTAAAGCTGAACTGGGGCTACAAGGCGGCGGGGAGAGTCGGGTGCAAGGAGCTCAAGCCCCAGTCCCGTCTCCAACACCCCCCGCCGCACCCCCAACGCAGGCAGATGGGCCTGGAATACAAGCCATTCACACCGTCCAACAGATATCTGCTATAGCAGCCAGCTAAGCGCAGGCCAGTGGCAATGGTGGCGAGGGGGGTTGGGGTGGGGGGAGGGAAGGGGGCGGGGGCAGCGCGTAATAAAGTCCAGTTTAGCTACTCTGGAGTTTTAGAGGGGATCTAATACCTCCTGGCATGAACGTTGAGGGTAAGAGTGGGTGAGAAACTTTCTGTCAGAGAATAAAGTGGTATTTTGGCCAGGAACTAAAGATATGATGGTATTTCAACAGTTGGAGACCTAGATGGAGACAGGAATAGCCTAAGCAAAGGCCCAGAAACTGGAGAGCACCTGGGTGGTACGTAAGGAGAAGACGAGGCTAGAAATGCAGTTGAGGGAAAAGCCTTGAGTGCTAGACTGAGGAGTTTGTCAGAGTTTCCAGCGGTCCCTAAGCAGTTTTTGTCAGGTGTAGAACTACTTATGTTCATTTAGAATACAGAAAGGCCGGTGCGGTTGCTCACACCTGCAATCCCAGCACTTTGGGAAGCCGAGGCAGGTGAATCACCTGAGGTCAGGAGTTCGAGACCAGCCTGGCCAACATGGAGAAACCCCCCCGGCCCGCCGTCTCTACTAAAAATGCAAAAATGAGCCGGGCATGGTGGCGCGTGCTTGTGTTCCCAGCTACTCCAGAGGCTGAGGCATGAGAATTGCTTGAACCTGGGAGGCAGAGGTTGCAGTGAGCTGAGATGGCGCCACTGCACTCCAGCCTGGGCGACAGAACGAGACTCCATCTGTCCCCAAAAAAATAAAATTCAGGAAAACATGGGGGTTGGCCCTTTGAATGCTTTGGGAGACAAAATATTAATAGAGATGATTCCTTCTTACTCCCTCTGAGGACTATGGTTATCTGGAGACTCTAACTATATGTCTGACCTTCCATGTGAGGAAGCTCCCTGAGGAACCGTGGCTCTTAACTCCTGGACTCCTTCCTATGATGGGTGAGAAGTGCCATGTTCTCAACACCTGCCCTCTCACCAGTATGTTTCTGGAAATACATGACCAGTGAGAGGTATTATAGGGAGAAGGACACTGGTTTAAAGACATGGCATTTTGGCCAGGTGTGTTGACTCACACTTGTAATCCTAGCACTTTGGGAGGTCGAGGCAGGAGGATCATTTGAGGCCAGGAGTTTGAGACCAGCCTGGGCAACATAGGAAGACCCTGTTTCTACAAAAAAAAAAAAAAAAAAATTTTAATTAGCCGGGTGTGGTAGTGCATGCCTGTGGTCCCAGCTGCTCAGGAGGTTGAGGCAGCGGGATAGCTTGAGCCCAGGAGGTCAAGGGCAGTGAGCTACGATCCTGCTACTGCCTGCACTCCAGCCTCGGCAACAGAGCAAGACCCTGTGCATAAATAAATAAACAAATGGCATCTTGAACTTGGAGTAGCTTGGGTCAACCTCTGTCCCCACTCCATGTTAAGCACTGTTGGTTAGGGAGAGAAGAAACCCCAGCTCCTAAAGCCTGCTTTTCATCCATCTTTTGCTTTCCGGTTTTGTTAACCTGGGATGAAGACCTAATTTTTCCTTATGTTATAAGATCCAATCCAGTGGGGCAAAAGCAGCAGCTTATTTGAACAGAAAGACCAGTTTCCGGAGCCAGACCTGAGGTCGACTCCCAGCTTCACTTTCTAGATGTTTGGCCTTCCGCAAGCTACTCCACTTTCCTAAGCATCTGCTTTTTTTTTTTTTTTTTTTTTTTTTTTGAGACAGAGTCTCACTCTGGCGTCTCAGCTCACTGCAACCTCTGCCTCCTGGGTTCAAATGATTCTCCCGCCTCAGCCTCCTGAGTAGTTGGGACTACAGGCACGTGCCACCCCACCCTCCTAATTTTTGTTTGTTTGTTTGTTTGAGACGGAGTCTCGCTTTGTCGCCCAGGCTGGAGTGTAGTGGCGCCATCTCGGCTCACTGCAAGCTCCGCCTCCAGGGTTCATGCCATTCTCCTGCCTCAGCCTCCCAAGTAGATGGGACTACAGGTGCCCACCACCATGCCCGGCTAATTTTTTGTAATTTTAGTAGAGATGGGGTTTTACCCTGTTAGTCAGGATGGTCTCGATCTCCTGATCTTGTGATCCACCCGCCTCCACCTCCCAAAGTGCTGGGATTACAGGTGTGAGCCACCACGCCCGGCCTGTTTTTGGTTTTGAGACGGAGTTTCACTCTTGTTGCCCAGGCTGGAGTGCAATGGTGTGATCTTGGCTCACCGCAACCTCTGCCCCCCGGGTTCAAGCGATTCTTCTGCCTCAGCCTCCCGAGTAGCTGGGATTACAGGTGCCCACCACCACGCCCAGCTAATTTTGTATTTTTAGTAGAGACAGGGTTTCACCATGTTGGTCAGGCTGGTCTCGAACTCCTGACCTCAGGTGATCTACCCACCTCAGCCTCCCAAAGTGCTGGGATTACAGGAGTGAGCCACCATGCCCGGCCAGCCTCTGCTTTTTCATTGAGAAAATGTGGCCTGCCTCACAGTTACCTGTGAGGATTCAGTCATAAACTGTCACATAGTATAAACTCAAAATGTTCATTTATCTCTCCTTTTTGTCATGTGAACTTCAGGGTTTTGTTGTGTTGTTTAAGAGAAGTAGGCTATAGCAGTTAGTATGGGCCCTGGAGCCAGACCATGGAGGTTTTTGAGTCCTGGCACTGTCACTTACTTATTGGCCATTGGACCTTGGGCCTGTTAATTCACTTGTTTGTGCCTTAGTTTCCTCAATAAATGAGACTATAATAGCATCTACCTCATGCTTGAGGTATTGAGAGGAGTAAACAATGTATGTAAAAGTGCTTGGAACTGTCCCTGTGCATTCAAGAAATCTTAAAAATTATTATTAGAATACAGGAGCGGCCGGGTGAGGTGGATCACCCCTATAATCCCAGGACTTTGGGAGGCTGAGGCCGGTGGATCACCTGAGGTCAGGAGTTCGAGACCAGCCTGGCTAAGATGGTGAAACCCCCGTCTCTACTAAAAATACAAAATTAGCAGGGCATGGTGGTGGGCACCTACAATCCCAGCTACTTGGGAGGCTGAGGCAGGAGAATCACTTGAACCTGGGAGGTGAAGGTTGCAGTGAGCCGGGATCATGCCACTGCACTGCAGCCTGGGCGACAGAGTGACTCTGTCTCAAGAAAAAAACAAACAAACAAAAAAACGGGCTGGGCGCGGTGGTGGTTCACACCTGTAATCCCAGCACTTTGGGAGGCCGAGGCAGGCGGATCACAAGGTCAGGAGTTCGAGACCAGCTTGACCAACGTGGTGAAACCCCGTCTCTACTAAAAATACAAAAATTAGCTGGGTGTGTTGATGCATGCCTGTAATCCCAGCTACTTAGGAGGCTGAGGTAGGAGAATCGCTTGAACCCGGTGGTGGAGGTTGCAGTGAGCCGAGATCGCACCACTGCACTCCAACCTGGGCGACTGAGTGAGACTCCGTCTCCAGAAAAAAAAAAAAAAAAAAAATTCAGGAGCACTTAATAAGCGATAAACTGAAGATGAGGAGGAGCCCGAACCTCCCCCAACCCAGCTCAGGGGACTATGTAACCGTGTGGAGGAGGCAGAAGCTCTCAGAGACTAAAGAGTAATTGCTGCGGTAGAGAAGGTTCTAGTACCCAATTTCGCGGGGGGAGATGGGGGAGGCGGAATAATAAGGCAGGAAGAAGAGAATGAAAAAAGGAGGCCTTGGGCGGCTCAGGGCTTGTTCTGAAGCTGATTTAAAACAAAACAACAAAACACATGTATGGTTTCTGCAGGCCACAGGATGAAGAGGAGAGGAGACGGAAAAGAGTTTAAAGGGGCCTGCCCTCTTTGCAGGCACCGGCTTGAACCTGGAGGCGACCTGGTGGGCTGGCCGGCCTGCCCCCGGCCCTGGGTCCCGCGAGGCAGGCGGGCGGGCGCGAACAGACTACAACTCCCGGCATGCGCCGCGGCGGGCGGGTCGCTGCACCTGCTCAGTGGGGCAGCCCCGGGCGCCTGGGTATTGATTATTCCATTGTGTGGGACGCCTAGACTCCAGCCAGTGAATGAGGCGGAGGAGTGAGGGCGAGGAGGAGGAGGAGGAGGAGGGCGAGGAGGAGAAGGAGGAGGAGGAGGAGGAGGCAGGGAGCGAGCGAGTGCCCAGGGTGAATCAATGGAAACCCCCTCACGAAGCCGGGGAAACACTTCAGCCGCAGCCAAATAGCATTGATTATTTTCCTTCACTTCCCTCACCGCCGTGAATTTATTTATTTATTTTTTTCCGTCTCCGTCCCTGACGCCCCGGAGCGAGCGCTGGAGGGAGGGAGGAGGAGGGGAAAAAAGAGGAATCAACACATCGGAGAAGTCCCTTCCAAGAGCCGCCCCCTCCCCTCCCCGCCTCGCGCTGCTCGGTGGCCGCGGTTCGACTCCCGTCCCTGCTTCCAGCTGAGGTGTAAGTGCATCGATTTCCGATGCTGCTGGGTTGGTTTTTTTCTCCTCTCCCTCTCTCTCTTCTTCCCTTCCTTGCTCTTTGGAAGCTCGAGACGGGAGAGGAGGCGCTTGGAGACTGCCGCTGGAGGGGACGGAGAGGGACGGGAAGGGGCTGGGGGAGGGGACAAGGACGGACGGACAGACAGACCGAGAGCCCTGGGAGATAGCAGACAGGGGTGTGGGAGGAAGAGGGCGTGCGCGAGGATGGGGGAAGAGAGATGCGGGGGTGGAGGGAGAAACGGGAACGGGAAAGGCAGAGGCCCGCCGGACAGACGAAGGGTATGGAAAGCCTAGACGGACCGCGCCGAGTTGGGCAGGGAGCGGGGATCCCGGGGGGAAGGGGAGGCCCGGTGAGTGTGAGGGCTCAGAGCTGTCAGCCTGGAGGGTCCTGGGTCTCGGCGGCCCCCCGCCGGCTGTGGGATGGGAGAACCGCGGCCGGCGGGCTGATGGATGGGCTAGCGCGCTGGGGCGTGGAGTGGGAGGGGACGTGGATACTCTCAGTCTTCGTTCGTTTTTGGCTGAAGTTGGGCTTTCCATTCCTTTTTTTGAAAGTGTTGAGTAGGTGAGGGGAGGCCATAAGCCCATTCAAGGTGAAGCGTGTCTGTCCTGCACGCCCATCCTACCACCCCCATCCGCTCGTCTGCCCCTCTGAGCAGCCCTATCATTTTCAAGCACAGGACCACGCTTCCTCGCTGTGCCTGTAGCCCCGCTGATCTCTGTCCATGTGTCCCTGACTTTTGGTTTTGCTGTTCTTCATCTTGTCTCTTCCATCCCATCCATCTCTGGATCTGTATGTCACTGTCTCCACTTGTGACCCTTCCCATCTGAGTGATCCTCTCCTTGTGTGTCTCTATCACTATGTGTCACGCCTTGGCTGCCTGTTCTGTCGGTCTAGGATTCCATGCCCTCTCCTTCAGAGTCTGTCTGGATATCTCTGGCCTTTTCAGGCTACTTTGGAATTTGCTTATCAGTCATGATTGTGGTGGTCACAGTCAGGGCCTGGAGGAGTGGGATGATGGAGCAAATGTGTCTTCGCCAAAGCCTCTAGTGCCTTCAGCATGGCCAGGACAGCCTCCTCTTCCACCATCACCAGAGAAGCTTTGGAACTTCCTAGCATTGTTGACTGTCCCCTTTGCCATGTGCCTGTCTCCCTCATCAGAACCTCACCTTCTGGTCTCATGCGTGTCATCTGCCTTTCCAGGAGCTTCGCACAACAAAACCTCTTCCCTGCTGACTTAATTTTACTCCCTTCCCCCACTGTATCATTGTATATTTTTTATTTCCCCATTTTGCTTCACCCCTTTTTTCCATCTGTTTCCCATGAGCTCTGAGTTTCCACCTTTGTTCCCATAATCTGCCCTCTTCCTACCTTTTCTTCTTGATCACCCTAAGTTTCTAGTTTCTTTTATCCCTTTTCCTCTTATCCAGCATTTTAACCCCAGCAGCAGAAAGTACCAGCAAGCAAAGGGCTGGGAGAGGTGTGGGGTATGGTTTGTGAAGGCACATAAACAGGCCAAGAAATAAATTTAATGAGCTTCCAGGGGCATATAACCCCTCCATCAGTCAGTGCCATTATGTCAGTTAACTGTCAACTTTGATTTTGTAAGGGGACATTCCCTAGGACTCTAAGCTCCACCCTGCCTGGTTGCCCCCCATCCTTCAGTTCATTCTAGATATCAGTTGCTTTTTCTTCACTTTTTAGTTCATCTTCTTCCTAGGCCCCTGCTACTATCATATTTAGATCCAGCACCATTTTTTTTTAATGAGGCAGTGTTTATTAGTGTAATAAAAGCTATCGTATGTAAGGAGCCAAGTTCATTTAGCCTGAAGAACAGTAAGGGTGGATAAAGGATCTGGAGAGTTTACCTTAGTTTTTAGCCCATCATTGTTTTTCCAAACCTCAGGAGCTTGGAAAGGTAAAAGGAGCAGGCAGACATGGGCAGAAGATGGACGATTTCAGAGGTGAACAGAATTAAAGAAAGAAAGGGGTGGTCGGTGCAATAAACACATGGGGTAGAGAAATGTATGACGTGAGGGATGTGCAAAGGAAGGGAGGAAAATCTATGCGGACTCGGGGGCAGGGGAGGAACCAAGGGGTGATTAATAAGAAATTGGAAGAATGAAACAAAACGTGTTGATAGCAATACAGAAGGTAAAAGGAAGAGAAATGATAGAATATTCCTAAAGTGGAGGTCAACAGAAAAAGCACTATGAAATTAATACAGTAGTAAAGAGGGGGAAGGGAGGAATTGCTGAACAAGATGAGATGGGAAGAGAGTATGGTACAAAGAAGGTAAATGGATGGCAAACGAAGGAGTGCTGAGGCAGATCAGAGCTGCACAGAGCTTGGTAGGAGGAAAAGAGGAGAGGATGAGGTATCAAAGGAAACAAATGCCTCTGGTGTGAGGAGGACACAGCGTGACTGATGCGAAGAGAGCGAGAGCACTGCGGGGGCGCCGGGGGGTTGGAAAAAAAGCATAGCACAAATAGCAGGAATACCACTGGGCGAAGCCCCAGAAGAGAGAAATGCCCAAGAGAGGGAGAGAAAGCAGAAATATCCAGGGAAGAGACAGAGAGAGAGAGAACCTCACGAGCATTCATTTCATTGGCCTAATCACTCACTACCCCCACGAAAGGCCTTTGTATTTCATTCCCAAGCCAGAACACAAGCAAAGAGATGAAAAAGTAGAATTCCCATAAACTTCAGCTGAGAGGAACTTGAATCTTCCCAGCCCCTGAGAACCAAAGACCTCAAGCCTCTGATGTCATAAATTGCTGGTATTGCCTTGGCAACCTGACAGGGTTCCTCCCTCCATGATGTCAGAGGCAGCTGGTGTTACCTTGAGACCCATACAGGAATCACTTGCTGCTTTGCCGGGGTGCTGTATCACCTACGGGCCAGGGCCTGGGTCGAATTGGTAGGATTTCTGACTCTGGTAGCTTGACCTTGCCTCCCTGGAGCTCTTCCCAGCTCAGAACAACAGTTGTCACAAATAACTCCTGTTTGTGAGCACCTGAGGTTTGCTAGAGCCTGACAGTAGCAAGAGGAAGGAACCTAAGACAGGGCATTGAGGTCAGGATGGTTGGATCAAAAGGCAGGCAGAGACGGAAGAGGAGGACTAGAAATGGCAGTTACAGAATGTGAAAGGAGAAGGGCTTTGTGAGTGGGGAGGAGAGTTGTTGAAAGTGTAATGGCTTTGGGTTTAGGAATGGAGACTAAAGCTAGAATGCAGAGGGAAGGGATCGGGGCTGTGTGAGTGTAAACTCATTCAGGGATTGAGAAAAGGGAAGGGTTGTGAAATGCCAGAGGGCACAGTGGAATTTGGCTGTACAGAAAGGGGGGAAATGGGACAGAGTCCCCTAGTCTGAGAGACTTAGCTGTCTGGTGAGAGACTCAGGGTTAGTCACATGGTCATCTGAGGAGTGGCTACATCTGTCTAGTTTCCAATTGTTTTCCAGCACCTAGCACAGTGTCTGTCACACAGAAAAGGCTTAATAAATATCTACTGATCAAACGTTGAATTAGTAGGGAGAGGCTGGGGGAAAGAGTTGCCCACCTAATTTTCACCCACTCCCCCCACCTAAGTCTACATTAATGGGCAAACTGGGAAATCAGAAACCGGAGGGAATGGCTGGAGGGTAGTTAACCAGTGACAGTGAGATCTGAGGCAGACAGGAGAGACTGGGTTAGGGTCACACTTGGAGGCAGCCAGGGGAACTCTCAGGGCTCATGTGCAGAGTCTTTGTAGTGATAATTGGAGGAAAACATGAATGAACAGCCCTAGGAGCCCAAGAGGAAGATGTGGAGGAGGGAAGAGAAAGGAGGCGGTTTCCAGAAAAGGTTGAGAGTTGTTTCCAAAGAGAGAGTTGGCAAATGTGAATTAAAAGTAGCATCCCCACCCCATTCCCAATCATGAAACTACAATTGAATTGGTCATAACCGTATATATACAATGGCCGCAAATAAGGAGTTCATAAATCAATACCAGACCCATTCTAAACACCTATCCCAAGCCAGGTAATTATTAATACAACGAAGGCAGCATTGGCCATGTGGGCCAAAAGGCCAAAGGAGGGAGAAGTTACTGCTGCCCAGATCTTGATGTAAAGAACCCTGTGAGGGATGGCCTTGACATCTGACTCTCCATTGTTGAAAGACTCCAGAGGTATCTAGAAGAGGGGGAGGCAAGAGATGTAAAACTCACCACAACTCTCAGAGCAAAATCTGCAGAAAGAGGAGGTCTAAATACACAGAAGCTATAGAAAACAAACATGCACCCAATCAGGAATCACGAGGTGAAGGGCCAAAAAGCCCCTGAATGGGTTGAGAAATCTACAAAAGAAGACAGGGGAGAGAGCTGGGAGTGCTGGAGGACAGTCTGGCTATAATAAGCAAGGCCAGGGCAGCTAAAGAAGGGGCTGGTGGGCGGGGGGCCTGAAGGAAGGACAGTGGTGGCTGTTGCACTGTCAGCCACCGCCACGGAGTTGGGCAGCTCATATTTTGCAGCAAGCGACAGGCTGTCGACACAGTGGTCCTTTACCTCACCGTTAGAAACTCATTTCATTGATTTTTCCATCTTTCTTCTCGAGCTCCTCACACTAAGCTCGGTCAGCCCACCACCCACTTTCCCAGAGCCCCTTGCCTCTCTGGGGAAAGTCCTAGGGAACTGCCTGCCCATCCCTCCTCCCCAGGCTGGCAAGGCAGGGGTGAAAGATTTAGAAGTAACTTCCAGCCCCGTAGGGTAATCCCATGGGCTCTCAGTGGCTTCCTCATGTAGGAACTAGTCCAGAGACCAGGGTCCTCATGTGCAGTTGTTAAGGGGTGACAGGGCTGAGGTCCACCCACAGTCCTGTCACCAAGCTGTACCACTGGCATGGGGGCTGCATACACCTGGAGGAAGATATATTTTTCTAATTTCTACTGAGATGCTCAGCACCCCTCAGCATTTTTTACCCCAAAGTCTAATGAGAGAACAGGAGCCCTCTTTCTGTATTTGGCAGGAACACAGGATTACATCAAAGCTAAAGTTCAGGCCTTGGAATTCCCAGCAGGACCATCAACTGGAATGTCGCATGCACAGGGGCCTGTGCAATCAGAAAGACATGAATGTTCCAGGGTGTGCAAGACCTCTCTGCAGAGCAGTTTATGCATGGAGAGTCTGGTCCTGTGGAGCACGTTGATGTGCAAAGTCAGTGGGGCAGAATGGGTGTAGGCAGGAATTTAACTTCATGTATGCACATTTCCCTAGTGCCTCCTCCAGTCATAGCTAACTGCCCTGGACCTCTCCCTTTGGGGCTGGGCTTGGGCTAGAGGTCAAGAGTCAATTACCAGTCATTTGGCTTCTCAGTGAAGGAGGGCAGAGGGTGGGCCAAGAGTGTTAGATTGTGTTTCCCCGAGGACCTGATGGGGTAAACGCCATTTCCATCCTCAGATTTTTCATTCCTTGTTTTGTGATGCCCTTTTCTTTCCCTAATCTCAAGCCTCTGTCTTCTTTATTCCTGGGCCATGGGCATGGGTCTAGATTTTGCTGCTTCTCTTGCCTCCATCACAGTTGTCTGCATTTCCCCCCAGCCATCTCTGTGTTCTGTATCAGTGGTCTGCTTGGGCCACAGATGCCTTTCTTCTCATCTCCAGCTTCTTCAGGCTATGTGGTTTCCACAAACCTACAGATAAATCCTGCTGCTTTAGGGAAAGAAGTGCACTTGAAATTAGAGAGAAGGCCAGGGAAGGATGAGAAAGAGGTTCTGGAAAGATTAGGCAGGGAGAAGTTGGGAGAGAGTATGACAGAGATAGGAGTCAAAGGTGAAAAACCCATGACTTGGAGATGGGAGAGAGCACAGAGAGATGGCCACAATTTAAATGAGAAAGGAAGGAGTGCAGTAGGCTGTGAGGACTAAGAAATTGGAGAGCAAACAGGAAGCCTGACCCCTCCGCAGGGAAATGAAGACAGCTGAGGAGGGCGGACGAGTGGTTGTGTAAGAAGTAGGGCTGAAAAGCCAGGCCATGGTCTCGGCCTGCGTGTCAGTCCTGAGTTCAAGCAGTGCTGGCTTTGACCCTTATGGGAGGAACTGAAGTGGCAAATTAACGACGATAATGAAGTCACTGCTCCTTGTTTGTCTTTGCTGGTTTCCCCTTGAGATTTGTCCTTTGGCCAGACAGGGCAATGTGGGGGAGGGGAGGAACTGGAGCCGTGAAGGGCGGGGGAGAGGGAAGGAAAAGAGGATGGAGAAATGGCAATGTGGAGGACAAATTGACTAGAGGAGAAAAAAGGGAGGGTGATGAGTGAAGAGAAGAGGAGCCCAGAATCGAAGAGAGAAGCGGGAAGGGAGACATGAAAGGAGAATGAAAGAGGAGAGGGGTGCAGAAAAACGGCCAGGGAAAAGAACAATGGGGGACAGGAAAGGGAAACCTGGTAGGAGGAGCAGAAAAAAAAGGTGGGAGAAGGAGAAGTGGAATGGAGAAATGGCGAGCCGGAGGGAAAGAACGTGGCCAGGGCTGCAAAAGCTGCAGCTGGCAGGGCCAGTGGGCGGGGCCTCATCTCCATCTCTAATGGCTGTGAAATGAGGTTAGCGCCATTAGAGGCAGCGAGAGTGTAACGAGATCACACTCATTAGGGCTGGGCCATCCCAGTAATTACCACCACCCTAAACACGCCCGCGCCAGCCGGGCCAACCACATACGGGCTCACAGCAACACACTGAACAGGATACCCTACTACTGAAAGGGAAGCACAGGGCCCACACACGTGTACATGGAGGGCCTGGGAAAATCCAGCCAGGGAGAACAAGCACCTTCACCAACCCCAAAGAAGTACTGGGACAGGGCTACAGCCAGGTTACCAGCTGCCCCACATACAATCAAAAAACAACATACACATACCCCAACACAGGAAATAAGGCATATGGATGAATAATTATTCCATTTCCATTTATTGATACACCCAAAGTGCCAATCTCAATGATGATCCTCTCAATGGACTCAACTCCATGAGTTCCCCATTCCCTTTTTTTTTTTTTTTTTCTGTTTTCTGTTTCTGATGTGTTTGTTTTTAGACAGGGTCTCACTCTGTCACCCAGGCTGGAGTGCAGTGGTGCAATCTCGGCTCACTACAACCTCTGCTTCCCGGGTTCAAGCGATTCTTCTGCCTCAGCCTCCTGAGTAGCTGGGATTACAGGTGCATGCCACCACGCCCGGCTCATTTTTTTTGTATTTTTAGTAGAGACAGGGTTTCACCGTGTTGGCCAGGCTGGTCTCAAGCTCCTGACCTCCAATGATCCACCCACCTCGGCCTCCCAAAGTGCTGGAATTATAGGCGCGTGCCCGGCCTGCCCCATTCTCTATATGAAGAGACTAAATTGAGACTTTACGCAACTTACCTGAGGTCATTTACATATTAAGAAACAGAACTAGAATTTGATTCCAGGTCTGTCTGACTCTAAAGGCTATTTTTTTTTGTTTTTTGAGACAGGGTCTCCCTCTGTTGGAGGGAGAGTGCTTGTCTGATGAAGTTCATATGCTAATATGGATACACATGTGTAGACCTTCAACTTTAAGAGATGTTGTCACAAATGGGTACACATATCATTCAAAGAACACTACCCGCCATTATCTATCCCTTCCCTCCTGTTCCCACTCCCTCCCTCCCGCTCCTTCCCTTCCTTCACACAGGGCATGGCCAGTGCCCCTGCATGGACTGCAGTGTGAATGACGCACCCTGGAGTTGCGCAAAGCAGTGCTCCTCTTCTGGTCCATCTTATACTAAGAAACAAACCAAATGGAAGACAGCCATCTAGCACCTTCAGGCGGAACATGATAGCACATATGCTCAAGGTGACACACAGAGTAATACAATCAGACTCAAAAGACCTCATTCAAAATGCATACCAGCCAGAGTTCAGAAGCTTACAAATTAACCCAAGAGCAGAGGTACTGACATCAGGCTACCTGAGTTCCAATCTCAACTCTACTTCTTTTTAAGCAGGAGATCTTAAAAATTACTTAACCCATCTAAATCAGTCTCCATGTTTGTAAAATAGGAATGAATAGCTACATCTATTGCATCAGATTGAAGTGGAGGATTAGGTGATGTGATACTTGCCGAGGGCCTAGCACGGTGCCTGGCCCATGGCAAACATTTAAAGATGTTAGCTATTTACTATTATTACAATTAGTTTTTGTTGTAATACTATTTAAATGCAGTCATTACATCACACAGGTTCACAGAATAAAATAACCAGAAAGACTTATTTACATACACGGTCACTCAGAATGTTTTCCTTCCAGCCGGGCGCAGTGGCTCACGCCTGTAATCCCAGGCCAAGGTGGGCGGGTCAGGTAGTCAGGAGATAGAGACCATCCTGGACAACATGGTGAAACCCTGTCTCTACTAAAATACAAAAAATTAGCTGCTTGTGGTGGTACGCGCCTGTAATCCCAGCTACTCGGGAGGCTGAGGCAGGGGAATTGCTTGAACCCAGGAGACAGAGATTGCCGTGAGCTGAGATCACACCACTGCACTTCAGCCTGGCAACAGAGACACCATCTCCAAAAAAAAAAAAGAATGTTTTCCTACCAAGTTCTGGGAGACCAAATTCTTCAGCGGTCCCCCATGCAAGGATCAGATAGGATCCTGATTCTGAATTTAAGGGGACAACTCCCTGAGTGCTCATACAGAAGAAGGGTTCCGAGCTGGTTCGTGGTTGTCTAAGCCTGTGGTATGTAGAACGAGAGAACCACATCTAGCAGGATGTGAGTCTCTCCAGTGTACTATAAAATCACATAGATCTGTGCAGCAGAGCAGCTCCACACTGCTGTCCTAACACATCCAACACTTTCCAAGTCATCAAGGGAGATGCCTCCTCTCCTGGACACCCACCCCCATCAGTAGCAGACACTCTGCAGCACACCTCAGCAAATCCATGCAAATGTGAACGTGTGTGGTTTCAGCCTACCGCTTCCCTTCTCCTCCTGTCTGCTCCCTACCACCCCCATCTTCTTCCTGAGCCTACCCTTTTCTCCTCACACCTCACCCAATCTACTCATGCCCACCTTAAGCATCTTGCAAAGTGCAAGAGACAGCCTCCTTGCCACCTCCTTCTCACTGGGGACAGGCCACCATCCCAATCTGGTGCCAGAGCTGGGAGGCCTGGAAAAGATTCAATATATGCAAATCAAGACCTAGCTTCATCTTCCTCTTCACTTCCTTACCTCTCCCTCTCTCCTTCCCTTCTTCCTCCCTCCTCTTCTCTGCCTTAGCGATCTTTCTTTGCCCTTTACAACACTCCTTTTCCTGCTTGTCTCATTCCCTGCCATACTCGTTCTTTCTCTCTCTTTTGGACAAAACTTATTTGCACAAAGTAAGCTCTCCTTAAATATTTATAAAAGGGGAAGGGTCTAGAAGAGATAGGTAGAATTAAAAGGGAAGAATCAAAGTACTGTTTGTTTTCTTTTTAAATATAGAAGGTAAGATTTAGAGATGATAGAATGATAGTTTTAAATGCAGGGATGACTTGGAAAGGATCTTTGGAAAAAAGAAAAAAAGAAGACATGCAGGGAAAGGCCAGAATAGTTTTGATCCACTTATTAGCTGCTTCTGTCCAAATGTGAGCCTGGGCACAATTTCTACTCTTTGCTCTGGAATAATGGGTCTCTCTAGACCCAGCAATCAAGAGGGCTAAGAAGTGAACTCTATGGCTGAGTAGACTAGATTTAAATCCTGGCCGGGTGTGGTGGCTCAGGCCTGTAATCCCAGCACTTTGGGAGGGCGAGGTGGGCAGATCACCTGAGGTTGGGAGTTTGAGACCAGCCTGACCAACATGGAGAAGCTCTGTCTGTACTAAAAATACAAAATTAGCTGGGCGTGGTGGAGCCTGCCTATAGTCTCAGCTACTTGGGAGGCTGAGGCAGGAGAATCGCTTGAACCCAGGGGTGGAGTTTGCAGTGAGCCAAGATCGCACCATTGTACTCCAGCCTGGGCAACAAGAGCGAAACTCCGTCTCAAAAAAAAAAAAAAAAAATCCTGTCCATCTAAGATTCTGCCCTCAGTTGAAAAGGGCAGAGATTAGAGGATGAGTCTTGGTCAAGAAAGGGGTGAACAGAGGCCGGGCGCAGTGGCTCACACCTGTAATCCCAGCACTTGGGGAGGCCAAGGCAGGTGGATCACCTGAGGTCAGGAGTTCGAGACCAGCCTGGCCAACATGGTGAAACCCCGTCTCTACTGAAATACAAAAATTAGCCAGGCCTGGTGGCATGCACCTGTAATCCCAGCTACTCGGGAGGCTATGGCAGGGAGAATCACTTGAACCTGGGAGGTGGAGGTTGCAGTGAGCTGAGATCACACCATTGCACTCCACCCTGGGTGACAGAGCGAGACTCTGTCTCAAAAAAAAAAGAGAGAAAAAAGAAAAAGGGGTGAACAGAAGGAAAGCTGTCAGCCTCTGTGCAAACACCATGCTCCACTCTGTGACGGGAGACAGGAAAGAGAGAAGGAAAAGAACTACCCTCATTGAACACCCAGCAAATGCACTTTACACGTTACCTATCTGGTCTTCACAACTGAGTAAGGAAAATATCATTATTCCCATTTTCCCAGATAAGGAGACTAAGGCTCAATACGTAATTTCCCAGAGTTGCACAGCTAGTGAGTGATGGAGCAAGGATTGAACCTGGCTCTCTGTGTGTGGATCCAAAGCCCATGTTCTTCCATTGCCCTAAAAAATAGAGCTCATCTAGTTATAGTTTATTTGCTGTTTATACCAAACAATCCTCCATACTAGGGGTACACACATCTCATCCTTCCTGTTTCTCTTCCCCTTCTCTCCATGGTCACCTCCTCTTGTAATCAACAGGTTGAGACAAAAAGGGGAGGAAGGCGAGGACAGTGAGTATGGAAGGGTGCAATGCCTGAGGCAACAATTTAAGAGAGGAATTTTTAAAAAAAGGTCCTAAAATTGACTCTAAGGGAAAGTGGGTAGATTAAACAATTAGAAAAGTGAAAGGCAAAACTGTTAGGAAGGTTGGGCTTGGTGGCTCATGCCTGTAATCCCAGCAGTTTGGGAGGCCAAAGCGGGCAGATTGCTTTAGCCCAGGAATCTGAGACCAGCCTGGGCAACATGGCGAAACCTTGTCTCCACAAAAAATACAAAAATTAGCTGGGCGTGGTGGCACATGCCTGTAGTCCCAGCTACTGGGAGGGAGGCTGAGATGGGAGGATCACCTAAGTCTAGGAGGCAGAGTCTGCAGTGAGACAAGATGGTGACACTGCACTCCAGCCTGGGAGACCGAGCGAGACCCTGTCTCAAAAAATGAAAAACAACTGTTTGGAAGGCCCTGATGTGAAAATCATTGTATGCAAACTTGATGGTGCCCTGATAGACTTCACTTCGAAAGACTTTGCCATGGAGTTGGGTTTGGAGAAAAAGGAGTTTTGTTTTTTGGAGGGGAGTTAGGGAGGAAAAAGCCAGTCAGGTCCCATTAGCCCTGCCAACTCCTTGGTGATATTCCCTCTGTAACCACTAGGGAGCAGTAGTGTTTCCTTTCCTCTCTTGGTCAGCCAGAGGTGGGAGGGGGCTGTACCAAAGGGAGCCCTGGTCTTGCTGGGGGATGGGAGGAAGCACCCCTGGTCAGCTTTGCCTCCAGTTCTGCCGGCCAGCCTGAATCCACGACATGGCTCCTCTTCAGCGAGGGGCAGATTCTCTCCTTTCTCAGACTTCAATTTTTTGGTCCTTCCTTTGCCCATGCCCTTTGTCTCTTGTAATTCTCCGGTCCTTAAGTCTCACTATTTCCCCCATCTTGCTCGGTCAGGGCCTGGCTTTTCAGCTTTCCACCTGTGTTTCTGCAACTTTACATCTGAGCCTCTTATCTCTGTCTCATCACATTTCTCTCTCGGCAGCTTTCTGGGTCCTAATGTGTATCTTCCCACCTCCATGGAAGAACATTTGCAGCTCAGTAATTACGACTGTATATATTTTTTTGTTTGTAGGGCATTAACTCCCTGGCTGAGCCTTGAAAGTAGCACTTCCATCCTTCCTTTCTCATCCTGAGAAGTAAACAGAGACCTGGGTCTGGACAGAGGAAGAGGGCAATACCAAAAGGAAAAAATGTCTTCTATTTCTCCACACCTTTCTCTCCATCTTCATCTTCCTCCCCTCCTCAGCCTTGTGACGAAACAGTGCATTAGGGGAGGAGGATAGGCTGAAGGGGCAGCAGGGAACTCTGGAGACTAAGGGCCATTTTGGAGCTGCAAGATTCATCTCAGGGGATGACTACACCCTCAGAACTCTCCGCCCTCCCTTGGCTCCAGGCCTCCCTCCTCCCATCCCCCTCAGTGGCAGCAGCCTTGTAATTTAAAGCTCTCTCTGTCGCCTCTAATGTGATCCTCTCGTTTTATTGACTCTTTCTGCCGTCTGTGGCGCCCCTTCACATCAATCTCCTCTCTAATCACAGCACCGCCACTGCCTGCTCTGTCTCCCCTAACCCCTCTCCTTCACAGAGGCCCCCAGCCCTTGCCTCTACCCAGGTCTTCCCTGACCGTCCCCAACCTCCACCCTACACCAGATCCACCCTCTTCCTCCTTCCTCCTCTTGCCTCCTTCAGAGGAAGCAATGTCAGGGCCTTTCAGGGGTCGCCTTGTCTCTTTACCCACATCTGAGATGTGTCCGCAGGGATAGGGGATGCCCTTAAGGAAAGCCAGGAACTAAAGGGAAGAATGGCGATGGGTCTGAGGATGAGCAAGAATCTTGGTCTTGGGGGTGGCAGGAGGGGATGACTCTTAGGCCTGTCCGTTTCTGCACTGTCTCCAGTTCAAGGTAGGAAGGGCAAAGAAAGGGACCTAGCGATTCTGAGAGGGAAGGAAGGAAAGATGGAGGAGTGAAAATGCAATGAGGGGAAAAAAAGCAAAAAAATAATCGCTGCAGCTAAAGGTTTGTAATAAATAGTGGGTGATGGGAGAAGCTCCGAGAAGAAAGGGGGATGGGGAGTTGGGGTTGGGGGAGGATGTACTGAGGCAGAGATATATTTGCAATTGAAATTCTTTCCTAAAGAGGAGGAGGGTTAGGTTGGGAGGTGGGGAAGAGATTTGCAATTTTAAATAGCTGCCAACCTACCCTCGGCCGATCAGAGTCTCACCTACAAGCTAGCCGAAAGCTAAGCTCCTTTGGTTTCTAGCTAGGAATCAGCTATGTCTTTTTCCAGTTCTAGGAAATAGATGTTTTTGAGAGAGGATCTGGGAGTTACTGTAGGATTTGGGGCTTAGGTCTGCCTAGCCCTACTCTGAGCTGTGATCGAGCGTGGTGAGTCAGGAGCCAGGAAGCAGCTGGTAGGCTTAGGGAGGGTGAGCTGTAGCACTTGGGCCGGCTGGGAGAGAGCACGCACCTGTGTACAGCCCTTGGCGGCAGGGCCCAGGACAGGGCCTCTTGCCCAGTCAGTTATTCCCACCAGGTGGGGTAGTGGAAGGGCGGTGTGGCCCACCCTGTGGGTGACGATGGAATAACAGACCCTCACAAACCAGCACCCTTACCCCTCTCCCCCACCATGGATTCTGTAGGAGGAATACCTTTCTCCCTCAACTTGAGGGCTTCTGCTTTCTGGTTATCGAGAAATCGGCTCCCCTCAGTCCAGTTCCTTCACTTCCCTTTTGGTTCTCCAACTCCCCCGACCTCCCCATCCCTTCCACCCCTTTCCCAGGTGCTGATTTGCATTTTCATTACCATGCTAATCCCACTCCACTCAGCATTCCTTAATGGCTCTGACTTCATGCCTGGCTAGAACCCCAGGAGGAGGGAAGCTACAATGGGGCCTTCAGGTTGGGTGGGGCCAGACTGAGGACCCATTCCAAATAAAAAAGTCTGAAGGTGAGGGTTAGAGGTAGCCCAGGAAAAGAGAGGCCACGCCCCTCGCCCCTTACACGAAGCACTCTGGCCTGAAGCACTACCAGTTTAATCACTAGAGATCTGCTAATACGAGAGCTAGAGAGGACGTAGATGGGCCAACTGGGACCTTGGGGGAAGTATAGGATGGAGAGGCATGGGAATTGGTGAGTTTGAGGGGGAGGTTCCTGATTTAGAAAAAAAAAAAAGGATGGGAGCCTTGGCGCTTCTGTCAGCTGGAGGCAGCCCAGGAATCCTCATTTCTTTCTTTCTGTTTTTTTGGTGAGACGGAGTTTCATTCTTGTTGCCCAGGCTGAAGTACGATGGTGCAGTCCCGATGGTGCAGTCCCGGCTCACTGCAAGCTCTGCCTCCCAGTTTCAAGCTGTTCTCCTGCCTCAGCCTCCTGAGTAGCTGGGATTACAGGCATGCACCACCACGCCCAACTAATTTCTTTGTATTTTTAGTAGAGACAGGGTTTCACCATGTTGGCCAGGCTAGTCTCAAACTCCTGACCTCAGGTGATCTGCCTGCCTCGGCCTCCCAAAGTGCTGGGATTACAGATGTGAGCCACCGTGCCCAGACTGGAATCCTCATTTCTAGTCCTTTGGAGTCTCATTTTACCTGTATTGTGTCCAAGGGACAGTCTAGCTGGGTGGAGGAGTCTAGACCACAACTTTGGGGTTTACTCAGTGCCTCATCAGTCCATTTCTAGTTTCACTATCTTGGAGCTGTGTGACCCTCAGTAGCTCACTTAACATCTCTGTTTCTTGGATGCCCCATCCATAAAATAAGGTTGCTGTGAGATTAAATGAGATGATTAACATAAAGCATTTAACATAGTGCCAGGACCATGGTATATGTACCTACATAACTATTAGTAATATTATTACTATTACTTATTATTTGTTACCTCTTTTGGGAGGAAGAGGAGGCAACCGACTAGCTGTTATCTTTCAACTGACCAGAGAAGCTCCCATCTGTTCCACATGCTGTGACCAGAGATGGATCTGGAAGGCATTGGAGAGAAGCATGGTGCCTGCATGCCAGGGGAAATCAATTATGCCCTATCTCTGGCAAGACTTAGGGAATTTACCTCGTCAGGGTATGGAAAATCTGAGGGTCTTTCCTAGAATTCTGCCATTCAAAAGACACTGACTGTGGCAGGCATTGTTTTCTGTGCTAAAGATAGAGCAAAAACTAAAGCCCCCATTCTGGCTGCTGGATGGAGAGAAAATACACTGTAGCGGGCAGTAGTGGAAGTGGGAGGCCAGTGTGGCATCTGTTGTGTTAGTCCAGGAAAGAGATGATAATGGCCTGCCTTCTGTGCTGCCCGGATTTCAGCGGGCCCCAGGATGGTGTTAGTGAAGGAGATAAATGGAGGGATTGACATGTTTTAGAAGTTGCTGTTGAAGTGGATATGTCCAGTAGGTGAGGGCAAGATAAAACTTTGGGTTTTTAGTCTAAGCCACTGGATAAATGTTGGTACCAACTTTGGAGATAGGAAAGATGGGGAGGAGCAGGTTCAGGGGACAAATAAAGAGTTCTAGGCTGGGCGCGGTGGCTCACGCCTATAATCCTAGCACTTTGGGAGGCCGAGGTGGGCGGATCACTTGAGGTCGGGAGTTAGAGACCAGCCTGACCAACACGGAGAAACCCCGTCTCTACTAAAAATACAAAATTAGTCAGGTGTGGTGGCACAAGCCTGTAATCCCAGCTACTCAGGAGGCTGAGGCAGGAGAATCACTTGAACCCAGGAGGTGGAGGTTGCGGTGAGCCGAGATCACGCCATTGCACTCCATCCTGGGCAACAAGAGCAAAACTCCATCTCAAAAAAAAATTAATTAATTAATAAAATAAAATAAAATAAATAAAATGAAGAGTTCTGATGTTGGACATATTAAGTTTTGAAGCATGTTAGACACTAAGTGAAATTTCAGGTTAGCAAAGTGGTGTCTGAGTCTGGTGTTCAGGGAAGAGGATGGGGCAGGAGTATCCAGAGATCCAGCTGCCCAGCTGGGGTCCCTGCAGCCTCACAGCACTGCTCTCTCCTTGTCTCCCTACAGGGTACTGGCTGTCACGCTGACATGAGCCCCCAGCACTCCTCCGTCTACCATGGCCACCCTTAACTCAGCCTCTACCACTGGTACCACCCCCTCCCCTGGGCACAATGCCCCGTCCCTGCCTTCGGACACCTTCTCCTCCAGCACCCCCTCTGATCCTGTCACCAAAGATCCCCCTGCTGCCTCCTCCACCTCTGAGAACATGAGGTCCTCAGAGCCAGGGGGACAGCTCCTGGAGTCGGGCTGTGGCCTCGTCCCACCAAAGGAGATTGGGGAGCCCCAGGAAGGGCCTGACTGTGGTCACTTCCCACCAAATGACCCAGGGGTGGAAAAGGACAAGGAGCAGGAGGAGGAAGAAGAAGGGCTCCCTCCCATGGACCTAAGCAACCACTTATTCTTCACAGCTGGAGGTGAGGCCTACCTAGTGGCCAAGCTGTCCCTGCCAGGTGGCAGTGAACTCCTGTTACCAAAGGGCTTCCCCTGGGGTGAGGCGGGCATCAAGGAAGAGCCCAGTCTGCCCTTCCTTGCCTACCCACCCCCCTCACACCTCACTGCCCTTCACATCCAACATGGCTTTGACCCAATCCAAGGCTTTAGCTCTTCTGACCAAATTCTGTCCCATGATACCTCAGCACCATCTCCGGCTGCCTGTGAGGAAAGGCATGGAGCTTTCTGGAGCTACCAGCTGGCTCCAAATCCACCCGGAGATCCCAAAGATGGCCCCATGGGGAACAGCGGGGGCAACCACGTGGCGGTCTTCTGGCTCTGCCTTCTGTGCCGCCTGGGTTTCAGCAAGCCCCAGGCCTTTATGGATCACACACAGTCTCATGGGGTGAAGCTAACCCCTGCCCAATATCAGGGCCTGTCAGGTAGCCCAGCTGTACTCCAGGAGGGAGATGAAGGCTGCAAGGCCCTCATAAGCTTTCTGGAGCCAAAACTCCCTGCTCGCCCCTCTTCTGACATACCCCTTGACAACAGCAGCACAGTGAACATGGAGGCGAATGTGGCCCAGACAGAGGATGGCCCCCCTGAGGCAGAAGTCCAGGCCCTTATCCTCCTGGATGAAGAAGTTATGGCCCTCAGCCCACCCTCTCCACCCACAGCCACCTGGGACCCCAGCCCAACCCAAGCCAAAGAATCGCCAGTAGCAGCAGGCGAGGCAGGGCCAGATTGGTTCCCTGAGGGGCAAGAAGAGGATGGAGGGCTCTGCCCCCCACTCAACCAAAGCTCACCCACCTCCAAGGAGGGGGGCACTCTCCCTGCCCCAGTGGGCTCCCCCGAAGACCCCAGTGACCCACCCCAGCCCTATCGCCTAGCTGATGACTACACCCCAGCCCCTGCAGCCTTCCAGGGCCTCAGCCTGTCCAGCCACATGTCCCTGCTCCACTCACGCAACTCCTGCAAGACACTCAAGTGTCCCAAGTGCAACTGGCACTACAAGTACCAGCAGACCCTGGATGTGCACATGCGAGAGAAGCACCCTGAGAGCAACAGTCACTGCAGCTACTGCAGTGCTGGGGGCGCCCACCCCCGCCTTGCTCGTGGAGAGAGCTACAACTGTGGCTACAAACCCTACCGCTGTGACGTCTGCAACTACTCTACAACCACCAAAGGCAACCTCAGCATCCATATGCAGTCTGACAAGCACCTGGCCAACCTACAGGGCTTCCAGGCGGGCCCTGGTGGGCAGGGAAGTCCACCAGAGGCATCACTCCCACCCTCCGCGGGAGACAAAGAGCCTAAGACCAAATCATCCTGGCAGTGCAAGGTGTGCAGCTACGAGACAAACATCTCCCGTAACCTGCGCATCCATATGACCTCTGAGAAGCACATGCAGAATGTCCTAATGCTGCACCAGGGGCTGCCGCTGGGCCTGCCACCTGGATTGATGGGGCCAGGCCCTCCTCCCCCACCAGGGGCTACCCCCACTAGCCCCCCTGAACTCTTCCAGTACTTTGGGCCCCAGGCCCTAGGGCAGCCTCAGACTCCCTTGGCTGGCCCGGGGCTGAGGCCAGACAAGCCCCTGGAAGCCCAGCTACTTCTCAATGGTTTCCACCACGTAGGAGCACCTGCCCGCAAGTTCCCCACATCCGGTAAGCTTCTGTGCTTCTTCCCTCTTCTCTCCTCCCCAGGGCCAAACTCTATTCCGTGCTTTCTCCCAAGGACCAACTCCCCACTTAGGTAACCATAAGTCCCTCTGAGCACTATCCTACTCATTAACCCACCTCCCCACATAGAGAACCAACCGTGCCCCATTTCTTTCTTGGGCCACTAATCTGTCTCTGTCCTCTAGCCCCTGGAAGCCTATCCCCTGATGCCCACCTGCCTCCAAGTCAGCTCCTGGGTTCCTCATCTGACAGCCTGCCCACCTCACCACCCCCAGACGACAGCCTGTCCCTGAAGGTGTTCCGCTGCCTAGTGTGCCAGGCCTTCAGCACAGACAGCCTGGAGCTGCTGCTCTACCACTGCAGCATAGGCCGGAGCCTCCCGGAAGCTGAATGGAAGGAGGTGGCTGGTGACACCCACCGCTGCAAGCTTTGCTGCTATGGCACCCAGCTCAAGGCCAACTTCCAACTCCACCTCAAGACTGACAAACATGCTCAGAAGTACCAGCTGGCAGCCCACCTGCGGGAGGGGGGTGGAGCCATGGGCACCCCTTCCCCAGCATCCCTGGGAGATGGGGCTCCTTATGGGTCTGTCTCCCCACTACACCTGCGCTGCAACATCTGTGACTTTGAGTCCAACAGCAAGGAGAAGATGCAGCTGCATGCCAGGGGTGCAGCCCACGAAGAAAACAGCCAAATCTATAAGGTGAGGCTGGGTCAGGAAGGGCCATCGGAAGAGGAGAAGGGAATGGGGACAGAGGGAGGAGATGCAGAATAAGAAAGTGATAGGAAAACCCTGGGTGACAAATGGAGAAAAAGGAAAGTATGCACCAGGTAATGACATATGTACCAGGGTAACAAAGTGACAGACATGGAGAAAGAGACCAAAGGATAGTAAACTCTGACAAGTGAAACAGACTTTATTCAGCTCTTCTGGTGTTTGGCCCTGGAGGGAGGGGTGGTATCAGCTCAGTTTGTCATGTCACCAGAGGTTCAAGAGGATGGAACCAGACTCCATTTGCATGCTGGGAGGGAGTCCAGGAGTGGTAGGAGAAAGAGAAAGGGTTGGGGAGAGCAAGCAATAATACTTAGGTGGCCATAGGAGGGAAAGGGGGGGTTTCAGGAGCAGGAAGCGAGGGGTGGGGAGGGGGCTGCTGCTAGTCAGTCTCCCTTAGGGAAGGCAAAGAAGTCCCCTGAGGCTAGGTGCGGTGGCTCACGCCTGTAGTCCCGGCACTTTGGGAGGCCGAGGCGGGAGGATCACTTGAAGTCAGGAGTTCGAGACCAGCCTGGCCAACATGGTGAAACCCCATCTGTACTAAAAATACAAAAATTAGCCAGGTGTGGTGCGCATGCCTGTAATCCCAGCTACTCGGGAGGCTGAGGCATGAGAATCACTGAACCCAGGAGGTAGAGGCTTCAGTGAGTAGAGATCATGCCACTGCACTCCAGCCTGGGCAACAGGGCAAGACTCTCTCTAGAAAAAAAAAAAAAGTCCCCTGAGGTCTGGCATGTCCCTTCTGGGCCTGAGCCAGCCTCTTCCCATGGTTCTAGTTTCTGCTGGACATGGAGGGAGCGGAGGCAGGGGCAGAGCTGGGGCTATACCACTGCCTGTTGTGTGCGTGGGAGACACCCTCCCGCTTGGCTGTGCTGCAACACCTGCGCACACCTGCCCACCGCGATGCCCAGGCCCAGAGGCGTCTGCAGCTGCTACAGAATGGCCCAACCACTGAGGAAGGACTCGCAGCTCTTCAGAGCATCCTGAGCTTCAGCCACGGGCAGCTCCGGACTCCCGGTGAGGAAGAAGGGACTGGAGAATAAGAGCTGGGCAGGGAGGGCAGCAGGATGTGGGGAGCAGGGGGGCTGCGGAGTTAGAGATACAAGGAAGGCGAAGAGGGCCTGTAGGCCACCTATACTAAATGGGAAGAAGCTGCGAAGGGATAAGACAGAATGAGCGTGTCAGGCACTGTGGAGGCTACCTTGAGTGGAGGGGCAAAGAAGGGCAGGGGCTTTGCTGGGTGGATGACATAGAACAGGAAGAGGGTGAAGAGGAACCACCCAGTGATTCTGAGTAGTGACTAGTGTCCTGGTAATGCTGGAGGGTGGCAGGCTGGAGCTGGGTAGGAAGGAGAGAGAACCTGTTTTGTGCTGGGCCAGGGCTTCTTGGAAGGAGATAGGAGCTGTGGGCATGATCCAAAGGCAGCAGGGATGGGAAGAGGCCCCTGACAAGCTTCCCAGCCTCTTCCTGTCTCCTAGGAGGTCTTCAGCCCTAAGGCTGGGCTTAGAGTCACCCTTAGGCAGCTGAGGTTGTACCAGCAGAGGCCGGGAACAGCCAGCCAGGCACCATTGATCCAGAGGGTACAGGAGAAGAGCCTGCAAGGGGCTGCCAGAGGTGGGCATGGGCGTCGGGCTTTGCAGAGCCAGTGGTGGGCAAGGGCGAGGGCATGGGCAGCAGGAGCCAGGAACACGCAGCATTGACTGGTGCTAATTGAATTGCCAATATGCTGGCTGGAGTTAAGTGCCGGAGGGGCCCAGATCAATAGCTAACGATCCTGGCGCAGGGCTGAATGGAGTTAAGGAACTTTAACACTTTAATTAGGCTGCCACCGAAAATAAATTCCTACACATCTGTCAATTCTTACTTGAGCGGTAATCTCCTCTTCCAGCTAGACCTGCCACTTCCTGCTCACTGCAGCAGCTGCTTCCATTCAGCCAAGGCTTCCTTCTTCAGTGCCCCTCCTACTACATTTCTCTGGGGCTTCCCATTTCCTGGGTCATTTAAGACAGGGAGCTGAGTTTGGTCTTGTTTCTGCTGTCTACTGCTGGACTTCTATAAAAGGACAGGAACTGGACTCTTAATAAAATGATCTCTTAGGCCCTACCAGTTCTAATACTGTAATTTTCCCTCTATCTTCTGTGTGGGTGTTTCTTTTTGTTGGCTTTTCATACTCTCCTACCTGCTGATTGAGCCATCCATTTTCTCCTTCATTGACTGGCTGCTTGTCCTGCTTCCTCTGTCCTATGTCCTCCCTTCCCTGATGCCACACCTCTTTAAGCTGACTCTCCCCCCATCCTACACAGGGAAGGCTCCTGTCACCCCCTTAGCTGAGCCACCCACCCCTGAGAAAGATGCCCAGAACAAGACAGAACAATTGGGTGAGTTTTCCCTCCCTTCCCCCCAGTCCTCCTACCTTCTGAGACGCTCACGGGACCTTGCAGTAATCCAGGAGCCCAGCAATGTCTGTGCTCAAGGAGCAAAACTGATTAAAGAAAGGGCTCATCAGGGGGAAGGGAGGCTGAGCCACGAGAGGCTAGGCACTTCCGCCCTCTTTGAGAACTCAGACCTGACCATCCTACTGACCCGGAGTCAGCCCTTGCCAAGCCTCACCTATCTACTGAGTTTCCTGCCCTTTCTCTAGTGCCCAACTCCCTACCCTGGAAGCTCTCTGCTACAAATCATCTTGAGGGCTGTCAGGGTTCCTTAATCTCCTCTTCTTTCATCCTCAGCTTCAGAAGAGACAGAAAACAAGACTGGCCCTTCCAGAGACAGTGCCAACCAGACCACGGTCAGAATTGGGGTAACTGGGAAGAGCTGAAGTGGGGGCCTGGCTTTACTGAGATCTGCTCATATTCTAAAGGCAGACGTAATTTTGTCATGCTTTGACTTATTTCACTCAGAATAGCACAGTTAAGAAATTCCACCCAGATCCAGTTCCACATGTTCAGCACTTTCGGGGGCAGAGCTGGCCCAGCAGGGTCAAGCACAGAGGGAGATGATAGGAGGGAGACAGCAGGAACTTGAGGGAAAGATGAATAAAGGAATTGTGCTGAGAGTAGGAAAGAGTGGGGGTACATGCTGGAAGGAGGGGAGGAGAAAGGCAAAAGCAAACAACCAGCTACTGCCCAGCTCTTTATCCCTTAGTTAGGAGCAGAAAGACAAGACACCGGTGTTCCTACCCTACAAAACGCCCTGAGCCTGGATGGAACTGTCCTGGCATCCTCTTACTAAGGGTAGGGGCACCAACCAAATGATTCACACTGACAGCATGTGCCACAAATCTCTAAATCCCCAGGACTCAGACCTAGGCAGCACCCAGGAATGGCAGCTCTGTGTTCTGAGGGGATTCCCAGCCTCTGGTTTGAGATGCCATCCTGTGCCTCACAGCTCTCCAAACTGGACTACAATATGTAACATTTATTGTTATTGCAATACGCAGTGTTACTGCATTACTGCAAGCTGAAGTAATGCCTTATGTCCTCAGCATCTTTTCTTCCTAACTCCTGCTCCCGCCAACAGACCTCTTCCAGATGTCTGCTCCAGGGGCTAGGTGCGTTAAGATGAGCATCTGGATCCCCTTCCTTTACAGTCATCCCCTCCCTGACACACAGGCCTGTGCCACTGGTGCCAGCCTGGATGCAGGCTGGGTAGGTCTGGCAGTCAGGTGATGGTGGGGCCTCTGGCAGCCTCACCCCTCTGGAAGTGTGGCTGAGAATGTGCTGAGAGGGCTGGGCCAGAATTTTCCTGGGCCACTGGGGGAGCTGTGGTGTTTATTCACATTAGGAAAAAGAAGAAGGAAAAAGAAAGATGGAAAATAAGGTGGGAGCTGCTGAGCCTGAGGGAGGATGAGCTGGCTTCTGAGCAGACAGGTAGGGCCCCTTTCCAGGTGATGGTTCACAGAGGCAGAGTGGGCAGGGACAAGGGAGCCTCTGGGTCCAGAAAATGCCCAGAGGAAATGGAACCATTTCACAGAGAAGACACGACAGGATAGGATAGGTAAGAGAAGAAAACTAAATCCAAGGTGGGGGCAGTAGGTACAGAGCCATCTGTTAGCTGGAGAGTTGAGGCAGGCAGCAAAGACTGGGAAAGACACACCAAGAAAAGGCAGAGAGGCCAGGATGGTGGAAGAGGGCCAGACAAAGAAGGAGTGCAAGGTAGCGGCCTAAGCTAGGCCTTTGTCCCAATCCAAGGGAAAGTGGGGAGGAGCCAGCTCTCAGGACTGTGGCTGGAGGCTGGGTCTGCTATAATGCCTTCCTATCTGGCTAGTTCCTCTTCAATTAGGAGTGAGAGGCCAAGCGTGGTGGCTCACGCCTGTAATCCCAGCACTTTGGGAAGCCAAGATGAGTAGATCACCTGGCATCAGGAGTTCAAGACCAACCTGGCCAATGTGGCAAAACCCTGTCTCCACTAAAAAATACAAAAATTAGCTGGGCGTGGTTGCACACGCCTGTAATCCCAGCTGCTTGGGAGGCTGAGGGCAGGAGAATTGCTTGAACCTGGAAGGCGGAGGTTGCAGTGAGCCGAGATCACGTCACTGCACTCCGGCCTGGGTGACAGAGCCAGACTCCATCTAAAAAAAAAAAAAAAAAAAAAAAAGGAGTGGGGGCGGGCCAGTGCTGCATCCAAAGGACTATGTGATGGTGGGTCCCATCCTTCCCTGACACTTCGTCCACTGCCCATATGTTCCCTCCAGGTATACTGCTGTCCATACTGCAGCTTCCTGAGCCCAGAGTCCAGCCAGGTGAGGGCTCATACACTCTCCCAGCATGCAGTGCAGCCCAAGTACAGATGCCCACTGTGCCAGGAACAGCTGGTGGGCCGGCCTGCCCTGCACTTCCACCTTAGCCACCTTCACAACGTGGTGCCCGAGTGCGTTGAGAAGCTGCTGCTTGTAGTGAGTACAGGCTGGGTGAGGACGGTACAACAAGACCTTATTAGGGCTGTGCAGGAGGGGAGGAAGAGGCAGGGGTATTCAGGCAGGTGCATGTGTTGGGGGCAGGGGGCATTCAGGCAAGTGCGTGTGTTGGCTGGGTGAGGACGGTCCGACAAGGCCTTGTTAGGGCCATCCAGGAGGGGAGGAAGAGGCAGGAGTATTCAGGCAAGTGCATGTGTTGGCAACAAAAGCAGCATTTCATGGATTTGAAGTTGGATTTTAGAGAGGGAGACTCAGAACTGAGCTTGTCTAGCTGCCTCTACTTAAGAGATGAGGCAGAGGCTTCTGTTTCACCTCCACTAAGTCCTGAGAAGAGTTGTTGAACAGCAGGTACCAGCCTGCCAGACCAGGTAGCCTCAAAGAATGATGACTTCTGGTTTGGGGAAAGAGGAAGCCAGATAGGAGAGGTAGCAGCCCAGGCTCTCTCATCTGTAGCAAAAGCAGCAATTAGGTGGGAGGTTTGTTCAGACAGGAGGCTGGATCTGTGGCAAGGGATCTCGGCACAAGTACAGGTGTAGGGCAGATGGGTCAGGAGTGGCATAGGGGCAGTGGGGGGTGGTGGTGAAGCCACTAGGCTTTTTCTCATTGCAGGCTACAACTGTAGAAATGACATTTACAACCAAAGTGCTGTCTGCACCCACATTAAGCCCTCTGGACAATGGCCAAGAACCCCCCACTCATGGGCCAGAGCCTACACCGAGCAGAGACCAGGCAGCAGGTAAGGAATGGAACAGCAAACCTCCCAAGGTACCAGGAAAGGGGACTCCATGGGCCAACAAGGTCTGAAGATGACTGAGGCCAAGGTCAACTGCCTTGGTATTGAGTGGGTGGGGTCTGGCTTAAACGAAGTTCCCTCCTCATTGTACTTTCTTCTCTCTCCCCTAGAAGGCCCTAACCTGACCCCAGAAGCCAGTCCAGATCCTCTTCCTGAGCCTCCCCTGGCCTCAGTTGAGGTCCCAGACAAACCCTCAGGAAGCCCTGGCCAACCCCCTTCTCCAGCCCCATCTCCAGTCCCTGAACCTGATGCCCAAGCTGAAGACGTAGCTCCTCCGCCCACCATGGCTGAGGAGGAAGAGGGGACCACTGGGGAGCTCCGCTCTGCAGAGCCAGCTCCAGCTGACTCTCGCCACCCTCTGACCTATCGGAAAACCACCAACTTTGCCCTGGACAAGTTTCTCGACCCTGCCCGGCCCTATAAGTGCACTGTGTGTAAGGAGTCCTTCACCCAGAAGAATATTCTGTTGGTTCATTATAATTCTGTCTCCCACCTTCACAAGATGAAGAAGGCTGCCATTGACCCCTCTGCCCCTGCACGGGGAGAGGCCGGTGCCCCACCCACCACCACTGCTGCCACAGACAAGCCCTTTAAGTGCACAGTCTGCAGAGTCTCCTACAACCAGAGCTCCACCCTGGAGATCCACATGCGGTCAGTTCTGCATCAGACTCGCTCTCGGGGAACCAAGACTGATTCCAAGATTGAAGGGCCAGAACGCAGCCAAGAAGAGCCCAAGGAAGGCGAGACAGAGGGGGAGGTGGGCACTGAGAAGAAGGGCCCTGACACCAGTGGCTTCATATCTGGATTGCCTTTCCTGTCCCCTCCCCCACCTCCCTTGGACCTGCACCGATTCCCAGCCCCTCTCTTCACCCCACCAGTCCTGCCCCCCTTCCCTCTGGTGCCCGAATCACTGCTTAAGCTCCAGCAGCAGCAGCTGCTCCTGCCCTTCTACCTCCACGATCTCAAGGTGGGGCCCAAGCTGACACTAGCTGGGCCTGCACCTGTGCTGTCCCTGCCAGCTGCCACCCCTCCTCCTCCACCCCAACCTCCCAAGGCTGAGCTGGCTGAGCGGGAGTGGGAGCGGCCCCCCATGGCCAAAGAGGGTAATGAGGCAGGGCCTTCCTCACCCCCCGACCCATTGCCCAACGAGGCTGCCCGCACTGCAGCCAAAGCCCTTCTAGAAAACTTTGGCTTTGAGCTGGTGATCCAGTACAATGAAGGGAAGCAAGCTGTGCCCCCTCCCCCTACCCCACCCCCACCTGAGGCCCTCGGGGGTGGGGACAAGCTGGCCTGTGGGGCCTGTGGGAAACTCTTCTCCAATATGCTTATCCTCAAGACACACGAGGAACATGTCCACCGCCGCTTTCTGCCCTTTGAAGCCCTGAGCCGTTATGCTGCTCAGTTTCGAAAGAGCTATGACAGCCTATACCCGCCCCTTGCAGAGCCTCCCAAACCTCCTGATGGGTCTCTGGATTCACCTGTTCCCCATCTGGGCCCACCCTTCCTGGTCCCAGAGCCTGAGGCAGGGGGGACCCGTGCCCCTGAAGAGCGAAGTCGAGCAGGGGGACACTGGCCCATAGAAGAGGAAGAAAGCTCCAGAGGGAATCTTCCTCCCCTGGTGCCTGCCGGCCGCCGGTTCTCCAGAACCAAGTTCACAGAGTTCCAGACCCAAGCCCTGCAGTCTTTCTTTGAGACTAGCGCCTACCCCAAAGACGGAGAGGTGGAGCGACTCGCAAGTCTGTTGGGTCTGGCTAGCCGTGTGGTGGTGGTGTGGTTCCAGAATGCCCGCCAGAAAGCACGCAAAAATGCCTGTGAGGGTGGGTCCATGCCAACCGGAGGAGGCACTGGGGGAGCCTCCGGCTGCAGGCGTTGCCACGCCACTTTCTCCTGTGTTTTTGAGTTGGTGCGCCACCTCAAGAAGTGCTATGATGACCAGACCCTTGAAGAGGAGGAGGAAGAGGCAGAGAGAGGGGAAGAGGAGGAAGAGGTGGAAGAAGAAGAAGTAGAGGAGGAACAGGGCCTTGAACCTCCAGCAGGGCCTGAGGGCCCATTACCAGAGCCTCCAGATGGGGAGGAGCTGAGCCAAGCAGAGGCAACAAAGGCAGGAGGCAAAGAGCCTGAAGAGAAGGCTACTCCATCACCTTCCCCAGCCCATACCTGTGACCAGTGTGCCATTTCTTTCTCCAGCCAGGACCTCCTGACCAGTCACCGCCGACTACATTTCCTGCCATCTCTGCAGCCCAGTGCTCCCCCCCAACTCCTAGATCTGCCCTTGCTGGTGTTTGGGGAGAGAAACCCCCTGGTGGCAGCCACCTCACCAATGCCAGGTCCACCTCTCAAACGGAAGCATGAGGACGGCAGCTTGTCTCCCACAGGCAGTGAAGCAGGGGGAGGAGGGGAGGGCGAGCCCCCCAGGGACAAGCGCCTGCGCACCACCATCTTGCCTGAGCAGCTAGAGATCCTGTACCGTTGGTACATGCAGGATTCCAACCCAACACGCAAGATGCTCGACTGCATCTCCGAGGAGGTGGGGCTCAAAAAGCGAGTGGTACAGGTCTGGTTCCAGAATACCAGGGCCCGGGAGAGGAAAGGCCAGTTTCGAAGCACCCCTGGGGGGGTGCCTAGTCCAGCAGTGAAACCGCCTGCCACAGCCACCCCTGCATCCTTGCCCAAGTTCAACCTCTTATTAGGCAAGGTAGATGATGGCACTGGGAGGGAAGCCCCAAAGAGGGAAGCACCTGCTTTTCCCTACCCCACTGCCACGCTTGCTTCTGGGCCCCAGCCTTTCCTACCACCTGGGAAAGAGGCCACCACCCCAACACCAGAGCCACCTCTACCTCTCCTACCTCCCCCTCCACCCAGTGAGGAAGAGGGCCCAGAGGAACCACCTAAAGCTTCTCCAGAGAGTGAGGCTTGCAGTCTCTCTGCAGGAGATCTGAGTGATTCATCTGCTTCCAGCCTAGCTGAACCAGAATCCCCTGGGGCTGGAGGGACCAGTGGGGGACCTGGAGGTGGGACTGGGGTTCCAGATGGAATGGGGCAGCGGCGCTACAGGACCCAGATGAGCAGCCTGCAGCTGAAGATCATGAAAGCCTGCTATGAAGCTTACCGCACCCCCACCATGCAGGAGTGTGAGGTGCTGGGAGAGGAGATTGGGCTGCCCAAGAGAGTCATCCAGGTCTGGTTCCAGAATGCTCGTGCCAAGGAAAAGAAGGCCAAACTACAGGGGACAGCCGCTGGGAGCACTGGGGGCAGCAGTGAGGGCCTCTTAGCAGCCCAGCGCACTGACTGCCCCTATTGTGATGTCAAGTATGATTTCTATGTCTCCTGCCGAGGCCATCTCTTTTCCCGTCAGCACCTGGCCAAGCTCAAGGAGGCGGTTCGAGCCCAGCTGAAGAGTGAAAGCAAGTGCTACGACTTGGCCCCAGCACCTGAGGCTCCCCCAGCTCTCAAGGCCCCACCTGCCACCACACCTGCCTCCATGCCCCTCGGGGCTGCCCCAACCTTGCCTCGCCTGGCGCCGGTCCTCTTATCTGGCCCAGCTCTGGCTCAGCCCCCGCTGGGCAACTTAGCTCCTTTCAATTCAGGTGAGTAGGGAGGCTGGGAGGAGCTGGACTTCAGAGAACATCCCCCTCTAATGACATGCCCTTCCTTTTCCTTCCTGATTCTTCCCATGCCCAATCTCCTGTGGCCTTCCTTTGCATCAGGCTCTTGGGGGAAAGAAGGGAGGGAAGGGGCATGGAAATCCGGTGCTGGGAACGGGTGTGTGTGGCTGGAGGTGGCCTATGGCAGGAAGAATGATGGGACAGGAGATGGCTAATCCTTCATCCTTCCTTTCACCTTTCTAGGCCCGGCAGCCTCCTCAGGCCTCCTCGGCCTCGCCACTTCGGTCCTGCCTACCACCACAGTGGTCCAGACTGCTGGCCCAGGCCGCCCCTTACCTCAGAGACCCATGCCCGACCAAACCAACACCTCCACAGCAGGCACCACTGACCCTGTCCCAGGCCCTCCTACTGAGCCCTTGGGGGACAAGGTCTCCAGTGAGCGAAAGCCAGTTGCAGGCCCCACCAGCTCCTCCAATGATGCCCTCAAGAACCTCAAAGCATTGAAGACCACTGTCCCAGCCCTGTTGGGGGGCCAGTTCCTGCCCTTTCCATTGCCCCCTGCTGGGGGAACAGCACCGCCAGCTGTCTTTGGCCCCCAGCTACAGGGGGCCTACTTCCAACAGCTCTATGGCATGAAGAAGGGGCTATTTCCCATGAACCCCATGATACCTCAGACCCTCATTGGGCTGCTCCCCAATGCCCTCCTCCAGCCGCCACCCCAGCCCCCTGAGCCCACAGCCACAGCACCTCCAAAGCCTCCTGAACTGCCTGCTCCAGGGGAGGGGGAAGCTGGTGAGGTTGATGAGCTGCTGACAGGCAGCACTGGCATCTCCACCGTGGATGTAACCCATCGCTACCTGTGCCGCCAGTGCAAGATGGCATTTGACGGGGAGGCCCCGGCTACTGCCCACCAGAGATCCTTCTGCTTCTTTGGGCGGGGCTCTGGGGGCTCCATGCCACCCCCATTGCGGGTGCCCATCTGCACCTACCACTGCCTGGCATGTGAGGTGCTGCTGAGTGGGCGTGAAGCCCTAGCCTCCCACCTGCGCTCCTCGGCCCACAGGCGCAAGGCAGCCCCACCTCAAGGGGGCCCACCCATCTCCATCACCAACGCCGCCACTGCTGCCTCGGCTGCTGTGGCTTTTGCCAAAGAGGAAGCAAGATTACCTCACACGGACTCCAACCCAAAAACTACGACTACCTCTACACTTCTAGCTTTATAAACAGATTAACCAAGATGGGGAGAGGGGAGGGCCTCAGGGCTCCCTCTTTTACCCCAAGGGGTGTTCGGTGGGAGCTCAAATCCCTCACCCCACCCCCTGGCCCCGCCCACCTCACAGGAACTGTTCAGTTCCCACCCTCAGTGGGCACCACACACCCCACTTCCAGCAGAGTCCTGCCTCCTCCCAATCCCCACAGACACACACATTGATCCTCCTCCTCAGCTCCTTGCAGATGTAGCCCTTGCCCATCTTCACAGACACATACACCCATCTTGGCACCCTGATTATTCATACATGTCTGCCTACCACACACAAAATATATCCTTGGTTCTATCTTCCTTTTCCTCACTGAATTCCCAGCTCCCCATCCCCATAAATGCATACACATACATGCACACACACACGTTATCCCATGATGTTCCACTGAGAAAACACCAAAAAATTTTGAAAAAGAAGATAAAAAGAAGAAACGAAAAAGAAAGCCCAAGGCAAAGAAGGGGGAAGGAAAACAAACTTCGCCACTCTCTCTTCTCCTTCCTAACCCTTTGTCTAGAGCACCACACCGCTCACAAACTCTTTCCAAATGCTCAGTTGGCTCCCAAAGTTGGAGCCTGGCATGGGCAGGGAGCCCACAAAACTCTAACCAAACTGGAGGCTGGCATGGGAGAAGTGCTTCTGGTTCACTCTTCCTACCCTCTCCCTCCTAACCCTCTCCTTGCCTGACAGGGGAGCCCCTGTGGCCTGGACTCTAGGGGATGCCGCCACCAGAAACCCCTCTGCCAATCCCTACCTTGCACCCTGGGAACTGCAGTAACTTATTCTCAAAGGCTTTAAACACAGAGATCCTCTCAGCGGCCGTGGGCCTGCCCCTTGTCCTAGCCCTGCCACGTGAGGGTCCAGCCTCCAGGGACAGGCACTGCCCACCAACGGCAAATCCAAAGTTCTTTCAAAAAAAAAAACTGAAACACAACCAAAAAAGCAAGAGCGAGAGAGAGTACGTGCACACGCGCACAAAAGAGAGAAACGGACACCAGAGGAATGAACTAAAGAAAAACGTAAACTTGGAAAATACAGAAAAAAAAAAAAAGGAAGAAAACTCCCATCAGACAAGTGTTTTTTTTCCTATTTGTGTCACTCCCTGCTCCCTGTCCCACCCCCACCCCCCCGGTTTAAGGGTTTCTTTAAACCACCTCATCTTTGGAAGACCAAACAGCTTTAGCTCCTTGCTATGGGTCTGGTGGTCCTCGAAGGGCCGATGCCGGTGCAGCCCTCCCCTGCTATGCGCAGCCTCCAAGGTGGGAGCTGGCGATACAGGGAGAAGAGCCTGAACTCTGGGGAGGGACATGTCCCCGCTCCCTGAGTTGGGTATTTATCAGGACAGGTAATAGCCCCTCATTTCCAGCTATGAGTTAGAAAAGTCAGTGTCACCAAAAGTATCTTGGCAGTCCCAGGAAGAAGGGGGTGAGTGGGGTATTTAACTTCTGAATCTGAGATCTGCTTCTCTTTCATCTCCTGCCTTCTCCTTGCATTTACCTTTCTCACAAACTCCTAACCCTGCTGCCCCCCTGGAGGCCCACCTTTGCTGGGTCCCTTGTTCCCTTCCCCCCAGTCTCCTTTTCTTCCCCCTTGTCCTCTGCCCTTGCTCCTGCTCCCTCCAGTCCAGCCCAGCCCAGCTTCTCCGTTAAGCAGCAGCTGCTGGAGGCATCCCCAAGGGAGTCGGGACCCGTCCATGAGACTCATGGGGTTCTAGAGCTGACACGAATTGAGGGGATGGGGTGGGCAAGGAGATGACTGAAGCACAGGTCAATCTTTGATAGGGTGTTATCACCAAGGGAACCAACAGAACCTAGAAGAATGTTCTGTACCCCTAGGCAAATGGTTTCTGTAGCCATCAGGTGAAAATTCTGGCAACCCTAAAGCCCAGCTAAAGTAGTGTGGGGTAGAGAAGTCCATGTTTTCTTTTAGCAAAGAAAAGTCTGCAAAATTCCTCGTCCTCCAGGTAGTTTTTCCTACTACTCTTGTCCCTAAGACCACTTCTCTTTCAAGGTGTTCTCCTTCCATCCTCTCTCCCCTCCAGGCTGTTGCTCTATCATTATCCATTTCATATTCTCATACAAATTCAGCCAGCCCTGGGATTTAGGTTTTCTGCTCTATCAGTCACATCACTCTGTGAACATGTTAATACTGAAGCAGTGTCTTACATGCAGACAGAATGGGAGGGGACAGAAAATTCAGCTCAGTCAGTAGCCCCCATATATTCCATGAGTCTCACTTCCTGTCCCATTCACTTCTGAATAACTCCAACTCTAACAAATTAGGGGTGGGGTGGAGTTAGTTTTCTAACTAACAGCAAATTAGGCGGAGTTAGTTTTGTAATTCCACCCCAATTTCTGATACCAAAAATGCCAGTCACAGATCTAGGCAACAGGAGAGAAACTGGCCACCGGGTCTTGTGCTCACTGCCACCTTCTTTCCCCGCCTCTCTTGTACCCCTCTCTCCCTGTCCTTTTCTCTCTCCTGTTGAAATTCTATATATAAAACTATTTTCTTAGCAGCATGTATCTGAGGAAAGAAGATTCTTCACTTGTGCTTTCTGGGAATGTGACTTGTGTATAAAAGTTAGAAACCAAAAACAATTTAGAACAAAAACAAGACAAAGGAAACGTTTTAAAGAAAGCATCGACAAACACCTGGCATGGAATGATTAGAAGTGTGGTGTGCTGTATCTTAAGGATTTCAGCCAACTTCAGTTTGAACTATGAGTGTTTTCACCGAGAGTTGATGTAACCAGAAATCCCCCCTCCTCTTGTCACGCAACATGTTCTTTTACACCTAACACCCTGGCCTGGCAATACCACGTGCGGTCCCAACAGTAGATATGAGCTGACTCTAAGCAACTGTACTTACCTGGAACCCTGGAATTTGGGGGCAAAAGAGCCGGGCTGACTCTGCTGACTTAGGTCAATTAACATGCTTCCTGAGGGGGCACCATTCCATGTTCCCAGTGGCTGGAAGCATTCCTTCCCAGTCCCTTTCTCACACCAGAAGTCCTTAGCAGCAGCAGTCCTGCTCCAGAGAGCAATGCACAGTGGGCATTCTGGTGGACAGAAGGCTGAGTCAGCACAATCCTTTGCAGAATCCTAGAGGCTAATGCCAAGTCACCAGAATTAAATCATGGTATTTCTCCTGTGGAGTAACAGCCGTAACTCAAGCATTTGGCACAATAACACCTATTTTACAGTACCTCCCCCACCCCTAACCCTAGGGCTTGGCTTCTAACATACACTCGTCCTTAAAGAGGCACCCAAATTGAGCTCTGCCCTACTTAACGACCAGGGTCAGACCAAGAGGCGGTGGTGAAAGTGATCTTGGCTATTTTTGCTCTAAACCAGAGTCTGTGTGAGGATGGTGTAAGGTGTCCAATCCTCAACTAGGAACAAAAAGATTGCTAGAAGAATATAAGAAAATCTGAAGCCTTAATGGCCAAACAAGACAGAGTTTGCAACAGGAACCACATAAAGAAATCTGTTTCTATCCCACCCTTCCAGCCCTGGAGTATACTTACAGAAGTAGGCTTAAGAACCAAGCAAGCCTTTTATTCCAGGCATAATAGCACCCATCTGCTTAATTCTTTGTATTTGTTTCTTAACCACTCTCAGGGCTTATAGACCAGACCACTGATTCTCCAAATCTCCACCACTGTGATCTGTTTTAAGACAGTCATTCATCCCTGGAAAGATATGTAAATCTGAAATATAGAGCTCCATATATATAACTACACCAGTGAAACAAACAAACACACCCTCAGAAACAGCAGCAGACCCCAGCAGAGGGGGCTGCAGGGAAACACACCAGTGCCAGCAAGGATGGGGCCCCATGGGCATATGTATAAGTACAAGGGACATATCCCAAGACCCATGACCTATACTCCCATAAGCAGAAATACCCTCCAACACACGCTAATTTTTCTCACACAAAAGTAGGTAGAAAAAGCTTATAAACAGAGAAAGTGAGAGGAAAAAGTAACCGGTAAGAGGAAGAGTGACCAAATGTTGAATATTAACATATGGGGAGAGGATCTGCTAAGGAGTGTGTAACAACTCACCTGCCAAATCAACTAGCCCTGAAAATGGATGGGCATTGGGCCCATACCAAGCTGTTGCTGGCAGTCAAGAGGGGACAGGGGGATGGCAGCAGTGGGGGCACGCACATGGTTGAGGGGTCCACTCCCCTCCTCGCAGTCACAAAAAACAAACAAACAAACACACACACACCCGATGGGGAGAGGACCGTAAATTATTCTGGACATCAGGGAAGAGATATGTAGGAGGCAAATTAGGAGGAAACTTTTGGGAAAACTCATATGATGTCACCATGAAAAACAGGGTAAACTTCTGCGAATGGCCAGGTATTGGGGGACAATTTCTCTCAGAAGCAACCAGTCAGAAACTTATAAGCCATGAAAGCGTCATTTCTAGGAGACTGAGTTGGGAAGAAATGCCTTTATACTGAGAAAGCTCTTGCTACAGCAAGTCTGTAGACCCAGCCTCAGGGTCTACAGGATTATAGCTCAGATACATTATAAAAAGATCAGATGAAGGCAAATTTGAGAGAGGACATTTGCAGAAGATCTTGACCATGGCCCATCAAGTTTGGGGAAAGATGGGAAGTAATCATGAAGGTAATTCCTCTTGAGAGAAACTATATGTTATGGGAAGAAGATAAAATTGCGTGATTCAATTGCGTGACCACCCAGTGACGCTCCTTCATATATGGAACCCAGACAGCCCTCACACAAAGCACAGACAAGGGGTAAATGTCATTATTCTCTGGCAGTAGTCTAAGTATGGTATTTCTTGCAATTCCGCAGCCATGGAAAGAAGTCTGGCCAGAAGCTAATGGGGAAGCAGGTTGAGTATAGGTAGACCAGAACAAGCTGAACCTGTCCAAGAAGAGGGGGAAAGGTGATGCAGCACCCGGGGTTGACTCCTAATCCCACCCAACTGCACACATATTCTTACACAAACAATGGCTAAGACACCACAACCAGTAATCAGCAGGGGCTCAGCACTGCCCCATATCTACAAGTCCTCCCTGATACCAAACCCTGCACTAAGTCTTCTCAATTGGATGTGAAGAATGACCCATGCTGTGCTCATTTCTAGATGTCCCCACCAAGTGCTCAAACCACAGCATCTTCTGCCATTTGCTGAGTATCAGCAGTAGGCTGAGTTGTACTCTGTGGACCCCTACTTCCATTACCCGGGACCCAGGCCTGCCTCCAGGACCCATCTTGTACCTAGCCACAAAATCTACACAATTTTGACTTGATCACAGAGAATAATCTCTTGACAATGTTCCTAACCTAGTGATTCTCAATGATGAGGTTTCAGAAACCCACGGGCAGCCAGCCTTCAGAATCTGTGGGTGAAGAAAGAGTGAATTTTCAAAGTGTTCCCTAAAGGATTCTTCTGTGGTAACTACTGCCAGTGAGGATCATTGTTCTAACAAGTTACATTCGCTGGATTCAACCTCACAATCTCTCCTTTTCCTCCCACTGCTCCCACCCAAAACGCATACACACACCCCACAACAAACATATCCCAAACATGTCAGCATAAAGACATGAGTAAGTCTGGGGAAGACAGATGCAAAAGGCAAGGGAAACCCTGATTGGATCGACCATCCTAAAGGTGACTGCCATCTCTCAGAACAGTGTTTTTCAACGTTTCAAGTGTCCACTTGGAACATGAGTGCTTATGTAAAATGCATATTCCTGGACCACACCTAAGACCAACTGAACCAGAAACTCCTGAAATGATTCTATGCCCTCTGAAGTTTGAGAACCACTGACCTAGAGAGCTTAGCACCATATCTGTGACCTGCCCCCATCTCTTCAGCACCCAGGGACCAACCCTGCTACCCCAGGGGCTACCACACCAGGGCTTATCATAACCTCAGATTTGTTGACTTCATTACTCTGACATCACCCCGACTCCCACCCCCAACATACTGGAAACTGACCATGGTCTTCTGCTCACGTTGGCTGTTCTTGAACAGGAGAAAAGATAGAAACATTGTCCACTCACCACTTTGGCTGAGTGCCTCCCTGCTTTCTCCTCTGCTGTGGAAAACACCTTGCTTCTTCTGAAGTAGCCATACACTTCCAGAGATGCTGAAATCAGAACTTCCCCAGCCCTGAGCAGCTCAGCCCAGCATGGACTTTACTCCTACCTCTGGGCAGGTCCTATCTCCCAGAGCCACCCAGCCTCCCCTCCACATCACCCACAGCCAAATCTTCCAGATCTTCTAAAGATCTGCCCAGTCACTGGGAAAGCCAAACCTACTAGAAATTCTTTCAGATGGGGGCTCAAGGTCTAGTTTTCTGAGGGCTAGTCTGTATCACCACAGATGCTGGGGATTCTCCTCCTAGGGGCCTTCCCCTCTACCAGGGATCATTGCTTATCCTCAATCTCCCTTCTTGGGATGGATTTCAAAGATATGGAAATCTATCCAACTCTAACTGGGTGCCTTGCATAGTCTTTCTGGAAGGACAAGTCCCTTTGTCTTCCTAACACCTGTCTACCTCTCTAGGCCTAGAGCACCTTTCCATCTTTCTAGGACTATTATTGAATATGGACCTTTTAACAAGGGAGAAAGAACCAGTTCATCTCAACCACAGCTCAGCAAATCACAAGGCACAAGGCAGAATGAAATATGCATAAGTACAAACCACCCCATCACCCAAGAGCAAGGTCTGAGGGTCACTCCTTCCTACTTCCCTTCCAATCTCTTCTTGTGCCATCCTGGTAACAACACAGCTGGTGTCCCTCTCTCCACCTCCTTTTGCTCTCCTAGGGTTTTGTTGTTGTTGTTGTTGTTCTTGTTGTCCAAGGATATGTATGGTCCACTAGCCTGGAGCCTTGGGTGTGTCTACAGCCTGTGCTCTAGCCTGTCCCTCTGTGCTTGTTTCCTTTCGCATGGTGCTCAAACACTCAATATGGTACCATCTAAATCCCTTTCGTGGGGGCAATAAGGGTAGGAAGGAGGTGGATATCTAGTTGGGAGGAAGGCAGAGCTGAGATTGACCAGGGAGTGCTGACTCAGCCCAGTTGTTAAGGGCATCCTCTCATGCCAGTTCCCTGCACAGAGCTCCACCCAATGCCTGGCCACCACTATGTGCACAGCCCCCTCTCTCTGACTGCTGCCAAGTGGCATCATGAGCATGTTTGGTGGCTTTGGGTTTGCTGCAGTGCCAGGATCTGAGACACTGTTCACGTGCCAGTGCAGCACTGCCAAACGTGGCAGCATCCAGTTGGTTGGGTGCCAAGCAGTAGGACCCAGGTGGTGATGAGAGATGAAAGCGGGGTGAGGCGAAGGGAGGGGGAGGAGAGGAAGGTACCGAAGAAGAAAATCAGACACCTCACTTGTTCAAGTGGAGAGTCCAAATGGGATCTGCAGAAAGGTACCCTTCCCATTCTAGAGCCCAGCTCAGCAAGCCAGCCCTTCCCTCCTTCCACCCCAGCAAAAGTGGCATATACAGACCAGACAAGGGGATCTGGCCATCTTCAGCAGGGAACTGGCTGGGGGCCAGGCAGGACTGCCAGCGCTTTCCATCCTTCTTCCTTGGGGTCTTGGCAATGGTGTGCTTCCTCCTTTGTGTCTTCATGCCACTCTCCGTCTGTTGCTCCACTCCCCATGCCTAAGAGGGAAGGGGAAGGAGGACCTGGCAGAAAAAAATCTGGTCTCCCAAACACCCCACCTCCCGAAATGTTTCACCTCCTTCCTTCTCACTCCTGGCACAATAGCCCTCTCAACCAGATTGGCAAGAGGCACTGTCAACCTCCCCTGTTCCACACAATGCCAGAGCCTGTGCCAGGTGCCATGGGCAGTGCCAGCACCCACCCACCTCACATCTGGTCCTCTTGCTGTCTCCTTCAATACTCTGACAAAGGGCCAGATTGCCAGCCCCAACAAGTTCTCCCTGGGTACGGTGGCACACTCCCTCCTCCCTGGCTCGTAGACTGTTTCTTGGCACTTCCCTGGCTACTCTCTCCACCACTTTACTTCCTCAAGCTGGAAGAGCACTAATCACCTCATACTCCAACCATTTTTCAGAGCTGAGCTTCTAGAGGGACAGCAACATCAGAAACACATTCTGCCCCTCCTCCCTGCTTCCTGGATCCCCCAGTCTCCATTGCCCCAGTTCTGGGCACCGGCCTGACAGATGTGATGCCAACAGCTCCCATGTACAAAGCCTTCCTCCCAGAGCACAGGACTCCTGCCGCTGCGCCCTCCACTCGCCTCCTCCCATCTCCGTGGGCACAAGGGTGGCAGCTACAATGCCAATGCCTGTAAGCAGGCAGCATGAAGCAACTCATGCACCCTCTTCTCCCCTCCCAGACCCCAAGCCTCTCCCCTCCTTCTTCCACTCCATCCCTCTGTCCTTCTGGTTGTACACTAGATTGGCAACCGCAATGCCAACCCCCACCCATGCCCAGGAGGCTCACATACAGCACACGCTTATGCGTACATGTACATGCGCGCACACACACATACACACACACACGGCCCCATGAGTGCCAGGCAGCGGTGGCAGACACACAGCAATGCACAGTGACTGGTACCCGAGGAGGCAGCCGGATTCAGCACCTGATCCAGCACCCGTTTGGGATTGGGTGGGTAGGCGGGCGGGCGGAGGGGTGATGGAGGCAGACGATGGCCCTAGGTTGGCAGCCGATGGAGCTGGGAGAATGGAGGGAACAGATGCTCTTTGCCCAGCCTCCCTCCCTCTCTCTCCCCGAGATCAGTGCCAAGCTGGGGGGATGGGGAGAGGGGAGGATGGGGGAAGGGTGGCATTTGGAGAGCTGGCAGGCGGAGGGAGCTGGGTCCGCCCAGGCTGGGCAGTGCCGGCACTGGCTGCTGCCTCTCCACTCTGCCATCTGTCTCGCTTCTCTCCCCACCCACTTTCTCTCTTTTTCTCTCTCTCTCCTTCATCCACAGCAATACGAAAAGAGGAAAACAGGGTCCTCATTCCACCCACCCCCAACCTCTGCCAGACCCCCCTCTTTTCCTCCCCACAACTCACCACACCATACCACCACCAAGCCATCTGTGCTCTCCTCCTGGCTCAGTCACCTTCTTTCACTCGCCTTCGCCCTCACACCAGAACGGGTGCAATTTAAAATATATATATATATATGCATATATACATATATATGCATATATATATACACACACACACACACACATATATATTTTTTAAAGCAACTTAAAAGAAAAACTCTTTTCTTTGGGAATATCCTATCCTTCTGAGTCTGGGTCCTCAGTACCAATATTTATGGCAGGCAGAGGGAGGGGACCCCGTTCTCAGCTGGTGCCCATGAATCCCATGCCAGGGAGGAGGGGTGGCTGGGGTGGGGTGGGGGTGGGGTGAGGTGGGGTATCGGGAGAGCTCGCTTCTCTCTGCGCCTGTGGTTGTTTCTTTTTTTTCTCCTCTTCTACTTCCGGAGCAGATTCAAATAGATCTAGAGCCTTCCCCACCCCCAGCCGCACAGCCCCAGTTCCCAGGGCCCCTGTGCCCTTCCCTGCCTGCTTTTGATTCCTCGATCACCCTTTCCTTTTTGTGTGTGTGTGTATACGTGTGCGTGCGCGCAAGTGTGTTTGCATCCATGGCGGTGGGCACTGTGCCAGCCACCGCACAGCCATCTGCGATGCCTTCTGCAACCTCTGCTATTTCTCCCTGTCACCTCCAGCCCCCAACCCCCTGCACCCCAGCTCCCCAGCCCCCAGTCCCCAATCATTAATTAGCTACTGAATTAATTAAATCGTGGATGCTAATTAACATTCCTACAGGGCAGGCTGCCAGGCTGGGGGTGCAGAGGGGATGTGAAGAGAAGTAGAGATTGGGATGGGGGAGGAGGAAGGAGAGCCAGTCTTCTTAGAAGAACAGCGGGGAGGGAAAGAGAACCCAAAAGAAGGATGAAGGAGGAAGAGAGCTGAGTGGTGATGGACAGGTTGGGGCGGGGGAAGGAGGAGAATAGACATGGAAAATGGGGTATAAAACTGCAGTCCAAGTGAGCGCCACCGAGCCTTCTTACCCAAATTAAGACTCAGCCAGTTCCTTGTCTTCAAGCTCATTTCCCCACCCCAGCCTAGAGAAGTATATTCCTCAGGCAGCTGACTCCAACAGTTGCTTCTCCTATAGAAAACCAACCCCAAACCAGGGAGTCAACAGCTACTATTTGTCAATTCAGCCACACTGACCCTCAGACCAGGTCACCAAGAGAACACTCTGGGCTCAGAGGGGTCCCTGTTGACTTGCCCTTGTCTACCTCTCTGTCAAGGGGAAGGAGCATTCTAGGAACATCTGCTGCAGGGAGACATGGGAGATCAATATAGGGAAATGTGAGGGTATCAAATCAATGGGAATTATTAATAGCAGAGAATCGCTGACAGTGCCTGTAAGACTGCCTTAGGAAGACCACAACATAACACTGCCTGCCTTTGCAGTTCCAGAGTAGGAAAAGTGTGTACTCTTACCTACCTCAAAAGTCAGGAATTTAGGAATAAGTCAGTAAGGGCTATCTAACTTTGAGTTGTTATTTTTTTAAAAAGGAGAGAGATGCCAGTATAGTGAAACTTCTTCCTGGGTGTGCTCTGTGAAACATTAATCTGATGAAATGCTCCTCAAGAAAAAAAGGACCCCCCAATCAAATTAGTTTGAGAAATACTGCATATTCCCTCTTTTAAGAGATTCACAATGTATGCTGGTATGTTAAAGGCTCTGAGGAGCTGGTTAAAAAACCCAAATGGTTGATCATGTTTAACCCACTAATTCTCAAACTTATTTGGCCATAGAGGCCTTACTTTTTAAGTTTTATTTTTATTTATTTATTTATTTATTTATTTATTTTGAGGTAGGCTCTTGCTCTGTCACTCAGGCTGGAGTGCAGTGGCATGATCACAGCTCACTGCAGCCTCCAACTCTTGGGCTCAAGCAATCTGCCCACCTCAGCCCTCCAAGTAGCTGAGACTACAGTTATGTACCACCAGGCCCAGCTAACTTTCAATTTTCAATTTTAAATTTTAAATTTTATTCCCACAGAAGCAGTATTCTGCTTTGTGGAAAGCCCTATCAAGTAACTAGGGCTGGTTCTGACCTGGAAGCTGGCAGATGGATAAGCCGTCCCCACCCAGGTCAGCAGCATCCTAACAGTCCATGAACAAAGGGACAGCAGTGAGGCTGTCTTTCTAATGTAGGAGTAATACAGGAAAGTACCAAACCAGCTCATGGGGTGCGGAAATCATATCACAGACCTATACCCTTTGCCTTCACCCCATCTTTGGAACCCTGCAGCATCTATCTTCCCCTGGAAAGTCTATTCTGTATCCCTGTAGGGGTAGGGGATGGGAGAAGGAGTTTGTGTTTTTCAAAATCTCCCCTCAGTGTTCCTGATATCTTGGATTCAGAACTTCAGTTCTAAGCCATCTCTGCTCTCTCTTCTAAAACATCCTTCACTATAGACCATTGGCATCAACACAAAGCTTCTATTCCTATTACCTCCTCAATCCCATTCTGGTCCAGAAACTACAAATGTCTCCTGGGACATCTCCTGCTGCATCCCTAGCAACCTTCCCTTTTCCTGTCCTCACTTAGGCATCTGGAGTCCCTGAGGTCACTTAACCTCTCTATCAGAGTCCTCAAGAGGATAGGCTGTCTGAAACCTGCAGGGACATATGACTCACCTTAATTTTAAATTTTATTCCCACAGAAGCAGGTTCCACTTTGAGGAAAGCTTGTCAAGTGACCAGGAGTGGTTCTTTAGCTCCTTGAGCTTCAGAACATCTACCCTCATGATGACTGGCCTCCCCCTGCCATAATGAGCCCACCTTTCCTTGCATGGCCCTTTGTGGAGCTGAAGAACAATGGTAATAGGTGGAGACCAGCTCATTTTAATAAGAATATTACCAATTTTTTTTCACTTTCTGGGTCCTATTGTTGGTCCCATCCTACGTCATACCCATGCTCCCAGTGTACAACCCCCCCCAACAACTTAACAAGAGTGATGACTCTTCACAAGAAAACTCACCATACCATTTCAAAGACAGAATAGCTTTAAAATACAAATTTGATTTGCCATATTTCCAGGTGATAAGGTCCCTCCAAACTCTGAAAGCCTATCAATGTCCCAGCTGACCCCATCTCCTCCCTCCCTCTCTAAAGCCTCCTGTAGAAGTCCCAGACTCCTGACAGCCTATGGCACAGGAATGACAGAGCCATTTCAGAGTGTGACTCACTGTCCCACCTGCTGACTACTCCTCTAGCTGAGGAACCATAGGATAAAGGGGCACAAAGTGAAGTCACTCACCTAACCAGAGTCTAGAGGCAAAACCTAAATGTTCTCAGAGGACACATTTTTTAAAGAAAGCATTTTAGGGCTGCTTTTATCATTGGGTGACATCTTTGATAAATTATCCCCTCAGTGGTCAGTGAGAGAAGCCAATACTCAGTTTGCCAGGGTTGTAGATTCCATCCTGGTTCACTTTCTCTTCTAGAGCCTGTTTTATCTCTCCAACACTCAGATACTGAGCAGTTGTCAGTAGCAGAGGCACTCCAGAGCTGCAATATAAATGATGATTATTATATTATCAAATAACATTGCCAAGCCTGGCTGGCTCCCTATAACAGTGATGGTAGAGGTGAGCTACAAGATTCAGTATTGATAAACTGTATATTGTCTTCTGGAACCATCATTCGGCCTGACAGCCACTCTCCAAGCCTCCCACCATTAGCAGCAAAGAAGCAGGAGAGACTACTTAGTGGTGGCCCTTGGGGGATGGGGAGGCTATGCAGGAGAAAAAACAGAGAAGGCCAGGAAACCTTGAGGAAGATGAAAAGTCCTCAGCATCCACCACTTCTACATCCCCCCTGCAACCCGAACCAGCCTACTCCAACCTTTCAACCTAGATATGCTCCACACCTAGGGCCGCTGCACTAGCTGTCCTCTGTGCCTGGTATGCATGTCCCTGGATAACTGGGTGGCAAGCTCCCTGTCCTCCACCTGCTTGTTGCTCACTGAGGCCTAGCCTGACAACTCTATTTTTCTTTTTTTTTTTTTTTTTTTTTTTTTTGAGACAGAGTTTTGCTCTTGTTGCCTAGGCTGGAGTGCAATGGCACGATCTCAACTCACCACAACCTCCACCTCCCCGGTTCAAGCGATTCTCCTGCCTCAGCCTCCCCAGCAGCTGGGATTACAGGCATGAGCCACCATGCCTGGCTAATTTTGTATTTTTAGTAGAGATGGGGTTTCTCCATGTTGGTCAGGCTGGTCTCGAACTGCCGACCTCAGGTGATCCACCCGCCTCGGCCTCCCAAACTGCTGGAATTACAGGCGTGAGCCACTGCACCTGGCCCTGACCACCCTACTGTAGCTTACCCCCAACCCAACCCCTTTACCCTCCTCTATGTTTTCCTTTTTCCAAGCATTTATTACCTTCTAACATACTACATAATTTAGCTATTATGTTTATTGTTTATTTCTATTTCTCACCTCTGGTATGTAACCTCCACAAGGGTAGGGATCTTTGCTTTATTCACAGATATATCCCAAGCACCAATAATGGTGCCTGAAATAAAGGAGGTGCTCAATAAATATTTGCTGAATGAACAAAGCTAAGTATAGAATGGTATATGTTTTGGTCAGATCCATCTGATTAATTCCATCATTAAGGCTGAGCACAGGGAGAAATGGGTCATTTCAGTGTTCTCTACCTACTGGCAAGATGGCTGGTAAACACTCTACATCCTCCTCTGTCTCCACCACGGCCTCAAGAACATACTAGTCAGGAGAACCTGGATGTTTCAGTGGGATGTTTTCTGGAACTCCAAGCACCTTCCCAACTTGCACTCAGTGGGGTTGCTTAGTCCTCCTCCACAGACTTCAGTCCCCTATTCCAGGCTATCCCAGGTTAAATACAAACTTCTAGAGCCATGGTTCTCCAACTTGAGTAAGCATAAGAATAACTTGATAAGCTTGCTGACAATGCTTATTCCCAGACCACGTTTCACAGACTCTGATTCACTAGGGCAGAGGAAGGACCCAGAAATATGCATTCTAATAACTCTCCCCATCCACAAGGTATTTGTAGTAACAAGTATTGTTTGGGAATAGGGAAGAGTGGGTCACTCAGATATAATATAGCTAGGCCAGATCCCAAGACTAGGGGTTGAAAAGGAGCCCTGGGTGTCCTCTGCTTCTACTAGGTTAAGGTCATGTCACCTGGAGATCTCCAAAGGCCAACTGTATTTCCTTCAACAATAACAATAACAAGCAGTGTTTACTCAGCACTTCCCTTATATCAGGTGCTATATTAACTCATCTAATACAGCTCTGTGAAATAGGGTCTATTATTACACCTATTAACTGAGGCAAGGAGAGGTTAACTAGTGAGAGGAACAGCTGAGATTCTAACCAGGCAGACTGTGCTCCAGAGCCCACTCTTTTTAAAAAAATTTTACTTATTTAATTGACAAATAAAAATTGTATATATTTATTGTGTATAACATGATGTTTTAAAATATGTATACATTGTGGAATGGCTCAGTTGAGCTAATTAACATATGTATTACTTCATATACTTACCATTTTTTGTGGTAAAAATGCGGTAAAAAACATTATATCTTTTTTTTGAGATGGAGTCTTGCTCTGTTGCCCAGGCTGGAATGCAATGGCACCATCTTGGCTCACTACAACCTCCGCCTCCCGGATTCAAGCGATTCTCCTGCCTCAGCCTCCAAGTAGCTGGGATTACAGGCGCACACCACCACACTCGGCTAATTTTTTCGTATTTTTAGTAGAGACAGGGTTTCACCACTTTGGCCAGGCCCGTCTTGAACTCCTGACCTCAGGTAATCCGCCTGCCTTGGCCTCCCAAAGTGCTGGAATTACAGGTGTGAGCCACCGCACCCAGCCTTGATTTTCAATACACTACACTGTTATAAACTATAGTCATCATTTTGTACAATAGATCTCTTGAACTTATTACAAAAACTAAATTCTTGATTTTACCCCTAAACCTACTCCCTTCACAGTCTTTCTTGAGTAAATGCAGAGCCCACTATTTTAACTACATTGCAAACTCACTGACTCTGGGCCTATAGATGGCCAGTTAGTTGCTCCAAGTGACAGATCCAAGACTAGGTCTAAGTCTCCTAAATTCCAGGACAGTGCTGGGACATCAGTCTCCCACCATAGAATCAACAGCAGAAATGAATTTTATAAAGTCAGTAGTGTCCACATATCCCCTCAGGGAAATTTTAAGCTCTCTAGGTAAGATGGTTCCCTAGTATCCTATTCTAGAAGCTCTGAACCTGGAATACTTCTAGTCCATGCGATCTCACATTTATATATTTCACTATCATTCAACATAAAACTAATAAGTACCTACTTAATGCCAGGAACTGTGCTAGGCCTGCAAAAGAGCAATGGTGAGCACAAGAAACTACAAGTAGATTACTGCTGTACAGCAAAAAGTATAAGGCAAAGGGCCAGACACTGTGGCTCATGCCTATTAATCTCAGCACTTCAGGAGACCAAGGCGGGAGGACTGCTTGAGGCCATGAGTTTAAGACCAGCCTGCACAACATAGTAAGACCCTGTCTTTACAAAATAAAAAATAAGCCAGGCATGATGACATGCACCTGTAGTCCTGGCTACTCAGGAGCCTGAGGCAGAAGGATTGCTTGGGCCCAGGATTTCTGAGGCTGCAGTGAGCTATGATTGCACCACTGCACTCCTGTCTGAGCAACAGAGTGAGATCCTGTCTCTTAAAAAAAAAAAAAAAAAAAAAAGTATAAGGCAAAGATGTGCAGAAGACAGGTCAGAAAGGGCTTTCTGTGTATGCTACATTTAGAAATTTAAATGTCATTCTGAAGGCTATTAAGAGCAATTGAAGGATTTTAAGCAGGGGAGTAATGGTAAGATTTTTTTTCTTTTTTCTTTTTTGAGACGGAGTCTTGCTCTGTCGCCCCAGGTTGGAGTGCAGTGGTGCGATCTCAGCTCACTGCAACCTCCACCTCCTGGGTTCAAGTGATTCTCCTGCCTCAGCCTCTTGAGTAGCTGGGACTACAGGTGCACACCACCATGCCCGGCTAATTTTTGTATTTTTTAGTAGAGACAGTATTTCACCATATTGGTGAGGCTGGTCTTGAACTCCTGACCTTAGGTGATCCACCGGCCTCAGCCTCCCAAAGTGCTGGGATTACAGTAATGGTAAGATTTATGCTTCAGATAGATTACTTTGGTGGCTAATTGAAGAACAGATTTGAATAGGAATAATACCAGAGGCAGGGGTAAGAGGAGGTTGTGGTTGGTTCAGGTTAGAGGTAATTAGAAACTAAACAAAAACATGGGTAATAGGTAATAGAAAGTAATATTAGCTTTCCTTAACTGATGGTATATAGGGACAAGTGGAGGAAAAAATCCAGAGTGATGCTCAGACTATGTGCTTAGGTGATCAGGAAGATACTGGAACCACCAACTGGAAAGTGACTAAAAGAAGTAAATGTTGGGAGCTAAGCTATGATGACACAAAGGCATAAGAATGATACAAAAGACTTTGGGGACTCGGGGGAAAGGGTGGGAGGGGTGTGAGTGCTAAAAGACTACACACACAATGGGTACAGTGTACACTGCTCAGGTGATAGGTGCACCAAACTCTCAGAAATCACCACTAAAGAACTTATTCATGTAACCAAATACCACCTGTTTCCCAAAAACCTATTGAAATTTTAAAAAATTTAATCAAAAATTTCTGCTCTGCCAAAAAAAAAGTGTGTGTGTTTGTGTACACATACAGATACACAGACACACACATATATATATCAAGAGAATGAGAACACAAGGAACACACTGGGAGAGAATATTTGCAAATGACATATCTGATAAAAGTCTATTATCCAAAACATACAAAGAACACGTAAAACTCAATGATAAGAAAACAACCCAATTTAAAAATAGGCCAAAGATATGAACAGATATCTTACCAAATAAGATACACAGATGGCAGGCTGGGCACAGTGGCTCATGTCTGTAATCCCGGCACAGTGGCTCATGTCTGTAATCCCAGCACTTTGGGAGGCTGAGGCGGGTGGATCACCTGAGGTCAAGAGTTCAAGACCAGCCTGACCAATATGGTGAAACCCTGTCTCTATTAAAAATACAAAAAATTAGCTGGGCATGTGGCAGGTGCCTGTAATCCCAGCTACTCAGGAAGCTGAGGCAGGAGAATCGCTTGAACCCGGGAGGCGGAAGTTGCAGTGAGCCAAGATAGTGCCACTGCACTCCAGCCTGGGCAACAAGAGCGAAACTCCATCTGAAAAAAAAAAAAAAAAAAAAAAAAAGATACACAGATGGCAAGTAAGTATATAAATAAAAGTTCAACATATATGTCATTAGAGAATTGGAAATAAAAATAACAATGAGATACTACTACATATCATTAGAATGGCTAAAAACAAAATACAGTATCAACTGCTGTTGAGGATGCAGAGTAACAGGAACGCTCATTCAATGCTGATGGGAATGTAAAGTGATACAGCCAGTTTGGAAGACAGTTCAGCAGTTTCTTTAAAAAATGAACTTTTTTTTTTTTTTTTTTTTTTTTTTGAAGATGGAGTCTCACTCTGGCGCCCAGGCTCGAGTGCAGTGGTGCAATCTTGGCTCGCTGCAACCTCTGTCTCCCGGGTTCAAGCACTTCTCCTGCCTCAGCCTCCCGAGTAGGTGGGACTACAGGCACCTGCCACCATGCCCAGCCAATTTTGTATTTTTCATAGAGACGGGGCTTCACTGTGTTAGCCAGGATGGCCTCGAACTCCTTACCTTGTGATCCGCCCATCTTGGCCTCCCAAAGTGCTGAGATTACAGGCGTGAGCCACCGTGCCCCACCAAACATACTTTTACCATACAATTCAGCAACTATGCTCCTTGGTATTTACCCAAAAAAGTTAAAAACTTATAAGCACACAAAAAACTGAAAATGGATATTTATAGAAGATTTATTCACAATTGCCAAAACTTGGAAGCAACCAAGATATACTTCAGTAAGTGACTAGATAAACAAACTGCGGTACATGGAATACTATTTAGTGCTAAAAATAAATGAGGTATCAAGCCATAAAAAGACATGGAGGAAACTTAAATGCATATCATTAAGTGAAAAATGCCATTCGGAAAAGGCTATGCATACTGTATGATTCCAAACAAATGACATTCCGGAAAAGGCAGAATTATGGAGATAGTGAAAAGATCAGTGGTTGCTAAGGGTCAGTGGGATGGGAGGGATGAAGAGACAGAGCACAGACGACTTTTAAGTCAGTGAAAGTATTCTGTATGATACTATAATGGTGAATACATGTCGGTATACATCTGACAAAATTCATAGACTGTACAACATGAAGAGCAAATCCTACTGTAAACCATGGACTTTAGGTGATGATGGGTTAATATAGGTTTGTCAGTTGTAACAAAAGTACACTGTGAGGCTGGGCATGGTGGCTTACACCTGTAATCCCAGGACTTTCGGAGGCTGAGGTGGGAGGATTATTTGAGCTCAGGAGTTCAAGACCAGCCTGGGCAATCTAGTGAGACCCCATCTCTAAAAAAAAAAAAAAAAAAAAAAAAAACCAAAACAACAAAACCCCCAAATGTACCACTGAGACGTGGGGATGTTGATAATGGGGGAGGTTGTACATGTGTGGACACAGGGTGTTACAAGGGACATGGGAACTCTGTAATTTTCAGTCAATTTTTCTGTGAACCAAAAATTTCTCTAAAAAAATAAAGTTTATTTAAGAAAAAAAAGAAGTAAATGTGGCAGAGAAATGATGCAGTGGCTTTAGAAATGTTAAGCTAAGGCTGGGCATGATGGCTCACACTTGTAATCCCAACATTTTGGGAGGCTGAGGTTAGAGGATTGCTTGAGGCCAGGAGTTCAAGACTAGCAATGGGCAACAGACTGAGACGCTGTCTCTACAAAAAATGAAAGAAAGAAAGAAAGAAAAAGAAAAGAAAAGAAAGAAAGAAAGTGAGCCAGAACAATCAGACAAGAGAAAGGAATAAAGGGCATCCAAATCAGTAAAGAGGAAGTCAAACTGTCACTGTTCACTGATGATATGACTGTATACTTAGAAAACCCTAAAGACTCATCCAAAAAGCTCCTAGATCTGATAAATGAATTCAGTAAAGTTTCAGGATACAAAATCAATGTACACAAATCAGTAGTACTGCTATACACCAAGAGTGACCAAGCTAAGAATCAAATCAATAACTCAGCCCCTTTTACAATAGCTGCAAAAAATAAAATACTTAGGAATATACCTAATCAAGGAGGTGAAAGACCTCTCCAAGGAAAACTACAAAATGCTGCTGAAAGAAATCATAGGTGACACAAACAAGTGGAAACATATCCCGTGCTCATGGATGAGTAGAATCAATATTGTGAAAATGACCATACTGCCAAAAGCAATCTAAAAATTCAATGCAATTCCCATCAAAATACCATCATCAGCTGGGCACGGTGGTTCACACCCGTAATCTCAGCACTTCGGGAGGCCAAGGTGGATGGATCACTTAATGCCAGGAGCTCCAGGTCAGCCTGGCCAATATGGTGAAACCCCATCTCTACTAAAAAGAAAATACAAAAATTAGCCGGGTGTGGTGGCACACGCCTGTAATCCCAGCTGCTCGAGAGGTTGAGGCATGAGAATTGCTTGAGCCTGGGAGGCAGAGGTTGCAGTGAGCCAAGATCACGCCATTGCACTCTAGCCTGGGCAACAGAGTGAAACTCCGTCTCAAAAAGAAAAACAAAAAAGGCCAGGCACGGTGTCTCACGCCTGTAATCCCAGCACTTTGGGAGGCCAAGGCAGGTAGATCACCTGAGGTCAGGAGTACAAGACCAGCCTGACCAACATGGTGAAACCCTGTCTCTACTAAAAATACAAAATTAGCCAGGCGTGGTGGCGGGTACCTGTAATCCCAGCTACTTGGGAGGCTGAGGCAGGAGAATCACTTGAACCCAGGAGGTGGAGGTTGCAGTGAGCTGAGATTGTGCCATTGCACTCCAGCCTGGGTGACAGAGCAAGACTGAGTCTCAACAAAAAAAAAGAAAAAAAGAAAGAAAAACAAAAAAACAAAATACCATAATCATTCTTCACAGAACTAGAAAAAACAATCCTAAAACTCATATGGAACCAAAAACAAGCATCCACAGCCAAAGCAAGACTAAGCAAAGAGAACAAATCTGGAGGCACCACATTCCTGACCTCAAACTGTACAAGGCTATAGTCACCAAAACAACATGGTACTGGTACAAAAGTAGGCACACAGACCAATGGAACAGAATAGAGAATGCAGAAATAAAGCCAAATACTTACAGCCAACTGATCTTCAACAAAGCAAACAAAAACATAAAGTGGGGCCAGGCGCGGTGGCTCATGCCTGTAATCCCAGCACTTTGGGAGGCTGAGGCGGGTGGATCACAAGGTCAGGAATTCAAGACCAGCCTGGCCAAGATGGTGAAACCCCATCTCTACTAAAAATACAAAAAAATTAGCTGGACGTGGTGGTGGGCACCTGTAATCCCAGCCACTCGGGAGGCTGAGGCAGAGAACTGCTTGAATCCGGGAGGCAGAGGTTGCAGTGAGCTGAGATCGCGCCACTGCACTCCAGCCTGGGCGACAGAGCGAGACTCGTCTCAAAACAAAAACAAAAACATAAAGTGGGGAAAAGACACCCCTTTTCAACAAATGCTGCGGGGATACTTGGCAAGGCACATGTAGAAGAATGAAACCAGATCCTCATCTTTCACCTTTATAAAATTCAACTCAAGATGGATCAAAGACCTAAATCTAAGACCTAAAACCGTGCAAATGTTAGAAGATAACATCAGAAACAATTCCAGACATTGGCTTAGGCGAAGAGTTCATGGCCAAGAACCCAAAAGCAAATGCAACAAAAACAAAGATAAATAGATGGGACTTAATTAAACTAAAAATGTTCTGCACAGCAAAAGAAATAATCAGCAGAGTAAACAGACAACCCACAGAGTGGGAGAAAATTTTTGCAAACTATGCATCGACAAAGAACTAATATCCAGAATCTACAAGGAACTCAAAACAAATCAACAAGAAAAAAACAAATAATCCCATTAAAAAGTGGGCTAAGGACATGAACAGATAATTCCCAAAAGAAGATCTACAAATTACCAAACATACGAAAAAATGCCCAACATCACTAATTATCAGGAAAATGCAAATCAAAACCACAATGTGATACCACCTTATTCCTGCAACAATGGCCATAATTTAAAAAATCAAAATATAATAGATGTTGGTGTGGATGCAGTAAAAAGGAAACACTTTTACACTGCTGGTGGGAATGTGAACTAGTACAACCACTATGGGAAACAGTGTGGAGACTCCTTAAAGAATTAAAAGTAGAACTACCATTTGATCCAGCAATCCCACTATTGGGTATCTACCCAAAGGAAAAGAAGTAATTATATGAAAAAGACACTTGCACATGCATGTTTATAGCAGCACAATTCGCAATTGCAGAAATACAGAACCAGGCCAAATGCCCATCAATCAATCAATGAGTGGGCAAAGAAAATGTGGTGCATATCTACCATGGAATACTACTCAGCCATAAAAAGGAACCAAATAATGGCATTTGCAGCAACCTGGATGGAGTTGGAGACCATTATTCTAAGTGAAGTAACTCAGGAATGGAAAACTAAACATTGTATATGCTCACTTATAAGTGGGAGCTAAACTATAAGGAATCAAAGATATAAGAATGATACAATGAGCCTTGGGGACTTGAGGGGAAGGGTTGCGGGGGTTGAGTGATAAAAGACTACACATTGGTTGCAGTGTACACTGCTTGGTGATGGGTGCACCAAAATCTCAGACATCACCACTAAAGAACTTAATCATGTAACCAAACACCACCTGTTCCCCAAAAACTATTGAAATACAAAAAAAATTAAACTAAAGTTTGTTTAGATCATCCAGGTGAAAGTACCCATCAAATAATGAATACAGGAGTTAGAAGCTGAAGATAGAGACTTAGGAATTATTAGGAAATTGATGTAGTTGAAACCATGGGAGTGAATGACATGACCCAGTGAGAAAATGCTGCGTGAGAAGCAGAGAAGAGGACAGACTCTTAAGATGTCTAAGGGGTGAGAGAAGGCTCTGAAGCCAAAGAGACCAAGAAGGAACAGGGAGATGCAAAGACCAATGGGAGTGTACATCACAGAAACCAAGGAAGAAGAGTTTCAAGAAGAAAAGTTCAACAGGTCAAATGGTGAGGTCCACTGGGTTTGGGCAAAGCCAAAGATCTTGTGGCCTTGCTAATCTGTCCCATTCAGGCTATTGCCATAGAACACTGCTTAGGACTGTTTTGTTTGATGATTCCCATTTTAACACCGCTGAATGAGAAAAACTATTTTATTTATTTCTTTATTGTATTTATTTATTTTTTTTGAGACAGTCTTGCTCTGTCACCCAGGCTGGAGTATAGTGGCACGATCTCCGCTCACTGCAAGCTCCGCCTCCCGGGTTCACGCCATTCTCCTGCCTCAGCCTCCCGAGTAGCTGGGACTACAGGTGCCTGCCACCACGCCCGGCTAATTTTTTGCATTTTTAGTAGAGATGGGGTTTCACCATGTTAGCCAGGATGGTCTCAATCTCCCGACCTCGTGATCCACCCGCCTCGGCCTCCCGAAGTGCTAGGATTACAGGCGTGAGCCACCGCACCCAGCCAAGAAAAACTATTTATATTCTCATGCTGAAGCTCAGCAAAGAAGCATGCCAGTACAGCAACAGCAGTATTCCAAGGGGGCAGCTAGGCAGCATCCTGAGGACCAAGATCCACATCTGAGAAAGGAGCTCTTGTAATAAATCTGGAACCCTGGAAAATTTTTTCACTCTCTAAGGAAAAAATCTCCAAAAGCCTCAGTTTCCTCATCTGTAAGATGGTTGCAAAATGCCCCAGTGACTGTAAAGATTAAATGAGCTAGTTTTCCTAAGAAAAACCCCTTATCCTGTGGTTGGCATTTAGGAGTCACCCAATAAATGCTAACACATATTCATATCCTTCTTTCCTTTATAAGTTTTAAAAACTTTTACTTATTTTTATTTTTATTTTTTTTGAGACAGAGTCTCGCTCTGTCGCCCAGGCTGGAGTGCAGTGGCGCAATCTCGGCTCACTGCAACCTCCGCCTCCTGTGTTCACGCCATTCTCCTGCCTCAGCCTCCCGAGTAGCTGGGACTATAGGCACACACCACCGCGCCAGGCTAATTTTTGTATTTTTAGTAGAGACGGGGTTTCACTATGTTGGCCAGGCTGGTCTGAACTCCTATCCTCAGGTGATCCACCCACCTAGGCCTCCCAAACTGTTGGGGATTACAGGCGTGAGCCACCACACCTGGCCTAGCATTAAAAACTTTAAACCTGTCAGGGCACGGTGGCTCACGCCTGTAATCTCAGCACTTTGGGAGGCCACAGCAGGTGGATCACATGAGGTCAGGAGTTCGAGACTAGCCTGACCAACATGGAGAAACCCCCGTCACTACTAAAAATACAAAATTAGCCAGGCATGGTGGCACATGCCTGTAATCCCAGCTACTAGGGAGGGTGAGGCAGGAGAATTGCTTGAACCTGGGAGGCGGAGGTTGCGGTGAGCCGAGATTGCGCCACACTCCAACCTGGGCAACAAGAGTGAAACTCCAACTCAAAAAAAAAAAAAAAAAAAAATTTTAAACCTAAGATCTCATATGATCAAACTAGAGAGATCGCAACTTAGGAAGAAATAGTGAAACCCAACTTCAGAGAAGTTAAGTGCCTTACCAAAGGCCACACAGAAATTAGCTGCAGAGCCAAGATTGGAATGCAGAGCTAAGTCTTTTGTTTATTTGTTTGTTTGTTTTTAGACGGAGTTTCGCTCTTGTTGCCCAGGCTGGAGTGCAATGGCCCGATCTCGGCTCACCGCAACCTCCACCTCCCAGGTTCAAAAAATTCTCCTGCCTCAGCCTCCCGAGTAGCTGAGATTACAGGCATGCACCACTACGCCCTGCTAATTTTGTATTTTTAGTAGAGATGGGGTTTCTCCATGTTGAGGCTGGTCTCGAACTCCTGACCTCAGGTGATCCACCCGCCTCAGCCTCCCAAAGTGCTGGGGTTACAGGTGTGAGCCACCGCGCCCAGCCCTGTTTGTTTGTTTTGAGACAGGGTCTCACTCTGTCACCCAGGCTGTTGTGCAGTGGCACAGTCATGACTTACTGCAGCCTCGACCTCCCAGGCTCAGGGGATCCTCCCACCTCCGCTTCCTGAGTAGCTAGGACTATAGGCGTGCGCTACCACAACCAGCTAATTTTTGTATTTGTTTTAGAGACAGGGTTTTGCCATGTTGCCCAGGCTGGTCTCAAACTCCTAGGCTCAGGCAATCCACCCACCTCAGCCTCCCAAAGTGCTGGGATTACAGGTATGAGTTACTGCACCCAGGCCAGAACTGCTAAGTCTTAGTCCAGGGTTTTGTCATCTATAGCACATAAATGTCCCAAATCTTTTTGTAAGTAAAACCGTTTTCACTAATCATTAAATTTTGCATAAATCTGAGTGGTTTTTTTTTTGGAGATGGAGTCTCACTCCGTTGCCCAGGCTGGAGTGCAGTGGTATGATCTGAGCTCACTGCAACCTCCATCTCCTGGGTTCAAGCCATTCTCCTGCCTCGGCCTCCTCAGCTGCTGGGACTACAGCCATGCGCCACCATGCCCGGCTAAGTTTTTTTATTTTTAGTAGAGACGGGGTTTCACTATGTTGGCCAGACTGATCTCGAACTCCTGACCTCAAGTGATCCGCCCACCTCGGCCTCCCAAAGTGGTGGGATTACAGGTGTGAGCCACCATAAATCTGAATTTTTAATATAGTAACCTCATTAGTAACTGGACCAATCTACAAGGAATTCACTCTAGGGAACCTGAGCCCTCTGAACCCTCTTGGCTTTCCCCAACAGGACAGTGCCTGTGACAAGCTCAGGAACAAAGGAACACAATAGTCCTATTTCCCAGATTTCTTCTTCCGAATATTATTTACTACCAGTTTTATCCTTGACCTTGAAGCTGAGCCCAGCTAAACAGACTACCAAGATCCTTCCACTTGGCAGGATCCCTTTTTAGCCAGAAGGCAAGACCCAAGATGCATAATGTCCAAGGCTCACTCTAGCCACGACATTCCTCTGCTCTTGAAATGCCAGCAGAAATTGTACCATAAGGCAATGTTCAGTAGATAAGCCATCTCTAAGTATATGTAGTATGTTAGATGTTGCAAATGCCACAGAGAAAAATAAAGCAGGGAAGGGGGACAGGGGTTTGTATAGAGGGAAAGATAGGGCCATTTTAAATAGAGCGGTCATAGAGAAGGGGACATTTGAGTAAAGATCATTCTCTGAAACAAAGACAAGATCAGCTCAAAATATAACCTTTGTAGGTCTCAGTTACTTCATCTGCAAGGCAGGGATACTTCAGGACCTACCTGGACGCAGGAGACTTAATGCCTCCGAGGAAAGTGTTTTTGTGGTTAAGAGCACATTCTACTTTAAGCTTTGCTTTGGAAATTTCCTGTTCTATGTATCAACACAGAGTGGATATTACTTTCTCTTTAAAGATGAGGCAACTGAAAGGCTGACTCCCTCAAATTTACCCTGTTGGTAAGTAGCAGAGGTGAGAGTAGAACCCAGGTCTTCTGACTCATAATCCAGGGCACTTTTCTCTATAACACATGGCCTGGACTGAAGCTACAGGCAGTTCACATCTCATAAGGTGACAAGGGTTTCCCAATGGCATGCATCAGACTAATGATGGCATTCTGCATTTACTTCAATATCTCCCTCCAAGGATCTTAAAGCACTATATAATTTTAAGAGCTAAGGGAGTTTTATTTTGTCAAGTGATGCAAAACTATTTCACCAAGGCCCTCAGAAATGGCTTACTTTTCATTGTCAGACCTTAGTCAATCAATTAATATTTATCAAGGGCTTTGCTAAGTATCTAGCTCCAAGTAAGGAGCTATAGAGTACCTATTTTTTAAGAAAAGAGAGAGATGTAATTATGAGTATCCCAATTCCTGCAATTAAGTTGTTTTAATAGTAGTTACTGAATCACTTAATTTTTCCTCCTTTTTAATCCCTTTAAGCTTTGCCTTGAAACTTCATCATGGGCTCTTGGGATCAGGAAAGAAGTTTTGTAAGTCCAATTCTTATACCCTCTTTGCACATAGGAGGTACTCAATCAGCTTATAGATTACGATCCAGCTCTAGGTAAGAGAACTGGGACTTGAACCTAGGTCTTATTATTCCCAGTTAGGGTTCTTGCCACTTTACCATACCAGACTGCATGTGAAGAGTATTCCTAACCCCATGTGTGACCCAATGATGTTATCAAGGTTTCTGCTCCAATAAATTCTCCTCAAAAGAGGGGAATGCATCTACCATCATACCAGGTTTCCATACGACCCTGAGTCTACAGACAGCTAAAGTACAGCCCCAGCCCCAATACCATAGTCCTGGACCAAGGCCCCCAAATCTCTCTGTCATGTCTTATGGATCCACTCCATTGATCTTACATAGTACTTTAAACAGACAGTCCACTCCAGAGCATACCCTATATTGTAATGACCATTCAAACACGCCCATCTTTCTTCCAAATTATGAACTCCTCTGTGAGAGGGCTCTTGTCTAAGCCCAGCACCTAGCACAGTGCCTAATACAAAAAGCAGCACTCAGAGTTATTGAGTGCCTAGCAAATGCTACCTGTTGCAGATATCATGCTGCCCAAATTACCTATGCCTAGAGTCATTTCCTTAGAATCCTCTGTAGACAGATGTGCTACTCTTACCTAAATTACGGCATGACATCACCTGGGAAGGATACCATGAGCAATCAAACTCATTAGCAGCACTTAGCTAACATCACTATTCACTGTCTCCTAACAGAAAATAAGGCCCTTTGGGAATAGAAGTAGGAAAATATAAAATAGGGCAAGAAAAGCAGGTAACGGTCCAGGGCTCAAGGTACCACAGTGAAGACAGCAGCCGTGGTAGTTAGCATAAGACACGACAGTCCCCTGAAGTTAGCTCTAAAAGGAGAGTGGGTAAGTGTTGCCAATTTAATCCATCCAGGACAATCTCTGTACAGAATTTAGCAATATGGGAGCCAGTGATTCCCAAAGACACTTGCATACTTTTGCTGAGGCAAGATTCTCAGCCTTGGACCTTCCAGTTTCACATCCTCCTCCCTTCTTCCCTCTGCAAAATGCAGAAAAAATATCCCAAAGGCCAACCAGCTATTTTCCTCTCTCAGCAGCTCCTGGTTAGGAGGAAACAAGAGCTGACCAATAGGATACCAGCGCAAATCAGCCTCATCCATTTGGAAGTCCCAGCCAACCAGAGCCTGTGAGCACAGTAGGAAAAAAGGGGGAGGGGAGTGGAAGAGCTCAAAGTACATTCCTCACTGCTTAATGCCAGACATGGATCCAAGATGACTGGTTTACTGCCAGCAAGGCCTTCTGATAAGCCAGTCAATTAAATCTCCCCTACTGAGTATTTCTTCCTATCTTGTACCTCCGTGGGGTTCCCATCCCAATTATCTCCCTATACACAAAGAAAGACAAAGAAGGATGAGGATGCGCACATGTGGGGTGGGGGCGGTGGCAGCAGCATGTTTTTGCTTTTTTTCTTTTTAAACTAAAGAATAAATGAAAGAAGCCTGTATTGTAGTGTGGTAGAAAGGAAACTGGACGAAAAGTCAAGATATCTAGATTCTGGGCCTGCCTCTGCTACTCACAAGGTCTGTGACCTCAAGCTGGCTACTTCACTTCTCTGAACCAGTTTCCTCATCCAAATGAAGGTGCCGGCCCATCTGATAACCAAATGAGTACCTTCTACATACTAGGCAACTTGGGAAATGCTTTATACTTATTTCTATTTCTCATAAAAATCCTATGAAGTGGCCAGGCGCGGTACCTCATGCCTGTAATCCCAGCACTTTCGGAGGCCAAGGCAGGCAGATCACCTGAGGTCAAGGAGTTCGAGACCAGTCTGGCCACAACAGCAAAACCCTGTCTCGACTAAAGGTACAAAAATTAGCTGGGCATGGTGGTGTGCACCTATAATCCCAGCTACTCGGGGGGCTAAGGCAGGAGAATTGCTTGAACCCGGGAGGCAGAGGTTGCAGTGAGCCAAGATTGTGCCATTGCACTCCAGCCTGGGTGACAGTGAGACTCCATCTCAAAAAAACAAATAAAACAATCCTATGAAGTAGTTATTATCTTTATTTTGCAAATGAAGAAACTGCGGCTCAGAGAGGGTAGGCAACTTGCCAAAAGCTATGCAGCTAGGATGTGGTTGAGTTTCAAGGTCAGTTTTTTCAGATTCCAAACCCCATTAAGCCATATGCCATTGTAAATGACCTCCAAATTCCCTCTCAGCTCTAATGCTCTGGAGTTTCTTAAATGATCCCTCAATGTCAGTTTTTCTTCATTGATCTGTTCATAGCATCAAGATCTAGAAGCTAAATAGCCCAACTTGAACTTTTTATGGCCACAGTGGCAAACATTTCCAATTATTCAAGGATCCTAGATCCCTGGTGCTGGAAGAGGCCTCTTCCTCCCTCCCTCCACACATTTATTCCTCCATTACTCACACAGGAGGAAAGTCAAAAAAGGCCTTCAAGAATAGAAGCCTTCCTGAATGTATCTACCCCCTTTATTTTTTCTGTAATAACTACTAAGGCAACTGAAGTTGTTAAAGTAGCAAACAATATTCATTACTTCTCACTTATTTTTAGTTATTGTTTATTTGTTCCTGTGTGTAATCCAAAAGTCAGTAGGGCTTGAAGGTGACTGTACCCCTTTTCATTAGGGCAGGCCCATTTTCACTGTGCACTAGCCAGTGCTGCCCTATAATCAAGAGGCCTCTTGCTGAACTGATGAGCACACACAAGCACTCTGATCCCACCCTTTAGTGGCTTCTGTTCAAAGGCAGCCTGACTCACATTCCAAACAGATCACACATAGGGCAAAACAATATTTACCAAACAAAGTGTTAAAACAGAAAATAAGCAATGTGTTAAAGTGTTATATAATTCCTCACCCCCACCAGTGCTGATAGGTAGTTAAGAGAAATCATTTTGACTCTAAGCAGAGTTATACCTAAACCATTCCAGGCATAATAGTGACTAAAAAAGGGAAATGCAGACAGGCACAAGGATGTTCAGAAAAGACATAAAATGTAGACACTTGATTCAAAAAGAAAAAAAAAGACTATGTATCTCAGAGAACAGGTGCAGACAGAGGTCAGAAATAATAGGGGAAAGTTACCCTAGAGTTTAATCAAAAGAGATCTGTCAATATTTGGCTTTTTCTGCAAGAGACCATCCAGTAGAAGCAATTAACATAAAGCAAATTCAGGTGAGGAGCAACCATTTGTCCCATGCTAGCAAGGGAAACGGTACTCTCATAGACTTCCACTAGCAGTATATTAGAGTACCATTTCCCTTGCTAGCATGGTTTAGCGTTTTTGGAGGGAACTTCCATCTCCACTAACATTTAAAACTTCTCTCCAGCAAGTCTACTTCTATGCATTTATGACAAAATATTCCAACATTCTTTCTAATAGTACTGCTTATAGTAATTCCCACCATTAGGGAAATAGTTACATGAACTGGAGACATTAGTTCCTTAGAATAACATTACCTTTTTTTTTTTTTTTTTTTGAGACAATTTTGTTCTTGTTGCCCAGGCTGGAGTGCAATGGCGCAATCTCGGCTCACCGCAACCTCCGCCTCCCAGGTTCAAGCAATTCTCCTGCCTCAGCCTCCCGAGTAGCTAGGATTACAGGCATGCGCTACCATGCCCGGCTAATTTTGTATTTTTAGTAGAGACAGGGTTTCTCCATGTTGGTCAAGCTGGTCTCAAACTTCTGACCTCAGGTGATCTGTCTGCCTCAGCCTCCCAAAGTGCTGTAATTACAGGAATAAGCCACCACACCCGGCCAATATTATATCTTCAGGTAGAAATATTTTCAAGGTATATTATTAAGAGTAAAAAAGCAAGTATGGTATAACCCTCTTTACAGTGTGCTTCCAGTTATCTAAAAATAAAATAACAACTTCAAAACACTCACAAAACCATGTAATACTCTTCTACGTAAATAAATGCACAGAAGGGGATCCAGAAGGACATACACTAATTTGATAACACTGGTTACAAGAATTTGGGGGTGAGGATGAAAGGGGTATTCTCTTATCTATATTATTAATCTCATGGTTGGGGGAAGGGAATGCGGGAGGACGAATATTAGCCTACAGTAAGAGGCATGAGTTCAGATCTTCACTCTGCCACTTACTAGTCCCACAATTACTGGCAAGCTGCTTAATCTCCCCGAAGCCTCTAGAATTACCTAGCTGGCTCATGGGGTGCTATGAAGTTTAAGTGAAAATGTATACAGCACTTTCCACAGAGCTCACCACAAATAAGCACTCAACAGATGGTAGCCATTATTTGTATTATTATTAATAATAAATTCAGTATAAAAAACTGGATCCCTGAGATCATTTCCAAGAGAATCTTTATGACACTTGATTATGGCTTTTTATATTAACCATCACTCTTTTTAAAATTATGAATTCTGTGAGTTTCAGTCATTAAATTTTAGAGCTGGAAAGGATCCTACGTAGAAGTTCATCTAACCTGGTAGTTCCCAAATTTGGCTACGCAGTAGAATTAGCTAGAAAGCTTTGGGAGTGGGGGGATATTCCAATGCTTCATTTCAGACTGAATTAGAACTTCCGGGAGGGAGGATCAAAATAATCTCTATTTTTTTGTGTGCAGATCTTCAGTATCTTCACATGTACTCATACATGAATAGAACACCTTTATGGAGGGGAGACAAGGGGCAAAAGTGGCAGAAAATTTCATTGCATTCCCTCTCATAGTGTTTAAATTTTTTACCTATTCAAAAAATAAGTCCTTAAAAAATTTAAATAATAATAAGTTTCCCAGGTGAATCTAACACAATCTACAGACTAGAATGAGGGTCTTTATGCTTTGTGCCAGAAATTCCTCTTCAGAAAACTAGAGACTTATGTATAAAGATGTGAATGTCATCGTAAAAGGAAGAAAACCTAACTAAACAACAAAAACCTGGAAACATTCTAAATGTCTAACAAATAAGAAATGGTTTTACAAATTTTGGTATATCCATGATGGAATATTACATGTTCATTAAGCATGTTTTTGTTTCTGTTTTAGACAGGATATTGCTCTATAGCCCAGGCTGGAGTGCAGTAGTGCAATCATGGCTCACTGCAGCCTTGACCTCCTGGGCTTAAGCGATCCTCCCACCTCAGCCTCCCAAGTACCTGGGACTAGAGGCACAAGCCACCATGCCTGGCTAATTTTTCGTATTTTTTTTTTTGTAGAAATGGGGTCTCCCTATGTTGCCAGGCTGGTATTGAACTCCTGGGCTCAAGCAATCCTCCTGCCTCAGCCTTCCAAAGTGCTGGGATTACAGGTGTGAGCCACCATGCTAACCCAAGTATGTTTTTAATATGATTTTTTAATAGTATAGGAAAAGATGACACAATGTTAAGGAACAAAACAATATAAATGTGTATAAGTTGCCTAATCATAATTTTGGAGTAGGAAGATGGGGGGGAAATATCTACAAAAAAGTGAAAGGAACTATAGTACATACAAACACAGACCTGTGCCCTTTTCTCTTCACTCTCCACTGCCTTTCTTCAGGCCTGCCCCTATTTAGGAACTGCCCCTATTTAGCCACCCAGGCTGGCTTCAACTCCCATTTAGGAACCTAAGCAATTTATCCTATTCAGTTACCTTTCTTGTTCATCACATAATTATATCTTACTCACCATCATACTTTTTGCAACTTTTAAAAAATAAGAGCTCCCTTCAGAGGACAAATACTTGCCACAACTAGGAATGTCACAGACTCTAAAGCAATGATTCCACCTTGATAAACGGTTATATATTAATCAACAAATTTACTGAACAGCTGCTAACATGTAAGACTTTAAGCTAGTGCATTTGGACCTCACTCTGAAGCCCTGTGTTTCTTCCATCAAAAAGACCCCCATCTCTGGGGTCAGATAAGACACATATATGTAAGAATGAATAAGTAACAATATATAAAAAAGGAGCACAGGCAACAAGTGCTACAGGAGTTCATATTTGTATGTTCATATGTATATGCAGAACGGCAGAATGAGTTACTGCACTTTGTTGAGCGTTTTTTGTTTTTTGTTTTTTTTTTGAGACGGAGTCTCACTCTGTTGCCCAGGCTGGAGTGCAGTGGTGCAATCTCAGCTTACTGCAACCTCTGCCTCTTGGGTTCACGCCATTCTCCTGCCTCAGCCTCCTGAGTAGCTGGGACTACAGGCGCCCGCCACTACGCCCGGCTAATTTTTTGTATTTTTAGTAGAGACGGGGTTTCACCATGTTAGCCAGGATGGTCTCGATCTCCTGACCTGATGATCCGCCCGCCTTGGCCTCCCAAAGTGCTGGGATTACAGGTGTGAGCCACCGCACCCAGCACTTTGTTGAGTTTTTTAAGGCAGGTTCTCACTCTGTCACCCAGGCTGCAGTGCAGTGGCATGAACCACAGCTCACTGCAGCCTCAAACCTCCTGAGCTCAAGCGATCCTCCAACCTCAGCCTCACAAGTAGCTAAGATCACAGGTGCATGCCACTATACCTGGCTAATTTTTTTTTTTTGTGTTTTTTACAGAGATAGGGTCTCCTTATGTTGCCCAGGCTGGTCTCAAACTCCTAAGCTCAAGCAATCCTAACACCCCAGCCTCCCAAAAGTGTTGAAATTACAGGTGTGAGCCACCATGCCCGGCCAAGTTACCACACTTCACTGTGTACATCCTTTCCCCACCCCACTAAACTGGAATATATACACCCCTCAGATATAGCAGTTCTACCTCATTCCTTATTTTTGTATCTAACCCTAATGCTTAATGTGTCTGACAGAGATAGTAGGTGTTTAATATGCCAACATTTTTGAGTTAATTGATTATTATAGCAGGAATAATGGTGGTGGGCAATGCCATCTAATTAAATGAATGGTGGTGAGAGGGATATAAGATAGTACTTGCCCCTGATGCATTTCAGACTGAAAAAGGTTGGGTTAAGGGCCATCAGAAGGATCTGCTAACTTGCTGGATACCTTCCAGACATCATTTATTGGTGGGGGAGCAGGGGAGGCAAGGGAGAGTTTAGATCTGTACTAAGCATAGTTTTCTTTTACCTTTCAGAGGAAAAAAGCAATGACAAGCAAGCTTTCCCTACTTTTTTTCAGGCTAGGTCACACCTCACAGTGGAGTCCTCTGTGCCGGCCATACTCTTGTCAATCCACACCATCCCATCCCCCCTTCTTCTGGCCCCATACAGAACTCGTCATTCTCCTGTCTGTCAACCCCTCAGCCAAGAAGAGAATTCATGCTAGCCATTAGACAGCCATCTGAAGTCCTAGCTAGGAATCAGTGCCCTAAACCTCCCAGAGAAGCAATGACCTAATTTAAAGTGAAGGTTCATCCCTAAAAAGTTGATAGGACCATAGAGAGCAAGGTCAAAGTTCACCCTGGATGCAATGAGAAAAGAGAACTGAGGATGAATCCTGAATTTCCCCATCCTGGATTTTCTTGGTGCTCCAGGACACAGTACACACTACAGGATCAGTATTTATCTAGAAAAAAATCTTCAAAGTGCATCACCTCCCCTGGCTTTGGGCAAACTTTAACCATTCTGAGCAGATAAGAATTTACCTTCTAGAGTTCCTTTAGTAAAGTGTCCCACTGCCTTGAAATAAGGAAGTTCTCCTTCATTTCTAACCTAAATTACTCCTGTTAAAATTGAAATTTATTTCTTTAGAAGACATTCAAGGCAGCAAATTAGCATCCTGTGTCATTATTTCTCAGGTTATTCATGCACACTAATGCTTGAGACTCACGGCTCTACTTCCTAACCATTAGAAGCTTCAGGTTTCATTTCTCCAGTGCTAATAATTCTAATTTTTTCTTTTTTAATAGGTTCCATGATTTCCCTTCTCCATCTCTTTATACCTATCTCAGGTTTCTTTCCACCCTTAGATTGTTCTTTCCACCTCAACCTTTATTCCTCTTCCCCCTACCTTCCCATCCCTAAATATCCTCTCTTAAATGGACAAAAGCCTTGTTTCACCACCCCCCATTTTTCTGACCTGGCATTCTTCCCTGTAGGAATGTTAATTAGCATGTGGGATTTAATTAATTCAGCACCTAATTAAAAATGAGAGAGGAAGAGGGGGAGAGGAGGAGGGCGGGACAGACAGCGCCCGCTACAGTGCAGAAGGCACCACAGATGGTTCTGGGTTGGCTGGCATCATGCCACCGCCCTCCAAACCCCCTTCTGCCCCCCCCCCCCCCCACCAACAGCATGCACAGTGAGAGGGGAGGGACAAAAGTGAGGGGCATAGGCTGGCAGAGTCTCTAGACAGGCTCATTCAGTCCTGCCGCTGCTTTGTGCTGGGGAGAGACAGAAAGCGAAAACAAGAGAAAGAAAGGGAGAGACATGGACATACCCACACTCAGGAGCCAAAGAATGGGACATCTGAACCGAATAATTCCTCTCCTCTTCAACACTGGAAGAAGCCAAGAGACCTTGTTCGTCCCAAGAGAGAGTCAGAATCTTGGGGTTCCCTGGCTCTTAAGGATCACTGAGGACAAGATGGGAAAACATAGCACTGATCTTCTGGAGAAAAGGGATAGCTTACTTTGGCAACCAGGGACCTACTCTGCTGCCATTCTTCCCACAGCATGCTGTTTGCTCAGCAAGAGCAGGCGATGAGGAAGATAGCTATTCAAAATGAAAGATGGGGGGAGTGGGCATGGATGGGCAACAGGGAGCAAACAGACAAGAAGGAGATTTAAAGGAAGGGTATCCATGAGAGAAAGGGAGAAGTGAGGGAAAGCAAAGAAGAAATAAATGATGGAGGAGAAGGAAGAGGAGGAAGTTAGGGGCACAGCGATGCTTTGTTTGCCAAGATGGATAAAGAGGGATGGAATGTCTATGCAGAGGACTCCACATACTGATCCCACACAGCCTAGGCCAGGCAGAGGGCAATGGCAGCATTGCAGGCAGAATGCAGGAGCAGATCTTTCTGAGGGGCAACCAAGCTGCCGGAGACAGGGAACCCATCCCACAAGATCTTCCTAAAAACTGGATATTTCTACCAAACCAGGAATTTATCAAAAGCAATGGAGAAAATCTTCCAAATGAACAGAAAAGGAGGCTAGAATGACAGGAAACTGCAAAATCTGATTCCAGGAGCTCCAGCGGGGAGATGGGTGAGGAATGGGATTTGCAGCAGTACCTAGTGGCTCTCTAGGAGTGTCCCCTGATACTCTCAGGGGAAATGTGTCCAGTAGGGGACTGATGTGAGGATATGAGGGCTGAGAAAGACAGAAAAGGTTTGGTTTCAGAAAGCACCCCTTTGGTGGGAGGCATCTAGGAAGCTTTGTGGCTCGAAGCCTCGGGGGGACTACAAAAGGAGGGTAAGAAGGAAGTCTGCCATCAGTGACAGATTACATAAGACTTGACTGAAGGAAACTAAGAAGGAGGGTGTGAAGCCAGATGAAGGTTTTCTGGTGTTAACAGCCACAGAGCTGAATGCAGTACAGAGAAGGGTCATTGTAACTAAGAGACAGGGTTTTCCTGGCTAGGAATTCTGATTTGATCTCTTTACCACCTAGGGCTTCCTGTAAGAGTCAGCAGTGAGTAAATCAAAATTGGGAGAGAGGAAATAGAAACTCAGGGGCTTTCTGTTCTCCAGAGCCCACCCGTGGGGCTAAACCCAAGGCTGGGAAATGAAACAAAGCAGTTCTCAGGGTAAGGTACCATTGGCTCAAAGTGGTACATACAAATGCTTTCTAAGCCTATTTTCTATTCTAAGCTTTAACTAACAATAAAAATTATAAGAAAATGTATTAATATAGTCACAATGGTAGTTTTACACTAGAACAAAATGATGTAAGATTTAGAGTTATCAGCACTAGTGGAAGGGGGTGGTCCATAGAACCTTTTGTTATTTAAGTGATCCTGGGACTGAAGAGTTTGCTGCGGAAGATCAGCACAGAGAGAATGGAGCGTCCAGAGTTCCAGCATCCACCACCAAGTGCCATCCAGCTCCAAGGTATTTAGCAGAAGGGGTATACTAGCCAGCAGTTAAGGTCAAATTAAATCTGGAATGGGAATTCATTCCCTGCCTTGGTACTCTGGAGGCCCCTGTAGTAGGCTAGCCTGTGTAAGGCCTGCGGAAATGCTAATACCATCCCAGCAAGCTAGATTCCTCAACCAGCCAGCCAAGCCCACATGCCCTGGCTGTCTTGCTGCTGATGCTGTCTCAGCATCAGGCCAACCAAGGCCAGCTTTTGACACAAAACCTGGCCACGTTGCTGCCTTCAAGGCTGCCAGTGGCTCTGGGGATGAATTGGAGACATTGGTTTCTAAGGGGTAGTAAAGGAAAAGTCAGACCTGGATGTGAGAGAAAACAAATTCTAATACCAGCTCTGCTAATGACTTATTTGAATAGGCTTAGATAAATCATTTCCCCCATAGGGCCTGTAAGCAAAAGAAAACAAAAATCAAACAATTTTAGCTACAGCAATGTAAGTATCTACAAAGAAAAATAGTTAAAACTCAATTTACTGCTCTCCCAAAGGATGCTAAAGCAGCTAAGTCTCTACCATTCACTGCAACAAATATTTATTGGATCTTGCTTTTTAAAAGAGGGACCTAAACAGAGATCACTGTCTACATTACATGAAACCATGACCCTAACTACAGTCCCCTGAATACAGCAAGAAAGATCTCTAAGAAAGGAAACAGGAAAATCAGCTGAGGAAATGAAGAGGCCACCAGCCTCTGCCTCCACCAACTCATGTATGCACCTTAGGAAGGCAGGAGAGGTAGGCAAGAAGACAGGGCTCCACAGGCACTTCCATGGCCCAGACAGTAAGGTGAGGGGTTGGTGTTCTAGTCCCTGCTTTTCACTGTGGCTCTGGCAAACTCTGCCTCTCCCCATAGTCCAGGAGTCAGTCTTGACTTACACATGCTGAGGAAATGGAAGCCAGCCATTCTAGGACTGCCACTTAAGCTAAGGAAGATCTCCTCCCACCAGGGAATCAAGGAAAGAGGTCCATATTGTGGCCTATTCCTAGTATATACAGAAGTCAGACTCAGCACTACCATCCAGGGAGTAACTGGATGCTACTAATTCATAAAGAATAATCCAATAAGAGAAAAATTAGCCATCCTAGAAATTGGATAACTTTACAATAAAAAACACTGCTGAATTAGCTGGTTGTGGGGTACTGGTCTCACAATGAAAGGTCTCCAAAATAAAGTTAAGAAGCGAGATGAGGCAAGAGCTAACAGTCTAAAGAGTTTGGGCATATTCTGGAAAGGCTAAGCAATACAGGGCACTGTGGGCTGAATGGGGCAACCAGGTAAATTCAGCTGTGATAAAGGAACAACATGGAATGACAAAAAAAGGAGGCAGACTACAAGAGTGAGCCAAGGTCCTGCAGCCAGAATTGTGCTCAGCAGTGACCAGAGAGCCAGGATGTCCATCACATAAGTGTCACAACTGTCCTGGAAAGAACCTTCTGAGGACACAAAAGATCAGTAACAGGACATCTCCTCCAGTCTTCAAAACACAGGATAACGAAAGTAGAGGTATCCTTAGCAATCTAATCCAAAAGTTTCTGGATGAGCCATTATTATCTGAATTCTTGCTATTCCCTAGCTCCCATTTTCCCAGCATGTAGAACCCAAATCTGTAGATTCAGATAACACAGGATCGATCGCTTGCCAAGTGAACTCTCCTTATCCAAATCCAGGAACTGAATAGATGCAGACAGCAAAGGATATCTTCTGTCTCCCATCATGTTTCCCCTGTAGAGCCTCGTCATTCTCCCACCTACTCTTCGGTACTGACCCCTCAGTTCTCCTCACCCTGTTCTCTTCTAAGCCACCCTCATCTACAGCCCCCTTTCATTGGGAGAGTCATCTGTAAGATGTCAGGGGTAGAACAGATAACGAAAAAGGGAGTAGGGAAGAGTGTAGATTTCAGGTAGGGAAGTGAGATGGAGATCCTGCAGACAGAGAAAGAGAGAGACAGAAAGCAAGAGAGCCGGAGCTGGGGGAGGGGAAGAAGATGGCACTGCGGAAAAAAGAGCGCCACAAAATTAATTTGAGGAAGGGAACAGTAGAGGAGACGTTGGTGGAATAACAATCAGGCAGTAGAGGGCTGGGGAAAGGGGGAGGGCGACAGGGTGGGGAGGAATGATGTTGGCCGGGAGGGCCCTGCCTGCAGAGCAACAGCAGCACCACCTATGGGTATGGTGAAGGGCTACAGGCTGCAACAAAAGAGGTTCCCGCCTAGGCATGGGAGTCTGGGGTGCAGGTGGGGAGGAAGAAGCCATGGCTTTTGCCATTCAAATCTCTTGGTTACACAACATGCAGGCTAGAAGAATAAATAGTATATGGCTTTCCTGGGAAGAGAGGGACTTAAGGTAAGGGAGGGAAGACAGAGAACTCCTGGCTTTTTCCATTACAAGGGGGTTTCCCCTTCAGAATTCAGGCAGTAGAAAAGAGAAGAATATGAAGAGGGAGGAACACCAGGTACTGAAAGGAATGTGAGCACCTGCTTATTTCATTACCTGGAGAAAGGATTTTTATCTTTATTTCCAAGTGATTTCCTCTCCCCACTGGATATAAGAGAATACAGCTGCCTCCCTGGGGCCATGAATGCCCCTCACTCAGCTGCTTCCTCCCAGCACTGCCTCAAAACTCCCAACCACCATTAGAAACCCCCAGGGAGCCACCAAGGTCTAAGAAGGAAAGAAGGGAAGGGTTCCCCCCACCAAACAGACCAAGTGGGGGAGGACAGGGTGGAATGAAAGAGAGAATGCAAAAGCTCTGCAGAGGGAGGGGAGAGAGAAATGTGATCAGTAGTATTTGTTGTGCTTCCAGGGAGGAAGGATCTGTCACATTTTTAATAATAATAAATACATGAAGACAGATTTGCCAGCACTGCTCTGGCTTCTTGGGAAGTGTGGGGGAGGGGAAGTAATGCAGCTGCAGCACACACCAATATCTCCCCCTCCCCTCCCCCATTAGATAGGCTCAGTATTGCAGCAGCCTCCCCCTCCCCCTCTAACCGCAGTCCTCCCCTTCACAGCCCACCCTTTCCACGGTCCCGTCACACAGTTCTGCCCCTCCTTCCCCTACTTGTATCTCTACTCACTCCAACCCCACTCTGTCCTTTCAGTGCTGGTCCTCATTTAACACATGCTTACTCTAGCTGGAAGAAACCTTAGCACCTACATCTTAGATGAATGAATCTGTTCCCCCAATCCTGAGGCTCTGCTGTTTCCAATCAGTGCCCTTCACTAGCTGACAGCAATCTTCCCCTACACCCCACACAACACTCCCACAGATGTAATCCAGCACATTTCAGCATTTCCTGGATTCCACCAAAAAGGATTGCTTTTCTCCCCGTTTTAATCTCAATGTGACCTCCTTTCTCACATCCTTCCTTAAATATAATGGCCATCAAATGTGTTTGTGTTTAGGGGGTGTCAGGGCCTCAGGACTCAGTGACTACTGCCACCTATTGACCCAAGTTTGTTCACGATAGACCTTTAATACACTTCTTACACAGCGACGCTCTGTCATCTCAAAAGCATCAATAGCTTAAACATGCAAAGGCATGGCTCTGGGGGCTTCTCTGAGACCCTCTGAACAATGAGATCAAAGAAACACAAAAGCAAGACTGGGCAGAGAGCCAGAGCATTGATGCCTTTCCTCATGCAGAGGCAGAAAACGAGGCCCAAGGAATGAAAAAGCAACTTTAAGTCCCCTCAAGGTTCTCTAAGCAAAGATGAGTAGGGAACAGAGTTTTTCTTAAGGGCTGGTAAAAATTTCATGTATCATAATATAAATGATAAATGATGTTACCAATGGAGCAGGAGGCAGGATTCCACTCACATACCTCCATCAAGTTAGCCAAATCCTTGGCATGAATCTGGGATTTATGGACCTAAAAGATTCCAGGGAGGATGGGGGACACTCAGGGGTGTGTTTGACTCTCATCCAATCTGTACCAATCAGAACTGGAGACTGGACAAACTGGGCTCTGAAAAAGGGCAGGTCTACACCACGCAGCTCTATGGTTTAGCTGTGTCCCATTCACCAAACCAAGGAATGAGGAGCGTTTGAACTCTCCATGGTGCTGAAAATTGACACACTAATAATCTCCCCTGCAAACAAAACACAGTTTTCCTAATAAGGTATCTATGAAGACTGTTGTGAATTCCCAATAGACATTTCCCCAAGCCTTCATAAAATCCTAACAAAACAATGATTTTAAGGCAAAGACAGACCTTGGTCAAACTCTCTTCCCTGTCCCCTAAGATGAAAAGAATGAGGCAGAGATGTAAATTACTTCTACAGAATAAAGCTATCACATGACAAAACCATCACATGATAAAACCAAACAGGTAAGGTGCTCATGTGTGCATTAATGACAGCTATTACTTAGTGAACACCAGAAATGATCTGTTGTCAGCAATACACTGAGGAAATCCGATATTCATATGGTCTGAATAATCAGATAACTGAATCTATTAGTAGGAATAAGGGAAAGAAAAAAAGTGACCAGAACAGCCATAACGAAATCCTAAAATTCTAGTTCTTAGTTCCCTTGTTCTACTACCCTAACAGTTGTTTTCAAACTATATTCTAAGGAATTCTAAAGGTTCCTTGGGGGCTCCTCAGGAATCTTGGGGAAAGGGGGTCATAAGAACATGGAACTTCAGGACCCCTCATTCCCACTTCAATCAAAGTAACCCCACTTATGCTTGTTTTACATATTGAGAATCCATGTAATACTCCATCAAACAATACACTCTAAACAGTGTTTGATGACTCTGGTACAAATATTCTCAGAAATAGTTCAACTTTTTACCAGAAACTTCTTTCAAATAATGCCTAAAAGCCAGGGAAAACAAAATGTCCTGGGATTAAAGACTTGATTGAATTAATATAAGGTCCACAAAGGCAGGGATTTTGTCTGCTGTGTTCACTGGTATACCACAAAGAGACCAGAATTGTGGAACTTAGGGTTTCTTTGAAGACGAGGCCTGTAACAGAAATGGGGCAGTAGGGCGGGGGAGCTAGATTATAAACCACCTACAAATAAAAAAAGATTTTTTAACCCTGAAGATTTTCATGAACCACAGGACACTTGAAGTCCTCCATCCTCAGTGTTCCCCAAGCACTGGTTCTCCAACTCAGGAAAAATTGTTTGCCCTAAGTGTCTAAGCTTCCTCACTAGTAAAATGGAGATTTCATAAATTTTATAAGGATTGCCAGGCGTGGTGGCTCATACCTGTAATCCCAGCACTTTGGGAGGCCAAGGTGGGTGGATCACGAGGTCAGGAGATTGAGACTATCCCGGCTAACACAGTGAAACCCTGTCTCCACTAAAATACAAAAAATTAGCCAGGTGTGGTGGCACGTGGCTATAGTCCCAGCTACTCAGGAGGCTGAGACAGGAGAATCGCTTGAACCCAGGAGGCAGAGGTTGCAGTCAGCGGAGATCACGCCACTGCACTCCAGCCTGGGCAACAGAGTGAGACTCCATCTCAAAAAAAAAAAAAAAAATTTATAAGGATTAAGTATAAAGCACTTAGCTCAGCCTATAGCACAGGAATTTTTTTTTTTTTTTTGATGGGTCTTACTATCATTCAGTCTGGAATGCAGTGGTAAGATCATAGCTCACAGCAAGCTCAAACTCCAGGGCTTAGGCAATACCCCTGCCTCAGTCTCCCAAGCAGCTGGGACTACAGACACACGCCACCACACCTGCCTAATTTTTTTATTTTTATTTTTTTTTAGAGACAGGGTCTTGTTGTGTTAAACATGCTGGTCTTGAACTCTCTGGCCTCAAACTATCCTCCTGACCCAGCCTCCCAAAGTGTCCAGATTATAGATATGAGCCACCACACCTGGCCAGAAGGTAGTACCTGTTTTGTTTTGTTTTGTTTTGTTTTGTTTTTTAAAGAGCACTTCCCTTCCCCTGGAAGTTCCCATAATCCACAAATCTTAATAAATTAGAAACAAATATAGTGGTCCTAACAAGCAAATGAAGTGGTTTTAACTAAAGTATTTTTGAACTGAATCACTCATCTAGTTAGTTCAGCCATAAAGGAAAAAAAGTCTCTAAATCTGTTCTTGTGGCTCTTTGTTTAGATTCCCTTGAGGAAACAGAAGTATGAGAGCCCAGGGCATGTGAGACTCTCTCAGATCTATCAGGGACTAAAGGTTAGCGGCCCCAGACATAAGCCCATCTTGGTGTCATGCACAAAAGCTCTAGGCTCTTTGACTTGAAGGGAATCTCACAGATGAAGTCTAATACATTCCTTAGCTGAGGAAAATTAAAGGCCAGGGATATTAAGTGATTTGCCCAAGATCACAGAATTAGCCTAAGACAGCCATAGGTCCAGTCTCCTAACTACTTTCTACCAAGCGGCAGCTGAGTGAAAGACCCCTGCCCCAATCAGGCTGAATAGTATAAATCCAAATTCAGAAATTCAGAATCAACGAGGTTTTAGTCATATAACCCAAATTAATTTGTCTATCGATATAACCCAGCAATACTAGACATTAAAATCAGATGTTCATGAGACCCAAAGCCTTTTTTAAAAACTCCAATGAATTAATTCTACAGACCCAACTTCTATCTTTTTTTAATCCCTTTTTTCACTTTCTGTATTATCCAAGGCCTGTGGGACATCTCACCAACAGAGGTTATTCTCTCATTAGAATACAAGATCTCAGATGTATAACGCCCACCAGTCTCCTGGCTTGAGTTTGGCTAATTATTTCTGTGGGATTTTCATTTGTTTGGCTGTTAAGCTAGGAATGTTCTGCTTGTCTGCTGGCATTTTTTTTTTTTTTTTTTTTTTGCCAGCTCTTTATAGAAGGGTTGGCCTTTATTGACTCTGGTAAAATGACCCTCAGTTGAAGGCGGGGGGGTGGGGGTCAGAGTCTGAAAAACACAAGACTATACTGACTCTTCACTCTAGCCTTCTTACTCACTCTACTATTTTCTACAAACTCCCTCAGTAACTGACCAAAGATCAGCCTTATGTTCATGCTATTTCAGAAAGAAATGAAAAACATTCAGAGAAGTGGAGATAAGAATAATCTTGCTGATGTGGAAAGGTTCTATCTTGCTTTTGATTACAGCCAAGCTCAAGTTTCTTGAACCACTTATGCCACCTGGTGGCCAGCCCAGATAACACTAATAAAACCTAAAATTCATGTGTTAATATCTCAATCTGTATTGTATTATAACAAATCATACAGGAAGTTGTGGCAACATGGGTTGAAAGAGTTGATTATACCAGCCTCGTCTCTCAATACTTTTTGTGACGTAACCAATTTTTAGTTTTTGGGAAAAATATATTATCAAAGAAAACAATACAAATGTTTTGCACTTCCAAAAAAAATTTCCCTTTTCACCAACCACTCACCAAAAATATCCCAAACCCAACGACTCCAGTCGTACAATACATGTGCAAAAAGGGGCTTTAATTCATAAGCAAAATCAATTTTATTAGTAAGGCTCTTTCCACATGTCCAAAGCAAACAATTAATGAATTCCAGGGAAAACCACCTATATACAATGAAATTAGAAGTATCTCAGGATGACAAAAAATATACAAATATGTACACCCATAATCACCGCCGCCTCCGAAAACCTGAAAGGAAGGGAAACCAAGAATGAGGCAAAGGACAGTTGGAAAAGCTAAAGGGACAGGAAAACAGGACATCTAGAGGGAAGGGCTCACAGGGGTGGGGTCTCCTAGGCAGTACCCTGAATATCTTCCCAGGACAAAAGACGAGAAGTAGGAATAAAATTGAAATGGGATAATGGTTCCTTCAAGTGACACTTTACCAGTTCTATTTAGGGAAGCCTGAACAGGAGCTGTGGGACCTTAGAGGCAGAATCCAGAGATTCATTTTGTGAATGATGCTGATTTCCAGCTCAGGAAAGCAAAAAATAAAAGCCCACCTAAGGAGATTATTGCCCAGTATGGAAGAGATACTACAGGGCTTGGTGAGACCCAGAATGGCAAATCCAAAGAGACTCAATTTGTACTCCCCACCTTGCACCTGATCACCTAAGTCCCAGCAGTTCACTGACCTTTTTTCTTCCGACCTTTCTGAGGTATCTTCTTCCGCTTCTTAATAGGATTCTGATCCTGGAGACAGATGGAGAAGTGATGGAATGGCACTGTGGTTCTGAGAGCCAGCATCCCTTCCCAAGTTCCTCATGGTAATAAGCCCCACATACATTTTGCTGAAAGCATGAAAGTCACATCCTACTACAACCATATCTCAACCTCACCTCATCAAGATGAACAGTTCCCCCTGTCAAAGCACTGATGTCACTGAAGTGTGTAAGGGAATGAAGTTGTGAGCTCATGACATTTGCTCGTTTTCGCCGTCCTTTCTCTCGCTTACTGACGCTCAAACGCACCATCATGCTCTCCTCATAGTTAATCCTGCCAGAGAAAGACAGTTTCCAGCAGGCTCAGACCATGGAGATGGAAAGCTCCAGCCCACAACCTGGGCCCAAGTATCTACTCATCTCTTGTTCAGGGAGTTCTCAAGAAGTTTCACAGCAGATCAACATAGTATTTAGTAAGGACATATTGAATGCTCAATACTGAGCTTCCTCAATGAAATGTGCTCTGTGCTAGAACTTCCCTCATGCTAGATATGAATCCATAGCCTATCCACAATATTATTTAAAATATTACACCAAAATTTTTTTATTTCAGCTCTATAAGCAGGTTTCCCTAAACGTGTCCTTTCATGCAAATCCATCAACTGCAAAGACTGCACCTGAGCAAAGTTGACGAGTCTGTATTCAATTACACTGCTTTTCTACTTTCCTTCCCTGAACTTATCTAGCACTCACAATGTCACTATAAAAACCTACCTTTATTGCCTTCTGCACAAAAGTGAGAGCTGTGACAGTGAAACACAGAATCTTAAAGTTGTACTATGTGGAACTGCATACATTCCTCTTTGTACTGCTTTTTTCCCCCTCAAATCTCATGTCGAATTGCAATGTACTGCTTTTGCTTTGAACTAAACAGTTGGGGTAAAAATTTTCCTAGTTTCTATCCTGAACTCCAAACTCCTGATTCTTAGAAACTATCATCCCAAAGTTTTCACTCCATTTTCTATGTAACATTAATTCTCTTGGTACCAAACTTAGTCACATTAGTATAAAGCATGAGGACAGGACTCTAGAGTGCAGGAATAATTTCTAATGCAAGGGCTCAGACCTGTGTTGGTCCTCCTGACTCTGGCGGGTAACATGGGGATGCCGAGCATCACGGATTTCCTCTGGAGCATCTGAGTACTGCTCCTTAAGTTCACGAATGACAGAGCTGCTCAATGCCCGTCTCTTGGCTCGTTCTAGACGCTTCTTCTCCCGCTCAGCTTCTGTTTCATCTACATGATGAAAATAAGCAGGGTTATCCAAGAACAGAGAAAAGAGAAACAGTTCATGCTGAGGAGGCAGCAGCCAAAGTTTATACCATAATGTACTGGAACCAAGCGTGGAGGAACATATTTCTTAGACACTCCCTTCACAGATTTCTTCCCTGAAGCCTCAGACTGGTCATCTTCTGCTTCATCTTCCTCCTCATCCTCAGAGCTCAACTACAAAAGAAACAATGTCTGCAAATTTAGGAAGCATTCATGAGATAAGTGAGAAGAAAACCCAAAGCTGGAGTACCCTGGGGTGGTGGGAATATAAAAAGGGAAAAAAGGGAATCTCAAACTCAGCATTCTAACACACAAGTTGGAAAATCAAGTCCTAAGAGAATCCCAGGGTATCCAGGATCACCAAGAGGCTCATCTAGGTATAGCTGCCTCAGAAAAAAATCAGGAGAATACTACAACCCCTTACCTTGCTCATCATATTGCTGGGATGAGGCTTAAAACGAAGTGGGTCATTCTCACCTGAAATAAATAACCCAATGAATTTTACAAAATTTGGAACTTTCTGATGGTCCCCACAACTTCATGATGGTCTCCTCACTTACTAAGGCTGCCTGTCACTGCAGTCTTGATCAGCTTGTCAATTTGATACTTCAGCTTTTGGTCCAAGGGACGAAGCTTTTCCAAAACCTACAACATGGTAGTTAATCAGGATTATATTTCCTTCCCAAAATGAAGCACACACCAGAGTCCCTATATTAAGGTGCCACATAAGGCACCTAAAATATGTACAAAGTAGAGCAAATGAATAGAAAAATACCTTTTCTCATTTGGTTTCCTTAAACATGAGAAGACTCACTTAAATGAGAGCTACTGTGTGATACCCTTGGAGCTCAAAATTTAGAAACCTAAAACTCCAAGAAGCCAAATGCTTCATACCGTGCGAATCTCCACCAGTCTCAAAACTGCATCATGTCCCTGAAGAGATCCTCCTGAGGCTTTGTCCAGAATGAGGTGGGTCAAATCCATAAGGTACATGAGCAGCAGCTGGTCTTTCACTTCCAAGAAGCTGAGACCCTGAGTTGAACAAAACAGAAAGAAAAACAGATTTGGTTTTAGCCAAAGAACCAGATGAAAGCCTAGGGTAAACGGGATGTTTTTCCAAGTTCAAGATTTTCCCAATCAGTTCATATTAGGTATCTGGAATAGTCTCAAGAAGTAGCTATGCCTAAGAAGGCCAATGAGAAAGTTATGCTAATACAAGAGAAACAACGCTCAGAAAATTAATAGAAGACAATGAGAAGAGGAAAATCAATAAACTACCCCCCCAAAAAAGACTATAACAGGGTTTCTCAATCTCAGAGCTATTGACATTTGAAGCCAGAACATTTTTTGTTGAGGGCTGTCCTGGGCATTGTAGGTTTCCAGCAGCATCCTTGGCCTCTTCCCACGGATGGCCCCTCCAAGCTCTAACAATCAAAAATGTCTCCACAGACTGCCAAGTTTTAAATTAATTTAATCAAAGTAATTACCAATTTCCCCCCATACAATGGAATTATATGATACAGGTAAAAACAATGATTTATATATAATGACATCGAATTAAATCCATGTCACCACAAGTTGTAGAAAGTGTAATATGACTTCAATTGTGAAAGTGTGTGTGTGTAGGGGGGGATATGATGAATACATTTTATACACATAGAAAAATGTCTACAAGACAACACACAAGTAACTGCTACCCCTAGGGTGAGATGAGGAAAAGGAAGAAATGGTGTACTTTAGAGTGTGAAAAAGTGTTGCATATATTATTCTTATAATTTTAAAAATCTCAAAAATATTACCACAGTGGTTATCTCAGAGTGGTGATTATACTGATTTTTCATTTTTTTCTTTGGGCTTTTATGTATCTTCCAAACTTCACAGCCCTGAGAAAACCTATTTCAGAGAGGTTAAATACTTGGCCAAGATAACACAGTAATACAAGTAGAGCTAAGATTCAAACTCAATCTGACTCCAACACCTCATCCCTGGATGTCTTTAAGCCAACATGCTAAGCTCTTGAGATCAACACTACTGTGGTATAGAAGGAGAGCAAAGGATTTAGAGTCCACAAACTGAGTTTAAGTTCTGAATTAGGTGTTTGGTAGTCAAATATTGAGTAAGTCACTTAACCTTGTGACCTCAGTCTTTTTTTTTTTTTTTTTTTTGAGATGGAGTCTCACTCTGTCGCCCAGGCTGGAGTGCAGTGGCACTGTCTCGGCTCACTGCAACCTCCACCTCCTGGGTTCAAGTGATTCTTCTGCCTCAGCATCCCAAGTAGCTGGGACTACAGGTGCCTCCCACCACGCCCGGCTAATTTTTTGTATTTAAGCCAAATATTCTATGGGTAAATACAAGTATGAAAATCATTGTTAATAAGAGTCACTGAAGGAGTTTTAAGCACAGGAGTTATAGCAGATTTGTGCTTACAGAAAGATAACTAAAAACAGCATTCAAAATATATTCCCTTCTTGTCTTTATCATTCACTTATGTTCTTACTGTCCATTTTTATTTAAAAAAAATTTAAATCTTTGTTTAAGATTTAAGAGACGGGGTTTCGCCATGTTGGCCAGGCTGGTCTCGAACTCCTGACCTCGTGATCCACCTGCCTCAGCCTCCCAAAGCACTGGGATTACAGCCGTGACCCACTGCACCAGGCCAACCTCAGTCTTATCAGTAAAATATGTACATTTCCTCCCTGCCACAAAGAATAATTATGAGGCCCAAATAAGATAATGTGAAAGAACTTTGTAACCTATAAAGCACCTAGTAAAAGTCTTTGGTCAAAAAGATAAGTTAATATGTATTTGTTCAATAAATAAACAAATATATAGGGATCTAAGAAGGATGCTGGCAACTCATCCATCTCCAAAAGGCACTGAAATGGTTCAAGGCATGGTACCCAAGGCCTGGTGTGGTGGCTCACACCTGTAATCCCAGCACTTTGGGATGCCGAGGTGGGTGGATCACCTGAGGTCAGGAGTTCGAGACCAGCCTGGCTAACATGGTAAAACCTCGTCTTTACTAAAAATACAAAATTAGCCAGGAGTGGTGGCGGGCGCCTGTAATCCCAGCTACTCGGAAGGCTGAGGCAGGAGAATCACTTGAACCCAGGAGGCAGAGGCCGCAGTGAGCCAGGATCGTGCCACTGCACTCCAGCCGGGGCGACAGAGGGAGACTCCATCTCAACGAAACAAAACAAAACAAAAAAGCATGGTACCCAGGACAAAAACAGGTAAGAATTTGAGAAGCAGGCTCTTCCGACGTGCTTGGGCATTGTCAAATTCAAACTGAGCTACAAGCATATGAGAGAAAAACAAAGATTTAAATTTTTTTTAAATAAAAATGGACAATAAGAACATAAGTGAATGATAAAGACAAGAAGGGAATATATTTTGAATGCTGTTTTTAGTTATCTTTCTGTAAGCACAAATCTGCTGTAACTCCTGTGCTTAAAACTCCTTCAGTGACTCTTATTACAATGATTTTCATACTTGTATTTACCCATAGAATATTTGGCCTAAATATCTTAGGACAAAAGCTCAATATATAAAAACAGATAATACCAGAGTTTTCCAGTTAAGTAGGGATGAGAGATCCAGAGTTGTTCTTCCACATTGCCCCCAACCAGTAATCCCTGAGAAGGTTCTACCAGACCTTCATTTGAAAACTACAATATTTTAATTGTTGTTGTTTTGTTTTTTTCAGATGGAGTCTTGCTCTGCTGCCCAGGCTGCAGCACAGTGGCATGATCACGGCTCACTGCAACCTCTGCCTCCTGAGTTCAAACAATTCTCCTGCCTCAGCCTCCCGAGTAACCGGGATTACAGACAGGCACACGCCACCATGCCCGGCTAATTTTTGTATTTTTAGTAAAGATGGGGTTTTGCCATGTTGACCAGGCTGGTCTCGAACTCCTGACCTCAGGTGATCCATCCGCCACAATCTCCCAAAGTGCTGGAATTATAGGTGTGAGCCACCTTTTCTTCTTAGCCTGGCCTTTTTTTTTTTTTTTTTTTTTTAAGACAGTCTCACTCTGTTGCCCAGGCTGCAGTGCGATGGTGCGACCGTGGCTCATGGCAGCCTCGACCTCCTGGGCTCAACCGATCCATTCACCTCAGCCTCCTGAGTAGCTGGGACTACAGGCACACACCACTGCGCCCAGCTAATTTTTTTTTATAGAGATAGGTCTCACCACATTGCCCAGGCTGGTCTCAAACCCATGGGCTCAAGCAATCCTCCCACTCTGGCCTCCCAAAGTGTTGGGATTACAGGCGCATATTTCAATTTTAAGATGCACATGGTTTTCATATTTTAACATCTCTGAAATCAGGATGCATGTTTCAGTCACTGGCATCTTGGTATTATGTCATAAGCAATTTTTTTTTTTTTTTTGAGACAGGGTCTTGCTCTGTCACCCAGGCTGAATGCAGTGGCACAATCACAGCTTACTGCAGCCTCAACCTCCCAGGCTTAAGCAATCCTCTGGCCTCAGCCTCCTGAGTGGCTAGGACTACAGGCACATGCCATCATGCCCGGCTAATTTTTAACTTTTGTAGGGTCTCACTATGTTACCCAGGTTGGTCCCGAACTCCTGAGCTCAAGCGATCCTCCAGCCTCAGCCTCCTGAAGTGCTGGAATTACAGGCATGAGCCACCATGCCCGGCCTGTCACATTTTTTCTTAATATATACAATAAGTGATATGTCCCAATTAATAAGTGTCTTAGATTAGATGAAATCTGAAAGTAACTCCTCAGTTGGCCTACAGTAATCTTCAGAGTGACTTTTCCAGTCTTATTTCCTACCCCCAACACACATAACACAGAAAGTACATCCTATCACAAAAATGACTTACTCCTTTCCCTTATCACCATACTTTCAGGCCTTTGTGCCTTTGCACATGTTCCTTCTTTCTGTCCCTCCCATTTATTCCTCAAAATCCTATCACCTCCTCTGGGAAGCCTGTCCTGAATCCCTCTGCTCTTCTGGCAGTTAATTAATCCCTCTCTTTGGCTGGAGACTCATAACTCTGTAATGTGACTGCTACTATTAATACTTACATCTATTGCTTTGCTTTGTCTTCCCTCTAGACTTCAGCACAGAAACTGGATCATATTTATGTTTGAAGCTCGAGCACTTAGGATATATAAGACACAATAAACATACAATGAAAGAACTACTGAGAACATTAAGTCAGGGGATGCTTACTGTTTGAGTACATCTTACCTTTTCTGTAGGATAGGCACCAGCTTGAACTTTTTGTGTCAGTGATTTCACTTGTGCAGTTACAGCCATCACCTGAAATTAGCCCAAATAAAACAAGTGATTAGATTATATCAAATTATGTCTGCAAACTGTGAAGAGCAAAAGCTAAACAATGCCACCTAAAAATTATCTGAAACACTGTCTAAAGTATAGTACTATCTTCTCACTTCTCGGAAAGCATAGGAGAGATGGTTCTTCAAAAAGTTTAAAAAAAAAAAAACTTTCCACTTCTTAAAGAAGAGACCATCTTTTACTGAACCACAGGGAGGAGAAAAGGACTGAGAGAGTAGTGACTGAAGCACTGTAATTTTGTTTGTACTAGTTGAACTTACAATGCATAGAACTACATAACTCCCCGACTTATGACTTAATTTCCACTTTACGAGGGTGTAAAAGAAATATGCATTCGGTAGAAACCGTCCTTTTCTCGTGATGCTGGGCAGCGGCATCAAGCCTAAATTTCGACTTATGAGGTTTTCGAATTACAATGGGTTTATCAGGCCATAACCTCCATCGTTAAGTCGAGAAGCATCTGTATATAAGTGTGTATTACCTGGGCACCCAAAGGGCAAGTCATGTTACCATTCCAAGCACTGGTTTCCTTAGCTATATGAATAAAGGAAAACTATTCATATAATTTCTTTTTGGAGTTTCTTGTATTCCCTTGGGTGCAGAATCAATTACTTAGAATTCTGGCGTGAAAAGGTTTTGATTACATCATTTTACTCTAAGGTTTTTGGAAGCATTCACGTATCTCAATCACCAAAGTTTTGAGGTGAAGTACACAAACTCAAAGCCAATCCGTGACTAATTTATTCCAGAGGCGACACTACTCACTTGCTCCTGGAGATTTTTCAGAAGTGTCACGGCACTTGGCAGGTCGGACTCCAGCACCCCCTACAGAAGGGAGAGGAGGCGTAAAGAAAAGTCATTCTTTCCTCAGGATTATAGGAAAGTGGAACGTCTAGGGTGGGAAACTGCCCTCTCTCCGTCAGACACCCAGACTCGGGGCCTTCACACTCGGGTTCACAGACTCGCCTTAAAGCCAGCCCCTTGGGTTACCGGACAGGAACGGTAACTCTAGGGAGGCCGCCTCCCTGAAGCAACTTTCATCACCACCCTTCCCTGGTACCAACAGTTTGCCTCCAGCCGCTGAAGGCAAAGGACAACTCCACAATAGCTACGCGAGGAAGAAACCACACCAAACTCACCAGCGCCGCCATCTTCGCAAAGCCCACCCCTTCCGGTGTCGTACTTCCTGAGCGCTAAGGGCGACTTGATAGATTTGATAGACAACTGCCGCTTGCAAATCTAAGCCAATACGAATAAGGGCTTTCTCACTTCCGCCCCCAACAGGATAAACGAGAGGAGGAGTCTGATCTGGCCAATGGAATAAAGGAACTGGCTAAATTCGTCAGACTCAGAAAGAGTCGTCAGGACGAAAAAAAGCACTTGGCAAAGAGCGTGTGATTGGTAGACTGAGTAAAATGATTGACGGCAAGCCAATAAGAGACAGTCAAATAATTGATTGACAGTTGGAAGGACCAATAGAAAAAAGGAATTAGCAGAGCGAACTTAGCGCGTATTGGCTCCCGTCTGCCGCAGCACCCAGAGTCTTTTTTCACGGCACTTTTCTTGTAGTGCGTGAACCGGCCGCTAGGTGATGGGCCTTGGCTTGGCTTTGCGGTGTCGACATTGCAGAGCCGCCATTGCTGGCTGCTCATCCAACGGCCACCGCGCCAAATGCCTTACAGACCCGGTGGCCCTGGAATCGATTCTGTAACACTACTCCTTGTGTGACCGTGGACAAGTCACTCGGTCTCTGAGCCTTCTTCATCTGTAAATAAGAGAGCGAGGCTAGAGAAGCCCAGAGCCAGAGTTTAGAAACCGAGTGCGAGGACACCTGCCCTCTTGGTGTGCACTGTGGAGCGCTGAGAAACGGCTCCAATAACGCCCCGACACTCTTCGCTCCTACCAGTTTGGGGACATGAAAAGAATACGTTTTACAAATTGGGGAACGGTTCATATTTACATGACTTACCGCGGTCACACAGGTCTTCAGCAGAACTTGGTTCAAACTCTGGCAGTGCATGTTTCAGTATAACCTGCCTCATCATTACCCAGTGCTTTCAGATGTGTTCTCTCACTCTGGTTTTTCACAAGCTGGTGAAGTAGGTTGGACGGATACTCATTGTTCCCATCCCATGCCTTAGGAAATAAAGCACCGAAAGGGTGAATGATAGTGTATAATTTTTTGTTCACAACTCGTCCAACAGAGCTGGGTCTAGAAATCAGATCTTACCGACTTGAAGCTGTCTTTTGGAATTAAGAATAACACCTGTATCTGGGCAGGTGAGGTAAGGAAATCCTGGTATCTAGATCTTGCTGGATTCAAGAAGGCAGGAGGGTGTTCAGTCCCCACTCCTCTAACATTTAATTTGCTGCTTCAGGCCCACTGTGGAAGCTCAGGATGCTGTTGCAGCATACTTAGTCAATTATCCAGTAGCTTTTGTAATGTTTTATCAAGATTTGTATTATGAAAAGTTTCTATTTCTACATAAATTTTCGGACCTGTCTAATTAGATCAGCAATAAACTTTTCCTTTTCGGGGAATTTGAAATTTAGTTTGTTCATATGCTTTATGATAGCAATGAGAAAACAAATTGCACTGCCATATTTTGGGTTTTTTTGAGACCGAGTCTCGCTCTGTTGCCCAAGCTGGAGTGCAGTGGCGCGATCTCGGCTCACTGCAACCTCCGCCTCCCGGGTTCAAGCGATTCTCCTGTCTCGCCCTCCCGAGTAGCTGGGACTACAGGCACTTGCCACCACGCCCGGCTGATTTTTTTTTTTTTTTTTTTTTTTTTAGTAGAGACAGGGTTTCACCATGTTAGCTAGGATGGTCTCGATCTCCTGACCTCATGATCCACCCGCCTCAGCCTCCCAAAGTGCTGGGATTACAGGCGTAAGCCACCGCGCCCGGCCTTTTTTTTTTTTTTTTTTTTTGAGCGGAGTCTCATACTGTTGCCCAAGCTGGAGTGCAGTGCCGCGATCTTGGCTCACTGCAACCTCTGCCTCCCTGTTCAAGCGATTCTCCTGCCTCAGCCTCCTGAGTAGCTGGGATTACAGGCACCCGCCACCATATCCAGCTCATTTTTTGTATTTTTAGTAGAGACGGGGTTTCTACTAAACCATGGTTGGCCAGGCTGGTCTCAAACTCCTGACCTCACTATCCACCTGCCTCGGCCTCCCAAAGTGCTGGGATTACAGGCATGAGCCACTGCTCCCGGCCTTGATTATTAAAATAATTGTCCACCAGGAACGGTGACTTGAACCTGTAGTCCCAGCTACTCTGGAGGCTGAGGCAGGAGAATCACTTGAGCCCATGTCAAGGCAGCAGTGAGCCATGATCGTGCCACTGCACTCCAGCCTGGGTGACGGAGCAAGACCCTATCTCTAAAAAAAAGGTGAAAGAGGGAGACCCCATCTCTAAAAAAATAAAATACTTGTCAACTATAGGGGCAGAAAAGTGTGATACCTTTCCTCACCCATCATAAGGGTCATAGAAGACACTCCTATAACAAAAGAAGTTAACAAGAAAAAAGTTTGATGAATTTATTGAAAGTTTTACATGACACGGGAGCCTTCAGAAATGAAGATTCCATTTTTATGGTTAGGTTTGATGAAGAATGGACAGCGTGTAGAAATGTGATAGGACAAAAAGAGTATGATCTGACAGAACTAGACTGAGGGGGGAATCCCAGCAAGGCCTGTCTGTTCAGATTTTTCTTAGCCTCTCTAGATAGCAATCCTTTGGGGTATAGGGAATGCGAAAGGAAAATAACTTGGGACCCCAGTTCACTATGCCAAAAGAAAAAAATTAAGCTCAACGGAGTCATGCAAGCAACTGCCTTTGCTATTGTTCCTAAGCGGATAGCTACAGATAAAATGTTAAATATCTCTACAAGTATTTACTGTGTGTTCACCTTATCTTGTGTGCCGATTTACTGAGCCTGAGACAAATACCAATTGACTATTCCCCTACCTGCTCCTTTTCTCTTGCAACATGTGGATTAATGTACCCTCCCTCTTTCTCCTCCAGCCTACTTTTCCCCTTTTAATAGTGAAGCCCTGAAAGTCATCTTTGGAGAAAGGCACAAGCCTCACTCCCAGACACGTCCTTAATCTTGGCAAAATAAACTGCTAAATTGATTGAGACCTGTTTCAGATACTTTCTGGTTTACAGGGAGGACCCCTCCAAAATGAGGATTTATGACTGACCATCAAATGAGGAAGTCAGAGAATATTTTTTACGGCTAGCTCCTAGCAGAAAGGTGAGAGAAATTTAGAGTAAAATTTTTAGGTTTTATGGCTGGTTTGGGGGACAGAGCTTCCAGTTTTTTTGTTGTTTTGTTTTTGTTTTTGTTTTTTTTGAGACGGAGTCTCGCTCTGTCACCCAGGGTGGAGTGCAGTGGCGCGATCTCAGCTCACTGTAACCTCTGCCTCCTGGGTTCAAGCGATTCTTCTGCCTCAGCCTCCCAAGTAGCTGGGATTACAGGCATATGCCACCACGCCCAGCTAATTTTTGTATTTTTAGTAGAGATAGGGTTTCACCGTATTGGCCAGGTTGGTCTCGAACTCCTGACCTCGTGATCCACCCACCTCGGCCTCCCAAAGTGCTGGGATTACAGGCATAAGCCACCACACCCAGCCCTGGGGTTCCAGTTTTTAAAACCTGCATTAGGGAAGACGAATTCTAATTTTTTTTTTCTTTTTTTTTTTTTTTTTGAGACGGTGTCTTGCTCTGTTGCCAGGCTGGAGTCAGTGGCGCGATTTCAGCTCACTGCAACCTCCACCTCCTGGGTTCAAGCAATTCTTCTGCCTCGGCCTCCTGAGTAGCTGGGATTACAGGCATGCGCCACCACGCCTCGCTAATTTTTTTTTGTATTTTTGGTAGAGTCGGGGTTTCACCACATTGGCCAGGCTGGTCTCGAACTCTTGACCTTGTGATCCACCGGCCTTGGCCTCCCAAAGTACTGGGATTACAGGCATGAGCCACCACGCCCGGCCTTTGTTTTTTGTTTTTTAGACAGATTCTCGCTCTGTTGCTGAGGCTGGAGTGACTGGAGTGCAATGGCACGATCTCTGCCCACTGCAGCCTCTGCCACGATGCCCGGCTAATTCTTGTATTTTTAGTAGAGATGGGGTTTCGTCACATTGGCCAGGCTGGTCTCAAACTCCTGGCCTCAAGTGATCTGCCCACCTCAGCCTTCCAAAGTGCTGGGGTTACAGGTGTGAGCCACCACGCCCAGCCAGAATTCTAGTTTCTATGGCTTGCCTTGCAGCAGAAGGAAGGGCAGCAGACAAGAGGGCAGGAGAAGGTCAGAGAAAGACTTTGCTTCTGAGGCTGCTTCTAAGGCCTTCCAATCTCCTTTAGTTCAAAGTGCTTAGCATGCCAAAGTGCCATACTCTGGAGTATCGTTTTCTGAGCCCTGACACAATCATTCCTTTTGTTACAAGAGAATCTTGGAGCTAACAGTACAATAAATCTTTGTAAAGCTCTTCTACCACTCAACCAACAAGCATTGGCAAAGAATACAAGATCATTAAATTTATTGTCTTCTATTTCTTTCAACAGTTTCATAAACTGGCAATCGTCCATAATATTTCAAGTATATACTGAGAAAAGTTTTTAACAGCTATATTGAGATTTAATATACATATCATACAATTCACTATTTAAAGGATACAGTTCAGTGGGGTTGGGCATGGTGGCTTGCACCTGTAATCCCAGCACTTTGGGAGGCTGAGGCAGGAGGATCACTTGAGGCCTGGAGTTTGAGACCAGCCTGGGGAGCATAGTGAAACCCATCTCTACAAAAAAAAAAAAAAATTGTTTTGATTTAAAAAATCATAGAATTCAGTGGCTTTTAGTATATTCACAGAGTTGTGCAAATATAACCATAACAATTTTAGAACATTTTTACAATGTTCCAAAAAAAACCCAGTATCCATTAGTAGTCACTTCCCCTTTTTTTCCCAACCCTCTAACCCTCAGCTCTAGACAACCACTAATCAACTTTGTATCCCTGTAGCTTTGTCTATTCTGAACATATCCTTAATGTGGAATTATGTAATGTGTAGTCTTTTGTGACTGGCTGCTTTCACTTAGCATAATGTTGTCAAGGTTTATCCATATTGTAGTGTATATCACTACTTTATTCCTTTTTACTGCTGACTAATATTTCATGGTATAGATATACTTCATTTTATTTATCCATTCATCAGTTGATGGGCATTTGGGTTGTTTCCACGTTCTGGCTAAGTAGTGCTGCTATAAACATTTGTAGCCAAATTCCTATGGGAACATATGTTTTCGATTCTTTTGGGTTTACATCTAGGAGTAGAGTTGCTGGGTCATACAGTAACTCTATGTTTAACCATTTGAGGAACTGCCAGACTGTTTTCCAAAGGGCTGCACTATTTTACATTTCCACCAGCAATAAAACAGTTCCAATTTTTCCACATCCTTGCCAACATCTGCTATAATCTATAATCTTAATTATAGTTACTCTAGTGAGTTACTCCAGTGTCTTATTGAGGTTTTGATTTGCATTTCCCTAATGTCTTACGATGTTGGACATCTTTTCATGTGCTCATGGGCCACGTGAGTATCTTTGAAGAACTGTCGGCTGGGCATGGTGGCTCACGCCTGTAATCCCGGCACTTTGGGAGGCCGAGGCGAGCGGATCACGAGGTCAGGAGTTCAAGACCAGCCCGGCTAATATGGTGAAACCCCATTTCTGCTAAAAATACAAACATTAGCTGGGTGTGGTGGCACATGCCTGTAGTCCCAGCTATTGGGAGGCTGAGGCAGAAGAATTGCTTGAACCCAACCCAGGAGGCAGAGATGGCAGTGAGCCGAGATTGCGCCAATGCACGCCAGCCTGGGTGACAGAGCAAGACTCCGTCTCAAAAAGAAAAAAAAAGAACTGTCTGTTCAGATCATTTTTAAATTGAGTTGTCTTTTTATTATTGGTCGTAAGAGTTCTTTCCATATTCTAGACACAAACCCCTTATTAGATACATGATTTGCAAATATTTTCTCCCACTTTATTTTGTCTTTTCACTTGCTTAGTGGTATTATTTGGAGGACAAAATTGTTTAAGTTTGTTTTGTTTTGTTTTGTTTTGCTTTTTGAGATGGAGTCTCGCTCTGTCACTCAGGCTGGAGTACAGTGGCACGATCTTGGCTCACTGCAACCTCCACCTCCCGGATTCAAGTGATTCTCCTGCCTCAGCTTCCCAAGTAACTGGGATTGCAGGCATGCACCACCATGCCTGGCTAATTTTTTGTACTTTTAGTAGAGACGGGGTTTCACCATGTTGGCCAGGCTGGTCTTGAACTCCTGACCTCAAGCAATCCACCTGTCTCAGCCTCCCAAAGTGCTATGATTACAGGTGTGAGCCACGATGCTTGGCCTTTTTTTTTTTTTTTTTTTGAGACAGTGTCTCGCGCTGTCACCTGGGCTGGAGTGCACCAGCATGATTTCAGCTCACCACATCCTTGACCTCCCTGCCTCAAGTGATCCTGCAGCCTCACCCCCCATAGCTGAGACTACAGGTATGTACCACCACGCCCAACTAATTTTTGTGGGTTTTTTTTTTTTTCACAGAGACAGATTTTTGCCATGTTGCCCAGCCTAGTCTCAAACTCTTGGTTCAAGGAATCCTCCTGCCTCGGCCTCCCAAAGTGCTGGGATTACAGGTGTTAGCCACCATGCCTGGCCAAGATTTTAATTTTTATGAAGTCCAATTTACCTTTTTTTGGGGGGTGGGGGCGGAGTGTTGCTTGTGTTTTAGGTATCATATCTAAGAAATTGTTGCTTAGGCAACAAGTTCATGAAGATTTACACTTATGTTTTCTCCTAAGAGTTCAAAAATTGACTCAAAATGGATCGAAGACCTAATGTAAGATCCACTTTACTTTTACACTGTTGGTGGGACTGTAAACTAGTTCAACCATTGTGGAAGTCGGTGTGGCGATTCCTCAGGGATCTAGAACTAGAAGTACCATTTGACCCAGCCATCCCATTACTGGGTATATACCCAAAGGACTATAAATCATGCTGCTATAAAGACACATGCACACGTATGTTTATTGCGGCACTATTCACAATAGCAAAGACTTGGAACCAACCCAAATGTCCAACAATGATAGACTGGATTAAGAAAATGTGGCACATATACGCCATGGAATACTATGCAGCCATAAAAAAATGATGAGTTCATGTCCTTTGTAGGGACATGGATGAAATTGGAAATCATCATTCTCAGTAAACTACCGCAAGGACAAAAAACCAAACACCGCGTGTTCTCACTCATAGATGGGAATTGAACAATGAGAACACATGGACACAGGAAGGGGAACATCACGCTCTGGGGACTGTTGTGGGGTGGGGGGAGGGGGCAGGGATAGCATTAGGAGATATACCTAAAGCTAAATGACGAGTTAATAGGTGCAGCACACCAGCATGTCACATGTATACATATGTAACTAACCTGCACATTGTGCACATGTACCCTAAAACTTAAAGTATAATAATAAAAAAAAAGTCAATTTTTGTGTGTGGTGTGAAGTAGGGGTCTGCCCTCATTCCTTTGCATGTGAATATTCAGTTGTTCCAGCAACATTTTTTGAGAAGACTATTCTTTCCTTGTTGATCATTTCCTCAAGGGTCTCGGGACCCTTGTTAAAAATCAACTGGGCATAAATGGCCGGGTGCAGTGGCTCACACCTATAATCCCAGCATTCTGAGAGGCCAAAGCGGGCAGATCACTTGAGGTCAGGATTTCAAGACCAGCCTGAGCAACATGATGAAACCCTGTCTCTACCAAAAAAATAAAATACAAAAATTAGCCATGTGTGGTGGCACACACCTGTAGTCTAAGCTATTCAGGAGGCTGAGGCAGGAGAATAGCTTGAATCCAGGAAATGGAGATTGCAATGAGCCAAGATTGTGCCACTGCACTTCAGAGTAGGCAACAGAGTGAGACCCTGTCTCAAAAAAAAAAAAAAAATCAATTGGCTATAAATGTACATGTGTATTTCTGGACTCTCAATTCTATTCCATTAATCTGTATGTCTGTCTTGATGCCAGTACCACACTATCTTGATTACTGTATATTTGTAATAAGTTTTGAAATTAGGAAATGTAAGTCCTCCAATTTTGTTATTAGTTTTTTTAATAGAGACAGAGCTTTGCCATTTTGACCAGGCTGGTCTTGAACTCCTGGCCTCAAGCGATCCACCTGCCTCAGCCTCCCAAAGTGCTGGGATTACAGGCGTGAACCACAATACCCAGCCTAACAATTTTGTTATTTTTCAATATTATTTGGCTATTCTGGGTCCCTTGCATTTCCATATGAATTTTACGATCAGCTTGTCAATTTTTGTCCAAAAAGGACAACTGGAATTTTGATAGGGATTGCAGTGAATCTGTAGATCCACTTGGAGAGTACTTCCATGTTAATTACATTAAGCCTTCAGATCTATGAATATGAGACATCTTTCCATTTGTTTAGGTCTTCTTTAATTTCTTTCAACAATATTTTGTAGGTTTTAGGGTATAAGTTTTGCATTTCTTCTGCTAAATTTATTGCTGTTTTCAAAATTATTTTTCATGTCATATTATGTTCCTATGACTGCATTTACAAATTACCATAAACTTGGTGGCTTAAAACAACAGGAATTTATTATGTCATCATCCAGGAGGCTAAAGGTTCAAAATCAGTTGAATTTGTCTGAAATCAAGGTGTCAACAGGGCCACACTCCCTCTGGAGGCTCTAGAGGAGAACTTGTTTTTTGACCCTTTCAAGCTGATGGCTGACAGCATTCCTTGACTTGTGGCCATGTCACTCCAGTCTCTGCCTCCTTGGTCACATTGCCTACTCTTCTGTGTTGTCAAATCTCCTCTGCCTCTGTTTTATAAGGACACTTGTGATTGGATTTAGGGCCCACTTGGATAATCCAGAATAATCTCCCTAAGGTAACCTCCTTGATTTTATCACATTTGTAAAGACCCTTTGTTCTTATAAGGTAACATTTCCAGGTTCTAGAGATTAGGACTTGGTATTTTGGGATGGCCATTATTCAGTTCTTGCAGATCCTATTGTAAATGGAACTGTGTTTTAATTTTATTTCTTGATTGTTCATTGCCAGTATGTAGAAATCCAATTGATTTTTGTATATTAATCTTGTGCCCTGCAACTCTGCTGAACTCATTTATGGTTTTTTTTTTGTTCTGTTTTGTTTTGTTTTGAGACAAAGTCTCACTCTGTCGCCGAGGCTGGAGTGCAGTGGCACTGTGTCGGCTCACTGCAACCTCCGTCTCCTGGGTTCAAGCAATTCTCCTGCCTCAGCCTCCCGAGTAGCTGGGATTACAGGCGTCCACCACCACGCCCGGCTAGTTTTTATATTTTTAGTAGAGACAGGGTTTCACCATGTTGGCCAGGCTGATCTTGAACTCCTGACCTCAGGTGATCCGCCCGCCTTGGCCTCCCAAAGTGCTGGGATTCTAGGCATGAGCCACCGCGCCTGGCCTAGCTGAACTCATTTATTATTCTAATTGTGTTTTAGTGGATTCCTTAGAATTTTCTATATATAAAATCATGTCATCTGCAAGTAGAATTTTACTTCCTTCTTTCCATTCTGGATGCCTTTGATCTCATTGCCTTGGCTAATTGCCCTGACTCCAATACAATGTTGAATAGAAGTGGCAAGAGTGGACATCCTAGGCTTCCTACTCCTGATCTTATGGGGAAAACATTAAGTCTTTCACTATTAAGTATTATGTTAACTGTGGAGTTTCAATAAATGCCCTTTATCAGGCTGAGGAAGTTTCCTTCTATTCCTAGTTTGTTAAGTGTTTTTATCCTGAAAAGGTGTTGTATTTTGCCAAATGCTTTTTCTATGTCTATTGAGATGATCATGTGATTTTTGTTCTTGATTCTGTTGCTACTGTGTGTTACATTAATTGACTTTCAAATGTTAAGCTAGCCTTACATTCCTGGTGTAAATCCTAGTTGGTCATGGTATATAATCCTTTTTATGTGCTGATGGATGCAATTTGCTTATATTTTGTTAAGAACCTTTACATCTATATTCATAAGAAATATTGCTCTGTATTTTTCTTTTCTTGTGATGTCTTTGTCTAGTTTTGATGTCAGGGTAATATTGGCCTCATAAACATGAGTTGGGAAGTGCTGAGAAATTTTTAACAACCATATCCATGAATTTTTCATACAGTCTGTTTCAGAAAGTTGAACACGAATATTTTAAATATGTATCATGTGGTATGATAAAACAATAATGGAAACACCAGTCTCTTGTTTTAAAATTCCAATACATTTGAACTTTTAACCTAACATGGCTGGAGCGCCATCCATTTTGATATAAACCACACTTTTTATATCTAGCAAAATTATTCTATGCCATGAGTTTAATTTGGGGGGGAGCCACATATTTCTTTGTAAATTTAGAAGTCTTTTGAGACCAATAAAACAAAACAAAACAAAAAGCCAAAAGTATTAATTGGGCAGTATCTCATACTGCATAATTCATCTAAAGCTAAAGAAAAGTACTTGCAATTTTTGAAATTTTGAATCATTTGAATTTTTTTTTTTTTTGAAACAGAGTCTTACTCTGTCACCCAGGCTGGAGTGCAGTGGTATGATCTTGGCTCACTGCAACCTCTGCCTCCGGGTTTAATCAATTCTCATGCCTCAGCCTCCCGAGTAGCTGGGATTACAGGCATACACCACAACTCCTGGCTAATTTTTTTTATTTTTAGTAGAGACAGGGTTTTGTCATGTTGGCCAGGCTGGTCTTGAACTCCTGACCTCATTTGATCAGCCCGCCTCGGCCTCCCAAAGTGCTGGGATTACAGGCGTGAGCCACCACTTCCGGCCTGAATCATTTGAATTTTGACTTTGTTAGAGGTGTCTTGAATTCTATAGCAACTGTTTTGTCTCCAATTGGAGAGCCTTCATTTAAAAAAATTTTTCTAGACTTTTCCCTATAATTTTCTGACAAAATTTTCATAACCGAAACAACAGATTCTTTTACATCTCCATCTAAAAATGGTCTTCTTTTTTGTGTAAGAATCTAAGCCATTTTATTGCTCAATAAAGTTACAAGCTCAGATTCTGTTAATTTTTTTTAAATTTTTGGACATTTAATTTTGATTTCAGGAGACTAATTTTATCAATTCATTTTGATTATTGAACAGAAATTTAAAAATCAAGTTCACTATGTATTTATTGAAAGTTTCTCTTAATATTTTGTCCATTTTATTATCTTAAAATTTTTTTACGCAAGGAACAACTTTTTTTCCCCCATTTTGCTTTGCTACTGCAAATTGCTATTGCCATCCATGGTGACATTTATAATCACTCACATTTGAAGTGATTATTGATATATTTGAATTATATATTTACCATGTGTGTAATTGTTTTGTATTCACTACACTTTTTTGTTTTTTAAAAATTCTTCCCTCTTTTTCTGCCTTCTCTGGTTTTAATTGAGCATTTCATGGGATTCCATTTTCTCTCCACTCAGCATATCTAAAGGAAAACTGTTTCTCTACTCACAAGACTTCTGATACCAAATATGTAAGGTTTTCACACAGAGCAATTTAGCTAAGTGTGCTAAAATTTAATCCATTCTGATACTAACTACCTGGAGTTAGCACAAATCCCACAGGTTAAAGACTTAGTCCCACAAGACTGCCCCACCTCCACATCAGATGCCAGTTACAAGTAATGGATCCCCAGGTTACCCACACTTCTCTCTCACTGGACTACAAATTGAGGATTCCCATGACCCCCTCCTCAGACTCAGTAATTTGTTTTAATGGCTCACAGAACGCAGGGAATCTCTTTACTTACCTTTACCAGTTTATTATGAAGGCTATCATAAAGGATACAGATGACTCACTGAAAAGGCACGTAGAGCAAAGTCCAGATAGGTCCTGCGCACAGGAGCTTCTGTCCCCATGGACTTGAGGTGCACCCTCCTCCCAGCATATGGATGTGTTCACCAACCTGGAAACCTTCTCAACCTCATCATTTGAAGTTTTTATGGAGGTTCCATTACATAGGCATGATTGATTAAGTCATTAGCCATTGTGATTGACTCAATCTCTAGCCTCTCTTCCTTCTCTGGAAGTTGGGCAGAGGGGGTGGGTGCTGAAAGTTCCAACCTGTTTCAATCCATTCTGCCACTGCAACAAAACCATCACAGACTGGGTAATTTATAAATAATAGAAATTTATTGGCCCGGCGCAGTGGCTCATGCCTGTAATCCCAGTACTGTGGGAGGTTGAGGCTGGCAGATCACCTGAGGCCAGGAGTTTGAGACCAGCCTGACCAACATGGAGAAACCCCGTCTCTACTAAAAATACAAAATTAGCTGGGCGTGGTGGTGCGTGCTGGTAATCCCAGCTACTCAGGAGGCTGAGGCAGGAGAATCGCTTGAACCCGGGAGGCGGAGGTTGCAGGGAGCCGAGATCGCACCATTGCACTCCAGCCTGGGCAACAAGAGCGAAATTCCGTCCCAAAAAAATAAAAGAAAAAAGAAATTTATTTCTCACTGTTTTGGTAGCTAGGAAGTCCAGGATGAAGGCACTGGCTGACTTGGTGTTTGGCAAGGGCTTGCTTTCTGCTTCCAAGAAGGTGCTTTGTGGCTGTGGCTCCATCCTCTGGAGGGGACATATGTTGTGTCCTCACTTGGCAAAAGAGCAGAAGGGCGAAAGGGATGAATGTTCTCCCTCAGGCTGTTTTATAAGGGTACTAATCTCATCCACAAGGAGGAGCTCTCATGGCCTGGTCACTCCCAAGGTCCCCAACTCTTAATAATGTCATCTTGTGGGAGCTATAGTCCAACACATGAATTTTGCAGGGACACATACATTCAAACCATAGCCCTCTAATCACATAGTTTGTCCCTCTGCCAGTCAGCCCCATCCTCCAAGGGTCACTTCATTAACATAAGACCAGGTATGGTTGTAAGGGGCTTACTATAAATAACAATAACTACCACCTCTATCACCCTGGATATTCCAAGGATTCGAGCTACTCTGTGTGAGGAACTGGGGACAAACATAAAATATTAATTTATTGTATTACACTAGGAGCTCTGTATCAGAAACCAGGGATAAAGACCAAATATATATTTCTTATCATATCACTATATCACGTACACTTCTGGGTTTGTTTGTTGAGATGGAGTTTCACTCTTGTCTCCCAGGCTGAAGTGCAATGGCACGATCTCAACTCACTGCAACATCTGCCTCCCAGGTTCAAGCGATTCTCCTGCCTCAGCCTCCCAAGAAGCTGGGATTACTGGCGTGCGCCACTATGCCCAGCTAATTTTTGTATTTTTAGTAGAGACGGGGTTTTCCCACATTGCCCAGGCTGGTCTCGAACTCCTGACCTCTGGTGATCCACCCACCTTGGCCTCCCAAGTGCTGGGATTACAGGCGTGAGCCACCATGCACAGCCCCAGTTACACTTCTTACAAAAATTTTTTAGTGGTTGCCTTAGGATTTGCAATATACATTTACAACTAATCGAAATCCACTTTCAAATAATATTCTGTCTCACGGTTAATGCAGGTACCTTATAATATAACAGAGTATTCCTAATTCCTCCCTCCCTTCTCTACTAACATTGCTATAATTCATCGAACCACTTGTTCATGTGCTCTAATCACCCAATCCATTGCTGCTATTATTACTTTGAACAAACAGTTATCTATTAGATCTGATAGGATTAAGAAAAAGATTTATTTTATCTTCATCTTTTGCCTTCTCTGATGTTCTTCTTTCTTTATGTAGATGCAAGTTTCTGATTTATGTAATCGTCTTTTAGCATTTCTTGAGAGGCAGGTCTGCTGGTGACAGATTCCCTCACTTTTGTTTGTTTGAGAACTTTTTTTTTTTTTTTTTAACTGGAGTAGCCTCCATTCTCCAAAATAGAAAGGGTCCCCTGAGGAAGTCTTTATTTTCTCTTCACTTTTGAGAGATAATTTCATTGTATTCAAAATTTTAGTTTGGGTGGATTTTTTTTTCAACACTTTAAATATTTCACTTTACTCTCTTTTTGCATGCAGATTTCTGACAAGAAATTACATTTTCATTCTTATCCATTCCTCTATAGGTAATTTTTTTCTCTTCTTTAAGATTTTCTCTTTGTCTTTGGTTTTTGCAATTTGAATATGATATGCCCAGGTATAGGGTTTTTTTTGGTATTTATCCTGCTTTGATATTTTTGTCTAATCTTCCTGCATTTATGGTTTGGTTTCTGTCATTAATTTAAAAAAATTCTCAGCTTTTTTTTTTTTTTTAGATGAAGTCTCGCTCTGTCACCAGACTGGAGTGCAGTGGCGTGATCTCGCTCACTGCAACCTCTGCCTCCTGGGTTCAAGTGATTCTCCTGCCTCAGCCTCCCAAGTAGCTGGGACTATAAGCACCCACCACCACACCTGGCTAATTTTTGTATTTTTAGTAGAGAGAAGGTTTCACCATGTTGGTCAGGCTGGTCTTGAACTCCTGACCTTGTGATCCGCTCGCCTCGGACTCCCAAAGTGCTGGGATTACAGGAGTGAGCCACTGCACCCAGCCTGCCATTATTACTTCAAATATTTATTCTGCCCATTTCCTTCTCCTTCTGGTATTTCCATTACACATAATTACATATTTTGTAATTGTCCCACAGTTCTTGAATATAGTTACTTTTCTTTTTGCATTTCAGTTTGGGAAGTTTCCATTGACATATCTTCAAGCTCATTGAATATTTCCTCAGCCATGTCCAGTCTACTAATCCATCAAGGCATTCTTCTTTTTGGTCAGTGTTTTTGACTCTAACGTTTCCTTTTGATTCTTTCCTAAAGTTCTCATCTCTCTGCTTTACATTACCCATCTGTTCTTGAATATTATCCACTTTTTTTCCATTAGAGTCCTTAGCATATTAATCATAGTTAATTTAAATTTCCACTCCAATAATGTATTAATCATGTTTTTTAATTTTCTGTATTTTATGAGGTTTTGACATCTTAGGGGCCTGCTAATCCTGGAAAGACTGCCTCTTCCAGAGCTAACTAATTTCTAGAGGCAGTAAACAACTTGCCCATGAGCATCCAGCAAACCAACCAATCCAAAGCTTGTATCCCTAACCACCTCCTTTATCTAACTCTTGCACACCAAGCCAGTACTTCCCCTGCCCTAATTAATCCCAGGGCCAGAGACCAGACAACTAGAGATCACTGCTGTAACACAGAGCCTGCTGAAATTGTCCAGACTTGTCAAAGCTAAGCTATTTACCTTGCCCTGCCTTCCTTTCCTGTGGGAAACACAATAAAGGCTTGTGTCCATGCTTTTCTCTCTCTGTCTACCTCCTGACTGAACCGGATGCTTCTCCATCTGGCCCTGTGTGGCATGAGTTGTCCCCTCCCCTTAAGAACTGTAATAAGCTCTTCTTTCAAGGCAGTTGTCTCCATGTTTGTCATTTTACCATACTTGATTGAAACAAAATCTTCAGTACATTTTAAAACAGATAATACCAAAATCTCTGCCACATCTGAGTCTAGTTCTGATGCTGGCTATGTCTCTTTGGATTGTATTTTTTCTTGTCTTTTAGCACGCCTTGTAATTTTTTGCTGAAAGCAGACATGGTAATAGGAATTGAGGTAGACTGTGTGTGAAGTTTTATTTTTATTTTTATCTGACCAGGAGTTAGACTGTGTTTAGTTTGCTGCAGCAGTAGGTGTCAAAGATTTTAATTTCTTCTAAAGTCCTTGTGTTTGCCTCCTCTGTTGTCTTTGAGTTTCCTTAGAAACTCCTTCGTAAATAGAATCTAAGCCTTGCAGCCCTGTCAGCTATAATCCACTTTTACTATTCAGGAGTCCTGTTGATGTGGTAGCAAGATACTGGGTAGGAGAGCATTCTATAGTCCCATGATTGGAGCTCAGTATTTTAGTGGACCTGTGACTCTAGACTGTAACCTTCATAATTGCTTCTTAGGGTATTTTTTTGTTTTGTTTTGTTTTGTACCTCATATGTGAGATAAGAAGTCCAGAATGAATTGTTTCTTAGGGTATTTTTTTGTTTTGTTTTGTTTTTTACCTCATATGTGAGACAGGAAGTCCAGAATGTGATGGAGCTAGATAATTTCCCTTTCCCCAAGTAAAAGAAGACATCGGCAAAGGCTTTCCCCCTGCTGGATAGGCCTTAGTTGTGGAGAAAGCTCTGGTTTTATTTCTAAATGGTCACTTTACCCTCGCCCTGCCAAACATAAGGATATTTCTCTCCATTCTTCATCATGAGAACCTGGTGGGAGGTAAAACTCATGAAAGTGTGGGTTCTCCCCTTAGACTGGGGTCCCAGGAGTTTTTAACTCTCAAGCTAATTCACGCTCAGCCTCTGGCAATTCATCGAAGTTACCATTTAGGTGTTCCTGTCAGTTACTGGTTCCAGCACCTCCTGCTTCAGGTAAGCTGGCTTGTATTCTCCGTATTCACCCGTCTCTCCAGTTTTCAGGGTGATAGTTTGTCCTGTAGCCAAAATTCTCTGATAGAACTAAGAAAAGTTGTAGGTTTTCAGTTCAGCTTTCTTCTTGCTTTGAGAATGAGAGTGACCGACTTATAATCTCTTTACATGTTGGAGTGTTCACAATCAGAAGTGTTCCCACTAGATTCTATGTTAGTAACATGCCTTCGTTTTAAACTAAAACATTTTGTACATACTTATTTTTCAACTATAAAAATGTTATATTTATTAAATTAAAATAATAAGTATTTCAATTTAATTACCAATTATGACTCTATATAGGTATCACTATAACCATGCTGTCTATATCAAATATTCAAATAAACACATTATAATGTTAAATTAGTGTGAGAAAAACGCACTGGAGCAAATCAATCTATTGACAACAACTAGTTTGGTGATGTTTGTGTATACACTAGAAACAACACATATTCTTGATATGTTACTATAATACGACAATATCTTATGTTGATCGTTGAAGTAAAACAATCCTACCAAAACAACAAAGCTGTGTTTTACCGAAAGTATTTTACACTGCTTTAGTTTTTTAAGAGCTTTATTGCGGTATAATTTACATAGCATAAAATTCACCCCTTTTATACAATTCAATTATTTTTAAGGAAAATTTACATTTGTGCAAGCATCACCACAATCCAATTTAGAGCATTCCCAATGCTCCAAAGGGATCCCTTACACCCATTTGCAGTCCATTGCCATTTCCACCACCAGCTTCAGGCAGCCACTGCCTTCTGTCTTCATAGATTTTCCTTTTCTGGACATTTCATAGAAATGGAATCATAAAATATGTGGCCTTTTCATCTGGATTCTTTCATTTAGCATGTTTTTGAGGTTAATCCATGTTACATTAATAACATGTATCAGTACTCATTCCTTTTTATTGCTGAATAATATTCCATTGTATGGATGTACCACATTTTGTTTATCTGTTCACCTAATGATAAACATTGGGATTATTTCCACTTTTTGGATATTATGAATAATATCCAAGCGTTTATGAACAAACGCTTGTTTGAACTTGTTTATATAAGTCTTTGTGTGGATATATACTTTCTTTTCTATTGAGTAAATACCCAAAAGTGGATGGCTGAGTTATTTGGTACATGTATGTCAGTTAAGCTTTTAAGAAAAGTTCAAACTGTTTTCCAAAGTAGCTGTTGCATTTTACGTTCTCACCAGCAATGTTGGAGAGTTTTGGTTTCTCCACATCCTAGCCACAATTTATTATTGCCTTTCTTTTTTATTATAGTCACACTCATGGGTATGAAGTGCTATCTCATTGAGGTTTTAATTAGAATTTCTATAATGATTGATGATGTTGAGCATATTTTGTGTGCTTGTTATACATTTGCATATCTTTGTTGAAATATCTATAAATCTTTTCTTTCTTTAACCTTGCTAATTAGCTGACTTTAAGTCTATAAATCTTTTGACTATTTTAAAATTTTCTTGTATTATTATTGAGTTGTACTTGTTCTTTATCTATTCTTAACACAAGTCCTTTATTAGAAATATGATTTGCAAGTATTTTCTTCCAGTCTGTGGCTTAGATTTTAATTTTCTTTTTAAAATTTTAATCTTCTTAATGACATCTTTTGAAGCACAAAATCTTTCAACTTTGATGAAGTCCAACTTACAATTTTGTCTTTTGTGGATTATGCTTTTGGTATTGTATGTAAGAACTTGTTTCCTAACCAAAGACTTTTCCTACGTTTTCTTCCAAAAATTGTAAGTTTTAGATCTTACATGTAAGTCTCTGAACTGTTTTAAGTTATTTTTGTGTATAGTGTGGGGTGTGGTCTAAATGTATCTTTTTGCATGTGTGTATCCAGCACCATTTCCTCAAAGAATTGTTTTGGAATCTTTGTTGAAAATAAATTGATCTCCCTTCATTTTAAATTTTAACTAAATGAAAAATTCAGTGTCTCAGTTGCACTAGACACATTTCAAGTACCCAACAGCCATGTTTGGCTAGTGACTACCACACTCAGTAGTGTAGCCCTAGGGGACACAAAGATGAAAATATTACAGTTCTCAACCCCAAGGACCTCATATTCTGGTGCCATCAACTTAAGGAAACTGAAGCGGTGTAAGAATAAGCAATATGCTAACAATGAAAAGCAACAGCAGGAAAAAAAGCCACAATGATTGTAAATTAATGCTTTCAAAGAGTGGCTATATGTAAACATATTCATAATTTTTGACTAAGGAATTCGTCTCCTAGAATTTGTTCTATTGAAATCATTCAAAATAAAAAGAAGCCATGTGTACTTATGTTTAGAGATACTTTATTTATAAGTTCAAAAAAACTACAAACAGGGAGTCAGTGGGAAAGAGGAGTAACTGCTAATAGGTATGGTATTTCTTTTGGGGGTGATGAAAATGTTCTAAAATTTGATAGTGGTGATGCTTGCACAACTCTGAATATACTAAAAACTACTGAATCGTATATTGTAAAATGGTAAATGTTATGGCACATGAATTATATCTCAATAACAATGTTATTTAAAACTATAAACAATCTAAATATCAAACAAGTAAATGTTAATATTTTTACTCAGAAATAGCAAATGAATAGCTCCGTAGCTCCATTTATTGGGCATTTACTACATGCCAGGCACTATTCTGAGCACTTTACATGCATTAATTCAGTGGTTCTCAATGTGTGGTCCTCAATCCAGTAGCATCTGGTATGCAAATTCAGGCATCCCAGGCTGGAGTGCAGTGATGCAATCTCGGCTTACTGCAGTCTCCACCTCCCAGGCCCAAGTGATTCTCCTGCTTCAGGCTCCCAGGTAGCTGGGATTATAGGCATGCACCACCACACCAGCTAATTGTTTTGTATTTTTCATACAGATGGGGTTTCATCATGTTGATCAGGCTGGTCTCAAACTCCTGACCTCAAATGATCTGCCTCCCAAAGTCCTGGGATTACAAGCATGAGCCACTGCACCCAGCCAAGAAAATGTGTCCTAACAAAGCTTCTGTGTGATTCTGCAGCATGAACAAGTTTGAGAATCTCTGTATGTATTATGCCATTCTTGCATTGCTATGAAGAAGTACCTGAGACTGGGTAATTTACGAAGAAAAGAGGTTTAATTGCCTCACAGTTCTGCAGGCTTTACAGTATCTGCTCAGCTTCAGGGAAGGCCTCAAGGAACTTTTACTCATGGCAGAAGGCAAAGCAGGAGAAGGCATGTCATATGGCAAGAGCGGGAGCAAGACAGGGAGAGGGTGCCACACGCTTTTAAACAATCAGATCTTGAGAGAACACACACACTATGGTGAGGACAGCACCAAGGGGATGGAGCTAAACCATTCATGAGAAATCTACGCCCAGGACCTAAACACCTCCCACCAGTCCCCACCTCCAACACTGAGGATTACATTTCAACATGAGATTTGGGGGGACACATATTTAAACTATATCACTGTATTAAGTTATCTGACAGCAAACCCATAGGTTAGCAATATTATTATCCCCATTTATGAAATATAAGATTGTAAGAATATGAAATGCTAATTGGTGTTTTATGAGATTATGTACATATATATCTACACACAGCAGCCATACAAAAAATATGTATTATACACATATACACACCCCTTGGAAAGAACTGAACAAAGGAGAATAATGTGATTGGGTAGGAGATCTTGGGTGTCATTTTTGTAGTTGTAAAGTTTCAACAAAGTTTGTTTTGTGTGTTTCAGGGTCAGCTGTGTTGGACTGGCAAGTGCTTTCAAAGGAGAGCCACTGAGCTGTGCCTAGAAAAGCAGCCAGAAAAAGTCCCGACAAGGTCAGGGACTGAGAAAGCCCAACCTGGGGTGAGGGTGCTGTCCATAGACCAGTCAGACCTGGGGGGAGACTGTGAAGGGATAAGGTGGGGCAGTTGGGCCAGCTTATGGAGGGTCTTTAAATGCCAGCCAGAGGAGTCCAGGCTTCATCTTAAAGACAACAGGGAGCCCTGGAAGTTTCTATGAATGACAGATATGTAAGAGGTAGTGCTTTAGAAAATCAAGTCTGCTAGCCATCTGGTGAAATGAGCCTCTGGAAGACTAGTTAAGGTGCTGTTGCAATTATGCAGACGTGAAAAAGGGGCTTGCCTAGTGTTTTTCAAGAGAATGGAAAAGAAAGGAGGAGGCGGGACATTTCGAAGGTGGAATCTGCCGAATAGTATAAATGTAACTGAGTACCTTTCTCCTGGATCCCTTCCCCTTTCTCTTCTCTAGTTCCCAGTTTCTCTAGGTAGGTTTCTTCATTCTTTACCTGTGACCACAAGTCTAGAATCTCTCATGCAAATGAATCAGAAACTAAACGTTGCTTTCCCCCAAGAATCACTGGTTATGCCACCTATTCTATAAAATCAGATAGTATCATGATCTCTTTTAATACACATTAATAGCTGCTCAGTGCCTATAGATTAAAGTCCAAACTTCCTTAACTTGGTTCAGAAGGTCCTTCATGACCAGCTGAACCTGCCTTCTAGGCTCTTCTCTTGTCATATTCCCCTGATTACTCCCATACTTTAGCCATTCTGAATCAATTTCAGTTCCTCTTGGGGCTTTGGACACGCTGGCTTCTCTGCTCAGCTCCTTCTTGACATATTCTGATATAATTTGTATCTGTGTCCCCACCCAAATCTCATATTGAAATGTAATCCCCAATGTTGGAGGTGGGGCCTGGTGAGAGGTGACTGGATCATGGGAGCAGATTTCTTATGAATGGTTTAGCTGCATCCCCCTTGGTACTGTCCTCACGGTAGTGAGTGAGTTCTGGTGCCATCTGGTCATTTGAAAGTGTGCAGCGCCTCCCCTTCTCTCTCTTGCTCCTGCTTTCACCATTGTGACGTGCCTGCTCCCTCTTTACCTTCCACCATGATTGGAAGCTTCCTGAGGCCTCCCCAGAAGCAGATGCCACTATGCTTCCTGTACAGCCTACAGAACGGTGAGCCAATTGAACCTCTTTTCTTTATAAATTACCCAGTTTCTGGGATTTCTTTATAGGAATGTGAGGACGGACTAATACATATTCCAATTTATCCTTTAAGTCTCGCCTAAAATGGTGTTTCTTCCAGACAGCCTTCCCTGATCGCCAGTCCAAATCACGTGGCCTTGCTTCATGCTCCCATGGCATCCGGACTTTGCCCTTCATAGCACCTGGTACTTCCTCCATTATAGTACCTGTTCTGTTATATTGTAACCACCTCTGTGCTTGTCTGCCCTGCTACGGTGTTAAAGTAATTGAAATGGACACTGGGCCTGAGGAATCCCTGAGCAGGAAAAGCCAGTTAGGCCTCTTAAGTGATCTTAACCTTGCTTGATTTGTGAACATAAGTGAAACTTAACTTGGGCTATTTCTTGTAAATGCCTATGTTAAAGAAAAACAGAACTTAAGCTCAATGAATCAGAAGCAACCAACAAACTTATAATTATGTGACTAGGGACTTTCTAACAGGACAGACCAAATAAGACAGCTGTATACCTGTAACCAATCAAATGTTTTATTTGCCTTACTTCCATGTTCCTCCTGTAAAAGCCTCCCACTTGTGTACCCTTAGTGGAGCCCCCCAGCCACTTCTGGTTTGGAGCTGACTGATTCACGAATTGCTGTTTGCTCAAGTAAACTCTTTTAAATCTTATGTGCCTCAGTTAATCTTTTTAACAACATTATTCTGTGAGCTCCCAAAGTCAAGACTATGCCTGCCACAAAGCTGGTGCTAATCAATGTTGGTGGAATGAATTCCTGGGGTGTGGTAAGCTGTGTTCCTGTTAACTGGAGCAGAACAGTAGGCCTGGAAGGACCTGGGATCTGGAGTTAGACAGGACCCAGTGAGATGGGGCAGATCTCAGAGAATATTCTCATTGCAGAGGCTGGAAGGATGTGGACTAGCCTGGCAGCAGATGAAAGGAGGTAGTCTATTAAAGCAATCAGAATCAGGAAGATGTTCTAATAAGAGGGCACTGGAACAGGTTTGGAAAGCCAAGCAGGCCATAGATAGTAATAGATACATTCACTGTTAGTGAATTCACTGTTTCTTAGAACATGTGCCTGTAACTTCATATACATAATCCTCAAGATAAGTATATGGAGTAGGTATTGCCATCCACATTTTACAGATAAGACTGAGGTTTAGAGCTGGGATTCAGAGCAAGATCTTCTTGGTTCCAGAGCCTGTGCTCTTTCCTCTACATTAGTGCTTCTTAAACTTTAATGTGCACAAAATCACCTTGGGTTCTTGTTAACATGCTAATGTCTCAATAGATCTAGGCTGGGGCCTGAGGTTCTGCAATTCTAACAAACTCCCACTGATGCTGATGCTGCCAGTCTATGGATTATATTTTGGGTCATAAGACTGCACATGATACTGCATGTTTTTTCTCAGAGAGGGTAAATGACACACCCAGGTCACATAGCTGGTTCGTGGTAGAGCCAGGATTTTTTAACCTAAGTCTGACTCCAAAATCTATGTTCTTAGTTATCAAAATATGCTATCTCCTTCTATGAGCAGGAAACAGTGCCCCTGGCTTCTTGGCTGGGGCTTAAGGGAAAAATCTAATCCCTGAGAAGTAGACAGGGCCAGGAAGACGAAGAGGGTTACCAAGACAAGGCCTCTGGCAGAGGGAACCAGGGCTCAGTTACCGGCCTGCGGCACAGGGTGGGGCCCAAGTCTTAGGAACAAGATAGAAGCTGAATTTCTAGAACTAGGGCACAGCAGCAAGAGTGACGATGCTGAGACTCCAAGTGTAGGCCAGAGCCCATGCAGGTCCTCCTCCTGGGTTCTCACATGCATCCAGGGACAGGGGCAGGACTGGCCCTTCAGGTATAATGAGGCATGGGAGAGGGGAAGTAGGACACAAGGGCTGGGAGCCAGGCCACTCCTCATATTTTCTTCCCCAGGATTCTTGGCACTGCCCAGAGAGGTGAGGCCTTCCTGAGGCTCACCTTTGGGGCTGTAGACCCCACTCCCTGCACTTCCCTTTCTCACCCTCCATTCTCTTGATTTCAAGCCTTCCTCCCACCTTTGGTCCTCCACATGCATGCTCCCTGTTTGCAAGAGAGGATGGTTCCATATCTCAGGCCCTTATCCTACTGACAGAGCTGTCAGGAGCCATAATAATTATCTTATATTTTTCTTTCCTTTTTTCCATCCCACCTTTTCCCTTTGATTGGGCAGGGCACACAGTGGGTCTCTGAAAAGGCAGAAACTGGGGAATTAGTATTGGCTTCGTGTGGGGCCCGCAGTGGGGAGGAGGGGGAGCAGCACAGAGCAGAATGAGAGTAGAGAGTTGGGCGTTTCAGTTGCTTCTGGTCTCATACTTTCACATCAGGAATCCAGCCATCCATGCTACACCAGCTGTCAGCTCAAGGGCTGCATCAGTCATCAACTATATTAGGATCTTGCTCAAAACTTTTGATTGACTTTTGGCTAAAGGCCACTTTAGAGCTTCCACACAAAGAACAGGTACAAATGTGACATTCAGGATGAGTTCCAGAGTTCAAAACAGAAAAACGACCAGATAAAATGACCACCTTTTTCTGAGCATGAAAAATGTGGCATTTCAGAACCAGCCTTGCAAAAGTAATTACTAGGCATCATTATGCCAACGCTACCATTGTGAAAAAAAAAAAAGTCTTTTTCACAAGCAGGGACAGGTGACTCTGCCATGAGGATAATCTCCCATGACCCGAGAGTCTACCATGCACCTACTGTCACTTCTGACCCCAGACAGATGTTGTCCAAGTGACCTCTCCTGAGAGGAGGATGTCCAGGAACAAAGAAGGGCTGAAGTTAAAAGGGGTTGGCATCCTCTTTCTTATCCTTCCTTGGCCTCTTTCATTCATTTCTCAAAATTCACTTTGATTCACTTTTGAGTGCTGATTACTATATAGCCTCTGAAGACTCTGGTAACTGTCCACATGTGTCACTTGAAGAGGGATCCTGGAATCATTAATGACTTGAGAAGCTTCCAAAAACTACATACATTTTTTTTAAGTCAGCATTCCCTGGTTGAATATATATGTTTCATTTTTTTATATCCCAGTTGAAAAAAATTCCCATGTGGCTGGGCATAATGGCTCATCCCAATAATTCCAGCACTTTGGGAGGCCAAGCCAGGAGGATTGTTTGAGTCCAGGAGTTCAAAACCGGCCTGGGCAACATAGAAAGACTCTGTCTCTATTTTTTTTTTAATCCACGGGTGTGGTGGCTCATGCCTGTAATGCCAGCACTTTGGGAGGCCGAGGCAGGTAGACCACCTGAGCTCAGGAATTCGAGACCAGCCTGGGCAACATGGTGAAACCCCATCTCTACTAAAAAATTAGTTGGGTGTGGTGGTGCGCACCTGTAATCCCAGCTACTGGGGAGGCTGAGACACAAGAATTGCTTGAACCTGGGAGGCAGAAGTTGCAGTGAGCAGAGATCACACCACTGCATTCCAGGCTGAGTGACAGAGTGAGACTCTGTCAAAAAAAAAAAAAAATCCCAACATGTATTTTATGCATATACATAAAAGGTTCCAAATGGACAAGCACAGGATACACTCTGACTATTAACCTTTGGGGATGGGATTGTGAACAGCGGAAGGGACTTCACTTGTTTTGCCTTATAGAAGATTTATTGTTTGAATTTTTAAAGTAATGAGCATTACTTTTATAATTTGGGAGAAAGGAAAGAAAGGAAGGAAAGAAGGAGAGAGGAAGAAAAAAGCAAGTTGAGAGAGAGAAGGAACAGAAAGAAAAAGAGAGAGAGAAAGCAAGCTACCTCCACCCTCCTCCACCCTCTCCCTGAATATGATCCAGAGAATCTCATCTATGTCCCTCATCCTGCAAGAGCAATTGGAGCCCTCATAGGAACACAGAACAGCAGCTGCTCACTTTCTTTGGTACATTATTCATCAAGTATTTATTTTGTTTCGATTTGTCAGAGTCAAAAGAGCTCAAAATAAAAATATGTATGATAACTTTTGGCCATTTTAAGTATCAAAATGATAAACAGTATTTAGGGATACTAGAGGCAAGAGGGAGGCTAAGGGGAAAACGTAAAAGGACCACGCTGGACAAGAAAGAAACAGCAGTTTTAAATAAATAGCAACAAATACCAGTGTGCTTAAAAACCCAGGAGTCTGCTATTAAGCTTTTAACAACCTTGCCCCTAGAGGCTGGGCCAGAAAAGTAGACATAGAAGCCACTGTCTCCTTGATTCCCTTCTTTCCTCCGGAATGCCCACAGCATTGGCCAGCAGCTGTGGACGTGGTTCCTCGAGATCCATCCTCTCAAGACCCACCTCCAAGCTCACCTTCCCCAGAAACCCTCCCCTCTCTGCTCTGCCCTTTCATGACAGCTCTTTTGCATCCCCATGGCTATGTGTTTGACTTTCCAGTTATTTTGCACGTGTTAACCATGTTATTTTGTACTTGTGATCATGTTGCTTGTGTATTTATTCTATTGATCTGAAAAGTCTTTGAGCACAAAGACCTCTAGTGCACCCCTTCACCCCTCTCTGTGTCTAGCTGCTGCCTCGTCCACGGAGGGTGTCCGGTGACCTTCCATCCCCTTCCCACTACCTCTCTATCCTCTTGTCCAATGACATTGCCTAGAAGTCCGGACACCGTGGTTAGCAGATGACCATGCAGGCACGTCTGTCTAATTCCAGCCAAGGGCATGGGGGAAAGGACAGAGCCCAGGGACCTGTGGCCTATTCTCTGAGAGGACGCTGGGCTAATAATAGGAGGGGAGATTAGGGAGGGATTTGACTGCATTGTTATCTCACAGGAATGGCGTTTGAGAGCCTTGCTTCCAAGCTCTTCCAAGAGTCATGCCACCCCCCTCCAATCTCTGTGGAAGTGCCCACTGCCTTTCCCGCTTCGTTCTCTTCTCTCCTTCCATCTGCTCTTCTCTGTCAACCCGTCCATCCTGCTCCCCCTCCCCTGGACCATTCCTCATCCCTTTGCTTTCCACATTCTGGCCTCCGCGTGCACCTATTCTCTCTGCTTCTCCTCCATGTCCCACAAGTCCTTCCCACATGTCCATCCCTGCTCTGGCCTCTTCTGGCTGCTGTCCCTCAACCCCTACCTTCCCAGAACCCTCCCTGTCTTCACTTTCAGGCATCAAATTTGTTTTCCAGGCTTGTGGCCTTTGTCTTCTCTCCCTTAACACCTTGGGGCCACTCCGTGTCTGCCCCTCCACTGTCCCTGGGCCTTGAGCCTTCTCCCAAAGCTGAGCTGGACAAGCACAGGTAACAGAGGCTGAGGTGGGCTGACGGCCTCCACTACCCCAGCAACTAGCAATGAGCCCCGCCAACACCAGGCATTCGAACACCTCTGAGAACAAGACCCAGGACAGGCAGGCTACAGACACCTCCCCACACACAGCCAAGCTATTCTTAGGAACCCAGAATCACAAAAGGGCCGTTCGCTTTGTTCCACACCACCCCCATGGAGCTGCTCTTGGCAGCCAAGGCTGTAATCTCAGAGACAAGGGGCCCAGGCACGGGGAGACCAGGCTGGAGCCTGTGCCCCCTGCCCTGGCTTCTCAGAGCCACAAGGCTCTGCCCTTGGGCAAGGTCATCTCCTCCACCATGCACAGACACACAGCTCTGCACCTTTTCTGCAGTCTTAGCCTCGTCACTCCACTGTCTTTGTTCCCACAGCCGGACCTCAGCTCCCCCAGCCCCGCTACTATGCAATATCTCTGCATATCTCCCCCTCTGCCCCTCTCCCAGCCTCTCCATGGACCCCTTTCCTGACTTTTCCTCACTCCCAGCAAACCAACTACTGTCCCATCTTGCTTCCTTCCCACTCTTCCTGCTTAGAATGGTTCAGCTGTTTTAATCTAGTAAACTCCCAGACCTTTGATAAAGGCCCTTCTTTCCTTGCTACAGGTAGGGAAGCTAAACCTCTGCACTGGTCCCTTCAGACATCCAGGAGCCTGACCAGCTCTCAGCCTCCAATCTGATTCATGGACCCAAGAGGCAGTCTGGCACTGGGACTGCTAGCTGCCCTGGAAAAGTTTCCCTGGAGAAAAGCACCAGCCAGCTCCCCAGGCCCCTCTGTTCCAAATCTGACTTTGTGACTCTCAGACCCAGGGAGGTCACTTACCACCTTCTCCCATGGCTGGAAGAACCTGCATAATGTGTGTATCTGTTGCCTACTTACTCAGTTTCTAACTCTTGTGGAGAACTTTGAGGCATGTATAGCAAAGGACTGGAATTAAGGTTCTGCACTAAAGTGGAATTAAGGTTCTGCTGGGCTTGCACACCCAGCAAGTGCTGCTGCAGTCTCAAATGTCTGCTACAGCACAGAACATCCCAGAAGGGTCAGCATTCCACCATTCTCCTGGAGCACCAGCAAAAGCCCTGCCCTAAGAGACTAGGAAGCTCTCTTGGGGCTGAGTTGTAGGTTGGGCCCAGTAAAGGCACCTGTACCTTCACACCAGGGACATTGTCTTTCTACGTAAAGTAAAAATAGTGAAGCAAAAACAAGCAGAAGACATTGAATTGCTGAGCACTACATATGTTTCCAGATCATTCGCTAGGGCTACTCCCTGCCCTCCAGCCCTACTTTAATCTTTATACGATGGAACTCAGGAGGCTGAGACCCTTCTCCAGCCAGTGAGTGGGCCCAATGATGACAGCCAGGGCTGTATCGAGCTCTGCCTTGAGCTCCCTACGTGCATATCTGAAGATGAGGAGGGAGCCAGCTGAGCCTCATGTTTGCAAGCCCACTTTCTGGTGGTGGGTACCCAAACTCTCTAGGCATTCTCAAAGCACCCCCCAGGCTTCCAAAAAGGGAGATGAGAATAAGAAAACAACCAGAAAGTGCAAAAGAAAATGGTGAACAAAACAAGGGCATCTTTTATTACCCCCTCTTCACATATTCTGGAATACCCTACCTTAAAAACAAAACAAACCGTGCTACTTGGCCCTCTTCCCTTGAGTTGTTGTCTAATCTCATTCATTTCACTGCCAAACTCCTCAAATGCATGGTGTACACCCACTGCTTCCACTTCCTGTCCACTCATCTTTTTCCTCATTAACTCCCTGTGGCCTGGCTTTGCCTGTGACACTACACAAGCTGCTTGCTCCAAGATAATCCAAGTTCTTTTCTCTGTCTTCCTGATACACAGGCTTTCTTTGGCATCTGACACTGCTGGCCACCTGCTCTTCTTGAAATGCTTCTTTTGGCTTCTAGGAAACTGCCCATTTCTCACTCTCCTTAGCTGTCTTTGAATCTCCTTCTCTTCTCTGCGGGCTTCTCTTCCTTCTCCCATCGCTGTACTGTGGGTATCTCCCAGGCCTTTCCTCTTCTCTCCAACCTCATGGCTTCTTTCACATCCCCCGAGGTAGTCAGCCCTCTTTATCCAGTTCTGCCCACTGGTCTCATAGCTCCAGCTTCCTTCAGGAAAGCAAAACATCTTCCATTGGTTGCCCCACTCTTACCTCCATTTCCCCCAAACGGAACACTGTCCTTCCTCCTACGTGTCCCTTTTGCCATTATTCCCATCCTTGCCGACATCGTGCAGTCATGCCTCTCCCTTCCTCATTTCTTGCGTCCAGGCTGTTAGCAAGGCATTTTATTCCTTCTTTAGAAAGGCCTTCCAGCCTTGCCTTTCCGCTTCATGCTGCTGGTCTCGCTTTCCTGCCAACGTTGATGGCTACTGTATCCTCCTCTCGGGTCTCCCTGCCTCCAGCCTCTCTTCCGCAAAGCACCCAATAATACCCCTGCTAGGCCCATCAAACTCTGGTTTCAAGACATCACAATGACTGCCATGGTTTAGAACTTTAGTCATTCCTCATTGCTTCCAGGGTATTATCCATTTTGCTGTCCTGGGAAACAGGGCAGAGTCCGTAGAAAGCCCTTTGAGCAAGACAGACCTGGGTCTGAATCCCAGTGCCACGTTTGCTACTTACCTTGAGCAAACATCTTAGCCTCTCTGAACCCCATTGCTCCTCCATAAAACACAATTAAAGTGACACACAATTGTGAACATGTGTGAGATCATGGTGTATAAAACACTGTGCACCTGGCACAGGTGGTCACTCAATATGTATATAGCCCTTTCCCCTCTCCGACATTGGGGCCCTACCTTTTTTTCCTTCCACCTATGTCTCCAGATCCCCCATACGCATAGCCTCATCAGGCATGTGTCCTCCGAGTCCTTATGAACTCACCACACCGTTCCCCTTCCATGCCTTTGGTCACTCTGTGATTCTCATTGCCCAGAACATATCCTGATACTCAGTGCTTCTTAAAGCCCTCCCCTCACCAAGCTCCACTGTCATGTCCCCATCTTGAAAGCTTATTTTATTTTATTTTATTTTGGGACAGAGTCTCACTCTGTCCAGACTGGAGTGCAGTGGTGCGATCTCAGCTCACTTCAACCTCCGATTCCCAGATTCAAGTGATTCTCATGCTTCAGCGATTCTCATGCCTCCTGAGTAGCTGGGACTACAGGAGTGCACCACCATGCCCGGCTAATTTTTGTATTTTTTGTAGAGACGGGGTTTCACTATGTTGGTCAGGCTAGTCTCAAACTCCTGACCTCAAGTTATCTGCCTGCCTCAGCCTCTCAAACTGCTGTGATTACAGGTGTGAGCCACCAACGCCCAGCCTGCTCCTATCTGGTGGCCTGACCAATGTCACCACTTGGCCTGGGTCAACTCCTGCTGGACCTCAGGACACACTGGCTTGTCATGAGGGAAGCTCAGTGGGCAGCAGTCAAGCAGTGATGCCTATCCCAGCTCAGGGCTGGACTGTGGGCCTAGACTGAGTCTAGGACAGTCTGAGAACCTTGGCCTCCTGGCATGACGTTCCCAAGGGCAGTCACAGTCTGGGTAGAGCCGACCACAAGACTGCAGGATTTCTGATCTACTCTGGTCCAGACCATCCTTTGAACCAAGTGGACTTAGTGGGGCTGAAGGAGGTGTGGGGACAAAGAACCTATGGCAGGGCAACCGGCCCTCCTGTCTGCAGCCTGGCTTCCTCAATTTTGTGTTCCTAACCTAAGAGCTGCCATTCAGTGAGGGCCCACAGTGTGTCTGCTGTGTGTAGACTCTGCTTGTGCAATCTCTAATGGCCTGAGTAGCCCTGGAAACAAAATGTGGCTATCCCCATGTTACAGATGACAAAACTGGCTCAAAGCAATTATATGACTGACGTAGACCACACAGCTAGAAAATGGAATCACTGGGTTTCAAAGTGGATTTTTGTGACTGACTCCAAAGCTGACCAGACTGCTCATCCTGTATGCTTCTGAGGCCTCTGGCCCTCCAGACCGGTCACTCCCCACAAAGTCTCCCTTTTGGTGAGTTGTGTCCCTCCAAACACTCCCTGAAGGCAAGATCAACCTGCCCTAACTACCCCAAAGTGAACTAGGCCAGCCCCAAGCCTGTCTCCGGCCCTCCATCTCTCTCTTTGTTCACATCCATCAGAAAGCAGAGACCTAGAGTAGGGAATGAGAGGGGGTGCACAAGTACAAAAGATTTTGAAGCCAGCAGGAAGACAAAAGAATGACAAGAAGGAGCAGCTGTTTGTAAAGGGAAATCTGAGACAGGCAGAAAGCTCAGCTCCCTAATCCTAGGCTCGTGTGGAGCCAGGGCAGGGTCCCCCCAAGGTCAGGGATTCTGGGGGCAGGCGGATGGGAGAGTCAGCCTCCACTCCTGGGTGGCTCCCCTCTGCCCTGTGCACAAACAACGAGTGCCTCATTCCTCCCCTGCACCAAGTGCCCTGCCTCTTCCTGCCCCGTTTCTTCCTTCCCTTTGGGTACCGGAGCTTTTTTCTGATTCCCCTCTCTCCATGCTGACATCGCTTCTAATTCGCCCTGGTGTCTCCCTCCCTCACAATTACTGGGAGTAATTTTAGCAACTTTTCCTCTGAACTACCGCTGGCGTGTTCACAGCAAATGGCCCCTGTTTTGGCTTGACACTTGATCAGGGTGGTGACAGAGTGCAGACAAAGCCGGCACAATGCGGGGAGGGGAGGACGGGGGACAGATCACCTTCCTTTCACTTCAGGCCTTATTTGGTCTACCTTGCCGAAGCGGCCCTCCTTCCAGCCTCTCTTTATTTATAGCATTTTGCTTTGCTCTCCTTTATCTTGCTATCACTTTGTAGCACACTCTGCACAATCCCCACCCACCCCAGCATGGTGGGGCCCCTGGCCCCTCACTCTCCCCACAAGGAATGTGCATGTGTGCAAAGGGTAGGCCTGGATGCCATTTCTACAAACAGTTGACTAAAGCAGTCCAGAGCAGGGATCTTTCTTTGGGTCATTGTTATGTCCTTATTGACCAGAATAATGCCTGGCACATAGTAGGCACTCAATAAATACTTGTTGAATGGAGGAATCTGCAAAGCTGCTCAGTCTTCAGACAGCAGCAAGCAGCAGGAAGAGAATCATGATGTAACCAAGAGCAGGTGCTGGAGGAGCTAGGGAGTGAGTGGGGATCTTTAAGGACAGCAGGCCCTCTGATCTGTCTGAGCTGTGAGGCAAAGCCTAGTTAGGGAGGTGAGTTCTATCTGCAATGAGAGGGGGCATGGGTGGAGAACAGTAACACCCAAACACCAACAGACCAGAGCCTCCCAAACCCGAAAGGAGAGAAACAAAGTGTGATTGATTTCCCAAATGCAGAAAAGACTACCCAAGTCCCCAGCCAAGGAAGGACGCTGGCCTGTGGTGAAGACACTGGCTTTGAAATGGCTCAACTACGTCCCAAGCACCCTTTGTGCATCTTAATTGCCCTGGGAAATCAGGGAGGGGTGGCAGTTTGGAGCTTGGAAAGCTGGAAGGTGGGGACGAAAGGAGTTTTTGCCCCTCATCGCCAATCCTTGAGGTTCCTACAGGGAACCTCAGACAACAGCTGTCTTAGGGGTTTCCTTCCAGCTCCAAGCAGCTGTATTATCTATAGCTTTGAGAGGGTCTGTCTCTGTCAATGGGGCTGATTCCTCAGCACCTGGCAGGGCCTGGGGGGGACTGCCAGAGTCTGTTCTGCCGGGCATGTTAGTAGCACAGACTACTGGGATAACCTCAGCAACTGTATACCTTAGCACTGCAGAGCTGCGGTGTTGTCAGACACAGCCCTTGCAGTTCGTGGTCTACCCCCACTTGCCTGCACCCCCCTTATAGCTGCTCAATGTCCTCAGACTGTACCTTAGTGCCTTGGTTACCAAGCAACCCCCACAGAGGCCTCCTCCTGGATTTTCCCTTCCCTGCTATGCCCACCCCACCTTCAAAATGTACCTGCTGCACCCATCCCCCAGGCCTGCCTCACTCCTTCCAAGCTGACAGCTAATCAGATGGACTAATCCGCATGCGCGGAAGAGCTGTGCTTGGGAAGAAGGGGGAGATTTCACACCAAATCGTGCAGTGGTTGCCTAGACACGGAGCCAGTCAAGCTTGCATGCCCCGTTGCTAGAAGAGCATGGCATCGGTTGTGTTCTGTGCTCGTAGGCTGGGCCCCAGCTCCCTTTCCTCCCCTCCTTTGTGGCTGTTCCTCAGGCCTGCAGAGGGGAAGATTTTTCCTGTCCTGTTACTCTGCCTCACTTGCCAGAACACTAGTCGCCTCCAGCTCTGGATAAAGCTGAGGCTGGGTGGGCCAGACAACAGCTGTCTTAGGGGTCTCCTTCCAGCTCCAAGTAGTTGTATTATCTATAGCTCTGAGAGGGTCTGTCTCTGGGCTCAGGCCTTTAGTACCTGTGGGGCAGAGCCAGGAACGTGAGTCAGGCAAACCGCTCCAAACTAGGACCAATGCAGCTGGGTCCTGCTCTCTGCGCATAGGGGGTCCCCACATCTTTGGAATCCCAGCCCACCTTTCCAGGCTACCCTCCACAGGCCGGGCTCCACTCCCATCTGCTGAGGTTTCCCACCTTGAATCCTGCTGCCCCGATTAGCTGTATAACCTTAAAGAATGCACTGTCCCTCTCCATTAAATGAAGTGCTTGGATGGATTGCTAAAGGCCTGTCTGGCTCGGAGGCTTGGTGACCTCAACACATTGCCTGCTGGTCCAAGGAAATCAGTGCCTGAGCCAGAGTCCCCATCTCTAAGCTCCATGGTTATTGTTCTTGCCACCTGGCTAGGAAATGTCCTTCCAGCTGCCCCAGTCTAGCTGCCTCACCCTGGGGCCATGCCCCCAACTCTGTCCTACCCTTCTCTGCTGCTGACACTCAGCCCCTTCCCAGCTTCCAGTTGGATACAGGACCTGGGCCAGGAGAGCAGGGAGGACACTGTGGAAATGCGGCCAGGCCATCAGGGGCCTCGCAGCAGGGGACTGGAGGGGGAGCAGTGTCCAGGGCCAGAAGTGCCCTGCGGGAGAGCCAGGACATTGGCTGCCTGTGGTCTTGGTGGTCGTGGTCAGTTCCCTCTCCTGCCAGCTGTGGAATGTGAGGCCTGGCCTGGGAGATATTTTTGCTGCACTTTGAGCCACCCCGCCCCCTGGAACTCAGACCCTGCACAGTCCATGCCATAACAATGACGACCACTTCCAATTGTTTCCTAGCTGGAGAGGCGGGGAGGGGAGCACTGTTTGGGAAGGGGGGGAGCCTGGGGGAAATGCTTCTAGTGACAACAGCCCTTTCTAAATCCGGCTAGGGACTGGGTGCCGTTGGGGGTGGGGGTGCCCTGCTGCCCCATATATACAGCCCCTGAGACCAGGTCTGGCTCCACAGCTCTGTCCTGCTCTGTGTCTTTCCCTGCTGCTCTCAGGTAGGAGCGGGAGCTGGAGGCTTTACTCTGGGATAAGGGGGCTCCAGGCTTAGGAAGGGATTCCTCTTGGAATAGCAAGCTTCATGCAGGACTTCATGCAGAGTACCAGGTCCAGTCACTGGGCACACATGTGCAGGTCTAAACATGGGCGTATGTGCCACAGGAGTTCCTAGGGGAAGATATCTGCATCTGAGCATATGGGACCAATATGCATTACAGGGTGTGTGTGTGTGTGTGTGTGTGTGTGTGTGTGTGGACAAGCCTGCATAGTCTGAATGTGAGAAAGGGTATGTACCTCACTGACTGATACAGAAATATCAAGTGGGAGATGTGGGTGTATGATCACGTCTGTGAACGAGGAGGTTCCTTTGCAGGGAGGGAGAAAGAATGGTGGAGAAGGATTCTAGGAAGTGTGTATGCCTTCATGTGATTCTGTGAGGCCTGGAATGTGTAGCTACCCCTGTCCATGCATGCAGAGGTTCTTGTCTATGCCTCCACGAGTCATGACTGTTATAGTATCTGTACCCTCTGCAGAAGGAACTCACAGGCACGGGGGTGTAGGATGTTCCAGGTCTTTGTGTACTGAAGAACACGCAGTGATGTGATCTACTTACGTGGCACACATCCTGAAATGTGCACATTTGCTGTTGAGGCATATATGGCACCCTGGGGTTGGGGTGCGGATTGAGGTATGGGAAGGAAGCCTGTCTTCATGTGAGAGGCATGCCCAAGCAGCAGGCATGAGTGTTCATCAGAGGGCTTGTGGAGGGTGTTTGGCTATGTGATGGGTGTGTCTGTGAGAGGAAGCCCACAGTGTCTTCTCTCTGAGAATGTCCACAAAGTCTGACAACAAAATGGGGACAGGATGGAAAAGAAGTCTCTTTAGAGTCATCAGACTTGCATTCAAGTCTTGGCTCTCCCACTTGTTGTCATGGGCTCTTGGCCAAGCAAGCCATTTAACCTCGATTTCCTCATCTGTCAAATGGGGTGAAGACTGAGTAGGAGAAAGTGCATTGAAGTGCTTTTAGACTGGAAAGTGCCGAACAAATGTGACCATTAGTTGTCTCTCAGATGGCTCAAAGAAAGGTACCACTAGATGGGTACAGGCAGGGGTGGGACCATCTCGCAGGAGTGAAGAGGATTAGGGTTCAGGTTGAGTTGACACCAGGAAGCTGTTAGAACTAGTTCTTGAGGAAAAAGGGAATAGGGTTTGAAAAACAAGAAGGATGGGACCAGAGAAGCTGACCACCCTTTCCACCTTGTTTTGGAAGAGGGTGGATGCTGAAGAACAGAGCCAGGGAGAAGCAGGAAGGTGGGACTGGTCAGGTTGGGCACAGCCTGCCCTGACACAGCCTCTTCCCTCTCTCCAGGTCCCCTGCAGGCCTTGGCCCCTTTCCTCATCTGTAGACACACTTGAGTAGCCCAGGTAAGAAAAGCTGAAGCTAGAGTGTTGAAAATCTAGTAAGACTGGGCATTAGAGCCCCAAAGCCAGCCTATGGAACTCTAGTTTCTGCCATGTGCTGGAGAGAATATCTTGGCTATCAAGAGCTACTTACCTGTGACCAGGGGGTCCAGGGATAGATGAGGGTCAGAGATGGAAATAGTTAGATTTCTGCTCCTACAGGGAGCTCAGAATGCTCTTCCTTCCCCTAGGAGAGCCCCAGCTTGAACAATAGTTAGTTGTTCCTTTTACCCTGGCAGGTTTGCTAGGCTGCTCCTCTGGTTAAGGGGTAACCTCAAAGAGGAAGGGACTCACTGGTAACTCCTCTTGACTCTTGAGCATGGTGCTAGGTTTTGGGGCTCCCACTGAAGGGGAGAGCCCAGGGAGGGAAGGGAAGAATGGGCAGATGGGAGGGCAGCCAGCTTCTGCTCACTCCAGGCACAGCCATGGGAGATTCGGAGATGGCAGTCTTTGGGGCTGCCGCCCCCTACCTGCGCAAGTCAGAGAAGGAGCGGCTAGAAGCGCAGACCAGGCCTTTTGACCTCAAGAAGGATGTCTTCGTGCCTGATGACAAACAGGAGTTTGTCAAGGCCAAGATCGTGTCTCGAGAGGGTGGCAAAGTCACTGCCGAGACCGAGTATGGCAAGGTGGGTGTCAGGCTGATGTGAGAGTCCACCCTGGCCACCTGTACACCTGGGTGGACAGAGAGGGGTACACCCATGCCCCATGCCCATGCAGACCTGAGGATGGTCCCATTCTCCTTCCCTTTGGGGAAGAATCCAGACCCTCCAAAGAGCCCTCTCCTTCCCAATATCCCTTCTGTCTTCCCTGTGAGATCCTGGTTCCTTCTCTCTTGAGCACTATTGCCCTGTCACTCACCAACTCCTAACCCTCTTGAGGAAGGAGGGAAAGCCCAGGCTGACAGGAGGGCTTGGGTGGGGGCTCTTGCAGACAGTGACCGTGAAGGAGGACCAGGTGATGCAGCAGAACCCACCCAAGTTCGACAAAATCGAGGACATGGCCATGCTGACCTTCCTGCATGAGCCCGCGGTGCTCTACAACCTCAAGGATCGCTACGGCTCCTGGATGATCTACGTGAGTGCTGCACCTGGCCCTACGTTGGGATCTCTGTTCTTGCTCCATCCATGTCCACCCCAGGAGCCAAGAGTGTCTTCTGTTTGTGTCTAGGCAGGGTTACACTCTAACCTCGTCCCAACATCCTTGGTTCAATTCCAACACTCTGGGGACTGGCATTACTCAGATTGAGTGCATGCAGAGGTTTTCCTTTCTCTTCTTTCTCTCCTGGGATCTTTCTCTAACTCCCAAAATCACCAGCCCTCCCCCTTCGCAACTGGCAAGTCACTGCTCCTTTTCTATCCCCAGACCTACTCGGGCCTCTTCTGTGTCACCGTCAACCCTTACAAGTGGCTGCCGGTGTACACTCCTGAGGTGGTGGCTGCCTACCGGGGCAAGAAGAGGAGCGAGGCCCCGCCCCACATCTTCTCCATCTCCGACAACGCCTATCAGTACATGCTGACAGGTGAGAGGCCCTGGAAGGGTCTTCCTGAAGGGAACTGGGATAGGCCGGGAGGGAGAGGGAGAAGGAAGGGAGAAGCCCCACGAGAGCATCCTGTGCAGCTCCTGACCTTTCCTCCCCACCCTCTCCCCACAGACAGAGAAAACCAGTCCATCCTGATCACGTGAGTGTAGCTGCTACTGTATTCCCTTTCAGAATCTCCCTGATCCCAGCCTCCAGCCCCATCAGGTGTCCCAGGCCCCGAGGCATAGACTCAGCCTCTTTCCCCCCAACCTCGTGCCCATCTCCTTCTTCTCTGACCATTACCCTGACCCCTCTCTTTGCTCTCCCTCTTCCTTTCTGCTTTCCATCCCCTTCATGTTTTTCCTCTCCCACCTCCTTCACCCACTCTCCAACTCATCACGCGTTTATCCAGAAGCTCATTATCGCCATGTCTTCACCTCTGCATTTTCTTTCCCTTCAGAAACATTTCCCATTCTTCCAGCCCTACCAACTTTTCCCAAAACAGCCCAGGCCCATCTCCCCTGTTTACTTTGCCCAGCCAAGCACAGGCTCAGCCTGCCCAAACCAGTGCCTTCTGGTGGCATCCTTCCTGGTGCCAGCCCTGACCTCTGTGCATCAGAAGACAGTTGTGGATTTTGGGTGTAGATAACCTGGCAGCTTCTTGCCCAGGGCTCCTACTCTCGGGTAGGCCCAGGCATTCTCTCCTGATTTGAGGCTTGCTGGTCTCCAGTAGTATTGTTCACTGCCCAATAAGCCCCTGTCTTCACAGCGGAGAATCCGGAGCAGGGAAGACAGTCAACACCAAGAGGGTCATCCAGTACTTTGCTGTTATTGCAGCCATTGGGGACCGCAGCAAGAAGGACCAGAGCCCGGGCAAGGTAGGCCTGCTGCCCTCCAAGGTCCTGTACCGCAGAAAGGGAGGGAGAAGAGCTCTCACCTGCCTCCTTCTTGGCCTCTGCAGGGCACCCTGGAGGACCAGATCATCCAGGCCAACCCTGCTCTGGAGGCCTTTGGCAATGCCAAGACCGTCCGGAACGACAACTCCTCCCGCTTCGTGAGTGGTCCCTGACCTTGGCCTTGGGACTTGGACTGGTGGAGGAATGGTCTCAGATATGAGCCTTCCCCCAACTCATCACCACTCTCTTCCATCTCTCCAGGGGAAATTCATTCGAATTCATTTTGGGGCAACAGGAAAGTTGGCATCTGCAGACATAGAGACCTGTGAGTGCCATGAATCTGCTAGGCTCAGCCTAAGCTCACCCTTGCTCTAGACCATCTGGTCTTGACCTCTCTCTCTCTCCCCTCCCTCCCTCTGTTTTTCTCCTCTTTAAGTCTCTGTCTGTAGGTGTCTCTGTCTTCAGGTCTACATATCTGTCTCTCTCTGAGACTTCCTCTGCATCTTTCTCCATTTCTGTCTCTGCATGGCTAGGTGTCTTTCTCTGGGATTTCTCTCTGAGACTATTTCTCTCCTTCTGGGTCTCTGTTTCCATCTCTCTGTGTGATCTCTTTGTGTCTGTCCAACTAGTCTCTCTGGCTCTTCCCTTCCCTCTGCCTTTTGCTTGCTACATTTATCATTAATTTTCCTTGTGCCCAAACCCTAACTTTTCTTTCTCTCCTTCTTCTCCCCACCTGTTCACAGATCTTCTGGAAAAATCCAGAGTTATTTTCCAGCTGAAAGCAGAGAGAGATTATCACATTTTCTACCAAATCCTGTCTAACAAAAAGCCTGAGCTGCTGGGTGAGTCAGAGCCACCGACTGAGACCAACTATCTCCATGGCAACCTGGTCCCCTCTGCTTGTGGCTGGACTCAGCTGGCATGCCCTGGGTTTCATGGCACTGCTGGATTCAATTCAGTGGGATGTGGGGCCAAGCCAAGCCCTGTCCTGTGCTCTTCCTCAGGCCATGTGCTGTGGCGAGCAGCCTCCATGAGAGCCGGGGGCTTGTGTCCCACCCTAACCATGTTTTTTCCCCTAGACATGCTGCTGATCACCAACAACCCCTACGATTATGCATTCATCTCCCAAGGAGAGACCACCGTGGCCTCCATTGATGACGCTGAGGAGCTCATGGCCACTGATGTGAGTGTGTGAGGACCCAGCCAGGGGGTGGGAGGATTGGCAGTGAGGGGCAAACAGGGGTCCAAAAGCAGAGCTAAGACGCTGGCCATTGGTTGTTTAAAGTGGTATGGACCTCCTGAGAGCCAGAATGTGCCCTGTGATCAGGGTGTACTGGGGAATGGATGAGGTGAGACAGGACTGGCCAGTATCTGGTGTTCTATCAAACCAGGAAGAGCTGAAAGCCATGAGACAGAGAGACACACAAGCCAAGAAACAAGCATCACCGAGGGAGCAGGACGAGGAGGGAAGGCCATGCAGACGGCATGGGGCTGGAGGGGCTGTTAGGTGAACAGATGCAGACAGGTATGGAAGGCCAGGCAGGAAGCAAGTGTAGGGCCAGGAAGCATAAGTGGGTAACTCAGAAAAGCTGTGGCCACTGACACTGGGGCTGCGGCCAACTGACGTCTGCTCTGCTCTTGCATCTTACATCCTTTGTTTTGGAGTTCCCTGCATCTTACATCCTTTGTTTTGGAGCTCCCCACTGGGTATGGGAGTCTCAGAACCCACAGGGATTAAGGAGACAAGTTTTCTCTCCAACTTACAAGGGATCTCACTTACCCATCATACTTCTTTTTCTGGGGTCCGCCAATATGGGGCCTCCCTACAGAACGCTTTTGATGTGCTGGGCTTCACTTCAGAGGAGAAAAACTCCATGTATAAGCTGACAGGCGCCATCATGCACTTTGGAAACATGAAGTTCAAGCTGAAGCAGCGGGAGGAGCAGGCGGAGCCAGACGGCACTGAAGGTGGGAGGCAGGGATTCTTGGGGGCAGCTGTCAAGTCATGGAGGGCCATGTCTGCTCAGCAGTCATCTCTCTTCTCTTTTTTCTTTTTTTTTTTTTTTTGAGATGGAGTCTTGCTCTGTTGCCCAGGCTGGAGCGCAGTGGCACGATCTTGGCTCACTGCCACCTCCACATCCTGGGTTCAAGTGATTCTCCTGCCTCAGCCTCCCGAGTAGCTGGAATTACAGGCATGCACCACCATGCCTGGCTAATTTTTGTATTTTTAGTAGAGATGGGGTTTCATCATGTTGGCCAGGTTGGTCTCAAACTCCTGACCTCAAGTGATCCGCCTGCCTTGGCCTCCCAAAGTGCTGGGATTACAGGCATGAACCACCACACCTGGCCAGCAGTCATCTCTTTACCAACTTTGCTACTTGCCTTTTCCTTCCAGAGGCTGACAAGTCTGCCTACCTCATGGGGCTGAACTCAGCCGACCTGCTCAAGGGGCTGTGCCACCCTCGGGTGAAAGTGGGCAATGAGTACGTCACCAAGGGGCAGAATGTCCAGCAGGTGGGTCCATCTTCAGATGATAATGGGTGGGCAGGGTAGGGAGACTGGCATGGTGGGATGAGAGTTTTCAAGTTCACTCTTCCCAACAACCCTGCTCAATATGGGTCTCTCCTCCACCTTGCAGGTGATATATGCCACTGGGGCACTGGCCAAGGCAGTGTATGAGAGGATGTTCAACTGGATGGTGACGCGCATCAATGCCACCCTGGAGACCAAGCAGCCACGCCAGTACTTCATAGGAGTCCTGGACATCGCTGGCTTCGAGATCTTCGATGTGAGTTGGGACCCCTGGGAGTGGGAGAACAATCACTCACTCGCTCCCACATTCAACAGCTATTTGCTTAGAGCCAGCTGTGGACCAGACATGGGAAGGCAGTGGGGACTGTGTGGTGACAGAGGCAGTCATTTTCTCTGTCTTCAGGGGAAGCCCTCCTTCACTGCCTTGACATGGAGGGGACCAGCCACGCCCTGCTGGGCTCAGGCACAGTGGACGGGCACAGCCCCAATGGCCACTCACACCCACTTTCTGACTGCTCCCACCCCTCATGCCCCCTGCAGTTCAACAGCTTTGAGCAGCTCTGCATCAACTTCACCAACGAGAAGCTGCAGCAGTTCTTCAACCACCACATGTTTGTGCTGGAGCAGGAGGAGTACAAGAAGGAGGGCATCGAGTGGACATTCATTGACTTTGGCATGGACCTGCAGGCCTGCATTGACCTCATCGAGAAGGTGCCTCTTTGGCCTTACCACCTGAATTCTCCCTGCACACCCAACAAGAACACCATAGACAAAATAGCAGCCCCTCTCCCTTCTGGGGAATATAAAAATAGAAGGGGCTGAAGGATCCGAGCCCTTGGTTCCAGAGCCTATGTTGTGCTGAGCACCCAGGACAGGGTGGCACCAGGGACAGCTGATTTCCCAGGGGCTTGAAAGTGGACACATGGAGGATGGGCACCTGCATGATGACCTCCCACACCTGCATGTTTATTGGGCCTGGTTTATGCATCCAAGGATCAGGAAGTGTGAGGGTGGTGTAGGGGATCATAAGAGTGCACCTATTTTCAACCCTAGCATCTCAGGCATCTGGGTCGTGGAGTGGTGTGTACAGCATCGATAGAATCCATATTCCCAGACTTTCACAAAGGTCCTTCTGTCATCAGACAAAATCCTCCACCTTGAACCGGTTCCAGTCAGTAGATAACTGTACTCAGAGCTGAGCCTACTACCTTAACACCCAACATGGCACCTCCACGAGCAAGTATATTGACCATAGAGCAGAATCCATGTCCACCTGTGTGAAGGACACTCAGTGATGCTCTCTCCTGCTTCCTCAGCCCATGGGCATCATGTCCATCCTGGAAGAGGAGTGCATGTTCCCCAAGGCCACCGACATGACCTTCAAGGCCAAGCTGTTTGACAACCACCTGGGCAAATCCGCCAACTTCCAGAAGCCACGCAATATCAAGGGGAAGCCTGAAGCCCACTTCTCCCTGATCCACTATGCCGGCATCGTGGACTACAACATCATTGGCTGGCTGCAGAAGAACAAGGATCCTCTCAATGAGACTGTCGTGGGCTTGTATCAGAAGTCTTCCCTCAAGCTGCTCAGCACCCTGTTTGCCAACTATGCTGGGGCTGATGCGCGTAAGTAGGGACTGAGGCTCCCGGTACAGAGGAGCAGGGATTCTGCCAAGGTTCTGAGCCAGGTCAATTGCTACACCCCACCACTTCAATGTCAGGTTGTACCCCAAGGTTTACAGACTCAGTGGGATGGAACTGGGTGAAGAAACTGAGGCAGCCACATTGAAGGCCCTCACCCAGGGGCCAAATGCCAGCAAGGATGTAAAGAGGGGCTGTGATTCTTTACTCACACCCTACCTCCCCACACTGATGCTTCTTTTGTTGACTCTCCTTCCTGCAGCTATTGAGAAGGGCAAAGGCAAGGCCAAGAAAGGCTCGTCCTTTCAGACTGTGTCAGCTCTGCACAGGGTGAGTGGGACACAGCCCCAGCCAACTTGGCTCCCCATCTGCCCAACCCCACCCAGCCCCACCCTTCCCTGCCTTGTTCATCCCCTACTCCTCCCGTTCCCTGTCTCCTTGGTGCATTCGGGACCATTTTCACTCTGTCTTCTCTTCCCGTCATCTCCTGGCCTCTTCACTTATTTACTTCCCATCTCCCTTCTCTCCTCTTTCCCTTCTGTCTCCCACCCTCTCTCCTTATCCCTGTCTGCCCCCAGGGCCCCTTCATCTCTGTGACTTCTCGAATTCTCTCCATCTCTCTTTTCCTTCCTTCTTCTCCTCTCTTCTTCCTGCATCTCTTTCTGGCATTTTCTTTACTTTTCTCTATTGCATTTTTGGCCACAGGAAAATCTGAACAAGCTGATGACCAACTTGCGCTCCACCCATCCCCACTTTGTACGTTGTATCATCCCTAATGAGACAAAGTCTCCAGGTGAGGCCACAAACTCAGGCCAACCCACTGCTGGGCATACACCGCCCTGGGAACAGGACCTCCTAGGACATCTCCCTACCTACCACCACAGTGGTTTCCAAACCACATTCTTCTCCTCCCATCCCGCATGAGGCCTCCCAGGGTACCTCCCTCTCAGCGCTACCTTGCACTTGCAGTGTGTAATGAGGGTGATGTGTAAGGCACTCTGATGGACATTACCTCATCAGTGGCCCTACAACCCCTTGGATAGCTGGTTGTCCAAGACAGAATCTTAGTTCAACTTTAAATTTACCTGCAGAACCACTTAATCCCCCAATGAGACATATTCAAATTGTTAATCCATTTTTGGCTAATTAGGAGACAGAGGCTCAGGGACCTGGGTTCAAGACCTGGCTCTGTTCTTGATCAGCTTAGTGAACTTGGGCCAGTCCCATAACCCCTCTGGGCTTAATTTACTCATCTAGAACATTGGATATATCTGTTCTGGCTACCACCTATGATAATAGGTGTGAATCATATAAAAAAGGAATGTGAAAGCCTTTTAGTTAAAAATGTGGCTAGAAGAAAATGAAACAAATGATTATTACTAACTGACTTGCTAAGATTACAAGCTAATCAGTGACAAAGCCAGGATCAGAACCCAGAACTTCAGTCCAGTGTTCTCACAGACTCCTCCTACTTCCTTCTTGCCACAGGGGTGATGGACAACCCCCTGGTCATGCACCAGCTGCGCTGCAATGGTGTGCTGGAGGGCATCCGCATCTGCAGGAAAGGCTTCCCCAACCGCATCCTCTACGGGGACTTCCGGCAGAGGTGGGTATGAGGGTGCACCAGAGCTCATAGAACAGGGGGAGCCAGGCTGCCCTGATGGGAATGGGATCTGCAGGTGACCCTGGAATTCTATGGGCAGAGCAGATCACTGCAGAGCATGGGTGACTCTGGACACTTCCCTCCTCAGGTATCGCATCCTGAACCCAGCGGCCATCCCTGAGGGACAGTTCATTGATAGCAGGAAGGGGGCAGAGAAGCTGCTCAGCTCCCTGGACATTGATCACAACCAGTACAAGTTTGGCCACACCAAGGTGAGGAAAGGAGACTAATTAATTAAAGGAAGACATCTCTTTTCCATTGACTCCTCTGATGCTTTTCCTGTTGTAATCATCTTAGCAAAATCTCTTACCTGTATGCTACCCCTCCCAGTGGAACATCTAGCACCACTCCCCTCATCCCAGCTCCAGCTGCCATTGACCTCCTCCCTGCAATCCTTTTCTAGGCTGTTACCCTTCCTAAGGTAATCCCCACCATCTCTTTCCCTCGTACCCCTCCCTAGTCATGGCCAACACACACCTTGCCTGCAGGTGTTCTTCAAGGCCGGGCTGCTGGGGCTGCTGGAGGAAATGAGGGACGAGAGGCTGAGCCGCATCATCACGCGTATCCAGGCCCAGTCCCGAGGTGTGCTCGCCAGAATGGAGTACAAAAAGCTGCTGGAACGTAGGTGAGAGATCTCAAGAGGAGGTTTCCCGCTTCTCTGAGGCCCAGGCTGGTTCAGGGGCAGTGTCAGGAAAAAAAGCTCAGCAGATCTTCAAACACAGAGACCTGCAGGAGGGGCTCATATGAACACACTGCAGTCACAGGGTCAGAGGCCTCAGGAAGGGTGGGAGGGATGAAGGAAATGGGATATTCCCAAGGTTTCAGGACCTCAGGTAGGAAGGAGGCAGGAGGCTCAGCACTCCTTTCAATGGGCCCCTGCAGAGACTCCCTGCTGGTAATCCAGTGGAACATTCGGGCCTTCATGGGGGTCAAGAATTGGCCCTGGATGAAGCTCTACTTCAAGATCAAGCCGCTGCTGAAGAGTGCAGAAAGAGAGAAGGAGATGGCCTCCATGAAGGAGGAGTTCACACGCCTCAAAGAGGCGCTAGAGAAGTCCGAGGCTCGCCGCAAGGAGCTGGAGGAGAAGATGGTGTCCCTGCTGCAGGAGAAGAATGACCTGCAGCTCCAAGTGCAGGCGGTGAGGCTCCTGGGCTACTGTTGGCTCTTCCACCCTGCTCTGCCTTCACTTCCCACAACCCTGCACCTCCCTGCACAGGGGCTCACTGTCTTGTTCCTTCAGTCAGAGGACTCTGGGATCAACACTTCTAAAGACCTCCAAAGAGGTCCCTCAGGAGGAGGAAAGGGCAGAGGGAAAAGAGCTGACTTTTAAAAGCACAGGCTTTCTACTTGGGTTCAACCTAGATACACAGCTTAATTATTTTGTGACCTTGGGCAGACCATGCATCATCTTTGAGCCTCAATTTCCTCTAGACAGGGAATAAAGCTGTCCATTTCATTAAGCCATCATACATAAGTGCTTGGCATCAGCAAATGCAATTCCCACCCTTCGATGGAGGAGACCAGAGGAAGAGGTCCAGATGAAGATTTCTGGTTCCTTTCCTCTCTGCTCCCCTCCCCAGTGTTCCCAAGTTATACTATCCTGAAACTCTTCCCCTCCCCATACTTCTGAAGCTCTTGCCAAGTGGGGATATCCTAGAGTTACCCTCCTATTTGAGTGATGTGCCTCTCCTTCCCTCTACCTGCAAGAATGAGGACCTTACCCCCTGAACAGCCTCCCCTCTGTTCCTCACCTTCAGGAACAAGACAACCTGGCAGATGCTGAGGAGCGCTGTGATCAGCTGATCAAAAACAAGATTCAGCTGGAGGCCAAGGTGAAGGAGATGAACGAGAGGCTGGAGGATGAGGAGGAGATGAATGCTGAGCTCACTGCCAAGAAGCGCAAGCTGGAAGATGAGTGCTCAGAGCTCAAAAGGGACATCGATGATCTGGAGCTGACACTGGCCAAAGTGGAGAAGGAGAAACACGCAACAGAGAACAAGGTAAGGGCAGCTCCCTTTGGCTCCAGCCCGGGTCTCATCAGGACTCTCAGACCATACTGACCTTGACCCAGGCTAGCCACTCGGCATCCAGAGAGCAGCATGGACCTTGACATGGAGCTCCCCACAGATGGCACCAAGCTGGTGACCTTTGACCCTAAAGGAGATGGGATTCTTGGTCGGCAGGTGAAAAACCTGACAGAGGAGATGGCTGGGCTGGATGAGATCATTGCCAAGCTGACCAAGGAGAAGAAAGCTCTGCAAGAGGCCCACCAACAGGCTCTGGATGACCTTCAGGCCGAGGAGGACAAGGTCAACACCCTGACTAAGGCCAAAGTCAAGCTGGAGCAGCAAGTGGATGATGTGAGTAGATTGAGAGTTGTGGGGCCTAGATATGCCATGTCTATCTGTGCCCAGAGCTCTGTGTGTGTGTGTGTGTGTGTGTGTGTGTGTGTGTGTGTGTGTGTGTGTGTTTGTGTTTATGTTTAGAGGGGGGTAGGGTTAGAGGATGTTAACTTTTCTGATATCTTTCTAGAAAGGAGCTGGGGAATGAAAAGTCAGAGGTGGTGATCAATTCTGAATTATGTATCTAATCTCACTGGTATGATCAATAATAGAGATGAGTTTTCTTATTTAATTTAAGTGCAATCCCATATATCTCTGCCTTTGACACAAGATTTAGAGGGTCATCTCATAAGAACATGATAAATTTCTTTGGAAATTTTGTGAGGCTCCCCAAGTAGAATTTTTGAAATTCCAATATTTAAGGCAGAATCTGATCATTGTTCCCTCTGATGCACATATGTCTGTTGACTCACTTATCACTCTGTATTTTAATTATTTAAGCTTCTATCTCAGCCATAAGACTACAAGCTTCCTTTAGATAGGAACTTAGATCTATTCAATTTGGGGACTGCAGTGCTTAGCACAGAGCCTGATGCCCAGTAGGTGTTTATAGGATGCTGAAAGAATGAATACGGCGGCCAGCCGCGGTGGCTCACACCTGTAATCCCAGCACTTTGGGAGGCCAAGGCGGGTGGATCACGAGGTCAAGAGATCGAGACCATCCTGGCCAATATGGTGAAACCCCATCTCTACTAAAAATACAAAAATTAGCTGGATGTGGTGGCGTGCGCCTGTAGTCCCAGCTACTCAGGAGGCTGAGGCAGAATAATCCCTTGAACCAGGGAGGCGGAGGTTGCAGTGAGCCGAGATCGCGCCACTGCACTCCAGCCTGGCGACAGAGTGAGACTCCATAAAAAAAAAAAAAAAAAAAAGGAGGAAGGAAGGAAGGAAGGAGAGAAAGAAAGGAGAGAAAGAAAGAAAGAAAGAAAGGGAAAGAAAGAAAGAATACGGCTTTGGGGTTTCATCCCACAGTCATTTATTCCTTTATCTATAAAATATTGATTCAGCATCCCCTATATCTAGGCAATCTCACAGTCCCCTAATAACATTTGGCCCACTCTGGGGAAGGTTTCCCAAGTCCTGAACACAAAGATTTACCAAGTCCTGAGGTAACTGAACAACAAAATCACCAAGTCAGGATGCTTTGCCTCACTGGGCCTGGCTCCTTCTCTCTACCAGCTGGAAGGATCCCTGGAGCAAGAGAAGAAGGTGCGCATGGACCTGGAGCGAGCGAAGCGGAAGCTGGAGGGCGACCTGAAGCTGACCCAGGAGAGCATCATGGACCTGGAGAATGACAAGCAGCAGCTGGATGAGCGGCTGAAAAAGTACTGTGTCCCCTCCCTGCTGCCCTTCCTCCTCCCCAGCCCATAACAGTACAAGCAGACCCAAGACAGCCATCCTCTGAGGCAACAACCTCACGCAGCCTCCACAAGTGGAGGCGCAAACCATGGGAAAAGGCCTCCCAGGCAAGGGCTTTCCTCCCCTAGTCCCAGATATCAGGGTTAGTTAGATGGTCCTCCCTGGCAAAAAGTCCATTGTATCCCATGAGTCCTTTCTTCTTGTTAGGCACTCAGTGGGAATGAAAATAACAGCCTTCCCCCTTCATACACATCTCTCTTTGGAGACCAGTTCCTTGACATGGAGGAAGGCTCCACATGAGAGCCTCTTAGGAAAGTCCCTTTGTGGCTTTTCACAGAGAGCCCACAGGGCACCAAGAAATGCCCTCACATTAAAGAAGTCAGGGGATCAGGGCCATTTCTTTGTTTTGCTTAACTTGTGGTTCCAATTCTTAGTGTAAGTTCTTCCAAAATGTATAGACTTTCCAGACTTGGTAAACAGTGAGCTTGCAGAACATATTTTGATAATTGAAGGTCTTATGGTGTTTCAGGCTCAGGACTTTGAAAGGCTTTGAGAATCATCATAATCTACATCCTCATCAAGTTTGTGTTTGCACAGGAATCTTCATACCTTCCCAGGCACAGAATGTGTTGAATAAATGAATAAATACACGATCCTATTTGATTCTCAAAACACCTTTTAAGGATGGTATCTTTAATTTCACTTTACCAAAGAGGAAAATAAGTTTCAGAAAGGTTAGCTGAGTTACCCAAAGCAATAGTGACAAAATTAAAGACCATCAGAGCTAAAAAGGACCTTTGAAACAATCTAGTCCGACCCCCTCATTTTACATTATGAGAAAACAAGGACCAAAGATGGGAATGTCCTGTAGAGCCCAGGCCCCATCACCCTGTCTACAGCACTCCTCCCATTACATTCTTGTTGGATTTCAATCTCACCGCAGGTGTTACACTTCCAGGGATCCTACATCACCCCCAGAAGCTGTTTTTCTAATGAAATCCTACTCTTTACCTGTATCATTACCATTTTCAACCACTGGTGGACCCTCCTGAGGCCCCACGAGTCTCCCTTACCTCACCATCCCTCCTTCCCCACAGAAAAGACTTTGAGCTGAATGCTCTCAACGCAAGGATTGAGGATGAACAGGCCCTCGGCAGCCAGCTGCAGAAGAAGCTCAAGGAGCTTCAGGTGAGGTCTGGACACCCACGCGGGATGCTGAGTCCCTGGGCTGGTTCTGTTTCCCCTGCCCCCTCCTCTAGGGTGTCCTGTTCACAGCATTACAGGAACTGATTATGTGTCCATGGAGGCAGGCACGCAGCTATCACAGTGTGCCCATGGATACATCCAAAAGGGGTCAGGTGATCCACAGAGACCCTGAAAAGGTCACAGGCCTGGAGGGCAGAATTCCTGGCTTCCTGTCTCAGCTCTGCCTTAGTTGGGTGACCTCTGGGAGCCCACTCCAGATCTCTGGGTCTCCATGCCCTCCCCTGTTACATGGAGGTTTTTAAGAGTCCTTCGACTCTGATGGCATGACTTTCCTCCTTACTCTAGAGCAGAAGCTGTGTTAGGTCTTTAGTTGTCTGGTCAGACAAATACGGCTCTCTCATTTTCAACTTTTGTTATTTTTTTATGACTAAACTGCTTAAAATATCCCCAGAACACAGGTCTCTTTGTCCATCTTTAAGAGCAAGTTTCAACCACTTTCCTTCCAATAAAGAGCATGTAGACTGTCAGGCCCTCGCCTAAAGGAAGGCTCTTCAAACTATCTTCCCCAAATCCTTTAATTCCCACCTCTCCACTGGAAGAGCTAAACTGACTTGCTGTTCCAGAGAAGCCGAGAGCCTTTTAGAGCCGGGGGGATTCCAGTGGAGGGGTCCAGGCGGTGGGTCTGAGCCCTTTGTGTCTGACCAGGCACGCATCGAGGAGCTGGAGGAGGAGCTGGAGGCCGAGCGCACCGCCAGGGCTAAGGTGGAGAAGCTGCGCTCAGACCTGTCTCGGGAGCTGGAGGAGATCAGCGAGCGGCTGGAAGAGGCCGGCGGGGCCACGTCCGTGCAGATCGAGATGAACAAGAAGCGCGAGGCCGAGTTCCAGAAGATGCGGCGGGACCTGGAGGAGGCCACGCTGCAGCACGAGGCCACTGCCGCGGCCCTGCGCAAGAAGCACGCCGACAGCGTGGCCGAGCTGGGCGAGCAGATCGACAACCTGCAGCGGGTGAAGCAGAAGCTGGAGAAGGAGAAGAGCGAGTTCAAGCTGGAGCTGGATGACGTCACCTCCAACATGGAGCAGATCATCAAGGCCAAGGCAGGCTCTGCTCGGCCTCCCCTCCTCCAACTTCCTCCTCCCACCTCCCCTTTCTGTCCATGTAGTGTCTCTTCCTTCATGGTTCATTTTCCCACTTCCCTTCCTCTGCCTGGTTCTCAGATCCCCTCCTTCTTTTCACACCTTCCCTCTTCTTTTCTCCTTCAGTTGCACCTCTTACACCCCTTCATTCCCCCCGCCCCCAACATCCATCATATAACTCTCCTTCCCTTCTCAGGCTAACCTGGAGAAGATGTGCCGGACCTTGGAAGACCAGATGAATGAGCACCGGAGCAAGGCGGAGGAGACCCAGCGTTCTGTCAACGACCTCACCAGCCAGCGGGCCAAGTTGCAAACCGAGAATGGTGAGCCTAGAGCAGGGGCTCCATGGTTCCCACCACAGTCTCCCCAACCTCCTGAGCCACTCCAGCCTCGGGCACAAGCCAATACACGCACACACAGACACAGAGTCTCTCCAGAAAATGGGGCCTGAGGGCTAGAGGAGGAGGTGGGGATAGAGAGGAGTGCTGATCTAGAATGGTGCTTCCCCAGGTGAGCTGTCCCGGCAGCTGGATGAGAAGGAGGCACTGATCTCCCAGCTGACCCGAGGCAAGCTCACCTACACCCAGCAGCTGGAGGACCTCAAGAGGCAGCTGGAGGAGGAGGTTAAGGTAAGGGCTAGACTCGGGCCACCTGGCCCAAGCAAGGAGCACACTGACTAGCCTTGCATCAAATCACTTCCCTTCCCAGCAATAAGGCTGGCTGTGGACCAACAGTTCTCCAAGAATTCTAAAAAGAAATCACAGCCCAAACCCTGCCACATGCCATCTACTCCCCAGGCTGAGGCCCTCTGCTTCTGCTGCATCCCTGGACGGGAGGCAGGGTGTGAGAAGGAGGAGAGAAAATGAACTAGGGAGGCACGAGATGGCCTTGCCCGGGCACGGCTAGGGGATGTAGGGACTGCACAAATGGGTCCTGGGATTTGCAGGGCCACCTGAAAACTGGAGAAAGAAATTCAACTGGAGCCTATTCCTAGCACTTTGCTGGACTCATGAAAAAGGAGAAAGAACATGATTTTTAAAAAACTCCAGGGTTCATACTAACCTGCCTCTTATAGCTCAGTGATCTTAGGTTAGGGAAGTCCCCTAACCTTTCTGAGCCTGTTTCCCTCTCCCCAGCCAGGTAAAATGGCGGTGATGATGACCATGTCTGGTGTGGGGAGGAGCTCAGGGCCAATGGCCATGAAGCTTTTCTTAAATAGTTCACTGCTGTATTGGCATTCTTTGTTATCAGCAAACAGTAAACCATGACAGGTCCACTGGGGGTTTGGACATAGATGAGGCCAAGGGATGATGTTGAGATTGGGGTGAGGAGAAGGGCAAGGGTGGGGTTGCTTTATGGAGAAAGCTGAACCCACCTCCTGGTGCCCACCCCTCCCCAGGCGAAGAACGCCCTGGCCCACGCACTGCAGTCGGCCCGGCATGACTGCGACCTGCTGCGGGAGCAGTACGAGGAGGAGACGGAGGCCAAGGCCGAGCTGCAGCGCGTCCTTTCCAAGGCCAACTCGGAGGTGGCCCAGTGGAGGACCAAGTATGAGACGGACGCCATTCAGCGGACTGAGGAGCTCGAGGAGGCCAAGTGAGTTCTGAGCAGCCTGACTTCTGGCTGAGGCCCCTTTGCAGGCAGGACTCAGCCCAGCCCCAGCCTCAGCAGATCCCACACAGGCGATGCTTAGCTAGTGTTTGACAACACAGGAGGACTCTGCCCCGGCCCCACCTCCTTCTCCTCTCAGGGAAGCTTTTTGCTCGAATTATGTTTCTGATCCGAATATAAGACGAACAAAAGGTTTGTCTGAGGGCAGAGTGCTTCCGTCTGGGGCAGGGCACTGTGGCAGGGAAAGGCAGTGGGGAGGGCTGCAGAAGCCCATACCTCCTCAATGTCCATAGCGCAGAGGCTGGGCCAGGGTCAGAGGGTGCCTGGGTCTCCACGCCCTGCTGGGATCCTCTGCCTGATGTTCTCGGCCCCTGGGACCTGTCCTCAGGCTTCTCCAGCTACACTTCTGAGGTTTCAAGGATTGTCTTTGAGAAGGTTCATGTTGTTTCCTCTTGTCCCCATCCACACCCTCCATCCTCCCCACCCTCTGCCACCCTCCCCTGGGCAGGAAGAAGCTGGCCCAGCGGCTGCAGGAAGCTGAGGAGGCCGTGGAGGCTGTTAATGCCAAGTGCTCCTCGCTGGAGAAGACCAAGCACCGGCTACAGAATGAGATCGAGGACTTGATGGTGGACGTAGAGCGCTCCAATGCTGCTGCTGCAGCCCTGGACAAGAAGCAGAGGAACTTCGACAAGGTGGGCCCTGGGTGGGGGCCGCAGCCAGCATGCAGGGCAAGGGGGCATGAGGGGTTCAGTGAGAGGCCAGAGCCATCCTCCTTGGAGGTGGGGGAGGAGGGCTGAGCCCAGGCAGGTCCTGAGACAGACCCTGGACATGGGGCTGAGGCTGGGGGGCTGAAGAGTGAGCCTTGTCCCCGGGCAGATCCTGGCCGAGTGGAAGCAGAAGTATGAGGAGTCGCAGTCGGAGCTGGAGTCCTCGCAGAAGGAGGCTCGCTCCCTCAGCACAGAGCTCTTCAAACTCAAGAACGCCTATGAGGAGTCCCTGGAACATCTGGAGACCTTCAAGCGGGAGAACAAAAACCTGCAGGGTGTGCTGGGGGCCCAAGAGGCTGGGGAGGGGCTGCACTGGCAGTGTTCCCATATGGTGCCACCCAAGGGCTCCAAGAGGCGTCTGGGCAAAGAGGCGTGTCCCTCCAACTCCACTGGACCTCAGCAGCCCTCAACCGAGTTACCGTGTTCCCCACACAGAGGAGATCTCCGACTTGACTGAGCAGTTGGGTTCCAGCGGAAAGACTATCCATGAGCTGGAGAAGGTCCGAAAGCAGCTGGAGGCCGAGAAGATGGAGCTGCAGTCAGCCCTGGAGGAGGCCGAGGTGTGTGTGTGTGCAGGGCACGGGGTGCAGGGAGCTGAGCTCCAGGCTTTTGGTCCCTGTTCTCATCCCCCGCTTTGTCCGTTTTGTTCACTGTCCCATCCCCAGAGCCTAGGACAGAGCCTGGCACATAGTAGGCATTCAGTGAAGATTTGTGGAGTGAATGAATGACCAGTCACTGAACTCTCTTCACATAAACATTTTACCCATTGCATCTTAGCTGAGCTTCCCATTTCCACATACCTCCCGGTTCCCACCTCTGCCTCCCTCTGTTTTCTTTTATACTCTATACCTGATTGCCTCTGTTTCCTTGGCAACACTTTTCTCTTCATTTTCCTCCTTGTCTTCATAGCTGGCTCTCCCCTGTGAGGGCCTGAATCACTTTCTCTTAGGCTTATTTTTATTTTCTCTTAGATTCTCTTTTCCTCCACCTTCTGCTTCTTTGAACCACTTACACCACTCTTGAAGTCACTTCGTATCCATGATTAGTGAGCAGGCCCCCACCCTGCCCTGTGCCCTGACTGTCTGCCTGCATCCCCTCCCCCAACCCCTTCCCAGGCCTCCCTGGAGCACGAGGAGGGCAAGATCCTCCGGGCCCAGCTGGAGTTCAACCAGATCAAGGCAGAGATCGAGCGGAAGCTGGCAGAGAAGGACGAGGAGATGGAACAGGCCAAGCGCAACCACCTGCGGGTGGTGGACTCGCTGCAGACCTCCCTGGACGCAGAGACACGCAGCCGCAACGAGGCCCTGAGGGTGAAGAAGAAGATGGAAGGAGACCTCAATGAGATGGAGATCCAGCTCAGCCACGCCAACCGCATGGCCGCCGAGGCCCAGAAGCAAGTCAAGAGCCTCCAGAGCTTGTTGAAGGTACTCACCCAGAGGGGACTGGCCTCCACGTGGCCTGGCGAAGCAGTAGTGTCTTGATACAGGCACCAGATTCCTCCTGCCCCTAGGTTACTGCAGGGACCTCTGACAGGTGCCTTTAGTGAAGGGAACCGAGGCTGGCTCCCTGCTCATGCCCACTCTCCTGATCCTCAGGACACCCAGATTCAGCTGGACGATGCAGTCCGTGCCAACGACGACCTGAAGGAGAACATCGCCATCGTGGAGCGGCGCAACAACCTGCTGCAGGCTGAGCTGGAGGAGTTGCGTGCCGTGGTGGAGCAGACAGAGCGGTCCCGGAAGCTGGCGGAGCAGGAGCTGATTGAGACTAGTGAGCGGGTGCAGCTGCTGCATTCCCAGGTGAGCAGCTCCCCTGCTCATTCCTGAAGGGAGCACAGGCTGGGGCTCAGCAAGCAAGGCTTGAGAGCTATGCATAGATGCTCAATGCTTTTCCTGCTCTGCCCAACCCTCCCCCAACCCAGAACACCAGCCTCATCAACCAGAAGAAGAAGATGGATGCTGACCTGTCCCAGCTCCAGACTGAAGTGGAGGAGGCAGTGCAGGAGTGCAGGAATGCTGAGGAGAAGGCCAAGAAGGCCATCACGGATGTAAGTCCCCCACTCCACCGACCCGATCCAGACCAGTGTCTCTCCGTGGGCTGGGCAGCAAGTGTGTGAGGACTTGACCAGACCATGTGCCACCTCTCTCCTGCACACAGGCCGCCATGATGGCAGAGGAGCTGAAGAAGGAGCAGGACACCAGCGCCCACCTGGAGCGCATGAAGAAGAACATGGAACAGACCATTAAGGACCTGCAGCACCGGCTGGACGAAGCCGAGCAGATCGCCCTCAAGGGCGGCAAGAAGCAGCTGCAGAAGCTGGAAGCGCGGGTGCGGGAGCTGGAGAATGAGCTGGAGGCCGAGCAGAAGCGCAACGCAGAGTCGGTGAAGGGCATGAGGAAGAGCGAGCGGCGCATCAAGGAGCTCACCTACCAGGTGCGACGGGCGGTGACTCCAGGCAGAGCCCTGGCACCATAGCCACAGTGACAACCAGCTGAGGAGAATGAAGAGTTTGCTCTTAGCCTCTTCCAGGGCGAGGATGGGAATGCAGCCCCCGTTTCACTTTGCCTAGCCCTGCCCCACTCTGAATGTCCCCTAGCTCAGAGGTCAGTCTCTGAGCCTCCTGGCCTGGGAGCTCCATCTCAACACCCACTCTTAGCCCATCGCCAGGGGACACACACAGAATTCCAGACAAAGCTCACCCAGTACAGCTCACCAGAAAGCAAATATGTAGCCAGGGTCACCCCCAAAAGACACCAAAAACACACCCATCCCATTCAAACAAGCATAAAAACTTTTTCATTGCCCAGGGCAGTGTGGACTCTAGCTTTCTGAGGTGTTTTCTAGAATCAGACTCTGAATTAGAATTTGTTTCTTTTCCAATCCAGGATGTCACTATCTCTCTAAGCACACTTTGTCCTTAACTTAGATTAAGTCAGTGTTTTCCTGGCCTGCATTGCAGCCCAGGAAATTCCATCACACTCATAGCCCCAAAGTCACTCCCAGCATGTGCCGAGGTCCAGAGCAGGGGACTTCATCCCGCATGGGGTCCCCGGACCCTGAAAAACCTGCTCCCTGGAGCACTGCACACACACAATTTTGTGCATAATTTCAGGAGTCCCACTAGTTCTTTGGACTCTTTCCTGGTACAGATCATTTAAAATATTTACACATATTTGGTAAGAAATTATAAGGAGAATTCAAGTGTTTAGTGAGGATCAGAAAGTAGAATTGGGTCAGGATATCAGATGAAGCAGGGCAGGGCGGAGGGGATGCTACCTTCTATGACTGTGCCATCTTCACCCCCTGCCTACCCTCTGGCCCCCAGACGGAGGAGGACAGGAAAAACCTGCTGCGGCTGCAGGACCTGGTAGACAAGCTGCAGCTAAAGGTCAAGGCCTACAAGCGCCAGGCCGAGGAGGCGGTGAGTGACCCTGCTGGGGACTAGGCCCAGGGGAGGCATAGGAGAGCTCGTCCCCCAAGCCAGGAGTCTGAGAACCCAGGCCCCCTCTCACCTCATGCTCCCACCTCCCGCAGGAGGAGCAAGCCAACACCAACCTGTCCAAGTTCCGCAAGGTGCAGCACGAGCTGGATGAGGCAGAGGAGCGGGCGGACATCGCCGAGTCCCAGGTCAACAAGCTGCGGGCCAAGAGCCGTGACATTGGCACGAAGGTGGGTCCCTCTTTTGGGCTTTGCTAGTCACCCCCACAGCAGGCATACCCAGACAGAGCACCCTCAAACCCGGGATGCTTCCTTTTCATTTATTCCACACACTTGAGCCACATGGCCCCAGAGGCCAAGGTAATGCAGTTCTCTGTGATTTCAAGGATTCTTCCAGCTCTAACTTTTTTTTTTTTTTTTTTTGAGACGGTGTCTCACTCTGCCGCCCAGGCTGGAGTGCAGTGGCACAATCTCAGCTCACTGCAACCTCTGCCTCCTGGGTTCTCCTGCCTCAGCCTCCCAAGTAGCTGGGATTATAGGCATGTGCTACCATGTCTAGCTAATTTTTATATTTTAGTAGAGATGCGGTTTCACCATGTTGGCCAGGCTGGTCTTGAACTCCTGACCTTGTGATCCACTCGCCTCAGCCTCCCAAAGTACGGGATTACAGGCGTGAGCCACCACTCCCAGCTCAGCTCTAAGTTTCAGTGGTTCTGGGAATTTCAGCCTTAGGGAGGGGTGCCACCCTAGAAGACCCTAATTTATATACAACCAGTATATCCCAGTTTCCCCCCAACTGCTAGTTTCCAGTTCCCTTCCACCTAATTTTGTCCTGCAATCTTGTAACTCAAACCTAAAATGGACATCCCAGAGAACCCGGGCCTGGCTTTGTTCTCGCCCAGGCAACTTCCCTCTGACCAACCCCAGAACCCTACCCTCCAGAACTTGCCCCCCGAACATCGATCCCTGGAAACACATGTGCTGCTGCCACAGGGGCTTCCACCTGCCCACAAAGCAGGCCCCCCACCATCAGACCCCTCTCACCTTTGTTCCCATGCCCTGTCCCTGCCCAATACCATCTCTCCAAGGACTGATTGGACTTTGTTTCCTTTCAAAAGGGCTTGAATGAGGAGTAGCTTTGCCACATCTTGATCTGCTCAGCCCTGGAGGTGCCAGCAAAGCCCCATGCTGGAGCCTGTGTAACAGCTCCTTGGGAGGAAGCAGAATAAAGCAATTTTCCTTGAAGCCGAGATCCTGACTCCAGACTCTTCTTCACTGCCCTGAGGACCCGGGGATGGGGTCTGGACTAGGGGAGGTGGAAATGCAGGGGAGTGGGGGCAAATTCAAAGGCCTGGCCTAGGAGGCCTTCGTGGAGCAGCACTGAAAACCCCTTTCACTTCCCCCAAACCAGCCAAATGCAGCAGAGGCGACACCTCTCCTCCCAGCCTTCTCCCTGGTCCAGCCAGGATTTAAAGGAGATTTAGGGAGACCCCTAAAGTTCACCTAGAGCACCCTGAGCCCATCTACTGTGGACCTGCACCCCAGCTTCCGTCAACCCTGCCCCACCCACCACCATGGATACTGCCCAGGGCTGGGCAAAGGGCAGCGGTTCGGGGTGTGGGTGCTGGCCAGTGCCCTTTCTGAGCCCGCAGAAGTGTGAACCACTGGGCCAGGTGAGGCAATGGCTGCCTAAGTGCCAGTCCCAGGCGAGTCTCTGAGAGTACACAAGGATTCACAGCTGTAGCCTGCATCCCCTTTTAAATAGAGCCACCACCCTCTCCAGCCACCGCCAGAAGCCAGCATACCCCCTGCCCACCACAGGTGGGAGAAACACACCCTCAGCCCACCTGCCGTCCTCCTCAGCTCCTCCTGGTGCCGAGCCCCCTTGGCCCAGGGTGCTCCCTTCTTCCCACTCATTTCTTCCCATTGTAATTCCCATTACCAAGCCCTTTGTCCTCTGGGCTTGTGGGAAGATGGGGTTCTCCTGGCCCATTTATGGCAAGCCATCTTGAGGGGAGGCAGACAGATGAGGGGCTGGGGAAGGTTATGTGTGAACAGGACTCTGGGGAGAGGGAGGGAAGGGATGGCTCCCGAGAGGGCCAGGAGGTGGAGGAAAGAGTAAGTCTCCTCCAACTAAACAAGTTCAGCCCCTTTGGAGTTCCTGCCACAGCTGGGTTGCTTAGGCAGGCCTGGGACTGTGGGCCACAGAGGTCAGGGGCTTGAAAGGCACTGGGGCTGTCGGCCCCACTGGGAACCTGGGAAGCAGTGGTTCAGCCCTGGACTGGATCTCCCCCAACCCACCAACATACCCACTCGGAGCCCACTCCTGCTCTGTACCCAGCTCTGAGCTCGGAGCTCTGAGGACTGCGGCAGCCAGAGCCAAGGGCCCTAAGCCGGAGAAGGAGAAACCAGTACTGGACAATAGCAGGTGACAGCAGAGGAGAAAAAGGGGGTAGGGAGGGGACAAGGAAAGACCTGAGGGGGTGGCAGTGGACAAAGAGATTGAGCAACCACAGGACAAGGTAACCAGAGGAAACAGAGACAAGGAAAAAAGATGCAGGAAATGAGGAGGCCCCAGAAAGATCCGCAGGCGCCGCCACCTTTCTCCTCATAGCCACCTCCATTCTCCTTCCCTAGGCCAACCCAGACAGAGCTCCCTCAAACCAGGGATGCTTCCTTTTCATTTATCCAGCTCAATTGAACCACACAGCCCCAGAGGCCAAGGTAATTCAGTTCTCTGTGATTTCTAGGATTCTTTCAGCCTTTTTGTTTTTGTTTTTGTTTTTGTGACGGAGTCTCACTCTGCTGCCCAGGCTGGAGTGCAGTGGCACAACCTCGGCTTGGGCCGAGATCCCTAGGGCCATTCCTCTGGCTAGGAACAGACTTGGACAGCAATGAAGAGATAACTAGAAACAAAGGAGAGAACCCTTGAAAAGGGAGCTATGCAGAGAGACCCAGGGCACCTAAGCAACCAGAGCAAGAGAGACCGCAAGAGATACAGATCCTATGAGAATGGTCGGGGGCTGGATGCAGACAGCAGGGTTGAGAGAGGTCTGAGAGCCAAGCCAGGGAGAAGGAGGGGTGCTGAGGGGGATGGGGAGAGAGGAAAAGAGAGGGAGCCTTGGAGGGAGAAGCTTGAAGAGCTGCGGGTGGTGATCCCGAGTGAAGGAAAGAATCCTGGGTCACTTGCAAATGCAAGGAGAGTCAGGAAGGCGCAAGGAGATTGGAGAGGAGGAAGAGCCTGGAGCAAGATGTGGAGGCCCAGGGCGAGAGAAGAGGCCAGCTCGGAGAGGGCAGAGCCTCATGTTAGACCCTGAGCCGGGTGGAGACACGGGCCAGGGAGAATCGGAGGCAGGCCCCACTCTGAGATGGAGAAGCAGGCAGAGGGAATGAAGGTGAGACAGAGACAGATGCAACGGGGAGCCAGGCAGAAGACAGGCAACCTGTGCCAGGGAGGCCAGCCTTGCCTCCTTGGCACCCTCACCTGTGGCCGAAGCCTCCATCCCTGTCCTTATATTCCAGGACTCCCAGCAGAATGAGGAGCTGTGTGCAAGGCAGCTTAGGGAGGACGGAGAGCAATATGTGAGAGCAGGGAGAGAAGGAGCCTGGGGAAGGGAGAGGACGGTACAGCGGAGCAGACGGGCAGGGCCTGGGGCTGAGTGAACACCTTCCTTCCTCCTCCTTCCACAGGAGCGGGGGACTACCCCCCACCACCTCCACTCCCCGCTGCCCTGCCACCACCACCTATACCAAGTGAGGCCTGCTCAGAGCACAGGGTTCCCTGAGGACAAAGCCTGGTCTTTGTCACCTGACCCCGACCCAGACTGACCTGGCGTTCTCAGCTCCTTATCATGTCCCCAGAGCTATGGGAACCAAGCAGTGACGCACTGGCCATGGGCTAACCCCCCGGCTCGAATTCTGGGGCCTCGAGTAACCTAGAGCTGGGGACAGGTGGCCTGCATCCCCTGGGGGTAATGATTTGGCATAAGCACCTGCAGAAGATGGGGATGTGGGGTCAACTAAGGTCCCTCCAAGGACATTGAGAAAAGGTCCAAATGCTCTGGAAAGAGAGGTGTGTTCCTGAGCCCAGGAATGGGGTGGCAGCGTCCTAGGGAGCTAGGGGAGAGGCCACATCTTAATGGAAAGTGCTCCTACCCAGAGAAGCTGACCCCTGTCGTCCTACCCACCTCCACACCCTGGAGCTATATTGAGAGGTGACAGTAAACTGGTGGGAGGGGGGCTGGGAGGGTGTTCCTGGGTGTGAGGGTGGGGGGAAGGCCAGAGCAGGGGAGTCTGGCTTTGTTTCCTGAACACAATGTCCACTTAGTCATAACAGGAACAGCCTGCTGAAGACCTGACACCTACAGCCTCTGAGAGATGGCAGCATTGGAGGATGGGGAGCGGGGCCTTGAGGGCCTAGGGTGCTTGAGGACACCCACAAAGAAGGGAATGTGAGTATAAGCCCTGGAGGGCTTGGAAAGGGGCAACAAAATTCTGCCTGGGGAGGGGGCAGGTGGCAGAGCCCCACCCCGATGGAATGCAGTGCCTGGGGACCAGATGGTGTAAATCCCCAGGCCTGCCAGGCACCTGCACCCTCTGGCAGCCCGGTGAGGCAGAAGGGGACAGCCCCTCACCCACCCCCCTCCTCTCTCAGGCCCTAGGATTAGCACCATCTTCTTCTGCCCACCCCACCCCAGGAGCAGAGGGTAGCAGGGGAGGGCAAAAGCCTATGTGTGCAAATGCGGATGTGCAAATGTGTGCATCCATGTACACAAAAGAAAGTAGAAAAGAAATCTGCAAGCTTGAGTGGGTAAGTGTGAAAAATCTGCATGTGTGGCTGAAGATGGGCACAGACACGGTCAAGTCTGTATGTGAGAGTGCTGAACTGGGGTTCTGTGTGAAAATCTGCCTGAGGCGGCAGGGAGAATCACTGCCATTGCGTGAGCAGGTTGGATGTTGGCCACTCTATCAGGAGCATTAGGGAAGGGGTGGGGACTCCAGACGTGTCCCCAAACCAGGGTGGCCTCAAGACCTTGGGAGAACACTTGTCTGAAGACTTGGGGAACAGAAGGAGACCAGGCATGGCACTTATGCAGACTGAGGCCAGGACAGAATTTCCTGACAAAAGAAAACTGAGCCATGGAGATGGACAACAGATCCCTTCCCTGGGCACCATACTGCAGCTTTTAGTCCCTAGCACTGGGGGCTCCAGTACTAACAGCAGGAAGATGCTCCCAGCCTGGGACTGTGTGAGGGAGGTCAGAATGGGAAGGAGAGGCTGGGGAACAGGGGAGGAAAGCCCATGGTTGGGAGGCGGAGGACAGGCATTTGGCCTGCAGGAGAAGGTGACCCTCACCCATGTTTTCAGTTCACCCTTCGGGTTAAAAATAACTGAGGTAAGGGCCATGGCAGGGTGGGAGAGGCGGTGTGAGAAGGTCCTGTCTTCCCACTATCTGCTCATCAGCCCTTTGAAGGGGAGGAATGTGCCCAAGGACTAAAAAAAGGCCGTGGAGCCAGAGAGGCTGGGGCAGCAGACCTTTCTTGGGCAAATCAGGGGGCCCTGCTGTCCTCCTGTCACCTCCAGAGCCAAAGGATCAAAGGAGGAGGAGCCAGGAGGGGAGAGAGGTGGGAGGGAGGGTCCCTCCGGAAGGACTCCAAATTTAGACAGAGGGTGGGGGAAACGGGATATAAAGGAACTGGAGCTTTGAGGACAGATAGAGAGACTCCTGCGGCCCAGGTAAGAGGAGGTTTGGGGTGGGATGCCCTGCAGCCCGTCCACAGAGCCCCCACCGTGAGGGACCTCCTTCACCAGGAGTGGGGTGCAGGTCAGTTGGAGGCCTAAGGGCTCTATTAAAACTGCCTATCTCCAGGCCCAGGGAAGTTCCCCCTGACACAAGGAGGTTCCACAGGAAACCCAGAAACCTCTTTTCTCCTTCTCTGACTCTCCATTTCTTTCTCTGCATCATTCTGAGTCTCCTACATGTTGTCTCCATCTTTCCATCTTCCTTCCTCCTTTGGATGGCTTCCTTCCCTTGATCCTGGTTTTATCTTGCCTCTTGGTCTTCATCGACACTTGTCACAATCATGCTTCTTTGTCTCTCTCCCTTGTCCTTCCTTCTTGGCACGTGTTCTCACCTCCCTGCCTCTCTGCTTCTAACCCTGTTTCCACACCCCGTCCCTCGCACTCATATTGACTCGGTGCCCTTTCTTTTCTGCCTCTGCGTCTTTCCCTTTCTGACTCCCTGGTCTGTCCTGCCTGTCTGCGCTCTGGGGCTGCCTCCATCCCCGGGTGGCCTGCCTCTGTTGTTCTTCACTCTCCTCATCTGTTCTTCTCTCTGCCCGGCTCTACCTCTGTTGTTCCTTGCTCCACCCACGGTCCAGATTCTTCAGGATTCTCCGTGAAGGGATAACCAGGTGAGAACTGCCCCCATTTTCTCTGCAGAGACTGGGGCATGCTTCTCCTGGGAGCCGGATTGCTGGACCAGGGGTCTGCTGTCCCAAGCACTCAGCGCCAACCCTTAGCATACTCCAGCCAATGCCACCCCAGGGAAACCCCTTACAGAGATTGTCCTTCAGCATCACCTCAGAGGGCAGGAGAAGCAGAGCCCTGAGTAGGGGAGGGTGCAACAGCAGGTGCCTCTCCCAGGGTGGAGGAGAGGAGCGGGGGTAGGGAGGGGGGCTGCAGAGGACAAAGCCACTCGCTGGAGCCTGGGCTCCCTCAGGAGTAACATAGCCCTCCTGTCTCTGACCCAGGGGAAGCACCAAGATGACCGATGCCCAGATGGCTGACTTTGGGGCAGCGGCCCAGTACCTCCGCAAGTCAGAGAAGGAGCGTCTAGAGGCCCAGACCCGGCCCTTTGACATTCGCACTGAGTGCTTCGTGCCCGATGACAAGGAAGAGTTTGTCAAAGCCAAGATTTTGTCCCGGGAGGGAGGCAAGGTCATTGCTGAAACCGAGAATGGGAAGGTGAGTAGGGCATGGCGCCGGGGCAGAAGGGAAGGAGGTCTGGGAAAGAAGATGCAGAGGTGGAGCCACTTGCAGGGGGAGCTGAGAGGGCTGGAGAAAAGCCAAGGCCAGTGGGGATGCCAGGACATGCTCCTTTGAGGAGCCCAGAATCTGATCCCTCTCAAATTGACCTGAGCTGGTGCAACAGGTGCCACCCAGGGCCATGTTCCCCCTGCCAGAGAGGATGCTGAGGAAGAAGAACCTCAGTGTTCGCCTAAGAGGGGTCTTGTAGATAAAGAGGGCACAGACACAGCATTAAATGATGCCCCCTTCTTGCACTTGTATCCCTCTTCCCTGTGCCTCAGTTTCCTCCATGAGTCCACTTTCTCAAATTCCGTTCACCCAAATCAAGAGTAATTCTTAGACCCAGATGAACACAAAGATCAGAAACTTTTGAGCTGAGCACTCTCCTTGACTGGCACTCAGAAGCTCTGGTCCCTGGTTTGCTCACACCAGCCAAGAGAATCACCCCTGGTTACCAGCTGCGGCTCAGGGCTGTGTGCCTCATGAACTCGTTGACTGAATGTTACAACCCATTGAAGTGTAGAATAACAGGCCACAATCCCCTGGGGCTTTTGACTCTGATCCCAGCTCTGCCACCCGCTAGTCACTGTGCAGGCAAATCATTTAGTCATTTAGAGCCACGGATTTCTCCACTATAAAAAACACTGGAATACCTACTGGCAGGATCTAATGACATCAGGGCATGGCAAACTGACTGCTGCCAATCAAACCACACCAACAGTGATGGATGGGGAGTGTGGAGTAGATGGGTGAACTACTTTTCCAGCAGGGGTGAAGGTTTGCCCTGAGCAACAGATACCCTAAAGCGCTGCCCGCGGGAGACAGCCTCGGGGTCAGCATAAGGTGTGCACAGATCTGAGAGCTGCCAATCTCCAGGTCTGCCCCAAGACCCTTGGAACATAGGGACTGAAGAGTGATGGTCATGGGCACAGGGTGTCCCCAGGATGGTCTGGGGATCTGGCAAGAGAAAGGTACCCTAGGACAGTCTCTAGGATGGGAGATACAATGGGAAGGGAAATTACCTGGGGAAAGTGTCCCAGGGGACATCGGGGTAGGGGCCGGGGCACTGGTCAGAGCAAGGGGAGCAAGGCCAAGTCCCTGTGTCCTGGGAGGAGGTCAGTGGGCAGTGCTGGCAAGGGTCCCGGAGGGATTGTGGTCACTCATCCTCCTGCTTATGCGCCCCCTCCAGACGGTGACTGTGAAGGAGGACCAGGTGTTGCAGCAGAACCCACCCAAGTTCGACAAGATTGAGGACATGGCCATGCTGACCTTCCTGCACGAGCCCGCGGTGCTTTTCAACCTCAAGGAGCGCTACGCGGCCTGGATGATATATGTGAGTGGCTCCTGCACACTGCAGAGGCTTCCTGTGCTGCGTGGAGGCCTAAATAAGCCAGGGGGGCTCTCCCAAGAAGAGGGGGAGAGACTCCCAAGGGACCCAAGTCCCCTTCCCCCCTCCACCCCTAGTCAGCTGCAGGAGGAGTAGAGCCAGCTGGAGTGAACAGGGACATGCCTGGCTGCCACCACTGCCTGTCCCAGGCTCTCCCCACCAACCTCATGCCCAGCCTTGTCTCCTGCTCCAGACCTACTCGGGCCTCTTCTGTGTCACTGTCAACCCCTACAAGTGGCTGCCGGTGTACAATGCCGAGGTGGTGGCCGCCTACCGGGGCAAGAAGAGGAGTGAGGCCCCGCCCCACATCTTCTCCATCTCCGACAACGCCTATCAGTACATGCTGACAGGTGAGCCTGGTGGCCCCTGGTCTCTGCTCCTCCTCCCAGACACCCACCCAGATCCTCAGCCCTGACCCCATTGCTTCTCCTCTTTTTTCTTCCAGATCGGGAGAACCAGTCCATCCTCATCACGTGAGCGAGTGCCATCCTCCCACAGAAGGGACTGGGCTGGGGGCATACACGCTGATGCCTAGGGTGTAGTTGGGAGGAGAGGTTTAAGGCTGGGATTGCAGGGAGCATGGGGCACTGAGCTCTCATTAGAGGGGTGCCAGAGCAATGAACCATGTCAGGCAAATCCTGCTGGGTGCTGGGCTCTGATGGCCAGGCTGGGAAGGGGAGCATGTGATGCTGAGCCCTGTATGGAGAACAGTAGGAATCCTGAGTTTTGATTGGTCTCTGTGGCCCCCAGGGGAGAATCCGGGGCGGGGAAGACTGTGAACACCAAGCGTGTCATCCAGTACTTTGCCAGCATTGCAGCCATAGGTGACCGTGGCAAGAAGGACAATGCCAATGCGAACAAGGTGCCATGGGGGACACAGGCTCGGCAGAACAGGGGTTGGGGGGCAGGCTGACCCGAGTTACCCCTAACCCTCCCCTCCCTGTGACGTGGTGGGGACAGCCACACTGAGCTGGGCTCCCGATGGTCAGCCCAGTATGGAAGACCTTCCTGACAGGAGACACTCACCCTGAGGTCTGGGTAGGATCCTGTGGAGTCGCAGACCCACTAGCGGTTCACCCAGCCCCGCACCCCCATTCCTCAGGGCCAGGGCAGCCTCCCTGCCCTCTCACCACTGCCTGGAGGTGGATGGAGGATGAACCCATGCAGTTCTGCTCCTTTCATAGGGCACCCTGGAGGACCAGATCATCCAGGCCAACCCCGCTCTGGAGGCCTTCGGCAATGCCAAGACTGTCCGGAACGACAACTCCTCCCGCTTTGTGAGTGCCTTTGACCACTCCCAGTGGCCTCATCCAGCCTTGACAAGAAAAAGGGGGTGCTGTTTTGCCACACCCAGTTGATTGTACTGTATCTGGCTTTGGGATATCAACATGCACACGTTGGTGGGAAGAGAGCATAGGCTTTGGAGCCAAAGGTCTGACTTTCCACTTGCTCAGCAAGTCCTTACACCTCTCTGAGCCCTAGTTCCTTCACCTGTGAAACAGGGGGACTAATATCCACCCTGCAGATTACTGGGAGGATTAGGTGAGATCATATGAGAGGTATGAGCAGGAGGCATTCTGTATGTGTTCCCCTCTGGGCCGAGGTTCCACTAGGAGGTCCCTGCACAGTGTGTGAGGGTGGCATCCTCTGCCCGGCTTCACTTATACTCAACTGAGACACCAAAGAGGTCGTTTACATTTCCAGAACCATCCAGGGCTTCTGGGCTGAACAGAGGGCCAGGATTTCACTCTGTCCTTCCCGCCAGTTCCCTCACTCTGTCCCATTCGTCCCCAGGGGAAATTCATTAGGATCCACTTTGGGGCCACTGGAAAGCTGGCTTCTGCAGACATAGAGACCTGTGAGTACCAGCAGGGAGGCTGCCACCCTCTAGGTCCCCCTCTGCCTTCTCTCCCTGCCTGGCGGCCAGTCTCATCATTCCTGCCATCTCCTGTTTTGTCTGCATTTGCCTCTGGGCTTTAGGATCCTTTTTATTTAAGCCACATCTTCTCGCCTGGCCCTCTTCATCAAGCTGTGGGTGCCCCCTGCCCTCTGCCCCCATGGCCACCTTTTTCTGGCTCTACTCTCTTTCCTTCCTCACCTGCCTTCCTCCCCTCCACCCACCTCAGACCTGCTGGAGAAGTCCCGGGTGATCTTCCAGCTGAAAGCTGAGAGAAACTACCACATCTTCTACCAGATTCTGTCCAACAAGAAGCCGGAGTTGCTGGGTGAACCTGCCTGCCACCCCCCACCCACTGCTGTCCCTGCTGCACACCCCAACGACTCCTGCATGCAGGGCAGGGCCCTCCTGCTCCCCACTGTGCCCCACCTTGCTGCTCACTTCCCTTCTCCCTCCACTCACTCCGCCAGCTCCCTCTCGCTTCCCTCCCAAGACCACCTGCGTCTCCTCTCGCCTCCCTGTGCAGTCACACACCTCACTCCTTCTCCACCCTTCTCTCCACTCCTCCCTCGGCTTGTCTTTGCCTTCTCCTCTTTATTTGCCTCCCCATCTCCCATGTGTCACTCCCCTGCCACCCTCCCTCCTCCTTGTTACTGGAGCCCCTGCCAGGGCCCCTCTTCTACCCTTTCACTTCCTCTGGGTTCACTCCTTGGTCCTTGCTGACTTCTCTTCTCTCCCTGCTCCCTGTCCTCCCTTCCTCCATTCACCCCGTCCCTTACCCCTCCCTGCCCCTCCCTCCCTTTCCCAACTCTACCTGCCCCTTCCCTGCCCTCCGCCTGCCCCCTTGCCCCTGCCTCACCCCTTGCCTGGTGCAGACATGCTGCTGGTCACCAACAATCCCTACGACTACGCCTTCGTGTCTCAGGGAGAGGTGTCCGTGGCCTCCATTGATGACTCCGAGGAGCTCATGGCCACCGATGTGAGTGAGGGGGCTGCTGCGGCCGTTCGAGGGACCCCAGGAGCTCCTGGGGCCACCGCTCCAACCCCCCTCTTTGTCTCTCGCTCTGTCCCAGAGTGCCTTTGACGTGCTGGGCTTCACTTCAGAGGAGAAAGCTGGCGTCTACAAGCTGACGGGAGCCATCATGCACTACGGGAACATGAAGTTCAAGCAGAAGCAGCGGGAGGAGCAGGCGGAGCCAGACGGCACCGAAGGTGGGAGGGGCAGGCAGGCAGCCCTGGGAAGGCCTGAGGTGCTGACCAGGCTCTCTGCGGGACTCAGATCCCAGAGACTCTGAGGCTTGTGGGGCAGTGGGGTGTGTTGTGGGATGGTGAGGGACAGGGACGTGGGAGACGTGGGCAGACAGAGAGTCCACCACAATCCCAACTCCTCAACCCCAGCTGCACTCACCAGAACTGAGGTGGGGAATTTTCCTCCTGTGCCCAAGACTCCCCCAGCCCCAGGAAGCACAGCCCCTGAGCTCTGCACATCACCATCACTAATGCAGGGCCTTTGCCTGCCCAGCCCTTGGGTAAGCCCCTCGTGGGCTCATACCATGTTGTTTGGGAGGCAGTGGGCCAGGGGTCAGGACATAGCCCAGGGCATTGGTGTGTCAGTTTCCTCCTCAGTGAAATGGATCAACAATCTTTCCTCACTCCTCTGGTGGCTACTGTGAGGTCCTTTGAGAAAATGTGAAGGTGCAAACAGTGCTAGACAGGTGCCCAAGAACATTCCTCCCTACCTTCAGGGACCCTTCTCCAAGTCTGCCCAGATCAAAGTGTCAAGCTGGGGTTCATGATAACACACCAACAGTTATTACAACATTCTTGAAATTACACCAAATAACTCCTCCTCTAAACAGAGAAATACCCATGTTGGGTGGCACATTTGGATGGCTGGGGGTAGGAGCGTGGTACTGTCTGATATACTCTCAGCCAGTCAGATTGGGTAACATGTGGATGGAGAAGACAGCATGGCCAGTCCAGGGCTAGACACTGGGGTAGAGAACGAAGGAGACAGGGAGCAGAGGACATCTAGCCCCTCAGCCACACCCTTGCCCTGGAGAGGCGAGGGATATGGTGAAGGTGGGGATATGCCCACAGCAGTGCTTGTGAAAGACCTGACCCAGAGATGCCACAGATGTAGAGACAGAGCTGAGAAGAGCCAGTTGTGGCAAGAGGCCATGGGCCGGATAAGGGGGCTGTGCTCCAGCCTGACTCAGGCACACGTTGGTTGAGTAACCAAGGCAAGCCCTGTGCTCTTCCAGGCCTTGATTTCTTCCTCTTTAAGGAAAAGAAATTGGACCTGATGCTTCCTAAAGTCTTGGCCCCAGGACAGGGAAGGAGGCTCACTCCCTGAAAGTGTTCACTCAGGCCAGGTGCAGTGGCTCATGCCTGTAATCCCAGCACTTTGGGAGGCCAAGGCAGGTGGATCACTTGAGGTAAGGAGTTTGAGACCAGCCTGGGCAACATGGTGAAACCCTGTCTCTACTACAGATACAAAAATTAGCCTGGCATGGTGGCTCATGTCTGTAGTCCCAGCTACTTGGGAGGCTGAGGCAGGAAAATCACTTGAACCCAGGAGGTGGAGGCTGTAGTGAGCCAAGATCGTGCCACTGCACTCAAGCCTGGGTGACAGAGCAAGCCTCTATCTTAAAAAAAAAAAAAGGAAGTGCTCACTTATCCTTTCCCTCTCAACCAGATGCTGACAAGTCGGCCTACCTCATGGGGCTGAACTCAGCTGACCTGCTCAAGGGGCTGTGCCACCCTCGGGTGAAAGTGGGCAACGAGTATGTCACCAAGGGGCAGAGCGTGCAGCAGGTGTACTACTCCATCGGGGCTCTGGCCAAGGCAGTGTATGAGAAGATGTTCAACTGGATGGTGACGCGCATCAACGCCACCCTGGAGACCAAGCAGCCACGCCAGTACTTCATAGGAGTCCTGGACATCGCTGGCTTCGAGATCTTCGACGTGAGTTGGGACCCCTGGGAGTGGGAGAACAATCACTCGCTTGCTCCTACATTCAACAGCCATTTGCTGAGAGCCAGCTGTGGACCAGACATGGGAAGGCAGTGGGGACTGTGTGGTGACAGAGGCAGTCATTGTCCCTGTCTTCAGGGGAAGCCCTCCTCCACTGCCCTGACATGGAGGGGACAGCCATACCCTGCTGGGCTCGGCACAGTGCACGGGCACAGCCCCAATGGCCACTCACACCCACTTTCTGACTGCTCCCACCCCTCATGCCCCCTGCAGTTCAACAGCTTTGAGCAGCTCTGCATCAACTTCACCAACGAGAAGCTGCAGCAGTTCTTCAACCACCACATGTTCGTGCTGGAGCAGGAGGAGTACAAGAAGGAGGGCATTGAGTGGACATTCATTGACTTTGGCATGGACCTGCAGGCCTGCATTGACCTCATCGAGAAGGTGCCTCCTTGGCCTCACCACCTATGCCCCCTCCTCTGCCATCCAGACAAAGTGGTGGCTGAGTCCCTTCTACACCCAAGAAACTAGAGTCCCAAGAATCCCAGGCCTTTCTCCAGGCCCAGCTTCTCCCCACTGTGAAGTCATGGGCATGAACAGGATGATCCCCCCACTCTTCCTTTCCCAGGACCTTGCACTTTATGCCCCTTTGTGGTGGTCCCCTCAGTGTCTTAAGAGTGAGATGTAGTGAAGGAGAGGCCCCTGGCCCCTCTGACCGCCCATGAGAAGCGTCATTCATGGAAAGATCCTAGGCTGAAATTAGAGATGTTTGGCCTCCCACCACCTTCCTGTTGGTTGAGAAATAAGCCAGTCTCCAGCCCTCTTGCTTATGGGCATTCCTCAGAAGAGACAAGGCCGCAGGCGGGAGGCCCCATAGGCTGGGGCTGACTTGCTCTCAGTGAACCTCTGCTCTTTGTCAGCATAGGCCAGAGCCCGGATTGTCTGACCCACACCCAGCCCAGCCACGGCCTTCATGAAATGGGAGCTTCCCCACATGCTTTGGGTCATTATCCAGATTCTTAACCAGAGTTCTCATGTTTCAGAGCCCTCAGAATGCCATAAAACTGTGTGTGGAAAAAAGCATGTGTACATTCATACATACATGTGTGTGCTTGTGCATGTGTGTGTGTGTACGTGTGTGTGTGTACATGCGTTTTTCTGGAGAGACAGTCTTTAGCTTCAACAAATTCTTAAAAGGATTCCTGCCCCAAGAAAAATCAAGAACCACCAGGTTTTTGGAAGTGCAGAGTGTGGTAAAGAACCTGGATCCTTCTATCTAACCCTTGAAGAATTGCTACTGGTGTCATACAGACAGAGCCTGGCCCGGTGCCTCTGACACACATCTGTCCCTGCCCTCCTGCCCCTGGGGCAGTGAGCCATCAGAGAGAAGGGGCTGTGCTGTGAGGCACTGTGGGCCTTGTGGGGGGTGATTAGGAGTGCATGACTCTTTGTTGGACCCACTGGGCAGAAAGGAGGAGGAAGGGGCTTTTTAAATTCCAGGAATATTGGCTTCCTGTTTTAGGGTAAGAGGTACCAGCACAGCGCCCCTTCAGCAGGCCAGCGCTACTGGCTCCAGATTCCTTTTCCTGTCAGGGTATGGGACTGTGGAAGCCTGGGAGTGTGCTCAGTGATTCTCTCTTTGCCTCTTCACCCTGCCCTCAGCCCATGGGCATCATGTCCATCCTGGAGGAGGAGTGCATGTTCCCCAAGGCCACTGACATGACCTTCAAGGCCAAGCTGTACGACAACCACCTGGGCAAGTCCAACAATTTCCAGAAGCCACGCAACATCAAGGGGAAGCAGGAAGCCCACTTCTCCCTGATCCACTACGCCGGCACTGTGGACTACAACATCCTGGGCTGGCTGGAAAAAAACAAGGATCCTCTCAACGAGACTGTTGTGGCCCTGTACCAGAAGTCCTCCCTCAAGCTCATGGCCACTCTCTTCTCCTCCTACGCAACTGCCGATACTGGTAAGCAGGCAGCCCCTGCACTGGGCCAGGGGACTTCTGAAGACACAAAGGGCCAGGGTCCTGCTGCTTCAAAGCACATGACTCCATAGGCAGGCACAGGGGAGCCCATGAGTCAAGCCACCTCCTGGCTCACCTCACCACAGTCCAGCTGGGCTTCTGTAGCACCTGCCGTTCTCCACTTTGTGTTATGAGTGTTGATATAGCTGTCTCATGTTTCCTCAAGATGGGGAGTAACTGGAGGTCAGTGAGGGTGGCACATGCATCCCTGTACCATGCCCAGCAGGGAACGATGCATGTGGGAGTTCTCAACAAATGTTGAGAGGACACTGAACAAAAGAGCCTCCAGTTCAGAAAAGGAAGAGAAAGGATGTGGCTTGAAATGAAGAGGATAAAGTGTAAGAAGAAAAGTAGAGGTTGGGCACGGTGGCTCACGCCTGTAATCCCAGCACTTTGGGAGGCCGAGGCGGGTGGATCACAAGGTCAGGAGTTCGAGACCAGTCTGGTCAACATGGTGAAACCCCGTCTCTACTAAAAATACAAAAATTAGCCTGGCGTGGTGGCACCTGCCTGTAGTCCCAGCCACTTGGGAGGCTGAGGCAGGAAAGTTGCTTGAATCCGGGCGACGGAGGTTGCAGTGAGCCAAGATTGCACCACTGCACTCCAGCATGGGTGACAGAGTGAGATTCCATCTCAAAAATAGAAGGAAGAAGAAGAAGAAGAAGAAGAAGAAGAAGAAGAAGAAGAAGAAGAAGAAGAAGAAGAAGAAGAAGAAGAAGAAGAAGAAGAAGAAGAAGAGGAGGAGGAGGAGGAGGAGGAGAACTAGAATGTGGAAAGATATAAGAAGGAAGGGCAAGTAGAGGGAGAGCTAAGGGCACTGATGTATGTCAGTGCCTACTATGGGCAAGCACCAGTGAGCTGCCCTACAGGCGTGGTCTTATCTAATCCTCTTTACAACTTTGGGAAGTTGTTACTGTCATCCTCATGGTAAACTGAATCTTGGAGAATTCCTTGCCCAAAGTCTCAGAGCTACCAAGCGAGCAGCAGAGCTCTGCCTCTGCCCAAGGGCTCCTTTATTTTCCAGCTCCTGTTGATTATTTCTCCTCTCGCTGTTTAGGGGACAGTGGTAAAAGCAAAGGAGGCAAGAAAAAGGGCTCATCCTTCCAGACGGTGTCGGCTCTCCACCGGGTAAGAAGGGCCCAGGGGTGCCAGGACACCTGGTGGAATGGCCCAGCCCAGAGACTTCTGGCTGCACCACCTATTCTGATGCTTGAGTTTGATGAGGAAAGAAGCTAGGGCTACGTAGTCGTTTTTTAGTGTGTAGATTCCACAAAAGCCTGAACTCACGTCACAAATTATGTGGCAGCCCCTGTCCCTTTGATGATTCTGGTGGAGAGTGTCTGGGGACCAGGGTTTAAGGGCCTAAGGGATGGTCCTTGTGGCTCCTAACTCCCCACCTTCATCTGCCTCCAGGAAAATCTCAACAAGCTAATGACCAACCTGAGGACCACCCATCCTCACTTTGTGCGTTGCATCATCCCCAATGAGCGGAAGGCTCCAGGTGAGCCAGGAGAAGACCTTAGTCTGGGGAGGACAGCTGGCATCCACTTTACCCTAAGGCTGACCCTTTCCCCTTCCCTCCTGACACAGGGGTGATGGACAACCCCCTGGTCATGCACCAGCTGCGCTGCAATGGCGTGCTGGAGGGCATCCGCATCTGCAGGAAGGGCTTCCCCAACCGCATCCTCTACGGGGACTTCCGGCAGAGGTGGGTATGAGGGTGCCCCAGAGCTCATAGAACAGGGGGAGCCAGGCTGCCCTGATGGGAATGGGATCTGCAGGTGACCCTGGAATTCTGTGGGCAGAGCAGATCACTGCAGAGCATGGGTGACTCTGGACACTTCCCTCCTCAGGTATCGCATCCTGAACCCAGTGGCCATCCCTGAGGGACAGTTCATTGATAGCAGGAAGGGGACAGAGAAGCTGCTCAGCTCTCTGGACATTGATCACAACCAGTACAAGTTTGGCCACACCAAGGTGAGTCTAGAGCCCCACTGGGTGGTTGCAGGGCAGGTGGCCATGTTGAGTGGAGCAGAGAGGAGTTTAGGAGGCAGAAGCCTAATTCTGGCTTCCTTATCAACCTTATCAAGGGCTGAAACCCAGGCTTCATTCCGGTCTTGTTTGTCAAATTTTTACTCTTACTTCTAGAAGGCATGGGGTGATGGGTCACCTGGGAGCTCATCCAGGGTCTTCCACCCTGGATACTCCCCTCTGAGGCTGCGGCCTGTTGCATCTACCCCTTGCCTGCAGGTGTTCTTCAAGGCAGGGCTGCTTGGGCTGCTGGAGGAGATGCGGGATGAGAGGCTGAGCCGCATCATCACGCGCATGCAGGCCCAAGCCCGGGGCCAGCTCATGCGCATTGAGTTCAAGAAGATAGTGGAACGCAGGTGAGACAGGAGGAAAAGGGAGGCATGCACTAGAGATGTAGAGGCAGATCCGCAATGTCAACTAGTGTGGGTCAGAAGACCTGGGTTCAGACCTACCAGCTGGCCTGGGCAAGTTACTTTACCACTTCGAATCTCATTGCAAATTCTTCTTCTTCTTCTTCTTCTTCTTTTTTTTTTTTTAAAGAAACTTCTCTATAGGAAAATGCAAATTAAGACACCAATGAAATACCATTTTAAAACACTAGACTTTGCTTGCTCAGATGGTCTACAAATTTTAAAAAATGAAAGAAACAAGTAGATAAAAATAAAATGAAAGGAAAAATAATTTTTAAAAGTTTTAAAAATCACTAGACTGACAAAAATTAAGAAGCCTGACCCACTGCTTACAGATGTGTAAATTAGTGCAACTTCCTAGGAAAACAGTTTATCACTATCTTTTAAAGTTGAACAGCTGCAGGCCAGGCGCGGTGGCTCATGCCTGAAATCCCAGCACTTTGGGAGGCCGAGGCGGGTGGATCACGAGGTCAGGAGATCAAAACCATCCTGGCTAACATGGTGAAACCCCATCTCTACTAAAAAAATACAAAAAATTAGCCGGGTGTGGTGGCAGATGCCTGTAGTCCCAGCTACTCTGGAGGCTGAGGCAGGAGAATGGCATGAGCCCGGGAGGCAGAGCTTGCAGTGAGCCAAGATCGAGCCACTGCACTCTAGCCTGGGCGACAGAGCGAGACTCCATCTCAAAAAAAAAAAAGTTGAACAGCTGCATACTTCTCCATTCCACTCCTGAGTACATTCCTACAGAGAAACTCTTATACATGTACACCATGACATGAAAAATAATCTTTTAGCAGCATTGGTCATAATAGCAAAGATCTTAAAACAACTTGAATTTCCATCCACAGGGGAATGGGTAAATAGTATTACAGTCATTCAGTGGAATATTATAAAACAGTGAAAAGATGTGAACTCCAACTACATGATACAATATGTTTGAACATTAAAGCATATTGTTAGTAAACAAAGGCAAATCTTGGAAGGATACATACAGTATGATGCAATTTTTATAAAGCTCATAAATAATCAAAACCAGCCATTCATTGTTTAAAGATACATACATATGGCTGGGCACAGTGGCTTATGCCTGTAACCCCAGCACTTTGGGAGGCTAAGGCAGGCGGATCACCTGAGGTCAGGAGATGGAGACCAGCCTGGCCAACATGGTGAAACCCCGTCTCTACTAAAACTACAAAAATTAGCTGGGCATGGTGGCAGGCACCTGTAATTCCAGCTACTCAGGAGCTGAGGCAGGAGAATCGCTTGAATCCGGGTGGCAGAGGTTGCAGTGAGCCGAGATTGTGCCATTGCACTCCAGCCTGGGCAACAAGAGTGAAACTCCATCTCAAAATAAATAAAGTAAAATAAAAATAAAGATACATTCATATGTGGTTAAAGTAATTTTTGAAAAAGCAAGGAAAGGAAAAATAAGATTCAGAGTGGCGGCTGCTCCTGGCGGGGTGACAGGGGTGTAGGAAGGAACGCACAGGTAGATCAATGGCTGGTAACATTTCAGCTCCTGTTTCAGTGGTAGGTTCATGGATAGTCATTTTGCTTTCATGCTGCATAACTTACATACTTATTATAGACATTCTTATATGTAAACCCCTACATAATTTTTAACATATTTGAAGTTCTTATGAGAATAGAAAAACCAAACAGAGTAGACATTCTATAAGTGGTAGTTTCCATTACCACTAATATCCCAGCTGGGAGGATATAAACTGCCCTTTCATCAAATTGATTAATAAATATTTATCAAGCAACTCCATGTTCAGTGTAGTGATGTTGGAGGTGGGTGTGCACAAGAAGGAAGTCTACGTGCCTACGAACTTGCTTAGTAGGGCCCATGATTGGGAAGCTCTCTTTTATAGTGCCCCACCCTGCCTCCACGTTTCCTTGCCAGGGATGCCCTGCTGGTAATCCAGTGGAACATTCGGGCCTTCATGGGGGTCAAGAATTGGCCCTGGATGAAGCTCTACTTCAAGATCAAGCCGCTGCTGAAGAGCGCAGAGACGGAGAAGGAGATGGCCACCATGAAGGAAGAGTTCGGGCGCATCAAAGAGACGCTGGAGAAGTCCGAGGCTCGCCGCAAGGAGCTGGAGGAGAAGATGGTGTCCCTGCTGCAGGAGAAGAATGACCTGCAGCTCCAAGTGCAGGCGGTGAGGCCACGTGATTATCTCTTCAGCCCTCTCCTCCCCTCCCCTAGATTATAGCCCATCTCACAACCAGGGACTGGGAGTCTAGGAGTGCCAGCTCTTTTTAAGACCCTAGGTCTCCTCTCTTTAACCATCAGCTTCCTCCCTGTTCTCTTCTCCCAGGAACAAGACAACCTCAATGATGCTGAGGAGCGCTGCGACCAGCTGATCAAAAACAAGATTCAGCTGGAGGCCAAAGTAAAGGAGATGAATGAGAGGCTGGAGGATGAGGAGGAGATGAACGCGGAGCTCACTGCCAAGAAGCGCAAGCTGGAAGACGAGTGCTCAGAGCTCAAGAAGGACATTGATGACCTGGAGCTGACACTGGCCAAGGTGGAGAAGGAGAAGCATGCAACAGAGAACAAGGTGAGGGCAGCTCCCTCTGGCTTCAGCCCAGGTCTCCTCAAGACTCCCAGACTAGAGTGTTGTCCTGGTCCTTGGCATGGAGGTCCCCATAGATGTCTCCAGGCTGGTGATCTTTGACCCTAAAGGGGATGGGTTTTTGGTCGGCAGGTGAAGAACCTAACAGAGGAGATGGCTGGGCTGGATGAAATCATCGCTAAGCTGACCAAGGAGAAGAAAGCTCTACAAGAGGCCCATCAGCAGGCCCTGGATGACCTTCAGGTTGAGGAAGACAAGGTCAACAGCCTGTCCAAGTCTAAGGTCAAGCTGGAGCAGCAGGTGGATGATGTGAGTAGTAAGAACCATGCTCCTGCTCTCAGAGCAAGATTTTGCAGGCAACACCAATGGCCCAGAAAGTCCTGATCCCTAGAATTAACTTCTATGGCCCCTGAAGCTTTTTTGCTCTCTGTAGTTCCTCACTACAGTAGGTCTCTGAATCCTTTGTGCTTGCAGGATTTCTCTGTTGGTTTGACTTCCAATCCCACTGGACTTCAAGTTTAGAAGGAGGCAAAAGAGCATACACTATGGATTTCATGTTTTCCACACTTTGCTTATTTTCTTCCCTCCAACAGCTGGAGGGATCCCTAGAGCAAGAGAAGAAGGTGCGCATGGACCTGGAGCGAGCAAAGCGGAAACTGGAGGGCGACCTGAAGCTGACCCAGGAGAGCATCATGGACCTGGAAAATGATAAACTGCAGCTGGAAGAAAAGCTTAAGAAGTAGGAGACTGTGGTGGCCAGGAGGGGCTAATGGAGGTGTCTGGCCTGGTAGATAGAGTGCAGGGTGCTGCGCCTCCACTGGCCACAGTTGCCTTGGGTATGCTGGGAATAAGGTCAATCACAGCCCTCTTCCGCCACTTTCTGGGCTGGCGAGGGGAGGGGGAGGTGCCGATTCTGGCATACTAAGGCCAAGAAGAGAATGAGCCCCAGAGGAAGGAAGGCTACCTGTCACTCCCCCACCCCCACCCTTCTCCTGCAGGAAGGAGTTTGACATTAATCAGCAGAACAGTAAGATTGAGGATGAGCAGGTGCTGGCCCTTCAACTACAGAAGAAACTGAAGGAAAACCAGGTGACTTTTTTTCCCAGTGCATGAAAGTGGGAGCTCAATAGCCCTGAGGTAACTGAGGCTGCAGCAGCTGCTTAGGGTTCTACACAATATCTGGAACTCCAGGCAGCCTCATAGACCCAACCATCCCTGACTTACAGGCGCTCAGGAACACTAGCCTTCCCCCATAGAGCAAGAATACATTACGTTAGCAAAACTGTTTGAGAAGGGGGACTCATACCTACTAAAGGGCTTCTCCTTCTGAGATCTGCTCTGCCTCAGGGACTTTCTACTCTAAGACAAATGATAGAGCTCTATTCTCCTCTAACCCTTCCTCTGGTAGTTCAGCCCTCTGAACGCAGGGTGAAAAAAAAAAAAGGCTTCAAGGAGCACCTTCCTGTGAGCTGCTCTGTTCATATTCTTCCCGGTACTAACCCCAGCCACTAACCCAGGCTGAGTCCCCATAGGGCACTCATGATAAGAGCCAATTCCAACAACTGTGAGCAAGTCACTTACCCTCCCTGATCCTCAGATTCTCTTCTCACCTGTAAAATGAGACTGACAATACCTACCACACAGGACCAGAGGGGATAATGTATTTGAAACCATTTTGTCAACTAGGAAATTCTATACAAGTATCATATTAATATAGCCCAATTTAGAGAAGTCAGCCAGCCACTAGCCTAAGAAGGTATTGTTTTGTCTTCTCAATGGCCTTCTCATTCCTCTGCAGCTCAAGATTTAGTGAACAGCCATAGTCTCCCTTAGCTTTAATGAACCTCAAACCCTAATGTGCTTTTAGTATCGGGTTTGTCAGAAGAGACCTGGAAGTCCACTGCCATCCCCATTATAGAGCTACAGAAGCTACATGGCCAGGTCTGGACATAGTGACCCCAAGGGCAACAGGAACTCGGCTACTGGGGCGGGACCTTGTCCTCTCACTTTGGGGCAGACTGTGGCTGGTAGAAAGAGGTAGTCTCCCCTCTGCACTTGAGGCCCATGGCCCAGGCTGCAAGTAATGTATGAACACAATTCCACTCCTCTGGGGCTGCACAGGGACTGGCCCGCCTTCATTAGTAATTTGCCCTCCCATCTTCTTGGATGCCCCTTCTGGGTTTTAGCTAGAATATCGGGCCATCCTCAGGTTCTTCTACCCTAGGTCTGGGCAACTTGTTTGGCCTCTTGGACACAGAATAACAGTCCTGTTAGTCTCATCAGCTCTCGGCAATAGGCTATGGCTCCTCCTTCATCCCCAAGATCTTGCTCAGAAGTCCCACCTTCTCCATCCTGGGAGCAGAGGCATGGTGGTCCTCTCTGCTGCTTGTAGGACCCATCCATGAACAGTCCATTAAAGCTGTCCATAACCCGAGGTGAAGGGATTTCCACTGAACCCCCGTTTTGCTCCTGGCTAGCCAGACAACAGATCAAAATGGTAGATACGATATTCTCCCAATTTAGTCAAGACCAAGGCTAAGGCCCAAAAAATGAGGTAAGGGCACTTAAAGAGGATAAGGAGATGAGGTGAAGAGGAGAGTAGCCTGCTAGCACTTTCCTGGCCTGGAAGGGAGCAATCATGTTGAAACCCAGCCCTGGGCATAAACACAGCAAGCCTGGGAGAGCAAGGAATATGGTTGATTGGACTTTGTGGTTAACTTGGAGAATTGCAAAGGTATCTGATTGTTTCGAGGCATGTTGTCACAAATATTTGTAAAATACAAGCACTCATTTTCCCGTCTTATGAATAGCGCAACAGAGCCTAGTGAATCTGGGGACTCTGAACTTCTTGATCTCACAGGATACCAGGATCCCCCTTCAACCACAGGTTCTCAGGATTTGGGGCTGCAGATGCTCACACTGGGTCTGAGATGCCCTTGGGAGCTTCAGCCAAATTCCTATTGATGGCCTATGCATTATAGGATGTTTAGTAGCATCCCTGGCCCCTACCCTCTAGATGCCAGTAGCAAGCCCCACCAAGACATGACAATCAGACATTGCCAACTGTTCCCTGGGGCACAAAATTGCCCCTAGTTGAGAACCACTGCTTGAGAGGAACCTAAGTTCCTGGTAGCTTTTCAGAGCCGGGGGGATTCCAGTGGAGGGGTCCAGGCGGTGGGTCTGAGCCCTTTGTGTCTGACCCAGGCACGCATCGAGGAGCTGGAGGAGGAGCTGGAGGCCGAGCGCACCGCCAGGGCTAAGGTGGAGAAGCTGCGCTCAGACCTGTCTCGGGAGCTGGAGGAGATCAGCGAGCGGCTGGAAGAGGCCGGCGGGGCCACGTCCGTGCAGATCGAGATGAACAAGAAGCGCGAGGCCGAGTTCCAGAAGATGCGGCGGGACCTGGAGGAGGCCACGCTGCAGCACGAGGCCACTGCCGCGGCCCTGCGCAAGAAGCACGCCGACAGCGTGGCCGAGCTGGGCGAGCAGATCGACAACCTGCAGCGGGTGAAGCAGAAGCTGGAGAAGGAGAAGAGCGAGTTCAAGCTGGAGCTGGATGACGTCACCTCCAACATGGAGCAGATCATCAAGGCCAAGGCAGGCTCTGCTCGGCCTCCCCTCGCCCTCTCCCCTGCACAGCGGAGCCTCCCCCATGCCTTCTCTCTCTGTCTGCCATCTCCCTTGTCATTCTCATTCTCTTCATCACCCTTTGGTCTCTCTTCCTGTCTCCCCTGCCCCTCTCTGGCTCTCCTCACCCTCTCTATCTCTTCATGTTCCTCCTTTCTTTAATTCAAGTCTCTCTTCAGACTGCGCCCTCCCACACCTTCTGTGTCCCCCTCCTGCCCTCTGGCATTCCCCATCTCTGACCCTCTCTTCCTTCCTCTGGTCGACTCAGCCCCTCCCACACTCACCCTTCCTGTCTTGCTTCCTGAAGGCAAACCTGGAGAAAGTGTCTCGGACGCTGGAGGACCAGGCCAATGAGTACCGCGTGAAGCTAGAAGAGGCCCAACGCTCCCTCAATGATTTCACCACCCAGCGAGCCAAGCTGCAGACCGAGAATGGTGGGTGCCCCTAACCAACCCCCTGCCTAGGGCAGGACATGACTTGTGAAATGGCCCACAAGCCCCTCATTTCACCTCCAGGAGAGTTGGCCCGGCAGCTAGAGGAAAAGGAGGCGCTAATCTCGCAGCTGACCCGGGGGAAGCTCTCTTATACCCAGCAAATGGAGGACCTCAAAAGGCAGCTGGAGGAGGAGGGCAAGGTGAGGCCCAGTGGGGAGGGTGGGCAGGCTTGATGGCAGCCCTGGGGCAATTCATCTCAGTGCCAGAAATGGAGCCTGGAGCTGGAAAGAGTCCTCTGCAAGGGAAAGACCCTCCAGTCTAGGTTCTGCCCTGCAGCTAAGCGTCATTTAATGCCTCTTTTCTTATTCGTAAGGGGATGGGGTGAGCAGACTGGGAAACTCCTCAAACAGTGAGGTGCCACATCAGCCCACATGGTGAATAAGGCTGGGCTTGGTTGAAGTACTACATAAGAAGAGAATCTAGAGAATGGGGCACAGGGAGTCCCTCCCACCTCCTGGTGCCCCCCCCCCTCCCCAGGCGAAGAACGCCCTGGCCCATGCACTGCAGTCGGCCCGGCATGACTGCGACCTGCTGCGGGAGCAGTACGAGGAGGAGACAGAGGCCAAGGCCGAGCTGCAGCGCGTCCTGTCCAAGGCCAACTCGGAGGTGGCCCAGTGGAGGACCAAGTATGAGACGGACGCCATTCAGCGGACTGAGGAGCTCGAAGAGGCCAAGTGAGCTCCAGATACCCCCTTAACCTGACTCTCAGAGAGGAAGGGGCGAGAGGACCTGGGGTGGGGACAGGCAAAGTGGTCATGAGACGGAAGTGGAAGAGACAGGAGGAACTCGGAGGGCAACAGAAGTGCTTGGAAGAAAGCCTGAACTCTTTGCTCTGTGAACTCTGGCTGGCCCTGACCCACTTCCTGTGACGGGCGAGCTTTTGGCCCGGGTTATACCTGATGCTCACGTATAAGACGAGCAAAAAGCTTGTTGGTCAGAGGAGCTACCGTCGATCAGCCTGTGTGGGGGGTGAGGGCAGGGGGCACTGACACCCAGATGCCACTGCAGGTAGGGAGGACGCCTGGGCAGCCCGTGCTGGCGGACTCTGTTCCAGGCATGAGCAGGCTCAGCTCCTGCTAGGCTGGACTTACGGTGTCTCAAGGAGATATAGGGAGGGGGTGGAAGGAGGTCCACCCAAGGCTCCAGTGTTGCCCAGTAGAGTCACACACACACCCTCCACCCTCACCTGGGCAGAAAGAAGCTGGCCCAGCGGCTGCAGGATGCCGAGGAGGCCGTGGAGGCTGTTAATGCCAAGTGCTCCTCACTGGAGAAGACCAAGCACCGGCTACAGAATGAGATAGAGGACTTGATGGTGGACGTAGAGCGCTCCAATGCTGCTGCTGCAGCCCTGGACAAGAAGCAGAGAAACTTTGACAAGGTGGACCATGGGCGGGGGCCGCAGCCAGCATGCAGGGCAAGGGGGCATGAGGGGTTCAGTGAGAGGCCAAAGGCAACCTCCTTGGAGGTGGAGGAGGAGGGCTAAGCCCAGGCTCGGGACCAGGGACAGATCTTGGACATGCGGCTGAGGCTGGGGGCTGGGGCACTGGGAAGCAGGAGGGCTGGGGAGCTAAGGCTGGGGGGCTGAAGAGTGAGCCTTGTCCCCGGGCAGATCCTGGCCGAGTGGAAGCAGAAGTATGAGGAGTCGCAGTCTGAGCTGGAGTCCTCACAGAAGGAGGCTCGCTCCCTCAGCACAGAGCTCTTCAAGCTCAAGAACGCCTACGAGGAGTCCCTGGAGCACCTAGAGACCTTCAAGCGGGAGAACAAGAACCTTCAGGGTGTGCTGGGGGTCCAAGAGGCCAGAGATGAGTTGGTGGGAGGGAGGGCCATGCAGGGGCAGGGGGAACATAGGCTTTGAGCTTTCTGGCCCTCTGGTCCCCAGAGGAAATCTCGGACCTTACTGAGCAGCTAGGAGAAGGAGGAAAGAATGTGCATGAGCTGGAGAAGGTCCGCAAACAGCTGGAGGTGGAGAAGCTGGAGCTGCAGTCAGCCCTGGAGGAGGCAGAGGTGAGGGCCGAGAACTCCCTGCACCCCATCCCTGTTCTGCCGCTGTCTCCCACTTCTCCCTCACCTGGGGGTGACCCTGACCCCAGGACAAAATCTATTCATTCCATATTCTTTGTTCAACATTATCTACCCACTATTCACTACCCATGACTGCCTCCAAAGCCAAGGTCTGCACAAAGGAAAATGTCAGTCTGATTAGAGGCCAAAGGTTTTGTTTCCCACCAGGTTTTAAAAGTTGGAATCTGGCCATAATAATAACCACTTAGACAGTGGGTAGGAGTGTGGGGTTCCAGAGTCAAACAGGCCTGAGTTGGAACACAGCTTGAGGACTTTCACTGCAGCGTTGGGCAAAATCTTTAATCTCTCTCTGCCTCAGTTTTCTCATCTGTAAAATGGAATTAACTGTACATACCTCATATGATTTTACACATGATTATTATAAAGATTAAATGAGGTAACACATTTAAGCACTTAATATATATTAGCTATTGTTACTCTTCATTTCTAAGCACCTGGGAATAGCCCTGAGTTTTCTGGGCTTCTAACTTTTCTCAGGAAAGGGTGAGGGACCTGGAAAACAAGATAAAATTTTGTATTTGTGGTTATAAAAATTCCTCCATTTTCTATAATACTTTAGACAGGTCAGGAATTTATGCAGTGTTAGTGCTGGAGGGTCTGGCAATTGTGAGGTCCAAACCCTTTTCTTGACAGGGGAAGCCCAGAGAGTCCAGCACTTTCTCCCCAATAGCACCGTGGTGGGCATGGGGTGCAGATCCCACCTCCCCATCTCTTCTCAGCTCTTCTTCTCTGGGCGATAGTCCTGGCTGACACCGTGTATCTTCTCATCCTCCCTCTCAACCCTGCCCTGTGCCCTGTCTGCCCGCCCTCGCCCCACCCCTTCCCAGGCCTCCCTGGAGCACGAGGAGGGCAAGATCCTCCGGGCCCAGCTAGAGTTCAACCAGATCAAGGCAGAGATCGAGCGGAAGCTGGCAGAGAAGGACGAGGAGATGGAACAGGCCAAGCGCAACCACCAGCGGGTGGTGGACTCGCTGCAGACCTCCCTGGATGCAGAGACACGCAGCCGCAACGAGGTCCTGAGGGTGAAGAAGAAGATGGAAGGAGACCTCAATGAGATGGAGATCCAGCTCAGCCACGCCAACCGCATGGCTGCCGAGGCCCAGAAGCAAGTCAAGAGCCTCCAGAGCTTGCTGAAGGTACATGGGGGCGGGAGGTCCCCTCAGGGGACTGGCCTCCATGTGGCCTGGAGAAGCAGTGGTGTCTGGATACAGGCACCAGATTCCTCCTGCCCCTGGGTTACTGCAGGGACCTCTGACAGGTGCCCTCAGTGAAGGGCACCGAGGCTGGCTTCTGCTCACACCCACTCTCCTGATGCTCAGGACACCCAGATCCAGCTGGACGATGCGGTCCGTGCCAACGACGACCTGAAGGAGAACATCGCCATCGTGGAGCGGCGCAACAACCTGCTGCAGGCTGAGCTGGAGGAGCTGCGTGCCGTGGTGGAGCAGACAGAGCGGTCCCGGAAGCTGGCGGAGCAGGAGCTGATTGAGACCAGCGAGCGGGTGCAGCTGCTGCATTCCCAGGTGAGGGGGTCAGGAGCCACCTTGTGGAAACCTACTGAGTGCAGAGCCCAGGACATCTAGAAAAGCCAGATGTTCTAAGTGAGCACATCTAGCCAGGGTCACAAATCATTTCCTCTCTTAGGCCAACTCTCATCTGTGGTGGCTGCAGAACCATTATATTAAGAAAGCGGTCTCTACTTAGAAGCTAAGAGGGTCATGATTGATTGCTGATACCTGCCAAAGCCACAAATCTGGGAGTAGTGGAATGTATCCTGTTATTTGATATTCTTGATCTGAAAGACAGCCTCCGGCTTGCTCTGTAAAGATGAGAGTTTGGGAGTTTAAAGAAGCATAACTGCATCTCTTGCAAACCAAGCTGGCTAGAACACCATTTTCTGCAATCCCACCCACACTGTTTTCAGTTATACTCTGCAATGAGACTTTGTGCTCACCTTTTGCAGTGCCCTGTGGAGTTTTGTTCTTTAATCTAGTATGTGTGAGAATGACATCATCCACTTACCTCATCCCCTCTTCCTTACCCCACTACATTCTTGGTATAGCTATAAACATCTCTGGAATATTGTCCTGGTAAAAAGTTGTTTCCATCTTCCTTGGAATATTGTCATGCTCCTACGTAAACATGTTGCTAAAGAGCTCCAGGGTAATACTGCAGACCTTTTGCTATTTGAAGTCTTTTTTCAGAGTTTAGTAATCTTAGATACAATGTCTAGAATGTATGCACTTTCATAGGAAAAGGGAAAGCAGGTACAAAACGATCAATAGTCTAAAAGTGGGCTTGTTGTTTTAAAAAAAAAATGACCACCTTTAATTCTTTCTGGAGAAAGGGTATGAAATCAGGTAACAAAGTGTAGTATATATTTGATCATTTTTCTCTCTCCATGTCTAGAACACCAGCCTCATCAACCAGAAGAAGAAGATGGAGTCGGATCTGACCCAGCTCCAGTCGGAAGTGGAGGAGGCAGTGCAGGAGTGCAGAAACGCCGAGGAGAAGGCCAAGAAGGCCATCACGGATGTAAGTGACCGCCCACCTTCCGCCTCCCCTAAAGACAGAAACAAGGCCTTGGGTCCAGGCCAGGCCACTGTGCTGTAACACCAAGCCAACTCTGCAGTTCTGTGGATTTGAGGGCCTGATGGGAGAAAGGAGATCCTTGGGGGGCAAAAGGCCCCGGCCCCTGGCCCATGTTCCTTGCCACCTCTCTCCTGCACACAGGCCGCCATGATGGCAGAGGAGCTGAAGAAGGAGCAGGACACCAGCGCCCACCTGGAGCGCATGAAGAAGAACATGGAGCAGACCATTAAGGACCTGCAGCACCGGCTGGACGAGGCCGAGCAGATCGCCCTCAAGGGAGGCAAGAAGCAGCTGCAGAAGCTGGAAGCGCGGGTGCGGGAGCTGGAGGGTGAGCTGGAGGCCGAGCAGAAGCGCAACGCAGAGTCGGTGAAGGGCATGAGGAAGAGCGAGCGGCGCATCAAGGAGCTCACCTACCAGGTGCGGCGGACGCCAGACACCAGGAGTAGATGTGGAAGTTTCTTCTCTGGCCCCACTGCCCCGCCCTCACAGGGCTCCTCTCACCTCCTCCTTGAGATGCTGTTGGTAGATTTAACGTTCTTCTCACGCTCTGCAGTCAGTTTGACTTGAGTCTATGAGTTTTTCCAGCAAATGAAGAATCTACTTCTACTTCCTGAAAACTCTTCTAACTAGTCTTTCCCCAGGTTTCTTTCTTTCTTTTTTTTTTTTTTTAATAACTCTAAGTGCTACCATGAAGACTTCAGAACAGTTCAAAGAATCCTTCCACCTTCGACTGTGGGGATAAGAGTCAGGGGAGGGGAAAAGACCCGGAAATCTTCCATAGAACTTCTGGCACACAAAGAGAAGGCCACAGAGAAAGAGGACCCTAGAATGCTCTAAAACCTCCACTTGCATAGCTGAGAGCTGTGCCCTTGGCCCGTTATTTTCAGTGTACCTGGGAAGAAAAGGCCAAGGAGACGAGGGTGTCAGTCCATTTGATAGATGGATACCAGAGGCACAAGAAAGAGGTTACAGATACAGAACCACAGAGTGATTTGTGGACAGAAGTAGAAATGGCATCCTGGCACATACAATGATAAAGAGATAGGAATGATCGAGTGACGTTGGAGCCAGTGATCCCGATGCCTGAATTCTGGCCCAGTACAATATATTAGAATGTAGAATAATCTGGATTATGATAATACCCCCTTCTTTCTGCATTCTTTTTCTGGTCAAGAACTACTGGCCAAGAGAACCTATGTAAGTCCAGGTTGGAGCTTTATCCACCATACTGGAGCTGGAACAGACCTGGTGCTTTTATATTACCACATTAGGGAATTCCATTAGGTTCTGAGCCCCTCCCCCTACTTCTAGCTTTATGACTTCAGCCTTCATTGCTCTGTGGATCCCTGACTGACAACCTTGCATTGCCCCTTTGACCTACGATAGAGTCAGAGAATCTTCCCCACCACCTCTTTGACCTGGATCATTGCAGGGAGGGGCAGCAAAGGCAAGGGGAGAAGAGTAAAATGATGGAGGAGGGAAAGGTGATTGCATTTGCTCCCCCTCCAAACCAGCTTCTCCCACCCTCCCACCCCCAGACAGAGGAAGACAAAAAGAACCTGCTGCGGCTACAGGACCTGGTGGACAAGCTGCAACTGAAGGTCAAGGCCTACAAGCGCCAGGCCGAGGAGGCGGTGAGTTCAGAGCTTTCTTCCCTTTCTCATCAACACACCTACTATTTGTGAGAACCAATGAATATCTCCTACAGAGGGGCCTGGACAAAGAGTTTGCTATAAACTTTAACTCTCAAACATTTGTTTGACACATCTGGTATGCTCAGAGCTGTCAGGTGTTCTGAATTAACAAAGGCACCACCTACAAGCTGCTTACAATTCAGATACCATAACCCAACAGAAGGCAGTGTAGATGCTAGTGCAGGACGTGGGGCAGCCGAAGCTGAAGGCAGGAAGGTGGCGGTGGAATTGGGCCTAGAAGGGGACCCAGCTAGCCACAGGGCAGTGGGGAAGACATCTGGGTGGATGTGAGTTGCTGATTAGCATGCCTGCACAGGAAGCTGGGGTCCGGGACAGGTGCAGCAAAACAGGATTCTGAAGGGGCCCAGATCGGGCAGCATGGGATTTGTCTGGGGCAGTGGATGGCCGTGAAGGACTCTGAGTGCTGGACATGTTTGAGAAGAGTGCAAGGCAGTTGCAGGATACCCTTGGGAAGGCTGTTGCAGGAATATGCATGAGGTATGGGTGCCTCAGGGACAGGGAGCTGGAACCTCAGGTTGAGAGGCTGAGAATCCCATAGCCCATCTCCAGCTCATTCACCCATCCCCACTGTCCCACCACAGGAGGAGCAAGCCAACACCAACCTGTCCAAGTTCCGCAAGGTGCAGCATGAGCTGGATGAGGCAGAGGAGCGGGCGGACATCGCTGAGTCCCAGGTCAACAAGCTTCGAGCCAAGAGCCGTGACATTGGTGCCAAGGTGGGTCCCTCCCCTGGGCTTCACTAGTCACTTCCACATTAGCATGCCCCCTGATATGGGTGCCCTTCAGAGTGGGCACTGCTTGCCCTATATGTAGGCAGTTCTGAGGGTCCCATAGCTTACATAACCTGAGAATCCACTCTCCTGCTCAAAACAGCCCCCCACTGACTGGAACTTCTGCAGAGATCCCCAGTTCCATCCCCCTAAACCACAAGTGCCTCTAACGTGGGACCACAGGATCCCTGGGGCCCTGCCTCTCCCTCCAAGGGCATCTCCCTTAGGCCTCTGAAAGCCCCAGGGATTTGTCCCCACACACTTCTCCCTCTTGCCAGCTGCCCCCTCACACCTCTTATTCTTTTTGCAGCAAAAAATGCACGATGAGGAGTGACACTGCCTCGGGAACCTCACTCTTGCCAACCTGTAATAAATATGAGTGCCAAACTCTGCCTGAGCCCATCTGTCCTTCCTGCCAGCTGTCCATCCTGGATCAGGGCAGTAGGGGGCCTGAGAGGAGGGAGGCCCCCAGCCCCTGTATCAGAGCTGCCAGAGCCAAGGCATCCCATATCCACAAGGAAGGAGACCGAGGTGCAGAGGAGTGAGGTGTTCTGCCTGACGTGGACAGCTGTGAGTCCCAGTTCTGCTCAGTCAACCACACAAGGGTGGAGAGGGAGAAATTTCAAAAGTGAAGAAAACAATGGCATCAAAATGGTGAGCCAGTCCAAGATGCTACGAGATAGAATTTTGGTGCCGAAGTTGAAGCCACTCTCCACCTACCCCACCCCTGAGGCTGCAATGATTAAAGGTGTCCTAGGACACCCATTCTTTCTGAAATGAATTTTCCACCAATGCCAGAAAAGGCTCAGAGCTGGCTGAGAATTAAGGTATGGGAAAGGAGATGGGAGAGATTCCATTCTAGTCAGCCCCTAGGAAGTAACTCCCAGGGAGCCCCCTCCCTGTCTTCCCCAGGGGTCTCCCCCTGCCTCCTATGATTCAGCACCTCACCGTGAGGGCATCTTGAGACTCTGGGGCCAATCAACACTGAGCCCAAACCAATATGCCATGAGGACCAAGCCTGGGCATTGCTCATTTCATGTTGGTTCTCACACAGACACAGATGGCACAGGTGCCTGTACAGGGAAACACTGTGGTCACATTTCTGCTCTCTCTAAGCTCCTACTGGGGACAGTCTGGCCTGGATCACACAGCTGCTTGTGGGACAGGCCCGGTCCTGACCCCGTTCTGCACAAAGCAAATCCCCACTCCCCACTGGGCTTTGCAGCCAGGCTCTGCTGACCGCCTCCTTAACCGTTCACCTGGCACCCCATCTCCCTGACTCCCCAAGTGGAGCCTCTTCTATCCCTCCTCTGAGACCATGAGAATGGACTGTGCATAAAGCCCTGAGAAATGTGAGCAGTGACCAGAGAAACACAAAATCCTGTTGGTTCTAGCCCAGGAGAGGCTGCCAGTTCTGATGGTGAGCCAGGACACAAGGATAGGAGAACAGGAAGCAGGAGGCAGGAAAAAGACCAAGAGAGAGGAGTGGCTGCCACCAAGGAAGCAGAGCGCTCTGACCAGAGTTCAAGATCCAGGGTTCGGGCAGGACTTGGGAGCTGGGGCCTGCAGCTGGAAGGAGCGCTCCAGAAGAAGGATTGTATCTCAGGGCGGGAACACACACACATCAGCGACAGGAGATAGCACGTCAGCTGGGATGGAGCTGCTGAGCCAGGCCATGCTGGGCTCCTCGGGCTGGGCAGGAACGTCTGGCTGCACATCTGTCTGTCTCGGCCCAGCAGGGCTGACTCCCGGGCTGTGGCAGTGTCTGCTCCAAACTCCCCTGAGCCTTCCCATAGCATTCACTGTGGGGAGCTCTTGACCAGCTTGTCTCTTTCCCAGCCTGTGAGTGCTAAAGGGCAGGCCCCCCGTCACCTCTGAGGCCCTGGCACCCAGCACAGTGTGCATGGGAGATGCTCAGGAAATGTGTGCTGAGGAGCTGGCAAGCTGGGAGGGTGGACCCGCAGTGGAGGGAAGAGTTGGCCATTCTTTTCTGAGCTACAAGGAGGCTCAGTACAGTATCCAGAACACTCGCTTAGGTGTCAGAAGAGCTGCGTTCTGGCCCTAGCTCTGTCACAAATGAGTTCACCTCCCCTGGCTGGGCCTGTTTTCTCTTATGTGAAATGAGGGCATTGGACCAGCTGATAATCAACGGCTCTCCCAGCATTCGCATTTTGGGAAATCTCTCCCTCCTCTGATACCTCAGGCTGCCCTCTCCCTGCGTCCTGTGGGCCAAGTCTTCCCCACACCACAAGGGGGAGCTCTGCACACGCCCCAGGCGAGCGCCTGGCCTCCAGCCCACTAACCTGCGGGAACAGGTGTGGTGGTGCATGCATGCTCCCATGAGGAAGGCTGTGCCTTCTCAGACACAGAACTCCAGATGCCCAGCCACCAGGCACACCACAAAGTGGCCGTGCACACAGAGGTGTAGCGTAGAAGTTTTGTGTTGGAGGATGTCTTCAGCTTCTTCTGGCTAGCCCCCACATCCTCACTGCTCAGACCCAGTCCCAGAGACAGACCACGACCTGCTCTGGCAACATTCCCATGAATACTCCTTGACATTCCTGACCTGCCTAATTTCTGGGGAAGAAAGAGACTCACCAGTAGAATTTGAATATTTTAATTTGGGAATGACTTAGAGGTCCAGATTCCTCCCCTCCACCCCCCCTCCCCCAATAAGTTCCCCTCCTCTGGCCAGAGCTTCATGAGAAGCCACATCCTGGAGCACCAGGCTCCACAGATAAGTCCCCAGTGACGTCTCAGGCCAGACTGCTGTGTAGGGCTGGGGTGGGGTTTGGCGGGCTGGGGGCTAGTGAATCCCAAGGAGACGTGTCTGGGCTCCACTGTCCTCTCTGGCTGGCTGGGCCTAGGAGCCAGGTAGCCCCAGAGTCACTGCTGGTCCCCTGTGAGGATAGAGCCAGGTAGGGACCCACATCAGGATGGGTAGCTAGGGTGGGGAGGGCATCTCCTCTCCACAGAGCACAGGCACTCACCCTGGCTGGCCCCGGGTGCCATCTCAGTCCGGTAGATCTTGAAGGCATCATAGGCAAAGATGGAAACCAGGATGATGCCAAAAACCTGTGGGAGTGGGAGTGGGGATGGCAAAACAGAGGCTATAGGGCCATTGGGTTAAGGTATAGGGTGAGGTGCAAGCCAGAACCCCAAGTCCTGGCTGTGGCTTCTGATACAGAAAGTGTGCAAGCACCAGCCTGAGCTCTTGAGGGGCTAAGGAGTCCTGCAGGGCTGAACTCACAAAAGCAGCAATGGCAGCTCCGTCCCGGGAGGTCACAGCTGCAAAGGAGACCACCAGGAAGATGATGATGGCACTGACACAGCGCAGGAAGTCCTGGGGGCCAGGGGTGCAGGGTTAACAGGACCTCAGAAGGCAGGGGGCGTTACCCTGAAGTTTTCCAGGCTAGCCAGCAGCCCGACCCTGAGGGATTCTGAACCCCTCCATAGGATACCCCTCACACAATATGAAGCACATTCAAGAGACAGAGCGCTCACACTGCTACCCAGGGAGTGGAAGCAGATGAACCAGAGCAACCAGGACCAGAAGCCAGGCGCTGGGGCTGGAACCCAGGGGACAGCGGCTGGAGTATGCCAGCCCGGGGGGGTCAAGCCAGGCCAGGGCTGGGGCTGGACCTTTGCTGAGTGGGAGAGTAGATCTAGCGGATGTGGTCCTCCTGATTGCCCGTGGCCCTGCAGCTGTGAAATCAGTGTGAGTCAAAGCACACCTTTGAGTGCAGGGCATAGCATGGGACAAAGCCCAGCTGTGGTGTGGAAATGGAAAGAAGCTCGGGGAGGAAAGGAAAATGCATCATTTAGAGGAGAGGGAAGGGCCCCAAACTGGGCTAGGGGTCAGGGTTCCTCACCAGACAGGGCCAGTTAATTCGGTCGAAGCGCTGGTAGTACTGGGTGGCATAGAGGAAGAGGAAGGCAAGTGTGATGAAGAACTCCAGTAGCGCCGCGGCCATGTAGGCAGAGATGGAGGCCGTGAAGCAGATGAAGATGATGAGGGTCAGGGCCTGCAGGACCGAGCATGTGGAACATGCCAAGAAGGGGACACAGGCAGGGGCCAGGGCTTTGCCTTCCCCTCCTTGGAAGCTCCCCTAGGCTGGCACCTACTACCTGTCCTTGGAGGGGAGGAAGGACTCTGGCACATCTCCCTATCCCCTGGTGTCAGGAGCCACCGTTGCAGGGCATTTGCCGGTCAAGGGCAGTCTCCGGCCTCCCACTCTGCTCACCCAGCAACCCCAGCAGTCTGGCCAAGCCATATGGCTCCCAGGAGCACTATCCCACAGTAATTCATAGGTACAGTGTGAATGCCAGCCCCTGGAGTTGTGCCCACAGAGACCCGACTCCACAGGGACCAAGAGGAGCCCCCTGCCTCATAATGCTTTCCCCACCCCCAGATGCCTGAAAGCCCCCTGACAAGGACCAGAGCCTTTGATTCCATGCCAAGAGAGAAGGCAGATGCTGCCCAGTGGTTTCTGGGAGCCCCTTTAGCTCTGATGACCTAGGGTGGCATACGTGCAGAGGCCTTAACTCTACACTGTGGTCTTGCTAAGTAACCAGGGGAAGATCCTTTCCTGAGAAGAGATGTTTCTGGGCAGCAGACCACAGATAAAGTGCAGTTGCAGGAAGTCTGCCCTTTTTGATAGTTAGACTTCTTGGACGTGCTGAGAAGTGGCCATGTTAGAGGCTGTCATTGCCCCTGTCCCATCCCTATGTCTCAAGCTTCCTCAATGTCCCAAAAAGTCACCCTGTCTAACTGCAGTCCTTCCTGCTGCAACTGAAACCTGCTGTAAATGTCTCCGGGTGGAGAGGCAGCAAGAAGGCAGAGTAGGAGACGAAGAAGGGGCAGCTGCGGGCAGGAGAGGTGTCCAGAGGGCTTGGGGAAGGAGGCTACTGAAGGGTGAGCTGGGGGCTGGCATAAGGCTGGCCAGGAGCCGGGGGTCAGGGAGATGGAGGCACCAGGTTGGGAGGCAGCTGTTACCAGCTCGGTTTCCAGCAGGATGCCCTTGTGGGAGGTGAGGAAGGCCTTGTCCACCGCGAAGCCCTGGAGCTCTGCAACTACCCCCTCCTCAGGGTGCCGGTCCCGGCGATCTCGAGCACTGAGCATCTTCGTAGGGCCCACCAACACAGCCCCCTACTGCCAAAAGCCCAGCAAGAGAAACAGAAATCTGGCAGGATGGGGAAACAGACAGGAGCAAGAAGGCACTTCGAGAAACCTGAAAGTGAAGCAGGAGGCTTGCCCACAGGGCCCCGGGAGAGAAGGCAGGCGCTGGGGGCCTTGCCCAGATGGGCCCTCACCCAGCTGCCCAGAGTGCCTCTGCTGCTGCCTGCACCAGCCCCCTAGAGACCCATGGGGAGGGGCAGAGAGGAAGGAGGCTCTAATCCCTCCCCTTGCTTAGAGCCCAACCCAGCCTGGAATAGAGAAGGAAGGGGAGAGGAGGAGGTCCGAAAAGAAACTGGGAGGAGCTGGGATGTGAGTAGAGGAACAGGGGCAGGACTGGGAGCCCCCAGGGACCTAAGCCTGAAGACATTTGTGTCCCCCTTCTCTAACCTTAACCCTCTTGTTTGGCCGGTCCTTTCTCCCATTTCCTTTTAGGGAGGGTGTGAGCTGGAGCCCAGCCCAGGCAGCACCCCCAGGACCAAGCTGCAGCAGCCAGGACTGGAGGACAAAGGCGGATTGTTGGGGGACAAGGGGGCGCTCTGTGCCTGCTGCAATGCCTCAATGGGCCTCTGTCTCTCCAGCATGCCGGGAGCGCGGCCTAGCCCCCACCCTGGTGTTTGGGATGGGCCAGGGAGACAGAGATGGGAGAGGACGGGAGGGTGCAGCGGAAACTCTGGAGGGCGGAGAGAGCTGGCAGGGTGGACAGAGGTGAGGGCCAATGGTGGAAAGGAGAAGGGACAGGCTGGGAGACCGCGAGATGTTCAGGCACCACGGATGCCAAATACAGATTAGGCCATTTTTAAATAAAGATATTTATTTGGATAAATCTCTATACATTCAATAACAGCTTCCTCCTCAGAATCATCCATGTCAAAAGACTAGTAACTACACTAGAATGCACCCAAAGTAGATGCTCACTGAGTGATGAGTAAACAAACAAATAAAACCAGGGGCTCTTTCTTCTCCAGCAAGGGGGAAATATCTAGAAAGTGCCTGTGCTGGGCCAGGGTAGCAGGGGATGGGAAAAGAGGAAGAGACAGGAGTGGTGGCCTCCAGAAATGGGCAGAACTTTGAAAACCTTTCCTGAGAGAAAATGACAGGACACCAGCTTCCGGCGGCCCTAAGCAGCAGCTGCTCTTTTCAAAATGTGCAGAAGTGCAGGCTTTCCCCAAAGCCCCCCATCCTGTCCCGGGATCCTGCTGCTCCAGACAGCACTTCACAGGGGCCAAGCATCTGGGCATCCTGGCCCTTCATGGCAAGTGGTTGTACACCTGGCTCCAGGTTTCCCAAAAAGGGACCAGCCTCCAGCAGGTCCGGCTAGCCCATCACACGGGGCCGCACACACACACAAGCTAAGGAAACACGGTACAGCCTGCGCTCCAGGCAGTAGCCCTTGTGGGTGCCCTTCTCGCCATGGCATGGCCGCCGGTAGAAGACAGTCTGGTTGTGGTAGAGCAGCTCCGAGTTGCCCCGGGGGTCCATGTGGGAGCCTGTCTGTAGGCTGACGCAGTGCGGGCACAGGCAACGGGCGTGGTACAGGTCCTGGGGGAGCCGGTTCAAGTCTCTGTCCAACCTGTGGGGGCGGCACTTGTCAGGCCTTGGAAAGATGGGCCGGAAACAGAGAGGGTGGGGTGGCATGGGAGTGCCAGAAGAAGGAAATGGTCCGTCTGGGGCCTTGGCCTCTTGTCTCAGTTCTGAACCCACTTGCTGTGTAACTTTGAACAAGTCACCTCCCTCCTTTATTAAATTTTCCCCACTGTAAATGAGGGTAGCAGGTGACAGAGTGCTTTCCAACTGGTCCTGGGACCGTGAGGGAGGCAGGGGAGGGTGAGCAGGCTCCTGCCTTAGCCTCCATTGACCAGCACTGCTTCTATCTGACTCAGCATGAGGTTTCTTATTGTAATGATTACACTTTAGGTGTTTTTGTTTGTTTTTTGATTTTTTGTTTTTGTTTTTTTGAGACGGAGTACCCAAGCTGGAGTGCAGTGGCACGATCTTGGCTCAACTGCAACCTCTACCTCCTGGGTTCGAGCGATTCTCCTGATGCCCGCCACCATACCCAGCTAATTTTCATATTTTTAGTAGAGATGGGGTTTCATGATGTTGGCCATGGTTGGCCAGGCTGGTCTTGAACTCCTGACCTTAGGTAATCCACCCACCTCGACCTCCCAAAGTGCTGGGATTACAGGCATGAGCCACCGGGCCGGACTTTAGGTGGTGTTTCTATTATTATTATAGCATTATTGCAAAAGTAAAAACCACTCTGACATCCAAGTATTAAAGAGTATAAAGAGTGAAAGTTAATAGTCTCTCCCTACCAGCCCCACTCCCCAGAAGAAGCTATCCTCAACTATTTCCTGCACATTCTTCCAGACGCTGTGCAAGCTTATATTATAAGCATACTTGAGAGTGCATGGGAAGACTTATTTACTTATTCTGAAAGGATTTCATGGCAAAAAAAAAAAAAGAAAGAAAGAAAGAAAGATGAAAAACACTGAAAAGTAGATGTCCCACAGGTCTGCGACTCCATTAGTCTGGCAGGCGACAGTCTCCAGCTTGTGGGACCATTCCCCACACAGACAAGCCCTGGCAAATGGAATTAGCTAGCACATCACTTCCCAAAGTGGGTTCCCTAATAAATCACCTGCACCTGTTGGGTGCTTAAATGAATTTGGGAAACACCAGTTTAACGGTTTACTTTCTACAGACTTCTTGCAGACTTTAATGTACAATGACAGTATGAATCTCCAAGGGGTAGGAGATACAGCAGTCTTTCCCAAGTTTACCTGGCATCACTTTTTTCTGAGAAGCAGCTCATGGGATGAGCATTGCACAGAACACACTTTGGGGAAAGCCACCTGAGTGGTTCTCGGGTTCACAGACTCCCAGCAAGGGGTCTGGAAGACAGCTGAGTTAACCTCTGGCACCCGCCTCCCCTAAGAAGCTCCCATGCCATCTGATTTGGCCCAGGACCCAGCCAGCTTCTGAGACCACTCCAAAGAGTCATGACCTGTAGTGTCCACACTAGATCCAATCTCAGTTAGATCTGACCCCCTCCCCACCACTGAACTTCTCCATCTACCCCCAAAGCCAATGCTAAGACAGAACTAGAAGGAAGAAGTGAAATCACATGTCTGGAATCCCTAAGACCCTAGTTTTTAATATTTTGCTTCATCATTCATATTTCAGCACTTCCTAATATTTTTCATATCATGGCACAAATAGAGAACTATAATATTTATGTGGCACACTGAGTGAAAGAATACAGTACCCATGATCATGATCAAAGATATCCAGTCCACAGCTCCAGCCAGCCAGCTGCCCCCAAAAGTTAAGGGTTTCACTCCTTTAGTATGCTTATAACTAACCCATTCATGGCCAGGGCAGTATCAATTGGTATTGGGATGCTTCATGCCTGTATCATGCCATTATTCCCTAATATTTTACCCAGAAAAAACATGGGCCATTATAGGGATGTTTTAAAAGAAAAGGAGAGAACCAACATAAATACAGACTTTTACATACATTATATTTCATTTGATCTGCACATTAGCCTATGGGGCATTATATCATTTTGCAGGTGAAAAAAAAAAAAACCCTGAGTTTTGAAAACTTGAATTGACTCAAGATCATCCAATGAGAGTCAGAGCTAGGACTCAAATACAGACCTTGTCTAACTCCCAAACCTTTACAGCCCCTCTGAGATCAAAATGGGAAAGTAAGCTGGAATTGCCCTGGTCCCTCACGCATACCCTGGCCAGCACACACAGGGCAGGCATTCGGGAGGGGCAGCAGACTCACTCATATCTCCAGGGGGAGATGGCCCTGCTGTTGAGGGGTCCATCTTCACTGGCCCTACAGGACTCTGGGTGGCGGTTGGGCCTAGCAGGCTCTAGGGGAGGCACAGGCACAGTGCTCCACCTCAGCAGCTCCTCAGAGGTGTCCTGCCCTTTGCTGGGGCAGCAGCTGGGCCAGTGGCTGTAGGTGTGGGTTCCCATGACCATTGCCAAGAATGCAACCACCTGTAGGAAAAGGCTAATGAGAGAACTGTCCTCACCTAATCTGGGTCGCTCCCTCATCTGCACCCTCCCCCTGGGATCCCAGTTTCTCACTCCACTTGGCCCCCAGCCCCAAACCTGGCAGCTTGGCCTCCCTCCACCCTCAGCAGCATCTCTGCTCCTCTCCCTCTCAGCACAGCCCTCAGGCAGCCCTCTGCACTGACCTGGTACATGCTGGGCACTGCACACTCAGTCACAAGTGGGGCACTGACTGACAGGCCTCGTGGAAGCAGGCTGACTGGAGCAGGTTAGGAGTCCTGATTTTATTTTCAGCAAGCCTGTTTTGTTTATTCAAATTTATTTCCACTGTCTTTTTAGGGAGTGACTTGAGGTTAAAAAACAAAACCAAAAAAACTCTGAAAGTATTTCCAAAGGCTGCTTAAAATGCAATACTCATGGAAGTTGTGATGACCATCATTATATGCCTGGTAGCTGATTGGGTAAACTTTGCTCTTTGAATTTTTCTGGCCATGGGGTCAAAGCAATAACAGTCTGCTGTTCTGCATTCTTGTGAACTGGCATTAGCGGGATTTCCCTGGTTGGTTTGGTAGCCAAAATTAGGAAATGTCTTGTGGCCTCCCTTCAAGAGGCCTCGTTTCCATGATCCCTGCTCCCCCCATCCAGGGTCTGGTTTCACCATTCCCCTCTTCCCAGGTGTCCCTCTGATCATCCACCTTCGTGATTATTTCCTTTCCCTTAGACATCCTTTGACTCCCATCCCCTTTGTTCTCTGACCTCTTCCACATTTTCAATGACCCCAAAATTCTATGACCCCCATCAGCTATGACTTCTCCCCCATTGTCCATGACCCACTCCCTAACTCCCCCTTGCCCTCGCCAGTCACTGCCCCCCACCGGGGATACAAGCCTACCCTCACAGGGCTGCTGGAAGACCCTGACTTCCTAAGTTTGTTGGCTGGATGGGCAAGGTCTGATGGAAGAAGCTGTGGGTGAGTGTCCCCATTGCACAAATGAGAAGGTGAAGCAAGGAAGAGGAGGGAAACTGAAACAGCCTCACCTAAGACCCAACAGGAAGGAGGTCTCAGTTCCAGGAACCAACCTGCTCTCATTCACAGAGCCTTGGGGACCAAGCCCATGACAGGGTCAGCTACTGCTTTCAGGCCATGAAGTGAGCCCACTCAGCCTCAGCAGGTCCAGAAACATGGGCCACTGTTAGCCAGGAGGGTGTATGTGTGCCCCAGAAAGGCTTACAGTTGGGCTTGACCCCAAAGACACAGGTCAGCCGGGTCCAGCCTGCTTGGGAGACACTGTGCTGAGAGTGGGCCAGTGTGTCCTTCCCCCCAGGTCCTTCTCTTCATGCTTGCCTATTGGCCTGCCTCATCCCCCATACGCACCCAACATACCCATACACAGACATTGCCCCTAGAATGATGTGGCTTGATTTGCATGTGCTTTCCCTTAGAAAATACTCCTCTAGTAACCAAGGACTAGGAAATCAACAAAGGGAACCAGGAATAACTTAAACTGCAGTGAGAGGAATCTTTCCAATGCGTTAGGGCAAAGCAGCCCCAAAAGAGAGAAGTGATGAAGTCAAAGGGCAATCTGGAAAATTGGGAGAAACTGCTCTGCTCTGATGAGTCTTGGGGCACCTGGAACTGTGGGATGGAGGGCACTTAGAAGAAGCAGGTGGTGGCTGGGAAAGCAGGGGCACTCAGGAACAGTGATGAGGCCAGTATCATGGCCCCACTCTCACTGCCTCACCCTCTGCCCCCAGTACTCGCAGACGTCCTCTCCCTTCCATATCCTGCTGGCCTCAGCTCCTGTGCACTTACATGTGCCAGGCATGGTGCTAAGCCCTGGGCATGCATCATCTCATTTTATCCCGACAATGAAACCATGACATGGAAACTATTATCCCCATGTTACAGATGAGGAAACTGAGGCCCAAGGAAATTTAGTAACTTACCCAAGATCACAAAGAAAGAGGCTGAGCTGGTTTCCCATTCCAGCTCTGACCAATTCCACATGTAACCTCCTGGCATGGAAGTGCCACACCGTGCCTACCCCTAGTTGGCTGTGAATGGAAGGGGAGCCCCACAGTGAATGCTTTCCTGCTCACCTGGGCTTGGGTTGGGACAAGTTTCAACTGCACCTGCTGAGGGCCACAGGGTGTGTCTGCCCACTTAGGTATCCAGCCCTGCTGTTCGGATTCACTGCACTAGCTCCCTTTCCTAGCCTTTTGTCTGGCAGACATGGCCTCAAGGTGGCTTCCCGTGCTCCTGGGAAAACCTCAATCCCAGAACAGGATCTTAGGAGGCAGTGCCGTTTCAGAAGAGCTGGATACCTATGGGTCTCGCTCTCACCAATCAGAACCTCAGGGCTAAGAAGGTAGTAGAAATGGAGTTGGCTCAGATCTCCTATCTTGACCCTTGCCCAGGAGGGGGTGTTCAAAGGAGCCAGAAGTGATCCCAACTACCTGTTTCACTTGCTGACGCTGCAGGGAGGACCCAGCCTAGGTCACCAGGAACGTTGCCCTTCAGAAGAGTCCTTTGGGGTGTCCCTCTAGGACAGAGGGAGAAACCCTCCAGGAAGGGTTGGCTTTTCCCACCCCCATGATGACCAGGACTGACCTGAGAACCTGTGCTCTGAGCCACATGCCCCCACCCCACCCCACTTGCTCACCCTCTGTCCTTATCTCAGTAGCAGCTTTGTGGGACTCCTTAGGGTGACTCCCTGTCATGAGAAACATTTTCCAGTGGGGTTTCCTCCTGAGGTGACTAGTTTTGGAATCCCTGAGTCACTTCAGCTTCCAGGGAACCCTTGGGGGTGTGAGGATAGGGGGGTGGCAATGGGGAGAAGGCTGGAGGCAGGAACAAAGGAAAGTCTGCATGGCACATGACATCAAGGTCCCCTCCCAGCACGTCTTCACCTGCCTAGGCCTGACCTGGCAGTTGAAGAGAGCTTCCTGGGATTCCTGTCCCTGTGGCCCTGAGGAAAGAGAGAAGCACCTGCTAGGAAAGGGCAGGGAAGATGTGGTGGAATACACTTCCCAATCTTGGCTTGGAAAGGCTCTTGGGGCTTACAGAAAGTGAGAATATGTCTTCCCCGCCCCTTCTCAGGAAGATATGCAAGTCTCCACCTGCTGCCTTGAAGTCTTGGCCCTGCCAATGACCAGCTCTGGATCTTGAGCCCTCTCTCTGCTCCTCCCTCTTCAATTGTAGAAGTGGGTGGGTTTGGGTGGGCGGGGATTGGGGGGAACATTGACCTGGATGGTCACAAAGGTGCCAACCAGCTTAGCTGCTCCAGACCTCAGCTCCTGAAATAGTGCTGAATCCACAGGACTCAGCAGGGTCTACTGAAGCTCATCGGCACTCACTGTACATGAAGCTAAGGCACCGAACATCAAAATGTTGAAATACTTCTGCTCCTGCTGGTAAGTAGATGCTTCCTTCAGCCTTGGGACACCACCTTACCATACTTCCCTATGATCCAGCAACTAAAGGTTGAACACCTGGCACAGATGGAGGCCCCCAGAACAGTGCTACCACTTTCTGATTGGTAGATGATAATGGTTTAGCTACAAAAACGCCTAGGCTCAGGAGCAGCCTTCAAGGAGAACCCAGTCTAGACCCTGGGAGACACATGGAGAATCAGAGTTAGCAGAACCAAGAACCCAACAAACCCATGTCTTTAGTCCAGGGCTGTAGCCTTCCCCAGGAGGCCCCTCAGCTTACTCGGCTTTGTCCTATAGTCATGGCTGCCTTCGTTCACTTATCCACTCACCAAATATTTACTGTGCACCTACTGTGTTCCAAGCACTATTCTAACAGCTAGAAATGCAGGGGAGGACAAGCCAGACAAGGTCCCTGCCTCATGAAGCTTACGTTTTAGGGGGAGACAGATTATAAACAAGGAAACAAGATAATTTCTGATAATAATAAGTGCTATGAAGAAAATGAAACAGCATTATGAGATAGGGAGTTACTGGGGGTGGGGGAGAGGAAGGCAGGGCAACTTTAAGTTGGAAAGCCAGGAAAGGCCTTTCTGAGGATGCAGGATTTCACCTGATGACAGAAAGGGTCTGGGGGAAGTAGTTTAGGCAGAGGGGGCAGGACATGCAGAGTCCTAGAGGTGGAAAAGAGCATGGCATATTTGAGAAACAGAAAGGACAGTGTAGATGTTGAACAAGAGATAAGGAGGAGAGGGAGACAAGATGAGGTGAAAGAGGTGGGCAGGGAGGAGATCACATAGGGTCCTCCAGGCTACCATGGAGCATTTGGATTTTATTCCAGAGTCAGCCGGAAGATATTGACTGGATTCAAGCATGAGCTACATGATATGTTTCTTGAGGGCAGGCACCATGTCCTTGACATTCTAGTGCCACCACAAGGCCATCACCAAATAACAATAATAGTAGTTGCCTTTGTCCAAAATTTACACCTCATGGGCCTGATACTGTTCTTGGGATTCCCTTAATCCTCATAACAAGTAAATGCTAAAAGTTCAATTAACATTCCCACTCTACAGACAAGGAACCAGAGGCTCCAGGAAGTCACAGAACTTGGCCAAGGTAACTAGCCAGTGTTAGAACCAGGATTAGAACCCAGGCAATCTAGGTGCTATGGGTCCAAAGAGAGGAGAACTGAAGAATTGGTGAGCACCCAAGAAGTTTTGGGTAGCAGGAGAAACAAGGAGAGGTCCAGGAAGTCTTGGGGTCAGGTGAGGAAAAAACCAGCTCATTGGACCTGCAGGGAAGGGGAAAGAATGGGAGAAAAGACTGGGACCCGGGAAGCCAAATGGAGGGGTTCCTTCCCTTCTTCTCCCTGAATATGGCAAGGGCAAACCTTGAAGACCCACTGCTTGAGGCTGCCACCCACCCAGGGTCTCAGCTACCTGCCAAGCCTGGGTTTTCTCCAACCTCACCTGCCCTCAACAACGAACACATTCAGCTTTCTGGAAAGCACAAGTCAGAGGGGAAGCCAAGGTAAAGAGGAAAAGCCATGGAAGAAGAGCACTGTGCCTGGCAATCTACATAAGCTTACTCCTCACCAAAGTCACTGCCACAGAGGAGGACCTGAGACTCGGATGCCCTATAACTGGACAAAGGTCACACAGCTAGTTAAGCAGGATTCACTTGTGACTCTGACTGGCTCCATTCCACACCTGGATATTCCAGAAGCAGCCTTATTTCCCACTGGTCTGTCCTCTGCTGTCCCTCTTCTACCCTTCCCCGGGCAGGGAAACTGCCTGCCCATCTCCCAAGCCAACCCTTGCCTGGTCCTAGCAGTTTCCTTCCTCCTTAGCCTTTTCTGGCCTCCATCTATTTCCCCTCGTGCCAGTCAAAGCATTCATCTTTGAAGACAGGGTTTCCTGCCCACCTCCACCTTGGACCCCAATTTGCCTTGGCAGTCTCCTGGGCAGAGATCACACCAAGTCACTCGCCAGCAGCTGGATATCCGTGTGCCTGGCAGCCAGGTCCCCCAGGGCTGGGGTCTGGAAGAGGTTGGAAAATCTTCCCTAGTGGCCACCTCTAACCTAACTGGAGCTGGGAAGCAGGAGCTCTCCCTGGAAATTTAAAAGTTCCTCTACCATCCCAGTGGAGTTGGAATCTATTCAGGAGTCTTCCATCATGGAGAGCCAGCCTAGAGCCAACACAGTTTATCCCCATCCCCATGTTTATCCCAGAATCTCTCCCTATTCCACCCCATAGGCTCCACCACACCCTTCCAGCAGAGGTTTCTTCACAGGTGCCCAGGTAATACAGTGGGGAAGGAGCTGGGGCAGGTGTCCTGACCACACTCTCCTAGGAAATGCCTAGATGTGTGGGCCTGTGGAATATTGAGGCAAGGTTATCTGTCCAGGGCCTCAAGTTCACCAAGGGCCTTATATTACATTTCTGATCTTGTCTCCAAATAAGGTTATGCACAGAGTCATTCTCTATTGTATGTGTTTGAAGCGTTAATTTGTTCAATGTAAACATCCAAAATATACCACAGCTTTCAATCCTGTTTGTCATCTTGCTTTTTAAATACCAGGAACCTCAAAAATGGAAGAAGGCAGGCTTCACTCAAGCCTGAGAGGCCCTGATGTGTGTGTCCCAGAGGGAAGGTCCAGGGAAGCAGCACACACTAAGGAGTTATCCCAGGGCAGAGGAGCTGTAGGGGGCTAGGAGCACCATCCTTTCAGTGGAAACTCCTGGTGGGGCTAGATCCCATCTCCTCTGGAAGAGTTCTAGCAACTTTTGTGCCAGCGGTCCTGCCCAATCCTCTCCTCATAGCAGCAAGAGTGAGCCAGGCTGAGGAGGCCGACAGGCCCAGACTGGCAGAGGAGTGTAAGAGGCCGCACAACCTGCCCGCCTGCAGTTCTGGGGCCAGACGCCCTGCTTCATGTTGTCACTAGGGCCAGAATCCATGTCCAGCGCCAGACTCCCCTCCTGTGCCCCGCAAGAACGGCCCAGCGAACCCTGTGTAGGGGAGGCGCCGAGGATTGGAGAGGCTCTGCTAAGGGCCCCGCTGGGCGGAAGGCGCGCGCTCCCTCCCATGGGAAAGACAGATGTGGGGCTAATGAAAGGGAGGCCGAGAGGCGCGGGGACGGCCGGGGAGACGGGGGCGTGGCGGGGAGAGGAAAGCTCCCGGAGAAAGCCGATCGGACCACCGCAAGCGAGGCATGCAGCGGAGTCCGGAGGAGGAAGGCGCCGGGGACTGGGGCAGGGCCAGGGCGGGACGGGGGTGGGGGGTGTGGGGGGTACCACAGGCAGTTGGACCCGAGGGTCCTGAGCTGAAACTCAACACCCGCCTTTGGAAGGATCGTCCCTCTTTCTCCTCCGCCCCTTCCCTTCCCCTCCCCTTTCCCCTCCCTCCTTTCTCTTAATCCCCAGGACGGAGCCCTGCGCGGGAGAGGAGAGGGCCTGAGGGGAGGAGAAAGGAACAGCACTGAGAGGGGCCAGGAGCCCAGGAAGGGGAGGGAAGGGCAGCCGCGGGCCAGGGGTGAGCCTGCGGGCCACGCGCGACCCCCGGAGCCTTCGCAGCCCTCTCAGTGTCCCCACTCCCAGCCCAGGCGAGTCCACAGGACCCGGGCCCCTGCTCCTCCCTCGCCTTCTCTTTGCTCCTTCTTTTGCTTTGTGGCCTTTCTTTCCCTTCCCAGAGACACCTGGGAGCTGCCCCCAAGCTTTGGGGCGCCCCGCGGGGCCCTGCCAAGGGTGCGTGTGAGAGAGGGCGGCGGAGCCGGCGCCGGGTGCCAGGGGCCGAGGGTGGGAGCGGGAGCTCGTGGCCCTGCGCCCTGGAGCCGAGGACTGGAAGGGGGCTGGGCCCCTCCGCCGCCTGGGCGCAGGCCGCGCGTCGGGAAGGCAGTCCCGCCTGTTCCAGGGGTGCCTGCGTGCTGGTTGCTGCTGCCCGGGGCGAGGCGCCGTAGCGGCGACCTCAGACCCCCGGGCGCGCTGAGTGAGTGCGCGCGTGAAAACCGCCGCACCGCCGGGGGTGCGAGTGTCTGGGCCGAAGCGGCCACTCCAGCGACCCAGCCCCACGGCCACGCTCTCGGGGGCCTTTGGCTCCAGGCAACTTGGGGCAAGCGTCTCAGTTCTCGCTCTCCCTTCCTCCCAGCGGGGTCGCCGCAGACCCCAGCCCTGGGAGCACCGCTCTGCAGCGCGGCCGGCGGGTGGAGACGGTTGGCCCCTAAACTCGCTCGTCCAGCCCAACCGCCCCGGCGGCTTCTCCCAGCCCTCGAGGCTCTCCTGAGCGGCCTGGAGAGGCGTCGAGCGCAGCCCAGCGCCCGCCTGCTCACCCGCCCCGGCCCGGGAAGGGAATTTTCGGATCCTGCGAGCCCGGGGCGCCCCCGCGGCCTAGGGCGGGCAGCTCCCGGGGCCTGGCCGAGCCGGTGGCGCCCGGGAGGCCGCGGGGACAGCACGCAGCGCGCGCCCTTGGATGCCGTCCCGCAGCGACGCCCCGGCCCGCCCCGCTCCTCCTCCTGCCTGGCTAGCCTGCCTCTCATTTGGGAAGTTTTGTGGGTTTTCTTTCTCCTCCTCCAACCTTGGCGGAGGCCACGACTCAGGCGCCACAGCTGGGGGCTAGAGGCCGCGGACCATGGTGCGGGGCAGCCACCGCTGAAGTCAGCAAAACCGAGCCTGGCCTGAGGCAGGCTGCGCGGGAGGCCAAAGCCATGGCCATTGCCACGTCGGTGAGTCCACCAGGGAGTGGAGGCTGCCGGGGAGAGACCTCCACGGCCTGCCCTGCGCTCCTGTCACTTTATTTCTGCCCTCTCTTTGTCTCTCTCCTTGGTCCCTTTCTTCTCCAGGAGGCTGTGTCCCCCTCCTCTCACTTTTGTTTCCCTTCTCCCTCTCACTCCTCATCCCCTGCTCCTCCTGGCTCCGGGCTCGCCCCTCTTCCCCGCCCCCTCCCCATTCTCCTTTTTCTTCCTAGAGGCTGCGCCTGAATGGAGGGGAAGGGGCAAGCGTAGCCCGAGTCCTATCTGCTCCTTTTGGGCGGGAACAGATGGCCACTGGTGGTTGGCAGAGGCTTGTGGTTGGGAGGCAAGTAAAAGGTTTGGAGGGGGCTGAAAGGACCTAGTGGCTCACGGAAAACGGAAAACGAGAGGCTGAACGACCCCAGGAGGCCCATCTCGAGACGAGGGATAAGGAAAAAAGGGAGATAGAGCAAAGGAGGGAGATCAAGAAAGAGAAGACAGAGGGAGGAGGGGAGGTGATGTCAGCCAGAGCCTCAGGCCACTTTCCAGGGATCGGGACAAAGGGAGGAGACAGCTGGCATGATGGGACAGTGGGAGGAGGCCTCCCAGAGAGCACAGAGGCTCTCTGCCACCTACATTAGGCTGGCCATTCCCTCACCAGTCAGCTGGGCTGCTGGGGGATAGAGCAGGAGTGGTCACACCCATCATCAATCAGTCCATCAACAACTCTGTCCTGCAATGGCAGGGCCCAGAGGCTTGGCTCCATTGGACAGAACTCAGTCCTAACACCGGGAGGAGCGCTCTACAGCCCCACCTCTGCTTTCTGTTCTACAGTCTATGCAGTCTGAATCCAGGCAGCTTTGTTCCCTTTCCACCCTCTTCTAGGTCCTGCCTAAGATTCCCAGGGAAGCGAGGCCGTCACCTGCTTTCTGTTCCCTTCTCAGTGGGGACTCTCGGAGAGAGACTGGAAAGAGAAGCACAGAGCCACCCAATGTCCTCCCATACCCTTTGAGGACAGGTTCAAGTTTGGTTCTTTCTCAGACCAAACTCCATTTTTTTTTTTTTTTTGAGACAAGGTCTCACCCTGTCACCCAGGCTGGAGTGCAGTGGCACAATCACGGCTCAATGCAGCCTCGACCTCCTGGGCTCAGGTGATCCACCTACCTCAGCCTCTTGAGTAGCTGGGACTACAAGCACGCACCACCACATCAGCTTTTTGTATTTTTTGTAGAGGCAGGGTTTCGCCATGTTGCCCAGGCTGGTCTCAAACTCCTGGGCTCAAACAATCCATCCGCCTCAGCCTCCCAAAGTGCTGAGATTACAGGCATGAGCCACCGCACCTGGCCCCAAATTCCTTTTAGTTCCTCAATCTGTAACGATGGCCAGGAAACCCTAGCTCAGAGTGGGGAAGGAGGCCCTCTGGAGATAGAGTACCTCTGGGAGTACTCTGGCATAGAGATACTGGTTCAGAAGCCAGCTGGTCAGCTTTGTAGTCCCAAGAATGTAGATTTTTCTTTTTGGGGTCAGGGGCATTTATGCTAATCAAACTCACAGGATTCTAATAACAGCTATTATTTATTGAGCATTTACTGCACCTGGCCCTGTGCTGCGCTTTGTCATAGTTTCTTTATGCGTTATCTCATGCAACTCTCACAACTACCCTGTGAAGGTAGTATTGTTATTATCTGAAAATGGATATGCGCATATGGAATTCTACAGAGAAGGAAATTGAGACTCAGAAAGGTTAAACAATCTGCCCAAAGGAACCTGGCTAGAAAGGGACAGACCTGGCTGGGCGCAGTGGCTCACACCTGTAATCCCAGCACTTTGGGAGGCAGAGGCGGGCGGATCATGAGGTCAGGAGATCAAAACCATCCTGGCTAACACAGTGAAACCCCGCCTCTACTAAAAATACAAAAAATTAGCCGGGCGTGGTGGTGGGCGCCTGTAGTCCCAGCTACTCGGGAGGCTGAGGCAGGAGAATGGCGTGAACCCGGGAGGCGGAGCTTGCAGTGAGCCGAGATCGCACCACTGCACTCCAGCCTGGGCGACAGAGCAAAACTCCGTCTCAAAAAAAAAAAAAAGAAAGAAAGAAAAAGAAAGGGACAGACCTCCAAGCAGTGGGTCGCAACGGTAATCCCAGGTATTTAGGAGGCTGAACCCAGGCATTCGAGGTTACAGTGAGTTATGATTGTGCCACTGCACTCCAGTCTGGACCACAGATCAAGAGCTGATCTCTAAAGAAATATTTTAAATAAAATTTTAAAAGAAAGAGACACAGCCAAGACTCAAGCCCAGGTCTGCCTCTAGAACTGTGCTTTTAATCCCCTGGCTAGATCCAAAAGACTGATTTATAATTTACAACTAAAAAGAAAAGTGCAGCACTAACCGGGAATTTGTGTCATCTGGTTAGCACGTTTCTTTGTGTGGGACAATATCCTTTAGAAACCAAAATATAATCAGAAAATGGTTTGATGAGTTGGGAATCAGGCAAGAAGAGGGGTCAATTTGTTGTTAAAATCACCCAGCCATGAGAGGCCGGATAACCTCACCACCAGAGGGAAACATCAGCTAAGAGGAATATGCACTCCTGCTGACTCTAGCAGGGCATCCTTCTCCCCAGGGTCTGGTGGCAGCCTGCCTGAGATCTTTAACTTTGAGATTTTTTTGCTGAATTAGTCAGTCCGTTTGGCTACCTGGCTAGTAATGCCTAACTAGCTGCTCTCCAACACTACATGTAAGTCACCACTGCCTGGGATCCTACCAGCAAGCATCATCATTTAGCAATCAAAACTGAAGCTGAATGTAATTGTATGTTTTGAGTGGTTTTAGCTTGATTCTACCAAATGACATCATGGAGCAAGAGCACTGCGAAGGGTTATAGCAAAGGGAAATAGGGTATAAGAAGGCTTTCCTATGCGCTTGACTTGCTTTTGAGTTAGGGACCCTCTCAGCCACTGTTACTACTCTTTCTTTTAAGTAGATTCCTACATTTGTAATTGTGGAGAAGCAGTAGCACAAGTGATTGAGAGCGCAGGCTCTGGGATCAAGCAGCTTAGGGTTCAGATTATGCTCCACAAGCTGTGCCAGCGATATGGCATCAGACAAAGTACTAACCTCCCTCTTCCAGTTTTCTTTCCAAAATGGGGTAATGACAGTCCCTCCCTCGTAAGGTTGTTGTGAGAATTAAATGAGATGAGTTGATTAATGCAAAGATTTGCACAGTGTCTGGAAACGTTGTTTGCACTTGGTACCTGTGAGTTATTACCTGAGCCTGTGGCCCTTGAT